>NC_000001.11:223608935-224846292 GCF_000001405.40 Homo sapiens | reverse complement strand
CAGGGCTCTGGCCAGTTGAGCCTTTACTCTGCTGGCTGTCCCCTAAGGGCCTGGCTCCTACTGCAGTGTCTCAGCCAGGGATCTTCTGCCAAAGAGCACCCAGAGCTATTCCAAGTCTCTCCAAGACAGTCCTGGGCAGCAAGTATGTGGGCTGGCATGGGGGCTACAGAGATGACTGACATAGCCTTGGTAGCCTGGAGGGGCATATAATGTCAGGCCTCTGAGCCCAAGCTAAGCCATCATATCCTCTGTGACCTGCATGTATACATCCAGATGGCCTGAAGTAACTGAAGAATCACAAAAGAAGTGAAAATGGCCTGTTCCTGCCTTAACTGATGACATTACCTTGTGAAATTCCTTCTCCTGGCTCATCCTGGCTCAAAAGCTCCCCTGCTGAGCACCTTGTGACCCCCACTCCTGCCAGCCAGAGAACAACCCCCTTTGACTGTAATTTTCCTTTACCTACCCAAATCCTATAAAACAGCCCCACCCCTATCTCCCTTCACTGACTCTCTTTTCAGACTCAGCCCACCTGCACCCAGGTAAAATAAATGGCCTTGTTGCTCACACAAAGCCTGTTTGGTGGTCTCTTCACACGGACACAAGTGAAATTTGGTGCCCTGACTCGGATCGGGGGACCTCCCTTGGGAGCTCAATCCCCTGTCCTCCTGCTGTTTGCTCTGTGAGAAAGATCCATCTACAACCTTGGGTCCTCAGACCAACCAGCCCAAGGAACATCTCACCAATTTTAAATCGGGTAAGCGGCCTCTTTTTACTCTCTTCTCTAACCTCTCTGACTATCCCTCAACCTCTTTCTCCTTTCAATCTTGGCGCCATCTTTCAATCTCTGCCTTCTCTTAATTTCAGTTCCTTTCCTTTTCTGGTAGAGACAGGAGACGCATTTTATCCATGAACCCAAAACTCCGGCACCACTCATGGACTCAGGACGACAGTCTTCCCTTGGTGTTTAATCACGCGGGGATGCCTGCCTGATTATTCACCCACGTTTCAGAGGTGTCTGACCACATGGGGATGCCTGCCTTGGTCCTTCACCCTTAGCGGCAAGCACCACTTTTCTGGGGGGCAAGCACCCCCCGACCCCTTCTCTCCATGTCTCTACCCTCTCTTTTCTGCCTTGGTCCTTCACCCTTAGTGGCAAGCACCACTTTTCTGGAGGGCAAGCACCCCCCTACTCCTTCTCTCCATGTCTCTACCCCTTTTCCACTTTCCTGGGGGGCAAGCACCCCCCACCCCTTCTTTCCATGTCTCTAGCCTCTCTTTTCTCTGGGCTTGCCTCCTTCACTATGGACAACCTTCCACCCTCCATTCCTCCCTCTTCTCCCTTAGCCTGTGTTCTCAAAAACTTAAAACCTCTTCAACTCACACCTGATCTAAAACCTAAATGCCTTATTTTCTTCTGCAACACTACTTGGCCCCAATACAAACTTGACAATGGCTCTAAATGGCCAGAAAATGGCACTTTCAATTTTTCCATCCTACAAGATCTAGATAATTCTTGTCATAAAATGGGCAAACGGTCTGAGGTGCCTGACGTCCAGGCATTCTTTTACACATTGGTCCCTCCCTAGTCTCTGTTCCCAATGCAACTCATCACAAATCTTCCTTCTTTCCCTCCGCCTGTCCCCTCAGTCCCAATCCCAAGTGTTGCTGAGTCTTTCCAATCTTCCTTTTTTTTTTTTTTTTTTTACAGACCCATCTGACCTCTCCCCTCCTCCCCAGGCTGCTCCTTGCCAGGCCGCGCCAGGTTCCAATTCTTCCTCAGCCTCCGCTCCTCCACCCTATAATCCTTTTATCAACTCCCCTCCTCACACCTGGTCCCGCTTACAGTTTCATTCCATGACTAGCCCTCCCCAACCTGCCCAGCAATTTCCTCTTAAAAAGGTGGCTGGAGCTGAAGGCATAGTCAAGGTTAATGCTCCTTTTTCTTTACCCGACCTCTCCCAAATCAGTTAGCGTTTAGGCTCTTTTTCATCAAATATGAAAAACCCAGCCCAGTTCTTGGCCCCTTTAGCAGCAACCCTTAGACTCTTTACAGCCCTAGACTCGGAAGGGTCAGAAGTCCATCTCATTCTAAATATGCATTTTATCACCCAGCCAGCTCCTGACATTAAATAAAACTCCAAAAATTAAATAAATTCCAGCCCTCAAACCCCACAACAGGACTTAATTAACCTCACTTTCAAGGTGTACAATAATACAGTAGAGGCAGCCAAGTAGCAATGTATTTCTGAGTTGCAATTCCTTACCTCCACTGTGAGACAAACCCCAGCCACATCTCTAGCACACAGGAGCTCCAAACGCCTGAACCGCAGCTTCCAGGGGTTCCTCCAGAACCTCCTCCCCCAGGAGCTTGCTTCAAGTGCCAGAAATCTGGTCACTGGGCCAAGGAATGCCCGCAGCCTGGGATTCCTCCTAAGCTGTGTCCCATCTGTACGGGACCCCACTGGATATCAGACTCTCCAACTTGCCCAGCAGCCACTCCCAGAGCCCCTGGAACTCTGGCCCAAGGCTCTCTGACTGACTCCTTCCCAGATCTGCTTGGCTTAGCGGCTGAAGACTGACGCAGCCCCGTCACCTCGGAAGCCCCCTGGACCATCACGGACGCCGAGCTTTGGGTAACTCTTACAGTGGAAGGTAAGTCCATCCCCTTCTTAATCAATACAGAGGCTACACACTCCACATTACCTTTTCAAGGGCCTGTTTCCCTTGTCTCCATAACTGTTGTGGGTATTGACAACCAGGCTTCTAAACCTCTTAAAACTCCCCAACTCTGGTGCCAACTTGGATAACATTCTTTAATGCACTGCTTTTTAGTTAATCCCACCTGCCCAGCTCCCTTATTAGGTCTAGGCATTTTAACTAAATTATCTGCTTCCCTGACTATTCCTGGGCTACAGCCACACCTCATTGCCACCTTTTCCCCCAGTTCAAAGCTTCCTTCACATCCTCCCCTTGTATCTCCCCACCTTACCCCACAAGTATAGGACACCTCTACTCCCTCCTTGGCGACCAATCATGCACCACTTACCATCCCATTAAAACCTAATCACCCTTACCCCACTCAATGCCAATATCCCATCCCACAGCCCACTTTAAAAGGATTAAAGCCTGTTATCACTCGCCTGCTACAGCATGGGCTTCTGAAACCTGTATACTCTCCATACAATTCCCCTATTTTACATGTCCAAAAACCGGACAAGTCTTACAAGTTAGTTCAGGATCTGCGCCTTATCAATCAAATTGTTTTGCCTATCCACCCCGTGGTGCCAAACCCATGTACTCTCCTATCCTCAATACCTCCCTCCACAACCCATTATTCTGTTATGGATCTCAAACATGCTTTCTTTACTATTCCTTTGCACCCTTCATCCCAGCCTCTCTTTGCTTTCACTTGGACTGACCCTGACACCCATTAGGCTCAGCAAATTACCTGGGCTGTACTGCCACAAGGCTTCACAGATAGGCTCAGTCAAGCCCAAATTTCTTCCTCATCTGTTACATATCTTGGCATAATTCTCATAAAAACACACGTGCTCTCCCTGCTGATCATGTCCGACTAATCTCCCAAACCCCAATCCCTTCTACAAAACAACAACTCCTTTCCTTCCTAGGCATGGTTAGTGCAGTCAGAATTCTTACACAAGAGCCAGGACTGTGCCCTGTAGCCTTTTTATCCAAACAACTTGACCTTACTGTTTTAGCCTAGTCCTCATGTCTGTGTGCAGCAGCTGCCACTGCCTTAATACTTTTAGAGGACCTCAAAATCACAAACTATGCTCAACTCACTCTCTAAAATTCTCATAACTTCCAAAATCTATTTTCTTCCTCCCACATGATGCATATACTTTCTTCTCCCCAGCTCCTTCAGCTATACTTACTCATTGTTGAATCTCCCACAGTTCCATTGTTCCTGGCCCAGACTTCAATCCGGCCTCCCACATTATTCCTGATACCACACCTGACCCCCATGACTGTATCTCTCTGATCCACCTGACATTCACTCCATTTCCCCATATTTCCTTCTTTCCTGTTCACTATTGGTTTATTGATAAACCCTGAACACTATTGGTTTATTGATGGCAGCTCCACCAGGCCTAATCGCCACTTACCAGCAAAGGCAGGCTATGCTGTAGTATCTTCCATACCTATCATTGAGGCTACCTCTCTGCCCCCCTCCACTACCTCTCAAAAAGCCAAACTCATTGCCTTAACTCAAGCCCTCGCTCTTACAAAAGGACTATGCATCAATATTTATACTGACTCTAAATATGCCTTCCATATCCTGCACCACCATGCTGTTATATGGGCAGAAAGAAATTTCCTCACTATGCAAGGGTCCTCTATCATTAATGCCTCTTTAATAAAAACTCTTCTCAAAGCTGCTTTACTTCCAAAGGAAGCTGGAGTCACTCACTGCAAGGGCCATCAAAAGTCATCAGATTCCATCACTCAGGACAATGCTTATGCTGATAAGGTAGCTAAAAAAGCAGCTAGCGTTCCAACTTCTATCCCTCACGGCAGTTTTTCTCCTTCTCATCTGGCCACTCCCACCTACTCTCCCACTGAAACTTCCACCTATCGATCTCTTCCTACACAAGGCAAATGGTTCTTGGACCAAGGAAAATATCTCCTTCCAGCCTCACAGGCCCATTCTATTCTGTCATCATTTCATAACCTCTTCCATGGAGGTTACAAGCTGCTAGCCCACCTCTTAGAACCTCTCATTTCCTTTCAATCATGGAAATCTAACCTTAAGGAAATCACTTCTCAGTGTTCCATCTGCTATTCTACTACTCCTCAGGGATTGTTCAGGCCCCCCCACTTCCCTACACATCAAGCTCGGGGATTTGTCCCCACCCAGGACTGGCAAATTGACTTTACTCACATGCCTCAGTCAGGAAACTAAAATACCTCTTGGTCTGGGTAGACACTTTCACTGGGTGGGTAGAGGCTTTTCCCACAGGGTCTGAGAAGGCCACTGCAGTCATTTCTTCCCTTCTGTCAGACATAATTCCTCAGTTGGCCTTCCCACCTCTATACAGTCTGATAACAGACCAGCCTTTATTAGTCAAATCACTCAAGCAGTTTCTCAGGCTGTTGGTATTCAGTGAAACCTTTATATCCCTTACCATCCTCAGTCTTCAGGAAAGGTAGAACAGACTAATGGTCTTTTAAAAACACACCTCATCAAGCTCAGCCACCAACTTAAAAAGTACCGGACAATACTTTTACCACTTGCCCTTATCAGAATTCAGGCCTGTCCTCAGAATGCTACAGGGTACAGCCCATTTGAGCTCCTGTATAGACGCTCCTTTTTATTAGGCCCCAGTCTCATTCCAGACACCAGACCAACTTAGACTGTGCCCCGAAAAACTTGTCATCCCTACTATCTTCTGTCTGGTCACACTCCTATTCACTGTTCTCAACTACTCATACAAGCCCTGCTCTTGTTTATGCTGCCGGTTTACACTGTTTCTCCAAGCCATCACATCTGATATCTCCTGGTGCTATCTCCAAACTGCCACTCTTAACTCGCTCTTAAAGTAAATAAATAATCTTTGCTGGCAGGGCTATGCTGAACCTCCTTGGGCACTCTCTAATTGGATGTCCTGGGTCCTCCCAATTCTTAGTCCTTTAATACCTGTTTTTCTCCTCTTATTCTGTTTAGTTTTTCAATTCATACAAAACCGTATCCAGGCCATCACCAATAATTCTATATGACAAATGTTTCTTCTAACAACCCCACAATATCACCCCTTACCACAAAATCTTCCTTCAGCTTAATCTCTCCCACTGTAGGTCCCCACGCTGCCCCAATCCCACTCAAAGCAGCCCTGAGAAACATCGCCCATTATCTCTCCAGATCACCCCCCAAAATTTTCACCACCCCAACACTTCAACACTATTTTGTTTTATTTTTCTTATTAATATAAGAAGACAGGAATGTCAGGCCTCTGAGCCCAGGCTAAGCCATCATATCCTCTGTGACCTGCATGTATACATCCAGATGGCCTGAAGTAACTGAAGAATCACAAAAGAAGTGAAAATGGTCTGCTCCTGCCTTAACTGATGACATTACCTTGTGAAATTCCTTCTCCTGGCTCATCCTGGCTCAAAAGCTCCCCCGCTGAGCACCTTGTGACCCCCCCCCACCCCTGCCAGCCAGAGAACAACCCCCTTTGACTGTAATCTTCCTTTACCTACCCAAATCCTATAAAACAGCCCCGCCCCTATCTCCCTTCGCTCTCTTCTGATTCAGCCCACCTGCACCCAGGTGAAATAAACAGCCTTGTTGCTCACACAAAGCCTGTTTAGTGGTCTCTTCACACGGACGTGAGCGGAAAACATAAGTCTTTATATAAATTCAGTTTAATGTGCTGAGTACTACAATAGAGGCAAACAAAGGGAGCTAAGGGAACAGGGAGGGAGTTAGAAAAGGCTTCCCAGGAGACCTGGTAGAGGAAATATACTTTGAAAAGGTATCCAAGCCAAGGGAGAAAGCTGATGAGAAGGGCATTGGGAGGAGAGAGAACCCAATAAACCAAGACACGGAAGCCAGAAACCTTGGGACAGTGCAGTGGCAACTGGTGCTGGCTCTGTTTTTGTTTTTTGAAGGGCTCATTTACTAGCACACTATATGCAAGGAACCAAAGCAATTTCTTAATTTTAGAGGTAACAAGACTCTTGGTTAGAAGTGACAGAAGGTTATACTGAGGATACTAGGCTTTTTTTTTTTTTTTTTTTTTTTTTTGAGACGGAGTCTCGCTCTGTCGCCCAGGCTGGAGTGCAGTGGCACAATCTCAGCTCACTGCAAGCTCTGCTTCCCGGGTTCACACCATTCTCCTGCCTCAGCCTCCCGAGTAGCTGGGACTACAGGTGCCCACCACCACGCCGGACTAATTTTTTTGTATTTTTATTAGAGATGGGGTTTCACTGTGTTAGTCAGGATGGTCTCGATCTCCTGACCTCATGATCCGCCTGCCTCGGCCTCCCAAAGTACTGGGATTACAGGCGTGAGCCACCGCGCCCAGCCAGCATACTGGGCTTTCTTGTGGACTCCAAGGAAGTCACAGGCCTTCAGAAAGGGATATAATGAAGAACTTGAACACTGTCAGGCCCTTTTGACCTTCAGCTCGGCTTTCTTCTGATATCTCTCTTTCTCTCTTTCCTTTCTAACCTCTCTTTCTCCTAATGATGTCTCTGTTCCAGACATCAGGACACATGGCTGCCAAGGTTCTTAAAGTTTTAACACAACAGCTTTAACTTCTGAAAAAGACTTATCTCTCCTTCTCCATTCTAGTTCCAAGACGTCCTGGAGAAGCATTGTAATTCGCTCACTTCAGCTGAGTTCTGACTTCTGGACCAACCAACTGTAGTAGGGGAGGTGTGATGTGGAGAAGGGACTGTAATTGGTCCCTATTTGGTCAAGTGCCCATCCCAGAACCAACCAACTGTGGCCAAAGGTTACACAGACACCACAGCTCAAATGGTAACCATGTGGATGTGTGCGGGGTAGCAATTCCCAGAAGAAAGGAGGTCCTGGCAATAGGTTCCAAGATGGAGGAGAGTAGCGAAAAGCAAGTCTTCAAGGTAGGGAGGCTTGTGTGGCAGAGTTGGGCTTTGCCCAGTGGATGACTTAGCATGCAAGGTGGGGGCACAGGGGGAGTCAGGTCGTGATCACAGATTGCCATGGTCTTGTGTGGAGGTTAAGTATGTGACAGGTTAGACTTGTCTCAGGGAGAGCAATTAGAAGGTAATTGCTCTCATCCACATGAGAACTTTTTATTTAATCCTACCTTATACTTACAATGTTGTGTTCCTTTTTTTTTTTTTTTTTTTTTGGCTTCATCCTATTACTATTCATCCGTTTCTTCCCCTGGTTAACTTGCAAGTGCTTACTGTATTAGTCAGGGTCCTCCAGAGACAGAACCAATAGCATATATAGACAGAACTTGAGTGGGGATTTATTAGGGGATTTGGCTCACGTGATTATGTAAGTGGAGAAGTTCTACAACAGGCTGTCTGCAAGCTGGAGAGCTTGGGGGATCTTGGTGTCATGGCTCAGCCTAAGTCTGAAAGCCTGAGAACTAGGGAAGCCAATGATGTAATTCTCAGTCCAAGGCCAGAGGCCTGAGAACCCGGTCCAGGGCACTACTGGTGTTAAGTCCTAGAATCCAAAGCCCAGAGAGCCTAGAGTGCTCATGTCCAAGCTCCAGGAGAGAGAGAGTTAGGGGTGGAGGGAGTTGCCTTTTCTCTGCCTTTTTTGTTCTATTGGGATGCCCAGCTGATTGGATGATGCTTGTTCACATTGAGGGAGGACTTCCCCACTCAGTCCACTGTCTCTCACGCCAATCTCCTTTGGAAACCCTGAAAGACACACCCAGAAGGAATGCTTTGCCAGCGCTCTAGGTGTTTTTTTTATTTTTATTTTTTTGAGACAGAGTCTCGCTCTGTCACCCAGGCTGGAGTGCAGTGGCGGGATCTCGGCTCACTACAAGCTCCGCCTCCTGGGTTCACGCCATTCTCCTGCCTCAGCCTCCCGAGTAGCTGGGACTACAGGCACCTGCCACCACGCCCAGCTAATTTTTTTTTGTATTTTTAGTAGAGACGGGGTTTCACCGTGTTAGCCAGGATGGTCTTGATCTCCTGACCTCGTGATCCGCCCACCTTGGCCTCCCAAAGTGCTGGGATTACAGGCGTGAGCCACCGCGCCCGGCCGCTAGCACTCTAGGTGTTTCTTATTCCAGTCCTTGAGTTCTAAGCTAAACTTAACCATCATACTTATTATTCTAGCAGTTGACTTCCTTCACCCAAAGTTCATAAACAAACTCTTCTCTTTTGTATATCAAACAAGATGCAAATTATCTCGGCACAGTAAGGCCTTTTAATCCCCCATGGTTACCTCCCTGGATGAGACCTTTAAAATGTCTTTCCTTGCTAACTTGTCCCTTAGACTTTCAGAATGCTCTACTCCAGAGGTTTATTGTAATGGTTTTGTATACCTTATTTTAATAAAGAAGCAGCATACAGAAGTGTTAAGAATATGAAATAAGAGCGAGAATGCATTGAAACAGACAGGACTGGAAAATCAGGAGAGAGGCAGAGGAGCAGCTGTGAGGGCCATGGGGCTTAGAACTCAAGGATGGTCCAGGGAGGAAAGAGGAGATCGGGCTTAAGTGAACGGGAGGTTCCAGAGCAGAGCAGTGAGAGAGGAAAAAGGAGAGGACAGGAGAGGAAAGACCAGAATTGCATTTTAATTATTTTTAGTTGTTTACCTTTACTTCTTGGTGGGACTATGTTTGTACCAAGATCGATCCATCCTGGGTCCCAGATGAACATATGTTATAATTTGCTAAGTCTCTTTGTGAAAGACACCATTTAAAGGTCCACCCAGTGAAGTCTTTTGGTTTTTAATTGGAATATAGATACAGAAAAGGACACTGAAGTGAACAGTTCCAATGAATTTTCACAAACTGAAGACACCTGACTAACCAGCACCCAAATCCAGAAATAAAATGTTATCTGCATGTAGGAAGCCCCTGTTGTGCTCTTTTGGTCACTGCTGACCTGCAAGGATAAGCACAACCCTTGCTTCTAACAGGAGAGATTCGGTTCAGTTCACCCATTTTTGTTTTCCGTGTCTATCAACAGACTCCCATGGTGGATTCTCTTTGGGGCCCAGCTCCTTCAGTTCAACATTGTGTATGTGACATTCACCCATATTGTAGCAAGAAGTTGTAGATCATTTGTTCTCACTGGAACATAGCATTCCATTGGATCAATATGCTAGAATTTATCTATTCTTCTCTTGATGAACATTTGGGTCATTTCCAGTTTCGAGTTACTGTGAATAGTGCTGCTATGACACATCCAGTTAGCTGTTAATATGAAAACTAGTGTTCTACGTTTCTTATTTCCAAAACTATTAATTTATCTGGCATCAAGGAATAGGTCAAAGGTTTTGTTTTGTTTTGTTTTTTGTTTGTTTGTTTGTTTGTTTTTGAGACAGAGTCTCACACTGTCGCCCCAGGCTGGAGTGCAATGGCACAATCTTGGCTCACTACAACCTCCGCCTCCCGGACTCATGCAATTCTCCTGCCTCAGCCTCCTGAGTAGCTGGGATTACAGGTGCACACCACCACACCCAGCTAATTTTTGGTATTTTTAGTAGAGACGGGTTTTCACTATGTTGGTCAGACTGGTCTTGAACTCCTGACCTTGTGATCTGCCCACCTTGGCCTCCCAAAGTGGTGGGATTACAGGTGTGAGCCACCACACCTGGCCTAGGTCAAAGTTTTTTAACCAGGCCTGAATTTAGCCAATCTAATCTTAAACACAGAGGGCTGGGCCAGACACGGTGGCTCATGCCTGTAATCTCAGCACTTTGGAAGGCCAAGGCAGGCGGATCACGAGGTCAAGAGATCATGACCATCCTGGCCGGCATGGTGAAACCCGTCTCTACTAGAAATACAGAAATTGGCTGGGTGTAGTGGCACGCACCTCTAGTCCCAGTTACTCAGAGGCTGAGTCAGGAGAATCACTTGAACCCAGGAGGGGAGGTTGCAGTGAGCTGAGATCATGCCACTGCACTCCAGCCTGGGTGACAGAGCTAGACTTTGTCTCAAAAAAAAAAAAAAGCCCTCACACACAGAGGGCTGTGATGGGCTATGGAGAGAGTGAGAGAGAGAAAGGAACAATAATAATAAAACCCGAATAAAATTTTTCCTTAGTCCAAATGGAACTCAAGGGCAAGGTAGGATCACAAAACTATAGTGTACCTTCATCTCCCGGAACACTCTGCTTCCATAAGCTGGTCCTCTTCTCTCACACCTAGCTTCACATAGTAATAATAGAATGATATAATGTTTCATTTCATCCATCATTAATATGCCATGGCCACACTTCCCTCAATGGCTGCCCGTATTACCATTTTTGATAGAAGACAAATCTGAAATTTAATTATTCATTTTGCTGAGAGAGATACTGTTGGGTTTTAAATTGCTTCTCCCTCTCACCCCTTTTATTCTTTATATCTCCATATGCATTTGCCTTTGAGATTGGAATCGAGCCTCTTCATTATGCAAGAACAAAATAAAAATGATCTCTAAATAAGGCGATGCACAGTGGGTCCTCAGAGTTTGTAGTCAGAAACACGCACACACTGAGTTTTCCACTGTAAGAATTTTCTACCTTATTAGAGTTGACATTTAGCCTGCCATCTAAATTGTAGAAAATGACTCTTCTAAAATACACTGGCAGAGCCCTGATGACCTTGCCATCTACATGAATTATTTTAACTTTGGAGTCTAATGAAAGATGTAGTAGCAAATGTTGCATTCCCATCTCCTGGCTTTACCCAATAAGAATATTTTCAGTTTCCTACATGAAACAAAAGGAGAGGGGTGGGGAAACAGGGAGAGAAGAGCTAGATAGGAGCAGGCCTTACATCGGTTGGTAATTGAATCATGACAGTGGTGTCGTGTAGATTTCACAGGTGCACTTAGGAAGCAGGTGGAAACATTTGTCGTTTGCAGGAAATACTGTCAGCCTGGCAATTGACTATAAATACTGTGTTTAGGATGAGAATTTGAGAGGAAAGTTCTGCCAATGAGCTTGAACAATTTTTCTACATCATTGATTGGTTCTTCCTTTGGAAAGGAAAATGTTTGATTTGAATAGTTTTGTATTTTAAAGTAGCTTTGAGCCCAAAGACATGGATGCCAGTCCTGTCTTTGCCATGTATGAGCTCTGTGATGCTGGGCAAGTCACAATGATAAGTCTCACTGATGAGTCTCAAATAAGGTAATCAGTGTGAAAGTGCTCTCTGTAAATGGTAGAATGTTGCAATTATTAGTGCTTGTTATAGCCCTGCTCCCTGCTGATGAGATAAACTGGAGACAAGATATTTCCCTTATGAAAATGAGTCTGACAGAAATCATGGGCCAGCTAATAATAGAAATATTTGCACTCTATCCTTCTGTTAATTTTTCTATTCTGCCTGTGGATTCAGAACCTATGTGGAAGGGATAGGTGAGCCATCTGGACACTATAAGCAGTGTTGGGTTTGTCCCCACCTTGGTCATGGTTTTCTTGCTCTATAACTAGAGTGTGTATGTGGGCGTGTTGTCCAGGGGCACAGGAGGAGGAAGGAGGGAGGCCTGAGCTTCCACATTATCAATAGACAGTGTTTTACTCTAAAGATAAATTGGAAGAGAAAGAAAAGTGAAGTTAATGTCTTTTCTCATAGTAGGCTATGATCCTCTGGGGGGCATACCTTCCATGCTGTCTCAGCAGGGAAGGCCACTGCAGTAGAATTTGAAGGAAGACTCCCCACCCCCTGCCACCAGCTCTAAAAGATCCTGCAGTCATTAAGTACCCAAAGTTCCAACCTCAGGCCTTTTTGATCAAATGGAACCCAATGGGATGAGGACTTGTAACATGCAGATAAGATAGGTAGGTAGGCATCAAATGATTTTTCCTGCATCATGGATGGCCTTAGGTAGCATAACAGGCCTGAGGATTGGGATGGGGGTGGAGCAAATGGAGAGAACAGAAAAGGTGTCTGGTTTGCAGAAAGCCAGCCCAGCACAGGGTTCTAGGGATAAAAGATCCAGTCTCTGTCCTCGAGGGAGTCCGTCTAGTGATGGCCCAAAAACATAAGAGATAATAATGGAAGGCTGAAAGTGGAAAGATATGGAAACCCATAAATCACAAGCTCAATATTCTCATTTCATAGGTAAGCAAACTGAGGCCCAGAGGGAAAGTGAGTTGTCCAAGATCCCAGGCTGGTGACAAAGTCACATTGAAGATCCAGGCCTCCCACCTTAGAGACAATTCCTTCTTTCATCAAACTCCTTCCCAGCACTCCTGCTTCTCCCCTCTCCCCAGGAGGCTGAGACTTATTTAGCATCTGGAATGTCCCAGGACTGGGCCAAGTGTCTACATGGATATTCTGCATTTAATCCTCCAAATATATCTCATGGATAAGGCATTATTACTTATAATTTTATAATTTCCTCACATTCAATGTGAGGAGATCACTTTCAATTTACTCCCTTGTAAAATTATAATAATTTATAGGCAGATAATAATTTATAAAGAGGAGGTCACATCTATCCTTCCCTCCTTCCATAATTATAGAACTATGGCCAGGCATAGAAAGCTAGACTACATTTTCCAGCATCCCTTGCAGCTAGGCACATAATTAAATTTTCTCCTGCAGAATAGAGGTGATGGATGCCATTTCCTGAGCAGAGCTTTTAAGAGAGGGTGCATCCTCAACCCTCTGTTTCTTCTTGCACTGACTAGATGCATGTAATGTAAGATCCTTAGGGAGAGTAGAGACCCAAGAGAAAAGAAACCAGTTCCCTGAGTCACAGCATGGAAGAAAGCCTCCAGCCTATCCAAACAGCTGCTTAGACTGTTAACTGAGCACAATGTAAGCCTCTATAGTTTTTCAGTCATTATGTAATGGCATCTATTTGTACAGTGCTTAGTTATCCTATTATAATGAGATGTAACCTAGAATGGTTAAGTAACATACACAAAACCATACAGAAATGTGGTGTCCTGATCATGATTATTACTAAGGTCTAAGTCTAAAATCTAAACTCTTAATGCATTAGTCTCCTAAGTGGGACACAAGATAACTCAACATTGAGGAAGATATTGTTAACTAAAAAATTCTATTCATATTTGTATCTTTATTTTGTGTATATTTTTAAATGTACATACCATATCAGTAGAGTTGTATATGAATATAATTTACAAATAAAATACATATATTGGTGGTATGTGTTTGAAATCTTTTTACTGATGGGGTAAACTATCTAAATTTGCCTAAGCTGTCCTGGCGGTGAAATGGAGGTGAACACGAACTGATGGTTTTGTCCCACCATTTGTCACCTATTACATTCATATTTCACATCAGAGGAGCCTTTGTGGATGTCATGTTTTCATTGATTACTGATTAATCTTTCCCATCAAGTCTCTATCCTTTGCAATTTAGACAGAGAACAGAAAAAACTTCTTTTGCTTTTCCTACTTTGTTTATCCTCCCTGGAGCCTTTAGGTAATGTTCTTTTCAAGATCTATGACTAGGTCCTCTTGAAAAATGGATATTTGTCACCAGGTGCCTCTATCCTCTCAGGCATTTGTGACTCTTGCAGCCCTGCATTCTCTTTTGCTCATGCACATGCTTCAGTTAGGAGGTTTCACCTGAAGCCACAAGTATCCCTTTCTCGCCAGACTATAGGTTTCTTGTGGCCTGGAATGCTACATATCCTCTCTGTAACTATTCTAAGTTTCTCACCTGCTGCCAGGCCTCTTTATGATCAAGAATTTCAGCCCAGCACATACCACTTACTGGCACCCTTTCAGCATGCTCTTCCTCTTAGGCATTAAAGGACTTTTCCAGTTCCTATTTCTATATAACAAATTACCCCAAAACTCAGCTTCTTAAAATACCAACATTTATTTTGCTCATGAATCTGCAATTTTGGCAGGGCTGGGTGGAGAAGGCTTGCCTCTGTTCCACTTGGCTTCAGCTGGGATGATTTGAGGCTGGGAACTGGAATCGGCTGCAGGCTAACTTACTCATGTGTCTGGTGGTTGAGGCTGGCTGTCAATTTGTCTAATGCTGTTGGCTAAAACTACCACCCGTGGCTTCCCCACAACATGGTGGCTGGGTCTCAAAAGTGAGTGTCATATGAGAGAGAGAGAGAGAGAGAGAGAGAGAGCCAAATGGAAGTCATATCACGTTTTATGACCTAGCTTTAGAAGTCCCACAGTGTCACATCCACTACATTCTACTGATTGAGGCAATTGCAATGTTCCCCTAGCCCCAGTTTCAAGAGGAGGAAAAATAGATTCCATCTCTTCATGGGGGACTGGCAATTTCTGGGAGCACATGTAGAAGCAGAAATATTGCTGTTCAATTTAGGGAAAATACAGTCAGCCATAGGGATTCTTGTGATGATGTTGTATGCTCTCCTGATCAAGATATTTTATTTATCTACATTTTATATTATCATAAGGGTACTTAGGTCAACCTCAAATTGCAAACTTCAAATGTCCTGCTCTTTGACTTACATGTTCAAAATTAAAACAAAAATTATCAATAATTTATAGGAAAACCAACACACATTTATATGCTTTCTTAAAAAAACAGTTTGTCAGGAATAATATAAGATTCTTATTTTTTATGCAAGCACAGAGCATGATCTTACACTGATGCTTGTTCTGACATTGTAGGTGACATGATTTTTCAAGAGCTTTCAAAACAAATTTTTCTCTTGCTGTCTGCACACAAATTTCCATCTGTTCATGCTTGATATGGGCAGTGCTCCAATTCTCTTCAAGGTCATTTGCAGCAAACTTTTGTTATATCACAGTAAACACTTGATAAAACTACTTGCAGAATTACTGATCGAATGCATGTCAGTGCACTTCAACCAATGGTGCTCTTGGATCTGTCTAAAGCTTCCCACTGAGAATGAAGCAGTGATTCAGCATAGTCCATGGCTATGTTTGTAAAAATGAAAACTTTGGAAAGCAAGGAAACCTAAACTAACTAACCTACAAGACATACTCAAGATTGGCCAACCCCAGTGAATTTGCCTCAAAAGTAAAGCCAAAGTTCTGCTGTGTGCTTCGAAGGCACACCATGAAATTGGAAGTGGGCTGTTTATCTCATGCAGATATACTCTGGCTTGCTAACTCATCTTATTGAACACACCTGCTCATTAATCTTCCTGAAATAGATCCTGTTCCCAATTTCTACTGTCTCCATCCTGCTAGAGGCCTTATTATCTCATGCCTCATGCAATCACCTGCCTGGGCTTTTGGTGTCCCCTCTCCAGTCCATGCTCTGATAGGGATGGTTCCCGGTTCAAGAGTCTTCAGTAGCTATAAATTAAAACTTACATTCATTCATCCAGCAGTAGAGACCCTTGACATCTGGCCCCAAACTGTGTTCCAACTTCATCTCCTGTTGTTTCTTTTCATGCACACTCCTCCAAAATGAACCACTGAGATCTCCTAACAGAGCTCACTTAAAAAAAATCATTATACCTTGGTTCCTGATGTTCTCTCAGCCTAGAAGCACTATTCTCTTGACCTGTTCAAATCCTACCTATAAAATGCTTCCAGGCAGCCTTCCCAAATCCCTGCAGCTGAAGGATCCCTCCCTTCCCTCTCCCTCCCTCCCGTGGAATCTTTATCATCTGTACCTCTCTAGTTACTCACAATTAGCTTTTCTACCTTGTGTTATAGTAATTTAAGAACAGGTATTAATTTTCTTATTAGACTAGGAGTTTCTTCCAGACAGAGTATATGTCTATGTTTCAGCTTTGAAATTGCCAAAGCATCTAGCAAAGCATTTGACACGAGGCTTCAATTCAACATTTACCACTCCAAACTCATCTGCTTCCCCTCCAAATCTGTCCCTTCTTCTGACTTCTCTATTTTGCTAATGATGCCGTCCGTTTTTGACACTGATAGTACCACTTCCCCCACCAAAGCAAACCCCTTTCCTGTTGATTTTTATTTTATAAGCCCCACGCATCTGTTTTTCATTGCATTCCCCTCGACTGCTACTTCCATACTCTACTTTCTTATGACCTGAGCATTTTTAATAACCTAATAAGGTGTTCTGGCCTTCATCTCTACCCTCAAATTTATCTGATTAAAAAGCCACCAGCTTAGTGTTCCAACAGTACTGTTCCACGTGCATACCTCTCTTTCTCAGCTTTAGGCGATTCTCGATTGCCTGCCACATAAGTCCCAAGACCTTAATCTGGCATTTGAGAGTCTTCCCTAGTCTCGCCCTGACCTTTCTAGGTTTATCTCCCAGTTTTCCTACACCAGACCCTTTCTCCTAACAAACTGAAGACTCCTTCACCACTTGACCTCATTCCCATCACTTGGGCTGTTGCAGTCTGGATTCCACCCTTGCCTCTTAGAATCCTAACCATCCTAGATCCTGGGCCAAATTCCACGTCCTTCATGAGACCTTCTCAGATCCTCTCATCTAAAAGTTCTGTCTGGATATACCAGATTGCCCCATTCTGGTGATTCTTATCACATTACATCTCTCAGAGCCCATCTTCGCCTTTGTTCAGGTCTTATACAAAAACTTATAAAAGTTTTTGTAGGGATTACCCTGCAAGCCAGCCCTGTACACCTTGTATGACAATCTGTGACTAACAAGTTAAACTTTTACAAGTAGAATTATTAAAATAGGTCATTTTAATATGGAATTTCTAAATATTTTAGATCCATATTCTTAAATCTTATTTCACTCAACACAGCATATTTGCTAGATTAGCCATCCTGTGGTTAGCAGATCCTTAACATTTCTTTGGGCATCTACCATTTGGGGGAACTCCTGCCAACTTCTAAGTACAGACATGTGCATCTCTCTGCCTGAAGGCTTTCTCTGTGGCCCAAGAGACCTGGGGAAGGAGTGGTCCATTTCCCTGGAGCAGCTCTCAATCAACAACCAACAGGAGCTGGTGTATACATACCCCAAGTCCCTCACCCCTTAGGTGGGATAATCTGAGGAATATGTCTTACATAATTATCCAATGTTCTCTTGCGATTAAGTTCCAGGCACCCACAAAGGTAGCTGGTCTGATAATGTACTATCTCTGGGCTGTCTTCTCTTCCCTGTGCCATCACCCACTCTTTCCTCCTGGTGCCTCCTGCCCCTCTTAAATAAACCATTTGCCTTGGAGTCCTTGTCTCTGGGTCTACTTCTGAGGTAACCCAAACCAGGACACCATGTGACAGAGCTAACAGCTACCTTATGAAAAAGCTAATGCACTTCCCATCAGGTTTCTGTGCGGGCGTTATATTCAGAGTTCTGGCTTAATGTGAAGTTGGTTCCTTCTCTCTTCTCCTCCTCCCTGCAGACAACTATAATCAGTGTCCATTTCAGACTGAGTGGTTTTCATTTCTGGCCTCCTCTGGTACTACGATGTATCTATCACTCACATTTAGGCACGTAATCCAGGCAAATAGGATTTTTCAGGCCCACCCCTCAGATCTGTCTTCCATTCTGTGGACAGAGAGACCTTTATAAAACTCCCCTGCTTCAGATCTTTCCCCTGCAGGGTTCAGCCCAAGCTCCTCACATGGCATTCAAGGCCCTTTCATATCTATCCAACAGTCATGCCTGCCTCTCTGGACTCATCCCCTGTTTCTCTTCCACCACCCCTGGGCCCTACTTGTGGCCAACCTTGTGGGGCACATGGTTGCTTTCCCTCCCTTCCACACTTTTATGCAGTTTTCTTCTCCTGGGAGGTCCTTCTCCCATTGCCTTACTCTCTTATGAGGCAAACACCTCATCTGAAGATGATGAGCTCAGTTGTCTGTTCTGGGAAGCTTTTACTATAGACAATCCTTGACTAACGATGGTTTGACTTGCAATTTTTCAATTATATGATGGTGCAAAAGCAATACACATTTGGTAGAAACCATACTTTCAGTGCCCATATAATCATTCTGTTTTTCACTTTCAGTATAGTATTCAATAAATTACACTAGATATTCAATGCTTTATTATAAAACAGGCTTTGTTTTAGATGATTTTGCCCATCTATATGCTAATAAAAGTGTTCTGATCACATCTAAGGTAGGCTAGGCTAAACTATGATGTTCAGTAGGCTAGGTATACTAAATACATGTTTTACTTATAGTATTTTTAACTTATAATGGGTTATCAGACTGTAAGTCAAGAAATGTAAGCTCCATCATAAGTCGAGGAGCATTTGTAGTTTCTCTAGGGCAGAGACATGAGCTCCTTTGTGAATATAATTCTGTCACAGCAGGGCTATAATTATTTATCTTTCATATCTTGTTTATCACACTATAGACCTTTGAGGTTTGCTATCTAGAAAAGACCATTGCCCACCAGCGAAAGTATGCACTGCAGCAGTTAAGATCTTGTATGACTTCCGAGCCAGATTGGTTGTGCTCAAGTCCCAGCTCTAACACTAAGCAACTATGTAACCTGGGACAAGTTACTTAAAGTTTTCTGTTTCCTCTTCTGAAAAACTTGTATAATAGTGCCTAACTTAAGGGTTGTAGTGAGATTTAAGTGGGTAGAAAATACAACACAAATTAAACAGTGTCTGGCACCCAAAAATCACTTAATAAATTTTAAATATTATTAGAAGTAGCAAAGTTAGTAGTACTAATATTAGTATTATTTATCTTTATATGCCAGAGCAGAGATTTTCTACTGGGGAGCATGCATTTGTGAAGCTTTTGAAAAATAGAACTTCCTAGGACTCACCGCAAACCTATTAAATAAGAATGTCTTAGGACACATGTATTAGTCCATTCTCAGCCACTATGAAGAAATACCCAAGACTGGGTAATTTATAAAGAAAAGAGGTTTAATTGATTAACAGTTGTACAGGACTATGGAGCCCTCAGGAAACTTACAATCATGGCAGAATGCACCTCTTCACAGGGCAGCAGAAGAGAGAATGAGTGCCAAGCTAAGGGGGAAGCCCCTTATAAAACCATCAGATCTGTGAGAACTCATTCACTGTCAAGAGAACAGTGTGGGGGAAACTGCCCCCATCATTCAATTATCTCCACCTGGTCCCATCATTCCTTAACATGGGGGTTATTACAATTCAAGGTAAGATTTGAGTGGGGACACAGAGCCAAACCATATCAACACCGATTAGAGGAAACTAAGGAGACATAACTTAATGCATTATAAGTTCTTAGACCAAAAAAAAAAAAAAAAAAGAGGACATTTATGGGCTAACTTGCAAAAATTTAAATAAAGTCTATATATTAATAGTATTATGTCAATGTTAATCTCCTCATTTCAATAAATGTGCAATAAACAGAATAAACAGAATTAAAAACAAAAACCATATGATCATCTCGATAGATGCAGAAAAAGCATTTGATAAAATCCAGCAATGCTTTGTGATAAAAGCCCTCAACAAAATAGGCATAGAAGGAACTTATCTCAAAGTAATAACAGCCATCTATGACAAACCCACAGCCAACATAATACTGAATGGGGAAAAGTTAAAAGCATTCCCCCTGATAACTGGAATAAGACAAGGATGCCCACTTTCACCACTTCTATTCAACATAGTACCAAAAGTCCTAGCCAGAGCAATCAGGCAAGAGAAAGAAATAAAGGGCATCCAAATTGGAAAAGAGCAAGTCAAACTTTGCTGTTTGCCAATGATATGATCATACACCTAGAAAACTCTAAACACTCATCCAAAAGCCTTCCAGATGTGATAAGTGAATTCAGTAAAGTCTCAAGTTACAAAATCAATGCACACAAATAGTTGCACAGCTATACATCAACAATGACCAAGCTGAGAATCAAATCAAGAACTTCATCCCTTTTATGACAGCTGCATAAATAAATAAATAAATAAATAAAATACCTAGGAATATACTAACCAAGGAGGTGAAACTTATCTACGAGGAAAACTACAACCCACTGCTGAAAGAAATCATAGATGACACAAACAAATGGAAAAACAAACATACCATGCTCATGGATAGGAAGAACAAATATTGTGAAACTGACCATACTGCCCAAAGCAATCTACAGATCTAATGCAATTCCCATAAAAATACCATCATCATTTTTCATAGTACTAGAAAAAACAATCTGAAAACTCATATGGACCAAAAAGAACCTGCATAGCCAAAGCAATACTAAGCAAAAAGAACAAATCTGGAGGCATCCCATTACCTGACTTCAAACTGTACTACGAGGCTACAGTTACTAAAACAGCACAGTACTGGTATCAAAATAGGCACTTAGACCAATGGAACAGAATAGACAACCCAGAAATAAAGCCAAATACAGCCAACTGATCTTCAACAAAGCATACAAAAACACAAATTGGGGAACAGACCCTCTATTCAATAAATAGTGCTGGGAAAACTGGCAAGACACATGTAGAAGAATGAAACTGGATCCACCTCTCTCACCTTATACAAAAATCAACTCAAGATAGATCAAAGACTTAAATCTGAGACTTGTAACCATAAAAGTTCTAGAAGATAATGTCAGAAAAACTTCCAGACACCCGGCTTAGGCAAGGAATTCATGACTAAGACCCCAAAAGCAAATGCAACAAAACCAAAAGTAAATAAATGGGACCTAATTAAACTAAAAAGCTTCTGCACAGCAAAAGAAATAATCAGCAGAGTAAATAGACAATCCAGAGATTGGGAGAAAATATTCACAAACTATGTATCCAACAAAGGACTAGTATCTGGAATCTATAAGGAACTCAAACAAGTCAGCAAGAAAAAACAAATAATCCCATCAAAAAGTGGGCAAAGGACATGAATAGACATTTCTCAAAAGAAGATACACAAACAGCTAACAAACATATGAAAAAATGCTCAACATCACCAATCATCAGGGAAATGCAAATTAAAACCACAATGAAATACTACCTTGCTCCTGCAAGAATGGCCATAATTAAAAAGTCAAAAAATAGATGTTGTTGTGGATATGGTAAAAGGGGAACATTTTTATACTGTTGCTGGGAATGTAAGTTAGTACAACCAGTATGGAAAATAGTGTGGAGATTCCTTAAAGAACTAAAGGTAGATCTACCATTCGATCCAGCAATCCCACTACTGGGTATCTACCCAAAGGAAAAGAGTCATTATATGAAAAAGACACATGCACATGCACGTTTATAGCAGGACAATTCACAGTTGCAAGGATATGGAACCAATCTAAGTGCCCATTGACCCAAATGAGTGGATAAAGAAAATGTATGTATGCACTACGGAATACTACTCAGCCATAAAAAGGAATGAAATAATGTCTTTTGCAGCAACTTGGATGGAACCGGAAGTCATTATTCTCAGTAACTCAGGAATGAAAAACCAAATACCATATGTTCTCATGTATAAGTGGGAGCTAAGCTATGAGGATGCAAAAACATACAGAGTGATGTCATGGACTGTGGCAACTTGGTTGGGGGAGGTTGGGAAAGAGATGATGGATAAAAGACAATATATTGGATCCAGTGCACACTGCTCCAGTGAAAAGTGCACCAAAATCTCAGAATTCACTACTAAAGAACTCATCCATGTAACCGAAAACCACTCATACCCCCAAATCTATTGAAATAAAAAATATATATAAGTGTGCAATGGGATCTTATTTGGGGAAAGCTGAGTGAACAATATGCAGAAACTCTATATGTTATGTTTGCAATCTTTTTAAAGTCTAAAATTAATTTAAAATAAGAAGTTTTTAAAATCTTCTAAGATCCAGCATGTGTATTAGCAAAGGCTCCACTGGTGAGTGATGTTGATATGCACCCTTAACTACTGCCTAGAGCACTGCTAGGTACCTGCTTCAGTCAGGTGGGTTAAATGACTCATTCAAGGTGCCTTGGATGATCATTTAATGCTGTGTGTTCCCTTGGTGATCTCTCCAATAAAACTATGAGCACCCAGTAGACAGGGCCATTTAATTTTTTTGTTGCCCTCACAAGGCCTAGCATAATACACTATAGATTTAGACAATAGACAGCATTTGTTTAATTGAATTTAATCAGCACTTTTATGCATTCCTAAGAGAGTTTTTAGATTTCTTAGGAATACTCTCCTCTATCCCATGTAAAGATATAAGTTTCTTTAAATTCATTATTGTACCTCAGAATACAGATGAATAGTTTTGAACTTGTCTCTTTCCAAACTTACATGTCTTACCTGGAGAGAGTTTAGAAGAAAACAGAAAAGTAGAGTTTTCAATTTAGCCATTCTATTAAGTCCTGCAAGTCATTGTAATCATAATTTAATAAGGAAAAGCCCTTTTAGAAAAACTACTCCTTTAATATCCTAGGAGGCAAGAAAATCCTGAAATCAACACCACCTATCAATCAGGGAGGCTAAGTCAAAAGCCCTAGGTGAACAACATATAATAAAGGCACACGGAGAAAGCATCCCTAAGAAGTGATTTGCCCCCTAAAAGAAAGCTCTGTGGTGCTGAAGGAGAAATAGCGATTTCAACAGTGTCATATTTTGACAATGTCATTCAAAGTATGTTAGATAGGGGCCAGGCGCAGTGGCTCACACCTGTTATCCCAGCACTTTGGGAGGCTGAGGTGGGCAGATCACTTGAGGCCAGGAGATCGATACCAGCCTGGCCAACATGGCAAAACCCTATCTCTACTAAAAATATAAAAATTATCCAGTCATGGTGGTGCATGCCTGTAATCCCAGCTACTCAGGAGGCTGAGGGACGAGAATCACTTGAACCTGGGAGGCAGAGGCTGGGTGAGGTGAAATCGCACCACTGCACTCCAGTCTGGGCAACAGAGTGAGACTCTGTATAAAAAAAAAAAAGTACGTTAGATAGGAATAAGTGATACAGATTTTATCCTAAAAATATAATAATGGCTCAAATTATTATTTAGTTAGCAACTGTGGATCAGGGTCAAAACTAAAGCAGCTCACTCACTGACCTTGCTGCATTCAACCACACACCTGGTTCATCTGTATCAGGGGAGCTGTGTTTCAAATGGAAGACCTTTCATGGGCCTTCCCTCCTGACCAAGACTTCAACCTCTTTCTAGGTTTCCATCTAATGCTCTGCTCCTCCTTGGCACTTTTAGTAAGGGAGTCAGTGTCTACTTTTGCTCATGCCTGTTCCAGGAATCCTACTCATGTGGCCAGAGATTGATGTGGAATGAACTAGGGCCTATTATTTTTGGCTTGAAGGAGTAGAATAAATGTTGTGGGAAGTCAGGGACCCTGAACAGAGGGACCAGCTGAAGCCATGGCGGAAGAATATAAATTGTGAAGATTTCATGGACATTTATTAGTTCCCCAAATTAATACTTTTATAATTTCTCATGCCGGTCTTTACTGCAATCTCTGAACATAAATTGTGAAGATTTTGTGGACACTTATCACTTCCCCAATCAATACTCTTGTGATTTCCTATACGTGTCTTTACTTTAATCTCTTAATCATGTCATCTTCATAAGCTGAGGATGAATGTCACCTCAGGACCCTGTGATGATTGTGTTAACTGCACAAATTGTTTAAACAATATGAAATCTGGGCACCTTGAAAAAAGAACAGGATAACAGCGATGTTCAGGGAACAAGGGAGATAATCATTAGGTCTGGCTGCCTGAGAGCTGGGCAGAACAGAGCCATATTTCTCTTCTTTCAAAAGCAAATAGGAGAAATATTGCTGAATTCTTTTTCTCAGCAAGGAACATCCCTGAGAAAGAGAATGTGTTCCCAATGAGAGGTCTCTAAAATGGCCGCTTTGGGAACGTCTGTCTTTTATGGGTGTCGATAAGGGATGAAATAAGCCCCGGTCTCCAGTAGCACTCCTAGGCTTATTAGGACGAGGAAATTCCCGCCTAATAAATTTTGGTCAGACTGGTTGTCTGCTCTCAAACTCTGTCTCCTGATAAGATGTTATCAATGACAATGCGTGCCTGAAACTTCATTAGCAATTTTAATTTCACCCCGGTCCTGTGATCTCACCCTGCCTCCATTTGCCTTGTGATATTTTATTACCTTGTGAAGTATGTGATCTCTGTGACCCACACCCTATTCGTACACTCCCTCCCCTTTTGAAAATCACTAATAAAAACTTGTTGGTTTTACAGCTTATGGGGCATCACAGAACCTACCAACATGTGATGTCTGCCCCGGACACCCAGCTTTATTTCTCTCTTTTGTACTCTTTCCCTTTATTTCTCAGACTGGCCGACATTTAGGGAAAATAGAAAAGTACCCACGTTGAAATATCAGGGGCTGAATTTCCCCCAGTAACTAAAGAATTCCTTGCTTGGCTTTCTTTTGTAATCAGGAGCTACGGAAGGAAAGTAATAAACTGCTTCCATCTGCGTAGTTTTTAAACGTTACTGAGTGTCTTGTATAGAACCTCATGCCTGGATTCTGAGAAGCCAGATGAGCAATATGGTCCTAAAGCAGGCTGAGCCAAGTCCCTTGAGATCAGGCCACCAGGAGATAACTAGCCACAAACCACCTGCTGGTGCCTCCATCCTTGGCTCTCAGCATAACATTACAACCATGCACCTAACAGGTGTTTCCAAAGCTCTCTCCAGCCCTGTGTTTACAAGCTCACTTATTTGTGCAATAGTTTTGAATGCTTTGGGATACTTTTCATTTAAGGAAAAAAGCAACAAAACCTAATTGCCCGTGATGGAAAATAACCCACTTCACAGACACAGAAATGTGCTAAAAGGCAAGTTGTGTTTCTTTCTTGTATCTAAGGAAATGGTCCCACTGAGGCCCAAGACTTGACAGTGGAAGTCTTGCCAATTTAAAGTCTAATGAAGATTGTGAATTATTGACTGGTAAGATTGATTTTTATGGCTTATGTATGAGACTTATAAAATTGTAAATTCATATTTAGGGGTTTAATCCAGAAACATCATTGAAATGCCAAGAGACTGTGGTCCCATTATCTGGCCATTACACACCTGCCACATCCATGGAAGTTTCAAAACGTGTCTGCATGTTCTTTGGCCATCTTGTCATGAAGCTGTGGAGTCTATGTCCCCTTCCCTTGAGTCTGGGCAGAACCTGTGTCTGCCTTGACAAATAGAATGTAGCAGAGTGATGCTATCATCTCCAATGCTAGCTCAGGAAAGGCCCTGCAGCTTCAGCTGATCTTCTGAGACATTTGCTCTGGGAATCTTCAGTCCAATTAGCATGTGAGAAGGTTCAACTACCCCGAAGCCACCACGTGGGGAGACCAGAGAGACAGAGATCCTGAGAAGCCCCAGACACATGAATGCAGACACCACCATCTGTCTGCAAAATCTGCATAGCTGAGCCCAGTCAAACCCCAGACACATGAACAAAAATAAATATTAATTATTATTTTAAACCACTGTTCCGTGGTGGTCTGTTAAGCAGATAACCAGAACACCAACTCTCTCAAAAGGTGTTTGGTTGATGTAAAATATTGCAAGGGCTGTATCATAATGCTATCTCTAGTGCTACCACTGCTTCTACCCCCAAGTAAATAGAATTATATTGGCTGCCATTTGTTGCATGCTTTCTAAGGAGGCAGACCCTGGTCTGAGCACTTTCTATACATTATCAGCCTGCATCCTCACAATGCTCCTATGTGGTAGATAACATTATCATCCCCATCTTATCAGTAAGATAACATAATTGAGGTTGCAAGACATTAAATAACTTTTCCAGTGTTGTTATCTGCAGATGCTCATGGAAGGCCTCCTTGTGCTCCACCTTGGGTTAGGAACTGAAAACAATGAGGCTATGGAGACGTGTCCTCAGTCTCTTGGAACTTGCCAGCTAACCGGGCAGGCAGATATTCACTGAATTTTACATTAACGCTGTGATAAGAACAAAAAGAGCCACATGGTACTGCAAGGGCATATACCAGGGAGATGGTTTGGAAATCAAGGAAAGCTTCCCCAGGAGGGAGTGCTGGGCTAAGAGGATAAAGGCTTGTGGGGAGAAGGCACAAGAGCGTACTCAAGGAGCTGAAGGAAAGTCTGGGGGAGAGGGCACCCAGGATGAGATGGCCAGGGAGAAAGAGGCAGGGGCCAGATATGCAGGGCCTGGTAGGTCACTTTAAAGGTTTGAGTCTTTATCTTAAGGCCCCAGGAAGTGATTGAAGAGTTTTAGGCACTGAAAGGACACAATTAGAATGGTACTTTTGAGAAGATAATTTTGGTCTTTGAGGGCAGTACACGCATTCAGGGAGAAAAAATCAACTTCCTATTTCCCCTGCCATGGAACCACCTGTCTCCACCCCCACAACTATGGTAAACTAGGCTGCTAGGAAGAAGCCCTGATTATGTGCCATTTCCTTCCTTCTGGCTATATCCAACCCCTTCCACAAGGTACAAAAGGCAAAAGAATACAACAAGCTGGTTAGGCATTTGGGTTTTGAGAGGTTAAGCTCCATGTATTCTGAAGTGGAGCTCATACAGAAATGCTAAGATGGTGCTTCCCTTTACTGCCTATTTCTCATGCCAATGACTTTCTGTCTCTCTAGGCACAAGTAGAGCTTCCTGCACTCAATGATGGACAACTGAAGGCCTGTGCTAGCACTCTGTTTGGTACTTAGGAGAGGTAGGTGCCTCGCTGTGCTTGTAAACTCCTTAGGGAGACAACTGGGACATGTATGCAATGCCCAGCTAAATGAAGATCCTGGCTCAGTCTGCACTGTGCCTGCACCTGGGGTCCAGACCTTTCTGGGCATATCTGAGGAGTATAGAGTGGGGGAATCTGTAGGCATCTATTTGCCTGAGTGATCTAGCAAGGGAGGAAGAAGCTTGTGTGGCCCATGATTGTGGACAGGGCTTGGGGAAGAGAAAGGGATGGAAAGAGGCTGGGTCTCATGGACTCCACAGTCATGGAGAGATGCTGCATGGAGAAGCTGAGGGTGCAGTTTCAGGGGCTTCTGTACAATACAGGAGAACACACACTGACCAGAACATGGAAAGGGCATGTCCTTTCTGCTTGGGACTTGGGTAACCAGCCCAGGGAAGACTGCAGGGAAGCAGAGATGCTGCTCTTCATGGGCAGTGTGTCCTCCCTGAGGGTGGGTCCTTCCTGGAGTGGCAGCTGTGAGCCTCATGGGCTAACAAGGGGTGCATGACATGACTTTTGAGGGTTCTCATGAGAGAACCCCTAGGAACCTCAAGGAACCACTGGCAAGATTTTATATTAGAGCTGAGGATCCTTCCTTGTGCTGCTTGGGACACAAATCAGGAGAATGTTATTATTCCTGTTAATTTCCTTCATGGGGGATGAGGTCTGGGGAATATTGGGCTACTTAGGGAACAGCTGAGAGCTTAACAATGTTTTTCTGACTACATGTACAAAAGACAGAAAACACAAGAACCCTCCCAGTTCCCCTAATGGGGGAGAAGACTACAGCAGTGGCAACACACTCGTCCTTTGTTTTAGGCAGAGTTCTCCAGAGAAACAGAACCAATAGGATGTGTGTACATATATATAGAAAGACAGAAAGAGACTTATTATAAAAAATTGGCTCACACAATTGTGGAGGTTGCAAGTCCAAAATCTGATGGAGGAGTCTGGCAGACTGGAGACTCAGGAAGGAGTTGCAGTTTGAGTTATAGGCAGTCTGTTATACAACCAGGAAGAGCTAATGTCGCAGATGAAACCCGAAGGCTGTCTGCTAGAGAGTTTCCTCTTGCTCAGGGGAGGTATTTTGTTCCATTTAAGCTTTCAACTGATTAAGGAGGCTCACCAACATTAGGGAAGGCAATCCTCTTTACTTAAAGTCTGTTAATTTTAATGTTAATCTCATCCAAAAACATCCTCACGGAAACTTATGTTTGTTCAAAATAATGTTTGAATTGGCCCAGGCAATTACACATAAATTAATCATCACATCCCTGTTCTCAAGAATCCCAAGTCACCCATCACCCCAAGAGGCTCAGCTGATGAAAGCTTACCTGATAGCACCTGCACATAGTGTCTGATGGGCAGGAGAGTGCAAGGGAAGGGAGCTGGATGGGGGCCCTCGGCTAACGGAATTCAAGGACAAACTTTACATGCAATGTAGGGATTCAATATTGGGGGAAATTTAAAGACACACTGTTAGTTCTGCATATTCATACTGTTTCAAAGCAATGCAAATCACAAGTACTGAGTGGAAGAGCATTTGGTTTCAATTTTTGAATAAATTACCATGACTTAGTCCATCCTTCCAGGGAGTCATATCTAAATAAAAATCATGGATATGAAAACGAAGGCAACCACTCCTAACCTCAATTTCAAGGGTTGGAAGGAAATACATTTTGTCCTTCTTTGAGTTCAGACACTTGCCAGTTTCCAGGAACTCCAAATGGCTACTGAGGTGACTCTGGTAATGAGACCATTCTGTAGAAGGATCTTGGGGAAGTGCTTTTCTCTAGGAGAAAATTGAGTGTGTTACCCAAGACAGCACCTGAGGTTGGAATGAGAGGAAAGGGGGAATGCCACTTGTGGACAGGCTACTCAGGAAGTCCATCTTGACATCCCTTGAGATATCAAAGACCACAGTCTCCCAGGCAAGGAGCCAGAGAGTCATGGGGGAAAGACAGCCCCTCAGGAGCAGAGGGGTGGGCCTGTAGTTGGAGCCTGAGTCCTGGTCTTGGTTCTTCTATTAACTATTAATGTGATTCTGAGCAATTGCTACACGGGATTCTCTGGATCTCTGCTCCATGATTTTTTAAACGAGAGGATCACAAATTTGAGTGCTGTTATCACCATGCAGAGGCAGTGAAACACGGTGAAGTGGCACTGAGCACCAGGCTGATCTGTATACCAGCCCACTGCTTAGCCTTCCACATCTTGCCTTCCCATTCATATTAACAACTTGGTAATACACATGAGGCACAAAGCTGTTCCTGCCACAGAGTAAGAAGCCCAGTAGATTTTAAGTGCATAAACATAAAACTCAACTGGGGGAAACTTATTAAATGTGCATATTCCCAGGCTCACCTCACAGCCTCCAAGCAGGCAGACCCTGGAATCTGCATTTTTAACAGACGGCCTGTTGTGGGAACTCACCTCGTGATTGTGTGAGTCAATATTCCTTAATAAACTCATATATATATATATAAAGCTTTCCTTAATGCAATTTTGAAGTGAATAATCTAGAGAACAGTTTGAGAAATAATGAAATAGAATCAGTGATTTTCAAACTTTTCTCAGGATGACCTCAATAAGAAACCAATTTTATATCATGATCCAATGATCCAATATATAAAAGATATTCACATATACACAATCAAAACAGATATATTAAAAGCAATATATAAGGCTCATCTTATATGAAGCATTCAATTTATTTTGTAATTTATTGTGGTAAAAAACACATAACATTAGCTGTGCCATCTTAACCATTTTAAGTGTATAGTTCAGTGGTGTTAGGTATATCCACATTGTTGTGTAACAGATCTCCAGAGCTTTTTCATCTTGCAAAACTGAAACTCTATACCTGTTAAACACTAACTTCTCCTCCTCTCCCCACAGCCCTTGGAAACCACCTGCTCTTGTTTGAATGTGTTCCCTCCAAAATTCAGATGTTGAAACTTAATGGCCAATGTGATAGTATTAAGAGGTGGGGCCTTTAAAGGGTGATTAGACCATAAGGGCTCCTCCCTCATGAGTGAGATTAAGGCCCCTATAAAGGAAGCTTCCTGCAGCATTCAGGCATCTTGCCCTTCTGCCTTCCACCAAGTAAAGATAGAGCATCCCTCCCATCTGGAGGACACAGAGCAAGGTACCGTCTTGGAAGCAGAGAGCAGCCCCCACAAGACACCAAACCTGCCAGTGCCTTGATCTTAGACTTCCCAGCCTCCAGAACTGTGAGTAATAAATTTCTGTTGTTTAAGCCACCAGTCTATGGTATTCTGTTATAGCAGCCTGAATTGACTAAGACAACACCATTCTAGTTTCTGTTTCTGAGTTTGACTACTTTAGATAATTCATGAGTAAAATCATATAGTATTCGTCCTTGAGACTGGCCTATTTCATTTAGCATAATATCCTCAAGGTTCATCCATGTTGTAACATGTGACAGGGTTTTCTTTTTTAAGGCTGCATAATATTTCATTGTATGTATTTATGTACCACATTTTATTTATCCATTCATCTGTTGACGGGTATTTGGGTTGCTCTACATGTTGGTTATTGTGAATAATGCCATGATGAACATTGCCATGCAGAAATCTCTTTGGTGTCCTCCTTTGAGTTCTTTTGAATATATGCCCAGAAGTGGAATTGCTGGATCAATTGGTAGTTCCAGTTTTAGTTTTCCAAAAAAAAAAAACCCATATTGTTTTCCATAATGGCTGCACCATTTCACATTCCCAGCAGTGCACAAGGGTTCTAATTTCTTCACATCCTTGTTAACACTTGCTATTTTCTGTTCTTTCGATAGTGGCCATCCCTATGGGTAAGTAGTATCTCACTGTGGTTTTGATTTGCACCTTCCTAATAATTAGTGATACTGAACATCTTTGCATGTACTTATTGGCCATTCAGATACTTTCTTTAAAGAACTATCTATACAAATCCTTTGCCCATTTCTTAATCAGCTTGTTTGGTTTTTGTTGAGTTGAAGTTCCCTATATATCCTAGATATCAGATATATGATGCGCAGTTATTCTTTCCCATTCCATAGGTTGCCTTGTCACTGTTTCTTTTGATGTGCAGGAGTTTTTAAGCTTGATATAGTCCTATTTGTGTATTTTTTGTTCTGTGGTCTGTGCTTTTGGTGTCATCTCAAAGAAATTGCCAAATCCAATGCCCTGAAGATTTCCCCTATGTCTTCTCCTAGAAGTTTAATAGTTTTGGGCCTTAGATTTAGGTTTTTAATCCATTTTGAGTTAATTTGTGTACATGATATAAAGTAAGGATCCAACTTCATTCTTTTGTATGTGGATATTCGGTTTTCCCAGTACCATTTGTTGAAGAGACTGTCTTTTTCCAATTGTGTAGTTTTGCTGCTCTTGTCAAAAATCATTTGACCTATATGCAAGGGTTTATTTCTGGATTCTCTATTCTGTTTCATTCATCTATATCTATCTTAATACCACTACCACATCATCTTAATTATTTTTGCTTTGTACTGTGTTTTAAAGCCAGAGAATGTGAAGCCTCAAACTTTGTCCTTTTTCAAAATTGTTTTGACTATTCAGGGTCCCTTGATGTTCCATACAAATTTTAGGATTTTATTCTCTAAAAAATGTTATTAGAGTGATTATTTAAAAGTCAAGAAACATCAGATGCTGGTGAGGCTGTGGAGAAAACAGGAATGCTTTTACACTGTTGGGGGGAATGTAAATTAGGTCAACCATTGTGGAAGACAGTGTGGTGATTCCTCAAAGGCCTAGAACCAGAAATACCATTTGACCTAGCAATCCCATTACTGGGTATATACCCAAAGGAATATAAATCATTCTATTATAAAGATACATGTACATGTATGTTCACTGCAGCACTATTCACAATAGCAAAGACATGGAGTCAACCCAAATGCCCATCAATGATAGTCTGGAAAACAAAAATGTGGTACATATACACCATGGAATACTACGCAGCCATAAAAAGGAATGAGATTATGTCCTTTGCAGGGACATGGATGAAGCTAGAAGCCATTATTCTCAGCAAACTAACTCAAGAACAGAAAACCAAACACTGCATGTTCTTGCTTATAAGAGGGAGCTGAACAATGAGAACACATGGACACAGGGAGGGGAACAACACACACTGGGACCTGTTGGTAGGGGTTGGGGGAGGGAGAGCATCAGGATAAATAGCTAATGTATGCAGGGCTTAATACTTAGGTGACGGTTTGATAGGTACAGCAAACCACCATGGCACACGTTTACCTATGTAACAAACCTGCCCATCCTGCACATGTATCCCAGAACTTAAAACAAAATAATTTTTAATGCCATTAGAATTTTATAGGGGTTGCATTGAATCTGTAGATTGCTTTTGCATAGTAGGGACATTTTAACATTATTAAGTCTTCCAATCCATTAGCACAGCATGTCTTTCCATTTAGTTGTATCTTCTTTGATTTCTTCTAGCAATGTTTTATAGTTTTCAGTGTCTTAGTCTGTTTGAGATGTTATAACAAAACCCCATAAACTGGGTAGCTTATAAATAACAGAAACCTATTTCTCACAGTTCTGGAGGCCAGAAAGCCCAGGTGCTAGTAGATATGGTATCTGGGGGAGGGGCAGCTTTCTCATTTGCTGTGTCCTCACATGGTGGAGGAGAAAACAAGCTCCCTCAGTCCTCTTTTACAAGGGCACAGATCGCATTTCTGAGGGCCCCACCATGATGACCTAATCACCTCCCTGAAGGCCCACCTCCTAATATCATCACATTGATAATTAGGTTTTGACAAATGAATTTGGGGGTGGGAAGGGAACAAACATTCAGAACATAGCACAGTGTTATTTTGTATTGTTTTTATTCCATTTTACTTCACTTCTTAAAATGCTGTCCTTGACCCACTAGTTGCTTTTGCAAACCACAAATTGAAAAAAATGTAGAAACAAATGATTTCTAGTTTCTTCTCAACAATTTGTAATAAAATCAGTGAGCCATCTTGACACAGGATTGCTACAAACCCTCTGTATTTGAACTTGAAATACATAGTGAATAATTCCCTCAATTAGGTTTTGTTTCTGCCGTGTGATATTTGATTTGACCTTGAGGAACAAATGGCCCCTCACATTGAACAAAGCCAAACAGACAAGCTTCGATAAAGCTCAAAGCAGTTGATATCTGTAGAGAGAAACAGCCTCATGTACTTAGGAAGGAAAATCTTGACAAATAAGCTCTGAGCAGGGGCAGAGGCTCTGAACAGCACTGATAGTGGTGATGCCCAGATGCTGAGAAGATGGGGAATCTAACCTACAGTGTGGAGTATAGATCCTCCCTCATCCATGGGAGGCCATGAAGGAGGGATGTGTGTGCTCTGGGGCACCTCATCCTGGGCCCTGGAATCTTCATGAAAGTAAATGCACTCGACCAGTGCTTGAAGTGAGTGGCTTTTTTTGTACCAGGAAAGGATCCAGGTTTATATCTGTTTTGATGAAGGGCAAAGCCAACCTGGAACAGAATGCCAGGGCAGAGTCAGGGTTGCAGGACAGGGATGCTGCTGCAACCTCTTGGTTACTTTTTTTTTCCTTTTTTGGGGAGAGTCTCGCTCTGTCACCCAGGCTGGAGTGCAGTGGTGCGATCTCCACTCACCGCAACCTCTACCACCCAAGTTCAAGCGATTCTCCTGCCTCAGCCTCTTGAGTAGCTGGGATTACACGTGTGCACCACTATGCCCAGCTAATTTTTGTATTTTTAGTAGAGACAGGATTTCACCACGTTGGCCAGGCTGGTTTCGAATGCCTGACCTCAAGTGATCTGCCTGTCTCAGCCTCCCAAAGTGCTGGGATTACAAGCATGAGCCACCGCACCTGGTTGGGTTATTTTCTATTTCTCAGTTAACCTGAATAAACTCCCATTTTACAGGTAGAAAGTCAGGCCACCTTATAATTTAGAAGCTAAATTTGGAGAGAACAGAGACATTCAAATCTTCCTGATGTGTTCCCAGCACTCTCCTGGGACGAACAGCCCAGGGTGGAAGACGGGCCAACTACCGCAGTGCAAGGGAGCCAAGGGCCCAGCCTGGGCCTCTCCTGCCTGCTTTTTGTTCCTCTTTCATCAAGGCTGAGTTTCCCTGGGTGAGAGGAGCTGTGTGAGGCATCAGAACTGGCCCCCCTGCTTCATGCAAGGTTGGGTTTTGTATCTCCTGACTGGGAAGACATCACACTTCTTTCAAGGAGCACATGTGACAATGGCGGCTCGCTCTTGCCTCCATGTGAAGTCACAGAAAGTTTTTCTCCTGCTACCATGCGTCTGAAAAATCACCATCCTGTCATTCAGGTTGACCCAGGAGAAACCCACAAGATGGATTGCTGGAGTCCCTGTGTAGGCCGGACCAAGCCAGCTACCACATCCTCCCTAGTCAGGCATGAGGGCAAGAGGGCAAATAGATGGATCCCCCTCCAGGCTGTGTCTCATTTCAGGTTCGCTTTCTCACACAAACACACTGAAATCAAAGAGGCAGCAGTCAACCAAAGGACATGGAAGGCGATGGCATCAAACCACGTGAAGTCACATTTATAATTACCTCTCCCTCTCCACCACCCAGCAGTGCTGATTGAAACCTGAAAACATCCCCCTGTATCTACCTGATGTGGTTATTTTGGTTCTTTGCAGCAAATAATTACTTATTCTTCGGGCTACATTTTCTATTGTCAAGTCCTGTTGTGTTCAGGACTGCATGTTTCAGTAACAAACTGTTGGAGTAAATGCAAGTGACTTGAAAAAAATTAAATAATTCTTCTATTTATAATCTAAAATGAATCCAGTGGAGTGTTCTCACATTCCACTTGTCACAGGTACAACAGAAGGCAATAACAACTTCAGCACAGATAGCTTCAGGCAGCCAAAGACAGGGGATGGGGAGAGGAAAGAATGGGGAGAGAGAGGGAGAGAGAGACTTACCCCTGTGCCCAGGCTGTGGCAAGCACACAGGAGGGAGGAAAAGAGCTAAACTTCACCTGCTGTGTAGAAGAGCACTCAGGACTTGGCCCACTTTACTTCATTTTATCTTCTGAACTATTATGTGAGGGAAATTGTATTAGTCCATTTCCACGCTGCTGAATAAAGACATACCCGAGACTGGGTATGTCTTTAGTCATGAAAAAGAGGTTTAATAAACTCATAGTTCCACGTGGCTGGGGAGGCCTCACAATCATAGTGGGAGGCAAGGAGGAACAAGTCATGTCTTACATGGATGGCAACAGGCAAAGGGAGAGAACTTGTGCAGGGAAACTCTTTATAAAACCATCAGATCTCTTGAGACTTAATTCACTGTCATGAGAACAGCAGAGGAAAGACCCACCCCCATGATACAATTACCTCCCACTTGGTCCCTCCCATGACACTTGGGAATTGTGGGAGCTACAATTCAAAATGAGATTTGGGTGAGAACACAGCCAAACCATATCCTTATTATTATCTGTTTACAGATTAAAAATCTTCCAAAAGCTAATAGCAAGTAAGAGTAACTGGATGTACATTTCAATATATGGTCAATATATACTCAAAACACATGCTGGGGCCACACTGCCACTGGGGTAACCTGTCCTACCCTCCCACATGCACTCCTGGCCTGGGGCCTGAGGCTGCTGGCAACACCATAGGGGATGGGAATGAAGAACTCTGCCAGGGGAGGGGAAGTTTCCTCTCCTCTTTGGCTCTCCTGGTCCCTGTGTGGCTCTGATGGACACTGTCCTCAGATTCCTGTTTTTAAAGACCCAAGAGTTAGTGACCCTCACTAATTAAGGCCAAAGAACACTGCACGCAGAACGGGGAACTTTCTAGTCCCCACTCTGCCACTACAGGGCCACGCTATGACTCTCAGAGACTCTAGGCACTTCTGTGCCTTTGCAATTCTCTTCCTCCATTCAAAAGTATTAACGATTATATTTTACAACTGTGTTGGTATAGAGATGAATATAATCCAGGCTGAATTCATTATCACATATTCATTATGATTGGAATTATATTCTTTTCTTCCTTTTGATTTTAAAAGAAATGAAAATAAAAACGTTTTCACAGACCTCTGTCACGGGTCTTAGTCACTGCACCTACTGTTCCTAATATGGAGGAGTTGATCCTGTGTCACAAAGTAGCTGGGTGACCTTGAGCAAGTCAGATGACCTTTACAAGCTCCCATCCTCTTATCTGCAAAGTTGGCTTGCCTGTTCCACAGAGAGTGGTACTGATCATGGAAGGGAACTGCACTGCTCAGAATTCAGCCAAGCAGAACCTAGTGCTTACGGCCTCACCTGGGAGACAGCGAATGGAAATAGGCCAGCTCTCTGGGGTGGGACAGAAGCCAGCAAGGTACTTCTTGTTCCAAAAGGGGCTCAGCCTGGCCAAGCTGGTGTGCACAGACACACGACACAGTCACGGTCACCAGGAGCCAGTGGACTGCAGTGTCTCTATAGTTACACCAAGCACAGCTGTGGGTATCTGGTACAGTTTAGATGCTTCTGGCCCAGAGAATCTCATAATATAGTTCTTGACCAAAACTTCAACACCCAGACTCATTTCTCCCTGACTCATTTCAACTGGTACTTGTTTCTCTGGTTTCTGATCCTTTTTACCTTCCAGTTTGGCCACCCGCTTTTTCACCTCTCCCAACTCTCAACCCTCCTCCTTTAGGTCCTGTTTATGTTTTGCACTTCACACTCTCGGCCAGGTGCTTTGTCAAGCCAGTGAACCCTGCCGCTGCCACTACTGGACTCACTCAAAGTCAAGGGGTGCCCACAGGCAGCTCTGGTGGAGCACGGCCTTGGAGGGCTGGACCAGACAGTGAGGACTCCACAGAAGGTGACACTCAAGGGTAGACAGCAGGCAGGCTAGGAGCTCTGGCAGCGAGCAGCAGGTTCTAGGTGGCAGAGTAGCAACCACCTAAATGCCCATATGTTGGAGAATTGTTGAATGAGCAGAAGTGCAATGGAGTAGCCTGCAGCTGTACAAACTGAAGTGAAGCACTTCCCAGGACACCGTGCTAAGTGAGAAAAGCAAAGCACAAAAGAGTATCCTTAGTACGCTGTCTTTTGTCTAAGAAAGCAGGGACTGGAAATTATACGTGATCTGCTAATTTGGCAAAAGAGAATCACAGGGAGGATAACCAGAAAAAAATGAGATTGGTTACCTGCTGGAGAGAGGAAAGGGTGGGAGGATTGGAATGGGGTAGAAAAGATTGGGGGGGAGGGGGTAAACACGTTTCTCAGTATTTTTTGTAGTTCTTTTAGTTAATTTAATTAATTAATTAATTTTGGAGACAGGGTCTCACTCTGTTGTCCAGACTGGAGTGCAGTGGCACAATCTCAGCTCACTGCAAACTCTGCCTCCCAGGATTCAAGCAATTTTCATGCTTCAGCCTCCTGAGTAGCTGGGATCACAGGAGCATGCCACCACATCCGGCTAATTTTTGTATTTTTAGTAGAGACGAGATTTTGCCATGTTGGCCCAGCTGGTCTCAAACTCCTGGCCAAAAGTGCCTGGCCATCTGCCTTGGCCTCCCAAAGTGCTGGGATGACAGGTGTGAGCCACCACACCTGGCCTAGTTCTGACTTTTAGAATATTTTGTATACTCAAAAAAAATAAGCAAAATCATCAAGGACTGGGGCAAGGTGGGGGAATTCAAAATGGAATACAAACAGAAACAAATGACCCCAGCTATATTCCAAATGAGTAAAATAACTACACTTAGAAAGGGAATCTGAGGGTACAGAACAAATATAAGGAACACATTTTGAAGCACTGTAATGTACTCAAGTTAGATTTGTTTTCAGAGTGGTATACATTACCAATTCCAAAACTTCCCTAAGTGTATTGTAAGACTGAGCAAATAATTAAATATAGTGCAGATAACGAGAGAACCAGCTTTCTCATGTTGGCAAAGAGTTACAAATAAATAAAGTGAGGAAGCTAGAATGAACCCTATGGTTTTGGATGGGGAATTAGGGAGATATCAGTATGACCTTAGGCTCATAGTGCTCATTCTCTCTCTCTCACCCCAAACACAGACACACATGCACAAATGTAGAAATGAATATGTATGTGTACATTGATAAATACATATACACATAGAAATATTTTTCTAGCTCTGATTGCTTAGGGGGCCTAGAAACAATGACACCAAGGAAAGGGAAAACCAATTGGCATACCTAGTGCCTAGAACTTGATTTTTCTTTTTTTTTTTTTGAGACAGTCTTGCTCTGTTGGTGGCGTGATCTCAGCTCACTGCAACCTCCGCCTCCTGGGTTCAAGCAGTTCTCATGCCTCAGCCTCCCCAGTAGCTGAGATTAAAAGTGTGGGCCATAATGCCCAACTAATTTTTGTATTTTTAGTAGAGACAGGGTTTTACTGTGTTGGCCAGGCTGGTCTCGAACTCCTGGCCTCAAGTGATCCACCTGTGTCAGCCTTCCAAAATGCTGGGATTATAGGCATGAGCCACTGCACCCTAGCCTAGAACTTGATTTCTTAAGACCATTTTCCATTCAGAAGAACCAGGGCTTCTTTGAGAAATGGCTAATTCCAGGGGTGGGGCATTGAAAATACAAAATAAGCCTGGAACATCTTGTGATGTCAGAAGCTAAGGAAAGCTTAAAACAGGATGAGGGCTTGTCAAAACAACAGGAGAGGAGCTTGAAGAGGTTCCCACTGGCCCAATATGGGGCATTTTGAACACCACCACCACCAACACAACAATGGACTATATCCAATAAAACAAAAGAATTCATTAATCTACACTGATATAAGTGTGTAAATAGATAGAGAGAAGGATCAGCTCTTGCAGAAATAATAGAATTAGAAAATCACCATTGGAAGCCACCACAGTAATAATTGCTTCAGGCTAGACTCATTCATAAATAAGTGTAGTGGGAGAAAGCATGAGAAACAGGATTTTAATAGTTTCAAAGTATTTACCCCTAAACTACTTATTAATTGGAAAGGGAAAAACATTAACTTACAATTTAGAAATCTGGCTGACAGCACCTTAATCATATGGTCAAAGTCAACATCACTTATAATCAAAATAATTGACAGGCTATGACTCCTGATATGCACTGAGAAAAACAAAGCATCACTTCTTTGGTATTCTTGCCAAAAATGCATAACCTGAATCTAAGCCTAAAGAAACATCAGACAAATCCAACCTGAAGGCTATGTTGTAGATAACTATTGGCCAGTACTGTTTCAAAATTTCAAGGTCAGGAAGGACAAAGAAAGACCAAGGAATTCTTCTGTATTAAGAAGACTAAGAAGACAAGACAAGTCAATCCAGCATGTGATCAGGGACCAAGGAAAGGATGTTAGTAGGACAGATGGCAAACCTTAAGGTCTTCCATTAGAATTGTGACAATGTTAATTCTGTGATTTTGATAATTGCACTGTGGTTAGGTGAGAGAATGTCCATGTTTTTAGGGAAGTACTGACTTCTATACACTCAAGTATATAGAGGTCAATGCTTACTCTCAAACATCTTAGAAAAATAATTGTGTGTGTGTGTTTCTGTGGACAGAGAACAAATGATTGAGCAATTGTGGTAAAATATCAATTTGGGAGAAATCCGAGTGAAGGGTATATGGGAATTCTTTGTGCTGTGTTTTTTAAGCCTGAAATTATTTCAAAATAAAGTTAAAAAATATAATACAGATGCTAGTGGCTCACATTACCAAAAAAAATGCATCTTTTTAAGGTATTTCAATTCAAATTGATTAGAATGTAACTTTTAAACTGACAACAGCACATAAAATGGTTTTAAAGCTGAGGTGTAATGTAGTTCCTCCCCAACACTTACCATTTGATATATTTTTAATAAAAAAACCATAACATGTTCCTGTCAAGAAATCAAAGAAACAAACTCATTGCTGAAAGGGATGCAGAAGAACAATTAGTCCAACTTCTCATTTTAATGAGGAAACAGAAGCTCAAAGAAGGAAAGTCCTTTGCCCAAGATCATAACAGAACTGAAAGATCACTGTTATCATCCTAACTTAACAGTGAAAGAAGCAGACTCATAGATGCTGACCCAAGCCCATGCAGAAGAAATGCATGCTAGAGCACAAGACTAGAACCCAACTGACAGCCGGATCCCCTAAGTGAAAATGGAGAACCAGCTCAGCTGCTGAGATCTCTGCCCTGGGGCCTGTGGCATGACCTGTGCTTTACTACAATGATGCGAAATTAGCTACTTAAGCCACTAAATCTGGGTTCTGAGCCTGTCCTACCCCTAAATCTCATGGACTAGCTGCCAGCTAGGCCCACACACTACATTTCTCTGTTAATTTACAGGTGTACTCATATCAGTTAGCTATTGCTACATAACAAACTAGCCCCAGATTTAGTGGCTTAAGTGATTTATTTTTCACAATTCTGTGAATTGACTGGGTGGTTCTTCTGCCAGTCTTGCCTGGACTCACTCAGACTGCCGCATAAAGCCAATGGGATGGCATGGGCCTGGACTGAATTGGGTGGCTGCACCATGTGGTCTTTAATCCCAGTCCTCTTCACAGTTTGACAATTTCAGAATGGCAACATTACAAGTGAATAAGAACAGAAACTGCAAAGCCTCTCGAGGCTAAGGCTTGTACATTATAGTATGCCACATCTGACACACTCTATTGGTTAAAACAAGTTACAAAGTCAAACCAGGCTCAAAGGAATAGAGAAATAAGACTCCCCCTTTGGATGGGGATTGTTGCAAAGAATGTGTAGCCATATTTAACGTAATGAGCTTTGTAGGTTGTCACTAGAGATGCTAACGAAATAGAAGTCATACATTGGATTCCCATGTCATTCAGAGAGCACACTGTTTCCTGATGGTGGTCAGCAGCCATCTCCCCACGGCAGGTCTCTCACTCCCCAAAACCATCTTCCTAGCAGTGAATAGCTGGATGTGAAGAATCCCATGACTGCCTCCAGACCAGCATCAGTGTGGCCACCTGAGACCAAGCTCCTTAGCCCCAACTCACCTACAATGGATGGCAGTGGTTGGCTTGGGGTATGTGTGGCTCTCCTGCAGGTCCCTCTTCTTCACATGTATCCTCCCACAAAACAGAGTAGAACCCCTTTGGGCCCCTCAGTAGTTCATCCCCTGGAGAAGAGCTTTAAATACATAGAACTCCTACATGTGTGGGGCTGGGTGGGATTTGATTAAGAAAGGCAAAGATGAAGTCAGTTTTCCAGGCTCACAGGCAGGGCTGGAGAAGCATCTGAGGCAGGAAGAAGCAATTCCCAAGGGTGGGACAGGTACTGGTGTGCAGGTGGGAGTTTAGTTCATTAGGAGAGAGTGTGAGGCAAGCAGAGTAGCGCAGGGCAGGAGGATACAAGGACGTCGAAAGCAGATATATCCAGAGTGGCATTATACATAGAGCATTATTCTGGGAAAAAGTACAAGCTGATTATACCCACTTTGTGTCACCAAAAATAAAATTGTTCACTGTACTCTCTTTGCATCTCCCTCACCTCTGTCACCCTCCAAGAGTTCCTGGAAGGGGTTGTTATCCTCCCTTTATTGATGAGGAAATTGGACCTCAAAATGGTTTCTGTGACTTGCCAAGGATCACAGAGTTCACGAAGTAGAGAAATCAGAGCTTAAACCCATTGTTGTTTTGTTCTCTTTTCAGTGTGGCTCAATTTTTCCACTTTCTTTAAGATGTGAAACTTCAGTCAACCTCTTTGTGTCAGATTCCCTCCATCTTGAAAACAATTTCTGCCGCCTCCTACCTTCTCTGCTACAGGATGACTAATGTCCGTGCAGAACTGCAGGACTTCTGAAAGAACCACATGCTTTTGGGGCCAGAGGAAGCCAACCACCTGGCTGTGTGTTCCCCTTCTTTCATCTCCTACTGCTAAGGGCCTTGGCCTCTGAAGGGCAGCAACAAGAGCACCAGCTAACTTTCTTGAAAATTCACTCTGCCAGAAGCCCTGCTGAGAGCTCTACACACCTTCGTCTATTTAATCATCCCAAAGACACTGTTGGGAGGTATAGTTACCAGCCCCATTTAGCAGGTTGGGAGACTCCGAGGTTGTCACCTGCCAAAGGCCACAGACCTAGAAAGTGTTAGAACTGGGACAAACCCACATCGGAATGATTCCAAAGCCCTTACTCTTAGCAGTAAGACCTCGATGTCTCCCTGGCATTGTTAGGAGTCCTCAAATCCATTGTCTATGGACTGAGTACAAAATACATACATATTCTATAGAGAATAATAACATATAAATTCATCATTAATACATTCCTTGGAGCTTATTATATTCTCAGTTAATTGTGTACAAAAATTGCATCAACTCAAAAATGCTGGCATTCTCTGTCCTTCAGTCGTTATCCCTGTGTCCTCTGTGTACAGTACTGATTAGCTTGTCTGGTGCCATTACTCATCTCCCAGTGTTTGTGTCACTTCTTCAACAAGGTAAACTCCTAGTAAGTGGGACTACAGAAAATAGGGTTTCTTTTGAGTCCTGCCTGGTCCCACTCCAAGGTCTTACACTTGATAGATACAGATTTAGCTAACTGGTTGATTACAACAACCTCTGTAATACTCCTCCTCATATTGGCCCACAGAATGATACATCTCAAGTCTCCTGCCCTGTATCCCGCTGGAGATGCCCTAATGTGGCCTGCATGCTTCCAACAGCCCAGACTGTAATGAAAATAGCTACCATGTATTCAGCACGTTCTGTTCACTAGGCTCTATACTCGGTGCAGGGGATACTGTTGTGAAGAAAACAAAGCGCAGAGCTCAGCTATTGTATTAATGCAATGTGGGATGGCATTTCATTAACATAACCACCTAGAGGAGGGTATCATCTTCTCCCTTTTACTGATGGAAAAGTTGTAGAGGAGCAGAACTTGAACTAGGGTTTATCTCAATATGTTTTGATTTGTGGGTCACTACCCATTGTTGGATTAATGGGTGCTAAATGTATTTAGTGGGTCATAACTAACATTTATTTTAATGGATTGGTTTGGGATGGAAGGACCAGAGTACATAGCATGTAATAGAAGTATTATTTGCTGAAACTTTTGTTTCATTTACATACAGACATATAGAGAGTTGCAATATATTTCTTACTGTGAGTCATGTCAGAAAACATATGAAAGCCACTGGTTTGTTCAAATCCCAATCTGTTCTTCTATTTTCTATACTGTCTCCTCAAAAAAATAAATTTCCCAAATTATTTCAAGATTCTTTGGAAATTTCCTTGAATATATTTGGCCCTGATTCTGCTTTAGAATATGCTGCCAGGCTCAGGCAGTGTGGCTATGCCCCATGCTCCCTCCCACTGGAAAGCATCATTTCATAGGCTGCTGAAGAGCTCTTTCCCATGTTGGCAATCGCAGGCAGCTCCCCCTCGCCCAACTACTGTCTCAATTGGTTTTACCAGCCTAAAGAGATGCACAGTTGAGTTCCATGGCAACCACCAAGATAGGCTGGAGATCACTTAATTTTTGATATCGCTTAATAATAATAAGAGGGCAGCAAATGGCACAAGAAAAAGGACAGGTAATGACACCTAATCTCTTGAGGGCCAGAACCATGGTGATATACTCACTATGTTTCCCTCAAGCTTTTTAGCATGGAGCCACTAAGACAGGAGACTGAAGATACAAAATGATGTCTGAAGGGTTGTATTAGTCTGTTTTGTGTTGCTATAAAGGAACACTTGAGGTTGGGTAATTTATAAAGAAAAAAAGTTTATTTGGCTCATGGTTCTGTAGGCTGTATAAGCATGCACCAACATCTGCTTCTGGTCAGGACCTTTTACTCATGGTGGAAGGTGAAGAGGCAGAGGTGTGTCACATGGCAAGGGAGGGGGCAAGTAGCAGGGGAAGTCCCAGGTTCTTTTTAACAATGAGATCTTGCACGAACATATTATCATGGGAAGGGCAACAAGGCATTCATGAGGGTTTGACCCCATGACTCAAACACCTCCCACCAGGAACTACCTCCAACACTGGGGATCACATTTCAACATGAGATTTGGAGAGGATAACAATCCAACCTATATCAAGTGTCCAAGGCTTTATGTGGCCCTTTCATCTGAAACTACACTCCTCATCTTGTATTTGTGATCCACCTCTGAGGAACACTAGACATTAAGCAGCTCCTCCCATGGCTGTAGGAGATGATGGGACAAAGAAGCAGTGGGTGGTTCTACGGAAACAGCACTACACTCCCAGTGAGCAGACTGGGTCTAGTCCCAGCTCTCTCTCAATACACATGGACTTGAGCAAGTCATTTGGTTTCTGTAAGCACCAGTTTCTTCTTCTCAAAATGGGAACAAAAAGGATTTACCTTATTTATGGAATGATGAAGATGAGTTAAGATCATACAAGAAAGCTTTTTATAAATATAAGGCACATTTCCATATCTTTATATAAGGAAATAAAGAATACATAAAATAAGTAAAAAATAATAAAACATAAATAAATAAATGTGCCTTATAAATATAAGGTACATTTCCAAATTGAGATAGTAGTAGTAGTAAGAAGAAGAATACTAGCAGCAATAGCAGTAGAAAAAATAGTAGCAATAGTAATAGCCAATGCTTCCTACAATCTCAAAGTTCTATTGCACTCAGGAACTTGGTAAAGCACACTAATAATTACAGTATGTTCCTAATGACAAGAGACAAAATACAACACAAAATATCCTAAACTATGCACAGTAAAATCTGTTAGAAGGAAATATATCTAAATGTTAGTAGTGATTGATTTAGGATAATGGGATGGTGGCTTTTCTTCCTATTCCCCCGTTTTTCAAATTTTGTATGATGAACATATAACTATATTTTCAAATAAAATAAGTAGTTATTAAAGTTAGTAGATAAAAGAAACATTAATTTTAAAATAAGGAAAGAAGATAAGTGATCTTTGACAGAAATGAGTTGATAAGTTCTTGGGAGGAGCCAGAGATTCCAGGAGTGTCGATTTGCACTCCCATTGCCCAAAAGGAGGCAATATGAATACCTGAGTCACTAGAAAGTTATTGTTATAATAAAAATGGTATTCATCAAAGTTTACCAGAACATCACTATAATGTTCCCCTTCTTAGCTATGTAACTTGAGAAGGTTTTTAACCATTCTGAGGCTCCATTTCCTCAGTTGTAAAATGGCAGGAAGATTAAATGAGAAAGGGTGCAGGAAAGCCCCCACTTGCTCCCCTTTGTCTTCCAGCAAGGATTTTGTCATGTCTTTTTACTGTAACTCCTTGTTTCATTGGGGACTCTTTTACTTGCAAATGGCATAACCAAATCCACCCCCAACCTCTCAAAAAAAAGAATCAAATGGTACTGGAAAAGCACAGGAGCAACTCACAGATGGCAAAACAGGGGCAGAGTCAGACTTCAGGGCATCGCGTGGCACCTGAACCAAGAGCTGGCAAGCTGTCTCAACTCAGAGAGCAGCTCTCACCATCTGTCTCCGGGGCCACACGTCCTTATGTCTTCACTCTGTGACATCCGTTCTGCCTTTCTCCCCCGCAGATGGGCAGTGTCGTGTCTGCTTTCCCCTATCACAATAGCTCACAGACCGTGTCTACTCTCCTCAGTTCCAGCCTCTCAGAAACTGACAGGAAAATGCTCACTCTCAAGTCTTTTTTTTTTTTCTTTCTTTTTTTTTATTATTATACTTTAAGTTTTAGGGTACATGTGCACAATGTGCAGGTTAGTTACATATGTATACATGTGCCATGCTGGTGTGCTGCACCCATTAACTCATCATTTAGCATTAGGTATATCTCCTAATGCTATCCCTCCCCCCTCCCCACATCAGTCCCCAGAGTGTGATGTTCCCCTTCCTGTGTCCATGTGTTCTCATTGTTCAATTCCCACCTATGAGTGAGAACATGCGGTGTTTGGTTTTTTGTCCTTGCGATAGTTTACTGAGAATGATGATTTCCAATTTCATCCATGTCCCTACAAAGGACATGAACTCATCATTTTGTATGGCTGCATAGTATTCCATGGTGTATATGTGCCACATTTTCTTAATCCAGTCTATCATTGTTGGACATTTGGGTTGGTTCCAAGTCTTTGCTATTGTGAATAGTGCCGCAATAAACATACGTGTGCATGTGTCTTTATAGCAGCATGATTTATAGTCCTTTGGGTATATACCCAGTAATGGGATGGCTGGGTCAAATGGTATTTCTAGTTCTAGATCCCTGAGGAATCGCCACACTGACTTCCACAATGGTTGAACTAGTTTACAGTCCCACCAACAGTGTAAAAGTGTTCCTATTTCTCCACATCCTCTCCAGCACCTGTTGTTTCCTGACTTTTTAATGATTGCCATTCTAACTGGTGTGAGATGGTATCTCATTGTGGTTTTGATTTGCATTTCTCTGATGGCCAGTGATGGTGAGCATTTTTTCATGTGTTTTTTGGCTGCATAAATGTCTTCTTTTGAGAAGTGTCTGTTCATATCCTTTGCCCACTTTTTGATGGGGTTGTTTGTTTTTTTCTTGTAAATTTGTTTGAGTTCATTGTAGATTCTGGATATTAGCCCTCAAGTCTTAATGCACAAGAGGCAGCGGCTAATTGGCCATTGTGGTCAGGTGTTCATCCCAGGTCCAAGCAAATGTCTTTTGTTCTACCTTTTGGAGAATTGGGCCCTCTCAGAAAAATGCACATATGTGCAGTTTTCACATCTACTTTTAAGGGGTTCATAGAGCCTCTAAAGCATAAACATAAGCCATGAACCCCAGATGAAGCATCCCTGGTCAAGAGAGTTTTATTGTTATAATGCACCTCCTCTACCTCTCCCATATGTGACAGATGCAGGAAAGTGAGTCATGAATATAATTTGCACAAAGTAAACGTTCAAATTGCAGAGGGACTTCTTACAACCCGATCATAAAAGAAGGCTCCTTGGATACAGACACAGCAACAGCAATTCTATATTGCCTCTAATTTCTAATTGACAATGCCAACCACGTGTCTTTACAAACCATTCCCATACACCCCTTTAGCACTGTGCCCACCTGAAGCACCAGCCAATAACATTGCCATGTGATTGTTTAGCTGTATCACTCGCTTCTGCCTCTGCATTTATACACACCCACACTATCCTCTTCAGATGCATAAGAATTCTAATCCCCCTTCCTTTCCTATTTTCTGCCTAGATGCTGTGAGATAGGAAATCCGGGATGAACAACTTCCTGTTTCATGTGACCCTCTCACCACACCACTGCTAGTTGTATGCTTTGGTCAGGATTCTGAATAGCAAAAATACACAAACAAAACAGAAATATAAAAATCAGTTATAGGGCAGGTGCGGCGGCTCATGCCTGTAATCCCAGCACTTTGGGAGGCCAAGGCGGGCAGATCACGAGGTCAGGAGATCGAGACCGTCCTGGCTAACACAGTGAAACCCCGTCTCTACTAAAAATACAAAAAATTAGCCGGGCGTGGTGGCGGGTGCCTGTAGTCCCAGCTACTCGGGAGGCTGAGGCAGGAGAATGGTGTGAACCCAAGAAGTGGAGCTTGCAGTGAGCCGAAATCGCACCACTGCACTCCAGCCTGGGCCACAGAGCAAGACTCTGTCTCAAAAAAATATAATAATAATAATAATCAGTCATAAAGTATTAGCTTATATAACTGAAAAGTCCAAAGTTAGGTATAACTGCATACAGGGGCTCAAAAAAGTCATTCAGACCATGCCCATCTCTCTCTTCTCAGCTCTCAGTTGGCTTCATCTTAGTCAGGACCTATCCAGAGTAACCCCCTGCCAGCTCTGGGTTTACAGTCTCCTTTTAGTTAGCATCTCCAGTAGAAGGAGAATAGTTCCAACAAAGCCTCAAAACTGAATCTCAGTGGAGAAACTTGAGTCATGTGCACAACACTGAGGCAATCAATGTGGCTATGGAGGTGGAAGACGCTCATTGGCCAGGCTGAAGTCACATGGTTGCCCCTGGAACTAGTCCACCTCCAACTATCTGCTTACCAGGAAATCTGCCCCACCAAAACTATATGGGGTGAACAGTGTTTCTTCAAAGAAAATTAGAGTTATTGTCAGAAGAAGGAATGAAAAATAGGCACAAAAAAAGCACAAAAGTCCATTACCTTATTTAATTCCCATTTTCTTTTTTCTCAATTCTCTCTTTGGAATCTTGATTTTATAGCATCTTCCCACAACTCAGAGCAAAGACAGCTATATTAAAGTTCAGCACTGGGCCAGGTCCAGTGGCTCACATCTCTAATCCCAGCACTTTGGCAGGCCAAGGCGGGCAGATCATTTGAGGTCAGGAGTTCAAGACCAGCCTGGCCAACATGGTGTCTCTTCCAAAAATACAAAATACAGCCTGTCTCTACTAAAAATACAGCCTGTCTCTACTAAAAATACAAAAATTAGCCAGGCATGGTGGCATGCACCTGTAATTCTAGCTACTCAGGAGGCTGAGGCAGGAGAATCACTTGAACCCAGGTGGCAGAGGTTGCAGTGAGCCGAGATTGTGTCTGTGTACTCCACCCTGCCTGGGTGACACAGTGAGACTCCGTCTCAAAAAATAAGTAAATAAAAAAAGTTCAGCATCAATCCCAAGGATCTCTCCATTGTAATAGTAGCTTTCTTTGGAGTCAAGTAGGACATAACATGTGGTCCACACAACTCTCCTGTGTCCAGAGGGATGAATGAAGAAATGGGAGTATAACTTAGTGTTCTCCATAGCTCACACCCCAGATAAGAACACAGATTTTTTTTTTTTAAAGTCTTGGACCATTACTACTGGTTTTATAATCTCTATGTATGTGCCTAGGCTTCACAGATCGTGACTCAGGAAGCAGGGCCATATGTTCATAATTAAAGATAATTAGAAGGAATATAGACATGACTTAGACTTTTTTTCAATAATCCCACAAAAGGGAATCTGATCAAGCATACAGTGTTCCCAGTTTTTTCTCATTGTACAATAACCAATACAAGTTGGGCTATATCACATTTCTTCTCTAAAAGCTTAAGAGGGAGTGATTGAATTTGTTTTATGTCCTATTTAATACTAACACTTGCCTTGCCTACTTCACAGTAGGCTCCAAAAAGTAAATGAGATAGTGTGTGTGAATGTACTTTGAAAATTATAAAGTGCAATTAGAAAGCAAGCTATTATTAAATAACAAGGAAAGTCATTTATTAAATCATTCAATAATTATTTACTAAGTGCTGTTTTTCAAGTATTATAGCATTTGCTAGGGCTATAAAAATGAATAAGATGGTCTCAGAGGTAGCACACTTCTAGCAGAAAGCAGACATATGAACAGTGACAGCACAGTGAGATTAGAGGTGGGTACAGATATTGCAGCAGCTCCCAAGTCACCTTATGAGGATTCTCCAGAAGAGAGGCCATTTGAGAGGAGGTGGGGCAGGAGGTCTGAATAGAACCCTCCATCAATTGTCTTGTCCACAGGAACACCAAATTTGATGACTGTCTACACAAAGTACCTTCATAAGACCCCAAAATAAGGTGAGTGATCACAGTACCTGGTTTTAACTTCATATCACTGAAAGATGCACTGAAGAGGGTAGGAAAGACAGTCTTGAATTGCCAGCACCACCCCTCCCTTACCCCTCAGGCAGTGGCAATATGACATGGAGGGAGAATTTGTGCAGTTGGCGAAGGGATAGCATGGCAACAGTGGGTCTTTGCATTGGAACTCAGTGCTGCTGACACTGGACAGAACTCCGCTGATGCCATTGGAGGGAGCATTTGGATTCTGCCCCAGCCAGAGGGGAATCAACCATTCCAGCAGTCAGAATTTGAGTTTTGCCAAGCCTCACTCCCATGGGCTAAAGTGCTCTGAGGTTCTAAACAAACTTGAAAGGCAGTCTAGGTGACAAGGACTGCAACTCTTAGGCAAATCCTAGTACTGTACTGGGCTTGAAGACAGTAGACGTGGGGGGCATAAAACCTAGTGAGACACCAGCTGGAGTGGCTAAGGGAGTGCTGGTACCAACTTCCCCTAACCCCAGGCAGTGCAGCTTGCAGCTCTGAAAGGGACTCCTCCTTCCACTCAAGAGGAGAGGGAAGAGTAAAGAGGACTTTGTCTTGCAACTTGAATACCAGCTCAGCCACAGTAGGATAGGGCACCAAGCAGAGTCATGAGGCCCCCATTCCAGGCCCTAGCTCCCAGACAACATTTCTTGACACAATCTTGGCCAAAGGGAATCTACTGCCTTGAAAGGAAGGACCCATTTCTGACAGGATATTATCACCTCCTGATTAAATAGCACTTGGGCCCTGAATAATCAGCAGTGGTACCCAGGTAGTACATGCCATGGGCCTTGGGTGAGACAGACATGCTGGCTTCAGGTGTGACCCCGCATATTCACAGCTGTGGTGGCTAAGAGGAGAAACTCCTTCTGCTTAAGAAAAGCAGAGGGAACAGTAAAGGGGACTTTGTCTTGCAGCTTAGGTACCAACTTGGCCACAATGGGGAAGTGCACCGAGCAGGATCTTGGGGTCCCTGATTTCAGGCCTTGGCCAATGGCATCCCTGGACCTAACATGGGCCAGAGGGGAGTCCACTACCCTGAAGGGTGAGTCCCAGGCCTGGCAGCATTTGCCACAAGCTGACAAAGAGCCCTTGAGACTTAAGTGAACATTGATGGTACTCTTGCAGTATTCCCCATGGGCCTGTGGTGGTGGTGGACATGGGGAGAGACTCCTCTGCCTAAGGAAAGGGCAGAGAAGAGTGGGAAGAACTTTTCCTTGTGGTTTTGGTACCAGCTCAGCTGCAGTGGTATAGAGCACCAGGTAGATTCCTAAGTTTTCTAATGCCCCACCCTGACTCCAGGTAGCATCTCTGGACCTGCCCAGGGCATGGAGGAACTTGTGGTCCTTAACGGGAGGACACAACTTGGCTGGCTTCACCACCTGCTGCTTAAGGAGCCCTAGGGCCTTGAGCAAACATAGATAGTAGCCAGACAGTCGTTACAGCAGGCCTTGGACAAGACCCAGCACTTTGCTGGCGTCAAGTCATCCAGCGCAGTCCCAGTGATGGTGGCCACAGAGGTGCTTGTGTCACCCTTCTTTCCGAACTCCAGGCAGCTCAGCATAGAAAGAGAGAGAGATCCATTTGTTTGGGAAAATGTAAGGGAAGAAAACAATTCTCTGCCTGATAATCCAGATAATTCTTCATTTTGTGTGTGTGTGTTTGTGTGCATGATGAAATCTCACTCTGTAGCCCAGGCTGGAGTACAGTGGCATGATCTTGTCTCACCGCAACCTCCACCTCCCAGGTTCAAACAATTATCTTGCCTTGGCCTCCCAAGTAGCTAGGATTACAGGTTCGTGCCACTGCACCCAGCTAATTTTTTGTATTTTTAGTAGAGACGGGGTTTCACCATGTTGGCCAGGCTGGTCTTGAACTCCCAACCTCAGGTGATCCGCCCCCCTCGGCCTCCCAAAGTGCTGGGATTACATGTGTGAGCCACCACACCCAGACTTCTTCCTGATCTTATCCAAGACCACCAAGGCAGTGCCTCTGAGTCTGCAAGAACGATAGTGTAACTGGGCTTGGAGTTCCCCTTAATGCAGATATGGCTGCAGTAACCAAAAACTTAGATCACAACACCCAAATCCCTTTGAATACTTGGAAAGCCTTCCCAAGAAGGACAGGTACAAACAAGCCCTACTTATTATAGTCTGCAAAGTGCATAATAAATGCACTGATATTATAGTCTGCAAAGACTATAATAAATACCTAACTCTTCAATGCCCAGACACCAACAAACATCCACAAGCATCAAAACCATCCAGGAAAACAAGACCTCACCGAACAAACTAAATAAGGTAGCAGGGACCCATCCCAGAGAAGCAGAGATATGTGACCTTTCAGACAGAAAATTCAAAATCATTTTTTGAGAAAACTCAAAGAAAATTAAGGTAACATAGAAAGGGAATTCAGAATCCTATCAGATAAATTTAACAAAGAAATTGATGTACAAAGAATCAAGCAGAAATTCTGGAGTTGAGAGAACATTTGAAATAGGCCTCTAAGAATGGGTGTCATCCTGCCAGCTGGAGCAAGGCAAGAAAGGTGCCCTGGACCAAAGACACAGTGAGAGCAAAGACAGAGAGAGTGGAAAAGCCCATCCAGACAGATTAGTCCCAGTTTGCTGGTGGTTTGAGGGCTTATCTCTACTTATATCCATCAGTCTCAATTTCCTGGTCTTTAGTGGATTTGTTGTTATTTTAAATAATACCATGGCTAAATATTCTTTGTCATCCAACATTTGCTGTCATCCATGTTTCATTCTTTTTTCCTTCCTTTGCTTTTAAAAACTTGCCTTCCTCTTTCCTCAGATAGTATCTATGACATTTTGTCTAGTTGGCCTTAGGGAAAGACTCAACATTTCTAACTGGCTACAGAACTAAAAAGTATTTTTTCCAAAAACTATTGTCTTTGTGTTTGGGACTTTATTATTAACAACCAAAGGCAGCTAGAACTTTCCTGATTGTGCTTTTTTAATAAAATAAATTTCATGCAGATACTTTCCTCCAAGAACAAGATTCCACACAAGCAGGTATATTAGTTATTTTCCCCTAAATAGATGGAAATTCACAGTGTTCATCACTGAACATGGTTTCTAAGTTGCACAATCTCAGCCATCAGGAGGGCTCCATGGTTTCATTCTAACTATGTTGTTCCAGAGGAAATTCTCTGTGCTTCTTCCCAATGCAGATGTGAATTCTCTGCCTCTGTCTCTTCAATCCACAAAACTGGCTTCTCTTCAATCCACAAAACTGGCTGGCCTAGCCCTTGCTCGACTGTGAGAGTCCAGAATAAAAATTTGTTTGGATTCCTATTGTCTTTTATGACCAATTTGTCAATTCCAGGTAAGAAAGTCCCTTCTACTCTTTAAAAAAAAAAATCAAATTTTGATCTATGTGGATAGCATGGACCATAAAACATCTTCACTGCAGTCATGGAGCCAAGCCATATTATTTTTATTAACTAGACAAATGTAGCCAACAGTGCTGGTCAGACCAGGTGATGTTGGGGCCACATCTCTGGCATATTGAAGGAGGGAAGTATTCAGATTCTCATTCTGCACCATGTTTATTCTATTGGGGGAGGAAAAGTGAATGAACGACAATTGAGAGTTTCAATCAGGAAACAGAAACATTGTCAAACTACAATTTGGAGATAAACTAATCTATCCCCTTTACAACAATCCACACTCAATTAGAAGAGAGGCAAATCATTAAAGGCCATTAAATTGCTAGGCCTTTATTTAGTCAGTTACTAGTGAATTACTAGTGAAGAAGAAAAAAAAACATAGAAAGTGTCCTCTTACCTCCATTACTCATCACTCTCAATGTAATTTCATCAATTTCAACACCTAGTGCCCACTGCTTCTAATGACATTTTAATGACTCTTTGTTCAGACTGTTTTGTTTGAAATAGTGGGAGTCAATCAAGATTTGGGCAGTAAAGAGGTGAGATTCTACTCAGGCTCAGGAAGAATTGAGAAACTGGGCATCCCTCAGCAGTGCCCAACCCAGCAAAGCATTCAGGCATCCTTGGGGTCCTCTTATCAATTAACTCATTAGTACTGTTTGCCCTGACATTTCATATGGAAAATGAAGACATCCTAACTTGATACTTGCTTCTGGGGAGACAAGAAGAATCAGGGGGCTGGTGATGACAACAGAAAGGTAGGATTTAGAGCATGTCTTAGATACAACATGTTCAAAGCGAGATGAAGGGCCCAATAGCAACCTTTAAGGGACTGCAGTCTTCATCACACATTAATGGTTTTCATTAACTCATGCACTCTTTCTTCAAGTAGTTATTGAGTAGTTATTAGAAGATGTTCTATGCCAAGATAGGGGAATGATCCAAGAAATAGGAGACATTGATTGCCTCCAGGGGATAGGTGATCCAGTACAAGAGGCAAAGGGAATATCCCAATTGGTAATGAAGAATTCTAGGATGAGGCTATGCAGCTGAACAAGAGATCAACCAATTCAAATTGGAGAAGGTAAGAAGGGGGTAGGACTTCTTGAAGAAGATAAAATTGATAGGATACCTAATGTGCTTTGAATATATTAGGAGATTTATACAACTAGGAGAGAGTTTGGGGCCAAGTTAGTGATCAGTACCTTTAAAACTATGCAAAGCAAGATAATTATTGACTCTAAAAAAAAAAAAAAAAAAAAAAAACCAAAAAGTTATGCCACAAAGAAATGTAAATGGCTCAGCTATGAATAGGACATACGTGGTCATAATAATGTAAACCCTGCATATTGAACAGATTAAAATTACCATCTAACTATATTGGGAAGTTGTGGAGAAGGGAAGTAAGCTTGAGGAGGGGGTGGCACAAGTTTAAATTCTCATCTCCCATAGAAGGAAGTCAAGATGTTGCAATACAAGCATGGCATTTAGAGAAATGGAGCTAAACCTCCATTGCCAGAAAAAAAAAAAAAGAAATCAGTTAGGGGAGCCAAAAAGGTTGTTTTGGACTGTGGGGAATGAGGGAAGGGAATAATGGAGGAAGCGGGGTTTTACAGCACGCCATACGGAACTATGACTTCCTGAACTTTGCATATACATAGCATGGATAATAAAATGTTAAACAAAATAAAAGCAGCCTCATGAGCCTCAGTGTTCTTTTAATCACAAGTCAGGTTGCTAGATAAAATACAGAAACCCCAGTTAAATTTGAATTTCAGATAAACATCAAATAATTTTTGGTATAAATTATGTCCTAAGTATTACATAGGATAAACTTATAATAAAATGTCATTTATTGCCTATCTGAAATTCAAATTTAACTGCTGTCTTGTATCTTTATTTGCTAAATCTGGCAAACCTAATCATGAGAATACTATATCACTAGATATCTTGTTCACTGTTCTACAGAGGCCACTTTGTAAAGAGCCATAGAATAAATTCCTTTAAGGTCTCAGATCCAGAAAGAGTAATGTTATCTTCTGAGCAGCTAATGCACCTTTTTTTTTTTTTTTTGAAGTGGAGTCTTGCTCTGTTGCCCAGGCTGGAGGGCAGTGGCATGATCTCTGCTCACTGCAACCTCCACCTCCCGGGTTCAAGCCATTCTCCTGCTTCAGCCTTCTGAGTAGCTGGGATTACAGGCGTGAGCCACCACGCCCAGCTAATTTTTGTATTTTTAGTAGAGATAGGGCTTCACTGTGTTGGCCAGGCTGGTCTCAAACTCCTGACCTCAAGTGACCCACCTGCCTTAGCCTCCCAAAGTGCTGGGATTACAGGTGTGAGCCACCGTGCCCGGCCAACTAATGCGCTTTTTTTTTCCTTATGAACACTAGGAACCATGTAGAGGAATCAACCCGGACAAGAGAATTTTTATCAAAAAGTTGTTACTCTGATGAAGTCTACCCATTGGTTTGAATCTGATAGAGTCACCACTCTATCAGATGGTTGTACTGACTGGCTATAGACAATGAGGAAAATGGCTACATAAACCAAACAGACAAATTCTGTTATCAAACTTAAAAAAAAAAAAAAAGGAAGCAAAAAAACAAAAACTCTCTTGTTTTCCCAGTCGATCCTTTTTCAATGGTTTCAGAGAAGAATTCAGGGCTGGCTGGACTAGAGACCTCTTCAGCTATCTTACTGGGCAGTTGGGTCTCTGCTCCTGGTGGTCCCAGGAGCCACCCCTTGGGCCTCAGAAGCCAACATCTTTCAGACAGCATGGAAACGTATCTGGAAATAAAACCTTCCCTTCCCTTTTCGACACAATGAGTATTAGTCAGGAAACCCTGGCTGACCACTCATTAGAATGCCAGATTTTACTCTTTCTCCCTGTAGAAAGAGTGTCTGTCATCAGGGAGGTGATGTCCTCAACTGCTGCAGAAGGGGAATAAATTATCCCTTTCTTGACATCCCCTGCTAACTTGTTAGTATCACTAACAACTGCTCAAAAGCAGCAGAGCAAGAGAGGTGGAAATCTAAAGTGGGGGAAAAAAGTTGCCACTTTCAAGCTTACATTGGGCAGAGTCTTATTTAGAGCAATTAGCCAGCATCAGTTTTGCTCAAAAATCCCCTATATGGACTCCTATATGGCAATGCAGAATGAAGCCTGCCACTACCACAACACTCACAGCCATGCAGTTCTTCTGCTGTGGCTGCATTGAATTGTCAACAGCATCAGGAAGTTTGTTGCCTGCCTCATGAGTTTTTGAGATGCCCCTTAGGATGCTGGAAGGTATAATGTAGGGATGAAGGGCTCTCTCTGGTGTCAGAGGCACCCAAGGCTTAAAATCTGACTATATCACTTATTCACTTGGAGCAAGTAGCTTCATTAAGGCTTTGTTTTCTCAACTGTAAAATGGGTGTGGTGAGTTCGTCTTCTCCCCAGTATTATTATGAGAACTAAATAGAAAATGCTGAGTGATGCTTGGCATAGAGTAAAGGCTCATTGGATGTTTTTATTAACCTGAAAATGCAAACCTTTGAGCTGTGCAACCCTCTTCCTCCAGTTGCTTCATCATATTACCTTCTTAGCCCCATTGAGGGCAGCTAAGTGACCAATCCTTGCACTCTGGGCCAGAGAAAACAGGTGGACCAATGTCTGCCACAGAGGCAGTGTGAGTTCCAGATCTCAGGCCAGCTGGGTTGGCAGCTAGTGTCCTAGTGAGAAGAACCAGTGGTATAATTACCAATGGGTTTGCCAGTCAGTGCACCAGAGTAACACCTGTTGTCTGAATGCACCTGGCAGTGCACAGGTAAGACTTTCCTTTCTGAATCAGTAATTTGCTCATATGATACAGGTGAAGCCAACAGGTAGAGATAGGCTTATCCTCAGGTCCCTGTAGTTGCCTGGTCCATACCTCTCATAGTCTCACCATAACATGATCACCTCAAACATGAACACCACAGTAACATGATCACCTCAAACCTGTTTCCTTGTGGGTTGAACATTACATTTTGTTGCAAAAACTACAATTTGCCTACTCTACTATCCATTAACCCTTGTGCCTTAGTGATAGCATCCCTAATTTTCAGCTATGCAAATGAATGCCCAAAAACCAATTTCCCATTTTCCCTTGCCATGTGGCTCAGTGCTGGCCAATTAGATGAAATCAGAAGTGCCAGGTGGCAAGTTCCAGGAAAATTCTTTACAGCTAGGTGCAGTGGTTCAATCCCAGCACTCTGGGAGGCTGAGGTGCAAGGATCACTTGAGGCCAGAAGTTCCAGACCAGCCTGGCAACAAAGCAAGACCACACACCTCCCTCGCCATGTCTACAAAAAAAAAAAAAAAAAAAAAAAGATTTTTTTTTTAATTAACCAGGACTGCAGTCCCAGCTACTTGGGAGGCTGAGGTAGGAGGATTTCTCAAGCCAAAGAGGTCGAGGTTGCAGTAAGCCATAATTACACCACTCACCACTGCACTCTAGCCTGAGTGTATTAGTCTGTTTTCATACTGCTATAAAGAACTGCCCAAGACTGGGTAATTCATAAAGAAAAGAGGTTTAGTTGACTCACAGTTCGGCATGGCTAGGGAGGCCTCAGGAAACGCACAATCATGGTGGAAGGCGAAGAGGAAACAAGGCACCTTCTTCACAAGGCAGCTAGAAGGAGAAGTGCTCAGTGAAGGGGGAAGAGCCCCTTATAAAACCATCAGATCTCGTGAGAACTCACTATTGTGATAACAGCATGGAAGAAACAACTGCCCCCATGATTCGATTACCTCCACCTGGTCTCTCCCTTGACATGTGGGGATTACAATGCAAGATGAGATTTGGGTGGGGACACAAAGCCTAACCATATCACTGCGTGACAGAGCAAGACCCTTTCTCAATAAAATAAAATAAAAATAAAAATAGCTAACATATGCCCTTTGCCACTTTCTTTCTTTCATTATTGTGGACTAGAATGTGGACATGATGGTTGGATCTTAGGCCTTCTTGGGGTAGAAGTCACACTCTAATGGAAGAATAGTTGAATAGAAGGAGCCTGGGAGCCCGGGTTTTTGAGGCCGTGAATGGTCACAGTAGCCCTGGACTATCCCCCCAAACTTCTTTTACGAGAGAGAAAACTACACTATCTTGTTTAAGCCAGTTTTGCTTACCTGTTTATTTTCATCATACACATTTGAACCTAATCCTAACAGATACATCTTCTAACTCAGAAAGAATTATTACAGCCACCAAACACCACTAGAGAAGACTATCTGGATGGTTGGAGGACCAAACATTTTTATTCTGGATAATTGGGGGGAAAACATCTCTGTTTTTGCCACTTCAGAACATGAGATAAAATTTCTCTTGGTTCCGCACCCCTTTTTTTTTCTATTTTATTTTTGAAAGGCTTGTATCTGCCTGGAGATAAACATTGTGATTTTGTTTTAATCCTTGTAATTGCCTCCACATGGAAGACTTCTCATAAGTTTGGATTTAAAGGCATTTCTAAATCTTTTCTCTCCGTGCTCTCCACTGATGGAATAGCATCCTGTAGAATGTCAACTTCTCTGCAGCTTCATCATCTCAGCAATCTACAACCAATCACAGAGTGCACAATGTTCACACAGCCGAGAAGTCTGCTTGTCTCAGTCATTCGAAGGCTTTGCTCAGTTTATTTTGGCTGGTTTTCACAGCTGTCATCTGCTAAAGCCAGTCCACAACAACTAAGTTAGCACAGTTATCTCACCTGTGTTATTGGTCCATGTCTTACATCTCAAATCCCCAAGAAATCCACGCAAGCCCATAGGAAATGAAACTTATCACATTTATGCTTCTCTATCTCCTTATGTTCAAAGTTTATAGGGATGGTGTGTTAGTCTGTTCTCACACTGCTATAAAGAGCTGCCAGAGACTGGGTAGTTTATAAAGAAAAGAGGTTTAATTGACTCACAGTTCCACATGGCTGGGGAGGCCTCAGGAAAGTTACAATCAGGGCAGAAGGGGAAGCAGACACATCTTACATGGTGGCAGGCGAGAGAGAAAGTGTGAGCCTGTGAGGGAGGAACTGTCAAAAACTTATAAAACCATCAGATCTTGAGAGAACTCATTCACTATCATGAGAACAGCATGGGGGAAACCACAATTACCTCGCACCAGGTCCCTCCCTTGACAAGTGGGGATTATAATTCAAGATGAGATTTGGATGGGGCCAGAGCCAAACCATATCAGACGGTGTCTTGGGAAGCCTGTTTGCTTCATGTCTCAAAAACAGGTCTACACTTTGGTCTCAGGATGAGTCACATTTGGAGCTGCAGGAGGAGGGGAGTGGTGACTACCAGTGTTTTTCAAGCTCCCCAATGACAAGAACCACCTATTACACCCCAAATTCCCTGAATCAGACTCTCCTGCAGAGGAACCTGGGAAGCTGTGCCTGCCACAATGGTCAGAGCAGTTAGGGCATTGCTAGACCTCTGTGAGCAAAGCTAAAACAGCTTAGGCAAGGAAGCTTGGGAGAGTGGCTTTGGGGTTAAACAGATCTGACTACCTGTTGACTCAGGTGAGTAATTTAATGAATTTAATGTCTTAGAGCCTCAATTTCTTCCTCTCTAAAATGGGGATAACAAATCCAAACTTTCAGGCTGGATGAAGTCTGGAAATAATAGCTGTGTAAAATACCTGGTGCATACCTTCCATGAGCTCAGCCAATGGTAGCTATCAGTACTGTAATCATGACAATGATGTTTATTAGGCCAAAGGGGTCTTAATTTGTATTCAGGAATGAAGAGACTTGGATTTCACACAAGATATTGCATTTCCTTTAACTTCAACACTGTTGGGAGCTGGCTTGGCAAAAAAAGAGCCCTGAGGTGGCAGAGGCCTTTCCTATCTCACAGAGTCAGGGTGGAGGGCACGGAAGTTTCACGACAGCCAAGTCCAAGACGCCAGACTTTTTAGCCACATTAGTATCTAAGGTATTTGTTCACTTTCATCTGTGAAGTGCTTTTCAAGCATTAGGCTGGTAATTTCTCTGTGGGGGATAACTTGGGGTACGGCCTTGCTCAGGCAGAAATCCTATATTTATTTTGGGTCTCTGGGATCTTAAACCTGGTCCACAAATTGAGAAGGAAGTTGTTTGTCCTAAATCATCTTAAATGCTCTGTCTGGGCTTTTCTGATACCAGGACACTAGTGCTTCTACAGACCTGGCCCCGAACCCTTCTTGACCATGACCTCCTCCTCTCCAGGTTCACAATGAGGCCCTGAGTTGGAAATCCAGGCTTAGTAGGTTAAAGAACTCCCAGGGAGCTGGGCAGGTCTGATTTCTCATTCCTCCTTAGAATAACATGAAGATTCCAAATGGAGGTAAACATTATTCCCTCAGCCTCTCCCAGTTTTCTTGCTGGCACAGATCCAAACAATTGACAGTATGAGTGTTTAATAGCAAAGAGATGACCATGAGGACACCAGCTGAGTATAAAGCCCTCCATTGCATGCGCAAAGTACAACAAAGAACCAGGAGTAGGATGGGGAGGGGTGTGAGTAATATAAGTTGAGAATTTTCAAAATTCTAGACCCCGATGAACATTGTCTTTACAATCTTTACAACTGCCCTATGAAATGAGCATTATGCTGCCCATTTCACAGATGAGAAAACAGGGGTATAGCTCTCAATTAGGAACGTTGCTCAAGGTCACACAAGCAGTACATGGAGAAGCTAGCTTGCATATGTGTAACTATTTAATCCCAAACCCATGCCCTTGACTCTCTACCATGCTGCTTTTAACGGTAGAAAAGGGAAGAAGAGAGTTAAGAAATCCATAGACAAAAGTTAAAATAAAATTTGTAAAAAGCATTTCTGTACTTGGTTTAGATTTTATCTGATTTCTCTTGAAATAAACAGTGAGACCTCACCTCAGGTTTATAGGCCAAATATGAAGGACCTTTAAACCTTGAGCCAGCAGTACATATTGAGTTGTCCAACTTGTAGAACAAGGCTAACCTATTCCTTCCTGTAAGGCCTCATTTGGCCTCTAAAGCAGAAGTAGGCAAACTTTTCCTTAAAGGGCTGGAGAGTAAATATTTTAGGCTTTGTGGTCCATAAGTTCTCGTGGTAAATCGACTCAAAGGAATGAGCTGGCTATGTTGCAGAAAAACTTTATTTACATCAATGCCAGTAGTTTGCCAGCCCCTTCTCTAGAGGAATAAGATTATTTCCTACTTGTTTTCCAAGTTCTTCTCCAGAGCATCAAAATGTACATGTATTGATTGTGAATATATAATCATGTGAGCCAGATATTAGCTAAAGTACTGTGCCCTCTGAGATTAAAATGAAACCACATGTAGAGGCAAGCTGCATGCTTCTCAATCTCTCCAGGGGGAATGAAGTCACCCATTCTGCTAAAGTGGTTTAGTTTATGAATCATCTTGCCTTCCTCTATTTTCCATCCCTACCCCACACCACATCATGCCAGACATAGATTCTAGCCCCCTCTTCCTCAATGCATGCATACAAAACACACACGACACAGGCACACACACACAGTTGATCATACACAAAGTTGTGTGCAACAGACTTTCCCCGGAAGGAAATGGATGTTGGATTGACACTGAAACAATTCAAACTACTTAACTTTAAATATGTTATCCTCCTTCTCAAAATTCCTTTGGCCACTTTCTCCTTAAGTTCTAGTCTCCTGCCATATGGCTTGGCCTACTGTCTTCCAGCAACTTTTCCCACTCTGTTAGGCAGAGCAATCGAGCCCTTATCTCAACCCATCCCCACACCTCCCTTTGCACGGCTCTGCTCTGAGATGCACCATCTTCCTTTTCTCACCCTCCCACCAGCCTCTGCAAGAGGAATGGGACAGCCTAGAAATATGTTACCATCATCTTGAAACCACCCTCCCCTTTAAACTCAAAAGCTGCTTTATAGTTTTAGTTTTAAATAGCATTTCTTTCTCCATGACGTAAATTAAAAATCTATCTGTTGAGATATTTTTGGGTTTGAGCGGCACAAGTAAACTCTAACATAAACAGGAAGAGGGAGTTATCCAAAGTATTATATAAAAAGGAAAAGCTAACAAATGGTTTCAGAAATACAGAAACGATGGCGACAGCATGGACAGCAGTGGGAGTTTGTGGTCTCTGTTTCTCTGAGGTATTGCCGTTGTATGTGGCACCAATGGGCTTTAGCCCTGTGTGTCTCTGTTCCAGATTAGATTCCAGAGAAAGTGACATTCTCTGCTTAGGCTAAATGTCAATTGCTGTGGTCAGGACCCTGGAATACTGACATTGTCAGCCTCATCAGAACTACATGGATTTGTGCAGGCAGTTTCCCTAAATAAGGGATGCTGTGCCTCCTCAAAAAGAAAAAAACAACGTTAAAAACAAACAAAAACAAAAACAGACGTCCACTCTACTGTGTTTCCAACCAAAGGCTTCTCAGTGAAAACGGACAGGATTCCTGGTTAAAATGCTGTAAACATGTGTAGATCATGTTTAGAGGCAAATATAAGGAGATTAAAGTTTTACCATGTGATGCCTCTCACTTTCCTAGTACTGGCTAAGGCAGTAAATGTTTTCGAAGGTATAGATATAATTGGTATCTGGCCCCTTCCTCCCCCAAAGTCTTGCTCTTTAACTTAGAGACTCTCATTTATTTATAATTGCTCTGCAAACTGAAACTAGCCCAATTTTCCAGCCAGCCAGAAGGCCATAGAACTGAAGCTTGAGAAACTTACTTTTGTACAATGAAACGCACCTGCTGCCTGCTGACCACTTCCTCTTCCTTACCCCTCCCTAATTCCTGTTTTCCCACATGTGATTACAATGAGACACCAGAACCCTCATTTGACCACCTGCTGCCTGCTGACCAACTCCTCTTCCTTGCCCCTTCTGTTTTCCTTCCCAGCTAAATCAACCCATAATTTTAGATGGGAGAAGAGATAGACTTGAGGCTTGTCTCCATCTCTTCAGTTGACATCACCCGAATAAAGCCTCCCTGGCAATAATCATGGTCTCAGTGATTAACTTTCTATGCAGCAAGCAACAGGACCTAGACTAAACCCTGGGCATTCGATAACAACTGGATAAACATTCATTATCATGTACATTTCACAGATGCAGACACTGTGACTTCACTCTGCGATGTGTCACCAACACACCTTATTTGTGTTGGAGGTGGGCTGTGAAATCAGTGTTTACATCTTCAAGCACACACTCTTTGATGGGATTGCTAGAAGAGATCTATTCATTGTATAGGTCACCTGAATATCCCAGACCTCATCTGTCCTAATGCACATGGCCCTTAGCCCACCCACCTACACAGAAACAAGCCCTTTGAGAGCTCTCTTGGTTCTCTCTGGACCTCCCTGGGAGAGTGTCTCGCATGTAATCAGAAACAAGTCTGCCCATGTCCCCTCCTCCAGTTTCTTCATCAAACCTCCTGACCCCTCCACTGCTGGTGGCCTCCAGGAAGATATGAAGACACTCTCCCTCCAAAACTCAGGTCTCTTTCCCTGCTGAACCCAGAGTCCTCAGGGTACCAGAGGTACCATGGCCATAGCCAAGTGGGCTCGGGGAGCAGAGTAGAGGGACAGTCCCCTCTCCAGCTATGGGTGATACTATGTTTCTTAGCCTCAAATTGATGCAGATGGTTCCTAGACACTGACAAAGTCTGTCAGCAACACTTATCTTTCAGCTGCTGGCCCTAACCTCCTCCTGCTCACTACTTCCCAATTCAGAGTCCTTGCAGGGGTTGCCTGATTGCCCAGGCCTTGGTCACTTGCCACACTCAGGCTTCAGGAGGGCTGGGAGAGCTGTTGTCTGGACTTCTCTTGAGGTCACAAAAGTGATCTCAGCTCACACAGTGGAAGTCCCAAATATACAAAGAAGATTCAGGAGTTGGGTGGTCAAAAAAAAAGCAATGGCAAATGTCCACCAGGATGCCATGTGGCCCATCCCTTATCACTCTCCCCCCAGCTCTTTCGCTGGATCCTCTCTTCTCTTTTAGCAAAAAAAAGCAAACAAATAAATACTAAGCTTCTTTTTGCATATGAAGTTGTGCAATTCAGTACTTGAAGGGAGGTAGAATTCACCATACTAAACGGCTCAAAGTTCCAGTTTTAGTTATACCAGGAAATGCTGCCATTTTGAGGACACAGGGAACTCAGTGCTAATTCATTAATGATTGCAGCAAGAGGTATGGAAGCGGGCAGGGAATTAGGGGCAGAGGATGAGAAACTCAGAGTAAACACTTTCTGCAGTTGGGTACTTGTGAAAGAGAGAGTTCATGTTTTAAAGTCAATAGACTCAAGGTTCAAGTTTTGGTTTCACTACTATGTGATCTTATACAAGTTTTACTTGATATGTCTGAGCCTCTGTTTCTTCATTTGCAAAATAATAACAAAGAATATTCCTGAAAGTTTTAAGTAACATAATGCATGTAAAGTGGCTGGAAAATTGCTGCTTAACAAATATTCCCCTTTCTCTTCCCTCTGGGAAAATAAGATAAATAAGATTCCTATTTGTACAATAAGGAATATTTCTGTATATTTCTGTATACTTTTACATATTTATAACTGCTTTATGAAAGTATTTTTGATATTGCTGTGAAAAAAATCTGTAATTGCTTTTAATAAGAATTTGATGGAAAAAATGTAATACAATTATTTTATTTTAAATGGAAATTATGGATTAAAAGTTATCAAAGAGTATTCTACAGTAGCAAATTAAGTAAATTGTAGTCTATGATTTCTGGGCTTATAGGAAAGAAGGTAAATTAGCTTTTGTAGGGTGCTGTACTAATGTGTGCATGCCATTGTGCTGGGCACTTTATAGTTAATCTTTACAACAAACTCATAAGAAAGTAATTTTACAGATGTAGAAACTGAGGCTAAGAAATGTTAAGTCATTTCCCCAACATCACATAGTAGAAGTTCATCTACATATGAGGCCCATACAAAAGCTAATTCCATAGCTCACTTGGATCATGATACCAAGCAAAAACATGGTAGGTATGTCCCATGGTCAGGTAGGCACTGAGCAGCAGAACAGTGGGAACTGACAGGTTGCCTGATCACAGCTCCATAGTCTCTGCCAGTAAGGACACAATGAGCCCACGTAGATGGAGTTAGATACTTCACAGCAATGGTAGAAGCTTCCTGTTTGTATCAGTTCTCTTTACGCCCCAGATCTCACAAGGGTGATGCAAAGGTTGGCACAGGTGAATACCATGCACGGAGTGCAGGGGCGCCTCACAGCTGGGGAATCCTAAGCTTAGGAACCCCCCTACGTTACAATGGGGCTTCTGGAAAACTGCCCATCCTCCCCTCCAGGGAGAGATGTTATCTTACTACCCTGCAATGTAAACAAATCTTTCTCAAGAAGAGGAGAGAGGTCTTTATCCTTATTATCCTAGACCATCTCCAGGGAGGGGGACATTCTCACTATCTTTACCATTCTGGAAAGTAAATAAATCTGAGGAAAGTGGGTGTTGATGCCTAGATGTGAAGAAATGTGAGAGATTCATAGAGACTTGCCTCCCATTCCAAAAAAGTAATAGGATATTAATAGACCACCCTTTTTTTCTGTTTTTCCTTCCTTTGTTAAACAAATATCTACTCTTTTATTCACTCAAAGTCAATTCACATATGATTAAGTGACCCCTATGTGTGTAGGTAGACGTGCTGGTTGCTGTGCATAAAGCCGTAAGTTAGGCAAATGCAGTCCTTACCTTGGTGGAGCTAACATTGTGATTTTAGCTCAAGATAGTCTGCAGCTGTCTTTCTCAGCGGCCTGCAATGGGGCTGACTCCAGACAATCCAGTTGTTTCTGTGCATCCTCTAAAAGCCGGAATGGAGAATTTAACAATTCACAACATCTCCTCAGGGAGTCGCTTAACTATTAAAGGAGCCTATACTTAGGCTGTGAACCCAAAAGTATCTGAGACAGGTCTCAATCAATTTAGAAAGTTTATTTTGCCAAGGTTAAGGACACACCCATGACACAGCCTCAGGAGGTCCTGACGATGTGTACCCAAGGTGGTTGGGGCACAGATTGCTTTTATACATTTTAGGGAGACATAATACGTCAACCAATACATGAAAGATTTACATTGGTTTGATCTGGAAGGGCGACGCAACTCGAGGAGGGGAACTTCCAGATCGTTGGTAGATTTAAACATTTTCTGATTGGCAATTGGTTGAAACAGTTATTAGCAGTAGAAAGTTATCATCAGTAGAAAGGAACGTCTGGAGTTGTGGAGACCAAGGTTTTATCATGCAGATAAAGCCTGCAAGTAGCAGGCTTCAGAGACAATAGATTGTAAATGTTTCTTAACAGACTTAAGGTCTGTATTGATGTTAATGCTTCATAGGAATGATGAGCCATGTCCAATCCCCTCTTCATCCAGCCTGAACTACTTTTTCAGATTAATTCTGGAATGCCCTTGGCCCAGAGGAAGGGTCTATTCAGATGGTAATATGGTTTGACTCTGAGCCCCATCCAAATCTCAAATGGAATTGTAATCCCCAGTGTTGGGAGTGGGGCCTGGTGGGAGGTGATTGGATCATGTGGGTGGTTTCTAATGGCTTAGCACCATCCCCCTAGTGCTGTTTTGTGATAGAGTTCTCATGAAATCTGGTTGTTTAAAAGTTTGTGGCACCTCCCCCACCCTCTCTCTCCTGCTCCTGCCATGTAAGACATGCTTGCTTCCCCTTCATCTTCCACTATGATTGTAAGTTTCTTGAGGCCACCCCAGAAGCAGAGGCCTGTACATCTATCTCTCAGAACCGTGAGCCAATTAAACTTCTTTTCTTTAGAAATTACCCAGTCTCAGGTAGTTCTTTATAGTAGCTCAAGAATGGACTAATGCAGATGGTTAGGAGGCCTTCCAATTTTATTGTTGATTACAAGTCTCATCAATAAGTCATGGTATTGAAAGTTAAATCCTCAGGAGGCTCCACCACACATTCATGAAGTCCAATGAGTGAGTTGATGGTGTTATTGTTAATGCTGAGGATATCCAGGTGCAGAAAGGACTGAAAAGACAAGGAGATGGACAATGGTTTTCTCCTTAGAGTATAAATCATCTTAGAAACAAATATTCTTCCATTTCCAAGATAATAACTATCTTTGTTTCTTTGTTAGATAATAGCTTTTTGGTGCATGTGAAAATAATGTATCTTACTGTAAGAAGAATTTTTGAAAGCATGTGAAAAATATAAAGAAATTAATAATCTCTCATCCTGATGCCACCTAGACAGAACTATTGTTAACTTTCTGGGGTATTCCTTCTGGTCAACTCAGATTCACATAGGCACACATCTATGGTGATTTTGTGTGTTTTTCTTTTATTTAGTTGGAGTCCTATTGTATATGGAATTTAGTTTACTGCATTTCCCATTTAACATATAAAATAATATAAAAACCAATTTAATGGCTACACACTGGTTCATCAAATACATAAACATTAATTTATTTAACCAATGCTTCCCCCAAGCAATGTTGGCCCTGATCTTGTGTTTTGCTTTCTGCTCTGATAAACAGCTTGATTAACAGCATCTTTTTTTATACCTTTTCCCCTATGCCTCTCTGTTTATTTCACTGGGATTGATTGATAGCAGTGAAATTATTAAATTAAAGGATGTAGGCCAGGCGCGGTGGCTCACGCCTGTAATCCCAGCACTTTGCGAGGCCGAGGCAAGCGGATCACGAGGTCAGGAGATGGAGACCATCCTGGCTAACACGGTGAAACCCCGTCTCTAGTAAAAACACAAAAAATTAGCCAGGCACGGTAGCGGGCACCTGTAGTACCAGCTACTTGGGAGGCTGAGGCAGGAGAATGGCGTGAACCCGGGAGGCGGAGCTTGCAGTGAGCTGAGATCGCACCACTGCACTCCAGCCTGGGCGAGCGAGACTCCCTCTCAAAAAAAAAAAAAAAAAAAAGGATGTAGGGGCTGGGCACAATGGATCACACCTATGATCTCAACACTTTAGGAAGATCTCTTGAGTCCAGGTGTTCAAGACCAGCGTGGGCAACATAGTGAGACCCCATCTCTACAATAACTATAAATAGATAAATTAAAATTTAAAAATTAAAGGGTAAAAATATATATTGCTGAGCTGCCCTCTGGAAATTCTGTACTATTTTACATTCTCCCCTAGACTATGTAGGGGTGGAGGATGATAGAGAGAGGGGTGGGAAGAAGGTGAGAAAAAGGAAGCAGGGAAAAGACAGAATTGCAATGCAGACAGCACTATTGAGTTACTCTTTATGAATCCTGGAAGCTTGTCCCTCCCCAAGTACACTTTAAAGATGCCAATCAATTTTCTTGAATTTGGTTCCTAGAAAATAAGCTCCTACTGACCAGTGCTTCTGATCCTTCCGAATTTCCCAGGAATTCAAATTCCCATCTGAATTCTCAGATTCTAATGATGTATGAAGTCACTTACAAGTCTTCAGTTTTAAAACTTAAGAGGTTTTTGTCTCCCTTTTCAGAACATTTCAGATGGTGAGAGGTGTCATATTGAGCCTCAGTGATACTGCTCAAGACTGACTCTTTAAATAATATCCAGATTACAAAAGCAATTTTTTTCAGTGTCATTGTTTTTCCTTCTCTAAATGTATATATTTTTATTTCAAAAATATGCCATACTCAGTCTTTAAGCTGGAAATGCAGAAAATACTATTAGAAATAAACCATCCATAGTCTTCACAAACACAGTCATTGTTAACATTTTATTATGTTTCCTTCAGGCTTTTATATATACATATGTATATATTACAACATTGTAAACATACTACAAATGCAGTTTCTTACTCAGCTTTTTCCCACTAAACGGCCATAAGCATTCTCCCGTGATATTACATAACCCTCATAAACATTCATTTTTATGGCTGGATGATATTCCAGTGAGAAGATGAATCTTAATTTATGTGGCTGTTCCCCTTAGGAAAACATTTAGGATATTTCCTACTATAAATAATTCATGTCAATTCTTTTTGCATAAAGCTAATTTCATAGTTATCTTTGCTCTAAAATAGAGTTTTAGATACAAAATAGTAATATAGCTAATGATAATGATCACTTTTTGAGCATTTACTATAGGAATTTTACTTGCATTACCCCTACTCACAACTTTTCAAAGTAAATAATTATATCCCCATCTTGTAGATGAGGAAACTGAGACTCAGATATTAATTTGCTTTAAGATGCAAAGCTAAGCAATAATTAAACCCAGATCTTTATTGTTCCAAGAGCCCTTCCCTTTGGTCCAGATGATACAGGTACTTTACTGTATCAGAGGATGTAAATATTTTTTAAGGATCTTGACACACATTGTGTTCTAGTATTTTTGCCATCTTTTCCTCCATTTGGAGATTTTTAATTTGGGGCATTTGTTTATGTCTGTGTGCAGGATTGTTGGATCTAGAAAAGTTTTTAAAGTTTATATTGTCAAATGTCAGTATTTTCCCTCTATTCTAAGCTTGGAGGGTTGGTGAATATCCACTACTTTTTTTCTATAGTTTGAGTTTGTTAATATTTAACTTTTCATTCCATGAGGAATTCAGTCTACCATGTGAAGGTATGGAATTTAGTATGTGGAATGAGAATAAACTAATTTATCTCTTGATTTTCTAACCATAGAACCTAAATCCATTTATTACAGATATTCTCTTTCCCATTGACAAATATTAGATTCTTATATGTAGTAGAATATGTTTCTTTGCTTTCTTCTATGTATCTACTCACTCAGTTGGTAAACATTTATTCAGTGCCTACACATGCCAGAAAGTGGTCTAAGTGTCTCGATACAGTGGAGGATGATGGCAGACTTATTAAACAAATAATTAAATCAATAATTACTTAATTATAGTATTTCTAACAGCTTTGAAGAAAATATATGAAGAATGCCATGGTGGCTTATAGCAAGAGTACCTGATTTACTCTTGCACAAATATCACACTTTCAATTTCTGAAGTTTTCTGAATTTTAATATCTAATAATTTAATATTCCCTTCCTAACCCACTGCTGTTCTTGCCTGCTTATTCTGTCAGGTGAAAGTAGGAATGATTTTTTTCAACTTATGAAAATATCACATTGTACTATTGAATTAAATACATATTAAATACAGCAATTAAATTGTAAAGAATTGACATATTTCACATATTCCAAAATTCTACCCAAGTTTTCTTTTATAATTCTCAATAACATTTTGTAATTTTATAGTTTTCTCCAAATACATCATTCAATTTTATCATTAAGGTTGCTTGTAGGCATTTTGTACTTTTTCTCCTATTATAATCAGGATCCCAGTTTTTATTATATTTTATAACTTGTTTTTAATACTGTAGAAGCAAGCTATTGATTTTATGTATTTATTACACAATCAGCCACCTTACTGAGCTCGTTAATTCTCATATTTTTTTCTCAGTTTTACTCCTTTGGATTTTCAATAGATGCATTTCTACCTTCAATTAATAATAGCTTTTTCTCCTCCTTAACAATATTTAGGCCTCTTTCTTTTTTATTCTATTTATATCAAATTGGCGAGAACACCCAAAAAAATAAACAGTGGTGGTTATGAACATCCTTACTTTGTGCCTAGTTCTTCATTATTTCTCTGTTTCATATGATGCTGGCTGATGATAAAATGTTATACTTTTTAATTAGTTGAAGAAAGTAGCCATCTATTCTTAATTTTTAAGAGGTTTTATTAGTAACAGATGTTCAATTTTATTATATCCATTTTGATGTCTTTTCTTAATGATCTCTTATGTAAGATAATTATTTCTTCAGATTATCAGCTACTGCATCAGTCACATTTGGTTGAGATATTTGGTGATTTTCTTTCTAAATAATGCTGCAACATTCTTGAGTACCATGGCAGCACCCTGGAGCCTTGGAAGAGGCTTGGGCCTAGACTCAGCCCACCTTGAAAGTGCAGAAACAGCCCTGTGAATTCAAGTAGAAGATGCCCAAGGCTCCTGAAGAAGAGATCGAAGGCCCCACAGGGCATAAATGTTCTATAATTTGAAGGGGGGGGAATCTCTATTCCTCTAAGAGAATAATGAATTGATTTGATAATGGTAGGAGTGTTTCAGTGTTGTTGAGTGTAAGAAAATTTTGGACATGTCTTGCTCCTGGGATGCTGTGGGTGCCAGAGCTTTCCATGCATACCTGGACCTTTGTATAGTTTGGTCTGGTAAGCTTGGTTGAAGGACGTCGCCAAACAAAATTTGAGATGTGAAATAAACCTTGGCCGTAAGTTTTGGGTCTGGTATTTAGTCAACTTGGAGTAGAGCTTATTTGAAATAATTTCCTGATCACCTTCAGAGTCTTCTAACAGCTACATCCAAGAGCCTTGATTTGCTGAGTTGCTCATCTCATTGGCCATTGATTCAATGAACATGTATTGAGCACCACTTATGTGTCTGGTACTGGGCTGGGGTGTTGCAAAATGCAAGCTTTATTATTATATGGGCATGTTGAGTTTATTATGATTTGGGATCAGGAGTTGACTGCCACTGAAAAGATAGTATGTCACCCACAGTTCCCCAGAGGAGGGTGCATGCCATGCCACACAGGGCCACATGGGGAAGCACCAGGGTCAGTCAGCAGGCAGAGAGAGGGAGGGAGGAAGTGTGGAAGGGCCTTTACTATGGTGTCTGTAGGAAGGAAAAGGAAGGGCAGGATAAGTGGACTTAGGGTTGGTTAGTGTGAATAAGTCTGGCAGGCTGTGAGGTTTAGGAGCGGTCCGGAGTTGCCTGGGACCTGGTCCTGGGATGGTTAGGACAGGGGAATACCAGCCCAGAGTGTGAGAGCCCTGTGAGCGTCTGATAAAGGTGGTGGTTGGAGAATACGGGCTTGGGGTTGGTTAGTGGTCAGATGAGGAGTACACTTGCAGACCCATCCTTTTCTATCTCTAAGAACTAGTTAGCCCTGGGAGTAAACATCTCCTTGGGATCAGCAAAGCCACTGATATCAAAACATCAGAAAATACAGAAGATTAAAATGCATGATTAATACATAGAGCTTTCAGTGAGAAAGGTGATACTGCAAGCCATGAGAAGGGTCAGAGGAAGAGTTTCATGAAAATACTGGGAAAAAAATGTCCTGCTATTCTATTGATATCTCTTAACTGGGGCATCAACAGTCCAGGCTATTAAGAAGTCCTTGAATCAATAGAAGAAAAAAATATAGGGAGAAAAGTTGACTAACCTCACGAGAAGTGAGGCTTTTGCTCCCCTGATTTTACTCTTCCCTGAAATGGGTCAAAACCAGAGACAGCTTCAAGGACAGAGCTGAGGGGCTGTGGCTGGAGGAGGAGCCTCTAGTGGGAGCAGGTGAACAGGGCTGGATGGGACAGGCACTCTCTTGACAAATGGCCCTTCTTCAAGTGGCTTCGGGACCCCTCCAGCCCTTCTTTCCCATGCAGCTTGGGGTGGGAATAGTGGTGGAAATCTACTGCTCAGGATGACTTCTTCACCTCCCCAGGATGTAGGGAGAGGTCAGCTCAATCCCATTCTCTCCCAGGTTTATGAAACTTGTTATTTCTCTGAGCCCATCAGTTGATCACAGAGGCCAGTCTCTGCTCAGCATTATATTCTAGGAAACATGGTTCAGCAAACACAAGTGTCTGCTAAGAAAGGATGAGATCCAGACACCCAAACATTTTGTTCAAAATAAGAAACCTACAAAGTCTTAGGTTTTACCTATCTTTATGTCCATTCGTGTGGAAGAAGAAAGTATCAATGAAAACTTACAACACGGACACCATTCAGAAAACTGAGATATCGACTTAAACATTATTCCCTTACCAGGACAACTAATTATTAAGTAAGACAACCATTAAGAATTGCAAAAACATTTTTTACAAGTCTTTTATTTTTAAAGGTACCACCTGCAATGAATTTTATGATGCAGAATAGTTTCAGGAAAATGGAGAAATTTTCATCTTGCTGAGGTTGTTTTCATCAGCAGTTGAAAGGTTGCACAGTTTCAAGGCTAAGCAATGTAATTTCATTTTTTAGCACCTAAGAAAACAGAACAGACTGACAATCTGAGGACTTACAATTTGGAAAAGAGAAGGGTAGCACAGGAGGATTAACAAATGAGTTATAGGGCATAAGATGTTTTTCATCTATATACTTACAAGCAATTCCAATGTTTACCGATGTTCTCAAAGAATATCACAGAAGATACAGTTCCAATCCATGACAACGTGGCTTAAAACCCTCTTTTCCTTTCTTTCCTTTCAATCTTGCTCACAGACCTTGTGGATCAAAGAGTCTCTCTCCGTTTCATTTCCAGCTTGCTGCCAACACTTCTCCAGTAAACCATGCAGGTGGCTCTCAACTTCTTTTGGTGCCCCAGCCCCCAGTCTTGGAACTACTTTTTTCTCTCACTAGATATTTGCCTCCTCTTTGATGGAAATGTTCTGGCCTCTCTCAGTAGATGTTCCTGCCCAGGCATTGAGCTAACAAATTCAAAGTTTCCCTTGGAAAGAAAGGGAGGAGGGAGGTTCAAGGATTCTCTTTCTTTCACAGTCAGGAGGATAGGAACGATGCTGTAAATCGCATAATTCAATAATTTGTTTCTTGATCATTCTTTTCATCGAAGTGACAATATCTTAAAGGCCAACCTTTGGGGGTAGGTCTAGAAAAATAGCCCACAAAACCCACTGGGCATGGTTTTAGTCCGGATCACTGGTCTTTGGGTATGATGAGGGGTGGGGCTGGAAGGGGGAAAAAGAAAGTGCTCAGTCTCTTAGGGGCACTTTTTCAAATTCTACTGCCTCTTTACGGAAACTCAAAGTCTCCTCTCCACTGAGACTCACATTGACTTCCCGTTCTTTCAAACCCAATCAAATACCTTGTTTGTCGGTAAATCTCATTGACTTCACTTCAGATCATGTCCAAAATCCAACCACTTCCTGGCACTTTCTCTGCCACCACTCCCATCCAAGCCGCTGCCAACTCCCACTTGGGTTATTGCAGTAGCCAACCTGTGTTAGTAGCCTATTTCCACTGCAACAAACTCCTCAAACTGAGCAACTTAAAGCAACACAGATTTATGTTCTCACAGTTCTGGAGGTCAGAAGTCTGAAGTGGATCTCACTGGGCTAAAATCAAGGTGTCAGCAGGACTGCTTTCCATCTGGAAACTCCGGGCAGAAGTCATCTTCTTGCCTTACTGAGCTTCTATGGATGCCTTGCATTGTATGGCTCGTGGTCCCTTCCATCTCAAAGCCAACAATGGCTGGGCGAGTCTTTCCCACACTGCATCACTCTGCCTCCCTCTCTCCTGCCTTCCTCTCACTTATAAGGACCGTTGTGATTTCCTTATGCACCTGGATAATCCAAGATTGTCTCCCCACCTCACGGTCAGCTGATTAGCAACCATAGTTCCATCTGTAACTTTAATTGCCCCTTCTCATGTAAAATAACATATTCACAGGTTCTGAGGATTTGGATGTGGACATCTTTGTGGGCCGTTACTCTGCTCACCACACCTCTTAACTCACTCCCAGTTTCTTGCCTCCCTTAAATCACTTCTTCACACAGCAGCCAAAGTAGTCCACTTAACCACATATCACATCACCTTACTGTGCTCAAGACCTTGTAAGGGCTCCCACTTTGTAGTCCCAACAGCCCTCAACACCACTAAGGTCCTTCTTATGAGCTCTATGAATGTATTTGCTGAATTTGAATACTCCTATCATTCCTGGCATCCACCCCACTGCATTACGGGAAATAAGGTTGCATTATATTTGCTAATGTTTTATTGAGAATGTCTTTGTCTATATTCAGAAGTGAAGCTGGTTGTTTGCTTTCTGTGTTGTCTTTTGTTTTGCTTTGTAGAACAGATTGGGGGCTTTGCGTCTTCTATAAATTAAATTAGCATGGAAGTCTTTGTTTCTTAAAAGCTTGAAAAAATTCCATGCCTTAAAACATTTTTTAAAACTTCACTGAGGCTTAAATTGACGAAGCATAACAAACAATAGGTAACAATGTGAAGAAGTCTCCCAAGATTTTTAAAAACGCATGTTATTAGTTGCCATCCATTCTCCAGAATCTTTTCTGTTCGATTCCATTCACTTACTCTAACCCAAATTGAATACAAAAATTTTGACTAAGGTACTCCCTTCTAACCCATTCCCAGTCCTACCTTAGAATCTAACTCCTGAGGTGCTCACACTACTGGGGTTTCAAATTAGCTTGCTGTCCAGATATCTGACCCTATTAACCAGAGGGCTGGCCCAGTGCACAGGTGGCCTGTCATGCTGGTTAGACTGAATGAATGAGCTGAAGAAAAGATCTGTGATCTTTTACGAGGACTCTGGATTAATTAGGAGACCCATTGTAGGGGAATTCCATCCCTGGATCCCCCTACATGTAGTCTCTGATGTGACAGAATAAAATGAAAATAGAATCAGCTACGATTGTTTCCATACATGTTAAGACTGGTACTCCCTAGCCAGAAAAAAGTTATTTCTACTTTAGTCTAACAGAGGAATCAAATGTTGCCCCATAGCACAATTTTTAAAATTTTAATTAAAACCTACTAACTTGAAATTTATGTACAGTCATTCTCCTTAATGTCACCTTAGCCAATTTTATAAACTATCTCTACTTGAAAGCCCTTCAGATATCACTCTCAGAAACAGCCCGAATCCATTACAAGGGTGAGTCACACGTCAAATATGTAAACACAAAATTAGAGTGGAGACTGGACATTCACTCTGTGTCTTAGGACAAGGTTTTGCTGCCCGGAGAGTTGATGGGAGCAACTCCGGAACTTTGACTACCAAATAATCTGAGGGTCTTTGCCTATCAGCTAAACCACACAATTGCTATCAATATCGGGCTTTCTTCATGTTTCAGATGTCCCAAGATGAAGAGAGATGTAGTTATAGATGTCACTTCTATGCATGCTGTCAGTGTTTACTGCAGAGGGTAGTGGATCCCTAATAGAGGGTGAAGGGAATTATTCCCTTCCACCTTGCAACCAGCCCTGTGTTCAGCACAGCAGCCTCAGCGGTGTATCCACTACACAAGAAGACAGGAAGTCAACAGCATGCTCCCAGCTGGTGGGAGTAGCATGAACATTCACAGCAATTTCCAGTGGCAAATGACTGTCCTGTTACATAGCTTCATATTTTCCTCTCTCTTTTAACTTCTCAAGTCAATCAGAGAAGTACTACATACTATAAAGTGAGGGGACTGACTAAACGACACACAAGACACTCCATTATATTACAGCAGCAATCTGTGTATTACATAACCCTTGGCCTCAGGTGACTTACAGTAAAGTTGGGCAAACAAGAAAACAGAACGGGAAGTTATCCGTGTAAGTATTTAGCATACCATATGCCTGGCACATGGTATGGATTCAAAGAGCTTTAGCTATCAGTATTATTATGATTGTTATTGGGAATATAAGATTACTCTCAGAAACATGAGAACAATGTTGAGAAACACACCAGTATCCTCACTGTTTGCATTGTCACCATCCATCTTCCTTTCAGCCCTTGTAGGGGCAAAGGAGGCATGGCAACTGAGCCAGTGCTGGAGGGTTGCTCCAGGGACAGCAGCTTGGGATAAGAATCCATTCTTTTTTTTTTTTTTTTTGAGACGGAGTTTCCCTCTTGTTGCCCAGGCTGGAGTGCAATGGTGTGATCTCTGCTCACCGCAACCTCCGCCTCCTGGGTTCAAGCAATTCTCCTGTCTCAGCCTCCCAAGTAGCTGGGATTATAGGCATGCACCACCATGCCCAGCTAATTTTGTATTTTTCACAGAGACTGAGTTTCTCCATGTTGTTCAGGCTGGTCTCAATCTCCCGACCTCAGGTGATCTGCCCACCTTGGCCTCCCAAAATGCTGGGATTACAGGCATGAGTCACAGAGCCCGGCCAAGAATCCATTCTTAGCCATCCAGGAGCAGAGTCAGAGGGGAATGAACAAGCCAACACCTGAAGAAGTGCTGAGAGAGTCTAAGCCAGGGAAGCCAAGCCAAAAGCCAAACGCTGCTGGTCAGCGGGAAAGGATGCCATGGGTCAGGAGCCAGGTAGAACCCAGAGGAGAAAAGAAGTCAATTTGGAGCAACTCAGGGAGGATCCAAAGTGGTGCTGGAACCGTAGCCATAGTTCACCTTTGCAGGCCACTGGGCATGGCCACGTTTAACCATCAGAAAGCTGAAGGGCCAGGGTCCATATACAATACTATAGGACAGTGGTTCTCAAAGAGAGTTCCTTAGGTCCAACAGCATCACCACAACCCTGGAACTTGTTAGAAATGCAGATCCTCAGGCCCGCCCTAAACCTACTAAATATCAACGTCTAAGGGTGAGCCCAGCCTCTGCAATAAGGAACTGCAGTCATGTAAACTCTATAAGTCAGCATTTCCCTACTTCAGCTGTATAAAAAACCATCTGGGCAGATTAACAGATACCCATGCTCGCAACCTACCCTACATCAATCAAATCAAAATCTTTGAGGAGTGGAGCTGTGGGGGCATTTGGCTTTTTTTTTTTTTTTTTTTTTTTTTGCTCTCTGGGTGATTCTAATGGTGGAAACCACTAGCTCTAAACATCTTCCTAAGGAGAAATCCCTTTATAATTTAAGGTATTACTAGGGCATCATTGTTACCCATGCTGGACACAGTGGAAAGACCGTATGTTCCAAATTTATCAGCCCTTTTCTTCAGGTTTCATGTAGCTTTAAATGAGACAGCTTATTGGAAGGACTTTTAACAACATTGTCTGATTGTAGTCAGCAAGGTTTTCTCTTCGCCCTGCTGAACGGATTATTCTTCGAGTGTCAAAAAGTAGAAACTATAATCCTTTGAAGTGACTAAGGACAAGCTTTCCAGAAACCTGGGATCAACACAACCCAAATGAAGGCAACTGTGTGTGTCGTCTCTGGATAGCTGGTAAAGAACAAGTGCTTCTTCAACTGAGATGAAAATTAATTCAGAGGTCAATACAGGTTCATTGTGTTCATTGTGATGGAAGATCCACTCACTAATTTCATTTGGGGATTAAATCTTTATTGTCTACTCTGCATTTCCATCTGTTTTCACAGTTTCTTTGCTTCTGTAGTGAATTTCAATCAGCAGAGGAAAGGACATTGTTATGCCCTCTCTGTTTCTTCATTTTTCTCTCTTGCATCCTTGTTCAATTCCTCCTGCTCTTCCCCTCCTCCTTCCCCCAGCCCCACTGGGTCTGAAATGCCCTATTTGATGTGAATTACACATCCTTGAGACTGGGACTTGCTTGTATTAAGACCACTTGCAGCTACCTCCAGCCATAATTGCAATTATAATTGGATGCAATTATTTGCTAAGTGTGCTTACAAATTTACCAGAGAGGCTAGATTAATTGTGGTTCATAATACCGTAAAGCCTCCCATCATGTTAAGATGCCACTTAATTCCTTCATTCTTCTAAGCTAATTAATCCACAGGCAACATGCACTTAATAGTCTCTGAATAATTACCAAGCTGGTCCAGTCTTTGCTAAGGTCAGCCCAAGCGGGCAGTCTTGTGGGGTCCTTCAGGCCTACAGTGCATGTAGAGCTGCCTTCTCTAGTGTCTTCTTCTCACTGCCTCATTGTCAGCAGGTGAACCAAGCCCCTCTCCTCAAAATAACGTTTCTGGAAGTTTCTCTATTCTTTTTTTAATGATAAGAGACATGGTAGCAGAAATAACTTCTGCTCCTGCAAAATCACCCTTTTAATTCCTAAACTCAACTTCTCCATCAGCTGCAGGGGTGATGGAAGGAGGGGCTGGAGGCAGGGAACTGTCATGCAGGTTGCATTAAATCCCATTCTGTGTGCAATTAGACAGCCTTGTACAGATTTCTGGAAAGGCCACCTGCCCCTTCCTTGCACAGCCTGCTTTAGCTCTGCAGATTACTCTGCTTCTGCAGCTCTCCTCCCACCAGCACCCTCTTGCCTCCCCCAGCCTTGCACTTCACAGCCGTTGCCAGCCAGCATCCCCGCACTGTAACAAAAGCATGCATTTTGGTTCACAAAACAGCTTTCCATCTCATTTTTACCTGGGAACAAGTCAGTGACTTGATATCATAGGAGGTGTCTTCTCCATTTTACGAATAGCAGAAATGAGGCTCTGGGAGTTGTAGTGACTTGCCCCAGGCAGAACCCAGACTCAAGCTTCCTGACTGCACACATGCAGGCACTTGGCGGACCACTCAGCCTCTTGGGGCACTTGAAAGTCTTCTGGATAAACCTCCTGAGATCTGGTGCACCCTGACCCACCAGCCCCATTGTTGAAAATTCCAGATTAGAGATCTTTCATTTGGTTGGGGCGTTGGGTCTGAGTTAAAATGCACTGCCCTTGGAAGAGGTGGCACGTTAGGCTTCCATTGGATACTGAGAACATATTGATTAGCCTCCATGCTCAGAATGCCCCTCACAAAGTGGAGACGGGGGGCTTAGGAAAAGAAGTCAGTTTTCTTGAGGATCAGGAAAGGAAAGGTGGAGTGGGGCAGGAAACCCCAGAACTGGGGCATTGAGAACACCATGGCATCTGGGATGGGTGAGTGACATGAAAGTGATCAGAGAAGGAGAGGAAGGCAACATCAACTCCAGACCTCATTAACTACCTATTCCATAGACTGTACAGGCGCCACCTGACTTGAAATTCCCTCTCTGCTTAGGTCTAAAAGGCCAGGGACACAACCCGCTGCCAAAGAGGGGCAGGTGAGACAATCAAGCAGGAGCCCCCAGTTTGTCTTGCCCTCAGATCCTGCCTCTGCTTTTGCACAACACTGACTGCACGGTGGGGAAGCTGACACCTTTCCCCATGCATTGACCTAACACAGCCAAAACCTTCCATCTGTGTGGTCAAGGCGAGGAGTGAAGTCACAAGCAATCTCATTGTCATTAAGCTCATGCAGAAGAACTTGGAATCCCAGAAGATTAGAATCCAGTCTTAGTGTCTACATCCTACTATGTCTTATTCCCCCTATTCAAGCATTAACTTGCTTGGAGAAAAGACTGTTTCTCTTTTCATCCTTTTCTTACCACCTCCCTACCCAGCACAGATTCCCCTCAAAGCTAACAAAGTCTGCCTTATGTGCTTAGAAAATAAAACTTAAAAAAAAGCTTAGTTAAATATATGAAAGAAATGAACACATTGAAGCTGTCTTCCCTAACTCTACACTTTGGTAGTGTCTTATGGAGAGTGGGAACAGAGTCTTAGTCCTCTCTGCATCGTAAGTACTGGCTCGATGCCTGACGCGCAATACATGCTTGTTGAACATCCACTGGATGCTGCTGCTCCATTGTCCCTTCTTTGGTCTTCATGGTTTCTCAGGCTGTCTGTGGATGTTTCTTGCTCTTCTGGGGCTAAGGCTCATGCTTTCCACAATGAGGAGGCTGACACCCCCGTGCTACTGTGCACCTGCTTACTGCCAGCATGATCTCATGTGTCTCTGCTTCTTCTTCTTCCCATATCACATCTGTTCTTCCAGCTCCCCACGTCTAACCTTCTTCCCTTAGACATATTCTCCAAGTAGCTCCTCCTTGTCCTTCTCCCACTTGCTGTATCCCCTTCACCAGCCCAGCTCGCCTACTAACTCCTTCGCTGACCACTCAGGTCCCACTAAAGTGGTGGCTCCATTTTCTAAATTCTCAGTGTGTTTCCAGTCTGAGCCACATGGTTTAGCCCTCTGCCAACGGTGTGCTGCATTATCTTTGGTGATCTGTGCTCCATAAGCAAGTTGAGCCTGCCTATCCTCACACTGTGCTCCTCCAACCCATCTGCCCCTCCTTCCAGCAGTGGAAACAGAAAAGATGCCCAATTATTGGGTAGCAATTATTCATTTTCATGCCCTGGGCTTACACATGAGAAGAAAGTATAGTATCATGAAGTATTTCTCAAAGGATGGAAGTCATGTCACTTAAATCATATTCTCCTGGCAGAGGGATAAAGAGGAACCTGTTAAAAATTCAGATTCCTGGAGAAATAGGAACGCTTTTACACTGTTGGTGGGAATGTAAATTAGGCCAACCGTTGTGGAAGGCAGTGTGGTGATTCCTCAAAGACCTAGAACCAGAAATACCATTTGACCCAGCAATCCCATTACTGGGTATATACCCAAAGGAATATAAATCATTCTATTATAAAGATGCATGCATTCATATGTTCATTGCAGCACTGTTCATGATAGCAAAGACATGGAATCAACCCAAATGCCCACCAATGATAGACTGGATAATGAAAATGTGGTACATATACACCATGGAATACTATGCATCCATAAAAAGGAACAAGATCATGTCCTTTGCAGGGACATGAATGAAGCTGGAAGCCATTATCCTCAGCAAACTAACGCAGGAACAGAAAACCAAACACTGCATGATCTCACTTATAAGTGGGAGCTGAACAATGAGAACACATGGACACAGGGAGGGAAACAACACACACTGGGGCCTGTCATGGGGGGTGCAGGGAAAGGGAGAGCATCAAGATAAATAACTAATTCATGCAGGGCTTAATACCTAGGTGATGGGGTTGATAGGTGCAACAAACTACCATGGCACATGTTTACCTATGTAACAAACCTGCACGTCCTGCACATGTATTCCAGAACTTAACATTAAATTAAATTGAATTTTTTTAAAAAATTCAGATTTCTGGGCCTTGCCTCAAGCCCATCAGAATCTTTGAAGGTGGGTCCAGGATCTGAGTTATCACAAACTACCCCAGATGATTCCTAAGCAAACCGGCAAAAGAGCTACTAAATTAGTGGTTCGGAGCCTGGGTCAACCATTGTTGATCCAGGCCTGGGGGCCTGACTGGGGGCTTGACTGGGTTAGACTCTCAGCCAATTTATTTACTTCCCTGTACTTTACTTAATCATCAATAAACTGGAGGCAAAAATAGCCCCCACCTCAAAGGACTGTTGTGAAGATAAGAAAAACACTGAGCAGGAAGCTTGGCAAAGAGTAAGTGCTCAATAAACAACACTTTGGAGCTTTTGAAGAAAGAAAATTCTTCACAATTCTTGCTGTTTCCTTCCAAGTGGAGGGAGCCCCATTAGCACAACACTGTCAGCATCTCTCTACCACTGCACTCACTCTGCCACAGGGAAAGTCGTGTGATACCTCATCGATTAACTTGGGAAGAGCAAATTGGAAATGCTTGGCTCAGTTGCTCCCTTTTCCTCTTAAGAATAAAGCTGTCAGATGGCACAGTGGCTCATGCCTGTAATCCCAGCACTTTGAGAGGCCAAGGCAGGAGGATTACCTGAGGTCGGGAGATCGAGACCAGCTTGACCAACGTGGAGAAACCCCGTCTCTACTAAAAATACAAAATTAGCTGAGCATGGTGGCACATGCCTGTAATCCCAGCTACTGAGGAGGCTGAGGCAGGAGAATCGCTTGAACCCAGGAGGTGGAGGCTGCAGTGAGCTGAGATTGTGCCATTGCACTCCAGCCTGGGCAACAAGAGCAAAATTCCGTCTCAAAAAAAAAAAAAAAAGGAACTGTCCCCAAATAGTACACATCCTCCATTGTTCTTCCAGGAGCGAACTCTATCCTTGTATGAGAACGAAGTCAGGGGTAAGGGAGGAGGAGGAAGCTGATGTAACTCTGATCCACCCTGCTTCACTCTTCCCAGGCCCAGCTGGGCTATGATTGCGTGAGTTACCAAACCTAATTCCAGGATTCAGTAGTAGGAAACTATAGTGGCATGGCCCCATTTACTGTCACTGCTTGTAACCCACTGGGGACTTTGTGCTTCCTATCCCTTCTATTCTGGGCTTTTCAGGTTTAGAGGTCCAGGTTCCAGAGGGGGAACCTTCCTACCAAAGGATGTAGCACATGCTGCCAGGACACTTGGGGCCTGTGCCAAGGAACCTCACAAGAAGCGGAGTCACCATCTTGGCAGAGGAAATTGGCCCTGACCAGCAGGAGGAAAGACAGCTGCTGTGCCCAGTAGGGACAAAGAAATCTGGCACCCAGATGATCCACTGTGCACCTCCTGGCACTTCCTCTGACCAGTTTTGATGATCAATGGGCAAGTTCATCAACCAGAGCCTGAGGAAGGCATAATGTCCAGGGACTGGAGTCATTAGAGATGAGGGTCTAGGTCACACCAACCGGCAAGAAGTGTGACTCAACCAGCAGAGGTGTTTCCTGAGGATGAGAGAGACAATGAGTATCAGTTGTGATGGAAGCTGTAGTTTGTCCCACTAATCTTTATTTTACCCTGCCAGGGAACAAGGCTGTGGGAATGCTGGAGATGCTGCTTCCGGAAATGTATGAAATATAGGTCCATGCAGTGAATGCTGTCATGAGCCTCCAAGATCCATCTTGGGGACTGAAGGTCTTCTCTCCCTCCATGGTGAGTGCTGCTGGCTGACAGCCCTCAGCGAATAGCCCTCTCTGGGAATTGCCTTTGACCAAAGATTGCTGCCTCCCCAGGTCACACCTCCTTTTCAGAAGCAGCCTGAACCCAATGACCAGCCCATATAGAAGTATAAAGATTCAAGAGAACAATTGTACAACATGGTGACTTTCATTAATAACAATCTATTGGAGTCTTGAAAATCGCTAAGAGAGTAGATTTTAAGTGTTCTTACCACAAAAAATGGTAAGTACGTGAGGTAATGCATATGTTAAATAGCTCGATTTAGCCCCTCCACAATGTATACATATTTCAAAATATCATGTTGTACACAAGAAATGTATAAAATTTTTATTTGTGAATGAAAAAAGTAATAAATACAACTGTGAGTGCTGCAAATAAAGAAGACGGTATAACTAATTTAGGAGGGTGTCAGAGAGTCATCTTCCAAAGTAAAATATGAACAGATACTATTTCAAACTAAAATATTCACATATAGCAGTATTAGCATTTTTTTTAGTTAATAATTTTTTTAAAGCCAGAAGGATTGTAAGTCATTGCCTCATAGTAGCTGGCAATTGGTGCAGTGGTCATAGCCAGGATCTGTTGTTTGTAGTAACCCTAGGATAACAATTGAGAGTTTTTCATCATGGTAACTTCAGTAAAAATGAAGACTAGATTAAAACAACAACAAAAAAAGTATAAAGACCCAACATGCTCCACAGAATCGGTTGAGATCTTTGATAAGACTGCAGCACTGCTTGACTTTTCCCTCTGCCAATCCTGCTTCCATTCCTTCCCCTCCTATTGGTATAGATCCCAAAAGGACTCCTAATAAACCTCTGCAAGCCAACCTTCATCTTGGATTTTGTTTCCTACTCCCCTGCAACAGAAATTCATTTTGCTCCTGCAGTAAACTACATTCTCCAATCTAGCACTTATTTATACTAAGATGAGATTTGGCCTACAGCTTCCTTACTCTCTGCCTTATTTCTGATTCAGAATATGGACAGGGAATACGGGCACTATTTATCGGACTGCTTCAAAATCCCAATGGCCATTCTCATTAGGAAATCCAGGAAAGATCAGTGCATAGAGGCAGGCAGGGTACAATAGTGTCATTACCACCTGGGCCATCATTTAGGGTACAGGAGCCCTGCCAACGGGCTGAGATCCAGGGAAGCCAGGGATGGACATGACCATGGCAAGAGGGAATTTAATTTCAAGCTTTATTCTCCATAGAAGCAGCCTCACTGCAGAACACCTTTCAGCCAAGGATCAGACCAAGAGTCATTTGACAATAATAAGAGACCAGGTCTCTAAATGCACCTGATAACCTCACCATCCTGGCCAATCCCTAGCAGTGAGGTCCAGTGAGAAGAACACTGGGCTTTGTCCCAACAAGAGTGACCAATATTTGATTGCCAATTTCACTATCACTATCTGCATGACCCTGAGCAAGCTTAACCTAACTTCGCTGAGCCTACTTTCCTCATCTGTAAAATAGAATAAGAAGAACCTTGCAGAGTTGGTGGGAGGATTAAATAAGATAATGTATGTAAAGCTCCTAGCACACAGCCTGGCTTTTAGCAACTCACAGCATTAGTATTTTTCACATAAAGAGTTTTTAAGCTTCTCAACGTGATGCGTTATGACTGGTTGCTCCTAGCCAATTCATTTACCTCCCACTGTGCCATTTCTAAATAGGGAGACTATTTACACTTGGACAGAACAAGACGTAGGTTTTTGAGCAGCTATATAGGGCAGGGAGCCATCTAATGAGCATGGCTTATTTTTATCCACCACTTTTGCATCTTAGACATGGCTATTTGGATACAGGTCAGCCCTTCCAGTAAAATATTGTTCCTGCTCACCTGCAATGGGTGATTTATATAACTCCACTTGGCCTCAAAGGACAGAAAAGCAATCAACTCCAAGTGGAGAGAGGTGTTACGGCACAACTTAAGGCTGTATGAGAATGAAAGACCAGAAGGTCAGGACTGGGAATTGACAGAGATAGTGACATGGGCAGGACCAGGATCTTCACTGGGACAGTGCCACCCCAGAAATGAGGTCTTCTTGGTTCAGTTGCAATTTGCGAGTCACTGGCCAATACCCTAGAGTCCATTGCAGGAAAGCAATACCAGTGATTCAGGGAAATCTTTTACCCCAAGAGGGGGAAATACTGGAAGAAAATGTCAAAGAAATTAGATAAATCGATGCCCAAGGCTGCCATCAGGAAAAACCCACACCCCTGCCCAGCCCTTTGGTATCATATCCTTCAGGCTTCTGTTGGCAACAGAATCTTTGGCTGAAGGAGCCACTGTCTGACCGGTCTGTCCCCATATCCCTGGACTCCAGCTTTGGAAAAATGAGGAAATGGGCCTGGCCAAGGGGAGCAAGATAAGCAAGGGAGCATCCCAAGGAGCCCAGACTCCCAGCCCCCACTGAGCTGGCCACTTGCTCAGGCTGCAGGACCCTAGGATGTGACCTGACTGGCAGCCAGGAGCACAAGTCCACCAAGCCATCCAGGGAGTGACCCTGCCAGCTCCCACGTCTGTTTTCCTCCCAAGCACACTACCACCAAGCATATACCTGGACAAATCCAGGGGAATTTTGATTCTGTGTCCCCAACTTTCTTTCTCCTCATTCTTTTCCTGTCTTTCCACCTTCCACCATGACCCACGTGGTAGTAACACCGTTTCTGCAGAAACTGCTTTGAGGAAAAAAAAAGCCTGGAGCAGATTTATCCTCTGAAATTGTGTTCTCCTGGATGGCTTCCTGGTTAATGCTCATGGGATTACAAAATGGAAGGCTTTGTCTTGTGTCAATAGCATTCTAACATCAAGAGAGGATAAAGGAGGGGCTTAGGGGCTCCAGAGGGATCTGGTGACTCTGACTCTTCTGAAATTACAGCCCTGGCTGCCCACACAGGAGACTGAGCTCCTGCCCAGCAGCCATCACATGGTGAAACCATCCCTATAAACTTTATAAAGTTAATCATGGAAGAAGAGGGGGAGAGAAATGAAAATAAATCCAGCTTGCAGCACACTCAGCATTCATCATGAGGCCAGCCTGCTCTCTAGCCCACTTCCTCAGAGCTGTTTGATGCCTATTGCCTCAGAATCACATGGAGCCTAGATTAGAGTTCCCCATCACTGCTCTATAGATAACAACTTGAACATTATGAAATGTTAATTTTTCTATTTGAGATATTCTTTTAGGTCCTGCACACCATGTGACACTACTGACATCAGCTGGTCTGAAGGACCCCATGAGAAACTGACTTCACAAAGAATGCAGTTTCCACATCCTAATAATTTCATCCTCCTTACCCCAACCAATCCACAACCCCAGTTTTCCAGCCCCTTGCCCTCCACAATTATCTTGTAAACCTCAGCTCAAAAATCCTCCAGAAGATGAATGTGATGGTCTACTCCCATCTCCTTTCTTGGCTGCCTTGCAATCATTAAACTCTTTCTCTGCTGCAAACATTGCTGTCTCAGTGTATTGGTCTATTACTGCACAGGGAGCACATGAACCTGTTGGTCCTATAACAATGGGACTCTTAGACAAACATATAACAACAATAACATTGCCATCAATTGAGCACTTCTTGTGAAGCTAAGAGCTTCACGTACATTATTTGATTCATCACAATACCTCCAAAAAAGTTGGTATTATCATCTTCCTATAAGATCAGAAAACTGAGACTTGGAGAGGACAAGTAGCTCACCTAAGTCACATAGCTAATAACTGGCAGAGCCAAGATTCAGCCTCAGTTCCAGCTGACTTCAGAGCCCAAGCTCTTCACTACTCTTAACTCTGGGTAGCTACAGATGCTCCAAGATGGGCCAAGTGCATATTTCAGCTCAGGCCCCCTTCCTCCAGAATACTCTCCCTAATCCCAAGCCTTCTCACCCCTGAGCTGGTTTAGGAGGCCCTCCCATCTGCTCCCCTAGGGCCAGGACAAATCTTAGTCACAGCTGCATTGTTTCATTTGTTTATGTGCATGCTCCCCTCAGAGGAAACAAGTTCTTGTATGGTTTTTGGAAGCAGGGACTATGTCTTATTTGGCTTTACATCCTTGTCCCCTGTGTAGGATCTGACACATAGTCATGCCGAGTCTTAAAACTTTAGGCTTTCCCAGAGACTAGACTGTTTTAGACAATCCAGTTAAGTTTTATCACTGGCATGTAATCTGGGGTGCTTGGTTTGGCTCAAACCATTGAAAATTTTTCAAACTAAAGGCCTGCACCAGCCGAGTTCCTTCTCCTGCATCCTGTCTGGGAACTTGAAGTCGAAGCATGGAGGATGTAGCTGTGAGTTTCCTGAAGTGAGCACTCAGGTCCCAAATCACTCTCTCATCTCCTCTGACAGCCTAAGCTTGGTTCCTTTCAATTATATGCATGAAAAATAGCATTTAAACTAGTAAAGTCTCATCCCCAGTGTAATCTTAAATTGTTCAAAATCACAGTAATGATCCTTTAAATAGAATCATAGCTTTGCCTCTCTTTGTCACCACGTCCTTGCCTTTAAAAAGGAGAATCAACAGCCGGGCATGGTGGCTCATGCCTGTAATCCCAGCACTTTGGGAGGCCAAAGCAGGAGGATCACTTGAGGTCAGGAGTTCAAGACCAGCCTGGCCAACATGGTGAAACCTTGTCTCTACTAAAAAAAAAAAAAAAAAAAAAAAAAATTTAGCCGTGCATGGCGGTGCACGCCTGTAGTCCTAGCTACTCAGGAGTCTGAGGCATGAGAATTGCTTGAACCCAGGAGGCAGAGGTTGCAGTGAGCCGAGATTGCGCCACTGCACTCCAGCCTGGGCAACAGAGTGAGACTCTGCCTCAGGGCAAAAAAAAAAAAAAAAAAAAAAATGAGAATCAACATGATCACCAACAGAGACTATTTTTAGGATTGTTGATAGTTTCTAATAAAATTAGCTAAATATAATTGTCATTGGTTATTAACTTGATTGCTGAAGCCAACTATAAATAGAGGGTATCTCTTGGACATCAAAGTAAAATCCAGAATCTCTAAAACTCATTTCAGCCGACAAGTTAACTCAGGCCCACGGCACAGTTCAAAACTTGGGCTCTGGAGCCAGACTCACTGGCTGATTCCCAGCTTGCTGGCCTTGTGATCTCTTCCCTGACCTGAGTTTCTTCACCTGCAAATACAGGGAAAACATTGGCACTTTACCTATAGGATTATTGCGAGAGTTTAGTAAAATAATTCAAATGAAGTACTCAGCATGTTGCCAAGCATTTAGAAATGCTTAAGTGTAATTAAAATTACTCAATTAAAATAAAATCAGGCCGGGCGCAGTGGCTCACTCCTGTAATCCCAGCACTTTGGGAGGCCAAGGCGGATAGATCACTTGAGGTCAGGAGCTCGAGACCAGCCTGGCCAACATGGTGAAACCCCATCTCAACTGAAAATATGAAAATTAGCCAGACATGGTTGCAGGTGCTTATAATCCCAGCTACCTCTGAGGCTGAGGCAGGAGAAACGTTTGAACCCTAGGAGGCGGAGGTTGCAGTGAGCTGAGATCGCACCACTGCACTCCAGCCCGGATGACAGAGTGAGACTGTCTAAAAATAAGTAAGTAAATAAATAAAATTTAAAAAATTAAAAAACTTATGTCTGTTTAAGATAAAATTAAAACTTTCCAAAGAAATTTGGTCCCTTAAAAAGTAAGTTCTGTCAGCAGAAAGTCAGTCTTGTTAACTGTCAGAAACTGTGCCTGACAAGTCTCCCAGGAGCCACGAGATTCGTGACTAAGTTCACTCGTGTGAGAATGAGAAAGATGGAGTCTGCGGATCTGCTCATTTTGTCAGGGGCTGTTTTCCTGCCCTGGGGTAATTGGGCACAAGAATAGATTCATTTTCGGCCAGGTGTGTGGCTCACACCTGTAATCCCAGCACTTTGGGAGGCCAAAATGGGCGGATCACAAGGTCAGGAGATCGAGACCATACTGGCCAACATGGTGAAACCCCATCTCTACTAAAAATTAGCAGGGTGTGGTGGTGCGTGCCTGTAATCCCAGCTACTCGGGAGGCGGAGGCAGGAGAATCCCTTGAACCAGGGAGTTGGAGGCTGCAGTGAGCTGAGATCACACCACAGCACTCTAGCCCAGTGACAGAGCGAGATTCTGTCTCAAAACAAACAAACAAAAAAAGAACAGATTCATTTTCTGCAGTGTCATCTTCCTTGTGCCCAACACCCCTGGCATCAGACTTTGCTCACTATTCCAGTTTTATTCTCTTGGTGCCCTCCATAGTGGGCTGCAAGGCACAGTGGGTTCCAGCTATGACCAGGAATCTGTCCTGATCCATCGGATCATGTGCTCTTGGGCAAATTCCCTCTCAGTTCAATTTGGGACTACCCTCTTCCATCTGGAGAGGTCACAATTCCCTTATTTGGGCAGTGCTAGAGGGGACCACACCTGAGCCAGGGCCAGGAGGAGCAGCAGAACTGAGAAGGTAAGTATACGAGAGGTGTTCTTGGTCCCTGGTTTGCCCAGGACCATCCCAGTTTTAGCACTGAAAGTCCTGGGCAAACTGGGATGGTTGGCCACCCTAGGAAAATCCTAAAGGTCCCCTCGTAGGTGGATTGTGCCAAGGTGTCAGGTCATGTCAAAGGTTGGGAGGAAGCCCAACAGTGCTAACCCCAAACTTTCTGACTGTTTTATAATGGCCCTTTTGATTTATTCAAATGCCTTCAGAGAAAACAGCACAATTCACCAGCCTCTCACTGTATAAGAGCTTTGATGTAATTAAGAATCATTTTTATTTCATCTTCCTGTGTTCTCCGGATTGAATAATACCAGTCCCTTCCAGTTGTGCTGTCATGCCATATTCCCTGGTTACTCTCCTCTGACCCCACCCCATCCTGGCCCCTGGCCCCTCACTTAGAACCAGAGAAAGACCAAAGGCTCCAGGGAATTGTCCCCAACTCTGGGTGGAATTCTCATCTTTGGAGTCCAGTCGGGAGTGTGAGCTGCAGGGTCAGGGCTCACAAGGTTCTAACCTGGCCTAGTCTGAACTTGAGTGTTCATCACAAGCACCCAGTTTCGCTCTGGACTTTCGGAGGGGAATGGGAAGGGGAGATGTACACAGGAAAATGTCTGACTCAGGGTGAAACCAAGTCAGAGTGGTGGGACTTTCTCCAGAGTGTCCCTTTTCTTACTTACGACCCCATCTCTCTCTCCTGGCTCTTTGAAGCAGCCCCCTATGAGAACAGCAGCATGGTCTGCATGTTACCAGAACCCCACTGCAGTGACACCTCCACCAAGAAGTCTCCCCAGCTCTCCTAGCTTTCTCATCAGCCTCCTCTAAAAATTCCTGGTGCTCCCAGAGATTGTACCATAAAAATTTGCACTTAATGACTACTTTGTTTCATTCCTCAATTGGTTCATGTTGATTCTCTTTTCCCAATGGTATTTCAAGATATTTTTGGAACAAGAAGCTTGTCTCACTTAACTTACTCACTTGTTTTTTCCTAAACCTTCACAGCACCTATCAGGGTGTCAGGGAGCTAAAAAGTACTCAGTAAATACTATCAAAAGATGGCGAATGAATTCTGAACACACCATCCCCCAGCATGACACCTTGCACACTAAAGCTCAACACGTGTTTGTTGAATGAATGAATGAATGAATGAATGAACACTCCTGTCTCCTACTTATCCACATTCCTGATATTCGCCACCCTGGTTTTCGGAAAAACAAAAATATATATATATATAAAGATGGAATGAGACAAAAATATGATAGAGTTGGATGAAGTACTTGGTATTTAAGTTTTTTTTTACTTCTTATGGGGATATCCTGGCTTCTTATCTGCTCTCTTGGTGGGGGAGCTAGAGGTATATTTGAAAAACACACCCACCATAGACCCATCCTCTAGAATTTTTGCTTGTATCTCATTTCAAAAACCCCCTGCTTCTTCAGTAGCTGTAAAGCAAGCCACAGGATGGCAAAAAATTAACATGAAAAAAAAGTAGCATACATTTAAACTGCTGATATTCTGAGAGAAAATCTTTCAGAGTACTTTTAATGCTTTTAGCTGCTATCTACACACTCTGCAAGCAGATTTCTATTTACTAATGACGGCAATTAAGGCAAGGTCTTAGGCTTAACAAAGTGATTTTTTACTGTAGCAGATATGCTAATCAACTTTCCTGCCATGCTCAATTTTTTCATCTAGCTTAGTATTTGTGCCCACAGCCTCAGAACTGGGAAGCCTCTGCTATGACATGCATCTTTCTGGCCACATATGGAAACCTGATTGGCAATGGCCAGTGAGATTCTATGTAAAGAAACTTGAAATGAATGGTACAGAATTTTAGCCCTGTAACCTTTCACATATCACTTATTCTCAGTTTCCTCATTTGCAAAATAGGCATATGATTTTGGAATTAAATGTAATCACTTTAGCAATGTAGTTAACATACTGCATAGACAAACAACTGCTCAAGAAATGTTAGCCATTGCAAAAATAAAAATTGTAAAATACATTAGTGAGGCCGGGCACAATGGCTCATGCCTCCTGAGTAGCTGGGACTACAGGCGTTTGCCACCATGCCTGAGGTGGGAGGATTACTTGAGCCCAGGATGTTGAGGCTGCAGTGAGTCAAGATTGCAACACTGCACTGGGTGACGGAGTGAGACCCTGTCTCAAAAAAAAATTATAGTAAAACACATTGTTTTTATGGTTGGTGCTAATGCTGAACTGAAAAACATATGAAGTTGGATCCTGAAGTGGTCATATTAAGCTATGAGCACTAGGAGAAGAAAAGGAACTAAAAAGAAGCAGGGATGGAAGAGACCACAAGTTCTTGTCTTCCCAGTCCACCTATAAAACTGATTTTGGGCTCCCAGATGTTCATAAAATTGACTCTGATGCCCATAAGTAAATGCCTTGTGGTAGCCAGCATCCAAGACGGCCCTTGATCCTCACCTCCTAGCTACCATGCCCATGTGCAGTGTCCTCCCAAGCTAGGTCATAAAACACATTGACTTCTCCCTCTCTCTCTAATCACTCTGGTAGAAGCCATGTACCATGTTGTGAAAAGGGGCCAACATTATGAGGAACTGAGGCCTCCTGCTAACAGCCCTATGAGGGAGCCCTTCAGAAGCAAATCCTCCACCCTGATCAAGGCTTCAGATGGCTGCAGTCCTGGCCAACATCTGGACTCCAACCTCAAGAAGACTCCTGAGCCAGAACCACCAGCAACGCATCTCCCAGTTTCCTGGTCCTCAGAAACTATGAGATAATGAATGCTTGTTTTTTTATGCAACAAGGTTTTGTAGTAATTTATTACATAGAAGTAGATAACTGATACATGCTCTTTTGTTTAAACAGAATTGAGTGCATTTCTGTACCTTGCTGTCTATGTTTTCAGGCCAAGATACTTACTTTAAAAACATTAGTTTAATAAGAAATGCGAACAGAACTATAATTGTTAAAGTTTTTCATTTTCATTTTCTTTTTCTGAGAAAAAGAAAAGTTTTTCATTTTCTTTTTCTGAGATATACAGAAGTTGACACTAGTTTCAAAGCTTACTGCTTATTCACCTGCCTGTCAACCACCTATTTTCCTTCACATTCATTCATCTATCCATGCTATGTCTTAAGACTGGGGTTTTAAGATAGAAGTACATGGATAAATAATATACGGTACTGGGGGCAAGAAATTTTCTTTTCTAGAAATCCTTTTGGGGAAAAGTTTTTCAGAAAATGGTTTTTTGACCAACTGACTTGGGGTAAAAGTTGAGCCTCCAGGGCATGATTTACTTTGGTATAAGATTGTAGGATATAGACCTGGCGTGGTGGCTAATGCCTCGGATCACGAGGTCAGGAGTTCGACACCAGCCTGACCAACATGGCGAAACCCCATCTCTACTAAAAATACAAAAGTTAGCCAGGTGTGGTGGTGCATGCGTGTAATCCCAGCTACTCAGGAGGCTGAGGCAGGAGAATTTCTCAAACCTGGGACGCAGAAGTTGCAGTGAGCTGAGATTGTGCCACTGCACTCCAGCCTGGGCAACAGAGCGAGACTGTGTCTCAGAAAAAAAAAAAAGAGTATAGGATATATGGAGGGAGGGAGTTTGGAAGTCACATTTATTTGTGCATCTGAAGAAGAAACACAAGAATGAGATAAAGGGAGAAGGGGTGAAGAGCAAAGGCTCTATGATACGACTCTTCCCTTTGCCCCTCCCTATCATCTTGAGTAAAATTATTAAATTCACAAAATAGTTGAGACACAATTGGAGAGGTGGAAACCAGTGAAGGGGCAAGCCTTTGTGTCCATGCTGATGTACTGGAATAAAGACCGCCAGGAAGACCTAAAGCACAGAGGCAGAGAGCAGGAAAAGGAGTAAGCCTCAGGGACACAGAGAAACCATAAGGAGGACTTCGAAGTTTCACAGAGCTATGATAGTGAGGATTTGAAGTTTGGTTAAACCTCTAAGGGCCCTGAGGTCCCAGTGGGCATATGGATGGATGAATGGATGGATGGAGACAGAGGCAGAGAAATGGACAGGTGTGAACTCCTGGAGGACTGAGAGAAGAAGCCTCATCTTATTCATCTTTATGCATTTTATGTTGTACATGGCAGAGGTTTTATAAACTTGTATGGCATAAATGAATGAATGAGCGGATAAATAATATATGAATGAATAAACAGATGAAAGACTTGCAGGTACTAATTATCTAATATATGCACTCTATCCAATACCCGTATAGTCATCTTGAAACTTAAACTTACATAAACTGTGTTTTTTTCATACGGTTACACATATTTCAGGTTGCAGAAGATATTCTATCTGCTTAAGTATCCTTACCATAAAGCAATACTTCATTGCTTACAAAAGCCCATCTTTCTTCTGGTTCATCAGACAAATATTTATGTTGTCTTCACTTTCTGCTAGGGGAGCAACGGAGAGGGGAGAGATTGCAGAATGAATGTAACCAACTAAGGCATCAATATGTCTCCAGCCTGAGCAAAGTGGGAGCTACTACAAATGAGCTTGCTAGTACAATAAATGTATTCCGATTCCCTTTCTAAGGCTGCTCCAGGATTCTGGAAGTGAACATGCCATTCTTCTCTGCATATCTGAACTGCTCTTGTCATTAGTAAAATGTGAGAGTCTTCTATGTATGACGTTCTAAATCAGCCACAAAGACTCTGCCATCTCCACACACATCAGCTCTGCTGGTCTGCACTGAAGCAATTCAGGTCTGCTGGCTGCTTCAGATTAACTGAATTTAACTGTCTTTTTTCCTAATCGAGGACTTCAATAAAAAGGAGATCATTCCAATACCAGCTGTCAGTCCCAGTGCAGTCCTGGTAATTACCACCTTGTCAGACTTTGAAATCCTCCTTCTATGCCAGAGTTCTGAGTTCATCTGAATTTATGAATTATTTGCAGAAATAACAAAACCTATCAGATTACCTTTCAACTTCATTCAAAATGAAATTAACTGGCAAGAAGACATAATGGCTTATGGGAAGACTTTCATACCCTTAAAATAGCAAACTGATTTCCTCTCTCTTTTACCAACTCTGCCTTTCCCTCACAGTTCTCTCCAATTAGCCCGCTACTTCCTTTTTCCTCTCACTGGAGGCTTAAAAGAGCAGGAAACTGGAAGGGCCAAATCATTTTTTAAAGTGCGTGCCGGTGTGTGTGTGTGTGTGTGTGTGTGTGTGTGTGTGTGGTGTGTGTGTGTGTGGTGTGTGTGTGTGTGTGTGTGTGTGTGTGTGTGGTGTGTGTGTGTGTGTGTGTGTGTGTGTGTGTGTGGTGTGTGTGTGTGTGTGTGTGTGTGTGTGTGTGTGTGTGTGGTGTGTGTATAAATGCTGCTCATTCTGAAATGGTTTCAACATCTTCCTACTCAATCCCCACCGCCCACCCCCCAACACCAACTACTGCTGGTGAGGTTCTGGAAAGCAATCTTTGAACATGAAAATTAAACAAAAAGGACATTAGGAACAGAATTATTCTTTTTCCTTTTCTTTCCTTTTTCTCCTTTCATCACCTAGAAGGTGATTTATAAATGTACAGCTCCAGCTCAAAACTCTTTCCTCAGACCCTTCCATTCTACAATCTTCTAAACATCTTATCTCAATGACCAATTGACATTTAAACTCAACATATCCATGGTGGGGACAGCTACATGCTCACCAAAACCCACCTAGACTACATTTCCCAATCTGCTGTGTGGGATGAAGGTTGTACCAACTTCTGACCCAAAATTTGGTTTGGACGTTGAGAACTGACTAATGCCACACATGCACCAAGAGAGGATGAACAGACTCATCACTCACATAATGAGGCTTTCAGGGAGAGCAGGGCAGGCTCCCAAGCATGTCCAAAAATGGCTTGAGAGAGCAAGGAGGGGTGATTGGCTCTGGCTTTTGCTGTTGCTAGGGGTTGGGTCCAAGGTGAGGGTTCCCAATGTAGGCCAGGTTTTGAACTTCCTTGGTGTCAAGGGAGGGAGCATAAAACTTTCCTATTGGTTTGCTCACATGGGAGACAGAAGGAAGAGGGGGAGCTATGGGGCTTGAAAGGTGTCAGTAGTCAAACATCAAAAACAGAGTAAGTCTCTTTAGTACGCTATAGCTAGAATTCTCCTATTCAGCTTCAAAACCGAACACATTATCTTTCCCCTAAACAACTTCCCTTTCTCAAGGAATAGCCCTACCACCTACCACATACAAAGCCAGAAACGTACCCTTTTCACCAAGCCTCAAAATTTCCATTTTCTCATAGCATTTCTCAACAACCTCCTCCTTGCCACCCTTTTCTTTCTCGGATGAGAAAACCACTGGAGGGGTCAAGGGCTCAGTCCCTGAAGTCCTTCTACCCAGGTTTGAATTCTAGATCCACACCTACCTCCTTGCTAGTTTGTAATCTTGGACATGTACTGAATCTTTCTGTACTTCAGTTTCTTCATTTGTAAAATGGAAATAGTTATAATACTTACCTCCTCAGATTTGTCATCAGGATAGAATGAGTTAAAATTTACAAAATGCTTAAACTAATGCTTGTCACACAGTAAGTGCTACATAAATGTTTGCAATTTTTCTCTCACCTGGGTTTCTGCAGTAATTTCTAACCATCTCCCAATGATTTTTGTTTTCTCCAATTCATTCTCCACTTGAAAGCTAGAACAGACTTTCTAAAGCCAAATCCGACCATGTTTCTCATCTTATTTTAAAGCTCCAATCAAATTTGGACATTCCAACCCTCCCTTACATTGACTCTGACCTCTTCGCTTTCTCTACCGGAAAGGGCACAACAGAACTGGATTATTGGCCAAAGACACAGCCAATCCCAGCCAAAGGAGCCATCAAGAAATGTCCAAAGACAACTGCTAATAACAGTAACACACATGAGTTAAGAAGTAAAAATGAAATAGCATTCCTGAATCCAATGATATTTCTGGTAGAAATAATCAAAATAAAATAAATGTGACAATGTTTAAAGTAGCCCATGATGAAATGTGTGACAGATGAATGTACTGAAGAACTGCTTCTGATTGATAACAATGGAAACTGCACGATTTGATATGGAGAGAGAATGGAATTAGTAAAACGTTCAAATAAGAGTTCCAGTGGCTAAAACATCCCATAATAAAATGTGTTCATGACTAGACATTGATAAAAGAATGTGGTGTTGCAAAATTTAACTTTGGGGATTTGAATTTGGTAAATTGGTGGTTTCATAGAAAACTCACAATGGCAGAAGCTACAACTTTCAAAAACTAATAAATTTAATCTTTGTCATAAAATTTACACAGAAAATAATCGATCCCAGGGAAATAATTTTAGAAAAATGAAAATGGAAAAATTTGGAAATAGTTTATTAATTCTATATTAAAAATTATCCAAGGAATTAAACTGGCCCAACGGAGTTCACTCTAGAAATATCTTTCTCAGTGAAAAGCTATCAAGATTGCTAAGGTTCTCGTTTTAAAATTAGTATTTTTAGACACAGAGTAAAAAATTGACCTGGGGGGTTCAAAACTGTAGTGTCAAAGATGCCTTGTACTCCAACTAGACAACAACCTTCACAGAGGTCTAGGACCCTCTAACAAGCCAAGGACGGCTTCTGAAAAAAAAAAAAAAAAAAAAAAAAAACAAGAGCTGGGCAGCAATTTCTTTCCCTCTTGTCCCAAAGCCAATTTCTAAAGCACTTTCATCCAATATTCTCAGATACAGCCATATTTTAAGCATATTCTTAAAGCAGAAGAAAAGTCAACTCCTTCTGTGACTATAAAAGTAACAACCCCTCATATCGGTATTGCATTTTCTATACTGCAAATTGATTTCATGTAAATAAGCTTATTTAGTATTCACATCATCCTCACAAAATTATGCATTAGCGCTCCCATATTGTAGTTGAGTAAACTGGGACTCAGAAAGGTTGAGAAATTTGACTAACATCACCCAACTGACAAGAAGTAGAGTCAGAATTCCAGTTTAGGTCTTTCTCATTCCAAGACCAGAGCTCATTCCATGAGGTAAGATTTCACTGATCACCTGATTAACATCACAGCCCCAGTTGGAACTCCAGGCTCAGGAAGGCAGCAGATTATGAACCCCAGAGTTCCCAATCATTCCCAAATAGCCTTGGACCCTGGAGTCAACTGTATACCCCTGGGATCACCCATCATTCAGCACCACCACTCCCATTCCCAGGCTTCTGGCCTCTTCCAGGTACAGGAGGAGGAGGGCATGTAGTGCCTTGACTGAGCCCAGGCCAGATGACATTACCCAACCAGCTCAATCCTGCCTTCTCCCCTGCTTCCCTTGGGACCAGGCCGACCAACCCTCAGAAATGTTGGATATGAAAAAAGGGAAACCTTGTAGAGGTGATTAGTTTAAAGTCATTCTTGCTGTCCTTATGCTCTGCTCTCATCCCCTCCCTCACCTTTCACAGGCCTAGCTTGGAGAACTTCCAAGGGTTTGTGGGCAGAGCAAGAGCCTCTGAGCCGTTTCTGCCAGAAACATTGGACAAGAGCTGAGCCAATGAAGGACTTCAGACCATCTCTTAGACACCCGGGGCACTGTGGGCGGGTTTCCTGTGTGTCACTCCCCAACTGCTGCTCCCCTGGCCATAAGCCAGACTCTCTCATGCCAATAAATAATATGCAAAGGCCTGGCTTTTTTGTTTGTTTGGGTTTTTGTTTTCGTTTTTGTTTTTGGTTAATGTTTTCTAAATTGTTACATGTACAAAAGGTGATGGAGTTTAACAATAATCACTCTGCGACTCCGGAGAGCCAGTTGTCTTTGTTCCTTTAGGCCTAGGAGTCATATGTTTTAGTGATTCAGAGAAGAAAGAGAAGAATTCAGAAGAAGAAACCACTCCACCTTAGTCTGGAGTGATCTCTGCAGTGGTAAAGGACAATCTGCTGATGCCCTTCGCATGCCCTTTCCTGTTTTACTGCTACTGAACCCGACAGGATATTGCCAGGACACAGCCTGCATGGGCCTGCCACGTTGCCTTAACATTCCTCCCTGGGATACTGATTCCTATTTACTATGAGGTTATCTCTGCCTTCTGCTGGTTCTAATCATCGAAAATTCAATTTAATTCAACATATATTTACTATGGGCCTAGTAAGGACAAAGCCAGCTCCGAAGCTATCTAAATAAATACCTGTCCTCAAAGGGCTTATAATTGATGGTATCCTGAATTCGGCCCTATTTTTTCTGCATTTCAATTATGTGGTTTGTCATTGTGTTTTGCTCAATTTGGGGCAAGTCCTATTTCTTTACAGTACTTCTGATAGTTGGTTCCATATTTGGAACCATTCCATCCCATGGTACACACTCATCCCTCAGTCTTCCATCAACCCCAGAAAGCTCTGCCTCATGCCTCTCTCTGCTGAGTCTCCACTGCTGCCTTTCACAGAAAAGTGCTTTGCAAACAGTGCCCCTCTTGGTGCTTCTGACCAAAGGTCCCACTGAGACAGATTTGAAAAGGACTGCTTGTGTTTAGCCCAGCAGTTCCACACACATTTGACCACAGAACGGTCCTTTCGCCTAACACTTCTCCAGAACCCTCATTGGGAAGCAACTGCTTCAACCAACACCATCTGAAGAGCAAGGGGTGGGGTGGGGGTGCTGTTTTCACCCAAGTCCTGGTTTCTACCCTCTTGGAGCCTTCATGTCTTTGAAGACAGTCTTTTAGACTTCTCTCCCCAGTCCTGTGAAATTGACTCTGGATGCCCTGCTATGGGCAGGCTCAGATTTCTCAATGTCCCTCCTAAAGCACATGGTTGCCTTCACCCCTTCTATATTTTGCTGCTGACTTTTTTGAGCCCAATCTTAAGACCTTTCACGTATGCCTATTGTATTTCCTCTAGTGAGTCTGAGCTTATGATATTTTTTAAAAAAATCTCTTCCTGTCCTGATTGAATCCTTTTCAGTTTTGTGTTAGCCCAGAATTGATCAATTGCCTTCATCTGAAAGTCACTGATAATAAGCAGTGAAGAGGACAGCGTCAACTGCAAAGCCCCAAGGTACTCATTCAGGATGGCCTTCCACCTCCCGTGAACCAGTGCTGTTGGGTTACCACTACTTAGCTCCCTAGAAAGTATCATTATCCAACTGGGGCTGAACGTCTGCACCTGGCATGGGCTGGGCTTCCTCAAACTGTGAAGCTGAAACCTATGTTGGGGTTTCCCAGTAATGCAGACCTGGGGGGCATGTGTCTCAAATGAAAAATGTGATCTGGCCTCATTTTCTTATTTTCACCTAGAAGTGGTTATGCTAGAGCTGCCGTTGGGTCCTTATGACTAATTTTTCCACTGGTACCTGTAACACCATTAGATATGCGCTACACCTCAGGGCATAGGTGTTTTGAATGCAAGCATAAAATATTACTGAAGAACATAGAACTGCTGATTTTAAAGACTGGTCCACTACGGTGCAGGGTTCCTAACCATCCTTTGGGGATCTGGCTCATCTGCTGCGCATCTCCATTTCACTGACAGGGCTTATAGAGTCTGGGAAGTGGCCTCGACATCACACTTATTTTCAACTTAGCTCTGGGAAAATAAGAACAGCATCACAAGATCTGTCCTAGGAAGCCACTTACAAAACTTCCCCCAAAGCCTCTAGTGCTGCCCTGCTGTTTTGATTGCAGCTATCAAAACAGACTGTCCCAGGCATGGGGGCCTGATTGATGGGTTTCATTATAATTTGATGTGGGGACTAGTATTTAGTGGGGCTCTCATTTTCCCTACTTCCTCTGCTCTAGAAGATCAGAAATATAAAACCGCCAGAAAGGTGATCTTGTTTTTCTGATGTGTCAAGCATTTTTGAAAAGGACAAGGTTTACTGTCAGATTCCTGTTTGATGTTTGAACAGAAACACTGTGGTGGCATTTAAGTCTCTCTGCTGGCTGTCAGGCAGGCAAACTCTGGGACATAAAACCACCTTTTCGCACTGTTGCTTCTTTAAGCCAAAAGGTATGTGTCTGCCCCTTGAGGTACTCTGGGGTCCAGTGAGGAGACTGGCCTGCCTAGAGGAGGCCGTGTATGTAGAGGAATTGCCCTAAGAATGGCGAGGGAGGGGGACATCCACAGAGAGTAAATACTCTCACCATGGCCAATTTCAAGCAATCAATGGGTCATCACTGAATGCAAAGCTGGGAAGAGATACACAGCAGCATACCGTCACATAGCATTTCTGCCACAGATACAATAGACATAACCTCAAGTAAAATGTAGTAAAATAATTGGGAAGTGGTGAGTTTGACTAGGTATTACCTTTGTTTTTAAAATTATTTATTTAATTGTAAGTTTACATAACTTCAGTTTTAATAATGGCTCTGTTTAACAACTATTTAGTAAAATCCCTAAAAAACTAAACAGTTGGCTCTCATAAGCCTGTACAAGTCACTTTTAGCACCCCACTGGCTGGGAAGAAATGTGGGCATCATGTGGTAGCTAAGAGGTCAAGTTCATAGCACCCTTGGCGTATCCAATACTATCTAGGCAGAATTTAACAGGGGCAGAAATGACCACAGAGTGGGTGGGTGGGAGCAAAGCCTGGAAAATGCTATTTTGTTGTGGCTGTTTTGACCCTGTTTCTATTTCTATTTCTGGATCATGGGCAGCAACTGAAACCCAATCCGACGTGTGGGCACTGAGGTCTCCCTCTGCAAATGCAGCTGTGTGAAATGCTTCCATCATGTGCCGCTCCCCACAAGGAAAGCCTGCTCCTGCTCCCTGCTAAACTGGACAGAGCTAAAACTTGGCCGGGCATGGTGGCTCATGCCTGTAATCCCAGCACTTTTGGAGGCTGAGGCGGGTGGATCACCTGAGGTCAGGAGTTTGAGACCAGCCTGGCCAACATGGTGAAACCCCATCTCTACTAAACATACAAAAATTAGCTGGGCATAGGGGCGGGCACCTGTAATCCCAGCTACTCAGGAGGCTGAGGCAGGAGAATCACTTGAAACCAGGAGGCGGAGGTTGCAGTGAGCTGAGATCGTGCCCCTGCACTCCAGCCTGGGCAACAGAGTGAGACTCGGTCTAAAAAAAAAAAAAAAAAAAAAAAAAGCTACAACTTGCCCCCACCTTTCCCTAGAATGTGTGGTTGTGTCCTGAAGGCTTACTCCCTTGGTCAGCTCCTCCTCTCCTTTGCCTGGGATGAGCCAAATCACAGGGCATGTCCCAGGATGCCCCCTCAAACGCCCACAGTGAGTAGTGCCTTCTGCCTGAGCCTCAGGAACAGAGGCAGCCCCAAGATGTCCAGCTTGGACCGGCAGCTCCGAGGCCTGGAGAAGGCTCTGCCCAAACAGTCATTTGCCAGAGCACAGATGAAAACAGAACAGCCCAAGTCCAGGAAGAGAAAGGGTTATGGAAATGGATCTGTGTAACGACACAGCGTGAGTGCAATTAATTGTTGTCAAAGCATTTTGCTGGCTGCATTCATCTCTTATGTAGGAGAACAAAACTGTCATAACGATGACAACTTTATTCAACATTGGTGCAATTACCAAACCTAAAAATAGGATGCAAAGGGAGGATTTTCTTGAGAGGGCTGAGCTCTGCTACCCATGTTGCATGCCTGGAACAGTCCACCCTGAAGATGGAGAGGGGAAAGGAGGGAGCTAAGATTCATTGACTGTCGTCATGTGTTACCAGAAGAAGCATTTTACCCGTTTTTATCTACATAATCCTCCCTTCCCCTCTTTGAAGGGAAGTGCCGTCGGGTGCAGCACTGAGGACCGAGATTTGTTGAGCACCAATTTTGAGACAGGCTCAACAAGCATTCTGTACATAATTTACTTAAATTATCACAAGAATACTGAAAGGGAGGTATTATTAGCCTCATTTTACAGATAAGAAAGTTGAGTCTCTAAAGGTTAAGAAGTTTGCACAAGATCCTGTAGCCAAAATCCTTCCGATTATAAAGTCATTCACATAGAATTGCTTGCTGTGAAACATGTGAGCTCAGCAGAGCCACACTGCTGTCCCATCGTCATCCCCTTTTCTCTTCTATCTCACATCCCACTGTCCTCGTGGACTCTATCACCCTTTCAGGAATGAGAAAATGGTCAAAGCCTTGGAGTCAAAAGGACTTGGGTGGAAGTCTAGGCTCCATGACTTATTAGCAATTGTGACCTTGGCTCAATTGCTAGACCTCTATAAGCTTTAATATTTTCAACTATGCATTGAAGACAATTATTCCCATTCCATAATATTGATGTGGGGATTAAATGAGACTACATATGTCAAGTGCTTTGCAGAGCATCCAGCACATGGCAAGTACTCGACAGCAGTGGTTATCATTATTAGCAGAGAACATGACACTGAAAAGAGGGGTCGGGTCCCAGCCTGACCTCCATTCAGGATACTATAGACAGGAATGGGGCCTCGGGAGGGCGGCAGCATCCAGGAATCTTCACTCCTGTTCCACGTGGCCAGTTGGCTTCATGGTCCTCCCAAAGGGAGGGAGCTTGCCCTGGAATGGGCACAGGGCATAGTAAGGATGGTGATACAGTCTGGATGTTTGTCCCCTCCAAATCTCATATTGAAATGTGGTTGCAAATGTTGGAGGTGGGGCCTGGTAGGAGGTGACTGGATTGTGGGGGCAGATCCCTCATGAATGGCTTAACGCCATTCCCTTGGGGATGAGTGCACTCTCGCTCAGTTCACATGAGATCTGGTTGTTTAAGCATCTGAAACCTCTCCCTTCTCTCTCTTGCTCTTTACCATGTGACAAGTCTGCTATCCCTTTGTCTTCCACCATGATTAGAAGCTTCCTGGGGCCCTCAGCAGAGGGAGGAGCCATGCTCGTACAGCCTGCAGAACTGTGAGCCAAGTAAATCTCTTTTCTTCATAAATTACCCAGGCTCGGGTATTCCTTTATAGCAACACAACAATGGATTGGCCCAGATGGCAGGGAAGACTCGCCCTCTACAGTGAGTGTGCTGACCACACGCAGGGTACTGTTCTGTTACTTGCAGGTATGAACTCATCTAATCTTTATAGAAAGCCAGTGTGGTAGGTGCCATTATTCTTCCACCTTAGCAAAGCGAAAAGTGAGCTTTAAGTGACTCTTCCAGGTTCCCCTCTGACCCTTTGGGCACAGCCACACCAGGCCTATAGCTCTACCTCTCTAAAGAATGGGAACCAGTTCACCAACACCATCTTCAGGAGCTGACTCTGCCCCACTGGGAAGCTCTCTCCTTGACGCATGCTTGGAAAGGTGAGCTTTTTGTCTCTCAAGGAAAATATTCACTTTGTATTTTGGAAAACAGAGGAGTTTCTCCTGCTTTTCCTCTCTTCTTCCCTTTGGTCACTTCTGTGGGATACACAATAAGAGACTGGGCAATAAGAACAAAATTATGTGAGAAGAGGCGGACTTGGGTTTAAATCCCAGCTACAGCTAGACATACCCGTTGCTAGCTGTGGCTCTCTGCAAGTGACTCCTCTTCTCAGTTTCCTCATCTATAAAAGAGAGATCATATCCACCTTGTGGTACTGTCATGAGGATCAGGGAAAAGCATATGAAGCATCTAGATCACTGCCAGGTGCCTTGGTTTATAACTGTCATTATTTGGCCACTTCTTCGTAGCATCAAGGCCTTGTTCTGCGCTACTTCACCTAGGGAAGACTCACCTTCCCTGAGGCTCCCTAGTTCTCTCATGGGTGACGTGGGGACGAGAACAGCTAACCTGCTGTGCATGATCACTGTGAGGGGTGGGTGAGGTCACCCCGTGAGCATTTAACACAGTGCCTGGCGCACAGCACGTGCCCCATCAACTGTGCCCTTTACTCTTATCTTTATCATCATGATTAGCTTCTCCCAGGAACTGAAAATTCACTGAAACTCCCAACAGATCACGAGAATTACTTCCCAATCACAACTTGTCGGAGGGAAATATCTGGATGTTTCTCTTTCATAAACATAAGAGCTGTCAGGCCAGTGGCAGTGGCTTAGCCTATAATCCCAGCACTTCGGGAGGTGAAGGTGAGCAGATTGCTTGAGTCCAAGAGTTTGAGACCAGCCTGGGCAACATGGCAAAACCCCATCTCTACAAAAAATACAAAAATTAGCCAGACATGGTGGTGTGCACCTGTAGTCTACTCGGGAGACTGAGGTGGGAGCAACACCTGAGCCCAGGAGGGTCAAAGCTGCAGAGAGCCATGACTGCACTACTGCACTCCAGCCTGGGCGACAGAGTGAGACCCTATCTCAAAAAAAAAAAAAAAAAAAAAGACATTTCTACTTCCATTTTAATGGTCTTTGTGTACTTGTGTCTCCTATTATGAGCCACTACAAATCTTTCTGAAAGAAGACAGAGTATAGAAACAAAACAGCTCCATGGTGAGAAGTAACACAGACCATTCACCTTCTACATCCAGTTGCATTTGCAGGACGGCTGTGCGATTAGATTAGCGTCTGCAGCCTGCCATCCAAGGCTTGCCTCTCTGGATGAGGGTCACTAGTCTTCTCAGGAATGAAGCCAAAGCCAGGCCCAAGCAGCCGAAAGGTAACTCTATCCCTAACAACAGTTACCTGGTCGGTAAAAAGGGCATTGGCCAAGAGGAAGCCTTCTCCCAAAATCATCACCTCAAATTCTCCAGTTTTATACCATAAACCTCAGAGTAAAAGTCTGCATTTTGTTTTCCACAGAATTTTTAGCAGCATGATGCCTTTTTGAAAATTTGCCTTTTCTTCCTATCAGTTTTCCAACCATATGTAGACAAATTCAGCTGTAATGGTTGAAATGAGAGAGCCAGTTAAGTGAGACACTCAAGTTGTCGCTGCATTTTAATAAACATAGCACACAATGTGTTGCTACACAAACACCATTCATAAACCTGAGTCACAGGTTTCAGATGGGAGCTGGGGACGTGTATAAATAGCCTGTGTATGTTAAACAGTAGAAAAGAAAAGAAGTTTGGGGAATAAGGTCAAAATCATTGTGCCCAATTTAAACATCATAAAAATCTCAGCCTTGTCATTATTTACAACCCCCAGCATAACTCCCACCCAAAAGAGAATGCCAAACGGAAAATTCTAAATAAGATGATGTCCTCACGTCGACCTAAACAGTACAAATGATGCAGCATCATAAAACAAAGTTATAATTATGTTGTCTCACTTCCTGGCTGCCGGATGCCCACGGTACAGAGCAGCCACTCCACAGGATTTTCTGAGCTCTGAGCTGTCTGGGGTTTTTGTAAGAACATAGCTTTGACTAGCATTGACCAATTGATTTGCATTTAAAGACTCTGTGATGGTTTGAGGTGGCAAAAGAAGAATACAACTTGTGTGGTGGAGAACTAACACCTTGATCATGTTGCAAACGTTTCAAAAATGCATTTTTCCTATATTCACCCCTCCTCAGCTGAAAATAGCCCAGCAGGCTCAAGGCTGGTTGCAGCTGAAGACAAATCCCACACACCCTCCAGCCCCTCCCATTTGAGAAAAAGGGCATGGCCATGGCTTGGAAGAAAGGCAACAAGAGTCTTGGGCAGCCAAGACATTCTCGAGGCTTTCAACAGGTCCCTGCAGACTTGGCCTTGACTCTGGGTCATTCTGTTCCTTAGCAAGCACCTTGTGGCCTTCCAGCCTCCGCTCCCAGGAACTCATTTGAACTTGCAAGGTGCTGTTCAATGAAGTGGATTCAGGAAGCAGCAATTCTCTCTCAGGAGAGGTCTAGTGTTTCGTCACCTACTCCCCCACACCACTGATGCTCAGAAGGGCTCTAGGACCCCGTGTGTGGAATTCGAATGCCAAAGATTGACAAACAGGGTGACACAGACACGCAGGGTTAACTCGGCTCCCAGCTGCTGCGTGATTCCAGCTCCCATTCAGTCTGACTGCCTGCCGGGTCTATTTCTCACGTATCCTCATTCTGGTCCCTCCTCCAGTCACCAGCAGAAATGCACCTCTCCGTCTCAGGCCTCTCCCATCTCAGTCTCTGATGATGTGCATGGTCTTTGCGTTAAGAGCTCACTAAAGTGTAGATCATGCTGAATGCAAAAAAAAAAAAAAAAAAAAAAAAAGAGAGGAAGGTGTTAGTAGAAGCCCACAGAGGACTCAGGCTGCCCCTCAGGAGAGGGACCTTCCAGAGGCCAGACCCCTTGGCTTCTCCCTCATTCCTGTCACTACAGCATCTCGCCAACTCCACTACTGTGCCCCTTCTACTTCCCACAACACTGGAATAAAAATTTTTTGGGAGAGCATATTGTATCCCTTGGATAAAAGATGTGAAAGCTCTAAGTGCCTATTATCATTCTCATCAGGATGATGATTATGGTTGTTTTCCTTTTTGTGCAATTGCAGGGCAGGTCTGGGGGTGGAGGTGGGGGTGCAGTGGATTCTTTATGCCACCAGCTGCCATGTGCTTGCATGATGGCTGTGTCCAGGGGCTCCCAGATGATGCTGGATAATACGGTAGTGCTGGGGGAAAGATCATCATCACTACTGCAAAGGCCAGCGTGGGAACATAAGCCCTCTGGGCACCAGAACTCAATGAATTCTTGATTGGGTAACTCCCTGGCCCTCTTATTTTTAATGGACTCCAGGAATTAAACATGCATTAAAAGTGTGTGACCTAAAGTATTGCCCCAATACTACTAAGAGTGGGGTGAAGGGGACATGTATCCCTGTGCGCTTAGTAAGGGCTTCAGGGTAATTTTGCAAGGCTGAGGAATGATCTGCACCAAAATATACCTCTTTGTCTATTTCGCAGAAAAAGAAACCAACTATCTTTTCACATTATAGTGAGAAAAAAAGATTCATCTAAGAAGTAAAACCAAAGGAAAGAAATGAAAAGGTTTGACTTCTAACCCTTTGCAGCTGTGGATGCCCAATGAGCTCCTCTGAGTAGCTCAAGTTCCATCTTCAGGAACCTCACACACCTCATGTACACAGAGAACCACTGGTCAGACCTGGAGCAAGAGGGACTTACTCTACTTGGGGAAGCTGAGGGCCAGATGAGGAGTGACAGCAGGGCGAGAAGCCACATTCTAACTCCAAAGCCAGTGCTTTTTGCATAACAGTACTAAGCCTCAAGTGGATACCTTTGTTTACTCACTTTCATTCGTTATGCCAGACACTATTCTCAGTGCTGGGGAAAATGGTGAGTGTGCAGCCCCAATTCCTGCCTTGAGGAAGCATACAGCTAAGCTGTAACAACAAACCACGAGGATTCAGTGAGTGCCAGGCACGGGCCAGGACACTGCAGACGCAGAGGTGAATGAAACCAACATGGTCTCCAGTGTCAAGGAACAAGTAAATCATAAATAACATAGATGGAGAGAAATAAACCTGAGGAGGAACAGGCATGATCCAGAATAACCACGCAGGAGGGTGGTCCTACTACTTCAGGTCGGAAAAAAATCTTTCTACAGAGCAGACACTGTTCACACTGGGCTCACTAGCTAGTATTAGTATCTGCATTAGCTAGTCCCCTTCTAACACAACCCTCAAATATCACCTGGTCCACAAGGCAACCTGAGAAGTGGGGTGATGGGTGCCATGCGGTTCAAACAGGATAGAAGAAAGAGCACAGGCTCTGAAGCCAGATGTTGCTAATTATTAGCAGGGACCTGAGACACATTTCTTAACCTCTCCGAAGTCCTCAGGAGCCCCTCAGGGAGCTCAAACTATAAACTATCAACCCCGTCTTCCCCGCTGTTGTGTGGGTCTCTAGCCCTGAGCTCAGTTCAGACATGGCTCTGCATACACGAGTCCCCTTCCCTCCCTCCCACGGTGGCCTGCGCTGACGCTGCTGTGCTCTCCACCAGCTCCGGATCTGAGGGGCTGGCAGCTCCTAAGGTGGGAGAAACAGAGTCTTTTAAGCAGCCCCAAAGAGCACCAAGGGGCCAGATTCAACAAAGAATGTGGGTGCCCGTGGCGGCCACCCAGGGTCCCAGTGAGGCTGCAGGAACTGTTTCCAATTTTGTTTTAGAAACAGAGTGATTAACACATGTATCATGAAGGCAGGGCCAAACTGAAGTAATGAATTAGAGGACAAACAGTCAAACAGACTGTCTGGAACACACTCGGTTACAGAACAATCACACCCATCTAACCGAGAGGAGCTGCCAAGACCTCCCTACCCCACCCCCTCCCACCCCCGCAGCGGAGCACGCACAGCCGCTTCCCTCCCTGTGAACTCATATGGCTTCTTCCCTGCGACGCCTCGGCTCCAGCAGTTACTGCAACAAAACTGAAATGAGGGAAAGTCTCGCCTCTGTCTTCATCCACACTGAGGTGGATCCCAGGCTAAAGGGGCAGGAGCTAATGAAAACAATGGTCTCATTCTGTTGGCTTAGAGGAGAGACAGTGCTGTCTCTGGGGACAGGCCACTCAGCCCATGACTCTGCAGAAGGGGAAGTCTGTGGCTCCACAAAGAAAGCAGGGTTGAGCACACTGCAGGGAAAAAACCTAACCTCCAAGGTGGCAAGTCCCTAAGCCCACGGCGGCTTTGTCCACACTCTGTAGGTCTCCCAAGACAGAAACCCATCTGACAAGCCTTTGGTTGTTAAATAGTTCAGACTTGGAGTCAGAAAGACTTAGGTGAACCCACTGGGCACCGTAGAAATCTCCGGAGGCTTCAAAGACCGTCAGGCTCCCTGCAGGCTGGAGCAGTAAACATCCCAGAGCACCCCACAGAGTCTGCGGACACTGGGGATGTAAAGGGGAGGGAAGGCAGAACCAAGTAGAATGCTCCAGAGCCACCAAGGTGTGCACCAAGATTGTCCAGAGAGCTTGTTTAAAACGCAGAGCCCAGCCCTGGAAAGTTTGAATAGGTAGCTATAAGCCCAGGAATCTGCATTTTTAAAAAGCACACCTTCCTCCCTTCCTTACCCCACACTTTGATGAAGACTTTTCTAGAGGTTTTCTAAGATAGCCAGCAGTTAAGAGCTACTGGGCACGGTGGCTCACGCCTGTAATCCCAGCACTTTGGGAGGCTGAGGCGGGTAGATCACATGAGCCCAGGAGTTCAAGACCAGCCTGGGCAACATAGCAAAACCCTGTCTCTACAGAAAAATACAAAAATTAGCCGAGCATGGTGGTACATGCCTATAATTCCAGCTACTCAGGAGGCTTAGGCAGGAGGATCCCTTGAGCCTGGAGTTCAAGGTTGCAGCAAGCTATGATCCTGCCATTGTAGTCTAGCCTGGGAGACAGAGTGATACCCTCAAAAAAAGAAAAAGGAAAAAGGAGTTCAGTCTTTGAAATCGGACTCAAGATGTACTACTTACAGCTGTGACACTAATAGCTGGAATTCAGGAAAATTATCTAACTTCTCAGATTCAGTTCATTTTTCATATGTGAGTGAGGATAGTATTTATCTTATAAATTGAGCGATACGTACAAAGCTCTGAGCACAAAGCCTGGCTCATTTTTAAATGTCAGAACTTTGGGAGGCTGAGGCAGAAGGGTCACTTGGGCCCAAGAGTTCAAGACCTGCCTGGGCAACACAGTGAAACCCCATCTCTACAAAAAATTTTAAAATTAAAAAAAAAAAATATAGCCGGGCATGGTGACACACACCTGCAGTCCCAGCTACTCAGGTTAAGGTGGGAGAATCACTTGAGCCAAGTTCAAGGCTGCAGTGAGCAGCGATGGCACCACTGCACTCCAGCCTGGGCAAAACAGTGAGACCCCATCTTTAAATAAAAATTAAAAAATAATAAAAAATAAAAAATGCTGGACAAATGCAGCCACATTCTGGCCTGCCACAGCCCAATCCAAACCTAGGGGTGGCGTGCAGTCCAACATCCCGACCCCTCCTCCTCTTCACCTGGCTGCTGTCAACCATGCCCTTTTGGAGACATCACCGGGAGGTTTGGAGATCACCATGGCCCTGCCACAGGTAATGATGGAATCGCAAGTGACAGGTGAGAGTCCCCAGAGATGAGCCAAAGAGGAGCAGGAAGGAGGAGGAGACATTTGCGGAAAAGGCACTCTCTGTGGTGTCAAACCACAAGACAGTCTGTTTATAGCTATCTGCTTAGTTAGGATGTTCTGAGCGGAGAGGTGAAAAGAAGGGACACTCCTGAAACAGGACTGCAAAGTCAGCAGGTTTTTCTTAATTGGAATGGTGTTATGTAATATTGGGAAAACTGTAAATGAAGCATTTAGCGACACAAAATGCCACTTTATGAACCGTGACAGCCACTGTGGGGCTGGGGTGGGGAGTTTGGGGCCTCTGTTATGGTTCCCAAGAATCCTTGGGGCAAGGGACAGTGAGGATGAGCCTGAGCCCCTGTGGCCACAGGCAACCTGCTGGGCTGAGCTGCAAAGTCGTGAGAGGCAGGAAGCCCTATAGGGAAGAAGGAGTAGCCAACTGCACTTCACCAGTTATCTCCAAAGGGATGTTGAGAGGGTGTTTTCACTGCGTGGCCCTAAGGATGTGCCGATCAGCAGGCAAGGCCTCCTGCAGGATCTCCTGCCCCCTTACTTGTTTATACAGAAGCCCTTGCTCCTGAGCCAGAGTCAGACAGCTGGGACTACACCTGAATGGCCATGACTCCCACCCTCGCACGCCATCTCCCAAAGGACGCCTCCCAGAGGCCAGCCTGAAATTCTCTTCCTTTTGCTGCAGGAGTCAAAACCACCAGGAGGGGCAGATACTCACCAGTAAAGGTAGTAGAAGAAGGAGAGGAGATAGAAGGCCAGCTTACACCAGGCCTCCTTCTGACAGTAACTCAAAGTGTCGGCATTCATGACCACCGGTGGGTCGTAGGCTAGTTCTGAGCTATCTGCTGGACAGTGGAAATACCTGCAGGGAGAGAGGACATCATTGTCTCTGAGGTCCTGGTACTTCTGGCGTAACCTGGGCAAACCCTTCCGATGCAGGGCTTCTGTCGAGCAATCCCTGCCAAGCAATTGCCTGCCTTCTGCCCAAATCACAGTTGAAGCACCGCTGAAGAGTGGCTCAGCCACTATCTTCCAGCAGGTAGTAAATCCCCAAATACTCCAATCCACTGGCATCATGGCAATTTCACCCATATACAAAGCTGCTCCAACAGAAGGGGAAATGTGTCACCTGGCGTTGCCTAGGAGTCTGAGGAAGAGCCGCCTCTCAGGACAAGTGCAGGCAGAGGTAAAGGGCTATACCACCACTGCTGGGATGCCACCATACCTCCATTCTACCCTAAAACTACTTTACACAGACCCTTATTGAAAATCCTGAATACTTCGGGACATCCTATTCTCACTTGAGCGCAGAGCAGTTTACAGGTGCTTTCCTTCTTGATAGTGGGACCTAGAACTCAAAAAGAACATCAGCCATCTGTCGGGAGACAGCGTGCCCTGGACGGCAGCTGGGTGAGTGAAAGAACGTAGGTGGGAAAGAGGAGGAGGGGGAGCAGCTAACGCGAACTGTGTGTACTTCAAAATACTACGTTCCCAAGGCTCACCTGGCCACAGCCCCTGAGGAGGGGAGCCGTCAGGCTTGGTGAGACCTGGGGCAGGAGTCTGAGCCTCCTGAGTCCCTTGGGAAGTGGTCGCTGCCCCCAGGACACTGCCCCCAGGGACCTGGCCACAGCCTCCTGCCGGAGCCCAAGAACAAAGTACAGCTGGAATCTCTCAGTGAGTTCCTTTTTCAGTCATTCTGGTAAAGCCACCCAGAGGCCAGGAGTGCAAATAAATGGCTTCCCTGGGCTCTGGGACAGACAGTGGTTCTCAATGGTGGTAAAGGGCCCAGGGAGAGGGCTCCGACCGGGAGATTAATCACACTGGCTTTGAAGAACATCCTGCAATGTAGCAACTCGCAGATCCGGAATCTCAGCTCCCTCCTCCTTCCCCTTCAGAGAATTGCACTGACGTTATCTGTCACTGACACTGTGCTGAAAAGAAATCACAAGCCAGATTCGATGACAACTGCCAGCTCACAGCCCTCCAGGCCACTCATCTCTCCTCTTCCTGGGAGCCAATCTCAAAAGCTATTTGCTGTCACTGTGGTTTTATTCCCAGGTGACCTCATTAAGTGGAGGCAGAAGGGCAGGGTGGCCATGTGGCTCCGTGGAAACAGCAAAGGCCCTGCCAGTCACCAGTCACCACATTGACTTTCCTTGGGTCAGTCATTAACCCATCTGAGCCTCAACTTTCTCATCGGTGAAATGGGGATGGAATTGCCCACTGCAAAGGGCTGTTGTGACCATTATGTGAGGCGATGTATGCAAATAACCTGGGAAGAACAGGTACTGAGTCAACAGCAGACAGTTCTATTTCCTTTAAGCAAACTAAGAGCCAGAGCAGGAGGGGACTTTCTCTGTATGTGAAATGTCACTGGTCTGGACCTGTTGGGAAGGAGGGGGAGTAAAAAGGGGGATAAAGGGTGTACAAGGGCTCTGGTTTTTAAAGGACTCCTCCCCTCCTCATTCTTTTTTTTCTTTCATGTTCTGAGAACTTACTAATTGCCAGGAACTAGACTAGATCCTGTCAGGGATTCAAAAAAAAGGTAAGACAAAGTCCCTATTGGCAAGGAGATTGCAGCCCCTCCCTTCCTCCATAGAGATCAACTTTCCTAGTCTACGGACACTGGCTGCCTCTCCTTTTCCTCCCTTTTGGACAAGCGCTAGCCCCACGAAGCAGTGCCCTGATCGATGTTTTGTCCATTAATCACATTTCTGATACCCTGCCTTGACAGCCCCCTACTTGAAGGACCTTGGGACGAACTCCTTTCCTGGAGGAGAAGAGCCAGCCCCTGGGGCAGTGTGTCAGGTGGCAGGGACTCAGACTGGAATTCGTACAGAGGTGGGGTGTAACCTCAGCCCTGCCACGTCCGAGCTGAGCAACACAGGTTAAGTTGACTTAACCTTTGTGAGTCTCTGTGTCCCCATGTATCAAACACAGAAAATGAAACCCAGCTCACTTGGTTGTTGTGAATCCTGGATCTTCTATTTGACTTCTCTCTAATTCAGATGAGAGCAGATTGCCTTTACTTAAAGTGAGGCTTCTCGATGTAACCGAATCTTTTTCCTTCCTCCCTAAATCTGAGATTTCTTCTACCCTGCTGGCCCTGGTCAATGGCACCATCGACCTCCCGGCCACGCAGCCTAGAGGCTTTCTCTCCCTCACCTGCACCCAATTATGGGCCAAGGCTTATCCAGTTCACCTCCACAGCTTCTCTTGTTCTCTCACCATTCTGACTCCCACCACCTGGGTCAAGGCTCTCTCACCTCTCCACCTGGAGTTCCCACCATAACCCCCTCATTGGATTTCATCCTCAATATTTCACCCTCTAACCCATCCTTTACACTGCTTCCCAGGCCACCTTCCTAAAAATCAGATCAGGTAATGCCACTGTCTTCTTCTAAAGCTTCTGATCATTTTTCATTACCTAGAGAATAAATTAATTCCACCTTCCCCATCAAATCATTTCAGGCCCTCCATACCATACTCTCAGCTGCCTGCCAACCCTGTCTCTTCTTATTTCCCTCCAAGAACCCTACATCCAACCTCACTGAGCAACTACTGTTTCCCAAACACAACAAGTGTTCTCTTAACTCTGGGCCTTTGCACATGCTGGGCCCTCGCCCTGGAATGTGCTTTTCCAATGTCACTCTTGAGTCTAATTTAAGTGCTTCTTTCTCTATGCTCCTACCAGTATTCCTCATATGTCTGTTAAGAACATATTTCCCTCCACCACTAGGATGTACGTTCCTTAAGGGTAAAGGTTTTGCTTTACACTTAACGTGAAATCCCTCACAATGCCTGGCGTGTACTATGTATCCCGTATGTTTTCTAAATGAAGGAGTGCATGTCTTAGGTGTGGCTAAATTCAAGCCAGATTTTATGGTACAATAAAAATGATAAAACACTTTGGGGTCCAATGCTCTGGCAGCAAAGGGTCAAGGGCAGGCAACTTATCTGCGCAAATACCTTCTCTACTATTTAGATATTCCCCCACCTCTGCCTCCTGTGTCCATATGGTGACTCTATTTTACAAAAAGCCAAAAATCACATGATCTGACACATGGTCTTAGCAGGGAATAGAATCTATGAAATTATAACTGTCCCAGAAAATCCAGCCCATCTGGTAGGTGCTTTTTTTTTTATTAAGATATAATTTACATACCATAAAAGTCACCCTTTTAAAGTGTACAACTGTACAATTCAGTGGTTTTTAGTATATTCATAGAGTTGTGCAACCATCATGACTATCTAATTTCAGAACATTTTCATCACCCTAAAAAGAAAACCTTTGACCCATTAGCAGTCATTCCCTATTCTCATTCCCTCCCAGCCCCTGGCAGCCATGAATTTACTTTCTGTCTATAGATTTGCCTTTCCTGGACATTTCCTATAAATAGAATCATGAAATATGTGGCCTTTTGTGTCTGGCTTTTTTCACTGATACTTTCTTTAGGGCTTCATGTTGTAGCATGTATCAGTACTTCATTTCTTTTTATTGACAAATAGTATTCCATTGTATGGATATACCATATTTTGTTTCTCCATTTATCAGCTGATGGGCATTTGGGTTGGTTCCACTCTTTGGCTGTTGTGAATGCAACTATAGATGCTTTTAACACTGACCTACAAGGGATGGGGTTGTGGTTAATGAAACCAACAAAAAGGGCCTTTCCTTATTGGACTTGTTGCCTAAGAGCAGTTTGGGAACAGGCTTTAAAGAGAGAGACCCAGAAAGGAAGGGATGATTGGAAGGCAATAGAAGCTGTCTATTTGGGTGACATCATCACTGGAGAGCAGGCTGCCCTGGCAGAAAAGACGAAGGATATACCAGTCCCAGTCTGACTTACCTCCAGAAGTGATAGAAAAGTAGAGGGACATTCAGCCCCAGCGTGAGCCACTCTTGCGCACACAGGAACATAATGCAGAAGAGGCTATGGATGGAGTATTCTGGCAGCACCAGCTGAAGAGGGAGCAGAGACACGGCCCTGAGTTAGAGGAGGAAAACGCCACTCCTGCTTCTATGGCAGCTGACTTCTGCCTGGACACTGCCTCTCACAGACGGTTGACACAAAGGCCCTCCCTGCAGCAACGTAGAGCCACTGCCCCAACACAGATCCATTTCTGGTAAGTTCTTCTTTTTATGGCACTCCTCTTTTTATTATACCCAAACCCAAATGACACAAGCCCTCAGTGCACTGCTTACTATTAACAGAATACCACGCTTGCTCCTAGGGGTCACCCATGGATGGCCACTGGGAAGACTGGAAGAGCTGGTCCAGCCCATGTGTCATCTGACCCAAGGCAGGACCACTAGGAGAAATACTGCAAGGGTTTCTAATGAATCCATAACTGCCCTGCTCTTGTTTTTCTGGCCCCTGTGTATCCTCCTATAGTAACTCACAAACCTAAAGTGAATATGTACATTTATCACAAATATAGGAGGGTCAGGAAAAAATGGCCAGCCTCAGAAGGCAGTGGCATTTTGCCTGATGGTGGATGGAGCAAGAGGAACGCGAGAAAAACAACAATTAGCAATGATGAAGAGGGACAGTGTAGCCTCTGGGGGAAGAGGGAAGAAACTGATCCTGACCAAGAAAGGCCTGATGGTGGGAAGTGTGACCAGCAGGAAGACTAAGCTCTCCCACCTCCAATCCAGCCACACAGGTATAAATGGGTAAAAGGAGCTTAAAATCATTGAAAAGCTGCTCCCAAGGGTAACTTCATTTTATCAGAAATCAAAGTTGTAAGCTAAAGGGTAACTGTAAGGAAGAAATTTGGCACCTAGACCAGCAGTAGGGAAGGCTACAGATATAAATGCACCATTTTACCCAGTTATATAGGGAGATATAGATACATATTACTAAATATATTTATTTATATAATATATAAATATACTTTGTATTGTTTAGGCTCTCATGAATACTTTGTTCTTCCCATCAAAATCTTTTGAAACATCCTTCAAGGCCCATCTCAAATGCCACTTACCTTTTTTTTTTTTTTTTTTTTTTTGGAGACATAGTCTTACTCTGTTGCCCAGGCTGGAGTACAGTGGCGTGATCTTGGCTCACTCTAACCTCTGCCTCCTGGGTTCAAGCAATTCTCCTGCCTCAGCCTCCCAAGTAGCTGGCATTACAGGCGCCTGCTACCACGCCCAGCTAATTTTCATATTTTTCAGTAGAAAGGGGGTTTCACCATGTTGGCTAGATTGGTCTTGAACTCCTGACCTGAGGTGATCTGCCCACCTCGGCCTCCCAAAGTGCTGCGATTACAGGTACGAGCCACCGTCCCCAGCCTCAAATGACACTTTCTATTGGGAGCTCTGCCTACCGTCCCTTGTTCCTCCACCCTCCCCTGTACCTCTGGGCCCCACAGCATGTTTTCTGACCCCCTCCCAGGGGTACTTTCCATAATCTATCCATTGTGGAGTCATCATCCTCTTCCCACCTTCCAATACAGATAGATTCCTCTGTCCAGCATTCTGCAAGCCATCTTAGCCAACGTCTATTCTTTTCTCATTTCCATTTGCAAAGCGCCTTTGTACAATGCATGGCAGTTAGGAGAGACTTAACAAATACGTGGTAAAGTGCATTGAAATGACCAAGTGCATATGTTTACAACATGGCTGGCTGGCATTAGATATGCAGCCTGTGGTTACAAACTAAGATTTCTTTGGGTGGAGAACAAACTCCCTCAAACCATCCCATTTGGGTATGGACCATGACTTTGGTCTCTCAATTTAGTTAGATGAGCTAACTACCCCAGATGGCAGACACAGAGGGAGAAACACATACGCACACATTAAAAATAAAGACATGCACAGCACACGTGTAAGACATTTTGTAACTATGGGGCACCTTCTTTATTCTCAAAGTCCAGTGTAGATGAATTGCATTAACCCTCACCTTAGACTTCTCAGGCAATCACCTGAGGAATCAGAGCAAAGGAGCCATCATTCCAGAGGTGGTGACCCTTGGTGGGTGAAGCAGGTACCACCAGCCCCTGTGAATCTCAACCACCTGGCAGGAGGGGGCACGCCATGTCCCTATTGTATCTCCTTATAGGACCTCAGAGCTGTGATAACCAATCCTATCTACCCCCAGCCAAGGCATCACCCTACCCCCTCCCATTCAAAGAGAAAGCCCACTTTCTCAGAGCTGGGTGCGCCAGCCCCGGGAGGCAGTGGCTGTGAGTTCTGCTATGCACATCTCTACATTTTCTAATCATCAGTTTCAGCCACTTAAGCTGAGGCAATTAACATGTTTAGAGACAGCCACCGTGGGCCTGAATCATCCATTATTTCTCCATCTCCATCTCCAATTCCAATGACAAATCTCTGACTGATTACAGTTTGGATTTCAGGTCCCACTCTTAATCACCACTGCTTCTTCTCTCTTTGGGGCTTGATTTATTGTGGAGGCTGCAACCTTCCAAGCAGGGAGGATTCATCACTGTCTCCACGTAGAGGAAAACTGCTTAATGCAGGCCAGCTAGTCACGGAGGTCTCCAGCCTTTTGGAGGTTGGGAAAAAAGCTGAAGAATTTATTCTGCCATTTCAGGTGGCTTCTCTAGATGACCTCTTATGCCTAGAACACTGAACAGGATCCTTACAAGTAGAAGAGGCTCCTCCAATTAATCCAGAGACTTTTAGGAGTGACAGTGACCTTTTGATACACACACTGATCCTTGCCTACTTCACCAGCTGCTTCTTGTCACAATGATGTGGAAGAGGTAAGGAACCTCTTCCTTCTAGACCAAATGGAAATCAGCCAGGCCATTTGCATGAGGCCTGCACCATAGCCATTATGGCTGCCTCCACTCACACCCAGCACTCAGCCTTCTGGAAGGTGGTAAGGTCTCATTTTCCAGCTCTCAGGGGTTGGGGCTGCTGATGGGCTGTGGGCAGAAGTGATGTGGAGAGAAGGCCAGACCACTTAACGGCTGATACAAAATTCTCCAGAGTCTCTTTTCCTTTTCCTCTGACAAAGCAAAAAGCATTTAGGATGGTGGGTACTCCATCATCCTGAAGCCACAAGTAAGGAAAGAGGCCCCCAGGCAACTCATGATGGACTAGAGTGTGAGCAGTAAAGAAACTTGTGTTGTTTTAAGCTGCCAAGAGTTGAGTGTTGTTGTTGTTGTTGTTGTTTTGCCATAGCATGATTTAACCTATCTCATATGATACCATCAGCAAGCCCCAGACTGAGTAATCAATGGGAAAAGCAAAGTTGTGCTCTTCACTGTTTATCCTCCCCCAACCATCCACTCAGCCCTTCCTTAACAAGCCATCGAGGCCGGCAGGACACAGCTCCCTGTCACCGGACATGCTCGGGCAGGGGCTGAATAACCACCAGGCAGGCATAATGCTCATTCATTTGTGTGGGCAGTCAGACCAGGCGTTCCCTCCCAACTCTGAGAGTGTCTGTTATATAAGGACCACCCCTAAAGCTTCTAAGCAAAATACAGAGATGCTGATGCAAGCGCTCACCACAGCCCCATGACCCTGAGTCATCCCTTAGCTTTGGAAAACACTTTTTTTTTTTTAATAAGAGAAGCTGTTGAATGGTGCCAATCTCATTCTTTCAACAAATGGAGAAACTATTTCATGCAAGCCACAGCCTATTGAATTGCCATGTATTATTACCCTGCTTTCTAGAGTCATAAATCCTAAATCTCAATATAAGTATTGTGGGATTACTGAAAGACTGCAATTCATTCCAACCAGGGGGATCATGGAAGGTTTGTGATCAAAGGGAAGTTGGAAAGGGCGAGTAAAACCTAATCACTTATGGGAACCAGAGGTCGGCATCCTAGAAGTGGAACAGTGAAAGCAAAAGCATAGAGAGATGGAAGTCACTGGTCTGGGGTGGCTCCTTAACAAGGCCACCTCAAAGGGCCCCTATTAAAGGACATTAATGATAACCGGTAAGGACTGTGTAAACGCTAACTGTATTCCACCTGTCCTGACTTCCTACCCAGATGCTAATAGTCAATTTTCATTTGCTGGCAAACATTTCCACCTGGATATCCCACAACCACTTTGTGCTGAAATTCACATTCCTATCAGTACCTGCAAACTTTATCTCCTAAATTTCCAACTTCTACTAACCATACCATCTCTGACTCCTTCTTCTCATCAGTCTCCATGTAAGTCTGTTTCCAAATCTTGCTTCTTCACAGCCACTTGCATTTGTTCCTTCCTTTTTATTTATCCTGCCCCTGGACCTCCTCTCCAGGCTGGTGCAAGAACCTTCTAGCAGGTTTCCATCCCTGCACACATGTGCCCTCCACCCAACAGAGCAGTATATGCCATGCTCAGCTCAGCTGTAAGCCATTGTCCACAATCTTGTTTTTCCAGGAATTTTACTTGTCTGCATTCTAAATATTTTATTTCTAGTTATGTATCCTCTCATTCATTCATGTATCCATTTGTTTGCTGTTTTATCCCATCAATGACCTGCAGCTGATTGGTACCCTTTATAGATTATGAAAACAATAGAATCGTGTGCCAAGTCCTGTCTTATTTTTACTACTGTGGTGGAGAGGGGCATCAGGGGTTGTGGGAGAGATTCTTCTTACCCCTAAAGGAAAAGAAGTAGGAAGGGGATGCTTGGAGTTGAAGCAAGGGAATAATGCTCCTGGTGGAGAAAAGGGATTCCTTAAGACCAGGGGAAGGGAGAAGATGAGGGAGATGAAGAGGCAGCAAGCGCCCCTGTTGTTGGAGATCCGTCTGCTCCTGGCTCTCATCATGCATTCCAAGGGCATAGGTTTTCTGAGGGGCTGGTGTCAGCATGCCTGGGACCAAACACTTTAAAAGTCACAGCTATGGAAGCCACAGGGAAGCTCCTGGCACTGAGTTTATCTTGAAGACAGTAGAAGCTGTGAGACTCAGAGTCTCTACCCATCTCTGAATGCCCCTGTCGACTCAGACAACAAGCTTTACAGCTGTAATCCCATAAGTCTCAATATATTAGCCCAGTGTCTCAAAGCATTATATAAATTCCTACAGTTACATAATACTCAACTGTGTGCTATTTAGAAAAGCAGCTACCCATGCTGAGTCTTATTTTACCCATCTGTAAAATGCCATACCTACCAGCCAGGGACACAGGATGTACTATGAATGACAGTGCTCTCAAAAGTGAAGAAGCCTCCAGCAAAAGAAGACACCACTATTGTTATTGTGTTGTGATCATTATTATCATTATTATTTTTTCTGAGATAGAGTCTTGCTCTGTCACCCAAGCTGGAGTGCAGTAGCACGATCTTGGCTCACTGCAACCTCCACCTCCCAGGTTCAAGTGATTCTCCTGCCTCAGCCTCCCGAGTAGCTGGTACTGCAGGCATGTGCCACCATGCCCGGCTAATTTTTGTATTTTTAGTAGAGATGGGGGTTTCACTATATTGACCAGGCTGATCTTGAACTCCTGACCTCGTGATCCACCTGCTTTGGCCTCCCAAAGTGCTGGGATTGCAGGCATGAGCCACCATGCCTGGCCGGTCATTATTATTTTTAATAATCATATACTAGATGATGACCATTCTCAGGTAGATAACTTGTTGCTCTTACCGTGAAAGTCAATGAAATGACCCAGAACCAGAGTTGGTTTCCTGATTTTTCAATTCAGTCTCCTGACTCCCTCTGATTGAACCAAGCTCCAGCTTCCTCAAGTGGGAAGAGAAACCAAGGGCTGTTTCAACAGCCTGCCTCTCAAATCATAAAAAACCTCAATCCTTGCCTGTTTTCAACAGCAATAATCCAGTTCTGTGTGTCTGCCCTAAGGTTTATTTGCCCCAGGAGCCAAAGAGTGTGGAGAAAAAGATACTATATCTTTTATTTGATTCCTCAGCCCATACTAAACTGGCCCTAAAACAGAGGATCCCTCTGGGATGCCCCGGACGAAGTCAGTATTCCCAGCATGGAGATCATTCTCCATTTGTTCCCAAATGAATAATCATGCACGTGAGCATCTCCAAGCAATGTCAGGAAACTACATTCTGGGCCCCTTTGCTCTCAGGAGGCCACATGCTCTTTAATCACTCTGGATGAAGGTCGTCTTTGGAAAGCCTGCACCAGCCTGGGCATCCAGGAGGGCTGCCCAGCCCCATAGGCCTTGCTGTGTCAGGGACTAGCAGCCAACCTCAAATGGCATGATACAGTAGGAACACTCCGCCAGCTGGGACTTGGGTTGGGTCGACTTGAGTGGTCCCTATTTGTTGGTGCTGGCATATTAAATGTTTTGACCTCCTGGAATTTGCATCAAAGTTTATTAAATAGTTTTAAGCCATAAGACAAAGGCTCTGCTACATAAGCAACTTAACACAGAATAACCTAGTCTAGAATTATAATCTTATTTAAAATTTTTTAAAATTTTTTGTTAAGAGATGGGGTCTATGTTTCCCAGGCTAGTCTTCAACTCCTGGGCTTAAGTGATCCTCCTACCTCAGCCTCCCAAATTGTGGGGATTAGCGGCGTGAACCATCATGTCTGGTCCTAGAATAATTTAAAAAGTCACCATAAAATTAATATGACACCTACTGATTTTATGTACACCAGGAACTGTGGCTGTGACTCAAAACCCTTTGCTGTTAGGAGCTCTCCTAAATGCCTGGACCAAGTATTGCTTTGATCTTGGCCTTCCATGGCCAGAATTGGACCCTCATGGCTGACCACTGGGGCCTGGGCCACTATTCAAGGGAAACCAGTAGCAGATTATTTTCCCCATAGGCCTGCACCAGGAACACGAAGGAAAATAAGTTAGAGAAAGCAAGAGACAGTTGTCTGCCTGAGTGAGCCAGGACCTGAAGACAGAAGAATTTTCCTCCTGGCCTGGGGAGGCCCAGTGGTCAGTGACGGCATGAAGGGCAGAGGAGTGACGGGCTGCTTCCAGCCCCAGAGGGGCTTTCTCTCCAGGCCTCCCACTTTTCCATCCCATGGGGCCTCTGGTTTCTCCCTATGTTTTCTTCACTTACCCTCCCTGAGCACATTTAATCCACACTGTGGATGTTCCTGTTGCTTCTTGGCACCCACTTGGACTCATTTCCACCTCTGCACTGAGAGAAGGCAGCACAGGGAGGAAAAGGCACAGAGAGAGAAGGGGGGTCAAAACCAGCACCCCTGCTGCCCATTGCTCCTGATCACCCAGGGTGTGATGGCCCAGAGGCCCCTGTTGGGACTTAGCTGTGCCTGACACATCAGCAACCAGCCACACATGCTCCAGACACTGCCTTCGTGGACTGCACCGGGCTCTGCTCTTGCCCTGCCCAGCACCCTGGGAGCTGCCTGACCCTTCCTGTCCTCACTGCTCGTTGGGGACCAGCTTCCAGCCTGACTGACACTGACCAGCTCAGGCACCTCTAGCCCCACCGTCATTTCCCTTGGGGCCCTCACCGCCAGCTGTACCCTGTGCAGGGGATGCAGCCCAACCATCCTGCATAAATTACAGATCCCAGCCAGTCGACTGGGGAAGTTCTCCTGCTTTGATCCAAGAGGAAAAGCACGTATGCACAACACCATGAGGAAGAAGGCTTCTTCCATCGGAATTCACAGGTCTCAGCTTGTTTCTGGAGGAGAAGGAAACCAAGGCAGGAGGTGACTGACTGGGCCTAGTGCCCTGCTCTACAGCCTGGCTGTTCCCACCCTGCCTCCCACCCATTTCTTTAAGCTTCCTCATCTTTTAGCAGTGGTTCTCAAACTTCATGGTACTTTAGAATCCCCCCTGGAGCTTTTGCTAAACCCCAGATTGCTGACTGCACTCCCCCCAAGTTTCAGACGCAGTAGATCTGAGTGGGGCCTAAGAGTCCCCCTTTCTAACAAGGTCCCACGTAAGCCACTGAGAACCCTGCTCAAAGTGTGGTCCCTGCTCCAGCATCCAGTTTCTCCTGGGATCTTGTTAGAAATGCAGAATTTTGGCCCCATCCCAGACCTACCGAATCAAAGCCTGCAGTGTAACAAAATCCCCAGTGACTTACATGCACATTAAAGTTTGAGAAGTGACTGATTCCCAAAATAGAGTCCCCCAGCCACCTGCATCCAAATTGCCTAGAGCACTTGTTACAAATGCAGATTTCCAGGTTCCACTCTAGACTCTTTAGATTCTCTGGGTCAAGAATCTGCATTTTTCAGAGCATTCCAGGTGATTTTGTTAAACACTTGAGCTGAGATTCACAGACCCAAGGTATGAAAAGCGTACAAGGGTCACCGGGCCATAACACCTGGAATATGCCCAATCCCATCTGAAGAGCACACAAGGCAGATGCTTCTTTTTTAAAACCCCTGGTGTGAGGCCTCCTCCCACCCAACCCTCCCAGAGGCTGTGGGTCTTCTCCCACATCATGAGGGTCCTGAGCACACACAGCCCTGCTCACTTACTACTGCTTCAGGGGCTCAAGTCTGGGCAACCGGCATTTGCAGTCAAAGGCAGTTGTCTCTGGCTCCTGGCTTTCCCACACACCACCCCGTGGGAGAGCACCCCTGAGGCTTCCTGGGGTCCTGCAGCCCTGCAGCTGGTGGTCTCTAGTCTTGGAGGGCTGGCTTTGGCATATTCCTGGGACGGAGGTGAGCTCTCCAGCATCCTTCCACCTCCAGAATCCCCCCTCCAGTTCTGGCCGGATTCTTTCCACCTTCCACAGGCCCCCTCTTCATTCAGCCTCACAAGCTCCTTCCACCTGTCTCTGGCCCTTCTGGTGTCTCAATGGACACTTTATAGATCTGTAAGGGGACAGCTTCCTTTTAGGACCAAACCTTTGGATTCCAGCCTTGCTCTGCCCACTCCTCCCAGCCTTCCTTTTATAATTGTTTTCATACAGCATCAAGACACACTTGAATTTCAAAAGCCTCTGCCAGTTTCTTCACACGCTTGTTAAATTACTGAACTACCTAAGATTTCACTCAGGGAGGAGATGAGAATAAAAGCGCTCTCTCAAATAATACCACATATTTTAAGGGACAAAATTCTCCTACAACTTGCTGGCAATTCAGAGCTTCTTAACACTTGTAGCTTCCCACTCCTTTTCTTCTTTACTTTGAGCCAGAGATGAAGGGAGTAGAAATCATGCCCAGACTATAGGGAGTGATCAGGCAAAGACTCAGATGGTTTGAGAGGAGAGGCACTCACCTCTCCTCTCAGAATAAGGAGGGCAGTGGGGTTAAGGGTTCAACAAGCCTTATTCCGGTGCTGGAGAGCCCCATTTTCACACTCATTCAGCAAATATTTATTAGAAGCACTTACTAGGTGGTGAATGCAAAGCCATCCAGCTGGGGAGACTCAATGTAAATGACCAGGTGTAGCACAGGCTCTATGAACAACAAACACGGAAGCCAGAGGACAAACCGAGGCAGCACGGGAGCACTCGACGCAGGAGGAAAGGAGAGAAGAAACCATTGTTCTGAGTGAGGAAATGAAGGAGGGCCCCTTGGAGGTGACGGCCTCTCAAGTGGAGATTTAAAGGATGAGTTATACTATGGAAGGCAGAACGTAGTGGCCAAAGTTGCTCCCAAGGGACACTCAGAGCCATCCTTTCATTCAGGGGCTTGAGACAATCACTTTTTCCTTTATGTCCTGGGAAGAAAATCTCCGTTCCATCACGTGGGCTATCTCTTATACATCTTCCAGGGAACGACATGGCGACTGGAAATCCTTTCTGCCAGTCTCTTTTTAAACCTGGGAGACTTCCAGGGAATAGTCACAGTGATTTTACCTGACAAGGAAGAGCATGGTGACAGGAAGGGGAACTAGGGCAGAAACAGGTCATCTTCTGCCTCTAGTTACTCAGCACGGGGCAGATGATAATGAGCCTCGACATCAGCCCCACCTGCCTAGAGCTCGATGGGAATTTAGCACAGCTGAGAGCTCCGCCCTCCTCTCCAACCTGTCCCACCCACGGTGCCCACCCAGCCCAGAGCAAAGGGAAGGAAGCCCAACTCTGCTTAACAAAGAGGGTTCTAAGTCCCCAGGGCCACACCTCCCCACTTCCACTGCCTGCTACAGCCACGTTTCCCAGGTGAGGCTCTGCTGCCAGGTCTCTTATGTAACAAGAACCTGATGTTTCCAGAGGAGGGAGCTGACCTCATGCACCGCTATGCTCCTTAACAGAGTGAACCTGGTGTAAGCCTGAGTCTTCAGCAGCACCATTAACTTCCAAAGAACCTTTTCCAAGAAAAAAAAAAAAAAAAGATGACTATCCTACTTAACACTTATTAAGTGGTGTTAATTACCTGTTACACTCAGCAGCTTGGAAAAATTTTGCCCTAACAAACAAAAGAGGGTGAATTGAATGAGAATGGGAAGTTCTGGCATTCGCAAAAGAAACACGAGCTGTCATCATCATCATCATCAATTAATATTTACTGAGTGCACATACAGGGGAATGGGCAATTTGCTGAACGTCCTGACCCAGAGCCCTAACTGCAAGAACAAGACGAATGGACACAGCCCTCCCTCCCTGTGGCCCAGGCAGAGGGGGTTGTCTGAATTCGAGCACATGCATATGTGTTTGTCCAAAGTCTGGCAACAATTCCTATTAGCTGGACTGTGCCAAGCTTTACCACAACTCTGATTTAGCAAATTAATATTTTGAAGAAAAGACAAAATAATATTGTAACTTGTTTCCAGCAAGGGATTGAGTGCCAGTGTCTTAGTGAAAATAGTAGTAGATTAAGGAACAAGAAACTTGGGCTGTAGCTTGGACTATTAAGAAACTACAGAAACTTCGGTAAACCATTTAACCTCAATAGGCTCAGTTTGTCCATCTACAAAATGAAAATGATAATAATAATAGTATCTAATTCATAGGACTGTTATGAGTATTAAATGAGTTAATATCTGTGAAGCTCTTAAAATAGTTTCTGGCACAGAGTAACACTTTATAAATAATAACTATTACCTGTAAGAGGAGACATTTGACCTTACAATCTCTACAGTCCTTCTCAGTTCAAATACTCCATATAGTTTTAAAAAGCAGCAATTAAACTCCTTTGAAAATTAAACCAATAGATCTTCCTTTTCACTCTCTAGTACTTGCAAATTTTAAAAATCCTCTTCCTCCAATAATTTTTATCCCCAGAAACACCATGTGTTCTGGGGAGTCTGACCATTTTGTGTGTCAGCAATTACCACTCCTAAGCAATAAAAGCTCCCCATGCTCCTGAAGAAGGATTTTTCTCACCTCTCAAGTCAGTGCTGTGCAGGTGTAGGTGTCTGTGCCATTGGTTTGTCTGTGTGTGTCTTTGTGGGTCTCTCTCCATAAAATTGTTCCATCAGCACAGGGGCCGGCACATAGTAGGTGCTCAGCAAACTCTCCATTTATTCACTTAACAGATACGCATCAAGAGCCTACTATGAGGTGTCAAACACTGTGGCAGGCACTGGAGGTGCCAGGATGAGTTCAATGAGCCTGGTGACAATGTTCCAGGCACCCCCAGGCTGATGGGAGAGACCGACAGCTGAACACTGGACCATGCCGCAGCCAGCACTCACACACTGGTGAGTAGGCAAAGGGGTCAAAAGCCACAGCCTGTGAGCTACAGGTAGTGGGGAAACCAGAGCAGACACGCGACCTGGCAGGCACACATGGAGAGGGATCCCGCTGCAGAATGGTGGAAACACCTGGGGCCATCTCTGAGTCTTGAGAATCACTATGACAAACTGCCACGAGTCCCAGGAAAACCCTCTGCTCCCACATCAAAGAACAGGCTTCACACAGGAGGAAGGAACTGCCCCTTTCTCCTGAAGTGTCACCTCTTCCTCCTCCTCTCATCCCCCGTCCCTGCCTCCTCCCACCAGAGCCACCCGTCTCCTCCTAACTGGTCCCCTCACTTTCACTCCACCCTAAGCTATTTTTCACCAGTAGGCAAAGTGATCTTTTTGAAACATAAATTAGATCATGTCTCTTTTTGGCTTAACCCTCCAATGTCTTCCCACTCCTCCTAGAATGAAATCCAAACTCCTTACGATGGTCTCTAAGGCCCCACATGATCTGGCCTCTGTGCCCCTGGGCCCTACAACCCGCCACTCACTCCCCTGCTCACTCCACTCCAGCCACACTTGATCCTTCGTTGTTCCTCAAACCCAGCATGTCTGTTCCCACCTCAGAGGCTTAGCGCATGCTGTAGCCCCTGACTGGGGAGCTCCTCCTCAGATATTTGCATGGCAGTGCCTTCATCACTCAAGAACCTACTCAAGGTCACCTCCTCAGATGAGCCCTCCCTGCCAATCTAGTATCGTCTCCCTCCTTATTTACTTTAATTTTTCCATGGCTCTCAGCATCATTATCTGAAAATGTACCTATTGTGCGTTTGTTTACTTGCTTATTGTCTATTTCCCACACTTGAATGTTCCATAGGGCAGCTTGTCTTTTTCATGACTTTACCCCCAATTCCTAGAACAGTGGCTGGCACACGGTGCAATTTTGTTGTTGTTGAGTGAGAAAACAAATTGGTCCTTTGGTCGTTCCCCACACAAGCATAGCTATCACCATCACTGAGCTGATTTCTGAATATGAAAAACCATAACAGCCATCCCAGTAACTAAGAAATGGTGTTGACTCGACACTAATTTAGCAGGCCTCAGGTTCAGTAGGTCTGGCCTCAGTGTATCTCTCTGTTGTACATCCACAGACTGAAGCTCTAGCGCTGGCTGGTCCCTTACAGGTGAGTACAGTTGGTCACAAAGGGTGTGGACAAAGAAGAATCCATGGAAATTCAAACTCAACTCAACTCTCCAGGCTTTGAGCACCCAATGCCCTGGATTAAATATGGCAGGAGGCCCAGCAAAGACCTTACAATAGATCGGGAGAGATAAACCGAAAACCTAAGTGACTATATAATCCAAGGCTGAATATAGGGAGAAGCAAAATAGAAGGATAAGCATAATAGGGTCAAAGGAGGAGGGAGGCAGATCAGCCAACACTAGCCCTTGCTGGGATACACACTGCTATGGACTGAATGTTTGTGCCCTTCCCTAAATTCATATATTGAAGTCCTAATCCCCATTGTGATGGCATTAGGAGGTGGTGTCTTTGGGAGGTAATTAGGTCATCAGAGTGGAGCCCTCATGAATGGGATTAGTGCCCTCATAAGGAAAGACACTAAGGAGCAAGCTTCTCTTCTCTGCCATGTGAGGATACAGTGAGAAGGTGGCCATCTGCAGATCAGGAAGAGGGCCCTCATCAGAACCCAGTCATGCTGGCACCCTGATCTTGAGGTTTTAACCTCCAGAACTGTGAGAATAAATTTCTGTTAAGCCACCATCTATGGTCTTTTCATTGCAGCAGCCCAAGCACACGTGTGCATGCACACACACAGACACACACACCAAATGCCTCACTGGAGCTTCCTCCTACTGCTCCCCACTGTCGTGGTGCAAGGGGTGAAGGAAGAGCTGCAGGAAAAGGCTGGCCAGTGTTATGAGAAGGGAAGGAAAGGTCACCCGTCCCTAGGTATTGCAAAGAACCCTCTGCAGCTCCTGATGTCCCCACTCCAGAACCCTAGCAGGGCTCCCCTTTCTCCAGTGGCAGAAGTGGGTGTTCTGAAGGGGCCTGATGAGGAGCTTTACGGCATCACTGCCAGAAGACAGCACTTCCCGTCCTTTCTTATTTCCATTTCTCATTACACCCACTCCCTAGGTGACCACAGCAATAGCAGAGGAGGGCAAGAGAGGGAGGGGAAGGCAGACTCTACTTGGGAACTTTCCTCCTCACCCCACAGTTCCCTCCTCTCCATCACAGTGCCTCCCAGTTCCCTCCTGGGTGCCTCAAAATTCCCTAAGTTATCAGCCTGCTTTCCAAACCCCCACGGTCCCCACACTGTACCCCATTCCTTCCCCAAATTTCCATTCCTGCTGCTAATCCCAAGAATCTTGTCCTCCATGCATCTCCCTCAGCCCCCAAAACCCCCATTCTTGGAGCAAGTGACACAGCAAGTAACAGATAATTTCTGTGATTCCCAAGCAAAATGCAGGACATGTGTTTATTCACTCATTCAGCATTTATTATATACTGGGTCCTATGTGGTAGTGGTGGTGGGGTATACAGAAGTAAGACACCATCCTTGCCTGCGTGAAGTTATAGGCTTATAGGCTAGTGTAGAAAACACATGTTTTTATGAAGGAGAATGTTGATGTTATGCATGAAGAAACATATGGTGAGAGTTTGGAGTCTGGGATTCTAGGAAGACTGTTCTGAAGAATAATAATCAAAGCTGAAGTAGAAGAGTAATCCTTTGGCCCTACCTTTCTTTGTAGTGTTCCAGGCAAGAGATGGTGATGGTCAGGACAGGTAGTTAGGGGCAGAATGTGATGGAGTCATATTGATGGATTTGAAAAATACTTAGGAGGTACCATCTACAGAACTTAGTAATTGATTGGATGAGAGGGTGAGTATGAGCATTACTCTGAGAAATCTTGAACATTAGTGTGAATGATTTACTGGAATGAGCAGCAGCATTGGGAGGAGAAATATTTTTAGGGGTGAAAGAAAAGAACTCAGCATGGGCCACTGTGTGAAGTGTGCTGTAGTTAGGTTTGACCTCTCCAAATCTCATGTTGAAATTTGATCCTCAATGTGGCGGTACTGGGAAGTGGGGCCTAATGGGAGGCGTTTGGGTCATGGGAGCGGATCCCTCATGAATGGCTTGATGCTGTCCTTGCAGGAATGAGTGAATTCTCCACTCTGTTAGTTCCCATGAGAGCTGGTTATTATAAAGAGCCTGGCACCTCCCCAACCCTCTCATTTCCTCTCCCGCCGTGTGATCTCTGCACACACCTGCTTCCATTTGCCTTCTGCCACGAGTGGAAGCAGCCTGAGGCTTTCACCAGGTGCCCAACCTTTCGGTCAGATGAACCATGAGCCAAATAAACCTTTTTTCTTTATAAATTGTCCAACTTCAGGTATTCCTTGATAGTAACACAAAACAGACTAAGACAAAGTCCCTGTAGAACATCCAAGGCAGTTGGATGTTGAGGACTGGTTCTCAGAAGAGGAATTTGAAGGTTCTGAAAACATCAATGGTAAATGAAACCCTGGGCTGGTGGGAGAGTGGAGAGTGAGATAAGATGGGGGACACAGTCCTTGCGGTCACCAACCTTCAAGGAATGAGTAGCGAAAGCAGCACAGAAAAAGGAGGCTGAAGACCAGCAAAGACACAGGACAGGGGAAAACCAGAGGGTGCAGAGTCAGGAAAGCCAGGAGGACTGAACGTTTAAAGATGGAGACATGGCTGCCAGACACTGCTAAGGAAGATGAATATCACGCAGAATGAAAAATGCCCCCTGGATTTGGTGACGCTGAGTCACTGCCACTTCACACACCATTTAGAAAAGTGTGGCCGTGGAAAGCAGGCAGGAAGAGGGCAGGAACTAGGGAGACGCGTGTGAACAAGGGGTTTTTTGTTGATTGGTTGTTTTCAAGAAGGCATTATTAGATGAGCACAATTTTATGTGGAGAGAGGACAGCTGCAGAAATATTGATCCTGTTCCTTACTACGTAAGGTGAAATCTGGATTAGTCCGAAGACTGAACATTAGGTTTTCATTTGAAATGATCAACCTACAGGCAAAGTTGTGGAATGCAAACAACCATTTATAAGCTGGGGACAGTCCGTGCTTCTCCTGGAGCCCCAACAGCTCTCTGGGATGTGGCTGTCATGGGTCCTAGCGTAGGTGTTCAATAATGACTTAATCAACTGGTGGATGAACGGAGTGACCCTGAGGTCTGATTAATCACTTCTCCCTGGAATTTCAATCATGGGCAGCTCATTCCATCCATCCACACTCAACAGACATTATTCAGGGCCTAACAGTACCAGAGCCCTGGGCCTGGCAGAATTTATATCACCTCAAACCACGGCACAGGGAATGTGTGCAAGGCACACAATGGGACATGTCCTCTGTACACACTGGGAAGTGTAAAGGAAGCTGCTCCTGACACTCCATGACAAGCGAGGCTCCATGTGCATATTTGCTCCCTTGAAGAGAGCAAAGGAAACAGCCAGCACACATCTCGTCTCTGCTCCCACCACTGGCGACTCCCCATTATCTTTCATATTTTCCCTTGGTGGCACCTGAGAAGTTGGTCCCAACAAGCTGATTCTCAGTGAGTTTAAGGAGTGGTGGGGGTGGGGTCTTACAAAGGAATATGTTTTTGTGACACTGTTCTGAAACAAAACTCGGAAAAATAGGAGCTAACAGTGTCATCTTGTCTGGGACCTTCCAACTAAAGGCTGCTTTAATTTCAGGGAGCGCAGGCCTTGTAGAGGCTGCTTAAAAGATAGCCAATATTAATGCTCTATGTTATACACCAATTAAAAGTTGCAGTGAGGCCGGGCACAGTGGCTCACGCCTGTAATCCCAGCACTTTGGGAAGCCAAGTGGGGTGGATCACTTGAGCCCAGGAGTTCAAAACCAGCCTGGACAACATGGTGAAATCCCATCTCTACAAAAAATACAAAAATGAGCCGGGTGTGGTGGTGCATGCCTGTAGTCCCAGCTACTCGGGAGGCTGAGGTGGGAGGATCACTTGTGCCCAAAAGATGAGGCTGCAGTGAGCTGTGATTATGCCACTGCATTCCAGCCTAAGTGGCAGAATGAGACCTTGTCTCAAAAAATAAAAATTTAAATTTAAATTTTAAAAAAGTTGCACTGAAACCAGAGGAGCAAAACTCAGTGAGGCTAAAGTATTAACACTAAAATAAACAGATTTCATCTTGGTAGAAAAGAGCTTATGCTTTTCTCTTTTCTTCCAATAAACTGGGCTATATGTATATAAGCTGCTTGGTAATAATAGTGGCTAATGTTTATTCAGCCCCAACCACTGTGGTGTTTTATTACATTATCATATGTATTCCTTGCAACAACCTATGAAGTAGGTGCTTTTATAATCCCTACTTTACAGGTAGGAAAGTGAAGCTCAGAGAACTCAGAGTAACTTTCCTGAAGTCATATTGCCTTTTAGTGACTCAAACAGGACTGCAGCCCTGACCTCTGGTACCAGCAGCACATGTGGACTTACAGAAATAAACCCCTGAACCTGCACACATCATGTGCACACTGAATCATCAAAGCAAGGTGAGAGCTGAGGTGTCAATAACAATACCTGGAACTGTGCAAAGACTTCGCCATGATAATCAAAATCACATACACATCTCAGCAGATAAATGTTTTTTCTCTGGTTGGCTTTTCAGTAAAACAAAGACACTTTCTGGAAGCTACAGGTGCATTGATTATGATTTCAATAAACTATTGGACTGCAACGGGTCTCCTGGGCAGTGTGTGTTTGATACCTGGTTGACCAGCTGCTGAAGATCCAGAGCTCAATAACAGTACAGTCAAGAAAGGAACATTCAACAACAAGGATGTTAAGCATGCTTGGCTTTTTTGAAAGGATTTTAGGAGATTGAGCTAATTAATTGAGATTATTTAATGTTAACCTTTTTGTCAGGGCACTACTGAAAAATGGTGTGGCAGCCAGAAAATCTGAGACATTTGGCAACTTAGGATAATGCTCTCTGGAGTTTTTAAGGTGGTTGCCAGAGCAACCTCAGGGACTAGATCCTGGAAGAGCTGAAACATTCTATTTTAAAAACACCCAGTTGATCATCAGAGAGCCAGAATGAAACAACCACATAATAAGGCAGATATTGGAAATTCTTAAAATGATGAGCGTCTTCCCAAACTGGAAATAATTGATGAGGAATATTTTAAACCCTGGAAGCAAAGAGATTTCAAAGTGAGTCCCCAGGGGTCTGATTATCACCTGCATCTTGCACAAAATATTGATACTAGACACTCTTCTTTCTGCTTGAATTTCCTCCTTTCAACTCCTGGCTACATTACAAGTTCCTGCTACCCTTCAAGTCTCACCTCTTCAAAGGAGTCTCTCATGCATGTATTCATTCATTCATTCATTGAATAAATACTTGTTGAGTAATTTATCCTATTGCTGAGAGCCAGATATCCTGCCAGGTGATCCAAATGCAATCCTGCTTTTAGGAAGAGTACAATCCAGAAGGAGAGATCAAAAAGATACATAAATACCCACAACACACAGCAGGACAAGACCTTCAGCTTGTAGGGTCCCAAGAGTCACTGGCTCCCAAAACCATTGCACATCAGAATCCCTTCGTAGATATTAATAAAAATGCAAATTCCCAAGTTCTACTTCAGAATTTCCAGAGGGTGGGGCCCAGGGATTTGTATTTTAAATGCTGTGCATATGCAACCAGGTTTGGGAACAACTGCTAAAGGTGAGAGAAGAACCTATTCCCAGCTGAAATGGTCATTAACAATGTCGTGAAAGTGAGTGGACTTTAGACAAGCCTTTATCATCCAGGGAAGATATGGCACCTGAATGGAGGGGAGGTTCCCGGCTGGCCCGGGCTTGAAGCTAGTGAGAACCAGGGCAATAGCCTGGGGAAAGGGCCTTTGGGGACAGCCATGAAGGTCAGGCTAAGGAGTTGGGACCTGATGCAGCAGGCAGTGAGGAACCATCAAAGGCCCCTAAGCATGAGAGTGGCATGCACAGCAGTGTTAGCAGAAATAATTATTGGAGTTGTGATAAATGGATTGGCAAAAGTTGGCAAGAGGCTTTAGAGAAGCCAACAAAACTTCCTGGTTCTTTTTTTTTTTTTTTTTTTTTTTTGAGACAGGGTCTGGCTCTGTCACCCAAGCTGGAGTGCAGTGGCATGATCAAGGCTCACTGCAGCCTTGATCTCCTGTGCTCAAGCAATCCTCCCACCTCAGCCTCCTGAGTAGGTGGGACTACAGGCGGGTACCACCATACCTGGCTAATTTTTGTATTTTTTGTAGAGGCAGGGTTTTGCCATGTTGCCCAGGCTGGTCTCAAACTCCTAGATGCAAGCAATCCACCCACCTCAGCCTCCCAAAGTGCTGAGATTACAGATGTGAGCCACTGCGCCCACCCTCTGGTTCTTAAAAGTAAAATGGTTAGAGCTAGGCACGGTGGCTCATGCCTATAATCCTAGCTACTCAGGAGGCTGAAGTGGGAGGATCACTTGAGCCCAGTAGCTCAAGACTGCAGTAAGCTACAATCACATGACTACACTCCAGCTTGGGCGACAGAACAAAAACCCTGTCTCCAAAAAAAAAAAAGAGAGAGAGAGAGAAAGATTAAAAACTTAAGTTGGTTGCAGTAGGAATGAAAAGGAAGAGATGAAGAAACATTATTTAAATATGTTAAATACCATTTTGTTTCAAAAAGGATAGTAGATGGCTCACAAATGTGTTATTAATTAATTATGACATATTCATCTCCATACAGGTATCTTTAGTAATACCTCGGATCGCGTTTAATTTATATGTGCGTTAAAACATTTTTCTCTGGGTTTGTTTCATTTTCTGCTTCAGAGGAGATGCAATTTTAAAGACACTCATCTATGGAGTGCCCCAAATGCACTAGGACTGCACAGGCTGTGTGGGGAACTCAAGGTTGAAAAAGATATATCCTTGGCCCTCAGGAAGACTACAGCCAGGTAAGCGAGATAAAACATGTACACAAGATATCATTATGCAGGAAGAAGATGCTTTTAAAAATCCAGTAAAATAGAGAGGGCAGAGATCATTTCTTTAGTGGAATAGAAAAGGCTTCATAGAAGAGACGACACTTGAGCTGAAATGTAAAGATAACATTTTAGCCAACAGAGAGGAACATTCCAAGTGATAAAGTGGTGTCAGTAATGGCATGAGGATCTCAAATCACAGGGCAGTAACTGTAACTTATGCATCTCTCTTCCCAGCACTTGGCACCCTCCTTGGCACATAGCAAATACTTGATAAATGCTGGCTGAGAAAATGGGTGTTTGAAAAAAAGCAGATTGCAATAAGGTTAAAAGATATGTTAGGGGAAGTCACAGAGTACCTTAGGAGCCATGCCAAGTCCTTTAGTGGTCACTTATTCTCCAAAACTGGGATCCAGAGATTTCTGGGTATGGAAATTATATATGATCAAGGTTTGCTTAGATCATTCCAACAATGTGAAGGGTGAATGGAGGAGGAGGCCTAAGGACTTGAACGAAGACCAAGAAAAACAAAAAGCAAACAAACTAGGAAGCCTCTGTAATAGTCCAGGCAAAGAAATGAGAGTCTGAGCTCTTTCAGCAGTGGCCTGGAGGAGGAGGGCTGTAATTCACGAAGCACTCGGGAAATAGAATCCACAGAAAGACAAGAGATGTGGTGTAAATCCCAAGTAACATGGAAGACAGTGTCTCAATTAACTAAAATGGGTGAACGAACATGCTGTAAAGCAATTCAGCAATACCCCTTATCGGTAGTCTCACTTTCTACTATTTAAATTACCTGTGATCAACCACATCTGAAAATAGGTAAGTACAGTACAATAAGACACTTTGAGAGAGACCGTATTCATATAACTTTTATCACAGTATGTTGTTATAATTTTTCTATTTTATTAGTTATTAATAATAAAGATAATTAATAAAGTTAATCTCTTACTATGCCTAATTTATAAGTAAAACTTTATCATAGATATGTATGGATAGGAAAAACATAGGATATACCGCAGCTTGGTACTATCTGCAACTTCAGGAATCTCCACCAGGGATCTCAGAACATATGCCCCATGGATAAGGGGGTACTACTGTAATGAGTAGATGGCAGGTTGAAGGAAGAGAGAACCCTGAACCCTTCTCTTCCTCTTTCTGTATTCCTGCTTCAACCCATAAAATAGGAATTTCCACCAACTTTTCCACATCTTGGGGAAGTATTAGGGAGGAAGCCTGTGGCCTGGCTTCTCTTGCTCCTGGACTTGCCTGCCCTTAAACTGCAGGCATCCTCTTTCTCTACTCCTGCAAGCATGTGGTAGGTTTATGTGGTCAGGTCCAGAGACTGCCTCCTTGGCAACACAAGCCTGAAGCCAGCCCACCCCTCTTCAATACTCTCTCTCTCCTACACTTGAAGGTGCTGGAGTCCTGCCATGCCCTTCCATGCAGCTGGCTGGATACCACATGGTTCTTCGGCTCTCATCTAGACTCTTATGTCTGTTCTCAATTGATTCAAAACTCAGAGAGGTGGGTAAGTGTGATACATAAGCACTCCTAACCCCAAGACTGAGTTTGAGGTACAATGAGTAAAACCAGGTAAAGATGCCCAAGATGGTTAGAAGCACATTCCTGGAATTCAAGAGAGAGAGAGAGAGCAGGAGAAGATGCATAGATTTGGAGCCGCTAGAAGATGAACGATGATAGATGCTTCAGCGTTGGAGGAGATGAGCCCTGGGGAGGGCCCACACTTAGGGGAGAGCCCACACTTACTCAGGAGCACAAGTGGCTCACACTCAAAACCATGTGGTGCTAGACAGACGCGCGTGGTGGTCACGGAAGTGATCTGAGGGCAGACACCCCATCTAAAGGGTTAATCAGCTACCCACTCCAGCTGATTGTTGTCCTGAAGAATACGAATCCACTATTTCCAGGTCCTGTGTTCTGTTTTGTTTTGTTTTTTTCAAAAGCAGCTTGAAACCCAGATTTTTGTGTGGGGTTTTCAGGTTCCTAAAATATTAAATGAGTCAAATGAAAACAAATTTGCAGGACATCTCTGATCCACAGGCTGCCAATAGCAACTCTTAGTACAGAGCAAGAGGAAAACAAGGGCAGAAGGCGCATGAACACCTGTATTTGGGGTGTGAGAAAGGAGGAGAGAAAAAGGAGAGACATGCGTGTGCACAAGACAGGAGGAAAACTAAGATGGTCTCATGCCAGGAAGCCAAAGAGGAGCAGGAGACTAGTCATGTCATACTACAGAGAGGTCAAAGGGGAACAGGACAAACAAGTCAGTCTATTAGATTTGGCAACTGGGACGTCATTGGTGACCTTCAATCAGCAGTTTCAATAGAAGGAGAGGCACATCTGCCGGACTGCAAGGGATTCTGAGATGCGTAGGAGTCAGGAAGCGCAGGCGGGGAGTGCAAGGGACTCTTTCCAGAATTGGGCAACATATGAAAAAAGAAATGTGTGGGTTGGTAGCATGAAGGGTTACTAAGGCCAATGCAACTTTTTAGAACAAGGAAGACGAAATGTGTTTTAAGACAGGGGAAAAAAGGAGCTGGATAACAATGAGAGAGAGAAGGTACTCAAAAGAGGGAGCTGATCTGGATATGCTCCAGAGTGAGTCAGAGGGGGACTGAATCATGAGGCAGCATTAAAATGGGGCCCTGAGAGGAGAGAGGCCCTGAGATGGGAGAGGAGGATTGGAGAGGTGAGGACAGGAAGTGGAGGGGGAAATAGGGAACTCAGCATCAACAACCTCCACTTACTCAAGAGCATCCATGGCTGAGAGAGAAGGGGTTGAGGGATGGCAGGATTGCTGGGGAACTTAAGGAAGGTAGGGAAAACCAGAGCTGCCCATGGAGGCAGCGTGACCAGAGACAGGGAGCAGGATGGGGTGAGTCAGAGGATAGTTGCATGGCAGGAGGACCCTGCAACAGTGAGATGGTGGGAATTCTAGTGGACAGAGAGGGTCTCAGCAGCACCAGGGACACACCCAGAGGAATGAAACTGATGAGGTGGGAAAGGTATGTCAATAACAACAAGATAACAATGAGGGCAGGATGTTCATTTATTTGGTGCCATCTAAAAAGGCCACACAAGGTGGATGCCCAGTAAGTGCTGAAAAGCGGGTACAGCCTGCCAGGTCTGAACTTGACAGCCGGGGTTCTCGGCCATGTTGCTCAAAATAATGTGCATACAAGGATCTTGTTAAAATGCAGATTATGATCCCACAGATCTGGGTGGGGCATGAGATTCTGCCTTTATAACAAGCTCCCAGGTGATGCCAAAGCTGCTGGTTCACTATGCTATTCAAGTCATGGACCACTTGAATAGCAATATTCTCGGACCGTCCCAGGACCCACATTGCTCATTGGCCAAGCCCACAGTGGAGTAGAGAGAGAAGAAAAGCTGCTTCTGTGAACTTTGTGGTTAACTCTCAATCATCCACACCAATTGAGGGTGGGGCGGGGTGGGGCGGGGGGTGTCTCTCCATGCTGTTTCAAAGCAGTACAGAATTCGTTATTTGAGGTTGAGGGTGGTTGAAGTGTGTTTTGGGCTTGTTGCTTTTCATCCAATAGATTTGCTCTCCTGATTACATTGTGCTTAAACTTTGATTAAAATGAACTTTTCTTTCCTGTGGTCAGAAAGGAAAGGCAGCAGTGGCTGACATTTGTAATCCCAGCACTTTGGGAGGCTGAGGTGGGCAGATCACTTGAGGTCAGGAGTTCGAGATCAGCCTGGACAACATGGTGAAACCCCATGTCTACTAAAAATACAAAAATTAGCCGGGTGTGGTGGCACACACCTGTGGTCCCAGCTACTCAGGAGGCTGAGATGGGAGGATTGCTTGAACTCACGAGGTAGAGGTTGCAGTGAGCAAAGATCACGCCACTGCACTCCAGACTGGGTGACAGAGCAAGACTCTGTCTCAAAAAAAAAAAAAAAAAAAAAAAGAAAGAAAGGAAAGGAGAGGCAGCCAATTAGAGGTTGGATTTTTAAAGTACATAATAATATGAAAAATTATCCACATGTGAATAATGAAAAGTCAATAGGATTGGGACATATGAAATCAATAAACAGTCTAATGAAATAAAGGTGAATGGTATCATAGGGAAAAAACCCTGGTTTCAGGGAAACAGGAGACAGGCTTAGTCCTGACTAACTCTACCACTTTGTGGCATTGAGGCAGGTCTCTCTCTCTGCACTTTTGTTTACCTTCGATGAAAGAGCGAGGCCAGAATTCACTAAGATCCTTTCTAGCTTTTCCATTAAAGAGACATACATGCAAACCTCCCAAATGCTGAAGGAGCTGAGACACCAAAGAAGGGGGCAGACAAATCCAGTTTGTTGGTACTGGGTCATTGATTCAGGGAATGTACAGACAAAAGTGTGGTCTTGGGCACCCACAAGACAGGTAGATCTCCGCACTGTTACTCCTCAGACCCAAGGCTTATAGACCACAGGGAGAGGGTACATGTGCTCTAGCAAGACAATCAAAGGCGACCCTCCGGAACAGGCGAGGATGCTATGTGCGTCATTGCCTGTAATTTGTCTGATGACATCAAGGTTGACATGTTCTTACTGTGGAGACAGTAAGTAAAGTGGGAATCAAGAGCCATTCCTGGGACTAAGGCTAATCAGAAGTGAACACGGCAGATCAGCATCCAAGATGAAGTCACTTTTGTCCCCACCCTAGCCCTAATATTCTATTATTGTAACCTGGAGAACTGTGACTGTAGAATTCTCAGAACTGAACACACCTCTTTTGCTTTCATTCACCAAACATTTACTGGACACCTACAATGTGCGGGCACTGGTGTTGGACTCATAACAGACTCAGTCCCTGTCCTCTGGCAGCTCCTGGTCTAGCTGCGGAAAGAAAAATGCAGTGCTGCCTAGTAAGTGCTAGAGTAGTCATCAGCCTGGGGTGCTAGGGGAGCCCCCAGAAGCACACAGACTCCAACTGAGGAAGGAAGCAAAAGGCTTCCCCGAAGTGACGATGTGAGCTGAGTCTTAAAGAATGGGTAGGTTCAGCTCAAAAAAAAAAAAAAAGAAAAAAAAGAAAAGAAAGAGAGAAAAGAAAAGAAAAAGAGAAAGAGAAAAAAAAGTGAAGGAAGAAGGAAGATGAAGGGCAAGTGAATGGTGCTTAATTCAGTGTGGCTGGAGCAGGGTACTATGGCAGCCTGGGAGAGACATCCCTCTCTGCAGAACATTCACAACAACCCCTCACTGCTGCTGCTACAGAGAGAACAGACACCACCATGTCCCCTCCCTTCACGGTCCTCTGTGAGGTTGCTCAAGCAATTCCTATCACAGGTTCAATACCTTGAACATCCAGCACAAAAATCACAGAATGGGAGCAGGGGATCCCAGGAGGGAGGGGAAAAGAAGAGGTGAAGGTGCTGAGCCACCAGAAAAGGTATTGATCAGAGTGGCTTGTGACTCTGCATAACTAAAACTAAACACCACTGTGGAAAGGGGCCAGGGCTGTGCATGGAAGGCACATGCGGCTCTTCCCAAGAATGAAGGGGGCTCCAGGCCAGCGCCCGGCTTCCTGTTCATTTGCCCACATATTTATATGGGGAAAGCAAAGCATGCAGCCTTTGATTGCAGTGCTTCCTAATCCTGCTGCTCATTAGAAATACATGGGGAACTTTTAAAAACTACCTGCATTCGGCACTCTTCAGAAGAGGTCAGTGTCATGAAAAAAGTGGAGAATGGTTCTAGATTAAAGGAAACTATGGGAAACACAACAACTAGATGCAATGTCTGATTTATTTTTATTTTTATTTTTTTGAGAGGGAGTCTCGCTCTTGTCCAGGCTGGAGTGCAGTGGTGTGATCTCGGCTCACTGCAACCTTCGTCTCCCAGGTTCAAGCAATTCTCCTGTCTTGGCCTCCTGAGTAGCTGGGACTACAGCCTACTGTAGTCTGCCACCATGCCCAGCTAATTTTTGTATTTTTTACTAGAGACGGGGTTTCATCACATTGGTCAGGCTGGTCTTGAACTCTTGACCTCAGGTGATCCACCCACCTCAGTCTCCCAAAGTGCTGGGATTACAGGCATGAGCCACTGTGCCTGGTGCAATGTGTGATTTTTGATTGGATCCTGAATTTAAAAAGCAACAACAACAACTATAAAGAATACTATAGGGAAACTAGGGGAAATGTGACTATGACTAGGTGACAATATTATAGCCATGTTCTTTGGTGTGACAATGGTATTGTGGTTATGTCGGAGGATGTATTTGGGGATGCAGATCCATGATGTATACAATTAAATGGTCCAGCAAAAAAAAAGTATGTGCTGTACATACACGGGGGATGGGGAAGAGCTGAGAAGGCAAATGTGGCAAACTGAATAAGCGGCGGATCTTGGTGAAGGCTACGTGGGTGTTCATTGTGCTGCTCTTCCAACATCCCCTTATATTTGACATTTTTCAAAATAAAATGTTAAATGAGACTCAGGGGATGGCTCCCTGCCTCTGGATCCCTGGGTTTTAAAAGCTCCCCAGGGGATTCGAATGTGCATAATCCTGCATCATATCATCTGCTGCTGACTTTAGCTTTTGCAGAGAGCCCCTGCTGGCTTTCAGAGCTGTTAGGACCCTGCAGGGCCACACTGCCCTGGAGAGAGCCTTCTCATTGTTCCCGTGCCTCTGCTTCTAGGAGAGAAGGGGCTGTGTCTCCACTCCTCTTTGATGACCTGAGACTCATGGAGGTCCTGCTCTGTAGGTGATGCAGCCTGCTCACACCAGGCAGGACACACACCGTCCTTCCACCTGCCACCCTGCACCTTACTACCTGCAGTGTGCACTGGTGTGGTCCATGCCCCTACCTCCTGAACAGTAGTTCATGTTCTCACTCCACCAAAGGCGCACCTCTGAGAGATGTATTACAGAATCCAATCCAATGAAACTCTGGCCTCATTCATCGCATGATTGGTGCACCGTTGCTCCCTTTGAGTTGGAATACGTCGTAGGCTGAGGTGGGAGGCCTGCAGAGCAGCAGCGACTCAGGTGTGCTGCAGGGAGAATATGCAGGTGCTCATCTTGTTCTGCCTAAATACCTGCTGCGGGCTGAATGAGCTGGCAGTGGGTGATGGGGCTAACAGAGTCAACAGAATCCTGCAGAACCAGGAAATGTTCACATGTATAAAAATACTAGGAATATTTTTGCCTCATGAAAAAAGATGAACTTCTATCTTTTAGGAAACAAATTGCTTTGGAAACTCTATTCTTAGCTCAAGAACTGGGTAGGGAGGCTTGAAAGAGGCAACCAGGCAGGTAAAGGCAGCAATGCTAATAGGAAAGCAGTAGCTCCCCATCAGCACAGCCAGGCTGATGAAACTCAGCGCCCTAACCATGATAACTAACACTGCAAAATGCTCCCTAGGGCACTGATTTTTCCAACTTAGCTGCACAGTGGAGTCACTTGGGGAGCTTTGTAAAATACTGATGCTGAGTCTCACCCCAGAGATTATGACTTAATTGGTTTGGGATGAATTCTGGGCATCAGGATTTTTAAAATTTCCCCCAGGTGATTCTAATGTGCGGCAAAGTTTGAGCCCCTCTGCTAAGCAGGCTTCATGTTCATTAACACATTCAAGCTGCCCATCGTGGCTCAGCTGGTCCGGTGGTCACGTCTACCTTGGCCAGCCCTCTGCCCTCATGAGTGCAGGCCCACGTGGGATGCACAGACACTAGGTCACTGGCTCCTCAAAATCTGGCCCCTCCAACAGGTAGAAAAAAGGTTTTGACCAGCCAGGACAGATGGACCTTGAGAGGTCAGAAGTGTTTCCTGCTCTGGAAAAAAACAGGGCAATGGTTTGCCTCTGCCTGCATACTGGAGCTATCTTGGCAGCATTTATAAAATGCTGAGGCCCTAACCTCACCTCCTGAGTTTCCAATTCAATGATGAGGTTCGGACATGGAAATTAAAAGCTAGCCCTTACAACCAATGTGTTTCTGCAGGCCCAGGACAGTAAAGGTAGAGGATACTATCTCAGCGAAGTCTCCCCCGACCAGCAAGGACAGGGCCCGAGGAGTGGGGAAGAAATGAGAGGGAAGGGAAGAGAGGGGAAAGAGAAGTTAGGATCTTGGTGTCTGCAAGGTCTCTAGTAGAAGTCTCCACCTTGGCAGGCCATCAGAATCCTCTGAGAGCTTTTGAAAACACCACGGTCTGTGCCCCCTTGACCAATCAGGTGAGACTCTCTGGGGGTGGGGTCCTGCATCTGGATCCTTGGGTTTTAAACGTCCCCCAGTGGGTTGAAATGTGCTGCTGAGATTGAGAAAGCTGGTCTCTGAGAAGAAGTTCCTGACTGCTCAATTCTGCATCTACCTTGGGCTGCGCCTGGGGCTGAGGACAGAAGGCCGCCTCTGCAACAGGCCAGCCTGCACCCTGGAGCATCCAGTCATGGTGACGCTGGTGTGGGGAAACAGACACTCTCTTATACTGCTGGTGGGAATACATCTGCTTTGACCTGTCTGAGAAAGTAATCTGACAATTTTAAGAAAAGTATAAATTTATATACCCTCTTGCCTGACGATCCCACTCCTGGGATATAAGCCCACAAAGGTATTTACTGCAGGGTTGGGGCCAAATAAACAGAACTGAAAACATACATAAGGTCTATAAATATGAAAATGGCTAAATAAATTGTGTGTACTATGGAATATTATGAAAGCTTGTGTAATTATTTTTAAGAGAAACCTATAGCTATTGACCTACAAGGGTATCGGTGATGTAATGGTATGTGGGGAAAAAACTAGTTATAGGAAAACAACTTTTCCATTATTAGGAAAGAGAAACAAAAAAAAAACTGAGCTGGAGTGTATATCTGTGCATACATGTATTTGTCTATCTAAATGCAAGTGGAGATACAGCATGACGGGAGGATACAAACCCAGCTTTTATGTCAGAGAGTTAGGAAGGACAAGGGTGGGGCAGCTTATTAATATTTTCTTCATATCAACTTTGCATCATTTTACTAGTGAAAATATGAACATATTATTTTTATAACTGAAACAATTAATAACGAAAAATGAAATAGCATGCTCCAAGGAAAGACTGCCTGGATTTAAACCCCAGCTTTGCATGTACTAGCTTATGTTACTTAACTTCTCTGTCCCTCAATTTCCTCCTCAGTGTAAAGGGGACCATAACGATGTCTACATCCCAGGGCTGTCGCGAGTGAGATCATCCAACCAAGCACTTTGTACAACGTCTGGCATATTATACCACATATAATACCTTAATAAATGTTGTTATAGAAAAAAACACTTAAGCCTCTGTTGCGAGCTGAATGTTCATCTCCCCATAAAATTCACATGTTGAAACGCTACCCCCTAATGTGATGGTGTTAGGAAGTGGGGTCTCTGGGAGTTGATTAGGATTAGATGACAACATGAGGGTGGAGCCCTCGTGAATGGGATTAGTGTCCTGATAAAGGGTGCAGAGAGAGCTTGCCCCTCCACCATGTAAGGCTGCAGCAAGAAGACAGCTGTCTATGAACCAGGAAGTGGCCCTCTACAGATGCTGAATTGTCTGGCACCTTAATCTTGGACTTCCCAGCCTCCAGAGCTGTGAGAGATACATTTGTGTTGTTAAGCCACTGAGTCTAGGGTATTTTGTTATAGCAGCACAAAGATAGCCACTGAGAACCAATCTTCCATGTCTAGCTAACCTCGCCTCCTCCAGCAAAAAAAAAAAAAAAGAACCCGAGCCCCCCTTCCACTCTCTGCATAGCAGTGTGACACCCCCTAGTGGCCTCTCCAGAAGCTTATGCATGCCATGGCTTCCGGGCAGCCAGCATAGCACCATGGGTGGTCAGGGCCCTTCATCACTTCCTTCAGCCCCAGCATGGGTCAATGCTGTCCTGCTCTCAAGTGACAACTTCTGGGCAGTGAAGTGCCTGGGATCTCCTGGGAAGGGACATCCCATAAACAAAAATAATTACAATAATTACATGACTTTGGCCCTACTCAGCAAGTGGCACCTCTGCAGAAGTTCACATGGCAGATGTGGATTTTGTCCTGACTCTGTGCCTGCTGGGGAAACAGGCACTGGAGCTAATTAGAATGACGAATGACCCATGCCCTGTCCAACATGTGTTGAGCCAACCATCTAGGTCCAGGGGACAGGCTCTGCACTCTGCTCCCTGCAAGAGGTGTGGTAGCATGGAGAGGCAGGACCCAGTCCCTTCTGTTTGGGCCCTTTCTCCAGGAGAATGATGGGAGAAAGTATTCACAGACTTTACTGAGGATAACTTTGCTTTTGATCTTGATAAACACAATAAAACCCAATGAAAGAGGATCCAAGTCTTGCCCTTTCTTTCTCTAAAGCACATCTGGGATAATGAGAAAGTGCTAGGAAAATTAAAACCCAGAAACTCACTATTCACTCTATTTGCCATTCACCAAAGAACAGAATTCAAGGGCAGGTAAATCATTTCTCCTAGCCAATGGGATGTTGTTTCCATGAAAACTCTTCTCTAGTGCAGAGATCCTGTTGCAGACTGAAACATGTCCTCCCAAATTTTATACGTGGAAGCCCTAACTCCCAGTACCTCAGAATGGGACAGTAAGTATTTGGAGACAGAGTCTTCAAAGAAGCAATTAGGTTAAATGTGGTCATTAGGGTGGGCCCTATTATTGCCAAGACCCTATTAACCTCACTAGGGAGGGTACCAGATTCAAGAGTCTGAAGAAGAGACCCAGAGCTAGCAAACAAGACGTGGGGTTTTATTAGTGGCCTCCATACAGGGGAGAGAGTCCAGTGGTGGCAAGCTGGACAGGAGAACTACCTTATATACAGAAATGGTCCAGCGGTGATGGGCTGGACAAAATATCCGCCTTCCTACAGTGCAGTGGCAGTGGGCTGGACAACACATCCACCTTCCTACAGTCCAGTAGGCGGTGGGCCAGACAAGATAACCGCAGGGCCCAGTGGAAGCAGGGCAGGCAAGAAAACCACAACCTCCTGCAAACATCATGCAGCTTATAAGACATTTTCATTTAACACTCTCCCCTAATGACCCCCACATGGCAACCTTCATTCAACCCAAAGCTCAGGGCCTCAATCCCCTGTGCAGTGCATGTCCCTGACAAGTGGGACAGGTAGGGGGTGAGGGGCTCAGATTTTTATCATAGATAAGGTATGAATCTCTGGGTTGGCCACACACAGGTTCCCCAGCTTGGAACACACATTCAGATGCATCTGCCATATAGGGCCATTCTAAAGGTATGCTTAAATTATTGCTGTCAGATGGATTTACCCTATAGACCCTAACCTGGTATGACTAGTGTCCTTAAAGAAGAGGAAATTAGGACACGGACACACAGAGGAATGATCACGTGGAGACAGTGAGAAGGTGGCCATACACAAGCCAAGCAGAGAACCCTCAGAAGGAACCAACCCTGCCGACACGTTGATCTAGTACTTCTAGCCTCCAGACCTGTGAGAAGAAGAATGCCTGTGGCTAAAGCCACCCAGCTGCTGTGTTATGGCACCCCTGGCTGACATTCAGCTGCCGAAGGGCCAGGAGAAGGGGGTACAGTGTCCTCTGAAGGTTCTTTCTCTCAAGACATCAGTTTCAACAGTCTCTTGAGGTTGAAACAATGCCTTTGGTCAAAACTTCTTAGCCCATTTTTGACTTGGAGGGTGAGAATCAGTGGAGAAGAGATGGTAGTCAGACTAGAGAAGAGAACAGGGCCCATCCGCATGAGGCTAATGGTGGATCCTGGGAATGGTTATGCCCGGGAATGTCCAGGGATGGTGCCAAGCTTGCTCTGAAAAACTCAAAGATGTGGAAGTATTCTGGGAAAAGTAGGGAAACGTGTCTTCAATCCCTAGAGCATGGAACATAAGGACTATCAGAAAGGGCAGGGATTTGGGTGTGAATCCAGACCCTGCACTTACTAAGTGACCTCTCAGCTCCCCATCTCCACATCACAGCAGTGTGGTAAGAACAAGTGAAACACTTGTAAAGCATGTAGCACATGTAAAGCATGTAGCAGTCACCATGGAGTTTGTTCCACTCATTCATTCATTCATTCATTCCATCAGCAAAGCATTACTGGCTATGTGCTGCGCTGGCTGCAGGCAGAGTTCCGCAAGTGAACCAGATTCACAATTAGTGCCCTTACTCATCTTCTAGTCTGCTAAGGAAAGCACGCTTTTTACAAATTATTATACCTTCTGAATTCCACCTATACCTACCTTCCTTTTAAAGCCCAGAATATGTGTGCTTGAAATACATTATCAATAACTCAGAATGACCCAGCATTGGCAATTGGTATCACCACTGTCAAAAAATGTGAAGTACCCAATGGCATGTATTAAAGTCTAGCTCATGCAGAGACTTCTACAGTTTCTCTCAGAAGACATATAGTTTGTCATTTATCAGTACACCCTGCCTAAGTGGTTCCTTTATTTGGTTCCCACCAGGACACCAGTGGCACTGGTGCTACCTTATGCTGGTGCGCTGAGTGGTAACAGCAGTGATGTCACCACTAAAAGGCCACAATAGCAGAGCTGTTCTTGCTGCGTGTTCCCCGCCTACCTCCTTGTGCTATAATCGGTGATCATTGTCCTCCAGAATCTCATCATTGCTTTGACCATTTGGCTGATACAGAAAGGAAACAGGATGGCTTTTCTGTCCCTTTATAATAATGGCACTTTGCATTTGTATAGCACATTTAACTTATTCAGTGCATTTTCTTGTCTACTGCTGGGTCTTATCCTAATGAAACAAAACTCCATGAGTTGTGTAATTGTCTGTGCCACACAGACAGCTCAGAAATCAGAGCCAGTGAAACTCAGTTCTGGAGGAGGACCAATGCCCCAAATTGCTTAAGGAATAACAAGTCCCATAGAAGTTACAAATGGAGCCAGCATGATAACTCGGCAATGCAGCTTTTCCGTGGGGAGAAGATATGTCTGGAGCATGCGAATTAATTCAGCACAAGCTGGGAGCTCAGAGGAATTCTCTCTTATTGTCCCCACCTAGGTACAGGCTGGCATGGTTTTACCTTTAGAGAGGGGCAGTAGGAGTTGGAAAGAGTGAGAGGCAGAGACTGGATAATGCAACCAAGAATAAGAGGTTATTAGGATTTGTAAGATTGGCCCATTTTGTGGCCCAGAAACAGGACCCAGAAATGTTTCTTGCTTCTTCAGCAATTTGGAAAAGGGCAAGAATGAGTGCCTGGAAGGGTGAGCATTCTGGGGGTTGAAAAACAGAATCTTTACTTCTCATCACATTCTGGAAAATGAAGCATCTGGAAGCAGAGTTCCCACCATGAAAAGCACGTGGCTCGTGGATGACTTGCAATGAGTCATCCCACTGGGCTGACCATCTCCCTGGAATTTAGGAAGTAACTCCTTCAGTCCACTTGGGCACCTGTTGGCAAATTATTGCTTTTACTCTGCTACCATTTTGAAAATTACGGCTCTCTAAATCATACCCTGGAGAACGGAGAGAGTGAAAATGCCTCCCCACCTGCACTATTCTCCCACTCAGTGATCCTCAGCTTGGCTACACATTAGAATCATCTGGAGAGCTGTTAAAAAAACAAGTGCCAAGCTGCACTTCAGAAATTCCGGGGGGCGGGACAAAGGCAGCAGGATTTTTTAACCTCCGCAAGCAATTTCGGCGTACAGCCAAGGTTGCAAACTAGCGCTCTAACTAGGTCCACTACAATGCTCCCCCACTGGGCACTGAGGGTGCTCTGATGTGACAAGCACGTCACACCTGTCATGGCCTTTCTCTGGTCTTCTCCACATGCCTTTATCCCATGCTCAGCAGTGGGAATTCCTGCTCACGCATTATGAAAATCATAGCCCATGGTATTTGTGGTTGCCAGTCTCGTGTTGACTAAACTTTGCAGCTAGCTAACATGCATCTGACACCATGCTAAGCAATGTAGCAGTTGCAGAAACCAGAAGGACGGTATCCTTGTCTTCAAGAATACAACTGTGTAAAATACATGTCCAGGCAACTATCATATAAGGTGCTAGGTGATCAGCGCTTTGAGGGACTCTCAGGCAGGAATGCAGAGAAAAAGCAAGATTTCTTTTAGCTGTACTGAGCATGTCTTCACAACTGACACACCACATACACACACACACACACACACACACAAATTTATCCCCTTCAGCACATAACAACCAACTATGTACATGGTAGGTGCTAAATGAATTCCAGTTGAAAGAATGAATAAATTCAGATTGGTACCTATTGGGCTGTTCCATCAAAGCCAACAGCCAGCACTTCCCAGCTCCCCACAACCCATACAATGCCCAGCCTCCTCCAGGTCCCACTTAATATCATTCAACCTGTGACACCTCGTCTTGCTCCTCTCCCACCTCACATTCCTGCCCTTAGTTTTCCAGAGTGCACATCAGTGGCTGTGTGCCCTGCACAGGCTGCGCTGCTGACCGACTTCCTCCATGAGACAGAGATCTGCAGCCGTCCTCCTAAGTCCTCACTCCCATTTCTCTGGAATAAAGTCCCTGATGTTGAGCTGAGCACACAGCCCCACAGAATCAAGACTAGATTCTGCCATTTGCCTAAGATCTGGCCAAACAGTTAAAGAGAAGTGGTGTGTGTGACTTCTGGGTCACTTCCTTCAAAGAAATGGCCCTTTTCCTCTTGCCTCCTCCATCCTGCTACTTGAAAGGAGGTCATGATGTGATGTCCTCATGGTCCACATGGACAAGGAAATTCCCTGAAAATGACAGAGCTCCAAAGATGGGAGGAGCCTGGGTCTCTAGACAGCTTTGTGAGGCCGAGTCCCACCCACCCCATTCCAGCCTGGACAGGCCTCCCAAGGCAGAGTGAGCCCCATCATGTTTCAGTCACGGTTATAGTGGGTCTCTGTTACTCACAGACCCAAACCCATATCCCAATACGCTTTCCTGCCTCTCACACATCCTACGATCCCAGAGTTCCTTGTTACATTAATGAGAGGAGAAGGATATTATGAAAACCCAAATTGTTTCTGTCAGAACAATCAATGATTTGGTGACTTCTCATAGCAAAACTCCCAAGAGTCCCTAAATCTTTATTGCTGAGAAGGTCAGGCTGTGACAATCTGCTCTGCCTCTGCCGATGAATGCAGTAAGGGGACCAGCCTAGTTTCATCTGGTCCAGACTACAGGGGAGCCTGAGCGATCATCATTCTTTTCACAGGCCCTGCAGAGATTGGCCCCTAGGGCAGTGGTAAGAAGCTCTGTAAAGTTATGGAAAATAACGGACTCCTATGAATGTGAGGAATTAGAAGCAGCAAGGGTTGAGGACTGTGAACATGGACTCTGGGACCAGACCTATGAGCTGGGTGACCTTGAACAAGGTACTGACCATCTGGTGAGCAGATAATTTCACCCAACTCACAGGGTTGCTGTGAAGGTTCGGTTCACAGCAGTTCCAGGCCTCTCTGTAAACCTGCTGAACCTGAACTTACCAGAATTGAGGGGACTGCATTAGTTAGGGCTCTCCAGTAAAACAGAACCAACAGGGGTGTGTGTGTGTGTGTGTGTGTGTGTGTGTGTGTGTGTTTAGAAAGAGAGAGATTTTAAGGAACAGGCTCATGCAACTGTAGAGATTTGGTAAGTTCAAAATCTGCAGAGTGGGCTGGCAGGCCAGAGACCCACGGAAGAGTCAAGTTGTGGTTGAAGTCTGAAAGCCGACTGCTGGCCAAATCCACTCTTGCTCAGGAGAGCTCAGTCTTTCTGCTCCAGTAAGGCCTTCAACTGATTGAGTGAGGCCCACCCACAGAAGAAAAGATAATGTGCTTTACTCAAAGTCCAATTTATTTTTTAAATTTTATTTCAATAGTTTTTGGGGAGCAGGTGGTGTTTGGTTACATGGATAAGTTCTTTAGTGGTGATTTCTGAGATTTTGGTGCACCCATCACCTGAGCAGTGTACACTGTACCCAACGTGTAGTCTTTTATCCCTCACCCCCTCCCACCTTTCCCCCAAAATCCCCAAAGCCCGTTATATCATTTTTATGCCTTTGCATTCTCATAGCTTAGCTCCCACTTATAAGTGAGAATATATGATATTTGGATTTCCATTCCTGAGTTTCTTCACTTAGAATAATGGCCTCCAGTTCCATCCAAGTTGCCGCAAAGGCCTTTATTTCATTATTTCATTCCATTTCATGGCTAAGTAGTATTCCATGGTGTATACATGCCACATTTTCTTTCCACTCGTTGGCTGATGGGCATTTAGGTTGGTTCCATAATTTTGCAATTACAAATTATACTACTATAAACATGTGTGTGCATGTGTCTTTTTCATATAATGAAAGTCTGATTTAAATGTTAACCTCATCCAAAAAATACACCCTCACAGAAACAACCAGAACAATGTTTGATCACATATCTAGGCACCGTGACCTAGCCAAGGTGACAGATAAAATTAACTATCCTGGGTGGATAGGAATCTACCTTGCGGAGTCGTATGTTTAATCATCAATCCAGATTCAACGTGAGGAACAGCCAGGTTTAGGGACCCTCTCAATGACACAACCTAAAGTCCCTGACAGTTTTAGGGTTTCTTCTCCTGCTGCCATGAGGGCTGCTGGACTTCTTTACTTTTTGAAACTGGTTGTGACGGCCCCACATTCATCTCAAAACCAACTTTCTGTTGTGTCTCAGGTGAGGAAGGTGTTCTCTCCACACACAGCCAGGACATAGCAACTTGTGGAAATGCTCCCAAGTCCAGGGCTCAGCTCATCCTGGGCTGTCTGCAAAGGAGCTGGCAGCTGGCAACATCTGTCTGCTGTCAACTTCTCTGGGTGGAAGCTCTTGTCCCTCTCCTCTCCTCCTCCACAGATCCAGTTCTCCAGACCCTGGGGAGCCATCCTGGCATTGCTTAGGAATCCCCAGAACATCTACCAAACACTCAAGTCACCAAATATTTCCCAGAGTGTCTCTCTACCGTGGCCCCCCATGGGGCATTTTCAAAATACAGATGACTAGACCCTCGCAAGAACTACTGGAGCAGATCTTCTGGAAGTGATTCTTAAGCAGATATATGTTGAAACATCTCCAGAGGTGATCTTGATATGCAAAAAAATTAGAAACCACCAGTTCCACTAATGACGAATACTGGAGACCAGCAGACTCTAACATTTGCTACTTCCTGATACGATCCTAGCATAGGAATTTTCACAATCAAGGCAGCAAGGTCTGACTGAAGAATATCCACACCCTTTGCCCCTAACTTTGTAGTCCCCCCATGCTGACCAAAGCTTGAAAAGGTGCTTGCGCATTTCCACTTCTTCTCTTGCTTCTCTGTTACACCAGGAGAACAAGCCTCAGGTGGTCGCTGGAGGATGAGATGTGTCTGAGGCTGACTGAGATGAGCTAATGGCCTGCTGCCCACCAGATACAAGAATGAGCTCCAGCCAAGACCAGAAGAACATCCCCCCTGCCCAAGCGCAGCCAAGGTCAACAGAACTGACCACATGACCCATGGACTCGTGAGAAATAAATTATGGTTGCTGTAAGCTGGTTTGATACCTTATTATCAGGGCAATAGAGAACTAACAAGGATAGGGCCAACCAGCTACCCAGATCCCCAGTGAAAAGCCAGTGCCCATGTGTTAGGGATTTGTTTGTAAAGTCTTCAGTTCGCCTGCTGCGGCCCTAGGGAAGGAGTGAAGTGAGGACAAGTCCCCTCCAACTTCTGGTTCAGCAACCCCATGACAGCACCACAGTTTACGCATCAAGGAAAATGTTCCCTCTTTCCCTCTGACTAACAAGGAGTTTGCCACGGAAAGCGTCTGAAAATAAATTATACATGAGACATGGTTTCTGAACTAGTTACAACTTTTGTTCCAGGATATTTTTACCTCTCTTCAAATATTCCCTCCAGGGGTGAACTACCCTACCAAGAAGTTAAATGAAATTAGAAAAAGAGCCTTAAAAGAATCCACTCGGACCCATCAACAGTGAGCCAAGCATCTTACAGGCTCCCTGAGGCCCTATGTGGTTTCGGTATCCGTAGCTTCCCTTTAAAACAGCTGAGCCATGTTACTGTAGCGGTGGTCCTTAAGGAGCATGTTTCGAAAAGAAGCAGCAATCTCCCTTATAATGTGGTGATCAGAAATGTGGACTCTGGTCACATGGGCTTGCCTTCAAATCCCAGCTCTATCACTTAAGAAATAGGAGACTCTCGGATATATACTTAACCTCTCTAAGCCTCAATTTCCTTTTCTGTTAAGTGTGGCTTTTAATAATGACTACTTCATAGGGTTGTTGTGAGATTAAAGGAGTTAATACTTTTAAAGGCATACAGTAGTCAGCATCACTATTTCCATGCTTTAGAAATCCTCCCAAGAAACAGAGAATTCTGATCTAGAAAACTTCTGCGTCAAGGATGGTCTCTCTACGGCACTCCACACAACTGCCTTTGAGTTTACGTATCCCTTTTCACGTATCATGTCCCTCAATTAAAATATGCCATTCCCTCCAGAGCCCTGTAGGAAGAACCGTATTAACAGCTAAAAAGAACTGAAATGAAGTCAATCCCTTGTGGCGAGGAGTGCCAGTAATTAGAGAAAAAAGGCACCATCTTCTCCATTCCTCCCAGTTGTTTTTAGAGACTGGGTCTTACACTGTCCCAGGATGCAGTGCAGTGGCATGACCTTGGCTCACCGCAGCCTGAATCTCCTGGACTCAAGTGATCCTCCCACCTCACCCTCCCTCCTGAGTAGCTGGGACTACAGATGTGCACCACCGTGCCTGGCTAATTTTATTTTACTAACTTTTTGTAGATATGGGGGTCTCACTATGTTACCCACACTGATCTCAACCTCCTGGGCTCAAGCAATCCTCCTGCCTCCCAAAGTGCTGGGATTACAGGCACAAGCCACTGCGCCCTGCCCTTTCCAGTTGTTAGCACATGACAAATACTGTGCACCAAAGCAACATAGATCTTTCTCTAAGTTCTGGTTTATAAATGTACTTAGTAGCCCCCACTTAGGTCAAAGAAATTTGGACAAAGCTTGAAACCATCTATTTGTAAATTTGTAGAGTCAAAGAATGGCTGGACTCTGGCAAAGAATAAGATCACTTTAAGAAAAAAGTTTTCCCCTTTTAGAAGTGCCACATGCTTATGGTATCAATGAGATACCAGGAGCTAAGATACTCTGCCCAATGAGAGAATGAAAATAATCCATCCACTACAGCTTTTTACATCTACGCATGTCAGGAATGTTGCCATGAGAATGTTATGTAACAAACCATTCCAAAATACAGTGCCTTAAAACAATAACCATTTATACTTGCTCCCACATCTAAAGGATGGTTGGCAGTCACTGGCTCTAGCAGGCTTGGCCTTGAGATACAGGTGGGCTCAGGTAGGTTCCCCATGCCTCTCATCCTCCTTGAACCAGTGCATTGGTCTTGTCAATGACAGAATTTCGGAAGGGAACACAGGAATATCCAATGACTCTCACAGCCTTGACACACACTCCCACGCCTGCCCACTTTGCAGTGGACAAGTCCTGTCACCTGGCAGAGCCAAGTATCAGTGGGGAGAGGAAATATACTCTGCTTATAGGAGGAGGAACTGCAAAGTCATAGTGCAAAGGTCACGGAGACCAGGCTGAGTTGCTTCAGGGGCCTGTGACCTGTGCAGCTGCACAAGGCCCTGAGCTGGGAAGGGCCCCATCTTTGGTTGAATGTTTGGCATCAGTTTCTGACATGGAGCCTCACATTGCCATTTCTCACCAGGCCCTGCCAATTATGTAGACAGTCCTGGAGAGAGGGGAGGGTAAGGAAGCATTAATAATAATGCAATCTCCTCATTTAACAAGACTGACTTTTCACTGGGAAAGTGTCATATCCACTTCCCATCTCTTCCAACCCCTGCTTTCAGAACCACATCATGGAATTTGTGCAGTGGGTTCAGGCTGCTACTGGCAGCCTCACTTCACATCATAACTCCTCCGTAAGACAGAGCTGTGGCTCTGGGAAGCTTTAACAAGAAACCGACACAGGTGCCCATTAGTGGGAGCACCGGTGGTCATATCACCACTGCATTTCCGGTACTATACCTGGAGCACCTGCCCCTTCCCAGCAGGCTCTCCAATAAACTCAATGGCCCACTCACCCTCAAAGCCTACCCACACACCCTTCTCCTCCATGTGGTGATGAGAATGCCCAATGAAGAATGAAAATAATCCACCCACTACAGCTTTTTATATTCACAAATGTCAGGGAAAACCTGCAGTGGGACTGGACAAATCCTTGGGGAAACTGGGACATGAATTGGAGAATCACAGAATTGTCAAGCCAGAAGGGACATCCCAAACTATGCAACTAAATGTCCCCAACATTGGGCAGCCTCAATCTAACTCAAAATCATCTCAGACATGAACTTGTCTAATGTGATCTAAGGGGCCGGGTGCCTGTAATCACGCTTGTAATCCCAGCACTTTGGGAGGCTGAGGAGACTGGATCACCTGAGGTCAGGAGTTCGAGACCAGCCTGGCCAACATGGCATAACCTCATCTCTACTAAAAATACAAAAATTAGCCAGGCATGGTGGTGCATGCCTGTAGTCCCAGGTACTCAGGAGGCTGAGGCAGGAGAATCACTTGAACCTGGGAGGCAGAGGTTGCAGTGAGCCGAGATCGTGCCACTGCACTTTAGCCTGGACAACAAAGTGAGACTCTGTCTCAAAAAATAAAAAATAAAAATGAAAATAACTAACTTGGTCTAAGGGATGTGAACATTTCACAACCAGTCCCAAAGTTTGATGACTACCACTGATGAAGCACATTTCTCCTTATTCTCATACCAATCATTTGGGCTCACATTTAAGTTAATTTCCTCGAACCACTCGCTAAACTTGCAGATGCAACAGGAGTCAGCCTCCTCCCCACGAGAACCCTTTATATGCCCAAAAGCGGCAGTCACACCAACCTCTGCCTTCCAGGATGCTTCCTGCTCCCAAACCTGCACTTTGTAGGGGCCCCACAGAGCTTATGATGTGCTCTGGTGGGGAGAGCTGCTCAAGAGGCAACTGGCTCTTGCCACAAAAAAATGAATCATGAGCACAAGTCAACACAAGAATCCTGCAGTTCAGACAATTACCCAAAGAACACATTTTCTGATAATTATAGAGCTAAAAACAGATCCAGTTTGAAAATCCCTTCCTTTCTCCCAAGAAAGCTGAGGAGGTGGTTTAACAACAATCAGCTGCTGAGATGCATCACATTCTAGGGTGTTTAGGAGGCTCGTTCCAAGAAATTCTTGGAAGGTGCAGTTCCCAGAAGGTGGTGCTGCTAACTAGACCCATTAACCCTCCCCGCCATCCCCAACATGTGCTCACAGCTTGGGAATCGGAACTCAGAAGCCCATTCAAAACGAGAGAGACGGGAGGGAGGAGGCCCAGGCCGGCCCACCGTGTGATGCTGCTCAAACACTAAACGGCACTAACCTAAGAAAATGGGAGGGGATGCTAAGAGGGGATGCAACCAGCCAAGGATTATCTCGGCTGGCCAAGTGTGTGCTTAGTGATGTCATAAAGGGTTTTAGGTAGAACTTAAGGGTCAGGATGATAATAATAACATTTAATATGCATTGCACACTTATGAGCCAGATGTACCATATTACCTCACTTAATTCTCACACACCTCTATGAGCACGGTCCTGTTATTTTTACCCCTAGTTTACAGTCACATTGAGGCACACACTGTGGGTTACATGGATAATAAGGGCAGAGGCAGGATTGGAAGCAGTAGATGTTTGCACGCTTCACCAAAACCTTCCAAATATAAAAGTCCCGGAAGTGGCTGAGAGCAGATATTAGGATGGTTGAAATACAGACTACAAGGGGGCAGAGGGTATAAGCATTATGGAAGAAAATCGGACTGAAGAAACTGTAGGTCAGAGATCTTCTGTGTCAATAATGAATACAATATTGAGTTAAATTCAATTTTTAAATACAAATCTTTTTTTTTTTTTTTTTGAGACAGATCTTTGCTGTTGTTGCCCAGGCTGGAGTGCAATGGCGCGATCTCGGCTCACTGCAACCTCCACCTCCTGGGTTCAAGCGATTCTCCTGCCTTAGCCTCCCGAGTAGCTGGGATTACAGGCGCCCACCACCACGCCCGACTAATTTGTGGGGGTTTCACCATGTTGGCCAGGCTGGTCACCGACCTCAGGTGATCTGCCCACCTCGGCCTCCCAAAGTGCTGGGATTACAGATGTGAGCCACCGCGCCTGGCCTATATAAGGAGTAAATGTAGTAAAATATGTAAATTTTGTAGTATGTCACGGACAGTACTGAAATGAAGAAATGGAAAGATTATTGACTAAGCCAGTGTTCCCAAGAAGAAGGATTTAGATGACAGAAGTCCCAGAAAGTTGGCACTCATTCACTCACTTACTTAGTAAATACTCACCGAGCACCTTCAGTGGGCTATGCGTTCCTCTACATTCTATGTCACAGCCCATGACAGTGAATGAAACAAAATTGCTGACCATCCAGAACTGGCATTCTAGTGAGAGGAGACAGACCTGCATGCCCAGGACCTAAATGCCTTTGGGAGAACAGTGTTACCAACTTAAGCTAAATAACATGTGAGCTACAGTCAGACCTCAAGGGCCAGACAGACAGAAGCACCTATAATTTGAAATTACATTCAGAAAGAAATTATGTTGAAATCACCCTCCTAAACTTAATAAAACAAAATTGCTTGACTTTTAACAAAAGCATAAGCTTTAAACAGAAGCATAACTAAGCATTAACCAGCTTGCCCTATAGCCCATCTCCTTATAGCCGCTTACTGCTTAGTCCCATCGCCTCTGTCACAAGGTCCTAACATCTACAGGTAACATCCTTAACATTAAAAAACCTCAAGTTTCCCATTTGAGATATTTTCTAGATCCTGATTCCATCAGGCCCCCTGACACCAGCCAGTCTGCAGACTCCCTCCAAGGAACGGACTTAGTACAAGAATGAAGTTTCTACATCCTTATGATTTCATCTCCCATGTCCTAACCAATCAGCAACCCCCAGTTCTTCAGCCAAAATTCCCTCTAAAATCCCAGCCCAAAACTTCTCGAGGAGGTGGATTTGAGATTCCCTCGTGCCTTGTTTGGCTGCCATACAATTATTAAGCTCTTTCTCTGCTGCAACTCCCACCGTCTCAGTGTATTGGTCTGTTACTGTGCAAGGGTGCAAAGCTGGTGGTCCTGGTACGAAGCTGGTGGTCCTGTAACAATGATGACATCACTGAAAACAATCTCAGGTATCCAGGGCACACAAAAGAACTAATAACCAATTGTTAAAAGTAGATGTGCTTAGGGCAAGAGGACTGGAGGAGGAGGGAGATTCCACAAAGAAAGAAAGCAAGCTGGGCTGGGCATGGTGGCTCATCCTTGTAATTCCAGCATTTTGAGAGGCCAAGTTGGGAGCATCACTTGAAGCCAGGAGTTTCAGACCAGCCTGGACAACAAAGCAAGAACCCATCTCTACAAAAAATAAAAAAGTCGGCCAGGCATGGTGGTGCATGCCTGCAGCTCCAGCTACTCAGGAGGCTAAGGTGGGAAAATCACTTGAGCCCAAGGAGTTCAAGGCTGCAGTGAGTTATGATTGCACCCCTGCACTCCAGCCTAGGTGGCAGAGAAGACCCTATCTCAAATAAATAAATAAAGTTGTAGGTACATGGCTTATTTCTGCCTTGAGTTAGTGAAGAGGTGCTGGCCACTCCAGTGCTACTCCCCGTGGGAGCTAGAAAACTGTCAGGCTGCAGAAGGTGTGATCACGCAGCCACAACACCTAAAGTCTTGAAGTCACTGTCTCATGTCCTCTGATGCCTACCTTTTCTCCCCGGTATTTTCCACGACGATGAGTAGCAACTGCATTTGACCTCCCAGAAGCTGCAGCAGAGGCAGTGGCGTGGGAAAAAGGAGCATGTACAAATGAAAGGGGCAAAAGGCAGGAAGAGGTAGAGTACAGTGTTCCTTGGAGTAAAATGCCTCAGTTTATTGTTTATAGGAACTTATGCAAACGATATGCAAATCTGCAAAAAGTAATGCTAATTCTTGCATAGTGTGCTTACTTTCATACCCTTAGCTCTGGGCTGCAAGTCTGTGGGCCACAGGACCTTGGCCATTGCCTGCTGCCTGGCCGGAGTCACTGGTCAAGCAGCATAAAAGAATAAGCAAGGATAAAAGGTGATGGATATGGAACATTGTTCTGCCAGAGAATACAGGATGGTATATCCAGGATGGGAGAAAAAAGGGCAACTTGGAGTCTGAAAGGCAAAACTTTGGTTTTGTCTTGATCCATTTGATGTCACTTAGGCATCAAGTCTTAAAGAACAAACCCAGAGACTATAGAAGTACTAGCTGGACATCCCATTACTGGGCATATACCCAAAGGATTATAAATCATGCTGCTATAAAGACACATGCACACGTATGTTTACTGGGGCACTATTCACAATAGCAAAGACTTGGAACCAACCCAAATGCCCATAAATGATAGACTGGATTAAGAAAATGTGGCACATATACACCATGGAATACTATGCAGCCATAAAAAAGGATGAATTCATGTCCTTTGTAGGGACATGGATGAAGCTGGAAACCATCATTCTCAGCAAACTATCGCAAGGACAGAAAACCAAACACTGCATGTTCTCACTTATAGGTGGGAACTGAACAATGAGAACACTTAGACACAGGAAGGGGAACATCACACACCAGGGCCTGTCGTGGGGTGGGGGGAGGGGGGAGGGATAGCATTAGGAGATATACCTAATGTAAATGACGAGTCAATGGGTGCAGCACACCAACATGGCACATGTATACATATGTAACAAACCTGCACGTTGTGTACATGTACCCTAGAACTTAAAGTATTAAAAAAAAAAGTAGTACTGGCTGGAGCAGGTTATGGGTCTCCAAGACATTATCTGGAAAAATAATTTATAAATTTGTGAATTCATATTATGTTATTTTCCTAATCATTCTTTATTCCTTGGATCACAAATATTTTCATATATAGGCTTTATCCAAGCATATTTCCCTGCTGTGTCATACAAGATATGGGATTCTAACACACTGGCTCTCTTAGAAGACATTAAAAGACAAGTAATTAGCTAGAAAAATAACCGGCTGCTTGATTAAGCTCTCTCTCAATGAAAGGTATCATTACTGAAATACAGAAAAAACTTTAAAAGCTTGCAAAGTATTTTCCCCTTCTATCAATGTTGGCATAACATTTTATTTCTGTCCTATTCATGTAAGGCTCAAAAAATCCTTTTGGGCTGACAGGTGGCTTTCATATGGCCTGTAGTTCATCCACTCTGTACAGAGGTTAGGGATGTCCTTTGGTTATTTTACCGGCAAGTTGCCGTTCTCCATATTTTGCTGCAAAAAGCACACACTTTTTTGGGAAAGAGACACAGGGGCCCCCAGCTATGGCACAGAGCTATGCTAAATACCAAGTTTGAACTGTGTGTGCCCACATGCGCTTCCTGAATGAGTCTGGGGAAGCTGTAACGTACTACCCATCCATTCAGAGCAACTCTCTGAATGACGTGACTCTGCCTTTAGTAACACTGCCTCATCCCACCCATCCAGCACTTACAGTGATGCTGACAATCAAATTGCAAAGCTGCGTGACACGCTGCAACCTCAAAGGAAACCCAGCATCTAGTTAAAAACTTCCCAAGGTCGGCGGGGAGTGTTCCTGAGCCCAGCCCCACACAGAACAAAGGCTCTGTGGCAATAGCAGCTGGAAATGCCATCCATCATCATGCAAAGATAAAGAGCTTATAACTCCAACCAGAGGGTACTTGCAAATACCCAGTGCTGTCCTGACACTTTGATTGATGGCCACCTCCTTTAATTAGCTCCTCTTGTCTCTGGAGGTTTCCAAAGAACTGATCACTTGCTCCCACCTCCCCCTTTCCCTGCCACCATTTGCCTCCCTGGTGGACAGGACTGGAGCAGGCAGAGCCTCACTAGCCTCTTTCACTGTGTGCCCACCCACCACCATGCGATCCTCCATCCTCGGCATGAAGCTGCCACACTGACCTTTCGCAGAAGGAAGCAGATGCGCTCGATGTTCCTCAACCGTTCCCTCTATCAGGATGCACAAGAAAGAAATGAGAGGGGAGGTTAGGGGTTCTGCTAAAATAGCATGAGAAGGCCCCGCAATCAGCCCCAATAGTGGAGGCAGAAGCCACCAGAGACCCCTCCTGGGCACATGGCCAGCATGCTCCCACCCAGTGGCTTTTTCTAACAGAGTTTCTGACTTTCTTCCCTGTACCTTGTCATGGTCATTTGCTCTTAGCAGAACTCTCCCAGCAAACAGCATGGGCTCAACTGCCCTCTCAGTCCAGCACGGATTTCTGTTCCTTTATCTACAAAGTCTCTCTCAGCCTCCATGTACGTATAAGGTGGTCAAACTGCTGAATGGTACCTCGTGTTCATGGAGCATCCTAAAGCCTGCAGCCGGCCCTCCCAGGAGGCCTTCCCACTTAGTTCTCGAAGAGCGTATGTGCCCTCATTAGTATCTAAGGTAGACAAGTTCTCTGCCTGCTGGTTTTATTTTTCTAAAGTGAGTCTACTTGGAGGAAGTAATCTCCCTACTAAATTAGACAACAATGATGCCCCCAGGCTAAGGCTTTTTAAGAAGTTCGAGTCTGTCAAGGCCTGGCTCACTGCCAAGGGAAGATGAGATGATGGCCCGTGGCTGGGCAGGTGATGATGCCCGCATCGTGCACTAAATGCCGTTGCCTCCCTTTTCCTTCAGTGACTTTAACGATTTCCAAAGCCACACTGAACACAGCTGTGGCATCTCCCGGTGCTTCATTACTGAGGCAATTTGGTTGCTGTAGATGGAATGGTAATGAGATTCCTCATGGCTCTGGAAAGGACAGGTGGCTGGGACACTTCATTTGCCTAATTAAATCATAAATATAGTGATTCCTGCGCATCCTGTAAGCCCAGAGGAAGAAGCCCACATCAGGACAAATTAGTGTCCACATGGCTGGAAAGACACACTGCATCCTCCTCACATGTGCACACGCAAACACACATACTTATGTGCACACACGCACGAAAGGGAATGCTACAAGACACGCACTAGCTCCTTCTCCAGCAAGCCAGAGCCCCTGAAGGACAACATCTACCATTACTTTAAAGTAATACTGAATGCCCAGCTGGTAAAAGGAAGGGAAAACATGAGAAACGAGGAGTAAAACCGAGCATTCCTCCTCCTTTCCATCCCAGAGGGTCCAACGATATTGAGAGCTTCAGGGCATCTTAAATCCAAATGGGCCTCATGCCCTCATTGAGAGACGCATCATATGGATCAGCAATTATTTGTGACACACAAGTACTTCCAGGACTGGAGTCACCAATCAGTGAAGTAGCTTTTTTAAGCCACCTGAGTCTGAAATGCTGCCTTGGGGGCTCTATAGAGGTCTAAGACCTCGCAGAAGAGTTAAATGAGGCATCTGAAGCATTTAACTTCCTGCCAGGGAGTAACAGCATAAGAACTGGGAAAATGTGTCTAGCAGTCTTCCATTTAGGGTTTTTATTTGTTTTTGTTTTTGTTTTTAATCTGAGACAAGAGTCTTTTCCCCATGGGGCACCTAGAGTCTTTATTCTGTCCATGAGCTTCATAGGGCCCAGGCTCCTTAATTAATCAGTTTACTAATTAGAAGTATGCCTTTAATAACAGGAGTTAAAAAAAGTGAATTGAGATTTAACTTCTATGCCACCACTTCAATATTCACCCATTGTTTAATCGACAAATAGCCATGGAGCACCTACTATGTGCAAATTCTATTCCTGCACTGGCCTTTCACAGAAGCTCCCGGAGAGCATATACTAGTCCTGATTTTCTTCATTCTGTCTAAATTTCCTTATTCTTTGCCATGGTGAGATGGAAAGGGTTCCACAAAAATATTTCGTGGTTTCACCAATCACCTGCAACCCAGCATGGAATTTGCATGATAGAATTGAGCAGTAGGACAAATTCCTTCCCTAGCATTTGCCCTGGAATCAGACAAGAAAGCTCTGGGTGTTCTAAGTGAGCTGCCTATTAATTTGAGCCCAAACAATTAGAAGGAAGGAAAGTAGGTTCTTGTCTTGCCTGGCATTCCTAAATGAAGGTGTCTCTCAGACTAGAGCCGCTCACTGCACCTGGTAGATATTGACAGGCCAGGCGTGTAATGTTGGTGCCAAACACAAAAACATCCAGAAAGACATGAGACCCAGAGTGAAATCTTTCAGGACTGACAGATCCAAATTATCCCAGGTGCATGGTGAGGCTGGTAGATGGAAACAAAATGGATTTTAATAGTTATAAGTTCATGAAATACAGCAAGTTTTCAAGTGGATCTTGCAGGTTCTTTAAACTTGCATTAAAATTTGCTTTGAAAGAGTTCGTCTCTATTTCATGGAATCAAAAAATATGATGCCAAAGTGGGCCTCAGATATTATAAAGTCAGGTCTCTTAAAGAGGCAACACAGGGTAGATGGCAGGATGAGAGACTTTGGAGACAGGCAAGCCTGGGTTCAAGTCCTAGCTGCAGCACTCATGAGCTATAAATCCCTGTACAAACGAGTCCATTTTGTGGTTTATAAATTGGGTTAATGATGCCTGTCTCATAGCATTATTGTGAGGATTACAGATTATGTATATAAAGTTCCTAGCACATAATAAAAACTCAAAAAAATGACAACTCCAGTAATAACTCTATAGAAAGGGACACTGAATCCCGGTTCTTCCATATGGTCTTTTGGTACCTCCCTAAAAGCATATCCTTCTTCATAAGGCCTGCAGCTAAGGAGAAGAGACCTCTTTGTCCCTGCTGAATGACGCCACAAACATTCCAAGCTAAGACGGTATCACGCTAGCAGAGCCTGTTGTTCTCTCTACGACTTCTGGCTGAAAAGGTCAACAAAGCTACTCAAAGAGGCAAAAAGTTGCCTTAGCGCTGGAAACCATGGCCTGGAAGGAACTTCAACTAAACACAGAACCAGTGAATTTGGATTGAGAAACACACTTGAATGAACTGTGTGTGCACCACCCTTTGAACTCAGAAGTGCAGGTAGGGAGTAAGTTTGGAAAAGGCTCTGTCCACATACAGGGTTGGTCTCTGGCTCCGGGACATGGACTACACTGACCAGGGAAACAAACAGCCAAAACACCTGTCCCCACCCAGCATCCATTCAGAAGCTCCCAGTCAGAGGCACAGCCAGGGCACAGGGGAAGGGCAGCATGTAGGGCCTGCCAAGCCAGACAAGCAGGAAGATGCCAGGCACCACGCATGCTGGGGCAGGTGACCTTTCACTTCCCGAACCCAGACCAGGACAATCAGACTGCACCAAATCCTCCAGGCAGAGGTGAGCTGATCTCAGGCCCACAGAACCACCTGAGATGAATGCTTTCTGGGTGATGGATGGCGCCAGGGACTTTGTGCATTAACCCACCCTCCACGTCTCCACTTGGTGCCCAGGTGGAGAGTGCAGCACGGACATCCACTCATGGTGCTCACGTGCCTGCAAACATGCTGGCCAACATGGAGCCTCTTTTCTTGTTTAAGGATGAGTAACCAAAACACAAGAGCACCAGGCTTTGAGGACTCAAGGGCCACAGCACAGTAGACTATTCCCCTGGGTTACTGGGACAGTCACATCTGATTTGCAACATATCTCAAGACCTCAGCACACTTCAAGAATGAGAAGGCTCCTCCACAACCTTGAGCCAGGTAGAGAGGCACAGTGAGGGCGAGCATGTTCTTTACGCATTCAAATCATTCACATTCTCACCCTCCTTCCCAGGCCCTGGGTAGCCTGGGGTGATAGCACCTTCCCCTCACCAGTACCCGCCACTTACCGCATGAACAGGATTGCACTGGTCTATGGGGCTCTTAAAATCTGTCCTTAACTCATCAAAGGCAATTATCTGAAACAGAATACAGAGATTTGAGGTGTTAGTGCACACGAGTCAACACACCATGTCCAAAGCTTCTGTGGATTTGCTTCCAAATAACACAACAGAAAGGAAGAGGCTGTAGATGGCATGAGATTGGCCAGCAGCTGGTCACTGTCGAAGCTGGCAATAAGCACATGGGGTTGATTATATTCTTCTGTCTACTGTGTACGCTTAAAATTGTCCCCAGTAAGTTTTTTTAAGTATCTGTGCTCTACAAAGATGTAAAGAAAGTCTACTGTGCTGAGGGCAGGTTTGGATTTAGATAAAAGCACAAAAAAATTAAAACTTCAAACCACTACTTTTAGCCCCTTTCCTTCCAGGAAGAGCTATTTATTTTTTATTTGTGTGTATTTGGGCAGAAAAGGTGATTGGAAGTGAAACAGACAGAAGTCAGGTGAGAAGGAAAAGAGAAAAACAAGGCAGTAGAGTTGACAGTAATAGAAATAACCAAATGTCTAGATGTCCACAAGCCTGGACGGTCAGCTCCTGGGCAGTCAGCACTTCAAAGCACAGTCCTTTGGACTTCAGTCCTACAGTTCATTTTGGATGAAGACTCAGAACTCCCCAGAGAACAACACTTTCCCGATATCCCTGGAGGAAAGAATGCTGGAGAGGACCTTTTCCAGTCACAGAATGAGGCACGGCCCTCCACAGAAGGACCTAACTGACAGGTGAAGGTTCACAAGCCCACATCCTCACCACAGCTACCTTGTCTGCTACAGAAGGAATAAATAATAGAACAAGGTGGGATTTGGCCAGGGGAGTGTCCTTTCTTAGGGTGTGGAAGCCTTGGGTGCTCCCAGTAAAGTCTCTCCTTTTGAAAATAAACAGACATGACCGCCTGTAATCCCAGCACTTTCAGAGGCCGAGGCGGTTGGATCACCTGAAGTCAGGAATTCTAGACCAGCCTGGCCAACATGGTGAAATCCCGTCTCTACTAAAAATACAAAAATTAGCTGGGTATAGTGGCATGCACCTGTAATCTCAGCTATCTAGGAGGCTGAGGCAGGAGAAAAAAAGGAAAATAAAATAAACAGACATAACCAACTCCCCAGGAAGGCACATCCCAGGGGTCCCTGAACATTTGGTAGAATTGCTGAAGCAAGGAAGCCAGCTTCCCGCCCCCAGATGTCCCCAATCCAGCAACATGGGGCTGACAGTAAGCATTAAGTGAGAGAAAACAACTTCCCTCTACAAAGCAAGTAGAATTTTAAAGCAGTCATATGTCATCCTGATTTCAATCCTCCTACAGAATTTGAAGAAAATTCCAGTATAACTTGTATTAAACCAACACATTTCTATATCATCCCTTGCCAGATAATTATCCAGCCTGTACTTAAACGCTTCAGTAACAAGAAACTCACCACTTACTGAAGATGCTCATTCCACTTCTGGCTACCTCTAATTAATCATTGCTTTCCTTATTAAACTATAATATATGACTCCCTGAAGCTTCCACCCACAGCCTAAGCCAGGGTCAGCAAACTACAGCCTGAAGGCCAAATCCAGCCTGCTACCCATTTTTGTTCAACCTGTGAGCTAAGAATGTTTTGGTTTGTTTTTTAGTTTTTGTTTTTGTTTTTGTTTTGAGACAGAGTCTCACTCTGTCAGCCAGGCTGGAATGCAGTGGTGAGATCTTGGCTCACTGCAACCTCCATCTCCCAGGCTCAAGCAATTCTCCTGCCTCAGCTTCTCGAGTAGCTAGGATTACAGGCGTGTGCCACCATGTACAAAAAAAAATACAAATACAAAAAAAAAATTTTTATATTTTTAGTGGAGATGGGGTTTCATGTTTTTAACATTTTTTTAAATACTTGAAATAAACCAAAAAGGAGAATATTTTGTGGCATGTGAAGCTTATATTAAAATTCAAATTTCAGTATCCATAAAGGTTTATTGGAATATAGTAGCATTCATTCTTTTATCGATACTGCTTTTGCACAACGGCAGGGTTGAGTAGTAGTTACAGGCTGTAAGGCTCACAAAACCCAAAATATTTACTATTTTGCCTTTTATAGAAAAAAATCTGCTGACCCCAGCCTATTCTTTCATTTGCCCTCTAGAGCTATCCTCTCCACTACAGTAGCCTCTAGCCACATGCAGCTATTAAAGCTTAAACTTTTAATTAATTAAAATTAAATTAAAAATTCAGTTCATAGATATATTTAAGTTGTTCAACAACCTTATCTATCTAGTAGCTATTACACAGCACAGATATAAAACATCCCCATCACCACAGAAAGTGCTATCAGACAGCACTGCATTAGAGGCACATAGCATGGGTCAAATCCCTCCTCCACAAAGAACCCCTTTAAGTACTGTCAGCTCCAGGGACCCCAGCAAATCTTTCCTCTTCAAGCTAAATCTCTCCAACCATTGTTTACATAAACTGGCGCTAAGCTGCCTCATCATCCTGATTGTCCACCACGGATGTTTCAGGTTGTAAATGTCCATTCTAAAGTGTGTAAAGTACTGTCGGTACTAAACACTTGATTCAAGGTGAGGGTGGCTGGCACAGACAGTAGAGATGTCACTCACCTCCTCTGTTCTATAGTCTATGCTTCTTTTAATCCAATCTGATTGCATTAGCTTTTTTGTGGCCATATCACATTCCTGGCTTTATACTGAATTCGAATTAATTAAAAGCCCTAGGTCTTTTCATGTGCTTCAGTTAAACTCAGTCCACCTCATTCTGCACAAGCATTGTTGGATTTGGAGGCCTAAGAGCAGGAACTAATATTTATCCTGGTTAATTCCTCCCTATTCAATATGGTCTACTGGTCCAATCTTTTGAGACATGACCTATCTCCCAACTATTATATAAATCCTAATAAACACAGTATCGTCAATACCCACATCCACATTTACCCTGATATAAATGTAGACCAAGCGGGACCAAGGCCAGAGCTCTGAGCTCACCATTCCTAGCTCCTGTAAGGCTGACATCGGTTTTCCTGGCACCTATTATCTATACAGTTATAAAGACGGTTTACTATATTTTGATACAGTCACTGAAAGCAAGTATCTGGACAGCTGCAGAACTCCACAACTGTTAGTGCCCCACATATAGGCCCCCCACAAAGAGACTGGGCACCCATGGAGGAAAGGGAGCCAAGCCCCCACATTGTGGACAATCCCCAACCCCAGTCCTGCTCTAGGGCCTGTGTCTCTGTCTGAGTGCAGGGAGGTGGGTCTAGACTGAATAGAGCAAAAGTAGCTGGAGCTTGAAGCAGCAGAGAGGAGCCAAAGGGGATCTGGGGCTGTTCAGCCAGGCTGAGAGCCAGCGACCCCTACCTTGGCCCACCTCAGCGCCTCACCTAGAGGATGGCGCAGAGGAAAGAGGCCTGAAGTGTGGCTTATGCCTTTGAGCTCCATGAGATAAGAGGTCCTTCATGGGTGCTTTCTGATGATGTGATGGCAGTGCACCCATGAGGACAAAGGCTTTCAGCGTCCCTACACCCAGTGGCTACTCGCTAATGTATCCATCCATTCACCTAACATTCAGCCAGCATCCTTTAGACACAGGCAATGGGCTAACCACTGGAGACACAAAAATCAACAAGATCGGTGCCTGTCCTCACCAACTTCCTAGTCTAGAGGGGAAGACCCCCATGTAGACAGGCCACTGTGCTACAGTGTGATGAGGGCTATCAAGACGATTGTAATAACAGCTCTCATGTATTGTCTGCTCACCATGTCAGCTGCCGGGCTATATGCTGCACATGCTTTTTATCATTTAATCCTCTGACCACCCAAAGGATTAAATGGAACCAATAATAGTACCTACCTCACTATTACTGGTCCCATTTCAGAGAAGAAGAAACTGAGGCCCAAAGTAGTTAAGTTACTTGCCCACGATTACTCTTTGGTGCCAGGATCCAAACCAAGGCCTGCCTAACACTAAAACCTGAGTGTTACCATTACGTTATTCTGCCTCCAAGTACATACAGAGAAAAGTAAATAAGGAGTCGGAAGACATTCAGAAGAATGAACAGCTGTCCCCATGGAAACAAAGCAAAGCTTCCCCGAGGAGGTAGGGGTTAGGCTACCCCCCACTTAGCACTAATTCATAAATAGATTCCCAGTTTCAGCCTCCTGACCTGTCTGAGGATAGAAGCCACGGGCCCCACTGTGTAGTATCATCCTTTGCATGTGGCAGACTTCTATCTAGAGCTAAGCCTTAGCATCAGCAATGGACTGACTGCGAGTGTGATGAACACAATGATGTAAGGATGGGCAGATGAACGGCCAGACAGTTTAATTCAGCTGAATGCACAGACCAGCCTCCGTGTGTGTCCTACAATGCTCCATTGCACCCTTCAGCCCAGCAACTGACAGTACAGGTTTAACTGCTGAACTTTAGGTGAACTTTAACTGCTAAACCAACGATAAGATCATTTCATATCTCACCCGTTTTAAAAATCATTTTTACATTTAATGCAGTAAAACTCACTCTTTTTGGTGAAAAGTTCTGTGAATTTTGACAAATGCAGTCATGTGATCACCTCCAAAATCAAGACACAGAACAGTTCTATCACCCCAAAATTCCCTCCTGCAACACCCCCCCGCCATGTCTCACCCCGTCCCCTGCCCAGCAACCACTAATCTGTTCTCCATCCCTCTAGTTTTGCCTTCTCCAGAAAGTCACATAAATGGAATCACGCAGTATGTAGGCTTCTGAGCCTGCTTTCTTTTGTAAGCATATGTAAATACACGATGTGTTTAAGTTTAAGCCACACTGTTGCCTATATCAATGGTTTGTTCCCTTTTACTGCCAAGTAGTATTCCATTGTACAAACGAACTACGGTTTATTTATCTACCTGTTAAAGGATATTTGGGTTGTTTCCAGATTTTGACAATTATGAATAAAGCTGCTATAAACATCTACACAAGGCCTTTTATCTAAACATAAGTTTTCAATTTCCTTGGAGAAATAGGAGGGGGATTGCTGGTCCATGTGGTAAGTGTAGATTTAATTTATAAGAAACTGACAAAACTGTTTTCCAAAGTGGCTGCACTATTTTGCATTCCCACAAGCAACATGAGTGTTCCCATGACTCCACACCCTAGCCAGAACTAAGTCCTGTCAGTTTAGTTTTGGGGGGTTTTTTGCCTAGTTTTGGTTTTTTAGTCATTTCAGTAGGTGTGTCGAGTTATCATTACAGCTGTAATTTGCATTCCTCCAGTGACTAACGATGCTGAGCACTTTTCATGGGCTTAGCTGTCATCTGTACATCTTTTTTGATGAAATGTGTGTCCAAATCATTTTCTCTTTTAAAACAAAATTAGCTGGTTTTTTTGTTACTGATGATCTTTGAGAGTTCTTTATAAATTTTGGATACAAGTCCCTTGTCAAATATGTAATTTGCAAATATTGTCTTCTATGCTGTGGCTTGTCATTTCACTTTTGACAGTATGCTTCTCAGAGCAAAAATTTTTCATTTCAACTAGTTTATCCCATTTATCAGTTTTTCTTTTATGGATCATATTTGGGTATTCAACCTATGAACTCTTTTGAATCTAAGAACTTCTAAGATCACAGAGGTTTTCACTTACATATTTTTCTAAAACTTGAGTTTTCTCTTTAGGAAGGTTTAAACTACAAATTCAATTTATTTAATAGATTTAGGACTATTCCAGTTATCTATTTCCTATGACATGAGCTTTGGCAGTTTGTGATTTCAAGGAATTGGCCCATTTCATCGAAGTTGTCAAATCTGCAGATTTATATTCGGAGCCACCCCTATTTTTGTATTTCACCCTCCCTCATCAGGCATCTCCCCTGCTTTTTTTCTCACCAGACTTTTGAGATGGAGGTTTAAGTGATCACAGAAAATGTAAGAAAAGTTGGCAGCAAAGCAGTGGAAACAAAGCAAGAGCTATTGTTCTTCCCCAAGAGGCATAACTGAGGTCCTTGAAAGCCAGATTGCCTCTACGCTGCCTGGGGCCCGGCCCTGCCTGAAAAAGTGGGGCAAGGGTGAGGCTCTGGGGTAGAAAATTGGAGGTCTTGCAGGAGATGCAGCACCAGAGGGAGAGAGAAGGATCAAGTTATATCAGTAAGATAATGCAATATACATGGTCAAACATCAGAACTTAGTGGAGTACTAGCCTGGATGGAGGCTTCAGGAGAGACAGAGCCAGAGGAAGCCACCGAGAAGTCCAGAAAGGAGGGCAGCTACAAACAGAGAACACGCTAGAAGTGAAGCTGTTTCTATGAACACTGAACCCTATCCCTACCCACCACTAGGCTTAGGCAAGTTCAGCCCAAAAGGTGCTGCCCCAACCCTCTAGCCTATTGCCCCTCCCTGTTCCCCCAACCACAGGACCATGAAGCAACTATCCATGGAAGCTCACTGCGCGGAGCCTCACCAAGGACTACAGCAAGGTCAGTCCTGCTGGGGCCTGCCCTAAGTCTAGACTGCCTGGATTCCATCCAGCCTCAACACCAGCAGGGAAGCAGGGTGGACCCACCTCAAGAGGTGGGAAACTATAGAAACACTCTATAAAGCATCTCATGCTTCTGTCTTTGGGTCCACAGAATTTATAGTTAGGAGATTAAAAGTTATCTCACTTGTCTGAAATCATTATTTTGCTAAAAATAACCATGCTGTACTATGGCAAAAAAAAAAAAAAAAAAAAAAAAAAAAAAAAAAACCTTCCTGGAAGATGAAGAAACGATTGAAATGTCAATGTGCATTAGCTAATGAGTCCCCAGGGCTGCCCCATCAGAGAGCTTAGCATTAGGAAAGGCTGGTTTTCTCTGGGACTTTCTCTTCCCTGCATTTGCTCCTCTTATTTCTGAAGGCTCTTAAATGGTTGAGACCTCACTACCTTGCATGTGTACTGCACTATCTTATTGACATAACTTGATCTGCATAAGAACTCTTGTGAACTGGATCGGAATCTCCCCCTAGCATACAGTTCAGGAGACCAAGACCCAGTCACAGTGTTTGAATGATGTACTTTACCTTGCATGATGAATGAGGGACAACCCACACTGGACCCAGGTCTCTGAGTCTTTGACTGGTTAGTGCTCCATCCAGCACGCTGTGCTGCCCCTCTGTGACTTGAACGGGTAAAAAGAAAATGTTGGGTTACTGAAGAGGCCAAAAAAAAAAATACTGACTAGATACCCACGATGTACCTGGCACCATTTTTGGTTCTCTAGGACAGGAGTGAGAAAGAACAGAAGGTCCCTGTCATCACAGAAGTTATAATCAAGGGTAAGGGCAGAAGAGATAATTCACAAATAGATAAGAAAAGCATCAGAAAATGGCAGACTGTGTGAAGAAAATAAAACAGCTGATAGGAAGAAACAGAATCGGGAGTAGAGAGGGAAGTGATCAGGGAAGCCTCTCTGACGAGGTATCTTTCAAGCTGAGAGGACTGAATGTCCAGGAGCCAGACATGGAAAGGTCTGGGAAGAAATTTCCAGAAACGGAAATTATGCTGCAGATGCCAGAAGCAGGAAATAAGCTTGGCAGGTGTGAGGCATGGAAAGGCCTGCACAGGGGAAGCCAGAGAGTGAGACAGACAGCAGGGGGAGGGGAGGTCAAGGCTCAGGGCTGGCCAGGATCCCAACTGTGCGGGATTCATCCAACTGCAGCTCCCCAAAATAGACAGTGTGGCATGAAGCCATTTAGCCCATCTATTCCATTGGTGATGCGGCCCTTATGTGACTTGCAGGACTGTGTTTGCTGCTTGTGGTCTCTCACTCTAACAAAAGGAGTTGCATGGACATGACCGAGGGGGCCACTGCTGATACAGGTTGATCAGTGTGAAACCAGTGTCAGTTGTGCAGACTGAGGAACAGGTGCTGGGCTGACAGTTTTCAAGTCCGTTCTGAGCAGTAGCAAATTCACCCAAATGAAAACTCAATGTTCAGGGGCAATATTTAAAGAGATCATGAATCCTAGCAAGTCATACCCAGGGACTCGGAGGACAGATTTGGGTTAACCCCTCTCAGAGAGCATTTGGGCACTGGGAAAAGCTGCGCAGTTTTCTAATGAGTGGGCACATGCCCCAAACCTCCTAGAAACTCTGACTACAGGTCCAATTTTGAATAGGGACAGCTCCCTCACCCAGTTCTGTGCTCATACTCCTATTTGTATTAGGGCCACTTTGAACGGACCTTTCTCTCTTGATTTCTCCATGTTGTGTGTTGAATAGTGACCTCCAAAATTCATATCTACCTGGAACCTCAGAATGTGACCTTATTTAGAAATAGGGTCTTTGCAGGTGTAATTAGAAAAGATGGGGTCATCTTTATGAGATAGAAAAAAAGCCACACAGTGAAGGCCATGTGAAGACAGAGGCTGCAATTGGAGGGACACAGCTATCAGCCGAGGAACATCAAGGGCTACCAGGAGCCACCATTAGCTGGGAAGAGGTGAGGAAGGATTCTCCCTTAGAGCATTTGGAGGGAACATGGCCCATCTGTCTTCAGACTTCTAGCCTTCAGAACTTTGAGAGAATAAATTCCTATTGTTTTAAGCCACCCACCTGGTGGTAATTTGTTAAGGCTGCCCTAAGGAACAAATACACTCCATTTGCAAAATACCTGAAACTACTGCTGCTGTCATCTAAGATCTGGAAGGAATGGCTTTTGGTGCTACCTGAAAATGTTAGCATGAAAGATGCAAACGAGTATTTCTGACCCAAAATATACACCTCCCCAGGGAAGCAGGCTTTTATACTCCCCCCAAACCTTCCTGTAAGTCCCCCAAACCCACGCTCAGAATACAATTCTAATTTAGAGAGAATTCTGCTTTTTACTTCCTCTGTCTTGTCCCCAAAAGAGCAATGTCTTCAAACCACAGCCCAAGTTTTAGGGACCCTTTCTAAGGTCCTGTTAAAGCACAAAGAGCTCCACTGGAGAGGAAAAAAATGAGAGATGAGTGATTTTATTGGTTATAACATACATCTTATATCTAGTCCTAGTTTTATGCCTGAAACTAGTACAGCCTTGAGTCCTAAAGTCTCTCTGTACACTGATTCTAAACTGCTACATGCAAGTGTTTGCTTAGTCATCTCTGAGCCTCCAAGAAGCAAGTGGCACTGGCTCCAAACTCAAAAGCCTCTTGGGGACTCTACATGGGTACCACCCACCTGTTCAAGTCCTTGCTCAGCTCCCATCACCAAGTGGTCTAGAAAAAGACTCAGGGTCTCTCAATCCACTCCCTTTTCTAAAAAGTGTAATGCCAGATGTCATGGAGTAGTTGAAGCTTTCCAAAGTGTTTTCACATGTTTTATTTGATTTTGTGTTCATTGTATATAATATCCCAAATGATGTGACACCCACTTTGCAAATGAAGAATCAAGAAGAATGAGAGGTCGTTAGCAATGTCCAGGGCTACCTGGTTGAAGAGGGCAGTGCTGGGGCCAGTCCTCACCTTCCCCATCTCTCTTTCTTGTGCTTCCTCCATTGGGCCATGCAGTCTCACCCTCTTCTGTAAGGGGGAGTGAGGAACCTTTATTAATGCATCCATCCACATGGGGTGCCATGCAGGGCAGGACACAGCAGGCTTAGCACCAGAGTCCTGCCTTTTAAGGGCTCCCAATCAAATGAATGGTCTACTTATGCCCGTATGACCAAGAGTCTAGGAGAGGAAGTTGAACTTCCAACCAGCACAGAGCCTCTGGTTGGAGAGGCCCAGAGTCTTGCCCTAACTCCACCCCATTTCATCTCTGTATTGGTCAGGGTTCCCTAGAGAAACAGAACCAACAGGATGTGTGTAGATATATGCACAGAAAAATATCTGTTTTAAGGAATTGGCTTATGCAATGATGGAGGCTGAGAAGTCCCAATTCTGCAGAGTCAGCCAGCAGGCTGGAAACCTAGGAAGGAGCCAGTGCCATGGTTCAAGTCCAAAGGCCGTCTGCTGACAGAATTCCCTCTTGCTCGGAGGAAGTTGGTCTTTTGTTCTATCTGGACCTTCAGCTGATTGGATGAGGCCCACCTATGTTAGGGAGGGCAATCTGCTTTACCAATTTAAATATTAATCTTATCCAAAAACACCCTCACAGAAACATCCAGAATAACGTTTGGCCACATATCTAGACATCATAGCCAAGTCACATTGACATGCAAAGTTAACCACCACAAACCCCCAATACTAGGGACTGTCACAGGCTCCAGGCTGGGCCCTGGCCAGTGGGGCTTGGTGGGAAAATGGCAGAGTGATGACCAGTGGGTCCCTTTCATGTGTGAGAAGCCATCATGAGTCATGGCATCCCACATCTTGGCACACACTCATCTTAGGAAGGAAGCTGCCTTACAGCAAGTTGGGAAAAGTGTGTGACCCAGCCTCCTCCATTTAGGGATGAGGAGCCTCAGGACCAGAGAAGAAGAGGACCTGTCCTGGCACTCTCACCCTCAGAGCCTGCACAGGGTAGCTTATCATTGTCTCAAGAGCAGTGTCCACCCTCATCATGAGTGGGGACCGTCTGTGCTGTGGGCTACCCATAACAGACTCCACAAAAGGATGGGGCTGGGCAAATTCCAAAGCTGAGCCTTAAGGATAAAGAGCCCCTTAGACTCTGTAGGAGGAGAGCCGCTGGTCAGGAAAATGAGACCCAGCCCTTCTGCCACCATGCCCTCCACACCTGAGCAGCAGCCCCGAGTGTCCAGATCTTCCCATGCCACCATCTTCTAAGTCCTTGCATAGCTACATCCCTTCCTCACACCATCACAAAATGGACCACCCCGGCTCCATGCCTCTCTCTCCCTAACAGGTGCTGCCTCTTTAGAGTGAAGAGTCCTGGATCTGAAGGAGGTCTCACTTGCATCCTGACCCTGCCAGTTCCCAGCTCTGTGACCTGGAGCTTGTCACTTCACTCCTCCAGGTCATGGCTTCCTTATCCATAAAATGAGAATAATCTCTACCTCAACTGGTTGCTATGAATGCAAAATGGGGTGATACAGACTATAGCACCAGGATAGAGAGAAATGAAGACTGTTGGGTGTGGGGGTGGGGGGAATGCCATTGTGTAAAAGGCACAACAGTGTCATTGTTACACATACCATGCAAGTCGGCATGTCTCAGTTCAAATCCAAATTCTGCCTCATTTGTTTGTGTGACTATGGGCAAGGTGCTTAACCCCCTCCAAGCCTCGGTGTCCTCAAGTATAAAGAGGAGACAGTAGTGGTTCCTACTTCATATTGATACTTTGAGGATTAAATGAAATAATGTACAACAAGCACCGGGCACAATGCCTAGCACGTAAAGTTAAAACATTATCACTTTTATTTCCATAATTATTACCATGCAGTGTTCAGGCCCCACCCTCTGGTCTCACGGCTCTCCTCCCCTTTCTGGCCTTGAGCATGATCATTAGCAACACACCCTCTGAATCAGGAGAATCCAGTCACTGCAGGGGAAAGCTGGGGTAGAGGGTGTAGGTAAAAGCCATGGCAGAGCCCCTCTGAGGACTCAGGTGGATGATAAAGCCAGCATGGCCCATCCTGTTACAGGTGGAAACATGAACTTAGAGTTGCCAGGACAGAAGCTGGAGACCAGCAGGTGAGCTGAGGAGGGAGGCATCAGCTGCCCCTGGAAGAGTCCCTAGACCTGAATGATGAGTACAAATTGGGAAACACAGGACACTTTGGCTTATTTGCCATCGTGTGCCAGAATCTGCAGACACAGCTGGTTCTGACATAGCTTCCCTGGTTCCCATCTAGTTAACAGGAAACAAAGACACCCCAGAGCTGTGCAACTCTGGGACTAAAGCCAAATGAGCAGGACACCAGGCAGACCTAGCCCCAGCTGACTCGCTTCAGGTGACAGCACAGCCGTCCTCAACTCCAGCCAGCAGCCATCTGGGTCAGGGTGAAATCCAGAGAGGAGAAGGGAATGAGAAGGCCCTTTTCTGCTAACTTGTCATAGGCATAGGCCAGGCAGCCACTCTGAATAGCTCAAGCAGTGAGGGAGGGGTTGGGAAGAAGTGGGGGCAGCCTGCAGTGTGCTGGGATCTTCCCTGGGGCAGTTAGGCTAGAATCCCCCCGCTCCACCAGCCCCCTAACTCAGCCAGCCCACCAGCACTACATCTGGCCCTGCGCATGAAGCACACTGGGGCCACAGAGCCTACCCCAGGTAATCACCCCCAGCCCCAGGTTCCCCCTCCTCTCACCAAACTTGTGCGTCCTCTGGCATCCTTGGTTCTCAAACATAAGAATGCAGGAGAAATTTCTGGCTCAAATGTTTGGTGACCTTCCACACATCCTTTTGGGATCCTTGTTTTCAGCCTCCCTCCTTCTTCTGGTCCAGTGTCCTCTACTCCTTGGATACTTCTCTGACACCTAGGCCTCAAGGGTCCATGGCCAGCCTAGCCCAGCTTTGGGGGAGCATGCACCCAAGTGTGGATGTGCATCAGAAAGGCTCCCCAAAGTATCTTCCAAGAAGATCCATCATTACTCATTCCTAAAAATACTTACTAAGCATCTACCATTTGCCAGGCACTGTGGTAGCAGCTGGAGATACAACAAAAAGCAAGGCAGACAGTAGCTGGCCTCTACCAGCTGCCATTCATTTTGTGTTGACTCTGAAAACACAATAGCTTCTGGGCATGGTAGCCTATTGAGCAAGGCATCAATTGCTCACCTAAATATGGATTATTTTAATCAAACTGAAGACAGAATATGTATAAAGGAACGCAGTAATGCCAGCTGTGGCATTACTTAAAAGTTAAAACAACTTAAAAGTTGTAGGTGACCGGTTGCTTGTAGTTTGTTTTGAGACATCATCATTGATCTAAGCAAGGCCCTCTCTTACATATATAACTGTTCATTTATTCATTCATTCATTTCCTTTTATGCCATTAGCCCTTTTGCTCCATCCTTGGCAATTATTGGTTTATGTTTCATGTCTATCTTTCTGTTCCTTGTGTTCTTACAAAATGTGTATTCTGTATGTGTGCATAGATTTTAAATTTACCTAACTTGTATCCCATTCTTTCTTACCTTTTGCCCTCAGAAGTGTAGCTGCAGGGCTCCATGGGAGCGGCCACTATACTTTGTCTATCCACGCTACCAGTGAGAGACACAGACTTGACCATGTCACCTCAAATAATGCCACAAAACCCTAATGCATGTCACCTTAGGGATTGGTATGCCAATTTCTTTGTGATTTATACCTAGGAGTGGAATTGTAGTCATGGGTTTTTTTTTTTTTTATTGGACTGACTGCCCTCCTTGACTGCCCTTCAAAGTGATTACATTCCCCCAGCAGAGCCGCGGATTCTCTGTCCCACATCCCCTCAGACACTTGGCAGAATCCAGCTTTCTAGCGTTTGCAGTCTAATAGGTAAAGTGCAGTCTCTCTCTTGTTTTAATTTGCACCTCTCCAGAGATGAGTTGGAGCAACTCTTAATATAAAGCGTTAGCCTTTGGGGTTTCCTCTTCCGTTCATTGTCGCTTAGATGCTCTGACCATTTTTCAACAAGAGATCGCTGCCTTTTTCTCTTTCTGATTTGTACTGGTTGCTGGTATGTTGTAGATGTGAATCCCCTTTCAATTTTAGACATTTTAAACACCTTCTCTCATCAGTCACCTGTTGATTAATTAACTGTGGCTATGGTGTCCTTCACTGAATGAAAATCAATTGCACTCATTTTTGCCTCATATTTTTTACTTTCTGAAGTTTTATTTAAGAAGTTCTTCCTTGCCCCAAGACACAAAGATAGACTCTTACATTATTTTACATTTTCTTTATGAAATTCGAGGATTCTAATTAGCCCTCTCCTGCTGTCAGATGCCAGTATCTGGGACTGTGCCAGGTCAACTCACGAGTCAGAGTTATTTCATTCACTGAATATTTAATGAGCACTTACTATGTATGAGGCACTGTTCTGGGAGCTGCAGACAGAAGGCAAGGCATAGTCCCTGGACAGGATGACAGAAGTGGACTAAGAACTCCATGTGACAGGAGATGACAGGGGTCAGGAAAGGGCAACCTCAAGTAGAAGGAATGAAATTTCAATTTGCAAACTGCCCAGGAGGGAGAGACCACAATCTCAGCAGGCATATGTCAACCGCATGCACGTGACATGACAACCATGCAAACATTTGGGGTAGCCCAAGAGTGGAGAAGACTACCGTTGGGGGATCTAGAATTCCTTTCCTAGTCTAGAAGAATTATACTAGGACTTGAATGATAAAGCCTAAAGTTCTCAAAACCAAATGTGGAATCAACTACTAAGAAGAAACTTCTAAAATGCAGTGGTTTAGCCTCCATGTTGTACCCAATGGACAGACTCCTTCTGTATAAAGACAATCTTTGGCAGCAGTTTCCTCCAAACCTGCAGAAACCCACAAACTGGCGATTGAGGGCTGAGCCATGGCCCTTTGTAAAAACCTCCATGGGCTCCTAAGACAAGTGCCCACTCTAATGATCACCTGCAGAAAAACTCGCCCCAACCAGGAGGATACCTATGTACTTTATTAAGATTCTTCTAAATAGCACTATCCACTTTGGGAAATTTTAAGAGCCAGGCATTACAAATTTATTAAAATACTTCAATGGAAAAATAGCAACCACAGTATCAACTCAGAGCACAACCAGAGCATACAGGACATGACCCTGCTGGAACCCTTACCAGACCTGAGCCAAGGGCAGTCAGAAAGCAGGATGGATTATTTCACAGCCCATTAACACCTCACAGTACCAGCTGTCTGCATGCTCAGAGAAAGGTCCATCACCTGGGCTCATGGAAAGGGCATCATGGGGAAGTCAGGAACCTGAGTTTGGGTTCTGGCTTGGCTTTTGACTGTGTGATTTTGAACAATCCCTTTATCCCCTATGTCTCAGTGTCCTCATGTGCAAAATTAGCACATTGCATTGCATCAGTATTTCTGAACTTGGAACAGGGGTGGGAAACATTTCAGAACTCCTTGGGAAAGCTGCCAAAATACAAGGCGGCACAGACCCTGCCCTGTACCTGCTAAATCAAAACCAGAGGGTGGCTTGGCCAGGCCAGTTGAGAGTCACCTGACTGGTTAAATGTGACTTGGGGATTGTTTGCACCTCACCTGAAGCATCCCTAGCACACTAGGCTCCTCGGGAACCTACAGACAGAATCCTTGGGCTTATCACTAAACCTATCGACTCTAACCTGTAGATATCATTCCATGGTGCTGGGAAAAAGGGAGGGGGGAGGGAGGAACTGTAAATCTCTTTGCAAATACAAACATCTTCCATGTCGTAACTTAGGTCCATAAACCCTAAATCTAAAGCACAGCTTTGATCTCATAAGTGAGTCCTACCACATATAAGTAGATGCAAAGAATGCAAAGAACACATACAAAGAATCCCACTAGGTTACAAGTGCCTCGAGGATTGCAGGAGGTACTGCTCCAGGTAAGGAGACACTGTTTTGCTCATTGCTGCATTCCAAGCACCTGGATCAGGGCAAGGCACACAGTGGTTATTCAGTAAGTATCTATTGAAAGAATGAATGAGTTTACCCATCTTCATATCCTTGGCCCAGTGCTTGCAACGAATGTTAAATGAGCAAATATAAAACGTTTTAAACTTTTCAAAATGCTTTCATAAACCCTTCAGTAGTTGATCACAGTAACTCACCCAGTTCTTCATTTAGATGAAGTAGGTTACCTCCTTCTCTACACCAGACTGTCTTCCTAGTGTGCTTAAGGGCAAATTATCTCTTCACTAAAGATAAAGCCTGGGAGTATCCAGCGTACAAGAGGGCAGTTCTGAGGCCCAGTCACATGTCTATCCATCACATGGCAGGTCCCAGGATTCAGAACCTCCATCCAGACCATGCTGTCCAAGACCTACTAATTAACTAACGGAATGTATACATATTCAAGAGTGTGCAATACTCTACCTTATAAAAAATTATTTCAGATGGTTTATCAGAAATACCCAAAATAGAGAAAAATAATTGAAAATAAAAATTAGACCCAGGAAGAAATAAAGAGGTGGGAGAGAGAGAGATACCAAGACCACAAGGCCCCCGAAGAGCCAAATTCATTGGCTTGAAAATTTGGATCTAAGTTTCCCAGAATAGCCAGGGGAGGTGGTGCACACCTGTAGTCCTAGCTACTCAAGAGGCTGAGGCAGGAGAATCACTTGAGCCCAGGACTTCAAGGCTGCAGTGAACTATTATTGTGCCACTGTGCTCCAGCTTGGGCGACAGAGTGAGACCTTGTCCCTAAAACAAAATAAAAATTAAAAATAAGTTTCCCAGAAGCTGAAGTGGAAAGAGAAATCAGTTACTTAGCTGTCCTTGTCCATAAAGAAAAAGGATAGCAGTTTCTCAGGGGAAACAAACTATTCCCCAAACTCATATTTAAAAGTTATTTTCTGTACAAATTTTAACTACAATGGAGAATACTGCACCCCCATACCACACACAGCAATAGGCATTAAACTGTTTGTTGTAGCACCCCTCCATAATAACTAAGTACTGAATACAAAATATGACCCAGCAAAAATATTTGATGGAGGAGGCAAGACAATGCAATGTGGTCCAAATTTTGAATGTGCTTCAGTCATCTTCCATCAATCTATTTCACAACTAGTGAAACCAGTCCAACTGCCCATAGAACTTATGCTGATGGTTTTTTGAATACACATGGAAATTGACCCTCCCTGGTCTTAAAACTTGAAACTTAGATTTGTCTTATCTGAATTCCTTCCTCAGAAAACCGACCCTCAGGCAAGGAACTGAAACTCACTAGACCACCACATCCAGTGAGATGCCAGATCCCTCATCCATCATGATTGCTCCATACCTCTCCCTAATTCCCATTTTCCTGCATGCGGTTGCATTCCTTCCCCACTATATAAACCCCCAATTTTAGTTGGCTGAGAGGAATTGATTTAAGGCAATCTCCCATCACTCTGGCTGACATCACCCAAATAAAGCTTTCTTCCCTGGCAATATTCATTGTCTCGGTAATTGGCTTTCTGTGCAGCAAGCAACAGGACTAGACCAAACCCCTGGCATTTCAATAACAGATTTTGGTTCCTTGACCAGAAGGCCCTGTTCATGGCTCTGCAGCCATGGGCCAGGAGAGTTTCAGAAGCCCTCCTAAGCAGCTGCCTGGCTCTTTTTTGGCTGAAGGTAAATTTCGGTCTCTCTCTTTGACTCTGTCACTGTGGGCCCTACTGCATTTCTGATTGCCTATGAAGAACAGCCTTTGAAATGTGACATCTGCATCTGGATAAGTGAGTGTCTTTTATGGGTACCAGACGAGGGGAATGGCTCAATTTTGGGAATTCCAAAGAAATTTCCATTTGCAGGTTGAACAAGTGTAACCAACAGAGAGGCAAGCCCTCCAACTATTTGTTTGGACACTCTTGGGGCTTGTTAGTGATTGTTTGTGTGTATACACATCTGTGTCTGGACAAGTATGTTTTGTGGGTCCAAACAGTGACAACTGCTCCTCTCAATTTTGGGAATTCTGAAGAAATTTCCATTTGCAGGTTGAACAAGCCCAACCAAGAGAGGAAAGCACCCCAACTATTTCAGTTTGGACACTCTTGGGGCATGGTGGCTACTGCTGCAGTTGGATTGTGTATTGGTGATTGTGCATACGTCGACATAGCTGTGGGAGGTCGAGGTTCAATCCCACATTGCGGCCTGCTTGGATGCATTCTTTAGGTTGGTATGAATGTAGTTGTGGGCCCAGAGAGCAAGGGAAAGTCTACGGCCATACCCATACCACCCCGAATGGCCTGATCTCATCTCATCTTGGAAGGTCTTTGAATCATAGGACTGTCTTACAGTTGGATTCATTTTACTGTTAAATGGGAAACTGGGTCAGAGTTCCTTGTATCCAGGCTTGTATGTTGCTCATCTAAAAAGTGTCAGGACTGATTAGTATTAAGTTGGTGCAAAAGTAATTGCGGTTTTTGCCATTGCTTTCAGATGGCAAAAACCACAATTATTTTTGTGCCAACCTCATACATGATGTTCTTCTGTGGTGCTGTCTGGCCCTAGTGTTCTTTGGAGTCTGGGGAGGTTTAGCCTTTAAAAATAAAACTGCCTTGGAAACTGCTTAACCCAAAATTTTGGTTCACAGGCTTCACTGGATTACCTACCAGGGCAAAATTTAGCCACATGAACATGTTCATAAACTGGTGAGTTTGCACTACTATCTCATGGCTAGAATTCCAAGGTAAAAGCTATTGGGTCTTTGTTTATATGTGTACATATGTGTCTGGATATCATGTGTTGTCTTTACATGGTACCAAATTGGCTTATAAATAAAAAGGAACCCATAAATTAAGTATATAAGTCCAAGCCTTTTTCAAGTTCATGTGACTTAAGTAAATCCTAAACAAGCAGGCTTTAAAATTATTGGTAAGATTAAAACAGAAATGTTTTCATGTTGTCAACATATTTTTTCTGGGTTTTATATTTGTCTCTGTTAGATATTTTAAAGTGTCAGAGTTTGGCACAGAAGGTTATAAAACTATAAACCCAGCCAAAACAAAATGATCTTTGTGTGATTTTTTTTTATAAGTAAGACTAGTATCATTAGTTTAATAGAGCTGAATCTTCTGAGTTATTGGTGAAAATACCCATATATTTAAGGTTCTTGAGTGAGCACTTAATATGCACAGGTTATAAAAATAATTAACAAGGAAATAATGACTAGCTCTGTCTAATATCTCAGCTCTCATACGTAATCTAGACTGCTAAAAATGAGTGAAAGGTAAATGGTATAATTGCTATAAGTGAACTTTTTATGTAATTTAAAATCTTGAAATTATTTTGCTCACTAGATGTCTGAGTCATTTCCAATTAAGAAAGGGTTATAATATAGGCAAAACATGTTTTTGTAAAAAAATTATGGAATGTTCTTACCTATAAAATGCTAACATCTGATAGACAGTTCAGAATTACTTGCTTCCTAGATCGTCACTCAAATTTAAGGTTACTAAGAATAGGAATTCTAGCTAATATATAATTTTGGGCCACAATCACCAACACAGCCATGCTGCCACCCCACCTTCCCTGCTTCCCGCCAGCTGCCCACATCCTCCGACCTGTTCCAATAATCTGATAAAATGTGGTGGATTACTATGAAGTTCTAGGCATGCAGACATGCCTTACCGGAGGATATTAAAATGACATATCAGAAACTGGCACTGAAGTGGCACCAAGATAAAAATCCTGAGAATAAAGCAGCAGAGAGAAAATTCAAACAAGTAGCCGAGACGTGAGGTGCTGTCAGATGCTAGAAAATAAGATAGCTTAATTTATATTAAACCAGAAGGAGGATTAAATGGTAGAGGACGTGGCGGAAGTCATTTTGACAATCATTTGAGTTTGTCATCACATTTCATAACGTAGATGATGTCTTCAGGGAATTTTTTGGTGGAAGAGACCCATTTCCATTTACCTACTTTGAAAATCTATTTGAGGACTTCTTTGGGAATCAAAGGGGTCCCCAAGGGAGCAGAAGCTGAGGGATGGGTTGTTTTTCTCAGCATTCAGTAGATTTCTATACCTTGGAAGTGGATTTTCTTCTTTTGAGACAGGATTTACTTCATTCTCGTCACTAGGTCACAGGGGACTCATTCTCTTCCACATCATTTGGTGGTAGTGGGATGGGCAACTTCAAATGTGTATCAACTTCTACTGAAATGGTTAATGGCAAAAAAATTACTAAAAAAAGGATTGTCAAGAATGGTCAAGAAAGAGCAGAAGTTGAAGAAGAGGGCCAGTTAAAGTCCTTAACGATACATGGTGAGGAGCAGCAGCTGTGCTTGGATAACCAGGAATTCAATGCACACACTTAACAGAAATGTTAACCTAAACAAGCACCATTTGAGGATTAACAAAAACAGTTTTTGAAGATATCCAGTGAACTCGACTTTCAGTATAATTGTACCTAAAGTATTTATAAACAGCTTCTCAGAGCTCCTATTTGTCATAGACTTTTGAGTTTATTGTTGGGACCACAAAATAGGACTTTTTGTTTTAAAAATTGATGTAAATATCTGTATGCACTTTGCTTTTTTATTAAACATACTCCAAGGTGAGCCTTGACTCTTCAGTGGTAGGACAAGATTGTACACTAACACCAGCATGGATCTGCTTTTCCATCACGTCTGCAAATGTGAGCCAAGCAGTGTCAGCCTGTTATGACGTTAATATTGCCAGGATAAGCCTTCTATAGAAACAATTTCATTTTTTTCAGTGTTTAGTAGTGAAAGATATTAATGCGTTAATGGTAATATACTTCTGGCTTAATATAAATTAAGGATGTTTTCTACTTGTGCATAAATGCTGGCAATTTGGTAGGTCTTGACAATTGTTTAAACATGCAACGTTAAGCTTGGGTTTTAAAAAAGTAAAGCTGGTAAGCTGGGTCTTTGTCATTTGCTTTAAAACAAAGAAACGCAAATGTGTTCAGTGCATTTTTCCTGAAAAAAAAAATTGTATATAAAATGTGCCAAAGAAGATGTGTTCTTATTGAGAAAAATAATAATTTTGTTTAATTCAGAAGTTATCTGACACGGTTTGGCTGTGTCCCCAACCAAATCTCATCTTGAATTATGCTCCAATAATTCCCATGTGTTGTGGGAGGGACCCAGTGGGAGATCATTGAATTATGGGGGTGATTTCCATCACACTGTTCTCGTGGTAGTGAGTAAGTCTCACGAGATCTGATCTCTCTTTGCCTGCTGTCATCTATGTAAGATGTGACTGACTCCTTGTCTTCCACCGTGATTGTAAGGCTTCCCCAGCCACGTGGAACTGTAAGTCCAAATAAAACTCTTTCTTTTGTAAATTGCCTAGTCTCAGCTATGTCTTTATCAGCAGCATGAAAATGGACTAATACATTACCTAAAGGTTAAATTATGGACTTGGAAAGGTTATTTATGAAACAAGGTAGAAAGGAACCAGTGGTAGGGGAGAGAGATGTGAAAAAGATTGGTCTCCTGTGTTAGAAAAAATTTCCCTTAAAATATCGATTTGCTCTTAATAAAATCACAAGAGGTTTTGATTTTGATACTATACTGTTTCTTTTTGAAAACTTCTCATATTCATGTCTCAGAATGTGTCTTGCTGCTTTCAGCTTTTTTCTCCCCATGAAAAGGCCTGAGATGCTAACTCTCTCCTTCAACCTTTTTGCTAGCTCTTTTAACTTTTTTTCCTCCAGTTCTAACTACTGCAGTGGCCTGATGCTGAAATGTTTATCTGTAAGGTCTAGAAAAGCGATGTTTTCTTCCAGTATAACTTGATTCCGTACTCTTGGCTTTTCTTGATTATGTCTAAATTGTTCCATGTAACTGGCAAACTTCTCATGCTGTTCCCCTGCTCAAAGTACTCGTTTCCCGGTTTCTTCTTTCCTTTATAAGGTTCACTCATGACCCTGGACACACTCTTCCTGTATCTGATTAATTCAAGTACTCTTTTCCCATCAGGTTTGGCTTTCAGGTTATCTAAATGAGCTTCCCATAAGGAGAAGCAATCACAGTGCAAATCATCTTTGCCCTTTGGTAACTGGCCTAAGAAGCAGATTTACATTTTACTAAGAGAATTTCTATCTCATCATTATTAAGTTTTTGATTAATTAGGAAAACCAAAATTTAAAAGAATTAAGGTTTTTACATCCATGTAACTTTCTGTATTGCTTTTAAAGTCCTTGTGCTATTAAGTTACGGGGCACTGACTCCTGGGTCTGAAAAAGGCACCTACTCCTGCTACAACCTAAACACTGACACCAGTCAAAGTCTTGTCTTCAGACCCAGGAGAGGGTGACAAAACAAACTGCTTTCATGAGACGCAGGGCCAGAAATTAAAACTATTCAATCCCTCTTGGCCCAGGGACTATAGCAGAAGAGGTGGGCATGTGAGATTGCAAGGCCAATTTTGAGGAGTAAAATTAGTTCAGTCTTTCTAAAAACTAAACATTAATATCAAAAGCACACTGATGCAAGGCCAGCATCTGGGCCTCTGTGTCAGAATAACAAGATTTTCTTGAAGCATTGATCTGCTCTGATAGAAAATTATAAAAGGTTATGAAAGGTTTATGTAAACGTCAAATTGATTAAAATTAGATAAAATTGTTTATAAGGTTTTACTGAACTTAGCTTTAACATTAATAATACACTATACAGAGGTAAATTCGATTTTCTCTTTTGAACAAAATATGTAATATTAATAAGAGATAATAGGAGATTTCTGTTTACCTTTTGAGTTAGCTGCAGGAAAAAAAAAAAGAGGGGAGAGAGAGACAAGTTTAGTTGGCCCCATGCTGTCTTTGCTGTCTTATTATCTGGGAAAGTGGATTTCCTATCAAAAAGTAAAGGTCGGGATTTGGTGTTTTTTTTTTAATATCTGAATTATCATTCTGGCTAAATGAATAACTATTCCATAGTGACTATGACCCTATTTTGTGAAATCAGGTGTATTAACCTTTGATATTTGACAAATTTTCCAAAAGCAAAATTTCAAGTTTTAAATTCAGTCTTTTTGGCCAGGCACAGGGGCTCACGCCTGTAATTCCAGCACTTTGGGAGGCAGAGGCAGGCTGATTGCTTGAGCCCAGTTCAAGACCAGCTGAGCAACATGGCAAAACCTCACCTCTACAAAAAAAAAAATATAAAAATTAGCTGGGCATGGTGACACACACCTGTAGTCCCAGCTACTTGAGAGGCTAAGGTTGTAGGACTGCTTGAGCCAGGGAGGTTGAGGTTGCAGTGAGCCATGATTGTGCCACTGCACACCAGCCTGGGCAACAGGGCAAGACCTGATCTCAAAAATAAACAAATAAATACATACATTCAGTCTTTTTGACCACAAACTAATTTTTTAGCTATTAGGGTCCCTTGAATTCCAAGAGAGACATATTAGGCTTATCTGGTATGTTAACATTATATACAAAGCATTGTCATGTAGTAAATGTTTAACTTTCTTTGGGTTATATTGATATAAATGTGTTATTAATGTATATTCAAAAATCATGTGAAATTCCTAAATTTCTGATCTTAGTATATGTTATCAGTAATAATTATGATTATGTTAAATTGTTGCATGCCACAGAAATAACCAATCTTCCTTGTCAATTGTGTCTTCAACCCTGATTGTCTTAAGACTTTTGTCATCCATAATTGTTTTACTTTGATTCTTCTCAAAAAGCAGTTTATAATCAGCTACAGTCAAAAACTTGCTTCTTTAGGGGAGTTCATGAAAAGGACTCTTAAATGCAGATTTCTGACAACTTTGGAGATTGTGCCACTGGATTAGAGAGGAAACGTCCAGGACTCTCGTTGGAGGGCTGATGTGTTCATGACGATTGCTGGCCCAATATCAAGCAGAACAGGACTAATTGCATGGACTGAACTAGTAGAGGACTGAAATAATTTTTTATTATGTCTTTTATTTGAAATATTGCCGATTGTTTTTGTTTTTGTTTTCAAAGTCAAGAACACTTTTTCTTTTGGGCTATTGATAGCCTTTAACAATTGAGTAAAATAAACCCTTATCAATAAAATGTGAGGCATATTTCTCTCTCTCTCTCTCTCTCTCTCTACCCTATTTCTCCAGAATTTGAAAACTATTTGTGGTGTTCTTACTTTATGGCTTAATATATGCTTTGTATGCAAACCATAGCGGACTGGCTTTATGATGACAAGCATATTAACCTTATTTTTTGGCTTCGGGGTTTTGGCTCTTATGTTGATTTAAGGGTTAAGGACTGTGTGCTCACCTCCATTCCTGTCTGGCCTAGAATGTTTAATTGGCTATAAGAGTTGGCTATAGGTATCCTACTGAAGGACAGGATGGACCCAGGGCAGGTAGCCATACCACCCTGGCAATGATATGGGACAAAATAAAAGCTTGGCCATCAATGTTGCCTCTGGCATATCGAGACCGAAAGAGACCAAAATGAAAACAAAGCCCTAAGCCTCCCATCAACTGAATGGATCCACTTGTAGCCAAGGGGACTCCAGTTGCCAAGAGACAAATCTTGTCTAGGAAAAGGTCTTGCCTCTTGCCCTGCTGAAGATACAAGTAGCTCCCAGAAGTGGGCTGGCTCTTAGCCCCTTCGAAATGTATGGAAGACCATTTCTCCAACTCCTAACTCTAGATCACATACAAAATAATTAAGAAATATATTAACTACTGTCTCTGAGCTTGCTTCCAACAAGCTCCAGTTCCCTACAGATGCGCCTCTCCACTCTTTGAAACTGGAGGATCCAGTCTGGTTGAAGACCTGGAAATCCCAACAGGCTGAAGACCAGCCACAAGCACAGTAAGTTAGCCCTTTTGAAATGCTGCTGACCACCCACTCATCTGTCAAGTTAGCCTGCATAGATTGGGTAAAACCAGTCAGTCCCTCTGGGATCCCACTGGAGTAAAGAGTCATGGTCTTGTGAACACCGCCCCCCCGCCGCCCGCCGCCCTTATACCCAGCCAAAGATCCTAGATAAGAAATCATAAAGGGAACATGAACTTTTCCGGTCATTGTTCTCCCCTAGACCCTAGCTTTTCGCATGTGGGATGTATGAATCAGGAAGACGTTTTTGGTAGGCTTAGGATCGTTCTCTTGGATTCCCCAGTGGATTCACTCCATATTCTGGTATTTTAAAATTTGGTTTATCGATGCTGTTAATTACTTTAGTTCAATGTGGCCTCAAATGTTGTTCAAAAAGCAAAATAAAAGTACACAGATCATGGTCTTCCAGTGCGCCAGATGCAAACCAGGTACTTTGAGTATTTCCCATTATAAGTGGAATGCTTTCATTCCTTCTCATTATCCCACAACGACCTTCCTCAGCATGAAGCATCCAGGATTGATGGTCAGATTCCCCATGATTGAGGAATTGATCAATAGAAAGGGGAGGGACTGAAACTGCCCCAACTGTTCAACAGAACTGATGCTTCTGGTTTTTTGAATAAACATGGAAATTGACACTCCCGGGTCTTAACATGTGAAATTTACATTTGTCTCATCTGAGTTCCTTCCTCAGGAAACTGACCATTGGACAAGAAGCTGAAACTCACATAATCACCACATCCAGTGAGACCCCAGTCCCACAACCTTCATGTTTGCTTCCATACTGCCCCTCCCTAATTCCTGCTTTCCCATGCATAGTTACACTCCTTCCCCATTATACAAACCTCCAATTTTAGTCCGTTGAGAGAGATGTGTTTGGGACTGATCTCTCATCTTTCTGACTGATGTCACCCTAATAAAAAGGCTTCTTCCCTGGCAATACTTGTTATCCCAGTAATTGGCTTTCCATAGAGTGAGCAACGGATCCCTGGGTGTTTTGCTAACACTAGGTGTCTGGAAAGTTGGAGAACAAACAAGTGGAAGTGAGGTTCTCCAGGAAAGGCCTAGTGTTCCATGTTGCTCATTAGGAGTGGCTCCCTATAGCTTGAAGGCCCACTACACTGACAGTGACATCGACAATGACTTGTGAAAACCGAGGAGTCTAACTAGGATTCTCCCTCCTGCTTGCATGTCCATTTTCCTTCAGCCCAAAAGTTAACTGCGCTCAAAAGCCTCCATTTACCCTTCCAGATCCCTCTTCACCCTTCTCCACCCTGCCCACGGCCCTGGCAGGCTCTGAAGAATGCACCATCTGGCCTTCCTTGCCCTCTTGCTTCCCATTATATTAGGCCAACAGGAGGCATCAGCTGAAGACACAAGGATCTTATTAGGGTACTTATTGCCCAGTTCCCTTCCTGCTACTGTGGCTTCACAGTGTCTCTACCTCTCCACATGAGGCCCTAGCTCCTTCAGAAGACAGCCCCACCCACTATAGCTCCCATGAAGTTCTAGTAACAGCCTCCTCCCCTTACCCCTTCACACCCAGGGGTGGTAACAGCTTCATGGGTTGCTAGATCCTGGTGCCACATCATCCCTGTTGGTTTTTTAACCCTATACCTCCTCTGTAAATAGTCCCTTCATTAAACTTTCCTCAATTACCCCCTTTGCATGTGCGATCTGTTTTCTAATGGGACCCTAAAAGATACACGAGCCAAAGAGAGACCTGAAGGTTAGGTCAAGTTGCATTTCCTAAATACTCTGGATATATTCCAGCATGTAAAGGGACGGCCGATCAAAGTTTTCAACATTCTACACCATAGGGATTGGAATTAGTTTGGCCTAGAAAAGTTTCAAAGCAGGTACTACTTGTTACTAGTTATTAAGCAGAGGTATTTTTTATTAAAAATCTTGGTAATGCTCCTGTAGACTATCTGGCTTTGGGCAATACAGCTTCTTAATGAATTCTCCAGAGTGAATTATTTGCAAAGTGTGTCCCTAAGTAACTAAAGGAAGTGACCTGCTGTATGGAGTTATTGTGTATAGCCAATTAAATCCTGCAAGGCATTTGCTGATTCAGTTTTTAGAAACAGGCATCAACAGTGGCTAAAATCAGTGTCTACTGAGGTCACACCTAGTTTATGACCAAAGAAAGGAAGAAAAAGCTGTATATCAGCATATAGAATATCTTCTTTATTAAACAAACAAAACCCAACTCTACAGCAAGGAGGCATGCATCTGGGCTATTCAAAAGCAACTTAAAATCTTTTTTTCGTTGTTGTTGAGATGGAGTCTTGCTCTGTTGCCTAGGCTGGAGTGCAGTGGTGTGACCTTGGCTCACTGCAACCTCCACCCCCGGGTTCAAGCGATCCTCCTGCCTCAGCCTCCCAAGTAGCTGGGATTACAGGTGTGCGCCACCACAACTGGCTCATTTTTGTATTTTTAGTAGAGACAGGGGTTTCGCCATGTTGGGCAGGCTGGTCTCGAACTCCTGACCTCAGGTGATCCGCCCGCCTTGGCCTCCCAAAGTGTTGGGATTACAGACATGAGCCACTGCATCCAGCCAAATCTTTTTTTTTTTTTTTAAACAGGGTCTCACTCTGTTGTCCAGGCTGGAGCACAGTGGCACAATCACAGCTCACTGCAGCCTCGACCTCTCAGGCTCATGTGATCCTCTCGCCTCAGCCTCCCCAGTAGCTGGGTGTGGTAGTGCATGCCTGCAGTCCCAGCTAATTTTTTCATTTTTTTAATAGAGACAGGGTTTCACCATATTGCCCAGGCTGGTCTCAAACTCCTGGCTCAAGCAGTCAGCCTGCCTCGGCCTACCGAAGTGCTGGGATTACAGGTGTGCACCACTATGCCCAGCCTCAAACTCTTTAAAGGAAGAGAGGCTAAGGCCCAGCTGCCTTCCTTTGTTCAAAACAGATATAGGCCATACTGACTCTTGAGGTAGTATTAAAAAGCAACAGTAACTGAGAATTTATATTGAGTTTGTACAGCGTCACCAGTTCACAGAGTGAATACTAAAGAGAGACTGCAAAGTCTTGTATTTTCCTTAATAGATTTCTTCACAGGAGAAGTATGTAAAAAGTGATCCATAAAAATACAGAAATACCCAAAACTCCATTGCTCCTCATCGAAAACACCAGACTGAGAAACACAGATTCCAAAATTCAAGGAAGAAAAACATAAAATTTAGATGAAATGTCTAATAAACTACAGTCACTTTTTTTTTTTTTTTTGAGGTGGAGTTTCACTCTTGCTGCCCAGGCTGGAGTGCAATGGCACGATCTTGGCTCACTGCAACCTCTGCCTCCTGGGTTCAAGTGATTCTCCTACCTCAGCCTCCCAAGTAGCTGGGATTATAGGCGTGTGCCACCACGCCAGGCTAATTTTGTATTTTTAGTAGAGATGGGGTTTCACCATGTTGGTCAGGCTGGTCTCAAACTCCTGACCTCAAGTGATCCGCCTGCCTCAGCCTCCCAAAGTGCTGGGATTACAGGCATGAGCCACTACAGTCTTTTAATGATGAGGTCCTCCCAGTTTGAAAAATGAGAGCCAAAAAATGGTTGACAAGGAATATGTAGAATAATTAATAATTTATTTTAGTTGTCAAACCTAGGCTAGTGACTCACCAGGGCTGGCACAAAATGTGCCCCCTTCCTCCAGCTGGCCTTCCGGTGGCCTTCCTCCAGCTGGGAATTTCCAGTGAGTTGTGCTCCTGCTGTGTTCCCAATACCTTCACCCTCTGAACACCTGTGCAGCTAGAGCTGCTGAGACCCTCACATGTGGGCTTAGGCAGAGAGAAGAAGCCCACGTGTGCTGCGCCAACCCTCACCAGGGACAGAAACCCATTAGCAGCCTCAGCCCCACCAATTCGTGCAACCTGGATTTAGTTTTGCTTCCATGGGCTTGGTTTCTGGAAGTCCAGAAATGAGCCCTGGGCATCTGTGGAGCCCCCTTGCTGTCCTTCCTGCTCCTTCTACGTTGATGTGGTGTGTGCAGCCAGGCTACATCCCCAGCCACCCACACAGTAGAGGACTGGCTCGCCATACCTGGAACACCTATCAGGGGCCCGACGCTCCACTTAGCTCTTGCCTACCCCTCTCCTAAGGGGCCTTAAGTCCCTTCTTCTTCCCTCACTTCCTTTCTTCCTACACTAATCAACTGGCTAGAGTCCAGCTGACGGCAAGCTGATTCACTGCTTGGAACGGACACTTCTGCCAACCAAACTTTCAATAGCACTTCCCTACCGCTAGGTCTGAGTCCTGCCTGCTCAACTCATCAAACCTGTTAGCTCTTGTGCACAGACCACTCCATAGCCTGTTTGGAATGTAGCCAGGTTATACTCCCCCACCTTATGTCCAGTCCCAGTCCAGGAATGTTAAAGTTACCCCAGTTCGCCATATAGATCTGCTTGCTCCCATCTGGTCATGCCTCTGGCCAGAGGCAGCACACAGGAAAGAAGGGTCTGGGTGAAGTCACAAGGCCCATTACCTGCCATCCCTCAAAACCCAGAAATCCCAGGTCGAAATCCCAGGCCAATATTCCTGCTTTGCAAGAATATCCAACAGGTCAATAATGTTATGAAAGTTTCTCACCCTCACTGGTTGGCTAAGGAGTGTGACAAGGGTGACAAGGAGGTATCATTTTACACCTAATGGATTGAAAAAAATTTTGTGATAAGTTACTGTTGAGGAAGCAGGGAAAAAGGAGCCCCCACCCATGGCTGGTGAAAATGTGAACTGATAAAGCCTTTGGAAAGCAATCTAATAATATCTATTATTAACGAAAATACACATATCCTTCACTTAGCAATTCCCTGAGGATTTATCCCATTGAAATAGACACCACTAGGTAAGAATATATGCCCAGGTACTGTCTGAGATCACAAAAAACTAGAAACACATAAAGTCCAGTCAATAAAAGCATGATTGAATAAACAGTGACACATCTAAATCTGGAATATTACGCAGTTCTGAGTTAGACCTTTACCGATTAACTCAGAGGGACTCCATGAGCCATTATTCAGTGAGAAAAGCAAGATGCAGAGATGCAAAACCAAAATCAAGACACACTCTAAAAAGCATTAGTGTTTATGTAAGATGACACGAACACGAAGAAACAAATGAAGGATATACACCAGGTTGCTAACACCGGCAACCCTGAGAATGGAGGGGACAGTGGCTGGAGGAAAGGGTTAAGCAATGACAGCAACAAAAACTGCAACTTTTTTAAAGTGATGGTAAAGAAAACCAGAATGTGTGATGTAATCCCTTATCAACTATGTAAAATTACGTGTGTGCCCGTAAAAAGACACATGAAAGTACAGTCACCAGAACGCTAACAGAGGTGACCACTACGTAGTTTCCTTATTCCTGCACTGCACAAGTGATGTTTTTTCCCATAATCAGGAAAATACTCCCCATACTATTTTACCATTGTTTTCTTTTTTATTTCCCTGCTTTTCTAACTCTATGGTCACTACAAACTCACTACTTCCCACTAAATTAACTACATCATAGAAACTGCTGCTCACTGCACTGGGCTCGATGTTCACTGGGGCTTGGGTGTGTGTTTGTGCGTGTGTGTGTGTGTGTCCATGTCCCTCTTTCTGTTTCTCACTTTCACTCCAGCCCACCATCTACTGGAAAACTGAGCCTCCCCATGTGAACAACCACACAGAAAACTGAGGACTTGCTCCAAAAGACCCCATCAAGCCAGTGTCCACGCTGAGCACCTGGGCTCTGTACTCAGCTCATTTTCCCTTGCCCAAGGAATCCAGATCTTTACCTTGTGAGGAGCTTTGCCTGAATTCCAGCAGCAACAACAGGGGGCTCCACCAGAGACCCAAGGAGTCTTCTCCCCTGTCATCCTCTCAGGAGCTGGGTTCTGATGAATCTTTCCTGACTTTTACTCCCAAAAAGAGAGTTTATAAAGCCTCTATATCCTCGCGCACATAGAAAGCCGTTTATGAACAGCATGCCAATTTGCTAAAACAACTTTTGTTGTTGCGGGTGTTTAAATTGGAGCAGTCCTTCCCTCCACTGCCCACCCCTCCACCCCCACCAAGTTTTGCCAACACAACAGCCCCAAAGTCCCAGAGCCAAGAACAGAACTAAACACAAGGTCAGCCAGGTCAGGGGCTGCTATCCTGTGTGAGGGAACAGAGCCAGGCACTTGGCTCTGGTGTTCATTTGCACATTCTTTTACATAAATTTGCATGTTGGCCTCCAGAAGCCTTACTCCAAGTATTAATATTTAAAATCAAATTGGTTAGTTTGTGCAACCTCCAGGAAGTATGTACTCAGCCTCCCTGCTTGATCGAGTCCAGAGAAACTTGTATCCCGTGGAAAAATGCTCCTTAGGCAGAGAGCGCCCTGGCCCCATACTCCTCAGTCTTCACAGTGGAGGTTCCATCCTTAGCCTGGAATAGGTTATCCAGTCTCCCAAGCCACCCCTGAAGATGCTCCCCAGCCTCAAAAGCTAGTTAAGAGTGTGGTCACTAGTTAAGAGAATTAGTCACTTTTAGGACACTTAGGTTGTGTATAATGCAGAACTTCAGCTCTTGCACTTGACACACAACACTTCGTGCCTGAGGAAGAGCATTTTTGTAGATAATTGTGCATAACACCTACCATCCCTGAAAGCAGAAACCACAGCTTGCTATTTCTAAGTTCCTGCTATTTCAAAGACCTCTAAGATTTCTGCCATTTCAGAGACCTCTAAGATTCTGTTAAGAACAACAATTTAGTGCAGTTGTCTTTCTGCCTGGCTGTTTAAGCTTGCACACATTCTCCTCGATTTGGATTTACAACAGAGAGATTATACAAGCAGTGAAGAGCAAGCTAGATGCAAAGCAATAAAGCCATCCTCACAGGTGTAAATACTTCCCAGGCAGACCCTGCATTTGGTGGACCGGGCTGGAAAATGGATCATTTTGCAATTTACAGAGGAGGAACCGCTGGGATTTCTTTCCTCGGGCAAAGTTTTCCCCAAGTTTCTAACTATCCAAATGAAGCCAAGTAGATTTCAAAAACCACTGTAGAGAGCCCTACTTGGGGGTTAGAGTTAAATATAGAATTCATAATTCATCCAATAAATTAAACTGAGCACCTATTGTGTAACAGGCTCTGTGCTGGAAATTAGGTATACATTATAGTATTAGTTCCTACTGCTGCTATAATAAATTACCACAAATTTAGTAATTCAAAGCAACACAGTTTATTATCCTACAGTTCTAGAGGTCAGAAGTCCAAAATGGGTCTTGGAGGGCTAAAATCAAGGTGTCAGCAGGGCTTACTTCCTTCTGGAAGCCCTAGGGCAGAAGCCATTTCCTTGCCTTTTCCAGCTCTCGGAGACCACCGGCATTTCCTGACCTCTGCTTCTGATGTCACATCTCTTCCTCTGTCTCTCCTGCCTCCCTCTGCCACCTATAAAGACCTCTGTGATTACAATGGCTATACCCAGATAATTCAGGATAATCTCCCCATCTCGAGACCCTTGACTTAATCACCTTATATGGCAGAAGGGACTTTCCAGATGTAACAGTCTCAGGTTCCAAGGATTAGGACATGAACATCTTTGGGGGTCCCTCAGTCTGCCCAGTGCAACTGGTGAGCCCCATAAATAAGGAAGGAGCCACCACTGATGGGCTGGCTGAAGAAGCCAGGGATTCAGAAAGGAAGAAATTCTGGGAACAAAGGGTGGTAGATTCTTCACAACTCAGGATAAATCATACCTTCTGGGTCTTCCATTTCCCTCTCTGCTAAGGGGGATTTTGTAGTGGTAGTTGGAGCTCATGCTTGTAGCAGGGCTGAGAACCTCCTTTTGCTCTTGTCCTACCAGGAAGGAATAGTTACTAATCTGACTGCAGACTAGATCTTGCTTACTGATGGGCAGGGTCACTGTGCACCAAGATATTCATAAGGCCTTACAGGTTGTTCCTTATGTCTACACCATCTTCAGAAACATCATGGGGGGAAGTAATTGGGCCAAGGCAAAATCGGTATTCCAATATCCTTCTCTAACCTCGCCTCAATATGCAAACTCCCCAAGCCCAAACAGTGTGCTTTGCTCCTAAATGACTCTGAAGAATGAAGAATGCCTATTACAGTACCTGGCACGAAACAGACATTTAATGTATGAGTAAATGAGCAGAAAATATTCTCCCTTTGTGCTCTTTTCTTTGGTAAACTCATCCCTTCCCACAGGTCTCATTACCATTTTCTTTTCTTTTTTTTTTTTTTTTCCTGAGACAGAGTCTGGCTCTGTCACCCAGGCTGGAGTGCAGTGGCATGACCTCAGCTCACTGCAACCTCTGCCTCCTGGGTTTGAGCGATTCTCCTGCCTCAGCGTCCCTAGTAGCTGGGATTACAGGTACCCGCCACCACACCCAGCTAATTTTTGTATTTTAATAGAGACAGGGTTTCACCATGTTGGCCAGGCTGGTCTCAAACTCCTGACCTCAGGTGATCCACCCGCCTCGGGGTCTTGGTAAGAATCCCAAAGTGTTGGGATTACAGGCGTGAGCCACTGCGCCCAGCCGCCCACTACCATTTCTAGCCTGCTTCACTCCCTCCTGGACATGGCTGGTTCTTCACTCTCTCCCCAGCTCCAGATCCAGTTTCCATCCCAGGTTCCTCCAGAACCTCAACATGCCCGAAACAGAATTCATCAGTATATGTCTCCAAAAATTCCTGCCCGTTCCCGTAACCAGTACCCTAAGATAGAACAGTTCCAAAGCCTGGCTGAGTTTTAACTCTGTTCTTACCGACCTGCCACTATCTGTCCAGCCACCTGGCCCACTCAGCCCCTGTGCCTGCAGGCTCCTTACACCAGGGCCCCTGTGCCTGCAGGTTCCTTATGCTGATCTGGGAACCACAGCTGCTGTCCTTCCCTTCCCTCTGCCCTGCTGGCTCCCAGCCCACCTTCTCTTCCCCCTGTGCCACCCAGCCACACATCCTTGGCTCTGTCCCAGCCTCTGTCCTCTCTAGAAGTGGGGTTAACACACATTCTCCCAAGTTTCCAGGCTTCACTTTCTCCACAGGGCCCTAACCCAGTTCACTGCTTTGGTTCTCATCATGAACATCTGGTCTCAGGTAATAATTTCCCGCCACAGCCTTGGCCACACAGAACCCAGTCCCTGGCAGTGAGTGATGTCCCAGCTTCTGCCCATCCCCAGTCTCCACCCCGACACCCAGGCCCAGGCAGGGGGGTGGTCAGACACTCCTGTTCCACCTCCATGGACAAGCAAGCCAGACTACTTCAGGGTTTTCCACAAGACACCCTCACTATTTGGTCTGAAGAATAAACTTTTTATCGGAGGAATTCAAGCCCCCTTTAATTATCAAGCCCAGAGAGGCACTGAAATGTGACTGTAGGACGGGCACAGTGCCTCACGCCTATAATTACGGCACTTTGGGATGCCGAAGCAAGCGGATCACTTGAGGCCAGGAGTTCAAGACCAGCCTGGCCAACATGGTAAAACCCTGTCTCTACTAAAAATACAGACGTGAGCTGGGTGTGGCGGCGGGTGCCTGTAACCCCACTCAGGAGGCTGAAGCAGGAGAATCGCTTGGACCCAGGAGGTGGAGGTTGCAGCGAGCCGAGACTGCACCACTGCGCCCTGGCTTGCATGACAGAGCAAGACTCTGTCTCAAAAAAATAAAAATAAAAAAGTGACGGGGCCATGTGTGTGACAGCAGTCATGTCTCATTCCTCTCTTGAGCTAAATCATTTCCTCTTGAGGCCACATGCTATATGGGCTCTAGGCTAACTGACACCAGATTGTCATAAAATGTCACACACTGGACACCAGCACTCATACTCTATAGTTCACCAGTGTAGGGCCAATCACTAACAAATATTATTTCTGTCAACCGGTGAGAACTCCTGTCAAACAACTTTGTATTGGCTCAGCCTTGTCCCCTTTTGCCTTTAAAAACCTGCTTGTAATAGACTGGACATGGTGGCTCATGCCTGTAATCCCAGTAATTTAGGATGCCGAAGCAGGAGGGTTGCTTGAGTCCAGGAATTGGAGACCAGCTTGGGTAACAGAGCAAGACCCTGTCTCTACAAAAAATACAAAAATTAGCTGGGCGTGGAGGCACACCTCTGTAGTCCCAGCTACTCGGGAGGTTAAGGTAGGAGGATTGCTAAAGCCCAGGAGGTCAAGGCTGCAGTGAGCCACGACTGTGCCACTGCACTCCAGCCTGGAAGACAGAGTGAGACACCGTCTCAAAACAAAAACAAAAACAAACAAACAACATGCTTGTAACAAAGGCCAAAGGGAGCACTCCCCAAGGCAACTTGGAATTGTGTCCCGGGCAGCTGTCCTCAACCTTGGCTCAGATAAACTGTCTGTATTAACGTTGCCTCAGTTCTTTCTTTAGGTTGGCAGAACTAATCCCTCTGTCTTTCTCTTCATCTGTCAAAATGCTGTTAGGCCCATATAAGTGCCACCTCTCTGTGATGTCTCCAATCAAACGTGACCTTGAATTGAACCTCCACTGAAAACCTCTGCTGTCTTACGTTAGAGTTACTATCTTAGACCGTGAGATCGAGGACTGGGCCTTTATCTAACTCTTTATAACACATATAATTATGTGCTTGCTGTGACTGATCAATGGGTGCTCAATAAATATGAATATAATTAAATACAACTGGATTCCCTAAAGGGCTACCCAGCACAATGCCCAAAATAGCCTGCATACTGCCAAGGGGAAGAGATGATCTGATCTATAAATTAAACATGGGCCATGCTTCTCCACTGCATCTCCCCACTGCTTCCTGCCCTTTGGCCATTTGGTCCTTATTAATTCCCTTGGAGCGAGATGGCCAGAGAAAGAAAATGTACTGCAACATAAATTCCTCCATGTTATGGGGTGGGGAATGGCAGTAGGGAGTGGTGGAAATGACTGGAGCTTGGATGTGCTTTTCTTTAGGTTTCTAGGCTCCAACAGATGTGAATATCCGCTGGCCACAATGAGTGCTGCACCTGCTGCCATAGCACAGCCTTCCGGGCTGAGCCTGCTCCACATGTTACCCTGAATTGGAACAGGGCCTAAACCTCACCACCCACCATATTTTGGAAATAAGCACATCAGGAGCACAGAGGGAGTGTCACCACGTGATGGGGAGCTGCGTGGCCCTGCCTTCAGAGGGCTGGAAACGCTCGGCACCGCTGGCTCAGCATCTTCCACAGCACGCTCTGTAACACGCGTGCAATCCAGTACAACGCTGAACAGAGGCGCAGGAGAAAGGAGGCCAAGCCAGGTCTCTCTCGCGCTTCTCTGGGGATTGCCCTTCAAGAGGTGAGTGTACCGCCTCTTGGGGGCTGAGTCTCCTCTGCAGCACCAAGTAATGGCCAGACACCAAACAGGGCAAGACCCAAGAAAGTAACATAGGAGAGAGGGGGCAGAGCAGGGCAGTGGGGAGGTGGTGGGAGGAGAGAGAGAGAACTGATCAAACACGGTAGGGAGAGGCATAAGGTAAGCATACAGTTTTTCCTTGGTAGAGACCTGACTCCCTCTTGTGTATTTCTGCATCTGTAAAACTGAAATAAAAGATGCCCAGCACTCAAAGAGAAGGCCAGCAGAGATTCACACTGTTCGCCACTCCCAGTGGTGAGGCAGCCTCTATTGCCTTCCATAACCATCCTCACCCAGGGTGTGAAATGCTTCCACAGTCCTTAGTTGGCCACACAGAGATCTCAGCCACTACCTGCATGGGGTCTGTTAGCAGTACAGAAGCCACTGTCCTTCTCCAGTGCCCCCAGCTCAGTGGAGGTGCATGCACTTGGCTGCTTACGCTTAAGCAAGTTTCCAGCACTGGCATTTGCCTGAGCCTCTCTGGGTATCTCAGAAGACCTTTGAACTTGGAGGCGTCTTCAGCACCACCAGTGTGCAAAACCTCAGCCCTCTAGTGGCAACGGTTGAGCATTACAGCTTGGTGGAAGAAAAAAATTGTTTGGCATACAGCAGTCAGGTATCTGTGGGATAAAGGACAGTCATCTGCTTGCGGCAGCCAGGAGAAATTTAAGAATGGATGAAAACAAAGCTAAAGGTATAAGGGTCATAGGGATGCTTTTTTGCTCCCTTGATTTGTAGAATTTGTTTAATTCAACAAATACATCCTGCTGCATGCCAGGCATAATATTAGAGCCAGACATCGCCTCAGACATCACCTGGTCCAACCCCACACTCCCCGATATCCTGTAGTCTAGCTCCATAGCTGCCACCTTGGATGGGGAATCATCCACTAGAGATCTACAAAAAATACAAAAATTAGCTGGGCGTGGAGGCACACCCCTGTAGTCCCAGCTACTCGGAAGGTTAAGGTAGGAGGATTGCTAAAGCCCAGGAGGTCAAGGCTGCAGTGAGCCATGACTGTGCCACTGCACTCCAGCCTGGAAGACAGAGTGAGACACTGTCTCAAAACAAAAACAAAAACAAACAACATGCTTGTAACAAAGGCCGAAGGGAGCACTCCCCAAGGCATTCAACACATTCAGTCACCAAGCATGCGTTGAATGTGCAGGCCCTGCTGAGGTGCTGGAGCAAGGGCTATGGACAAGCCCCACTCGGTCCCTGACTTCATGAAGCTTTCAGTCTAAGAGGTCCCCAAGGTCACTTGGCCTCTACTACAATTCTAATACCCCACTAGATCCACCAGGGTTGCTGCCAACCCCCAACTTCCAGTCTCAGAAACGCCAGGATGGCCTCAACTGGTCTGAGCCACAGCAGTGAGACAGCCAGGTAGGAAGGGGTCCCCAGAGAAACTCCAGCCAACCTGCGAACTGGGAGGAATGCACCATGGGGTGGAGCCTCAGAAGTTCCTGTCATTTGCAGCAGGAAGGAGTCCGGCCCCTCCTCTTCCTGGGTAGAACCTGGGATTTCATCCATGAGGCGGGAAGCCTATACTAGAAGGACTCTCGTTCTGCTGAGTCCCTGTTCCCCACTTTTTTTCCTTTTTGCCCAATAAATCCCATTATTCTCACCCTTCAAACTGTCTCTGAGTGTAATTTTCTGTGGCTGTGTGACGAGGATCCCATCTTTAGCTGAACTAAGGAAAAGTCCCACAACAGAAGGGAGGCTGCCCGGCCTCCATGAAGGCAGGCTCTCTCCTCACACACCAGACCCACCACGTCAGGCCTTGCCTTCATGACCCACTCACTGTCCCACCAGGGTCTCTCCAGACAAGCCGACTGGGCTGCGGGGCCAAAGCAGGCCAGTGTGGTTACACTAACACCTCGCTGCATTTTCCCTAGTTTCCTTAAATCTAGATGAGCCTCATGTAGATGTGACTGGAACCGATGTCCAAAAGATGCTGCAAATAAAATGCACTGTAGACACAGAAACCACCGTACTGGAGTGTAATTTCTCATTCTACATTTGTTTTCTCTAGTCGACTACCACCTCCTTCAGAGCAGGCCTCGTTTTATTTCTCCCCCTATTCCCAGGGCCCAGGATCCTCGGCAGGTATTTGATAGTTGTGAAATAAGCAGGTGCATTTGAGGACAGGAATACAAAGTGAATACCAAAGTGCATACACTCCAAACACACGCCTCGACCATCAACAAGGCCACAGAAGGGCCGCAGATGTGTCCACACTGCCAGATCTTAGCTGGTTGACACAGGCAGAAATGGAGGACCCTTTAGGAATCTCGGAGGAGAACCACACCTTGGCCTGCATGTTCAGATACAATGCACTCTCCTTTAGAGCTCTCTCCGGAGAGTTTACAGCTCAGAGCACCAACAGTTCACAGTGTCCCAACTGTTCCCCCTGCCTAGCTCTCTCGCATCTTACTTCATAAGACCATGCTTTCGATGCAGAGATGCAAGACCCAGATATGTGTGGGTTTTCTTTCATAACAGCCTCTCTGATATATGTGCAGTTCTAAGACAATGAGAAATCAGAAACGCAAAGCATTCTCTTAAATAAAATAAAATAAAATCTCTACCTACAGAGCACAGAGAGCTTGAGTCACCCAGAATATACAGCAGAAAGGTAGAGGAGCACAGTGGTAAGGAGCCATGCTCTGGGGTGAGACTGCCTGGAATCAGTCCGGGCTCAGCCATTTACTCCCTGTGCCTCCGCTTCCTAATCTGAAAAACAGACACCATCATAGCTACAGCCAGGTACAGCGGCTCACACCGACAATCCCAGCACTTTGAGAGGCCAAGGCAGGTGGATTGTTAGAGGCCAGGAGTTCGAGAACAGCCTGGGTAACATAGGGAGATTCCTGTCTTTACGAAAAATAAAAAATTAGCTAGATATGGTGGCATATGCCTGTAGTCCCAGCTTTCAGGAGGCTGAGGCAGAAGAATCACTTGAGCCCAGGGCTTTGAGGCTGCAGTGAGCCATAATCGCACCACTGTACTCCAGCCTGGGAGACAGAGCAAGACCCTACCCTCAAGGAAAAAAAACAGTATCTGCATAATAGAACACTGGGAAAATTAAATGAGTTGTTACAGTAAGAACAGTGCCTGATACAGCAAATATTCAATCAATATCAGCTGTTACTATGGTGGTACCCATCCTTCACATCCTTGAACAAAATAGCAAATAAGTAAAATACCATGTAACAAATCTTGTTATGTCCAAACGGAGCATAACCAGCCCTCCCAAACCAGAATCCTAAGGGCAGGAATTACAGTCTGAATTTTGGAGATGTTTTCTGGTGATTCACATGCACATGCTGAAGTGTGCAAACTTCTGTTCAAGGAATACCCTGAATGCATGAGGAACAAACCAATGGTTTTCACTAGTTTTACAAATACAACTTGAGTTTCCAAGGTGGGGGCCTGGGAGCACCAGGAAAATTTTTGACATGGTTGCAAGCCATTATCCCGATCCTAGATCCTATGACACAGATGCTAAGGAATCAGAACATGACAAAGAAAAAAGGAAGTGTGTTGTGGGTAGAGGCCGCATCCTCTGAGAGTTGGCCGATCTTCCTTTGAGAAGTGCACCAGTGCCCAAAATAGAACCTGGAGTCCAGCTAGAGCTGCCTAGGCAGAGGCCACACCTGCAGCATTTGTGCTCTTAGCAACGTCGTCCACTCAGACACCAGGATGTTGATTTGTCCCAGGGCTGGAAGTTCCTGGCTCTCTTCAGGGTCTGGGCTGGGCTGGTGACTGGAATGGGAAGCAATAGCTGGAAGGTACAAACCAGACCCCGATTCTCCAGAAGAAGAGTTCTCTGGAGATGACCCCAGGGCGTTGCACCTGGGTGCCTGGGATGAAGAGGGCATCCGTGAATAAAAGTGGGGAATCCAAAGAGTCCAGGTGGGGAAGGATGGAGGGGAGGGTTCCCAGCCCAGTCATACATGTCAAGCTTAGGCACTGTTCCCCGGGAATTGACTGGTGGGCAAGGAGGAGCATTCCCTCAGAAGGGAAACTTCTCTTCCCCTCCCCGGCAGGTGGGGCTAAACCTCTTGCTGTACAGCAGGTGCTGCAGCTCAGGGCAGCAGCAGGGTAGTGCCGATGTATGCCGAGGAGGCTTAGCCCAGGCATCTCCCCTGGGTCCCTCTGCTACCATGCCGAAGACTCCAATCACAGCGTCTTCACATCCCAATTATACTGAAAATGAACCTCAGAGCCCCTGAGGAATTGCACTTGCCTGATCACAGAAGCAAATATAGCACATGCAAAGTAAAAGAATACGGTATAATCTTTGCTGAATGTCAACTCTTTCCCAGAAACACATCACCTCCACACTTGCTCACAATCAAGTGCTCCTTCCTCCCTCACCTTTAGATCTGCTGCTTAGAACACAACAAGCAGCTGGCTTGCAGCCTGCCCCGAACAGCCCCTGCCCCTTAACGACCACTCAGCCATGTCTCAGGGGTGACACACACAAGGGGAATCTTGGCAGATGGTGGCAGAGATCCCTTGTTATCTCCCAAACATCTTATCTCTGGGTTTGGCTCTGCCATGACACCCCACCAGTTCACAACACAGCAGCCAGAGAGCCGGTGAAGGGCTTTTCACTTCACTTGCTCCTCCAGCCCCTGCCTGCACAGACACTGGGCACAGAAACTAATGAGCAGAGAATAGCTAGAAGAGAAAGCGGTGATGCTGAGGAGTAAATAAATTATTCAGATCGCAGAAAAGGAGAGACACAAAAGGGTCTGAGAGTCTGCTAAGCTCTGAATCACCTAAGATCGCATGTGCCTTCTCCAAACTTGACACCAACCTCCTCTGCAAAGAAAGGGCTTTTCTAAGCATCTTGCTTCAAATTGCCTCTCAGGGCAACTGTTGTTGAAGGGCTGGGAGCAGTGAGGAATGAAGAGGGAGTCACAGCGTCTCTACAGCACAAGAGCTGAAAGGGGCTGTTCTGTTACCTGCCCAGCCACCCAGATGAGAAAAGTGCCGCTCAGAGAGGTGGCGGAGGCTGGTGAAAGAGCATACACTCACTGTCACAGAGCAGAGAGTGTCCTGTCATGTTTGCACACACACACACATGAATAGCGAGAGGAAATGGAAAGGTGTTACTGAACTGGAATCCACTTGCCCAGCACAGTAAAACCTCACATCCACACGGAGGTTTTGCAGTGGGAGAAAGAAGGGCATTTATTTGCAAGGCACCAAGCAAGGAAAACTGGGCAGCTCACGCTCAAGACCTGGCCTTATCTACAGTTTACAGGCAAGAGTTTTTAAAGGCAGGGGTACATGTCAGGAAAACAGAAGTTACAGGCAAAATCATAACTCAATACATGGAGGTGATACATCGTTACGGCCTCAAAAGGTGGGATATCTTGGAGTCTTATGGGTCATCAGTGGATTTAAAGATTCTCTGATCTGCAATCGGGTTAAGGAAGCCAGGCTTTCTCTATAATCTTGGGGTCAGCAGAAAGGGTATAATATTGGCGGTCAGCAGAAAGGAATGTTAAGCTCTGGCCTGTGGCATGATTTCCCTCCAGGCCCTCAGGAAGAAATTTAGAACAAAGAATGACAGACAGAGTTCAGTCCTCAGTTCCCCCTTATCTGAGGTCTACCTGCCAGTGATGGCATTTTCCATTTTCCATCTGGTAGGGGTCCAGGTTTCTGAAAAACAACTCAGGGACATATGTTAAGATGTTATCTTTAGTTTCTACAGGGAACCAAACATGTTCTGGCTCTAATTTCCTTGGCTATTGTTTTAAGCTATTATCACCTTCTTGCTTATCACGCTGTTCCTTTACTTTTCAAGGCTAGCTAGGTACTTGGAATTTTCCTTGAAGGAACTCAAGACTTTCCATTATTTTCAAGCTTGAGAAGGTGGGGCCCGCAGGCCCCTAAGAGGGCTCACAAGACAGACACCAGGTCTTTCTCCTTTTCAGCCAATCTCCTTCAAGGCCTGAAGTACGAGGGGGACATGAGGACCCCATCCAGGTCTGAATCACATCATCATCAGGTAATGGGGCTTCTTGTACTTGAAAATCCACTTGAAGAGAATGCTAGGCAGTGTCTGCCAATTTCCTATGGAAGAGAGAGCTCAAAGGTCAATAGTATGTACTGAGCCTCCCATGACCCTGGGGTCCTTGCTGGGAGGGGAGAAGGCTACTTGGGAATTTACCTTCCTATTGGGGAAAGAGAATTTGCAGACCAAACAACCATAAGAATACATTTCCTGAGCAAAACAGAAAGGCTCACTTTCCACAGCAAGAGATACATATCACCTTAAGGATGTACAGGAGACTCCAGTCAAAAGGGAAACTGGCAGGTAAGAAGCAAATCATGAGAAACTTCCTGGAGGAGGAAGGAAATTGGAAATATGGACTGGTAAAAAGTAGAACTGCAAATAAAATAAATAATGGCATGTTACAGGTACAGAGGTGACACCAAGTATAAAGTATTGACAAGGTGATGAACTTCATTTAATGTGAGGTCCTAGAGCAGGATCATGAGAAGATAAGACGGAGTATCATGGAATGTTGGAGAGATCCCGTGGCCAGTGCTTCCTGAAGCTTCCTAATGCTACCTGCATGTTCTAATCACTTGGGAGCTAAAAATTCAGAGTCCTGAACCCACGTAAGCCTTCCTGAGAGATAACATCTAGGGATGTGCCAGCTATGGGAACCACTAACCCTGCCACCCCTCCTTTTACAGAGCAGGAAACTGGGGCCCAGAATGTTACGGCACCGCTGGTAAAGTCAGGAAAGGCAAGCCAGAGGAGAGTTCTAGAGCCCAAATTCAGAAGCTCAGGTCTGACATGGCATGGGGAAGAATGAACTACAAGAGAATCCACCTGTCAGGATGCAAATCCTGGTGGGAGGGACTCGGGGGTATCCACAGAGCCTTCCGGAGGCCCCTGAAAAAGGCTGATGCTGGAGGCAGGCGCTGGGCCAAAACCCTGTCAACATCCTTGTCCCTTGGGAATCTCCCCATGGTGTTCAACTCTTCACCTGAATCCTCTGCTGACACTGCCCGGCCTCCCCCTGGGTGCGCAGGCTGTAAAGCCATCCAAGGGCCGGGTCAGCCACTAAGGAATCTGGAGCGGAAGGTGCAGGCTAGCCCTACCCAGTCTCTAGGATGTTGGCACCTGCTCACATGCACAGCCGCAAGGCGTTCTTCCATCTCGCTGCATGAGCCTTTTCTTTCTTTTATTGTTAGGGCAGGAAATATTTCAGTTACACTCAAAAGCAGGCTTTCTATATTGGAGACATTATAAACAGGAAATGCCCATTTGCTTCATTTTACTTTTCTTATTCATCAATTTTAAAAGCATTGAAGCCACAGCAAATCTGTCTTCCACAAGGCAAGGGTGGCAGGTGCCACTGGCAGAGAGGGAGTGCCAGACAGGGGGACTGGGGGTGTGGGGTGCAGACAGATGATGTTGACTGGCCAAGGGATCACTGAGAGGATAGAAAGGGCCTCAAGAGGCCACCCAAGAAGACAGCACCACAGAGCTCTGCCTCCGCCCAGCTGAGCGGCTGGTGACATTCATAACATGCTAACTATGTGAGCAACAAGACCGCAACTGGCCACTTGGTAATAAGCCAGCCATTACCTTGTTCATGATCCGTTCCTGTGAGACTGTACTGAGCCAGACAACACTATGACAAAGGGAGAAAGGGTGTGGTTTTGTTGGTGGTTAACAAAGATCTTCTGAAGGCAAGTCAAGGGGCCAGTACTAAACAGCTCCTGAAAATACACGATCTTCATCTTGCTATGTTGAGGCAGGAGAGGGTGACCCCGCCAACTCAGAACATCAGGAGGCTGAAGCAACTGTTTTGCCCCTTGTTTGGCAGTAAGAGAATGCAACCCAGAGACAGGAGAACTAACTTGGGGGGTGGGGAGGGTGGGTTGGAGACTGGCATCCAGGTGCAGCACATTGCCTGTCTCACAACTCTGAATTAGGGCTGCATGTGTGTGCGGGGACCTCGCAGATGGAAATATCTGCTCACAAGTAAAGAAAGCATCTCTCGCTGGGCGTGGTGGTTCACGCCTGTAATCCCAGCACTTTGGGAGGCTGAGGTGGGTGGATCAGGAGGTCAGGAGTTCGAGACCAGCCTGGCCAACATAGTGAAACCCCGTCTCTACTAAAAATACAAAAAAAATTAGCCAGGCGTGGTAGCACATGCCTGTAATCCCAGCTAGTCGGGAGGCTGAGGCAGGAGAATCGCTTGAACCCGGGAGGCGGAGGTTGCAGTGAGCCAAGATCACGCCACTGCACTCCAGCCCAGGTGACCATGCGAGACTCCATCTCAAAAAAAAAAAAAAAAAGAATGCATCTCTCAAAGACAGATAGATGATAGACAGATAATAGATTAGATACTGTAGATAGATAGATGATAGATAAATAAAAATCTTAAAGCAACCTTCTAATTCACATCTTCCTCAGGGCTAAGCAATATCTTAAATATGGAGATTGGCTGAATATTATATGTGTACCGCTTTTTTTAATTCAATCAACGTCTTTCTCCTTCAGCCCATCCAGAAAACAACCAATGCCACAAAATCCAATTAGGAGTTGTGGAGGAAGTAGGAATACTAAGTACACACAGCTGTAAAGATCAAGTAACTACACCAAACTTTACTTGACTCCTTTAACAACTTTGCCACATCAAACTTTATTTGGCTCCTTAAAGGAACTCATTTTAACAGAGGTGCTGGCACACAGCATAGCTCAAAAAGATCAAGTTTTTGTTCTTTATTGATGTTGCTATAAAGCACACTAGCTTGTCTGATGTAAGCTCCTGGGACTGGACACTGGTCTGGTAATTAGGAAGCAGAATTCCCCTCCGGGCTTCGTCCTGAATAGGCTGTGATCTCGACCAAGTCACTTTACCTCTCTAGGTTAAAGTATCCTCATTTCCAAATGAGACGACAGAACCAGGTGATCTTAGGTCCCTTCAGGTGTCAGGATTCCAGGACTATGTGATTACATGACTGTATCCCTCTTTCATCAATGTAGTCAAATTAAAAGAAAACAAATATGCAAATGGTAAACCGAACTCACCCAACCCAACCCCATTACCAGAAGGATGGTGCCATCAGCTAAGACCTGGTGCACCAACACAGAGCAACCAACACTTCTAACAACGGGGTGCCACAGCTGCTCCTGGTTAAGCCCTTGACCCCAGACGTTTTACTGTCTTGGGTTTTGGCTTGCTGTATTGTTGATTTTTGTTTTCTTAAACGAAACATTCCACTTGGTATTTTGATATAAAAAAGAGGGTTCACGCAGTAATCCCAGTGCTTTGGGAGGCCAAGGCAGGAGGATCACTTGAAGCCAGGAGTTCAAGATCAACGTGGGCAACGGAGTGAGACCCCCCCATTTCTAGAAAGAAAAAAAAATGAGCCAGGTGTGGTGGCACACACCTGTAATCCCAGCTACTCAGAAAGCTGAGGCAGGAGGAATGCTTGAGCCCAGTTGAGCCCAGGAGTTCAAGGTGAGAGTGAGCTATGATTACACCACTGCTCTCTAGCCCAGGCAACAAAGTGAGACCCTGTCTCTAACGAAGGAAGGGAGGAAAAAGTGAAGAAATATATGGACTAAGCTAAGAAGTAGGTCTCAGAAACAACCAAACTTTTGCATGCTGTGGGCTGACTGCTCATGTCCAAGGCCGAGGCCGGCTCGGCTGTGCTGTGAGGTCTGAGTCAGCATCCCTGTCCTAGCACAGCCCCCGGCACTTTATTTTCCTCCCTGTTGCTCAGCAGGACTCACTTCTTGAAAATGCTTGCTGTTCCTACAGTCATTTCTCTGTTGATTTTAATAATCTTGCCACACCAAACTTTATTTGGCTTCTTTAAGAAACTCATTTTAACAGAGGTGCCAGCACACAGCATAGCTTTGAGCCATAATATCACCTCTCCCCTTGGTAGGGTTTGGCTGTGTGTCCCCACCCAAATCTCATCTCGAATAGTAATCCCCAAGTGTCGTGGGAGGGGCCTGGTGGGAGGTGATTGGATCATGGGTGCAGATTCCCCCATGCTGTTCTCATGATAGTGAGTGAGATCTCACAAGATCTGATGGTTTAAAAGTGTTTAGGGCAGTTCCCCCCGACCCCCGCCATTCTCTGTCCTACCACCATGTAAGATGTCCCTTGCTTCCCCTTACCTTCTGCCATGATTATAAGTTTCCTGAGGCCTCTCCAGCCATGCAGAACTGTGAGTCAATTAAACCTGTTCTTTATAAATTACCCAGTCTCAGGTAGTTCTTTATAGCAGTGTGAAAATGAACTAACACACCCCTTGTGAGACAACGGATGCTGCCTCCCATTTATGGAGCAAAACAACTTATACTCTGAACAGTGCTGAAAACTGCCAACTTTGCTAATTATGAGCTAGCAGCTCCTGGCGGGGATGCAGCGGGGCATATTAAGTGGTGCAGGTAGGGCCGAGGCTTGGTGTGAATCGGGGACGTGAAATTGAACACCTCTGCTCAACACAGAACAGATGCAGGGTAACTGGGCAGGGGGGCATTTCTTAGGAAGAGGAGTGAGTTGCGAGGCAAGGGCTTATGCTCCATGGGGGACAGTAAGAAGAAAAGGAAAGGAAGAGCTAGGTTTCACTTTACCATTTATCCTCTAGAATTTGGGCCTGCACTGACTGGGAGACACCAAGCTAGCAAAAAACCTTTTTTTTTTTATTTTTTTTTTTGGAGACAGAGTCTCAATCTGTTGCCCAGGCTGGAGTGCCGTGGCACAATCTCGGCTCACTGCAACCTCCATCCACCTCCCAGTTTCAAGCAATTCTCCTGCCTCAGCCTCCTGAGTAGCTGGGACTACAGGCGCGTGCCACCATGCCCAGCTAATTTTTGTACTTTTAGTAGAGACGGGGTTTCACTATGTTGGCCAGGCTCATCTCGAACACCTGACCTCATGATCCACCCACCTCAGCCTCCCAAAGTGCGTGAGCCACCACGCCCGGCCTCTTTTTTCTTATTCTTAATTCACACAACTGCTGTTCCTTCCAAGTGAGCACATGCTCTGCTAAAGTCCTGCAAAGCCCTCATCCAAGTGGATGCTGTGAAAGCTGCAGGCTCAGAAGGACGAACACGTGCCACGGAAGCATGCTGCACTGCCTCCACGGCCAGGGGACGTTTTCATGAGAAGTGGAGATTTTCCTAAGGGGCGGTGGGTAGTCATCCCCTTGCAGGGAAGCATGTTCAGGGCCACAAGTCCAGCAAATCCATCCTCCCCACCAGACCACAGCTGCTCCTCATCAAGCTGAGAAGGAAGAGAAATAAGATGTTTTTCTGCAGCTCACATGGATAACACATCAAAGAGTCTGTGGCACCAAGAAGTTAATCTTGACTTTAGAGAAAATCTTGCTTTCCCTGAATACAGGCGAGGTGACAAGCTAAAAAATTAAACCAAAGAGCCGAAGCAGTGATTATCTGGCATTTTTTGGTCACCCACATTTATGCCACACTTCCACACCAGTCTGATTTCCTCTGGAGAATTCTCCCACTGAGTGCAGTCCTGGTGGGGGGATAATCTAGAGGCCCACCCTTCCACTGGAGAGATTAAAAGGATGCCTGGAGACCCTGCCATACTTCTAGTTCCCACTGTGTACAGCCAACGGGCAGCACTCACCCAAGCTCAGCCTTAGACATTCAGAGTGATTCAAGGACAGAGATCGAAATCTGGCTATTCTATTGTTTGAAGCCTTGTTTTCTGGACTTTCCATCCATTTTATGAGTACTCCAATTCCCTTCCCATAAATTCCTTTTTTGGTTACGATGACCAGAACTGATTTCTAAGAATCTTAACTGCCAGGCCTGGTGGCTCATGCCTGTAAGCCCAGCACTTTGGGAGGCCGAGACAGGCGGATCACTTGAGCCCAGGAATTCAAGATCAGCCTGGGCAACGTGGCAAAACCCCATCTCTACAAAAAATACAAAACTTTGCTGGGCGTGGTGGTGGGTGCCTGTGGTCCCAGCTACTTGGCGGGCTGAGACGGGAGAATCGCTTGAACCTGGGAGGCAGAAGTTGCAGTGAACAGAGATCGCGCCACTGCATTCCAGCCTGGTGGACAGAGCAAGAACGTGTCTCAAAAAAAAGAAAAAAAAATCTTAACTGATACATTCCTTACTGAGAAACCTGACACCTCATACCCAGGAAGCCTATCAAGAGACAAACCACGACAGGAGAAAGACAAAAGAATAAGGGGCAGGGAGCAAGCAATAGAGGACCACAGCATTTGGGGACTGGTAGGATCTTAGATGTCACTTTGTTGAGCTCCTTCATTTCACACACAAGGAAACAAAAGGTCCAGGGGGATGCAGGGAGGTTTGCTAAGGAGTGCCCCTCAGCAGCACCACCAGCCCCATTCGCTGCCAGCCCCTTTCTAGGGCATGACTTTTGGTACTAAAACTGCCAACCAATAAGAGGAAAGGATGTCAAAACTGAACACATTTTCCTCCAGTCAGCACATATGCTTGGCTGGCCTCGGCTCAATTCTCTTATCACTCTCCGGAACCTGTAAGAAAAATTATTCCAGGATAAGTCATGATCTCGTAATGACCAAGTGGCTTGAAATCCCACAGCATCTGGGCCAGTTCCCAGCTCCAGATGATTTCACATGATCTGGGAGCCCACCTCTCCTCACCACCCCACCCCGCTCTCACATATTGCGTCCCAGTGGCTCTTCCAAATCCCTTCCCAGACCTGCCCCCTACCCAATCCTCTTGTGACATGACCACTGCAATTAGAACCCCATTGGACAAGGACTTTCAAGCTACACCCAAAGGCATGCTGATGACATAAGACAATAACAATGAGATTCTGCTAGATATGGGATTCACTGTAGCAGAATGTGGCCTGTACCAATTCCCAATGACCACAGAGAAAGGAAGCAGGATAACCTAGGTATCTGTTCAGTGTAGAATTTAGAAGCTATTGACACAATGTGTTCTCTTCCACCCTGGTCTGCCTATACCTGCTCTAAAGGCTTCCAGTTTGCAGTAGCCATAGGGAGACATAGAGGCCCGGATATGTAGCTCCTCATCCACATCCACATGCACATGTGTTCAAACAGAACCTCTCTCCCTGCGCCCCATTCGAGAGTGGGTTATCTCAGACTTATGGACAACGCAGGGCAGTGCCCTCGCAATGTGTCTCCCCTTATTTCCTGGCCCTGGACCTCCCAAGTCCTATCTCCTACTCTTTGCATGCCGGGGATCTACTTAATCATTTGGCTATTTCCATAGCCACAACTCTGGAATGCAGTTACTAATTCCTTTTTCTTAAAAACGTTCACAGAACACAGTTAAATTTTTTTTAATCCAAGATACAAATGTCTCTATTATATAGGGGACCATCTGGGCTGCTACAGCTAGCTGGCTATGTTGCTATCAACTCTTTTTTTAGAGTTCATGAATCAGTTGCCAATAAGAAAAAAAAGAAGTAGTTAGTGCCAAGACTCTGCTTTCCTCCCCTGCATTTTTCCCCAGCAGGAGAGATACATCCCGGAGTCAAAATGGACCATGCGAACACAAAACCAGAAAATATACCTAAGACTGATGCTCTGGAAATGTCAGCCCACGGTTTGAGACGCTGTGGAGGTGGGAGGTGGTGTCAGCTTACTTCCCAGCCCTAGGGCCCACCAGCTAAGCTAAGTAATATTGTGTAGCCTCCACAGATCTAAGATGTATGCACAAGAAAAGGAATAAAAGGAGGGCAAAAGAGAAAGAGGGAGAAAGAAGGGAAGATGAACAAGAGGGAAAAAGAAATGAGAGAAAAGAAAGAATGAATACCCAAGGGCTGGGAAATCCCTAATGCCAGGGACTCACCAACAACCACAGACTTCTGAACCAGCCAGGTTGCCCAGAGAAGCCACTGATTAGTGGTGGGAGCTGAGTTCAAATTGGAAACCAAAACCTTGAAAGAATATGAATGGGAAAGCTGATGAATGGAGAGGAACGCTAGGTGGATTCACGGTGGCATGGCCTGCCATTCCTCCCTTGCTAGGATGAAAGGGATCCAGTGAAAAGGGAATCAGTGGGTCATTCTGTCATCCCCATGTCCTGAGCATGCACCTTTGGTTTTGTTGTTGTTGTTGTTGTTTGAGGTGGAGTCTCACTCTGTCGCCCAGGATAGAGTGCAGTGACACAATCTCAGCTCACCGCAACCAACCTCCACCTCCTGGGTTCAAGTGATTCTCCTGCCTCAGCCTCCCGAGTAGCTGGGATGACAGGCACGCACCACCACGCCCGGCTAATTTTTCTATTTTTAGTAGAGATGGGGCTTCACCATGTTGGCCAGGCTGGTCTCAATCTCTTGACCTCATGATCCGCCTGCCCCAGCCTCCCGAAGCGCTGGGATTCGGTTTTTACAGACACTGCAAAGGATCAGAAATTACAGCTCCATTCTGGCCAGACAGCATACCCCAAGGGCAGAAACCACCCACCTCACTCACCTGAAGGCAGTTTCAGGTGTTAATTACACTCACAAGCACCCACAAAAACAGAGTTGGGAGCCCTTGGCCAGAAGCCTCTGGATGGTGAGAAGCAAATGATGGTTGAATAAATGTGTGATTAATTGTTCCCACTAAGGCATTCAGCCCAAAGAGTGCTAACTGCAAATGGGCCCATAAGCATTCTCCACCTCCCACCCTTACCCCAGGAGGAAGAAGAAAAGCAAATTCTATCCTCCACAAAATATATGGCCAGGTAAGTGTGGGATGTGCATTGCTATGGAATTTTTTGTTGCGGTGGTAATTGTGTACATGTGTGAGAGAGAAACTACCTTTTTACAAATCTGGTTGTTTTTTAAATCACGTTTGTGACTCAAGGCAGCTGAAAAACATTAAAAAATAAATCATCCCCCAAATTGTCTCCCAGTGAGCTAACAACCTACTTCATTTCCATGCCCCCAACAACCCCCAGCTTAGGGGCAAATATGGAAGTGTAAGACTTCAGCTCCTCTGCAGCACAGGTAAGGCCGCCTGGTCCACACTCTCTCCTCCTCAACCACAGATGTGCTAACCCTTTGCACTGATCTGAGAGCAGAAATGCAAATAAGGTTTTAATGAACAATAACAAAATTCTTGGCAAGATGCCCTTTGTGCTTAATGGCAGGTGCATTCCTCAGTTCTCGCAAAGCCAAAAACATTCACAGCCTTAAAATCATGGGAAACACCGCTACTCTCTTCCTGGTGAAATCCTCTGGAAGAAACAACTGTAATCATGAGGCAAACTCCCTGGCAAAGCCCAAGAGTTGTCTTCAATAAAATATCGGTTTAAGGACCATTTATAACTTCTCACAACTAGACCTTAATGCAAAACCTTGAATAAAGATTTTATAACTATTTTGTTCACTTATAAGACGTGAAGTTTCTAAGAAATGTAGTAAAACAGACCAGATACTTAAGCAAATGCATGAAGTGGGTCCTGCTGTTGCTCCAGCCGAGAGAGGACAGCAGAGAGACAGCAACCATCAGGGGCCAGAGGGTCAAGAAAGAGCAGAGTCTGTGCAGCAAAGACTGAGGACCAAGAGTTTCTGCCTGTAATATCACAGGAGCCACAAAAAATTAAACATTAAACACTTGATCCAGCAATTCCACCTCTGAATACATACACAAGAGAACTAGAGGCAGGGACTCAAGCCCTGGATGCTCGTACACCCACATTCACAGCAGCATTATCCACTGTAGCCAAAAGGTGGAAGCAACCCAGTGTTCGTCGACAAAGGGGTGAACAAAATGCAGTCTATCCATACAACGGAACTGTCGACAGAAAGAGTCAAACTCTGTAAAATATTTGAAGAGATTTATTCTGAGCCAAATATGAGTGCCGTGGCCCATGACACAGCCCTCAGGAGATCCTGAGAACATGTGCCCAAGGTGGTCAGGGTGCAACTTCGTTTTACATATTTTAGGGAGACATGAGGTTATCAATCAAATACATTTAAGATATACATTGCAGCCGGGCATGGTGGCACACGCCTGTAATCCCAGCACTTTGGGAGGCTGAGGTGGGCAGATCATGGGTTCAGGAGTTCAAGACCACCCTGGCCAACATGGTGAAACCCTGTCTCTATTAAAAATACAAAAAAATTAGCCAGGCATGGTGGCATGTACCTGTAATCCCAGCTACTCAGGAGGCTGAGGCAGGAGAATTGCTTGAACCCGGGAGGCAGAGGTTGCAGTGAGCCGAGATCACGCCACTGCACTCCAGCCTGGGTGACAGAGCAAGATTCTGTCTCGGGGGGTGAAAAGAAAAAAAACAGATATACATTGCTTCAGTCCAGAAAGGCGGGACAACTCAAAGTGGGGGTGGCAGGTGGTTGGGGGGGAGTTCCAGGTCCTGGGTAGATTTAAATTTTTTCTGATTGACAGGTAGCAGGCTTCAGAGAGAACAGACTGTAAATATTGCTTATCAGACTTAAGGTCTGTGTTGATGTTAAATGCTAGTTGGTGTTTCCTGAATTCCAAAAGGGAGGAGGGCATAATGACACATGTCCCACCTCCCTTCCCCTCATGGCCTAAACCAGCCTTTCAGGTTAACTTTCGAGTGCCCTGGCCAGGGAGGGAGCCCATTCAGATGGTTGGGCGTGGGGGGCCTTTGAGTTTTATTTTTGGTTTACAGACTATTACTCAACCTTAAAAAGGAGAGAAATGCTGACACAGGCTACAATATGATGAACCTTGAAGACATTATGCTGAGTAAAAAAAGCCAATCACAGCAGGACAAATACTGTATGATTCCACTTATATGTGGTGTCTAGAAGTAGATCAGTTTAGAGGGACAAGGTAGAATGGTGGTGGCCAGGGGCTTGGGGAGGAGAGAATGGGGAGCTACTGTTTAATGGGCACAGAGTTTCTGTTTGGGAAGGGGAAAAAGTTCTGGAGATGGATGGTGGTGATGGTTATAAAACAATGTGAATGCACTTAGTGCCATTAAGCTGTACACTTAAAAACGGTTTAAAAAAAGTAAATGTCATATACGTATTTTACAACAAATTTTTTTAAGTTAAGGGAGCCAGACTGAGCCCCAAGTAGAAACTGCAGGGTAGGGTGAGATCCCTTTTGCTCTCAGGTAGCCGGCGAATACAGAGACAGTTGAGCGAAGCGTAGAAGCAGGATAGAACTAGAGAAAATGAATAACTTGACAGGGTGGGCTAAGTCTAGATCTGGGCTAGACTATTAAACAATAGAGTCTGAACAGAAATACCCAGTCTGATTCAAACTCAATTAGTGCCTATACACATTCCAGAGGCAGAGGTAAAAGAGACAGCCCCTGCCCTCCATTTGCTGACCAGCAACAGGGCCTGTATCAATCCTTCGGCTGGAGTAATCTAATCATTCTTTCAAGACAATGGCCTCTGAGACTCAGGTGGTGATGAAAGGTTCTGTTCTCAGAGCCCGTGTCCCAAGCAGGAGTGCCAAGGCCCATCGTGGCAGTGGCAGAAAGCAGGCAGCCCCCTGGAGAGAGAAGCCATTCCCTCTGACAACAGCACCCCGGGCCCCTGAGCCTCATTATCAGACTGACTCGTGGGTCCGAGATGGCAGCGCATTGACTCCCCTTCCAGAGTCACAGAGCAGACTGCAGGAGCGGGCCTCAGTCCCCACGGGTCTGCTAGTGTACACAGGACCCACTGCACACTGCCAGACATACCATCCTAGCCAGACGTGGCTCCTGCAGCCAGCCACCACTGTCCCCAAAGTCACAGGCTCCCTCTTTTCTTCAAAAGAATGAGACCCACAGGCCAGGTGCGGTGGCTCACGCCTGTAATCCCAGCACTTTGGGAGACCGAGGCGGGAGGATCACAAGGTCAGAAGTTCGAGACCAGCCTGAACAACATGGTGAAACCCCGTCTCTACTAAAAATACAAAAATTAGCTGGGTGTGGTGGCACGTGCCTGTAATCCCAGCTATTCAGGAGGCTGAGGCAGGAGAATTGCTTGAACCCGGGGGCAGAGGTTGCAGTGAGCCGAGATCACATCACTGCACTCCAGCCTGGGTGACAGAGCCAGACCTCGTCTCAAAACAACAAAAAAAAGAATGAGACCCACAAGCTTCTGGGTTCATAAGCCAGAATGAGGCTACCAAAGAGGTGACTTTTTTCTGCTTTCATGGTCAGTCTGAGAGCCACCATCAGTCATGCGCTCAACACGTGTCCACCATGTCCTCCTAAGTCCCGTGAACACATATATTGGACACCAAGAGCCCTGTTCTCCATCCACCCCTGCTTCACTTAGAAAGTCCAGGCACAGGCACACAGAAGTGTGTAAGAACACAGGTTTGTACCTGGAGAAGAACAAACAACCCACACAAGTTTGCCAGGTTGTAGGAGCCTGTGGTAGGTTGGAGTGAGCAGAGTTGCTGATGATGAGACCCAGGCTCGTCAGTGACAGCACATGGAAAACTTAGATCCAAGAGGCAAGAAGGCTCTGCTTGTAGAAAGAATAAATAGACATATCTACGGTGCAATAAAGTCTACCTGTGGGGTTGGGGCTGTGAGATGGGGAGTTGTGGGAGACCGGCTGGAGAGGTAGGTCAATGCTATGTTGTAATAGGCTTCCAACCCCAAATTGAGCGGTTTGGACGTTATCCTACAGGCAGTTTATGTCGATCCCATGAGACCTCAAGATTAGTCTTCAATCCCCATGCCCTAGAGCAGGGATCATCTTAACCAAGATTCTCAAGTCTTTTAATGCCCAGGACACTGTGCACACAGAAATGGTGGTGGCCCCATTACAGTCTATCAGCCTAATCTTTAGATATATTTTTTAGTTTTTTGTTTGGGCTTTATTTTAGCATATGCAAGAATGTCCCTGTTTGCTTCTCTTTCTATGCCAAATTAAAAATATTTGCGAGTCTGATCATTATGCCCTGGATTTGTATTCAGAAACCAGTTCAGGATCTAGCTGTGCATTTAGAGTTTTCAGTGACCAGTTTGTGGGAGTTAAGCAGATTCCAAGTGTCATTAAGAAATGCAGGCAACCCTCAGCTAACCCTGTTAAGATGCAGACACTCTGGCTATGAATGATCCCAAACAGCAACCACTTCCAACCCTGCAGATCTGAGTTGGTTACTCATGCAAATGACCTCACTATTTGTAGCAGAGCTCACTTAATGCTTCTTCTCTAGATTAAAACAGTTCAGCTTATTTTTCTAAAGACCCTCCAGGTCCTAGAAGAAGAAGCAACTCAGAAGCAATGTGAATGGCAAGGATTTCAGCCTGGAATTTAATATCTGCCTTATCTAACCCACAAGGGGACTATCTACACCTAGTTGTCAAAGGATGGAAGAAAGGTGTATTTCACAATCTATGATTAAAAAAAAAATGGGTATTACAAGATAGCAGTGGGATCGCTATCTTGAAGCACAAAATCAACATACGTGATGTTGGAGAGACTAGCGTGCAGCCCCCTGCATCAGCCTCGACATCATCCTCTGCTTTTGGGCATAGACATGGGTTGCTGGGCTACAGTCACCATCTGACAGCCCTTTCCTGTCACAGCTCGTCTTCTTTGGTGTCTGTTGTTCACAACCTCTCCCCAGCAGTGCCCTCCTCCACACCTTCAACCACCCTGATCTATCCCATCCACCATCTCCCCTCCACTTAATTCTGGATTGAAGCTCAGTTAGCCTCCCTTACACAGAGAGAGCTACCAAGTCTAGGATTCCATGGGCCTTCAGCAGAGCCCAAAAATGTGCTTTTTTTCTTTTGAGACGGAGTCTCGCTCTGTCGCCCAGGCTGGAGTGCAGTGGCGCCATCTCAGCTCACTGCCAGCTCTGTCTCCTGGGTTCACACCATTCCCCTGCCTCAGCATCCCGAGTAGCTGGGACTATAGGCGCCCACCACCACGCCTGGCTAATTTTTTTTTTATTTTATTTTTAGGAGAGATGGGGTTTCACCATGTTAGCCAGGATGATCTCCATCTCCTGACCTCATGATCCGCCCGCCTAGGCCTCCCAAAGTGCTGGGATTACAGGCGTGAGCCACCACGCCCGGACAAAAATGTGCATTTTTAGTAAGCATCCAGATGATTGTCATAACCAGGTAAGTCTGGGAAAGTATTCATTGAGGAGGAGTCTATCAAGCTTAAGCTGGCTGTAATAAATTATCCAGATCCTTATTTATTGGCAATCACTGAGTTCCCACCATACTGCCCCATGCTGGACACTGAGGCCACAAGTGAGGGCAACAGTTTCTGCCCTCCAGAAGCTTATAGTCCAAGCACAGAGACAAATACAACAGTGGGACTCAGACCTGGGGACAGGTTCAGAGGACAAGTGGACTCAGATCGCCAGGGAGAATGCGGCTTCCTAGAGGACAAAGGCTGCAGCAGAGCCAGTCGGGTGAAGAATGAAGTGGGGAACAGCATTCCAGGGAGACAGAACAGCCCATTTGGGAATTGCAAGAAGGTGAGGATATCTGGAACACAGAAAATGCAAAATGTGGCTAAACAGTTAACCGGGACCTGGTCCTCCCAGCCCTCTAAACTTTGAAAGCGAGAGAAACCAGAAAAAGCTTTAGTCTGGGAATAACATGGAAGGATCCTTTCAGGTATTAGATCACTCTTGGTAGCCATGAGTGGGGTGGTTTAGTCCAGGGGAGATGATAACCAAGGAGGCCAGCTTGGAAGGGACCACGATGCTCTGAGAAACAGCAAATGGGGGCCTGAACCAAGGCAGGGATGGGAAGCATGGAAGGGAGGGGACAGACATGGCTGGTGACTACAGAAGGAGCAGATGGGGTAGAGAGGGTCTCTGGGTGAAGACTAAACCCACTGGGGCTGTGAGGAGTGAGGAGGGCATGAAGACAAGCTCGGCTGGGATCCAACTGTGGGGCATGGGGCAGGTGGCCCCATGGACACACAGGTCAGTGTCGGGGGACAGGTCTGGGAGGCCAGGAAACTACCAACATGGAGAGGAAGGTACAGAAAGAAGAACCCACAGGGGAGATGGAGGAGAAACAGGGCCCCAGAAAAACAACATTTGAAAGCAGTTGCAAAGAAGACACGGACAGCAGTCTCAAAGCCACGGAGAGGCCAAGATAAGCACTAAATGGTGCCCAGAGATTGCCACAGACCACTGATGTCCTCATCAAGTGCTGAGCTGAGAAGGGGCGGGGGCACAAGTCAGGTGGCCAGAAAGGAAACAAGTGTCTTTGGAAAAGAGATAAGATACACAAATAGCAAAATGCTGACACTTGCCAATTCTGAGTGGTGGATGCAGAGGGCTTTGTTTTATTAGTCTCCGTGGTTTCTGAGTGTCTGATGTCAGAATCCAAAGAGGTGACGGCAGGCAGGATGTGGTGAGACAAAACCACTCTGCAAGGGAAGAGAGGTTGAGCAGCATTTAGAGGGCCTGGGGACCAAAGGCTTGTCTGCAGCTCAGAGGCACCACAGCCTTTGAATCTGCCAGGGGGTGGGGACGGGTGGACCTGCGAAGGGCAGTGGCTGAAGACACAGACAGGTGGGGAAAAGTGATGGAGCAATGTCCACAGATAACTAGGAGGGGAGGAAGTGGCCTCAGATGAGGGACAGACTCTGCTGCTTCTGAGTCTGAGAAGGAAAAATAAATCATTAATCAGAATTCTGGGGAGGGGCAGGATCCTGAGGCATCCCTGTCTGATCATCTCTATCTTCTCCAGGAGCTGGAATTAAAGTCATCTGCTCAGAGGCAGTCAGGGGTGGGGGACAGTTTTGGGAGCTTCAGGGGGCTCTGAGAAAATGACAACAATCTACAACAGTGTTGTGGAAGCTGAAGGAACTGACTCACATCCAGCTGATGAGTTAGAAGGCAATACTGAGGCCAGCTAAGGTCAAACCGTGCATCCGCCTGGGACCCAGCAGCTCCCGGGTACCTGGGGTGAGAGAAGAGAGGGAAGAGAGTAGACTCCTGGGAGACTGAGGCATCCACTACAGGAGCGACAGGAAACAGAGGACGCAGCAGTGGAGAGCAGCAGCAGGAGCTAAGTGGTGGATGATGAGGGGTAATGACACAGAGGAGGAAGTAAATCCTAGAGGAGCGATGCATTGAGAGAAGAAGGAAAAGCCACAGTCAAAGGAGGGCCAAGAGCCCCTGGGGCAGCAGAGTGCGGGAGTAGAGAACAGGGAGCTCACTGCAGAGGCAGGTCCAGGGCAGGTCAGGGGGCTCAGGGACCACAAAGATGGAAGTGGTCACTAGAGGGGAGGTCAGATAACCAACAGCACCCAGCACCTTGCAGGACAGCAAGGACAGGACAGTGACCAGGAGCCAAGTCCTCAGTGGTGCCCAGTGGAGGGGCCCATAGGAGTGAGTCAGATGATGGTGGCAAAGGCACCATCCAGATAGCACAGCTACTGAAGAATAAGGCCCCAGAGGAACCTGTTTGCAGACTTACTGGGAGAGAGGTCCACAGCAGAAAACAAGTCCAGAGGGCAAAGCGCAGAGCCATGTGGATATACAGAAGGGAAAAGCACCAGGTAGCCAGAGGGGCTAGAGTGAGGCAAGGGCCTGGGCACAGCTTCAGGGCCAGTATAGGCAAGAGCTCCAATTGCCTGGCAAGAGCCTCACAACATTCACTGCCTTTAATGTTTGTTCAGTAACTCAAAAGTCAAAGACAAGTTACTTTAGTGTCTCTAACATCCAACCCCAGTGAGGCCTTGAAACCTCACCAAACAGTTGGGATTGGGGCTGGTTCCTGATTGTTTTAGGTGACCTGTGAATTCTGCACACTTCTCTCCTCTCCTCTCTAACATGACTGCAGTGGAAATACAATGATGACGTAAGCTTTCTTTTTCAGGGAGAGTTATTGCAATGCAAACAAGGATAAAGCGGCAAGCAACGCAAACAATGATAAGGTGCCATGCATCAATCCAGACATTACATTTTCCAGAAGGTGTTCTCTCCAGGGATAGCCAGTGCTTCTCCCCAATCTGCTCCTCTGAAAGAGAACCAGCTCCACTATCATCAAGAAGGGCCCTATACCCCATGGCAATGGCCAGTCTTCTTTGCAATAATTAGCTTCCAAAGTTTCAAAGTGCCAAGGCATGGGGGAAAATGCACATTGTCCAAACTACCCAGAAAGTAGTCCTTAAGAAGCAGCCAGAAGCCAAATCAGAAACGAGTTACTGTTAGTCTGTTCTCCCACTGCTAATAAAGACATACCTGAGACTGGGTAATTTACAAAGAAAAGAAGTTTAATGGACTCACAGTTCAGCATGGCTGTGAGGAGGCCTCATGATCATGGCAGAAGGTGAAGGAGGAGCAAAGGCATGTCTTACATGGCGGCAAGCAAGAGAGCATGTGCAGGAGAACTGCCCTTTATAAAACCATCAGATCTCATGAGACTTATTCACTATCATGAGAACAGCACAAAAAAAACCCCATCCCCCACGATTCAATTACCTCCCACCAGATCCTTCCCACAACACGTGGAGATTATGAGAGCTACAATTCAAGATGAGATTTGGGTGTGAACATAGCCAAAACATATCACTATGTCAACTGGAAATGCGTCAAGCCAGAAGGAAACAAGAATTTGTCCTATGAGTATTTATACCAAACACTCTCTATGTGTCAGGCACTGTTCTGGGCTCTGGAGAAACAATGGTAAAGTAGAAAACGTCCCTGCTCTCATGGAGCTTCCTTCCACTTCAGCTGTGGGGCAATGGACAGTGACGGAGGGAGGAGATAAAAGGGGGATGGAGCAGGCTGGAGCTGCGGACATCCCACCTGAAAGTGAGATGCCAGAACGGACAGGGGCATCACAAGTAGAACAGAAAGTGGAGACCAAGTAAGACCTGGCAGTGAGTGCAGTACCCTCATCTGAGTAGGCCAAGGCAGGGTCATAAAAAAACAGGCTATTTATTGTCAACCCCAAGCATCCTACCATTTCACATAAACCCATTTTTTGTTTCCAGGTGGGTACTGTGAGAAACTGAGATGTTTACTAGACTTCCAGAGGCTGAGCCTGTGACAAGGTGGAACTGGCAAAACACTCCACCATGAAGACATCTTCTCTAACAAAACTGCCTCTCGGCACATATGTATGTCATCCCTGTCCAGGGCCATTTAAACCCTCAAACAGCAAATGCTGCTGTGAATCCAAAGAAATTTCAAGGTGAGATGGTGCATCAGATCTTTCTAGGGAATTTTATTGGGAATTAATTTTATTTGTAAATTGTCAAAACTCATAGTGACTCCAAATATAAAAACTTCAAAAGCTAAAGACCTGAAATTCAGTACTGAATCTTTGATCTTTTCAAAGAATAGCTTCATCTGTGTTTATATAAATGAGACACACTGCAAACAGGCTTAACCGAGCCGGAGCAGAGAAGGCTCTTGTGAGTAAACACCATTCATTTTATACTGGCTGGAAATACATATCACTTCACATCAAAAACCCTTTAGAACGCTTTTTTTTCCTTCTAAACGTCCACATGCAATTTTTTTTTCTTAGAAATGGGGTCTCACTATGTTGCCTAGGCTGGTCTCAAACTCCTAGGCTCAAGTGATCCTCCTGCCTCAACCTCCCAAAGTGCTGGGATTACGAGCATGAGCCACTGAGCCCGGCCATATGCAATTTTTTAAAATACACAAGAGATAATCTTTTCTGGATAAGATTACTGATGATTTTATTTAATTACAAATCATTGTATTTTCAAAATTTTGGACAAGGAACCTGTATCATTTTATAAGCAGAAGTCTAATTTAAATAAATAGAATTTTCCTCTTTTAAAAAAGGATATATAGCATGTCTTGAGTCTGGTTGCTGTTGCTATTGTAACCCCAATCAGAAATTCCAACTCTAAAATTTCATTTATACAGAGAAAGGTAATCCTTTGGATATAAATTATTATCTAAGTTATGAATCCAAAAATAGTGACTACAGTTAGAGAAAGGGCTTAGGCTTAAGAGTCTCACAGACCTAGCTCAAGTCCATGCATACCAGCTCCAATACATATCAGCTGTGCAACCTTAGGCAACCTTGTAATCTCTCTGATCCAGTTTCCTCATCTGCGAAATGTCCGTTATGAGGACTAAAGGGCTGCCTGGGCAGTAAGAGGCCAGGTGCCTGAGGGTATGCAAAGCCACAGAAAAAACCTAGTTTTCTTCTGCTTCTTCCAAATGTGATAAATGTACTCAGAGATAGTAGCTGATATAAAATAAATGGGTAACTTGAAATATTTTCAACTGAAAACAAATGCAGATAAATTTTCAAAGTAAAAAACAAGACTTGAAAGAAAGGCTGGCCACATCCATCCTTGCTCCCAGACATCCAGTGGGAAAAAAGGGGAGGAAAACGATTGGACTGAGAGATCCTCTGTAAAGTACTTAAAACTTGTCCTACAGCAGACACCCAATACATAGTAGCTACCATCATTACCCCTAAGTAGGTACGTACAATTCAATAAGAAAAGCACGCCATCTTCATATCTTACAGCCTAGGCATGGCAGCATGGCAGGCATTTTAACCGCTATATGTTGTTAAGCGCCCAATTCATTTTTTGGGGTACTGATATATATCACACAATCAATATGCCTTGTCCGATCAAGAAGTACATAAGTAATATAAGAAGCTGGAAAGAAGGCAAACAGTCTAACATAAAACCAAGTCTCCTCAATTTTGGTTGAAATAATTACTACCATGTAACTAACACCCAGACATACAAACCGTGCCCTGAAATCAGGGTGTCTCTGGTTTCCCAGTTCAATGTTCAGGAACCAAATCAGTGTGATGGGGTTTGGGTTGTTTGATTTGGAGAGAGGGAAAGGGATAGAGAAGGAAAAGACTAGGAAAGGAGGGACTGAGACTATGAAATTATTACCGTAATTTGAAATCAAAACGCACAAATTCTTTTCATTATTAGAAACAAGAATCTTGCCACTTCCACGAGGAATCTGGATAAAACCTGAGTTGGAATTTGACTGCATTTCAGCCACCCCTCGATAAGGGGGTGAGCATTGAGAAGCTGGAGGATAGAGCCAGTGCTGGATGAGGGAACACCTGATTTTCATTCAAATGTCAACCAGCTGCACAAACCACTCAATGAAGCTGTTCTTGAATTATTAATCATCTTTCCCTGAATGAGAGAAAATGATTCTTTCTGGTTACTTGCTCTGCTTCAGGGACCAATTCAGAGAACTCCAAGCCAGACTCGAGTTTGAGGGAGCTCTCTGGTACCTGACACCCTCTGGCCAAGGCAAAAACAGAAAACAGCAAATGAAGTATTGCAGAAGAAAAGGGAGTAGTTGGCCTTCTAGAATCCAAGTAACTCCCCATATCCAAAGAAGCTGAGAAAGTTCCTTTAAAGCACATTAGCAGAGGTTTGCTGCACTGCTTGGGCATGATCTAATCTGTATTCCTTTCTATTCTAAATCAGGTAAGTTTCCTTTTCCCTTAAGAACTGTCAACAACTTCAAGCCTCAATTTTCTACTATAGATTAGACCCAGCCTTGCAGAGCAGAGAAGGGAGGGTTTAAAATCCCATTACTTCTAAATAGCGGAATTGTTTTAATCATCCCCCAAATATCTATGTTTGGATTCCCTGTCACCCCCAGATTCCTAAGTCTACTGATGCACGGATTTACACAATCTGAGAAATGGGGGAAAGCTTAGCGACTATCCAGGTCAATTTTCTCACTTTAGAGATGTGGAAGGAAGCCAGCAAGGGTCTTTCCTAAGGTTACATGATCGGAAGCCACCTTCCTCCCCGAGTTTCCCCTCTCCTCTCTGTCAGAGCCCTGTAGCAGGAGCTGCTCTAGCTGCTTAGTTCTATTTTAAGACAAACTCTCACTCTGCAAACCACTTATAGAAAACAAGGGCATCTCACCCACCCTGCAATTTTCTCCACGTCTTCATTTTGGGTCATCCCCACTGTATGAGAGTCTGTGATGCTCACCAGAACCATGCCTCCAAGAATTCGTCTCAGGGTCCTTCTCTGTCACCTAGACGCTGGGCAGGGCAAGGCTGTTAAAGGTGGGAAATTATGCACTGGGGTGCTCCTTCTAAACATTTGGCCTTGGCCATTCTTCCCACCAGCCCTCTGAGGGTGAGGATAGGGGGCTTAAACAACCTCAGAGAAGGAAGCCTTGAGAGTTGCATGCACTCGCTAAATGTTGCACAGTCTTTGAGAGGACCGGCGTACGCACTCCTGCGCGCTCTCTCAGTACTTCTCTTCCCCTATTCAGAAGCTTGCGCTCCTCTATTCCCACCCACACCTAAAGAACTGGGATCCACGGCTGCCCTCCACCTGGCGTAGCCCCGGGAAGGGTGACAGGAAGCTTGTGTGGGCTGGGGACGCTGGGGGCCTAGCGGAGGTTCGCCACCTGCAGGGGGTCTTCAGGAGTCGGACTTCAGACGCCAAGAGGGCAGATGGAGGACACCGTCGTCGCTCTCCACGGTCTCTCTTCGTGACTTTCCTCCATGGCCTTAATGATGCCTGCCCTTCCCAGTCTCCCTCGCCTCCTTGCTCTTCTCCTTCTCGCCTTTCCCCCACCGCCTTCCACTTCGACCCCCATCGCCTGGTCTCCTTCCTCTCCGTGGGCTCGGCTTCTCCCTACCTCTTACAAGGCGCTCCCGTCGTGTTTCCACTTTGTCTCCAATTATATCTAAATGCAACCCACCACAGATGCTGACATTTTAAATGTTTAGTTATTATAGCTACTTGACTAATTGCCGGGACCGACGGCGGCGCTTCTCCTTCGCCTCCCGCCGGCAGGAGAGGACGGGGCGGGAGAGGAAGGGGTTAGTTGTGGTTGTAGCCGCCACTCCCCGGCGCCCGGGACCCGGGACGCCCAGTCGGGCCCTGCAGAGGGTGTCCTACCTGGGCACCAGCGGCCCCTCGCCTCCAGCCAGGGCACCGAAGGCGCGCCCGGCGGGATGCAGCGAACTGCCTCCTGCCCCGGGACAGTGGAGCGGCAGAAGGTCCAACCTTCCGGTTCGCCCACGCCCGCAAGGTGGAAAAAGTGGGGTGAAATCGGGGAAATTTAGCGAAATTGGGGCGAAAGAAGAGAGACCAAAGCGTGTTACTCACGTGCCAGATGGCGAAGAAGATGAGCGCAGCGCACAGCACCAGAGACAGCATGTAGCAGAACGCAGCGAAAGTGAAGGCCATGGCCGGCGGACCCCAATCCCACCACACACGCCAAGAAGCCCCTAGGAGCCCGATGCCTCCCTAGAGGACCGCACTCCCTCCAAGGAGCCGCGTCTGCACGCTCCTCTCCAGGCTAGTGCCCAGGAGGGCGCACAGCTAGCGAAGCGACTCGAGGGTCAGCGAATAAGCGCTGGATTCCCGCAGGCTCCGGCGACCCCAGACCCGGCCCTCCGGCGAAGACAGGAAAACGTGTGTCGAGAGTCGCTGGAGGGAACCGTCCGCAAATCGAAGAAGAAACCAAATCAGCAGCGAACACCTGCAAATTAGTGCCAAGCTGTGAGCCCCTCGAGACCAACACGACAAGCGATGCGACGACTCCACGGAGGACCGAGGGAGGAGGTCCCATTCGCCCCAGGAAGAGCTCTCTGCTTTTCTCCACTAAACCGCTGAGGAGAGACGAGCGCTCCGCTCCGGACCCTCCCGCGCCACCGGGGCGCAAACGGATAGTGTCCAGCGAGGTGCCCGAGCGGCCTCCGAGCTCCTCCCAAATCCCAGAGCCGGGCAGCGCTCTTTCCCGAGAGAAGGAGTCTTTAGGTAGCCGGGAGGAGGTAGGTCCCGTTGGTCCTGCGCCCCAGACGCGGCTTCCAGCGCAGCCGTGCGCTCCGAGGCGCGCCCGTCCCCAACCGTGACTCCGGCCAGCCGGCCTCCGCAACCCAAGTGTCCCGGAAACCGGGGGTCGGACCGGGGCGAGCACTGGCTCCACCCAACGGGCCAACTCCAGCCCGGGTGGCTGCAGCAGTGGGTTTCAGGCCAAACGCTGTAGCTCGCTCCACCTGCTGCTGCCGCTGCCGCCGCCGCCGCCGCCGCCTTTGCCACTGCGAGAACTGTAGCGGTGCGACCCGGGATTCCCTCCTCTCGGCGCCCCACCCTCGACTCCTGTTCCGCTGAGCGCGCCCTCCCCGGCGGGCGGAGACTGCAGCGCCGGGGGCTGAGGAAAGGTGGGTGGCGAAGCGCCGCCGGGCGCTTGGTGGCCGCTGCCGCCGCCACTGCAGCTGTGCACGCCCGCCTCTCGGAGGAAACTTGAAGCCAGCAGTACAAGCAGGGCTGGAGGCCGAGCGGAGGTGGGGCGGGACCGGTTGGAGCAGGGACTCTTTAAACACGTGCGTCTGGAGGAGGTGGGAAGCTGCGGAAGGGTATGGTGTGTGCCTCGCGCCTAAACGCCGCAGCCGCCCCTCCCGGTTCTTGCAGTTTCGCCTATCGGAGTGGGAAGTGTGGGGACTTGGGGCGTTGCCTAGTGTTGGTTGGGGATACAGTGCAAGCCTTGGATCCCAAAGCTGCTTGGATGGATTTTACCAAACTGTAGCATACTCAGTGCTTAGGGCTGCGTTTACTGCTCTGCTCCCAGACCCTGCAAAATTCTCCATTAACGTCCTTCCGTTGCATCCTCTACCCTCCCCAGCCATCCGACCTTGGGACTAGGGAAACGTGGACTTGGTGGGCTATTCTGCGCTGAAGAGGCAGCAACGAGGGCTCGGTGGTATTGGTGTTGGTCCTAGTGGAATTGTCAAGAGGATGCTTTTGAAGGTAGACCGTTTTCTAGCTGCAAGTTACCTAACCTCTTTAATCCTTAGTTTCCTTATCAGAAAAACATAAATAAGAGTAGAGTCAAGCCATTTCAAAGGATTAAAAGGGAACATAAGTAAAAAACCTAGCACTTGGTATACGTTCAATAAGTGGTAGGGATTATTAATTGCACCCTTTCCCCCAGTGGCCCAGCATCTTGGAAGTTCACCATGCTTGCTTTGCAAGAGATTCCTGACGCTGCAGTGAAAGAGGTCCAGTCATTCCAGAGAGAACTTCAGTTTCAGACAAGTCATCAAATCCAGAAAGCAAGGAAAAATACCCTGAAAGACGACTGGCAAATCTCGGTGAAAGAGTAGACGCACTTCATGGATTGGAGTGAATCTTAGAGCACCTGGTACCTTGCACAGGGTGGGAACTAGATAAATAACTATTGCTTGATTCTGACTCTGGTGTGCTAGTTTTCCTGTTCACAGATGTGATTCCAATGCCTTGAGAGCTGGAAGGGATGAATTCCAGCAAGATAGAGATACAGCTTTCTAGTGACAGAACTGGAATCCTGTCTGCGGACTCCTAATCCTGGGCTCTTTCTACTATGCCCCAACATTCCTGCAGCTATTTGGCCACATCTTTTACTTATTTATTTATTTATTTATTTATTTATTTATTTATTTATTTGACGGAGTCTCACTTTGTCGCCAGGCTGGAGTGCAGTGGCGTGATCTCTGCAACCTCCACCTCCCTGGTTCAAGCGATTCTCCTGCCTTAGCCTCCCGAGTAGCTGGGACTACAGGCACGCACCACCACGCCCAGCTAATCTTTGTATTTTTAGTAAAGACGGGGTTTCACCATGTTGGCCAAGATGGTCTCGATCTCTTGACCTCGTGATCTACCCACCTCGGCCTCCCAAAGTGCTGGGATTACAGGCGTGAGCCACCGCTCCAGGCCCTTCAATTTATTTTATTTTATTTTTTTGAAGACAGTCTTGCTGTGTTGCCCAGGCTGGAGTGCAGTGGTGCTATCATAGCTCACTGTAGCCTCAAACTCCTTGCTAGGACTACAGGCATGCACCACCACACCCAGATAATTTTTGTTTTGTTTTGTTTGCAGACATAGGTCTCAATATATGGCCAGGCTGGTCCCAAACTCCTGGCCTCAAGCAGTCTTCCAGCCTTGGCCTCCCAAAGCGCTGGGATTATAGGTGTGCACCACAGTGCCTGGCCTCATATCTCCCTCCAGTTTAGAAACTAGATGCCTTTCAGTGAGAAGTGGAGAAATTAGAGCAAATCCAGAGGCTGATGACCAGAGCAATGAACCGATCTACATTTTATTGCCTCTGGGTCAGGACCGGCTACATACTTTGGAGGGCCAAGTGCAAAATGAAAATGTGGGACTTTGTATTAGGCCGTTCTTGCATTGCTATAAAGAAATACCTGGCCAGGCATGGTGGTTTATGCCTGTAATCCCAGTACTTGGGGAGGTCGAGGTGGGCAGATCACCTGAGCTTAGGTATTTGAGACCAGCCTGGACAACATGGCAGAAACCCCATCTCTACAAAAAATACAAAAATTAGCCGGGTGTGGTGGCATGCACCTGTAGTCCCAGCTTCTTGCAGGGCTAAGGTGAGAGTGTTGCTTGAGCCCAGGAGGTCAAGGGTGCAGTGAGCTGTGTTCATACCACTGCACTCCAGCCTAGGCAATAGAGCCAGACCCTGTCTCAAAAAAAAAAAACAAAAACCTGAGGCTGGGTACTTTATAAAGAAAACAGGTTCAATTGGCTCACCGTTCTGCAGGCTGTACAAGCACGGCACCAGCATTTGCTCGGCTTCGGGGGAGGCCTCAGGGTTGCTTTTATTCATGGTAGAAGGTGAAGCAGGAGCAGGCATGTCACATGGCAAAAGCAAGAGCAAGAGAGTGTTGTGGAGAAGTGCCACACACGTGTAAATAACCAGATCTTGTGAGAACACTCTCTTTATTGCGAGGACAGCACCAAGCCATGAGGGATCCACCCCCATGACCCAGACACCTCCCACCAGGCCCCACCTCCAACACTGGGGATGACATTTCAACATGAGATTTGGGCAGGGACAAATAACCCAAACTATATCAAGCTTCTTGATTAAAAATTAATAATTTCAAGACAGCAACAGCAGAACATTAAGCCAAGCATGAGGCCCTTCTGAGCACAAGACCCTGGACAGCTGTAGAAGTTGAATGCCTACAAATCTAGCCCTGCTCTGGGTTATACCCTATGTTGCTTTCTCTTTTACAGAAGTATTTCTTCCAGTATAAATTGTCATTAAAGAAAATTTGGAGGTCAGGCACTGTGGCTCATGCCTGTAATCTCAGCACTTTGGGAGGCTGAGGCGGGTGGATCACTTGAGGTCAGGAGTTCGCGATCATCTTGGGCAACATAATTAAGACCCGGTCTCTACAAAAATGAAAATAAAATTAGCCAGGCATGGTGGTGCACACCTGTAGTCTCAGCTACTCAGGAGGCTGAGGCCAGAGGATTGCTTGAGCCCAAGAGGTCAAGGCACAGTGAGCTGTGATCATGCCACTGCACCCCACCTCGGGTGACAAAGCGAGAGCCTGTCTCAAAAATATAAAATAATTTGGAAAATATAAAAATGAAAAAGATAAACACCACAGTTTGCTGCTCTCAGATACCACCAACACAATCCTGGTGTATTTCTTTCTAGCTGTTTTTTTGCTTTTTATTTTATATAGATCATTTCTTTTCATTGTAGTAATTGTACTGTATAAAATTTCGTGACACCAAAATTCTGAGTCCCTTTGGGACCTCTCTGATCTTTTGTTTCTGCTGGTTCTTGTTTACGGAGTCCTCGCTTCTTATCCATCTAGTAGATTTTTACTGTGCCAAACTTGTTTTGAAAAGTTTTCTTACAGTCATTTGAGGCCTAAAATTATGTTATCTTTCTCCAGGGAGGATTTTCAACTTCTTTTGCCAGGTATCTAGGGGAACCTAGTGCTCCAGGATTACCTTAATCCAAATTCAGCATTTGAGATTTTCCAGGATGACCAAGATAACTGTGGTCTGTGTGAGGGCTGCTTTATTTCTGGTTCAGCCTTACTCACATGGAGCTGTCCTTCTGGATCCCAAGTCAAAACACAGGGCTTATCAAGTCCCAACCCTTGATGGTCCTTGGACTCTGACTTTTGCCCCTAGCGCCACAGAGTACTAAAGGCATAGCTCAGTCTCCTCCTCAAGATTAAGAAATGCCCCTAAAAGCATACCTCAGCCACCTCCTCAAGATTAAGAAATGCCCCTAGAAAAAAAAACTGGCCCCAAGAGCTAAACCAACCCCTCTAGATTCTGAATCACTCTCAGCTTTTGACCCCAGTAATTCCGTACTCTCTTATTAGGTCTTTGATGCTTTCAAGAAGATGTTACTGTATTTCATTCAGCTTTATAAGTTGTGCTCAGTGGGAGAACCGGTCTGAATTCACTAGCACAGCATCACCAGAACCAAGAGTCTCTACATCAAAATAAAATTTCAAATTTAAAAATGGAATCCATTATCCTACCACTGTGACTTTCAAGTCTCCATCCAGCCACTGTTTTTCTTGCCATTTACCTGGTCCTGCTTTGCCTTGTTTTATTAGTTACAGAACAATATCTCGGCAAAGGTTACTGCAAAACTTCAGAAAATAAGAACCCCAGGCAGTTACTGCTCGTTATTTCAAAATATTTTAGTGTCCATAGTTCTGGGCGCTGTCAGGGATCCACAAGGTTTCTAGTCTAATTGGTGAGGCGGTAATTCCTTCACAAGGCAGTGTTTAAAAAAATCAAAAAGTACTAGTGACACAGTAGAGGAAGGCAAGGGAGATGGTGATTGGGAATGGATGTTGAGTGGAGTGACCAACCTACATTGTTTTCTCTACTGTAGACATTGAAAAGCCAATTACTTGATTTTTTTCCCCACCCACCATGCAGCCAGGAGAGGCCATATGACACAGTTTGAACTCTTTAGATAATATTTCTTTTTGCCTGAAATGCAGACCTGATGCCTGGAGGTACAGCAGCCATCTTGTGACCATAAGGAGGAAATCAACGCATTAAGAAGGGAAAAGCTAAGAAGATACAGAGAGCAGGGACCACTGACAACATGATCAAGCCACTCTACCAGGCCTTAACTTCCTATTCCCTGACTTCTTATTGAAAGAGACAATAAAACTTCTCATTTGTTTTAACCCATAGAAGTAAGGCATTCTGTTACTTATGGGTGAACACAATTCTTAACTGATGCCATGGTTTAATGGGAGTAGGGATCCTGGTATGACAGGAAATTGAGATAATCAGTTTATGGCTAGTGTAGCAGCTCCAAGACACGATTAATGTCCCAAGCTCTTTTGCCCTCCTGACTTGCTAGCCTCAGTATGTGGATTTTGTTCTCCCAGTCTGAAGGCATAACTTTTGGGGAAGAGTAAAAGAAGCCCTCTCCAGAGATCTGCTACATCTCATTGGCCAGAACTCTAACATTTGGCCGCCACTACCTAGTTGCAAGTGAATCTGAGAAGGTGAGTGTTTTTTCATTTCAGGCTTTATGAAATAGAAAGGCAAAGGAAGGGGGGTTTGAGCAGCCTTTGAACAGCCAGTTCACGTTTTTGCTATACTGCTCTAGTCAGGTTTTCTATTACCAGCAGCCTAATACAATTTCCAGGTGCCCCAAGTTGTGCTGACAACTTGGTGTATAAGAGAGACAGTGCTTTGGGGTTAGTATGATCAGGGAAAGTTCACTGACAAAGTGGCAACCTAAGGCAAATTACATCACACTTTTTCTCTGCTTGTAAGTAAGTCTGAATGTTCCATGTTTTCCTGACCTATTCTTAACCGATTCCTGCTCCTCCTGAGTTGTTATACATAAATTAGTTTTGGTTTTCTGCCTTCTTCTAATATATAGCAATACCTCTGTTTATTGAAGGTGAAGGCAAATACAGTTTGCATTAGTCTGTTTTCACACTGCTATAAAGATACTACCTGAGACTGGGTAATTTATAAAGGAAAGAGGTTTCATTGACTCACAGTTCAGCATGGCTGGGGAGGCCTCAGGAAACTTACAATCACAGCAGAAGGCAACGGGGAAGCAAGGCACATCTTACATGGCAGCAGGAGAGAGAAAGAGAGAGAGAGTGAAAGGGAATTGCCAAACACTTTTAAACCATCAGATCTTGTGAGAACTCACTATCAGGAGAATAGCAGGGGGAAACCACCCCCGTGATCCAGTCATCTCCTACCAGATTCCTCCCTCGACACATGGAAATTACAATTCAAGATGAGATCTGGGTGGGAACACAGAACCAAACCATATCACAGATGCTCCTTATGATAGGGTTACATCCCAATAAACCCTTTGTAAATTGAAAATAGTGTACATCAAAATGCATTTAATACATCGAACCTATCACACATTATAACTTAGCCTAACCTACCTTAAATGTGCTTAGAATACTTACATTAGCCTACAGTTGGGCAAAATCATCTAACACAAAGCCTATTTTATAATAAAGTATTGAATATCTCATGTCATTTATTAAATGCTGTACCAAAAGTGAAAAAACAGAATGGTTTTATGGGTACTTGAAATGTAATATCTATTGAATGTGTATCGCTTTGGCACTATTGTGAAGTTGAAAAATCTTAAGATGAACAGTCATAAGTCGGGGACTGTCTGTAAAGTGTACCCACACAACTGAAGACTTGGTTTATCATGAAGCTTTTTCCAACCTTATCTCCTATCTGCTCTCCCCTTACATTCCTGTCTCCACCCTACCCTCAAGCATCCATCAGAGAAATGGTCAAAGCGTAAAGGGGAATGCCTTTGGATTCATGGGAAGCTCAGTTAAGTGGGCTGTGAGCCTCCTCTTGCCCCATCACTCATCCTGTTCTGCCCACAGGAAAATCTGACCATATGTTTCATTTAACACAAAATTCGAGAGTATCTCCTAAACAGTATTTTCCCCCATAAATGAACTCTGTAAACTTTTCAGTGCCATAAATAACTGGTATGATATATCAAGTTACTCTCTTGCTTCCCAGCCAAGCCCTGTTGAAATCCCAGAAAGCTTTCCCCATCCTCCAGCTTAAATCCAGCTCACCAAGTTCTCACTCCCACCTCTCAACACCCCCATCCAAACACTCCCTCCAGTCCCCACCACAAAGATACTCTGCCCTGGCTAAGCAACCACCCCTAATACTGTTTCTCTCTTGGTGGGGTTTGGATGTTTAGAATGTCCTGAGAATTGGGGTTCTTTGAGTGTTTATTATAAAATTTTAAAAGATGTAGAAGAATAGAGAGTTTAGTGAACATTCATCTACCTATCTGGATTCAGCAACTGTTAGCATTTTTGTGCTTTGAGTTGTTTCAAAATTGTGTTTTACAGCTGGTTTGTTCAAACCAGGATCTAAAGATTTTCTCACCCCTCAGTGTTACAGTAGCTAGGCAGGCAGAGATGAGCAGGGCAGGAGAGGACCTCCCTCCAACAACAGGCATGCCAGGCAACCATCAGGTCATGGTCAGGTGATTGTTAACTGTCTCTCTAAAATAATAATTGGTTGTGGCCCCGTGCCAGAGAGAGGCAGTCTCCCAACAGATAGAAACACCTGAAACTGGTAATCAGCAGCTTCCCAATAAGATTTCAGGAGTTGGGCGAGTGGGCTCAAACATGTGCACTAAGAGGCAAAATGGCAGAGTTTAAAGGGTATATGAACACTGGGTAAAGGAAGAATTCCTCAAGTGAGCACGTGTACAACTTCAGTAAACACACTGTGCATGTGGCCCCTCCCAACTGCTGGCAGGCCACTGTGCATGTGGACAGCCCACCCCAAGGGAAGCATCAGGGTAAGGGAGGAGACCACCCCTCATATTGTCTTATGCCCAATTTCTGCCTCCAAAGAAAGAAGAAGTAAAAACTAAAAGGCAGAAATGAAATTCTCAGGCAGACAGCCCGGCGCCGTGCCCTGGGCCTGGTTAAAGATCGACCCCTGACCTAACCAGTTATGTTATCTATAGATTCCAGATATTGTATGGAAGAGCATTGTAAAAATCCCTGTCCTGTTCTGTTCCGTTCTGATTACCAGTGCATGCATCCCCCAGTCACGCACCCCCTGCTTGCTCAATCGATTACGACCCTCTCACGTGGACCCCCTTAGAGTTGTAAGCCCTTAAAAGGGACAGGAATTGCTCACTTGGGGAGCTCGGTTTTTGAGACATGAGTCTTGCCAACACTCCCGGCCGAATAAAGCCCTTCCTTCTTTAACTTGGTGTCTGAGAGGTTTTGTCTGTGGCTAGTCCTGCTACAAGGGGAGAAGGGATGCAACTCCCAAGAAATATGCCCTCATATAAAATCCCAAGTCAAAGGTCAAACTGTGCCCTTGACTGGCTCAAGTCGTTAGCTTGGCCCTCTTTCAAATGTACTTTATTTCCTTTTGTTTCTGCTCTAAAGCTTTTTAATAAACGTTCTCTCCTGCTCTGAAGCCTGCCTCAGTATCTCCTTCTGCCTTATGCCCCTTGGTTGAATTATTTCTTCTGAAGAGGCAAGAATTGAGGTTGCTGCAGACCCATACTTTGGTGCCGCCTGACTTGGATACGTTCCCTAACTGCTAACACCAGGACATGTTAACCCTTTTCTTGCATGTAATTTATTGCACAATAACTTTTTAAAAATTTTGAGTGCTGTAAAAGGAAAATAAAATCTCAGGCCCAGAAACTCACTAAGCTGAAGGGCTCAGTGGGAACTGGGTCACACAAAGGATGAAGGGCAAGCTGGGAACTGGGTCACACACACCAACTTCCCATTTTCTTCCTGAATAGATAGCTACTTACCTCCCTCACCTTTTGCTCAGGAGGAAACTCCTTGTAGGCCCCGAGACTTTTACCCTAAAGCAGTTCTGTTGAATTTCACCCTGACAATGCAAATTAACCACTTACTTTTACAGGTAAGGGACCATGAAGAGACCTAAAAGTCATCCCTTCACTCACCTGAGACAAATGCATATCTGATTGCTTCCTAGACTCTGTGATTATTTTATCTTATGTAAAAATGCAGATTCCAACTGAGGACCAGAGGAATGCATAATTGACTCTTTCCCCACCTCTCCTTTCAAATGAAAAATGTAGATTCAGTAAAGCTAATCAAAAGACTCAAAGGAATGCAACCGCTTGCCTCTTTTATCTGCCCTCCCTTTTTTCTTCTTCTTCTTTCCCCTGCTGCCTGCTCTTTTCCCTTTAAATATTGAAGCTCCCAGACCCTCTGGGAAAGGCAAGGACCACAGATGTTGCAGTGGTTATGTGTCCCTTTTTCCTGGGTGTGTCCTTAACCTTGGCAAAATCAACTTCTAAAAACAATTGAGACTTGCCTCCCACCATTTTCTTTTATTTACAGCACTTACCATTGGAAAGGTCCAAGGGCCAGTCCAGCTGTGTGGAAGCACAGGGACTTAATTCACTGCCAACCAATGTCTGTTGCTTTGCATGCCCTTGTATACCTAAGATGGCACTGTCTGGCTTAGGACTCTGTTTACTTAACTTGCTTAGCACACATTCACATGTGTGGGAAGCTATGAATTGCAGATTTGTGTGTGCTGGCTAAATCACCTTTTTCTTTAAAATAACTTAAATCTAACTTTGAGCCCCCTTCCTGCTTGACTGGCAGGAAATTCAGTATCAGCCTTCACTGGGGCTCCCCACAAGGTTGGGAAAAGCTTCTGGGAGGCTTTCATAGCACCAAAGCACCTGGCAGCACCTCCCTCCACCATTGGTCCTGGGTCCACACTGGTTCCTCCTGAGACATCCCAGTGTAACTGCCCAACAGGTTCCTCCTGCCCCCTGCACAAACAAAATCAACTCACCAAGACCATGGCAATATGGATAGGAGGAAGGGAAATACTGGGTAGAAGATGGCGGTCCCCAGCAAGGGCCACACCCTCAAGCCAGGACCTGTAGCCCAAAGTGAGAACATGCACTTTTGTTTTCCCGCCTGAATGTTGCCTTTTCCAAAACCACCCTGGCCCACCCTCCCTGCATCCTGTATTTATAAAAACTCCAGGCTCCACTGGCAGAGGTGCAGCAGAGAAGGAGAGAAGAGAAGTGACTGAACGTCAAGAGGAGAAGATGCAGCTGGACATTGGAGACTATGGTTGGAGAGGAGTTCGACTGGGAACAGCCAAACTCCAAGGGAAGACCATCTTCCCACTCCATCCCCTTTCCAGCTCCCCATCCCACTAAGAGCCACTTCCACCACTCAGTAAAATCCTCCACATTCGCCACCCTTCAGTTCATTCACACAGCCTGATTCTTCCTGGATGCCAGACAAGAACTCAGGTACCAAGAGGGCAGGTACAAATGCTGTCACCCTGACCCTCCACTGAGCTGTTAAACACTTAAGCCATTCATGGATGGCAAAACTAAAAGAGCACACTGTAACACATGCTCTCTGGGGATCTGGGGGGGTCGCAAGTACCCACCCCCAGACACTGCCGCGAGACCACACAGTGTTTACTCCTGCCGGCACCCAGAAGCACTCATCCCGGCCCCAGCACCCACTCACCTACATGTTCCCCTTCCTGAGAGGCGTTGAGAGCTGTGAGCTGAGTAAACGAGTCACCCCCTTTGTGAATCCCACAGAGTGGTCAAGGGAACTATCCTGTCTCATTGGCATTGCAGTAAAGAAAGCATTTAATTGACACAAGGCTGGCCAGCCACAGAGGAGACAGAGTTATTACTCAAATCAATCTCCCTGAAGGCTTGGAGATTAGGGGTTTTTCAAAGATAGTTTGGTGGGCAGGGGGCTACGGTAAGGAAAATGCTGATTAGTAGGGGAGGCGATCATAGGGATGTGGAAAACAGTCCTCATGCACTGAGTCCCCTTCTGGGTGGGGGCCGCAGGACTGGTTGAGTCACGGGTCTGGGTGGGGCCATCTGGTTGTCAGAAATGCAAAAACCTGAAAAGAAATCTCAAAAGGCCATCTTAGTTTCTGTAGTAGTGCTGTTATCTGCAAGATTAATTGGGGAAGTTGCAAATCTTATGACCTCTGGAATAATGGCTGGGAATTATGTAGAATTCAGGCCTCTCTCATTCTCCTAACTTGGTGGCCTTTCATTAGTTTTACAAGGACAGTTTAGTTTTGGGGAAGGGCTATTATTTAAAGTATAAACTACATTTCTCCCAAAGTTAGCTTGGCCCACCCCAGGAATGAGCAAAGACAGCCAGCCTGTGGGGCTAGAAGCAAGATGGAGTCAGACATGTCAGATTTCTCTTACTGTCATACTTTTGCAAAGGCAGTTTTGATAGCAACAGGAGGCAGCCAAATGCCAAGGCAGATAGGGGTGGGTCCCTGGTGAAACCCCACCTCCAAGCCAAAGACAATTTAAAGCCTGAAAGCCAAGCTACAAGTTAAATTCTCAGACAGGATTAAGAACTTGTCTTCCTGTTTGCGGTACTTTGCTCTGATTGATCCCCACCCTTCACCTATTTTACATATACCTACCCTTTCCTAATTGGTTTTCTACACTGTCATGCCCACCTTTGAGTGGTGTCTTTGCTTTAGCCTTTTTTGCCTACTCACAAGCCAGTCACACACATTCCCCATTCTGAATCCATAAAAGGCCCTGGACCCAACCACACAGGGAACTTTCCTGCTTTCAGGTAGCAGGACCAACCCCATGTCCCCTCTCCTCTGAAAGCCATTTTCATCACTCAGTAAAACTCTTCTCTGCCCTCCTCACTGTTCAATGTCCAGTGTATCCTCATTCTTCCTGGGCACAGTACAGGAGCTCAGGAACCACCAAATGTGGGTATAAGCTATAACACAGGCGAGCTGGGGCATGTCAGCATGGCCAAGTGACGCCTGGGCCAGGTGTCACCGGCAAGGGTCCCTGGCTTGCAAAGTGACCGAGAAGAAAATTCCTACATCAGTTTCACCAGCTGGACTGGTCCTTGTTCCTTTCACCTCTGGCCTTCTGCTCTCCTCTAGCTAAACAGTCTGGGAGCCCCATCCCTGGCTCCAGCCTCCCTGGTGCCACATAACCACATCTCTGAGGACTTGTCTCTTCCACAAGTCACTGGCACAAAGCGGCGTAGGGGTCCCTTCTTCAGAGGCTCCATCTCAGCCTCTGTCCAGTCCACAGGAAGCTGCTTCTCACTTCCCTCTGACTGTTGGCAAAGGCATTATCTCTTCTCTCCCACCCCTCCCCGTCAGAGACAGAATCTCTTCAAAAAGCTAAACCTTTCACCAAACTAGAAAGAATATTTGTTTTTAAAGCTCTGCTTTCCACCTTAAAATTTATTCAGCCAATATTCATTAATATAACTGCAGCGATTCCTATACTATTGAAAGATTTCTGTTCTGATTGGCAAATCATATAACGGCTATTGCAATAATCAGTAGAATTTATTAATAATTAAATTCAAAATTAAACTCATTAATTCAGGCTAATTGTCATAGGATGTCACAAGGACCACTGACAAATGGGCCTCCCATGTGCTTATTAATCACAAAGCATTGTGTATATACATCACATTTTTATCACTCTACTGAAATCATGTGGTTGCCACTGGTTCTACATAGTTGTTACTTTATTTGTATTGTCTGTGCATTGTAATTCTTGTGTAAGTTGCAAAGGCAGCGTTTCAATATTTATACATTTAAGAATTTACGAATAAAATATTAAAAATGAACTCTTAGAATAAAGAGACAACCAACTGTGGATACACGTATTAATGTTCCATTAAAGATCATACACCTCAATCTTCTGATTGTACAGAGTACAAATAGTGATAGTAATAAGGAACCACAGCCTAGAGTATCATCCAAACCACCTCAGACATCCTTTACACCGTGCAAGCGTCAGTACAAAATAACACAATGCTTTTTATTTCTTCAATACAAAATAATTTTATTATTTTAACAAAAATACAAGTGTCTCTTGCACGCTGACAAAAACCATAAAAAAAATGTGTCTCACCAGTGCTACTAATGTAAATATTAGATGCAAATGGCACTCAGAGTTCACTGTTAAAAGCTTTGTGGGAGACCAACATATGCCACCCCAAAATAGGGATTGCCGAGCTGAAGGTGATCAAGAAGAAGCAGATCCAGGTAAAGCTCTCTGCCCTCCCTCTATTTGCCTAAAAGCAGGACAAAGATCTACAAAGACAAAAGGTATCCTGGCCCATCTTCTACCAGGAAGAACAAAGGTTAATCACTGAAGATAGCATTGATCCTGTGAAAGAAAACTAAAATCTTGGGTCCCCAGTTTACTATGCCAAAGGGAAAAATTAAGCAGAAGCTGATTGAGTCATGCAAGAAACTGCCTTTCCTTGTTCCTAAGCAGATAAACTGCAGATAAAAGGCCAGGTATCTCCACAGGAGCTACTCTATGTTCATCTCATGTAAAGTGTTGATTTACTGAATGCAAAGACAAATACATAATGGACTATTCCTCTGCCTGCCTCCTTCTTTTCTTTTGCAACATGTGGATTCAGTAATGGGATTACACCCTCCCTCTTTCCCCTCCAGCCTGCTTTTCCCCTTTAAATACTGAAGCCCTCAAAATCATCTTTGGAAAAAAGCATAGCTCACAGATTGTTTCTGTGGTTTTGTGTTGCTTTTTTTCCCCACAGACATGTCCTTAACCTTGGCTAAATAAACTCTAAATTTATTGAGACCTGTCTCAGATACTTTTCGGTTTGTAGACCTTTACGGGCCCAAGATGGTACCCAAGGAAGCTACATTAACAAGCTTTACTAACCAGCCTTTATCTGCCATTAATTTGCCTTTCCCGAAGTTGCCACCTCTAGAGATTCAAAGCCCTTTTCCTTTTTCTTGTTACTTCTCTAAAAATATACTGGTTTTTGTTGAAGACTCTATATAGGCTGAAATTCAAAGCCACCTCTTTGAGAACTATTCATTCCCTCAGTGTCTCCCATGTACATATGAAATATACATGTTAATACACTTCTATTTGGTTTTCTCTTATAAATCTGTCTTTTGTTACAGGGGTCACTTCCAAGTAAGGACTTATGAGGGTTGAAGGAAAAATTATTATTCTTCCCAGACAACTTACATATTCTTCAGAATGGCAATCACATTCTATCAAAGCTCACAGTTTAATTTTTAAAACTGTAAATATCAATGACAAAAACAATCAAAAGATCAATTTCAGAAAACAATGCATTTGAAAGAAAAAATGTAAATTGGACAAAATATTGATAAAACAATTTAAAATATTATAGAAGTAACCTTTGAAATGTTGCTATACAGCATGTACTTAAACATAAGCATTTTCAAACAAACATGAAATATTCAATAGCCATTAAAAAATAATATCCATGCAAGCATACATTGCATTTTAGATTTATGGTCCCACTTGTTGGAAAACATTACTGAAATGAGAAAGCAACTTACTTAAGATGTTATAAATCAAGACAGTAAAATGTCATTCATTTTCTGTGAAATGGTTTCACATAAAAGCATTTAATAATGTATTTTAAATGAGACATTTAAAACTTTGTTGATCTTATGAAGGTGGAAGGAATAATATCCAAAATAATATACAAACTATATTGTCAATGTTGGAAAAGAATGGTACCAGCAAGAAATATTTCATGGAAGCATATTGTTCAGATAGTGCTGGTGCTTGTATGCTACACAGAAAGTTTGGCATTTCAGCCAAAGTTTTAGAAACATTTCTGCATATTTTTAATTTGGCACTAAGTCACTGTATTCAATCACCACTGGATGATACAATGAAAGATGTTAATCCAATAAATCACTTTAATTTTTTCTTCATAAGCATTCTATTCACTACTATATTATTTTGCTCACACTGCCATTACAAAGCTCAACAGACTGGGTGGCTTAAACAACAGAAATGTATTTTCTCATGGTTCTAGAGGCTGGAAATCCACTATCTAGGTACTGTGAAATTAAGTCTTTCATGAGGGCTCTCATCCTAGTGTTACAGTAGGTAGTCAGGCAGACATGACCCCCCTACACTAGGAATGTCAGACGACCATCAGGTGATTGTCGGGCAGTTGTCACACTGTCTCTCTAAAATAATAACTGGTCACAGCCAGCGCCAGGGAAAGCCAGTCTCCCAATAGATAGAAAAGACCTGAAACTGGTGCAATCAACAGCTTCCCGATAAGATCTCAGGAGCTGGGTGAATGGGCTCAAGCATGTGCACTAAGCGGCAAAATGGCGGCATTCACTGGTATACAGTGTTCCTCCCTCTGGGAACTCTGGAGTGGTAAGGGAAAAACACCTCTAGTAAGCATGTGTACAACTCCAGTAAACACACTCTGCATGCAGCACCTTCCAAGTGCTGGCAGGCCACTGAGCATGCGGACAGCCCAACCCAAGGGAAGCCTCAGGGGAGAAGGGATGCAACCCCCCAGAAGCATGCCAGCGTATAGAACCCCAAGTCAAAGGTCAAACAGCGCACTTGAATCTCTCAAGTTGTTCGCTTGGGCCTCTTCCAAGTGTACTTTACTTTCATTCCTGTCCTAAAACTTTCTTAATAAATTTTCACTCCTGCTCTAAAACTTGCCTCCATCTCTCACTCTGCTTTATGCCTCTCAGTCAAATTATCTCTTCTGAGGAGGCAAGAATTGAGGTTGCTGCAGACCTGTTTGGATTCGCTGCCTGTAACACTAGCAGGTGGACGGCCACCTTCCCTCTGTGCCTTCACATAACCTTTCTTCTGTGCACACATGGGGAGAAAGAGAGATCTCTGGTATATTTTCTTATAAGGACAGGAGTTCTATCAGATTAAGGTTGCACCCTTATGACCCCGTTTAACCTTTATTACCTCGTTATAGGGACTTTCTCCAAATACAGTTACATCGGTGGTTGGGTATTCAGCATATGAATTTTGGGAGAACACAGTTCAGCCCATAAAAAATTCCATAAATGGGGCTGGGCACAGAGGGGCAGGTGCCTGTAGTCCCAGCTATTCAGGAAGCTGAGGTCGGGGGATCGCTTGAGGCCAGGAGTTCCAGGCTGCAGTGCACTATGATTGTGCCTGTGAATAGCCACTGCACTGCACTCCAGCCTGGACAACAGAGCGAGACCCCATCTCTTTTAAAAAATACCACAGATGGCCGGGCACGATGGCTCACACCTGTAATCCCAGCACTTTGGGAGGCCAAGGCAGGCAGGTCACCTGAGGTTGGGAGTTGGAGACCAGCCTGACCAACAAGGAGAAACACCGTCTCTACTAAAAATACAAAAAAATTAGCCAGGCATGGTGGTGCATGCCTATAATCACAGCTACTCGGGAGGCTGAGGCAGGAGAATCACTTAAACCTGGGAGGTGGAGGTTGCGGTGAGCCAAGATCACACCATTGCATTCCAGCCTGGGCAACAAGAGTGAAACTACGTCTCAAAAAAAAAAAAAAAATGTAGATGAGAAAAACAGAGAACTAAATAATATATCTGATAATCTTGGAATTGAAATTAAAAATTGAGAGAGTAGCATTTTCAAACATGAAATATTCAATAGGCATTAAGAAATAATACCTATATAAGCATACATTGCATTCTAGAGTTATGGACCCACTTGTTGGAAAACATTACTAAAATGAGAAAGTAACTTATTTGAGAAGTTATAAACCAATGCAGTAAAATGTCATTCATTAATTTTCTATGAAGCCCCAATAGAAAACCTGTAATGCTGTAATGCAAAGAGAGTTTAGAAATTTTATATTCATTTTAACATAACTTGTGAAATGGGAGTAAACATTTGGAAAATTAAACCATATTTTAGAGAATTAGCCTTAGTAAACAATATTCCAATAGTGATATCTATACTTTCTCTGTCTTTACAAGAAATGTTTCTGTTAAATCAATCATTTAATTCAACAATCAATAAAAGTTATTAAGCATATAAGGATAAATTTTAAAACTATAGAAGCAAAGAAATGTAATATGCCACTTGAAACAAAGCAATTATAAATTCTAAGAAAATTATTAGAATATCTAATAAATTATGCAAAATGATTGTGATCAAATAAATTATGAACTTATTTATATAAATCTATATAATATAAATATGATAATTTAAATGACAAATTATTAAATTGTCCAATAAATTATGTAAAAGGCATAATGAGTTTTTAAGTTGTTTCTATTTATTAAATGCTTCAACTTTGCCAAAAGCTGTTAGCAAACCTCCTTGGATTGAAGGTAATCAAAAATTAATAAAGGCTAATTCATTAAATATGATATTCCATAAGGAACAAGAGGCCCATCCAGCCTCTAGCTGTCCCAGTCTTGCTTCCAAGATGCCACATATTTGAGGAAGGCCATCTTGGCTCAGTAAGCCTGCCAACTGATTACAAACCCATAGGTAAGTGCAGCTAACACCACCTGGAGCAGAGACAAGTGCCCAGCTGAGCCCATTTCATATTGCAGAATTATAAGCAAATAAAGGGTGGCGGTTTTTTTAAACAACTAAAATTGGAGCAACTAAAATAATTTTTGCAGTTATCTATTGCTGCATGGTAGCCAATAAAATAATAATGTCTATATTAAGCATACATTGCAGTCCAGATTTATGGTCCCACTTGTTAATAATAAATATTATGCAGCAATAGATAACTGCAAAAGTTCTTTATTCCCCAAGTGACCTTTTATCTGATACCTGTATGTTTATACAGGTACACCTAGGAGATACTGTGAGATTGGTTGCAGACCACCACAATAAAGTGGAGTCACATGAATTTTTTGGTTTCCCAGGGCATATAAGTTATGTTTATACTATACTGTGGTCCATTCAATGTGCAATAGTATTCAGTCTAAAATAATAATGTACAAACCTTAATTTGAAAATACTTTATTGCTAAAAAATGCTAACAGTCATCTGAGCCTTCAGCAAGTCTTAATCTTTTTGCTGGTGGAGGGTCTTGCCTGCATGTTGATGGCTGCTGACTGATCAACGTGGTGGTTGCTGAAGGTTGGGGTGGCTGTGTCAATTTCCTAAAATAAGACAACAATGAAGTTTGCCACCTCAGTTGACTCTTCCTTTCGTGAAAGATCTCTCTGTAGCATGCAATGCTGTTTGATAGCATTTTGCCTATAGTAGAACTTCTTTTAAAATTGGGGTCAATTCTTTCATACCCTGCCACTACTTTATTAACCAAGTTTATGTAATATTGTAAATCTTTTGTTGTCAGTTCAACGATATTCATAGCATCTTCACCAGGAGTAGATTTCATCTCAAGAAACCACTTTCTTTGCTCATCCATAAGAAGCAACTCCTCAAACATTCACATTTGATCATGAGATTGCAGCAATTGTCTCCCATCTTCAGGCTCCGCTTCTGATTCTAGTTGTCTTGCTATTTCCACCACATCTGCAGTCAATTCCTCCACTGAAGTCTTGAACCCCTCAAAGTCATCCATGAGGGATGCAATCAACTTCTTCCAAATTTCTGTTAATGTGGATATTTCGGCCTCCTCACATGAATTACACATGTTCTTAATGGCATGTTAGAATGGTGAATCCTTTCCAGGAAGTTTCTGCATGGCAAAAACTATTTTTCCTTCTGCTCTCACAACACAATGTTGGGGGTGGGGGTTTCCCACACACCAAGCAAACAATCAGTTCTGCCGTGGACTCTCGCTGGGTGTCCTTCAATTCAATTCTGACACTGTGTACCTGGATATAGCATCAGATCCCACAGGTTGAGGGCTGAGTCCCCGCCCCCTACTTCTGATGCCAATTACCAACCCCAGGTCATTTTACCTGTTTCTGACTGACCAGCTAAAAATCAGGGCTCCTATGACTCCCTTCCTTGGGGTAGATTAATTTGCTAGAGCAGCTCACAGAACTCATGGAAACTCTTATTTATACTTACCAGTTTATTATAAAGGATATGACAAATGATACAGATGAAGAGATGCACAGGGAAGGTATGGGGGAAGGGATGGAGAGCTTCCATGCCCTCCATGGACACATCACCCTCTAGGACCCTCCACAAGTCTGTTTGGAAGCTGAGCTGTCTGGAAGCTTTCTGTACCCTCCGACCCCATACTCTTGGACCTTTTATAAATACTTCTTTGGGTAGGCATGACTGAAACATGGACAACCATGTAGAAATGTGATTGGACCAAAGAGGATGATTTAATATTAATAGACTGAGCAGGGAAACCTAGCGAGGCCTGTCTGTTAAGATTCTTCTTGATCTCTCTGAGCAACATTCCTTCCTCCAGGGTTTGGGACCCCTTCTGAAATGGAGGTCTCATAATCCACAGTCAGACAAGGTAGATCAGAGAATTCCTTCATGGCCAGCTCGAAGACAGAAAGGTTGGGGAGATCCCTCCTTTGAAGTAAAAAAGGAGCAGGTGAAAGGAGAGAAGAAGGTCAGTTAGAGATTCTGTTTTGTTTTGTTTGGTTTGGTTTTTGTTTTTTTTTTTGTTTGTTTGTTTGTTTGTTTTTGAGACAGAGCTTCACTCTTTTTGCCCAGGCTGGAGTGCAATGGTGCAGTCTCGGCTCACTGCAACCTGCACCTCTCGGGTTCAAGAAATTCTCCTGCGTCAGCATCCCAAGTAGCTGGGATTACAGGCATGCACCACCACGCCTGGCTAATTTTGTATTTTTAGTAGAGACGGGGTTTCACCACGTTGGCCAGGCTGATCTCGACCTCCTGACCTCAGGTGTTCCACCCGCCTTGGTCTCCCAAAGTGCTGGGATTACAGGTGTGAGCCACCACACCCGGCCAAGATTCTGTTTTTTGATGCCTGCTTTTGTGGCCTAAAGTGCCCCAACATTATAACAAAAGACTCTCTCTCACCTTTATCACTCTGAGCTGTTCCAAAGCTGCTTTGGGAATGGACAAAAGCCCAAATACTTTAATAAAATATATTCTTCTTGTTTTAGTCATTTGGGAAATAACAAGGGTTCTGGGAGTTATGAGCCAGGAACCATAGACAAAAACATATACAAAACAGTTTTCAATTTACATTGCCCAGATCCATCAGAGGAATCACTATCTATGGCAGCCATTACCTTATAAAATGTATGTAATTCATAATAAGACTGGAAAGCTGAAAATACTCCTCAATCCATGGACTACATAATGGAGTTGTGCAAGCAGGCATGAAAACAATATTCATATCCTTGTACATCTCCATCAGAACTCTTGGATAACTAAGTACATTGTCAATGAGCAGTAATATTTTGAAAGGAATCTTTTTTCCTGAGCAATAGGTCTCAACAGTGGGCTTAACATACTCAATAAACCATGCTATAAACAAATGTCTGTCACACAGGCTTTGTTGTTCCACTTAGAGAGCACAGGCAGAGTATATTTAGCATAATTATAAAGGGTTCTAGGATTTTTTGGAATGGTAAATGAGCATTGGCTTCAACTTAAAGTCAACAATTGCATTAGCCCCTAATGAGAGAGTGAGCTTGACTTTGAAGCCAGGCATTGACTTTTCCTCTCTAGCTATGAAAGATGCCTAGATGGCATCTCCCAAGAGAAGGCTGTTTCATCTACATTGAAAATCTGTTGTTTAGTGTAGCCACCTTCATCAATGATCTTAGCTAGACCTTCTGGGTAACTTGCTGCAGCTTCTCCATCAGCACTTGTGGCTTCACCTTGCATGTGTATGTTATGAAGATGGCATCTTTCCTTAAACCTTGTAAACCAGCCGCTGCTAGCTTCAAACTTTTCTATTGCAGCTTCCTCACCTCTCTCAGCCCTCATAGAATTGAAGAGAGTTAGGGCCTTGCTCTGGGTTAGGCTTTGGCTTAAGGGAATGTGGTGGCTGGTTTGATCTTCCATCTAATATTCTCCACATCAGCAACAAGGTTGTTTTGCTTTCTTATCATTTGTGTGTTCACTGGAGTAGTGCTTTTATTTTCCTTCAAGAACTTCACCTTTGCATTCACAACTTGGCTAACTGACAAGAGGCCTAGCTTTTGGCCCATCTCGACTTTCGATATGCCTTCCTCACTAAGCTAAATCATTTCCAGCTTTTGATTTAAAATGGGGAACATGCAACTCTTCTTTCACTTGACCACTCAGGGGCTATTGTAGGGTTATTAATTTGCCTAAATTGAATATTATTGTGTTTCAAGGAAAAGAAAGGTCCAAGGAAAAGGAGACAGATAGGGGAATGGCTAGTTGATGGAGCAGTGAGAACACACACAACATTTATTGATCAACTTTGCCATCTTAGGCACAATTTGTGGTGCCCCAAAACGATTATGACAGTGACATCAAAGATCACTGATCACAGACTGGGCATGGTGGCTCATACCTGTAATCCCAGCACCCTGGGAGGCTGAGGTGGGAGGATCACTTGAGCCCATGAGTTTGAGACCAGCCTGGGTGACATAGTGAGACTCTGACTCTACAAAAATTTTAAAATTAGACAGGTATGGTGGTGCACAACTGTAGTCCCAGCTTATTGCAAGGTTGAGGTAGGAGGATCATTTGAGTGCAGGAGTTCAAGGCTACAGTGAGCTCTGATCACTTCCCTGCACTCCAGCCTGACAACAGGGCAAATTTGAAATATTGTGAGAATTACCAAAATATGACACAGAGACATGAGGCAAGCACATGATGTTGGAGAAATGGTGCTGACAGACTTGCTCAACACAAGGTTCTCATGAACCTTCAATTTGTAAAAAATACAATATCTGCAAGGCACAATAAAGCAAAGTGCAGTAAAACAATGTGTGCTTATATTTTTATTTTCAGTATATTTTGATGTTTATCTTATAACTCTTTCTGGATAGAGAGAGACTGCCCTTGCAGGGGCTGGCCTATCTAGTCACATCTCTTCTATGGGACCTGCACACTACAAGAAGCAATATTCCTCTGCCTTAGTCTTCCCAGAGCCAGGTACCAGGCAACTAGAGACCATCCCTAGAGAGCCCAAAGCCTGCCATTTATAATGCAAATTGCCCAATCCAAAACTGTTTATGCTGCTCCGCCTGACCTTTCCTGTGCAAACCCCAGTAAAGGCCGTGGCCTAGATTTTCCCTCACTCTGGCCCTTTCTGCCTCCTGACCTACACTGGTGCTTTCCCTTGTGGTCCTGTGTGCCACACCTCCTGCTTCCAGGACCTGTGAGTGTAATAAACTTCCTTTTCCAGAGCCTGCCCCATGTGGCTGCACTGGACCAACCATCACATAAAATAACATAGAACAGTACCCACTATAGACAGAACTCGTGGCTTCTGGAAAGGGGATGTGTATAATGAAGCTCTAATAGCTTAGATAAGATCTACTCCAAATCCTAAACCTCCATTTGCTCCAGTTCCCACACCTGCTCCAGCCCCTTCCAGACAAGCGGGGGTGCAAGGGCTCTGGAGACTGGGTCAGTGTGCAGTGTCCAGGCCACCTGGGCCAGGCTTGGGCTCTAGGGGTCACTTGTCCTCAGGCTGTGGAGCACTTTTCTGTTTTGTTTTATTGTGGCAAAATAAATATAACATAAAATTTACCTTTTTAAGTGTTCAGTTCTGTGGCATTAATTACACTTACACTGTTGTGCAACCATCACCACTATCCATCTCCAGAACTTTTTCAACTTCTCAAACTAAAACTCTGTACCCATTAAACAATAATTCCTATTTCCCCCTTCTCCCAGCTGTTGGTAACCTGGTTAGCAGGGGCAGTGCCTACCTTTCATTTGTTTACTTTAGAGCACTTCTTACTCGGCAGGCACAATAAACTGAAGACAATCCCTGCCTATAAGGAGCTTGAAATCTAACAGAGATGCACAGAAGCCATCTATTATCTTGATAAGAACAGCAACAGAGGGGAGCAAATGTCTATGGATGCACCCAGCACAAGGCTCTGGATAGAGTGTGTGTTCAATGGAAGTACTTTTTTCCTAAATTTGCTCACGTCCTGTAATGACATTGTTTTATTTTTATTTTTAAATTTTTTAAAATTGACAATAATTTTACCTATTTGTGGGGTCCATATGATGTTTTGATACATATAATGTACAGTGATCAGATCAGGTAATTAGTATAAACATTATCTCAAATATTTATCATTTATTTGTGTTAAGAACATTCAATGTCAACAGAGGTATTTTTAGCTGAACTGAATCAGATGACAAGCTAGTTGGGAAGCTTTGAGCTTCCCACTTTCAAGCTGTGTGACTTTAGGCAAGCCACTTAATTTCTCTTTGCCCCGCAGATGTGTAGTAGTAATGACCTGAAAACCAGGTATGGACCAGCTTGGCCTGTGTGGACCGGATGCAGCAAATCAGCAAGCCATGTTTTTGCCTAAGAAGTAACAGAGTGGATAGCTGGGCATGGTGCCACATGCCTGTGGTCCCAGCTATTTGGGTGGCTGAGCTGGAGGATAGCTTGAGCCTGGGAGATGGAGGTTGCAGTGAGCTGAGATCATGCCACTGCGCTCCAGCCTAGGCAACAGAGTGAGACCCTGTCTCAAAAAAAAAAAAAAGTTAAAAAAAAAAAAAGAAGAGGAAGTAACATAGCCAGTCTGGGGACGGGAAGTGGGGAGAACCTCTAGCCACAGAAGTGACCATTTCAGAGAGTCCTCAGGCCAGGGAGACAGAGTAATGGGATGTAGCTTTCTGCTTGCATTTCCCGCTCATCTAAATGTCATCTTCCCACCAATGAAAATTAAGTGATTTTCCTATTATTAGCACCACTAAACAGGCACTGTAAACAGATCACAATGAGCCTTTGTTAGAAACTCCCCATTTAGCTCTGGGCCCTGGCTCCTTCCACACCTGGAGATGTATCATCTATTTTCACAGTACTGCTTAAGAAGCAGATGTCTGTCAGGGGAATCGTCCTACTCAGAACCTGTGGAGCTTGAGTAGGGGAGCTTCCTGGTGCATGCCAAATGCCCACATCCTCCCAACTTCAGCTGTCAAAACTAGATCCCCATTTCTGCCCTCTGCCCTTCTAAAGCATAGGTAGTCAATAGACAGGGCTGGGCATGATAACTCTGTGATGCCATTTTTTTCTGATTTGCTAATTCCAGTAGGAAAGTTAAAAGTCCTGAGCTTTCCCGTCAGATGTGAAATATATTCCTGCTCTTCCATCAGCCACGAGCGGGTGTGCCATTTTTCATTACTGTTTCAGGCATTCTGCTGAAAATCTGAGGCTACTAAGTTTAACCCTACAGCTAACAAGTCCACAACTCACAAGACTGATGTCAAATCTAATATTACAGTCTGAATATTACTGCCGTGATTTCCCTTCCTTTTTCTACCTCTTAGGCACTGACTTCAATATGTCCTGAGAGTGCCCTCTCTGCTCACTGAGTTCTGCTCTCTTGTCTTTTACTCCTCTAAGCTCGACCAGAATCTCAGCTTTTAAAAGCTGTGAGGTGCTTAATTATTCCATTTTTCTCAGTTCATGTAAAGGACGCCTGAAACAGTTATAAAGATCTGTCTGTGCACATATATGTATGCACACACACACACACATACACACACATACCGTACACACACACATATACACACACACACATACACACATACAGACACATGGAATGAAGAAGCTTTCACCTTGGGACAAAAAAAAAGTCCTGCCTGTGTCATCTGAATGAGCATCAGATGTCATTATGACCCAACCACAACAACAGCCACTCTTTATGTTCCACAAAAGTGGTTTATAATTAGTGGCTATTAATAATCTATGTTGATTGCTTCCTGGTATCAGACCTTGTGCAAGCACTTGCCTTGCACTCTTTTTTAATTCTCACACTCTGCAACGTGGGTATTATCATTCCTATTTTACCAATGAGAAAATGATAGACAGATCAGGCACCAAGGTCATACAGTAAATAGCAGAGTCAGCTAGCAGTCATGCCCAAATCCATCTGACTCTAAAGCTTGAGTTCTAAACCTCCCTCCCTGTACCCCAGAGGTGGAGGCCTAGGGATGCTGGCTTCCTGGAGAGAGGTAAAAGGAACCTGACAGCTTGAGCCTCTGAGAATAAAAATGGGCTGTTTTACGGCATAGTATCTGAAACCTATAAAACCACAAGTCCTCCAGTTGGAACCATTCTCCAACTTTTTTGTCTTGGTGTTCAGGGAAGGAGCAGTTGCCAAGATAGCTGGGCCTGATCAGTCTGTGGTCTCTCTTTATCATGTAAATGGGCCTCCAAGAAACTCATCTCTTCAGTAAGACCAAGCTCTTCTCAGCTGCCAATTGTAAGACCCAGAGGTACATAGAGAAGTTGAGTAACTTTGCCAAGGACACACAGCTAGTAAACAGTGGGGTTAGGATTCAAACCCAGGGAGTCCCACTGAAGAGCTGGTTCTCAAACTTTGCACTTCACAAAGGAGCCAGTGGAGAATATAAATGACTTCCCAGTACTGAGAGAACAGTGGCTGGAATAGAGGAGAAACTTTACAGAGGACCTAACCATTCAACCACAGCTAGAAGAACAGGTAGAATTCAGATATGTGAAGCAGTGCAGGGTGTCAATGTGCATGTTGTTTTCATTGATCACTAAACAGACCTGCTTAGCTAGAGTGAATAATAAGTGAAACTGGAAATATACTTAGAAAGGTAAGATCAGGTAGCCTTGAATGCTAACCTGGATTAAATAAAAACAAGTTCAAGAGAAGCTTAGATCTACCTTTTCCAATTGCCTCCCACATTATGTTTCTATATATGTAACTTTAGGGGTGGGAGCTGTTTCTGAGGCAAGAACCCTATAAGTCTTACAGGAAAAAGGAATGTACAAATGAAGCCCCAGAAGTGTGACCAGGCTCTGGACACAGAGGCCAGAAATATAACCAGGATCTATCTCTTGGGTGGGTTGCGGGGGCGGGGCGGTGGGGAAGAAGGGCCAAAAGCACAAAGGCGTTAGCTATGATTTGAATGTGTCCCCCAAAAAGCACATGTTAGGAACTTAATCCCAAATGCAATAGTGTTGGAAGATGAGACCTAAGGGGGGGTGTTTAGGTCACGAGGGCTCCACCCTCATGAATAGATTAATGCCAATTATAAAAAGGGCTTAAGACTGCAAGTTTGGTCACTTGCTTTCTCTTGACCTTCCACCTTCTGCCATGTGATGATACAGCAAGAAGGCCCTCACCAGATGCTGGTGCTATGCTCTGGGACTTCCCAGCCCCAGAACTGTGAGATAATAAACTTCTGTTCTTTATAAATTACCCAGTCTCAGGTATTCTGATATAGCAGCACAAACAAACTAAGATAAAGTGGAAAAAGGAGACTGTTTGGCATACATACACATCCATGCTCAGGTTAAGCTGGACAGCAGTTACACAAAAAAGGGAGGAAGTTATAGAGGCAAAACAACCCAAAGGAACCAATAAGCCAAAAATCTCTCATACAGCCATATAGTGGAATTTGGGCTTTAATCATTCATTCATTTATTCAACAAACATTTATTCATGGTCTACTTTATGCCAAGTACAGCACTGGCATTTAAAAGTGGATATCAGCTGGTGTGATGGCTCGCGTCTGTAATCCTACCACTTTGGGAGGCTGAGGTGGGTGGATCATGAGGTCAGGAGTTTGAGACCAGCCTGGCCAACATAGTGAAACCCCATATCTACTAAAATTACAAAAATTAGCCAGGCCTGGCGGCTCATGCCTGTAATCCCATCTACAGGGGAGGCTGAGGCAGGAGAATTACTTGAACCCCAGAGGCAGAGGTTGCAGTGAGCTGAGATTGTGCCACTGCACTCCAGCCTGGGTGACAGAGCAAGACTCCATCTCAAAAAAAAAAAGTGGATATCCTGATGAACTGGTAACTCTCAAACTTCCAAGCAAAACAGTAAGGTCCCACTGGTAAGCAACCTCTTTAGAGGAGCTGGAAAACCCCCTGCCTGCCCTGGGCTCCACTTTTCCTTTCTCAATCCCATGCTGCAAGTGAGCTACAGAGCCACCCAAAGAGCACTCAAAGAAGTGCTCTCACTAAGACAAAGAAGTCCTTTCCCTGGGGCTGGGGAGTTGTGTGCATATTTTGGATTAAAAATCTTTTCTTCTCATCAAAAGTTGAGTTTGGACAGAAATATCACATTAAGCTGTAGAGCAGCATCAGAGATAAAGGTGTTTGAATGTCAACAATTCATGCAAAAAGCAGCCCTGGCCAAACCCCCTAGGAGTCAGCTTTGAAAAGAGGCTGCAGGCTGCAGCTCACTCAGAACAAAATCAGTTTTGCCTGCACATAGAAAAGTACGTGACTTACCCTCATTTAGCCCCAGATATTCCCTCTCATCTGAGAAGACTAAACCATTATTTTGATTCAGAATGTAGACTTATTATAAACATGATGCTGTGTGTTTCTATAATGTGTTAAATCTTCAAAGTGCCTCATAGTCACAGTGAGGACAGGAAGTGAGCATGGAGACATTGGGAATTCAACAGTCTTTTGTGGCAGGGTCTGGGAATAGCAACGTGGTGCATTTCTGTGCCTGTGAATCACTCAGCTGCCTTACTATCCAGGCAGAGGTCAGACAAAAGCAGATCCAAACTTAGAAAGTTTCAACTCGCGCATTGCAGGTTTTCTTAACAGCAATAACGGTGCTCGCTTAGCCACTTTGATTTCCAGAGCTCAGACTCCTCAATCCATTCTCGCAGGGATCTGGGAAGTTGATAGATGTCATGCTTCTCAGTAAAATGGCTCCAAAAAAAAAAAAAAACAGGGGGTCAGGAAGAAGGTAGTAGCTTGGCCCATGGCTTAATGCTAATCACCTCCAGACTTAAGAACAGAAACTTTGAAGGCCAGCCTTTACTCCCACAGCAGGTTCCAAAGCCTGAGAAGCTGGTCCTTATTATCCAAAGTCTTTTTTTTAACTCCTAGAATCAGCTCCATCAAGTGGAGCTAAGAAATAAGTAAGTGTTGCCTAGTGCTGCCAGCAAAAAGAAAAAAGTGCAAAAATCCAGCTAATTACTCAGGACATGTTGGCAGACACCTCTGCTTGTCAGATTCCTGGTTGTCTGAATGGTTATTTACATCTGAATTAATTTACACTATGGGAGTTTAAATGCTTGTTTTTTTTTTTTAAGTAGTGGCAAAGATCCTACCAGAAACTATGCTGGTTCCAAAAATGTCTTCTTCATCCTTGATTTATTCGTGGGCATAGGACACTCTGCCATTGGGCCATGACTCTTGTGCTTGGAAAGATCTTAAATGGGAATTCTTACGCAGACATCATCATTGGAGCCCCTGCCGTCCTCCTTGCTCCATGAGCTGAGCCCACTCCATAGATCTCACACTCCTGCCGTATGCATGTCTGAGGCAAAGGCCCTAAGAAAATCCAGACAGCCTTTAAAATATACAAGAAAGCTATTGAGGAAAAATTTTAAAAATTATTCATACATTCTGAATTTTTTCATTCATTCAACAAATATTCAGTGAGATGACACCGTGTGTTAGAATTGTCCTATTAGGTCTTGCAGGCACAGATATCCAAATATATGTCAAAAGATAGTTGATGTCATCTCTACCCACAAGAGGCTGACAGCTCAAGGGAGGGAACGAACATGGGGGTGGGTGGGAAACACAATAGAATACAGCAAATATCTAGGAATGGGGTGAGATGGGAGTTGACATTTAGATACTGTAACTAAAATAGGCAAAAACTAGAAATGCATTTCCATAACTGGTCTCATCTTGTAATTAATTATTTGTTAGTTTTTAGGTTTTGTTTTGTTTTTTTTTTTAATGGAAACAGGGTCTCACTCTGTCACCCAGGCTGAAGTACAATGGTGCAATCACAGCTCACTAAGGCCTTGACCTCCTGGCTCAAGCAATCCTCCCACCTTGGCCTCCTGAGTAGCTGGGACTGCTGGCACACACCACCATGCCCCGCTATTTTTTTAAAACTTTTGTGTAGAGATGGGGTCTCCCTATGTTACCCAGGCTGGTCTCAAACTCCTGGGCTCAAGGGATCCTCCCACCTTGGCCTCCCAAAGTGCTGGGATGACAGGTGTAAGCCACTATGCCCGGCCTGTGATCAATCCTTAATGACAACATACACATATACGCACACCACACAGATCTTAAATTTTTCAATAAAAAGTAGCCCAGGCTCTTCTAGGTTAGAAATACCTCTTTCAGGTAAACATGCACTCATTTTCCAAGGTCAAATTCTCTATCAGGTGTGCCTTCCCTTCCCAAAGGAGCTCTGGCCAGACACCCGCTTCCTTCCCAAGAGGGTATCTCTGTGCAGGCAGAAACTTCCTACCTTGATGGCATCAAGCATGAATTCTGTGGTCCACACACTGTCCCCTGGCTTCTACTGGGTTGCTTCTGGTCTCATCTGGACACCGATGTCCTACTGCAGGGTCCTAGCTGATATGTCTTGGTGTCTTGATGTTCTGGGATGTTGTGTTGACCCCAAAAGCTGCAGTTCTGAAGTCTGGGGTCTCTGGTTCCCCTCCCAAACCTTGACTCTTCACTATTGCCTGCTCCTTCAGCGCACCTGCATTCTCACTCAGGCCTGTGTAAATTGTGAATCCCACAGGCAGAACACGTGGGTATAGGCAACCAGGCACATGACCCAAAGCTCCAGCACTGTCCTGCTGCTTCCACACAATTTTCACTTTCTAGGGCTGTTGCAACAAATTACCACTAACTGGGTGGCTCCAAACAACAGAACTTTATTCTCCTTCCCACTGTTCTGAAGGATGGAAGTCTAAAATCAAGGTGTCAGCAGGGCCATGCTCCCCTGCCAGTCTTTAGAAGAGAATCTTTCCTCAACTCTTCCAATGTCTAGCAGCTCTCCAGTTTCCTCGGCCTGTGGCAGCATCACTCCAATCTCTGCCTCCATCTTCCCATGGCCTTCTTTTCTGTGTCTCTGGGTGTCCTCTCCTCTTCTTATAAGGACACCAGTCATTGGATTTAGGGCCTACCCTGAATCCAGGATGATTTTATCTCAAGATTCTTAACTAATTACATCTGCAAAGACCCTATTTCCAAATAAGGTTACATTCTGAGGTTCTGGGTGAACACAAACTTGGGGGACACTGTTCAACCCGCTATACACATCATGCTGAGACAACGGTCCTGCCAAATCCAGACTTTCTCTAAGGCTCGAAGTCTCCCAGGGAAGCAAAGTACTGGCCTGATATGGTTTGGCTGTGTCCCCACCCAAATCTCATCTTGAATTCCCACATGTTGTGGGAGGGACCCAGTAGGAGGTAATTGAATCACGGGGGCAGGTCTTTCCCATGCTGTTCTCATGATAGTGAATAAGTCTCATGTGATCTGATGGTTTTAAAAAGGGGAGTTTCTCTTGACAAGCTTTCTTCTCTTGTCTGCCACCACGTGAGACATGCCTTTCACCTTCTACCATGACTGTGAGGCCTCCCCAGCCACATGGAACTGTGAGTCTATTAAAACTCTTTCTTTTGTAAATTGCCCAGTCTCGGGTATCTCTTTAACAGCAGCATGAAAACGGGCTAATACATAGCCCTAAAGTTCCCAAAGTCCCCAGATCATCTGGTTGTTACCAGGTCCCTTTTCAAGGTTCAGATCCCATGGGGAGAACCAGATCATTCACATGAAAACTTCCCTCTCAGTCCCATTCATTTCTGCAGTACTAGGGGAAGGAAGTCTTTCCTTTTTCCTCCATGATGTCCTGAGTTCTCTCTTCATTCATGGCTCTTGCCATGTAGGGGAAAATGTGTGTCTCTAGAAAGCCCTTTTCTCTTTCAACGAAGTATGGCTTTCAAGACTAATGCTGCTTATGGATTTTTAAAAATCTAATCTAGTTTGGAGTTTAAAGCTAAACCACGACCCCTGTGCTATCTACATCCTCCTTTGAGCCATTGATTCATGTGTATGTGCAGGAACTGGAGACTTTTAAGAATGAATGGGCTAGGTGCGGTGGCTCATTTAGGTTTGTAATCTCAGCACTTTGAAAGGCCAAAGTGGGAGGATCACTTGAGCCCAGGAGTTCAAAACCAGCCTGGGCAACATAGTGAGACCCCCATCTCTACAAAAAAAAAAAAGTTTTTAAATTATCCAGGTGTGGTGATGTGTCTGTAGTCCTGGCTACTTGGGAGGTTGAGGCAGGAGGACCGCTTGAGCCCAAGAGTTCAAGACTGCAGTGACCCATGATTTCATCACTGCAATCCAGCCTGGGCAATGGAGCAGGGCCCTGTCTCAAAAATAAAAAAAAAAAAAGAATAAAAGAACTGTGCTTTGGTTTAATATCACCAGTATATTACTGGGCACGTGTAGGATATGGCTCTGGAAGCACACATGTGGTCCCTTGAAGAGACTATGTCCTACGCATCTTTAGTCACAACATCAGCACAGTGCCTGGCATATGGCAGATGCTCATTACGTATGTTGAGTGATTGCGGGGTCTGGAAGGCTTTGCGGTAGAGGAGACATTGAGACGTTAAGACAGGCCTGGAAAAATAAGCGAGTAGGATTCGATCTAGGGAAACGGGCAAGGAAGGCATTATGAACAAAGGGCAAGTGCAAAGGCTTGGAGGCATGAACAAGAATGACATCTCAGGAATGGTAAGGAAAAGTAAGTTGCAGCAAACCCTGAAGGACTTGAGTGATGTGCTACAGAGCTGGGGTCTCAATGCGAGGGAAATGGAGAGAGGTGATGCAGGCTGAAAACTGAATGCTCTTCAAGAGTTTTTCACATGAATTCATGCTTTATTGGTCTCTAACAGATTATTGAGTAAGTCAGCACGTTTGAGGGGTTCTTTAGAAGCTGATGTCAGCAGATGTAGCTGTGTCGTTCCCATTCCTAAAGATGTCCCTTGGTCCTATCCTCATAGACTTAATGCTGGGCCAACCCATTAGGCATTGCTGAGATTCTCATTTTCTTATCTTACACTAAGTCTGGGGAAAACACTACATAGTCAACTAGGCCACAAACTGGAATATTCCAAAGAAACAAATTACAAATTATTTCACAACCAAGAAATGCTTCATTTTTCCAAAATGGTCAATGCAAATCAAAATGCTGAATCATGCAGCCAGAAAAAATATATCAAATGATAAATGCATTTCTGCATCAAATTCAAGTTTTGCCATCCTGATGACTGCAAATGTGAATATTTTTACCAGTCTTTCTTCCATGACAAAAAGAATCAGCTTCCCAAAAAGGAAGGATTTACATCAGCACTTTTTCTCTGTCTTTTAGTGAAATATTGTCTACTCCGGCATAAAGGGTTTGTGATAGAACTGGTTATTTATTTTTCTAGCCCCCAAACAAAACTTAAATCCTGTTTGTCCAAAATCAAGAAGTGCCTTGCTGTCCTAAATACTGCCAGGCATAATATTGTCTTTAAGTCTACCGTTATTCTAAGGATGTTCAAGGACAAATTAGACCTGGAATGTTTATGGGGACTGTATACTTCTCTATGCAATAGAAACTTGAAAATTTCTTTTTTCTAATGCCTTTGTTCTGTGTATTGTAACTTTCTTTTAAAGAGCAGAATTGAACAAAACTCAAGCTGAGATTTATAATAAAATAGCTTTTAAAACATGAATAATAATAGTGTCAGCAATAATGATGTGCAAAAATATCCTTTTTAAAAGTTGTCCGCTAAGTTCTCAAAGAACTATGCTGTCAGTGAAATTATTTCCAAAGAAAGGGCTATAAGTGAGGCTAATGCAGTGGTGAGTGAGTTGCAGAACTTAGCTATGCTAATGTGGAAAATACGACAGGAAGTGGGGTATGGTCCAGAACATCACATACATTGGAGCAGCGACTGGTCTAATATCAATTCATGTCTTGCTTATTCTTGTATTACAAAGTGTTTCAAATTCAACCCTTCTTATCCATTTCCTTTGCCACCACCAGAAATCCAAGTTCCATTACATTAAAAGTAGGCCATTACAATCACCTTCTATTTCATGGATTTTTAGCCAGGGAATATAACAAAATTGGCTGAAGAACTCTTCCACATACAGACTCCATAGGCTCTACAACAGACCTACTGAATCAGAGTCTCCAATGGTAGGAGCCCCAGCATTGTTAGTTTAAAATGTTCTGCAGGTAAGTCTGAAGTGCATCTCTGATTAGGAATCACTAAACCAAACAACTTGGTGTCTAAACTCACCCTCCACCATAGCTTACCATCCTCTTGTTATCTTCCCTAAACTATCTATTTGATGATGTCCAAAATCATCAGAAATTTCTAATAATGAACGGGAGAGTTGATGGGTGTCTCTTACCTGCTGATCCCCATATGCAACTCAGATTTTATCCCTCACTCTCACATAGTGTGGCCAAACTGGTCCACTCTGGTTGACATTTCCACCATTGAGCTGGGATTCATGACATTCCCTCACCCGGCATGGCCCTCTCCCAAACACACATTCACCAATTGCTCCCTAATACACACCCCTAGTCCTTTGAAACTCACCTCAAGTCCTGCCTCCAGAAAGCCTTCTGTGGTCACTCACGACTCTGTCCACTGCCACAGATGTTCTCTCCATCCTGTGAAATCTTACAGCACTTTGCATGTGCCTGGGGACAGTAAGTACATACTATGAAAGAGGAGGAAATATCTAAGAGCACAGACTCAAGTGGACCCAGAATAACTTCTTTAAAATGTAATGTTTTTACAAATGGAGATGAATGTTGCATCTCCATAATCCACTTATGGAGTCCACTAATGCCCCAGGAAGATGGCCCATGTATATTCTGAAGCTTCTGTAAACTCCCAGCACATGCTGTGTGCCCCAGCAACACATCCACTCAGGCAATGTGGCCGAGTACCATGGAGAGAAAGGACTCAACAAAGATGTCTGAAATAATGAACAGATAAGTGAATCAACAAAGGCAAATTCTTTTTCCCCTCTATTATTAAGAGCAATTTAGATACATGGCAGCTCCAAACCTCCGAACTTATAGACCTGACCATCTTAGTATTGAGAAAAACAAAGTCCTCCATATGGCAGGTCTCAGCCTCTTTAGAAGGCATTTGGAACACCTTCTGATTCCTGAATATGCCACTTGGAGTCCCCCACGCTGATTTCAACAGGCTTCTCAAAATATTTCTTCCAAACTCATACTCCTTCTCTCCAAGAAGAATTTGGGTGAATAAAGTGTCTTCCATTTCATTACATGTACACGTAAGAAGGAAGTTCTGCGGTGATTGATCCAGGTGTATTGCACACAGGCTACCGCCCCAGGCACTTCAAAATCCATCACCATTATTTTAGATTAAAAATTAACTGGTAGCTACATTAGGGAGGAAAAAAAAAACCGTGCTCTGTTCTTTTCTATCTTTATGTAACATACTTGTCATGGACAAACCCTACAAAAGAAAAGCCCAGCCACATCTGTCTCTGCACATAATAAGAAAATGTTTACCTCTAAAATTCTGTTCACACACCAACACACTTTAAGAACTGGCCATCTGTGGCTACCTATGGACTATAAATAGCAGTTAAAAGAAATAAATAAACCCAGGAACAGCTGGAGGAGGCACAAAGAAAGGATGAAGGGAACCCCAGGCCCTCAGCATGTCAAAGCCAAACAGCTGAATTGTATGTAAATATTATGAAAGAAAAGGCAAAGGTTGTCAGGAAGAGGAACCAGCTTCCACAGCCCTCCCCACACCCCCTCTGTCCAATTTTTGTTATCATGATTCTTTCCCTATTTTGTGCATGTCCACCCCCATCACCTGTACAGATAAATGTTTAATGTTACAACCTCACGCACACTCAGTCTGATTCCAGAGATGTGAAAAGGCATCCAGGATGTGCAGCTGCAGCTACCTGCTCTCCAGGCTTCCCACAGTCCTCCTTATCCCCCTGTAATTTAGGTATGAAGAGTCTGTCTCTCAAAGTCTAGGTTTATAAGTGACTTAAATGTTATCCCCAAAGATCCTTGGCAAAGGAGATGAGCTAAATTTGACCTTAAATCATCTTCCGAGAAAAGAAAAATGATTCCTGTCACCTTTAAAAAGCCAACCAATCAATAACAAAATAATGGGCTCATAAGAATGACAATTCTTTTTTTCTCTCATGATGCCAACTATATGCAATAGCACTGTTTTCAAAAGAAGCACAATTTACTTCTCTTAAAGGGAGCCAGTGAGGAGGTATCCAACACGCTTTGGGCTCTTCTTATTGTATTCTCAAGAGCAAGGAGAAATTTGTCATGTGTCTGATTATTATTTGTACCACTCAATTAGTCAATACACACAATCAGATTAATCAAGACATAGTAGAAACCTGTGAAAAAGAAACAGGAAAGGAAAAGGTTTTCAAAAGGGTAGAAGAAAGTAAGAGAACTGATTAGGAATCACTAAGCAATGATTTCCGGTCTTTTCCCTGTAATGATGCCTTTTTTACTTCAAGAAATGTCAGGGTTCTGGTTAAAGATGGAAGACTAAACACACTCAGCCTCCAATCTCTCCAAAAAAACCATCAAAACCGGAAAAAGACTTGGGTAAAGCCTAAATCCCCAGAACAAAGTGAAAAGGACAAAGACAAAAGCAACATGGTATGAAAGGAAAATAAAATTTCAGGACCCCAAATTCACTATGCCAACAGGGAAAAATTAAGCTTGGAAGCCAAGTTACAAAAAAACAAAGAAAACAATTGCATTTTCTTTTGTTCCTAAACTGAGAGCCACAGATAGAGGCCATATGTTTCCACTGGGGGCCTCCCTCACCCTGACAATGTAAATTAACAGCCTATCCTCATGGTATGGGAAAAGAGGAGACTAGAATTGTCCTCATCTACCCCAAGATGAATGCATATTTGACTGCTTTCTCTACTCTGTGTTTATCTTATGTAAAGTGCAGATTCATTAAACACAAGGTGAATACATAATTAACTGTTCCCTCTACCCCTCCTTTTCTTTTTTTTTTTTGAGACAGAGTCTCGCTCTGTCATCAGGCTGTGGCCACTGCAACCTCCGACTCCCTGGTTCAAGCGATTCTCCTGCCTCAGTCTCCCAAGTAGCTGGGATTATAGGCATGCACCACCATGCCTGGCTAATTTTTGTATTTTTAGTAGAGACAAGGTTTCACCATGTTAGCCAGGATGGTCTCGATCTCCTGACCTCATGATCCACCCACCTTGGGCTCCCAAAAGTGCTGGGATTACTGGCCTACCCCTCCTTTTCATGTGTAACATGTGGATTCAGAAGAATGCGACCTCCTTTTTTCGCTTTGCCCTTTCCCCTTTTGCCCACTTTTCCGCTTTAAATATTGAAGCCCTTGAAATCCTCTTCAGAAAAAGCACAGGCTACAGATCCTACGGTGGCTTATGTCTCCTTTTCCCAGGCATGTCTTCAACCTTGGCAAAATAAACCTCTACATTGGTGGAGGCTTGTGTCAGATACTTTTTGGTTTACAATGGTAACGGAAACTGGAAAGCAGATGGATGAGTGGCTGATCACTGACTTAGAAGGCTGAATCCTAAACCAGCCCAGGTACCTTTGGGAGTATGGATGAAAGTGGGGGCCAAATATAAGGGGTCTGACTCAAAGTCTATTTAAGATATAGTTAGATACTCCCCAGCCCGTCATTCCCTCAGCACTTGGCTGAAGACTAGATGTTTACTCTCTTATTGGGGTAAAATGTCAGGATTCTAGGCACAGCTGAGGGTAGGGATAACATATTAAAAACATGAGCAAGGAATCTGTTGAAGATTTACAGACTGATTTCGAGACACTCCCCACCAACATCCACCCCAGGCTTATGTTCACTCTGTCTTTGTCCGTTTGTGTTGCTAGAAAGGAATACCTAAGGCTGGGTATAAAGAAAAGAAAAGGCTTATTTAACACACAATTCTGCTGACTGGAACACTGGGCATCTGGTGAGAGCCTCAGGCTGTCTCCAATCATGGCAAATGGCAAACAGGAGCTGGTCTGTGCAAAGCTCATGTGGCCAGAGAGGAAGAAAGAGAGAGGGGGGGAAAGTTCCAGGCTCTTTTTAACAACCAGCTCTCTCAGGAACTAACAGAGCAAGAACTCACTCATTACCATGAGGACGACACCAATCCCTTCCTGAGGAATCCACCCTCATGACCCAAACATCTCCCATTAGACTCCACCTCCAGCACTGGTGATCAAATTTCAGCATGAGGTTTGCAGGGGTCAAATATCTAAACCATAGTACACTCAGTCCCTAGACATTGTCAGCCAGACTTTTACCATCTAGATGGAACACTGGAGGAGCCTTCCTTGCAGAATCAGATCCCAATACAAATGACCTAGAGATACTGACATAAAGAGATTTGTCAAAGAAGTTCTTCAGCCAGACCAGCCTAGTAAAACCCACATTTGACAAGTCACACCCAACATGCTCAGAGTTTCCAATGGACTCTATGGAGACACCACTCAAATACAATGGGCTGAGACTCATTGCGGCATTTGAGGAAAACCTTTACAATGAAAGACAGAGGCCAAAATAAATAAACAGAAAACAACAACTTGGAGGAAACAGAGCTTATGAAAAGACAAAAAGGAACCTCAAAAATGGCGTTCTTAGAAATTAAAAAAGATGACAAGATGAATATCTCAAGGGCAAGATGTTAAAATGGAAGAAATCACTCAGAAATAGAGCCAAAGGCAGAGAGAGAAAACAGAAAGAAAAAAAAAAAAAGAAAAAAGAAACATGATCAGTTCAGGAGGTCCAACATCTGAACAAAAAATTTCAATAGAGTTGTTCTCTACTCTCTACATGAAAAACAAGACATCGACAAAGAAATAATTGAGATATCCCTGGATGGAAAACATGAGTTTCCAGATTGAAAGGGCCCTCTGAACTCTCAGCACAACAGATGAAAACACAAAAATACTCTGTGAAACTTTAGACAACCAAAGAGAAAATCCTACAAGCTTTCAGAAAGAGGAGAAAGACGGAGAAGGGAGTTTCAACAAAAGTATAAAGAATCAGAAAGACATTGAATTAGCAGCAACACTGGAAATTAGAAGATAATGAGGCAGAGAAAGTGTTTTCTAATCCAAAATTTTGTAGAGTCAAACTGTAATTGAGTGTGTAGGCAGAATAAAGACATTTTTAGGTATATAAGATCTCAAAACACTTCTCATGCAACCTTTATCAGGGAGATACTAGGTACTAGTACCTACACCAAATAATAGTACCAGTCACCAAAATGAGAGACTCACTAAGAAAGAGAAAGACAATGGATACGGAATACAGGGGATCAAAAACAAGGAAGGCAAAGGGAATTTCTAGGATAATGGTGAAGGAAACCCTTAAGATGGCAGCTGTGCAGTAGGCATAGAGCATAAGTAGCCCAGCCTGGAGCAAGTCAGAAGGTTCTGGAATCATCAAGAAGATGAAATTGTTGGAAATACCTAATGTGTTTAAGTACTGAAGGCAGATTTATATCTTGGGAGCAAGTTAGGGAAATAAATTAGTAGTAAGTACAAAGAAAACTAACTACCAAACAGAAAAGGCGAATGTTTAACTTTTTATTTTACCAGTTGGAATAGCTTTTTGTTGTCGTCATTGTTGTTTTTATTTTTTTAATTTTTATTTCAATAGTTTTGGGGGAAGAGGTGGTGTCTGGGTGCATGGAAAAGTTCTTTAGTAGTGATTTCTGAGATTTTGGTCCACCCTTCATCCGAGCAGTGTACACTGTACCCAATATGCAGTTTTTTATCCTTTGCCTCCCTCCCACCCTTCCCTGCAAGCTCCTGCTCATAAGTGAGAACATAGGATGTTTGGTTTTCCATTCCTGAGTTACTTCACTTAGAATAATGGTCTCCAACTCCATCCAGATTGTTTTGAATGCCATTATTTTGTTCCTTTTTATGGCTAAATAGTATTTCATGGTATATGTATACACCACATTTTCTTTATCCATTTGTTGGTTGATGGGCATTTAGGCTGGTTCCATATTTTTACAATTGTGAATTATGCTGCTATAAACCTGCATGTGCAAGTGTCTTTTTCATATAATGACTTATTTTCCTCTGGGTAGATACCCAGTAGTGGGATTGCTGGATCAAACAATAGTTCTACAATACTTTCAGTTCTTTAAAAAATCTCTATACTGTTTTCCATAGTGGTTGTACTAGTTTACATTCTCACCAGCAGTATAAAAGTGTTCTCCTTTCACCACATCCATGCCAATATCTGTTATTTTTTTTTTATTTTTAAATCATGGCCATTCAAATGCAGGAGTAAGTTGGTGTCACATTGTGATTTTGATTTGCATTTCCCTGATAATTACAGTTGTTGAGCATTTTTTCGTGTTGGGCATTAGTATATATATATTTGTTGAGAATTGTCTATTCATGTTCTTTGCCCACTTTTTGATGGGATTATTTGGTTTTTTTCTTGCTGATTTGTTTGAGTTCCTTGTAGATTCTGGATATTAGTCCTTTCTCAGATGCACAGTTTGTGAATATTTTCTCCCATTCTCTGAGTTGTCTGTTTACTCTGTTGATTATTTCTTTTGCTGTGCAGTAGCTTTCTCGTTTAATTAGGTCCCATCTATTTATCTTTGTTTTCATTGCATTTGCTTTTGGGTTCATGAAGTCCTTGCCTAAGCCAATGTCTAGAAGAGTTTTTCCAATATTGTCATATAGAATTTTTGTGACTTCAGGTATTAGATTTAAGTCTTTATCCATCTTAAGTTGATTTTTATATAAGGTAAGAGATGAGGAGCCAGCTTCATTCTTCTACATGTGGCTTGCCAATTATCCCAGCACCATTTGTTAGGGTGTCCTTTGTCCCACTTTATGTTTTTGTTTGCTTTGCTGAAGATCAGTTGGCTGTATTTGGCTTTATTTCTGGGTTCTCTTTTCTGTTCCATAGGTCTACACACCCACTTTTATGCCAGTACCATGTTGTTTCAGTAACAATAGTTTTGTAGTATAGTTTGAAGTCAGGTAATGTGTGATGTCTCTAGATTTGTTTTTGAGTTTTGTGGGTTTGTTTGTTTGCTTGCTTACTTACTCTTGCTTTCACTATGTGGGCTCTAGAAAAGGCAAATATTACCTTCAGAAAAAAACAAAAGGCTTTACAGGAAAGAAATAATAATCATAGTATACTACACGGCTCAGTTGTGAATAGCATTTACATAGGTCATAAGAATGCAAACACTGAATGTTAACTAACCACATGTGAAAGTGAAATGTATAAAGAAAACTAAATCCCTCTCTTCCTTAGTGGGAAATAAGTAGATTATTCCTACTACCAAAAAAGTCAAGAAAGAGCAAGACAAGCATGTTATTTAGAGATATGTAGGTAAATTCCAAAAAATTATAAGTATTTCTGAAGGGCAGGAAATAGAGGGCAAAGTTGGGAATGGAAGGGGGACTCCCATCAAGCTCTTCGCTTTTACTATTTGACTCTTTAAACTATGTACATATATAACTTTTTTTAAAAGGAACTATTTTTAAAGTAAAAAGTTTATGGATACTCCCATGTATATTGACTGTCTCTTGGCTGAGAAAGAACATGATAAAAGCCACACTTTAAAATATACTTGAACTTGTCTACTCAGAGTAGCATTTACATACATTAGAAAAATAGTAGATTCATGTAAGTACAAAACACATAATTGATTCATTCCTAAGCAGTTCTCAGTACATTTATGGATTTCCTCTCCCATAAGGTTTAGTAGTTAAGAGACTTAACTTACCTAAGTCTCAGTTTCCCATAAATGTTACCAAGAATGGATGCAGTTGTTCATCTGCTCTTTGGATGCTGTAAGATCCATATCTTTTTAATAAAGTTCCCTTTTATATGTACTAGCTTGAGTAAGTATCTAATTGTTGCACCCAAACATGACCTGAGAAAAGCAGTGAAGATATATACACTACTCAAAGTTGCCCAGTTGGTAAGTGATAGAGACATGATTTGAAATTAGTACAAAGGCTATTCTACTTTGCTACATATTTATAGATCTTCGTAATTTTTCTTCAGTGAGTTTTTTTTTTTCCACAAAAAGCACATTTATTTGAGGTAAAGAGAAGTCTTGCTGAAAGGATGACATTTCCAAGCAGTCAAAACTCAGCTGTTAGTGGCACTATTTTGACCTGGTAGATTTTGCTTCTCTTTGGTCAGAAAAGGGTATTCAGGTTGTACTTTCCCCAGCTGGGCAAAAAGAAGGGCAAAGCAAAGCTACTCTATTGACAGGGCTCTTCAGATCCAACATCAAGCTAGACACACCCTCGCTGGCCACTCTATAGGTTGCTCTCCCACTGCTGAGTGACACAGGCCATACTACCTTTGCAAGGAAAAAAAAAAATGAGACAGAAAACACGGTATAGGTCACTTGGGGACAAGCAGGCATCCACAGCTTCAAAACTCTTCATGGAAGGGGTAATCCTTGTGGGAGGCACAGCTCACCAAGGCACAGACCCTCCAGTTCTGTTGTAACTGAATAAGGTGGTCATATCCTGGCTGTTCAGTTCAAAGTTGAAGACCTTAAAGTTCTCAGCAATGCATTCTGGTGTCACAGACTTGGGGATCACCACCAAGTTCCTCTGCATGGGGAACCAGATCAGAACCTGGGCTGTAGTTTTATTGTGTTTGGCTGTGATCGCCTTGATCCTGGGATCTTCCAGGAGGGAAGGGTCCTCAGGCTTGGCCCAGGGCCTGTCGGGGGAGCTGAAGGAGCTGTAGGCAGTCACCATGATGCCTTTGGACTGGCAGTACTGGATTAACTTCTCCTGAGTGAGGTACGGGTGGCACTCAATCTGATTAACCACCTACTTATACTTTAAGTCAGGTTTGTTTAAGATCCTCTCAACCTGGAGATGGTTGAAGTTGGAGATGCCAATAGCTTTCACCAGCCCTTCATCCACCAGCTCTTCCATGCCCGCCCATGTGTCCAGAATGTTACTGTTACTGGGAACCACATTACCATTACCTGGCTCATCCAATGGGAAAAATTCCTTCCCAGGCTTGAAGCTGGTTGGCCAGCGAATAAGGTAGAGGTCCAGGTAGTCCAGCTTCAGGTCAATGAGCATCTTCTGGCAGGCTCCTTTCACCAGGCCCTTCTCATGGTACGCTCACCACAGCTTGCTGGTGATGAAGAGCTCCTCACACTTCACCACCTGCTCCCTGAGCTTCTCCCGAATGGCCACCCCCACGTCATTCTCATTCTGGTACACGTGGGCACAGTCGATGTGGCAGTACCCAACATTAATGGCCACCTTCACAGCCTCAGTTACCTGGCCTGGAGGGGAATTCCAGGTGCCTAGCCCCAGGATGGGCATCTTGGTGCCATTGTTGAGCACAATGTGGCTGGCCATGGCTGCTGCACTCTCCAGACCCCCACCCAGAACCATGTACCTCAGTGACTCTTTAAGCAACTTAATAATATTAAAATAGTTATGTCTTTAAGAATGCCTGGTCTAATCAACAATGAAATACTTACTGTGACAGTGGAGCCACTTAATAGATTTGGATTTGCAAAGCCGGTAAGTGGGAGGTTGCTTATTTTCTAGTAGGTACCTGACGTGAAGCAGTGGGTCCTTTTATTATGGCCATAGGGACCCACCTGATTTTCCCAACTATGGATAGGTAGAGAGACTGAAGTAGCATATAGTCTAGTCTACATGCATTTTATGTATAAATATACTATTAAAATGTCAAAAATAAACTATATATTTTCTAATTAGAACATATAAAAAATGGACTCATATGTGTAATCCCAACACCTTGGGAGGCTGAGGTGGGAGGATCCTTGAGCCCAGGAGTTCAAGACTAGCCTGGGCAACACTGTGAGACCCTTTCTCTATAAATATATAATGCTTTTTTTTAAAAGAACATATGAAAAAGGGAAATACCATTTACAAAAAAAGATGGAAGGAACTACAAAGCATCTACGTGCAAGTGAATTACCTTCCTAGTTAATAAGAACTCACTTGTAGCTACCTCTCCTTTACCTTTTTATCACACATTTCCTACCCTGGGAAAAGGTAGGGAGACTACTCCCTTCACAAAGGAAACATGGAAAAAAGACAAACATGGAAAAAAGCTCCCCAAGAATTAGTTTCTCATGCTTGAGTTCTGATATGGGGTGTTATATTTTCACACAAAAAGCCCTGCTGAATTCCTGACTCTGGGTTAATTTGCTGAACTACTATTACCTAGTTCCACTTAATCTCATTCTAGTTTTCCTTATTCTGCCTTAGAAAAGGACCTTTCTTGGACTCCCTCCTATTGATAAGCTAAGTGTCAATAACTTCCAGCCTTATGAAGATCTCCGAGTAGCACACTGCCTAAATTCCAGCTTAGAGTTCCACAGCAAAGGCAGCGGCTGAGCTCGGCTTTTCCTCTATGCCTAGTCAGACCCATTTTCATACATCTCCAAAAAAAGGCTGTACCTTGCACCTTGTGTTTTAAGCCCCCACTTCCTACATACTCTCTTCCTGAGGAAGTAGTAACTAAGAGAAAAGGAAGATTGAATGAAAATAATGAAAATAGAGAATAGAAAAACAATAAAGAAAATCAACAAAACCATAAGTTTGTTCTTTGAAAAGATCAACAAAATTAACAAATCTTTGATGAGACTGACTAAAAATTCGAGAGAAAAGACTCAAGTTACTAAAATACAAAACGATGCTGGGAACATTACTAGTGATATTACAGAAATAAAGATGACTACAAGGCAGTATTATGAATAATTGTATGTCAACAATTTTAATTATTGATTCAATCTACTTAATAATTATAGGTCTAGTAAAATTTTCCATTTCTGTATTAGTCAGTTTTGGTAGATTATGTGTTTCTAGGAATTTTTCATTTCATCTAGGTTATTCAATGTGTTGCACTCCAGTCTAGGCAACAGAGCAAGACCCTGTCTCAACAACAACAACAAGAAACCAACTTAGAAATAAATTTAACCAAGGAAGCAAAAGACTTGCACACTGAAAACTATGAAACATTGCTGGAAGATATAAATAAATGAAAAGACATCCTTTTCTCATGGATTGGCAGACTTAACATTGTTAAGATGACAAGACTACCCAAAGTAATCTACAGCTTGAATACAATCGCTATTAAAATCCCAACAGCATTTTTTGGGGCAGAAATATTAAAAAAAAAAAAAACCCTATCCTAAAATTCATCAAGGGATCAATCTCCAATAATCCTCCAACAGGATTGCTGTAGTAAAGTTTCAATTAGATCAGGGGTGTAGTGAATTCTTTTTTTTTTTTTTTTTTTAAGATGGAGTTTCACTCTGTCACCCAGGCTGAAGTGCAGTAGCATGATCTCAGCTCACTGAAACCTCCACCTCCCAGATTCAAGCGATTCTCATCCCTCAACCTCCCAAATAGCTGGGACTACAGGCGTGAGCCACCTTGCCCAGATAAGTTTTGTATTTTTAGTAGAGACAGGGTTTCACCATGTTGACTAGGCTGGTCTCAAACTCCTGACCTCAGGTGATTCACCCTCCTCAGCCTCCCAAAGTGCTGGGATTACAGACATGAGCCACCACACTGGGCTGTGAATTCTTATAATTCTATGTTGCCTTGGCATCCGTTTTAAATATAAGTTGGACTTCCTCATACCAGAAGTAGAGTTTAGTTGCCTTTGACACAATTTCCAGTTCTCCACCTCCTCCTAGTTCTGCAGTGTGGTTAATCCAGATATCTTCCTTATACAACCACCTCCTGGCGACCACCTCCCTATAAGACAACTAGAGGTAACCTACTTGACTTGCCCCACTAACCCCCACGTCTTACATTGTCTGTGCAGATATGCTGCAGTGACCACCTCTCAGTCACAGCATGACCCCATGGAACTCATGCCTGCTTGCTTTAAACCCACCAGTTAGAACTCCCTGTGGAAAACCTGCTTGGGCAATGCCCTGGACACCAAAAAAGGCTTTGGCCCTCAGGTCCCTCCCTCACCCTCTCTCTTTTGCTTTCCACCCTCTGGTTGCCCCTGCAGGTCCCAGTCAGTGCCCCTCTTCCTGTTGGACCTGCTTGGGGTTTTTTTCTTTGTTTGTTTTTGAGATGGAGTCTCACTCTGTCGCCAAGGCTGGAATGCAGTGGTGCGATCTCGCCTCACTGCAACCTCCGCCTCCTAGGTTCAAGCGATTCTCATGCCTCAGCCTCCCGAGTAGCTGGGATTACAGGCGCCCAGCACCATGCCCGGTTAATTTTTGTATTTTTAGTAGAGACGGGGTTTCATCATGTTGGCCAGGCTGGTCTTGAACTCCTGACCTCAAGTGATCCGTCCACCTCAGCCTCCCAAAGTGCTGGGATTACAGGCATGAGCCACCGCGCCTGGCCCCTGCTGGTTTTATGATGCCCTCTTCTCTCTGTGATCTTTAAGTAATTAAAAACTGCTTCTGTTATTTCATATGTTTTGCTGTGCCACCTCCTCCGTGTCTCACCTGGCTGACATACCTGATCCTAGCTCTCCTCAGGGCAGGCCTCTCCTAAAGAGTGACAATCTTGCATTAGGGCCACTCTCAAAAGAGAGACCTCAAAACGCAATGAGAAGAAAACACAACAAGGGGTTTGGGGGAAATTTGATGGGTTAACCCAAAGTTTACAGAGAAGTGCAAGGGACCAAGAATAGCCAAGACACACTCAAAGGAGAATAAGACAAGAGGCCTTGCCCTATCAAGTATCAAGAATTATTAAAAAGCTCTAGGAATTAAGATAGTGGAGGCACAGAGGTATACTGAACAATGAAATAGAATAGGTTCCAGAAACAGACCCATATGTATATGTACATTTATGACAAAGCTGCCATTGCTCACAGTGTGGAAATTCACGGTGCTGAGAGTACTGAGTATTCACACAGGAAAAAAAAAAAAAGAAATATGATCCTATTTCTATTGGATCTATCCTATTGAACACAAACATCAGTTTCACATAGACTGTAGGCCTAAACATGAAAGGCTAAACTATAAAACTTTTAGAAGATAATATAGGCAATGTGATTATAACATTCAGTAAGAAAGATTGCATACAAAGTTGTTGTATAAATAGTTTATACAAAAATATAAACTATAAAGGAAATGTTTGATAAGTTTGGCTAAGCTAAAATTGGAACATATGTTCACCAAAAGAAACTGTTAGAGAATTTAAAAAACAATTAAAAATGGAGAAGCTATTTGTTGCAACATACAAATGAGGTAGTATCAAAATACATAAAGAAGTCATATAAGTCTATAAGAAAAAGACATCTTAATAGAAAAAGATAGGTGCAGCCATAAAAAAGAACAAAATCATGTCCTTTGTGGCAACATGGATGCAGCTGGAGGCCATTATCCTAAGCAAATTAATGCAGAAACAGAAAACCGAATATCGCATGTTCTCACTTATAAGTGGGAGCTAAACACTGGGTACATGTGGACACAAAGGTGGCAACAACAGACACTGGAGACTGCTAGAGGTGGGAGGGGGAGGGAAGGATTGAAAAACTAACTATTGGGTACTATGCTCACTACATGGGTGACAGGATCGATTGTACTCCAAACTGCAGCAGCGCATAATATACCCATGGAACAAACTTGCACACGTACCCCTTGAATCTAAAATAGAAATTGAAATTATTTTAAAAATCATTAATATTGGCAAGACTTTATCTCTTTAGAGTAGAAGAAACATAAGTATCCATATCCATATGAAAATATGCTTTGCCGGGTGCAGTGGCTCAAGCCTGTAATCCCAGCACTTTGTGAGGCTGAGGCAGGTGGATCACCTGAGGTTGGGAGTTCAAGACCAGCCTGGCCAACATGGTGAAACCCCATGTCTACTAAAACTACAAAAATTAGCCCAGCATGTTGGTAGGTGCCTGTAATCCCAGCTACTCTGGAGGCTGAGGCAAGAGAATCGCTTGAACCCGGGAGGTTGAGTTTGCAGTGAGCTGAGATCGCGCCATTGCACTCCAGCCTGGGCAACAGAGCAGACTCTGTCTAAAAAAAAAAGAAAGAAAATATTCTCAACCTCATTCATAATCAGATAAAAAGAACAAACCACAATAAGATACTATTTCATACCTACCAGACTGGCAAAAGTTTGAAAGTCTGACAAAATCAGGTGTTGGCTATGATGGAAAAACCAGAACACTCACACTGCTGGTGAGAGTGTCAACTGGTACAACCACTTGAAAAATAATTAGAAATAATCTAGCAAGAATGAAGATGCATGTGTCCTGTAATCCAGCAGGTCCGCATGCAGGATTATACCCTAGAGCTCCTGTACGTGTGCACAAAGGGACTCATACAAGAATGATCGAAAAAGTCTTGTCTAGATCGTGTTTTAAAAATGGAAACAATGCAAACATTCATCCACATCTGAATGAATAAACCACACTGTGGTGTATTTATATGCTCTAGCGCCATATAATTCTTATTATAGGAATTAATTACAGTGAAACACAACTACACGGATGAAACTCAAGATCAAATGTCTGAGTAAAACACACAAGTTGCAGAAAATTCATACAGTATGATTCCATTTGTTTAAAGTCCAACAACATTCAAAACTAAACAACATGTCGTTTTGGAATATAGCAAAATGTAAAAAAGCATTTTAGAAAAAAAGTGAACAAGGCCAGGTGCAGAGGCTCACGCCTGTAATCCCACCACTTTGGGAGGCCGAGACGGGCAGATCACCTGAGGTTGGGAGTTCGAGACCAGCCTGACCAACATGGAGAAACCCCGTCTCTACTAAAAATACAAAGCCAGGCGTGGTGGCACATGCCTGTAATCCCAGCTACTCAGGAGGCTGAGGCAGGAGAATTGCTTGAGCCTGGGAGGCGGAGGTTGCAGTGAGCCGAGATCGCTCCATTGTACTTCAGCCTGGGCAACAAGAGTAAAACTCTGTCTTAAAAAAAAAAGAAAGTGAACAATAAACTTCAGGAGAATAGCTACATCTGAGAAGGGAAGAAGACAGATTCTACAGGGCATCCAAAGGTAATGCTGAACACAGGTGTTCACTCTTCTGTAATTCTTTTTATATTTTAGAGACAGGGTCTTGCTCTGTCACCCAGGCTGGAATGCAATGACGTGATCAAGGTTCACTACGGCCCCAAGCCCCTGGGCTCAAGCAATCCTCCCACCTCAGCCTCCTGAGTAGCTGGGACTGCAGGTGTGCACCACACCTGACTAATTTATTTATTTTTTGTAGAGATGAGGTCTCACTATGTTGCTCAGGCTGGTCTTGAAATCCTGGCCTCAAGCAATCCTCCTGCCTTGGCCTTCAGAAGCTCTGGGATTACAGGTATGAACCACCATGCCTGGCCAATATTGTAATTCCTTACACATCACATATATATTATATGAATATTCTCAATATCTAATCAAAACAATTAAATGAGGTGATGACTAAGTAAAACACACAGCTCAGTAGCTGGCATCTATTAGGTGCCCATTCTTCTTCTAAGTCTTGTTTCATTATAAATTTTTTTTGTTTGTTTGCTTGTTTGTTTGAGACAGAGTCTTGCTCTGTCACCAGGCTGGAGTGCAGTGACGTGATCTCGGCTCACTGCAACCTCCGACTCCCTGGTTCAAGCAATTCTCCTCCCTCAGCCTCCAGAGTAGCTGGGATAACAGGCACGTGCCACCATGCCCAGCTAATTTTTGTATTTTTAGTAAAGACGGGGTTTTACCATGTTGGCCAGGATGGTCTTGATCTCCTGACCTCGTGATCCGCCCGCCTTGTCCTCCCAAAGTGCTGGGATTACAGGCTTGAGCCACCGTGCCTGGCCTCATTATAAATATTTTAAAACAAATTTGAGTAAAACTAAGTGGTTTTCTTTCAACTCCAATAATTGCTCTTAGGTGGAAGAATGCCACAGGATCAGACTCTAGGTCTGTTCAGAGTCAAAGACTAACAAGGCTCCCCTACTCCGGGTTCTCGATCTTATAACATCCCAGTGGGGTCATTTATGCCAACTGAACTAAAAATAAACATCTACAACTGTTTCGTCCTTTCCCCTCACCTTGATTTCTACCTGGGTGGTTATCTTTTTGACTAGAAAATAATCCTTTTGTGAAACTATGATGAGAGAAGCCACACCCCTAAGCTGGAAGAAATAAAAATAGAGGCACAGTGGATGCCTGCACAATCACACACTCTCTCGTTTGGGTGCTCTGCATCATCACAAGTTATATTTAGGTTGGTGCAAAAGTAATTTTAATGGCAAAAAAATGCAATTGCTTTTGCACCAACCTAATACAAAAGGCAGACTAGGAGTAAAGATAGTGATCTGCTCACTGCCTGCTCTTGGGGTATCTTCTGGTCCAAATGCTATAAATCTCAGGACACAGGCATGGGCAAAGACTTCATGTCTAAAATACCGAAAGCAATGGCAACAAAAGCCAAAATTGACAAATGGGATCTAATTAAACTAAAGCGCTTCTGCACAGTAAAAGAAATTATCATCAGAGTGAACAGGCAACCTACAGAATGGGAGAAAATTTTTGCAATCTATCCATCTGACAAAGGGCTAATGTCCAGAATCTACAAAGAACTTAAACAAATTTACAAGAAAAAAACAAACAAACCCATCAAAAAGTGGGTAAAGGATATAAACAGGCACTTCTCAAAAGAAGACATTTATGCAGCCAACAAACATATGAAAAAATGCTCATCATCACTGGTCATTAGAGAAATGCAAATCAAAACCACAATGAGATACCATCTCATGCCAGTTAGAATGGCGATCATTACAAAGTCAGGAAACAACTGATGCTGGAGAGGATGTGGAGAAATAGGAACGCTTTTACACTGTTGGTGGGAGTGTAATTAGTTCAATCATTGTAGAAGACAGTGTGGCGATTCCTCAAGGATCTAGAACTAGAAATACCATTTGACCCAGCAATCCCATTACTGGGTATATACCCAAAGAATTATATATCATTCTACTGTAAAGACACATGCACATGTGTGTTTGTTGTGCCACTATTCACAATAGCAAAGACTTGGAATCAACCCAAATATCCATCAATAATAGACTAGATAGAGAAAATGTGGCACATATGCACCATGGAATACTATGCAGCCATAAAAAATGATGAGTTCATGTCCTTTGCATGGACATGGATGAAGCTGGAAACCATCATTCTCAGCGAACTATCACAGGAACAGAAAACCAAACACCACATGTTCTCACTCATAAGTGGGAGTTGAGGAAGAAGAGCATAGACACAGGGAAGGGAATATCACACACCAGGGTCTGTCAGGGGATGGGGGATAGGGGAGGGATAGCATTAGGAGAAATACCTAATGTAGATGACGGGTTGATGGGTGCAGCAAACCACCATGGCACATGTATACCTATGTAACAAAACTTCATGTTCTGCACATGTACCCCAGAACTTAAAGTATAATTTAAAAAAAAAAGAAGAAGAAATTAAACTCATGCTTAATCCTGAAAAAAAAAATAAAGGAAAGAAAACATCTGTGACACAAAAGAGCCCCAAACCAAAGAGAGTTGCAAGTAATGCTGACCTTTTAGTAATAAAGGCTCTGGCACTGGTCTCTCCAGTTTGGCTTTGCTTTATAACCAGGAGGCAACTGGAAAACAAACAAAACATACAAGGTTTTATCACTTCATTCAAACAGACTTCAGAGAAGTGGCATCCAGGTATACTATAGAGATAATCAAATTCTATTGTTTGTCTAAGAGTCCACTGAATTTCTAAGTTAATTAAAGCAATGGGGAGAGAATAAAAAAAAAAAAACAGAAAGCCAGGCAAGGACTGTGTTTTCACTGGTGCTCCAGAAGATTCAGCAAGAAACAAGGGAGAGGAGAAAGGGAAACGAGCTGGCCAGACCTTCTCAGTGTGAGGGAAGCAAAGAATCACCGAGATGGTCCATTCATCTGCTCAACCACTGAGCACCCAGTGTGCACCAAGCTCTGTGCTGGAAAAATAAACACATAATTCCCTACCTCATGGAGAATGTAGCTCAGTAGGGGAAAGTCAGAAGCAAGTTGGCAATATGTGGTGTACAGGAGAAGCAGGGGCTGCCACGGGAGCACACAGCACCAGGCCTGGGGGCTCAGAAAAGCCTCCCCACAGGAAGCAACAGTGAATCTCAGACTCTCCTGCAGAGTAAGACCAGTTGGCCTGACATAGTGCATAGTGGGCTGAGGGAGGGGAGTATGAAGCAAGAGGAGAAAGCCTCAATCTGGAGAACAGCAAGCGTAGGGCTCAGGGAGCAAGCATGGGGTACAGGAAAAGGACAACTAGGTCAGAAGGCCTGGAGCAAAGAATGCAAGCAGGGTGGTGTCGGGTTCGCCACCTCTAAATATTATGCTCTCCATGGCTTCAGGCCCGCTGGACAAACCCAGGCAATGAACAGCCTCAGACCTGGAGAGCAGAACTCCTGACTCATACAGCTCATCTATCTTTGCACAGTGCCTTGTGTTCTTGCAGTCACACTCTTGGTTGCAGACACAATGCCAGCCGGAAATATGGCTGTGACAGGACAGTGACTCAGAGTATACAGTTGGGCAATGAGAACTTAAACCATAACTATAAGACTTTTTGCAAGAAAAACCTATTAGACAGAGACATACACACACTCAGATCAGCTACCCTAGCAACTCCTCCATTATATATTAAGAGGAGACCTCAAGCATTGCAAAATCTATTTGGGGGAATGGGGACCAGTTTTATTGCCTGCCTGTTCTTGAGAAAACTTGTGATAAATGGAATCAACTGAACCTTTTTTATTTTCAAATCTGCTCACACATAGCCTTAGGGTCATTTGTGATGTGAGACTGAAGGGGACTGGGATGCAGTGGATGACAGCTGCCCACCATCTGTCTGGTCCTAAACCATCCACCTTCCCACTGTAACTGCTCAGGCCCTCCTAGCCAGAGGCCTGTCAGGAGCCAATTGAGCTGTATCTATCCAGGTATCGTTACACATTTGTTTCAGTTGTGATTATTCTTTCTGGCAGACAAAGCCATCCTTGTGGAAGGTAGAGCAGGACAATCCCACCCAGGCACATGAACCAGGCAGCTGGCAGAGTGCATTGAGGTGGCTCTGCCATCTGCTGCTCAGAAGGAAGGGCCTGAGGCTCACACATGCCTCCAAAGCATGTAAACCCCAGACTTCACCAAACCAAGTGGTAACACCTCCATCCAAGTATCGTCAGCCCTTCTGGTCACATGGATGCATTGTGTGATTTCTCATCCTCTTCAAGTTTTAACCCTTGTCATTCACTTTGACCTGATAAAAATGCTGGGTTGCCAGTGGGAGGGGTTGAGAATAGGAAGCAAAGAGACTTCATAGTACGATTTGTCTTGCACTGGAGACAAATCAAGCCCTGGGATGGCCTTAGCCTCTTCTGTCCAGAGACGGTCCTGCTGAAAATAATAGATTTTATTCCTCAAAAAATTCATGTCATGGTTAGAGCTAAATCATTCTCCATTTTCGTCATTTTAGAAAACCAGAGATATAGTTCAAACTGGTAGTGACACCTTCTTCTACCACTCTGTGCCACCAGTGCCTAGCACACAAGCAGGTATTTATAAACAGTTATTGATACTATGTGATGAATTACTAGCACACAAGCCTGCTTATTTAGAAAAGGAAATTCTACAAAATCAAAGATCTAGAAGCACAGGTATGGACTATCCAGTAGAGAGTACACTTCAATATGTGGCTGCTCAAGAAGCCACTTATCAAATCAAACATAAGTGTGACTCTCATCACATGGGTCTTTTCAAAGTGGGGACCTATTCCTTTCCAGGATCTCACCTATTAGAAAAATGTATATTCACCCTATAGATTTTGTTTAAGATTCTGTCCTCTCTGTGGGGAGATATTTGGAGTTGTCACTCAGCAGCAGAGATCTGGAGGGACCAGATGGCTGGTAAAACAGGAGGCTATTCTCAATCCAGGGCCAACAGGAAAGCTGGAAGACAGAGCCCAAATTTAGTTTGAAACCTGATGCCCAACAGTATAAAATTAGAAATTCCTTTGAACCATCTGGTTCTTTTAAATAAATACCTGTTTGTCCAATCCTAGAATGGAAGGAGCTTCAAAGTCTAGCTCCCTTCCCTAAGACACAACATCTGTCCCATCCGTACTGAACAGCAGCCACGGGAGATACTTAATACTGGCTAGCTGACAGAGCCTAGGCTAATGGATGCCAATCTTAAGTACTCTAAAGTTCTTCAGAATCTTTCTAATTCCAATATCTCTTTCACTCTTCTCTTCCAACCACCAAATCCCCTCTTCTCACTCTCCCTGAGGCTAGAATACACACACACACACACACACACACACACACACACACACCCCGTCTAAAATATTTCAATGTAGTATTGTCCTTCTTCTGCCAACCCACCCATAACGATCATTCCTTCTCTACATTGCTCTACTTTCTATTGTCCTTCTCTCCCCTTCTCTGACAGTGATACGATTTATCCATAACCCCCCAAAAATCAACACTTCACACCCTTGTGAGGTGACTGTCTTAGTTCATTTTGTGTTGCTATAAAGGAATACCTGAGACTGGGTAATTTATAAAAAGAAGAGGTGTATTTGGCTTATGGTTCTGCAGCCTGTACAAGAAGCATGACCACATTTTACTGCTGGACATTTGCTTTGTATTAATAATAGTGAGTAATGATGCTATGAACATTCTTGGGCATGGCTTTTCATGTGTATATCCTATATTATGTAAAACCACTTCTAGGCACTTCCATACCTAGGAGTGGAATTTCCAGGTCACAGGATGAGCAATATTGAGTAGCAGATTTTGCAAACAGTTTCCCAAAGTGCTGGAATCATTTTACACACTCTTCAGTAGCACATAGGAACTTCTATTGCTCCTCACTCTTTTCAGCACTTTGTGTTATCTTTTAATCAGGACTCTCCAACCCCTGGTATCAGTCTGTGGCCTGTTAGGAACTGCGCCAGCATCTGCTCCTGGTGGGGACCTCAGGAAGCTTCCAGTTGCAGTGGAAGAGGAAGGAGAGCAGTGTGTCATATGGTGAGGGACGGGGCAAGAGAGAGACAGTGAGGGGAGGGGTGTCATGCTCTTTTAAACAACCACTCTCATGTGAACTAGTAGAGTGAGCACTCACTCATTAGGATGGGAAGGGCACCAAGCCATTCATGAGGGATCTGCCCACCTGATCCAAACACCTCCCATTACGCCCCATCTTCCAATACTGGGGATCAAATTTCAACATGAGATTTGGGGGGACAAATATCCAAACTATATCAGTCACCATCCCTAAATATTATAAAATAATCTGTCCCCAGCCAAATCAATGTATATCCCAGACCCTTCTCCCTTAAACCCACATTTTTCAGCCTTCACATGGCCTAAGATCTCTTCCACCACACATCATCTCACTACATGCTAACACCACCCCGACCTTTTATCTTGACTGGAGATGGCCTAACCTGAGTGATTTAGTGATTTCATCCCTTGGAAACAGAAGTGAAGAAGAGTCTGGAGTAGAAGGGTCAGCAGGGAAGACCCCAGGAAAGGAGAGTCAAATAGGACCTCCCTAAGTGCTTCCATTTTCTCTTGTATTCCAAAAGCCGGTTAAAGAGTAAATGAGATGATGTATAAATTCATCTAGTAAACTGTTGAAGCCCAATACAAAAGTAACAACATTGTTATTAAATTATTTCCACAAAAATCCCTTAATTAGCATAGAAATAGTGTCATTATATTTCCCTCAAATGAGTTCCTTTTCAGTGACATGGTGATCAAGTCTCAATGTTGGAGGTGTCTTCAACTCCACCCCCTCCCTTGCCCTCTACATTGTTAGGCACAAGTTTCCATGCACTCTTCTTCGAGAAAGTCCTTCAATCCATTCTCCATATCCATTCTCTTTTGGCCTGAACTTAGCCCAGCCCTTTGTCCCTTTGACACTGAAGCATGACTCTCTTATTCTAGGTTCTACTCACCCTATGTGAGCTCAGGTCCTCCAATAAGCTGATGTTAACATGAACCAGACATGCAAGATACTTGTTGGGGGAGATACTTGGGCAGGATAGAGAGGGAGAGAGCATGCATAGGCAGAGGGAGCCTTCAGACCACACTTGTCTGACACCATTGACAAGAGGGAAAGAAGACTGGTAGGAAGATCCTCAGACCACACTGCAGTTCTAAGAAAGTCTCGTTTGGCTGACGGGTAGTATCTAAGCCCAGGTTCCCATTAGAAGAGGCCACATCGAGCAGAATTGGCCCAGCTTTAGTACCTTCAACATGTCAATGAGGGACAGACGCAGCTCAGGGAAAGTGTGGCCCCAGCATAAAGATCAGAGTAATGAGGAAAAGATAGCTTCTCAAGTACTAAGTGAAACGGATAGACAAAGGCAAAAACTGAAACTTGACTCCCTCTCATGCCATTCACAAAAATCAGCTCTGGGTGGATTGTAGATCTAAGTTTGAAATGATAAAACTTTTAGAAAATTATATATAGGAAAATTCATGACTGAGAAAGGAAATCTGTAAACCATAAAGGAAAAGAGAGATGCACTAGAATACATTAAAGTTAAGAATTTTTATTTACCAAAATTAAGAGCTTCTGTTTTGATAAGTAGAAGAGTGAAAAGACAAACAAAAGTGGGAAAGTGTCATTTTAATACATATAACTAAGAGGCTCATAACCAGACTATATTAAAAACTGGTAAAAGTTAATCAAAAGCAAAATAACAGAGAACCCAGTAGAACAAAGGGTAAGAAACTCAAACTGGTATTCCACAAAAGAGGCCATGCAAATGGCCAGTAAACATATATAGGTGCTGAATATCATTAATCACGAGGGAAATGCAAATTGAAATCACGAGATACATTCAACAGACACCTGAATGGTTAAAATCTAAAACAGTGGTCTCCAAACTTTTTGGCACCAGGGACGGTTTCATGGAAGACAATTTTCCCACAGACCCAGGGGAATGGTTTCAGGATGATTCAAGTGCATTACTCTTATTGTGCACTTTATTTCTATTATTACATTGTAATATATGATGAAGTAATTATTCAACTCACCATAATGTAGAATCCGTGGGAGCCCTGAGCTTCTTTTCCTGCAACTAGATGGTCCCATCTGGGGGTGATGGGAGACAGTGACAGATCATCAGGCATTAGATTTTCATAAGGAGCATGTAACCTAGATCTCTTGCATGCACAGCTCACAATAGGGTTCACGCTCCTATGAGAATCTAATGCCACCACTGATCTGAAAGGAGGCGGAGCTTAGGTGGTAATGCAAGCAACGGGGAGCAGCTCTAAATGCAGATGAAACTGCACTTGCTCACCCACTGCTCGCCTCCTGCTGTGGGGCCCGGTTCCTAACAGGCCACAGAGTGGTACCAGGGGTTGGAGGGTCCTGATTAAAAGATAACACAAAGTGCTGAAAAGAATGAGGAGCAATAGAAGTTCCTATGTGCTACTGAAGAGTGTGTAAAATGATTCCACCACTTTGGAAAACTGTTTGCAAAATCTACCACTCAATATTGCTCATCCTGTGACCCAGAAATTCCACTCCTAGGTATGGAAGTGCCTAGAAGTGGTTTTACATAATATAGGATATACACATGAAAAGCCATGCCCAAGAATGTTCATAGCAGCATTACTCACTATTATTAATATGAAGCAAATGTCCAGCAGTAAAACTGTGGTCATATTCATTCTATGGCATACCATAGTGAAAAGTAATGCATCAAAACTACACCCAACAATATAGATAAATTTCACAAATACAATGCTGAGTGACACATATTCTATGATTATATAAAGTTATAAATATATAAAGTTCAAAAATAGTTGAAACTAAAATATCATATTTAGGGATTCATACTTAGGTGGTAAAACTATTGGAAAAAAATGCAAAGACATCATAACCATGAAGACCAGGATAGTGGTTACCTTTAGGGAGAGGGAAAGAGTATAACTGGGGAGGGGTATGCAGGGCCTACTGGAATGCTAGCAGTAGACTATTTTTGCCCTGAGTGTTTGCTTTATAATAATTCAAAAAAACTTTACTAACATATTTTATGCATTTATCTTAATTGTGTTATATTTCTCAATGTTTTTTAAAAGGAATTCTTTTTTAAAAAAATTACAGATGTAGTGGCTCATGCCTATAATCCCAGCACATTGGGAGGCCAATGTGGGAGTATTGCTTGAGGTCAGGAGTTGGAGATCAGCCTGGGCAACACAGTGACACCCCATCTCTACAAAAATTTTAAAAATAAAAACACTAGCCAGTCATGGTGGCATGTGCCTGTAGTTCTAACTACTTGGAAGGCTGAGGCAGGAGGATCCCTCGAGCCCATGAGTACAGGGTTACAATGAGCTACGATAGGGCCACCACACTCCAGCCTGGGTGACGGAGCAAGACCTAAAAGCTTAGTGTAACAGAGAATAAGTGAAAAACCCAGCAAAACATAGAAGACTAATCACAAATGAGTTAGTTTCATCACACGATAAACCATGTTTATCATTTTTTTAAAACAAAAGAAGTGGGAAACAGAAGGTATTATTAATAGAAACATCCTCTGAAGCAAAACTGTCTGCCTAGAACCCAAACAGTATAGAAAGGGTAGAAATTACTCTGCCTCTTCCTAGCAGGCAAAGATTCCCTTCCCTTCACCTGGCTGGCAGTTTGAATTGCAAGGAAAGATGAAACACTGTGACTCATGTTGGCAAAAGATGATTGAGGACTAATTTTACCAACGTACTTTAGGTACCAGTTTGCAAAGCGTGCTTTTAAGTACTCTGATAATTAATGGGTAAGCTGGCAGGCACTTTTTCACTCAAATACATTTATTTCTTAATTAAAACGACATGCAGATGTTAACATTTATTAATTATTTTACTAGTTCACAGCAATATAATTAACTGACTTTAAAAAGCTGAAAATGATACTGCCATCCTTCAGAAGTTGCAGCATTTGGTCTAAATGAAAATGTGAAGTAGGAAAAGGTGTCCTCGTTTCACAGTCTCTCTCCCCACATCTCTCCCCTGTGACTGCTTACAAAGTGGGCTGTAATAATTCTTCCCAACCCAGTGCATGTGCCCCTTTGCAATGTGACTTTGTCACCACTCCCATCAAGGGGTGGGGACTTTTTCCCCACTAGGGACTGACTAAGGAGGAGGAGTGGTGGGAGCAGTTTACTCCAGTGGGGAAGAGAATTTTATTGCATTGTTTAGAATTGCTAGCACACAGTGATAATAAAATAAAAAGCAACCAACTTTTCATTAGTTTTATTATTGCTTTTCAATTCTCTACAGAAAATGCACCCTCTTACTGTCTGCACCCAGGAGTTGTTCTCCCACTGCCAATCACTTCCCTGCTTGGTATTCCATCGTTCCCCACCTCTTGAATCTGAGCAAGCCTGGGACTTGCTTTGACCAATAGTATGTGGTGAAAATGACACTTTGGGACTTCCAAGCCAAGACCTCAAGACATTTGCAAATTTTGCTCTAGTCCTCTTGGAACCCTGAGACCTCCATGTGGGGAAGCTGAGCATGGCCTCCTTGAAGATAGAAGAACACATGAAAAGAGAGGTCCAGCTGATAGCCAGCACCAGTTATCATCAGGCAGGTGAGTGGGGCCATCTTATATCGTTGACCCCAATCCAGCCATCAGATGGCTACAGCCACATGAGTGACTCCAGGCAAGACTGGCAGAAGAACTTCCCAGCTGAGCCCAGGCCAAATGGTTTACCCACATATTTCTGAGCAGTTCGAATGGTTGTTTGAAGTCACTAAATTGGGTTCTCATCCTAGCTCTTCCTCTTAGTGGTGAGACCACGAACAAGTCAATTAACTCTTCTAAGCCTTTTCCTTTATCTGTAAAATGGGGATAATGATATAGAACTTTCTACAGATGACTGTGGTAAGGACTGAATAGGATTATGTGTATGTGCCAGGGTGGAGGCACTAAGATGTGAAAGGTGCTAGATACCAAAATGAGTATGAACATATCCCACTGAAGGAATTCTCAAAGTAGACAGTTAAGAACTGGTTGAGGGCCAGGTGTGGTGGCTTGCACCTGTAATCCCAGCACTTTGGGAGGCCGAGGCAAGTGGATCATTTGAGGTCAGGAGTTCAAGATGAGCCTGGCCAACATGGCAAAACCCCCTCTCTACTAAAAATACAAAAATTAGCTGGGCATGGTGGCACGTGCCTGTAGTCCCGGAGGCTGAGGCAGGAGAATCACCTGAACCGGGGAGGTGGAGGTTGCAGTGAGCTGAGATCGTGCTGCTGTACTCCAGCCTGAGCGACAGAGCGAGACTCTGTCTAAAATAAAAAGAACTGGTTGAGGACTCTTGAACCCCTCAGTTCCACCTCAAGGGAGTAAAGACAGAGAGAGGATTTTGTGAGGGGGTTTTCTTTGAAGAAAGCACTATTGTAAGACTCCTTCTAAGAGGGGAAAGTGGGCTGGGTGCAGTGGCTCACACCTGTAATCCTAGCACTTTGGAAGGCTGAGGTGGGAGTATTGTTTGAGCCCAGGAGTTTGAGACCAGCCTGAGCAACACAGCAACACCCTATCTCTACAAAAAACTAAAATAAAAATAATTAGCCAGGCATGGTGATGCATGCCTGTGGCCCCAGCTACTAGGAGTCTGAGGTGGGAGGATCACTTGAGCCTGAGAGTTGGAGGCTGCAGTGAGCTGTGATCGCACCAGTACATTCCAGACTGGGTGACAGAGTGAGACCCTCTCTCAAAAATACAAAAGAGGGGAGGCTGCAGAGTGCTTCCCTCTCTCTTCAAGCCTGTTTGAGAATGGGTCCTTCACCAAGGCTGCTCAGAGAGCCTGAAATGTGCTCCTTGTAGTCCAGGAGCTCCTCAGATTCATGCCTGAGAAAGTGAAACAGCAAAGGGGAGGGTTGTCTTTGGGACACAAGGTCTAGAGAGCAATTTTATACCAGGGAGCTGCTGCCTAGACCAGGGATCCCCAACCCGCAGGCCACTGACTGGTACCGGTCCGTGGCGTGTTAGGAACCAGGCCACACAGCAGGAGGTGAGCAGTGGGTGAGAGAGCACTACTGCCTGAGCTCTGCCTCCTGTCAGATCAGTGGCAGCATTAGATACTCACAGGAGCGTGAATCCTTTCGTGAACTGCGCATGCAAGGGATCTGGGTTGTACATTCCTCATGAGAATCTAACGCCTGATGATCTGAAGTGGAACAGTTTCATCCTGAAACCATACACCCTGCCCCATCCATGGAAAGATTATCTTCCATGAAACCAGTCCCTGGTACCAAAAAGGTTGGGAATTGCTGGCCTAGAGGGTCCAGCAAAAGTGTTTGAGGGAATCTATGGAAGAAAGTAAGGTTTAAACAGCTGCCAGCTCCAAAGAACACAAAGCCAGCCAGTTTGGAATAGAATCTATGAAGCGGGTACTATTACTATCATTTTACTAACCAGAAATGGAGGCTTAGAGAGGTTAAGTGGTTTGCCTAAGGTCATACAGTAAGTACCACAGACAGGATGAGAATCCAAGCTGATTCTTAACTATGCTATTCCAGATTACCTAGTAAACCACATGTGAAATAGACAGACACCATCACCAAGCAAGAACAAGTGATAAAAAAAAAAAAAAAGATAGGAAAACCAAGCTATAGGCATGGCAGGTTCTCTGTTGTCCCAGGAAACAAACTGGATGTCCTATGCCTGCAGGCAAAGAATTGAAACAAGTAAATGAGAGCACTTTGAGACAACATCAATATACCATGCCAGCTGTAATGTACGACCCTTCCTCAGCAGTCTTCACTCAGCTCCGCCTGTAAAAAACCCCAGCAGCCAGTGAGTAAAGCCGGCTGCGGCAGGAAGGTCTTTACAACCATCTAACTGGTGGGAGTCAATATTCTGCCAGCTGTAGGAAACAAGGAACCATGGAGGATGACCGGGAGCATGGCCATTTCATTCATTAGGTCCCACAGCCGCAGTGCGGAACCTACAAAGTCAGTCAAGGGCAAGGGAAAGGTTTGAGACCGAGGAAAAAAAAAGGATTAGCTCAAAACTCTAAAAGGAACATTGCTAATTCATAATCGATAACTTTTAATGAAATCTCTACCAAAAGTAACGTTATGCCAACCTTGTTTGTTAAATTAATATTCATAAGTATTTCATTACATTTGTAAACAATCTGTAGGTTAGGCTTCCTTACTTCACAAGAATTCCAAGTGTGGGTGAGAAATCACAGGAATTGAAAATTAAAGAAGTTGTTCATAGCCTGATCATTTCAAAGGCAAAATTGTTATTTGTTAAAAGTCTTCCAAAATACTTATAGAAGAAAAAGTTACATTTAATATAGCATTTTATTTTTTTTATTGTGCAGGTTAGGGGCCTCTAAAAGGATGAGTTCCTAGAATCTTTAAACAGTGTCATCCTGAACAAGGAAAGAAGGGCCATTAAAGCCATCAATGAATTCAAGTTTTTCACACAATGTCTGAGATGTGGGTGATTCTTCACTAAATCTTCATTACATTTACAGGCGACACTTTCTGTGACAGCACAGGATCTGAAGTCTGACTGCCCCAAATCAAATCCCCACTCCACACTTAGCTGTGTGTCCTGGGGCAAGTGGCTCAATCTTTTTGAGCCTCATTTTCCTTATATGTGAAGGATGGAGATTAATGAACCCACTTCAAAAGGTTGGGGGAACTGAGCTAACACAATCATCCCACAGTATCCACGGGGGATTGATTCCAGGACACTACCACCTCCCCTACTACCCCCAACAAATACCAAAACCCACGGATGCTCAAGTCCCTGATATAAAATTGTGCCATATATTTGCATGTAACCTATTCACATCCTCCTGTATACTTTAAATCATCTCTAGATTACTTACAATACCTGATGCAATGCTATGTAAGTAGTTGTTATACTGGACCAAGCACAGTGACTCATGCCAGTAATCCCAGCACTTTGGGAGGTCGAGGCAGAAGGATCACTTGAGCCCAGGGGTTAAAGACCAGCTTAGGCAACATAGTGAGACCCCATCTCTACAAAAACAATAATGATTATTATCTGGTCATGGTGGCATACAACTGTAGTTCCACCTACTCAAGAGGCTGAGGTGGGAGGATTACTTAACCCTGGGAAGTCAAGGCTTCACTAAGCCGTGATCACACCACTGCACTCCAGTCTGGGTGACAGAACAAGACCCTGACTCGAAACAACAACAACAACAAAAAAAAAACCTACAAAAATTGCTGTTATTATACTATAATACTATATTGTTTAGGGAATAATGACAAGAAAAAAAGTCTGCAGGTGTTCAGTACAGATGCAACCACCCATTTTTTTAAAAAATCTTTTCAATCCTCAGTGGGTTGAATCTGTAGATGTGAAACCCATGATACAGAGGGGTGACTGTACATGTAAAGCACTGTACAGTCCTGGCACACAGTAAATGTTGAATAAACGTTAGTTGTTCACAGAAACTTGGATCTGCCAAGAGAACCCCACCCCACGGCCTTACTGTGTAATCCATTTTTATGTCTTTCCCAGGTGAGTGTGTGCAAAGGTGGAGATGCTTCTTCAACAAGTTTCCTCCTGCACTAAGTCAGGGCCTGTCTGCCAGACAGAAGCCAAGCAGGAGTTCAGGGTCAAGCGCCAGACAGGAGCTGAGCAGATAGAGCTATTAATAGAAATCTAGGGCCCAGGCATTACGTTCAGAATGGTGCCCCTTACTCCATGTTGGTTCTAAAAATCATTTTCCAGCACCCTTGTGGTGGGTTATTTATGTCTATGGTAATAAAAAGGAGAATTTTTACAAGGCTATGTAATGAATGAATCCTCAACAAACTGAGTGGTTGATCTGCAGCAGATGGATTTGTTCTACAGAGGTACGAAGTATTTGAGTGCAAATTCGCTGTTTTATAGACCCATAGAGGATCAAGATAACTGTCTATAAATATCTATTTGGCTGAGGGTAGTGGGAGAAAGAGGGAGGGAGGGAGGGAGGCAGGGAGACATAAAGCCAAATAATTTGTAGTATAAACTCACTTGTATTAAAAAAAAAAAAGAAAGAAAGAAAAACCCAAATTCCACTCTTGTTTATACTACATGTGGAAATGCACAGAAGACTGGAGGGTGCATGTCAAACTGTTTGCAGTGCTAATTCTCACTGGGGAGCAGAGCAGACTTTCCACAGCGGGCTGTAGCAGGAGCACAACAGGAAGCAGAGGGCACTAACAGCCTGAAGGGATGCCCACAATCTAAAAGGAATGAAATTTGGTGAACCAGCCGGGTCCCAGAACCTTGAGCTGAACTCACAATATGGCCACATCGCACCAGAGGTCTCCCAGTGAGATTGGGTTGTGAGAATGAGCATTGAGGAATTCTTGCCAGGGAAGAAGAAACCCCATCTGCATCTTTCAAGCGAAGTAGCATCACCAGGCAAGGACGGCAGAAAACAACCTGGATGTTATAGATATATCTAAGGGAGATACATTACTCTTAATATCACAGGGGGTGTACACCCTGTGATATTATTTGTAATATCTAAGGGAGATATGTTGCTCCTAATATCTAAGGGAGATATATTGCTCCTAATATCACAGGGGGTATACCCCCTGTGATATTATTCATGATATCTAAGGGAGATGATATATTACTTGTAATATCACAGGGAGTGTACACCCTGTGATATTATTCATACTATCTAAAAGAGATATATTACTCCTAATATCACAGTGGGTGTACACCCTGTGTATACACCCTATGATATTAATCATAATATCTAAGGGAGATGTATTGCTCCTAATATCACAGGAGGTGTACACCTTGTGTGTACACCCTGTGATATCATTCATAATATCTAAGAGAGATGATATATTACTCCTAATATAACAGGAAGTGTATATCCTGTGATATTATTCATAATATCTAAGGGAGATGATATATTACTCCTAATATCACAGGGAGCATACATCCAATGTCTACCCTCTGTGATATTATTTGTAGTATCTAACGGAGATATATTACTCCTAATATCACAGGGAGTGTACACCCGGTGATATTATTCATAATATCTAAGATATATATATAATATCTAAGCGAGATACATTACTCCTAAAATCACAGTCCACCCTGTGATGTTATTCATAAGATTTAAGGGAGATATATTATTCCTAAGATCACAGTTGGTGTACACCCTGTGATATTATTCATTATATCTAAGAGAGATATATATAACTCATGAGAGTACAGTGAATGTACATCTTGTGATATTATTCCTAATATCTAAGGGAGATATTACTGCTAATATCACAGTGGGTGTACACCCTGTGATATTATTTGTAATATCTAAGGGAGATATTACTCCTAATACCACAGTGGATGGACGCCCTTTGATATTATTCATAATATCTAAGGGAGATGATATATTACTCCTAATATCACAGGGAATGTAAACCCTGTGATATTAGGATTAATATATAAGGGAGAGGATATATTTCTCCTAATATCACAGAGGGTGTATGGCCTGTGATATTATTCATAATATCTAAAGGAGATGATACATTACTCTTAATATCAGAGTGGGTGTTAACCCTGTGATATTATTGGTAATATCTCAGGGAGACAGATTACTCCTAATATCACAGGGGGTATACACCCTGTGATATTATTTGTAATATCTAAGGGAGATATATGACTTCTAATACCACCGAGGGTGTTCTCCATGTGTGTTCACCCCCTGTGATATTATTCATAATATCTAAGGGAGATATGTTACTCTTAATATCACACGGGGCGTACACAGAGGGAGTACAACCCGTGTGATATTAGTAGTATAACTCCCTTAGACATTACAAATAATACAACAGTGGGTGTACACAGAGGGAGTACACCCCATGTGATATTAGTAGTATAACTCCCTTAGATATTACAAATAATACAACTGTGGGTGTACACAGAGGGAGTACACCCCCTGTGTAATCCCTGTGATTTTATTCATAATATTTTTGGGAGATGTATGACTCCTAATATCACAGTGGGTGTACTCCCTCTGTGTACACCCACTGTTGTATTATTCATAATATCTAAGGGCGATATACTACTCCTAATATCAAATTCCTAAAATATCCAGGGTGTACACACTGTGATATTAATGAAATAACATAGCTGTGATATTTCTATAATATCTAGTGTTTACACACTGTGATATTAATGAAATAACGTCACTTTGATATTTCTCTATAATCCAGGTGTTACACCCAATGTTAATACACTGTGATATTAATGAAATATCATCCCTCTGATATTTCTATAATATTCGGTGATTACATACAATGTTTGTCCACTGTGATATTAACGAAATATCATCGCTCTGCTTCATCCATGTTCCTACAAAGGACATGAACTCATCATTTTTTATGGCTGCATAGTATTTCATGGTGTATATGTGCCACATTTTCTTAATCTAGTCTATCATTGTTGGACATTTGGTTTGATTCCAAGTCTTTGCTATTGTGTGAATCATGCCGCAATAAACATATGTGTGCATGTGTCTTTATAGCAGCATGATTTATAATCCTTTGGGTATATACCCAGTAATGGGATTGCTGGGTCAAATGGTATTTCTAGTTCTAGATCCCTGAGGAATCGCCACACTGACTTCCACAATGGTTGAACTAGTTTACAGTCCCACCAACAGTGTAAAAGTGTTCCTATTTCTCCACATCCTCTCCAGCACCTGTTGTTTCCTGACTTTTTAATGATCGCCATTCTAACTGGTGTGAGATGGTATCTCATTGTGGTTTTGATTCGCATTTCTCTGATTCTCAGCAAACTATCGCAAGGACAAAAAACCAAACACCACATGTTCTCACTCATAGGTGGGAATTGAACAATGAGAACACATGGACACAGGAAGGGGAACATCACACACCGGGGCCTGTTGTGGGGTGGGGGGAGGGGGAGGGATAGCATTAGGAGATATAACCTAATGTTAAATGACGAGTTAATGGGTGCAGCACACCAACATGGCACATGTATACATATGTAACTCACCTGCACATTGTGCACATGTACCCTAAAACTTAAAGTATAATAAAAAAAAGAAAAGAAATATCATCGCTCTGATATTTCTATTATATCCAGTGTTTACACACTTTGATGATATTTATGAAATATCACTTTGATAGTTCTATAACGTTCAGTGTTTGCCCACTGTGTGACATTAAAGAAACACCATCACTCTGTTATTTCTATAACATCCTGTGTTTACACACTGTGATATTACTGAAATAACATCGCTCTCATATTTCTATAATATCCAGTGCTTACACACAGTTTACACACTGTGATATTAATGAAATATCATTGCTATGATATTTATTTAACATTTAGTGTTTATACATTGATATTAATGTAATATCTTCGCTCTGATATTTCTATAATATCCAGTGTTTACACAGTTTTTACACACTGTGATAATAATGAAATAACATTGCTCCGATATTTCCATACTATTCAGTGTTTACACACTGTGATATTAATGAAATATCATCGCACCTATTTTCTATAAAATCTAGTGGTTACACACACTGTTTACCCACTGTGATATTAACGTAATATCATTGCTCTGATATTTCTAAAATATCCTGTGTTTACACACAGTACATGTACATTGTGATATTAATAAACTATCATCACTGATATTTCTATAATATCTACAGTTGTCACACTGTGACATTAACAACTGTAGATATTATAGAAATATCATCCCTCTGATATTCTATGATATCCTGTGTTTACACACTGTGATATTAATGACATATAATCGCTCTGATATTTTTATATTATCCGGTGGTTACATACAGTGTTTACACACTGTGAAATTAATGAAACATTATCACTCTGATATTTCTTTAATAACCAGTGTTTACATGCTGTCATATTAATAAAATATCATGGCTCTGATATTTCTATAATATCCAGTATTTGTAATTGTAAATGTAAGCACTGTGATAATAATGAAACATCATCACTCTGATATTTCCATAGTATTCAGTGTTTACACACCATGATATTAATGAAATATCATCACTCTCATAGTTTTATAATATCCAGTGTTTACACCCTGTGGTATTAGTGAAATATCATCGCTCTGGTATTTCTATAATATTCAGTATTACATACTATATTTCTGATATTTCTATAATATTCCGTATTTACAGCCTCTGATATTAATGAAATGTCATCGCTCTGATTTGTCTGTAACATTTAGTGTGTGCATACAGTCTGTGATATTAAGAAAATATCATCACTCTCATTTGTCTGTAACAACCAGTGTGTGTGTACACACTGTGATATTAAGGAAATATCATCACTCTGATATTTCCATTATATCCAGTGTATACACACTGTGATATTAATGAAATATCATATTAATGAAATAGAATCCGTCTGCTATTTCTATAATATCTAGTGTGTTTGTACACACTGTGTTATTAAGGAAACATCATCACTCTGATACATCTATTCATCCAGTGTGAGTACACACTGTGATATTAAGGAAATATCATTGCTCTGATATTTCCATAACATCCAGTGTGTGTGTACACACTATGATATTAATGAAGCATCATTGCTCTGATATTTTTATAACATCCCCTCTGTGTGTACACACTGTGATGTAAATGAAATATCATCGCTCTGATATTTGTAATAATTATTTGTAATAATGTGTACACAAAGTGTACACCACTGTGATATTACGAGTAGTATCACCATGGGATACTATGAATAATGTCCCAGGGTGTACACACAGGGTGTACACACACTGTGATGCTATGAAAAGTATCTCCCTTGAATACTACGAACAATGTCCTAGAATGTACAAGCAGGGTGTATAACCACTGTGATATTACAAGTAGTATCTCCCTGGGATACTACGAATAACGTCCCAGGGTATACACACAGGGTGTACACCCCCTGTTATATTATGAGTAGTGTCACCTTGAAATGCTACAATGTGCCAGGGTGTACACACAGGGTGTACACCCCCTGTGATATTAAGAGTAGTATCTCCCTTAGATGTTACTAATAATATCACAGGGTGTCCACACAGGGTGTACTGCCATCATGATAGTGGCAGTAATATCTCCCTTAAATATTACAAATAATATTACAGGATGTACACACAGAGTGTACTCCCACTATGATATTAGGAACAACATCTTTTTAGAAATAATGAATAATATCACAGGATGTACACTGACAGTGATATTAAATGTAATATCTTTTATCGATATTATGAATAATATCAGAGGGTATATACCCACTGTTATATTAGGAGTGACATCTCCCCTATATATTACAAATAATATCACAGGGTGTACACACAGGGTGAATGCTTACTGTGATATTAGGAGAAATATTTCCCTTAAATATTACTAATCATATCACAGGGTGTACACCCACTGTGATATTGAAAGTAATGTCTCCCTTTGATATTGCGAGTAATATCACAAGGTGTACACATAGGGTGTACATTAATTGTGATGTTAGGAGTAATATCTCCCTAAGATATTGCCTATAATATCACAGGGTGTACACCCATTGTGATATTAGGAGTAATGTATCCCTTAGATATTACAAAAAATATCCGAGGGTATGCACCCACTGTGATATTAGGAATAATATCTCCCTTATACGTTATAAATAACATCACGGGGTGTACACCCACTGTGATATTAGGAGAAGTATCTCCCTGAGATGTTATGAATAATATCATGTGGTGTACACTTACTGTGATATTAGGAGTAATATCTCCCTTAGATCTTACAAATAATATCACCAGGTGTACATAAAGGGTGTCTACCCACTGTGATATTGGAGTAATATCTCTCTTAGATACTATAAACAATATCATGGGGTGTACACACAGGGTATACTCCCACTTTGATATTAGGAATAATATCTTCTTTAGATATTACAAATAATGTCACAGGATGTACACCACTGTGATATTGGAAGTAATATCTCATTCGGTATTACGAATAATATCACGAGGTATACACCCATGTGATATTAAAAGTGATATCTCCCTTAGTAGATATATGAATAATATCATGGGGTGTACACCCACTGTAATATTAGGAGTAATACCTCGCTTAGATATTACAAATAATATCACGGGGTGTACACGCACTGTGATATTAGGAGTAACATCTCCCTTATATATTATGAAGAATATCACAGGGGGTGTACACACAGGGTGTTTCACCCCCCTTAATTATTACTAATACTATCACAGGGTGTACACCCACTGTGATATTAAGAATAATAGTTCCCTTAGATATTATGAATACGATCACAGTGTGTACACCCACTGTAATATTAGGGGTAATATCTTTTTTCAGATATTATGAATAATATCACAGGGTATATAGCCACTGTGATATTAGGGGTAAGATCTCCTTTCAGATATTACGAATACTGTCACAGGGTGTACACCCACTGTGATATTTGGAGTAATATCTCCTTTCGGATATTATGAATGATATTACAGGGTGTACACCCACTGTGGTATTAGGAGGAATTTCTGGCATTATTTCCAGATTAATTGAGAATTACAGGGCCCTCTTTATTCTTCCCCAGTCATCTGCCAAATTGCCAGAGAAGCTGGAACATCTCCAGTTGTTAGGAAATCTTGCAATTTTGGAGATAATATTCTTTTGTTCATTCAGCCTCCAGCATGGAGACAACCTTGCGTGTATGCACACAGGTGGGCCCATTAGGTACTCACTCACCCATCTTACCACTACCAATTACTACTTCAAAAGTCCTAATTCAGTGGTTGAGTGTCTTGTTTCTGGCTTACCATAGTCACAGTCTTTGTCACTAAAAATATGTGCTTCTTCCAGCACCTGCTGTGTCCCATGTCAAATGGCCCCATCATCATCTCTTCAGGAAAGGTGTTCCATGAGGATCACTGGAGGACAATGAGGGAGATACAGACTTGAATGGTTTTATTTGTCAAAGCTGAGGCTCTGCTGACCTTAGAGTTTCATTAAAGTTGGAAGATACATTTTGACAACTCACAGAAGGCATGAAAAATAGGTGCTTCCTGGAGCAGTGGGTTGGATAAGGGTATTTTACATAAATTTTCTCTGGGACCCATGATTATAAATTTGCTAAACCAAGTGACACACACTGGGTCAGAATGGAACTCCTCCCTTTTCTTTGTTCTCCACTTCTCACCAAGGCATGAGACTCCAGCTCCACCACACCTCTGTGACCTCTCCTCCTAATTTCCCCTGACGCTGCTCAGCATTCATTACCCCCTCCAGGTTGACTACAACGTGCTGGGCTGTCTAACCTCGTGTCTCTCCTAATTCATGCTAACTGATGGCACCACAGTGCAGTTTGGAGGCTGGGTGTCTTGGGAGAGCGGGAAGTGCAGCATCTTACTGTGTTCTATTGTCATTTTTGTTTGCAAACCATTTCAGTTCTCCCTGTAAGCCTTCTGGAAATTAACAGCATGGGAGATATAACTTCATATATTGGGATTTCCGTTTGAGAAAAACTTCCATAAAAGTTGTATCCAAACATACAAGAATGAAACAAAGCTTGCTGCTTTGGTGTTAGGGACTGAATTGTGTTCCCTTAAAATTCATGTGTTGGAAGTCCTAATCCCAAGTAACTCAGAATGTATCTGCATTTGGAGATAAGGTATTTAAAGAGGTAATTAAGTTAAAATGAGGTCATTAGGGTGGGCTCTAACCCAGTATGACTGGTGTCCTTATAAGAAGAGGAGCTTAGGACACAAACACACAGAGAAACCCTGGGAAGCCACCTGCAAACCAAGGAGAGGGGCCTCGGGAGAAACCAAAGCTGCCAACACCTTGATGTTGGACTTCCCAGCCTCCAGAACAGGAGAAAATCCGTTTCTATAGTGAAGCCACCCAGTCCGTGGTATTGTGTTACAGCAGCCCTAGCACACTAAGCCACATAGTAATTTTTAATGTTGCAAAAGCCAAATAGTGACTAGAAGCCTGATGTTCAAGCTGATTCAGGGGAAATTACCCTCTTCATCACACTTTGTTCAAGGCCACAAGTCCCTGACCCAGACTCTTTATTCACATAAATCCCCTCCTCTGTGCCCCTTCTTCCTCCGCCAAGAACTTAATGATGTTTGTTCTTACAGCCACTGCCTTTATATCCTTCCTATGGCACCTAGTCTTCCAACCCGACACCTAAGCTTAATGTGACCTGAAAAGAGGAGGGACACACAGACTTGCATGTTCATGCTGAGGGGCAGGAATTCTGAAAGGACTAGAATGCCTGGGAATTTGGGTAGCCTAACTGATACTGTTGTGAAATACGTATTTTTAAAGATGATGAGAACTCATCTAAAAGCTCATTTCTCACTCCAAGTCTCACAGTTCATTGTAGACTCTGAACGTTATAATAGAAAGGGACTGAATTAAGATGAGAGAAGAGACAAGGGTGAAGGATGGGCAGAAAGGCAGAGCTGTTTGAAGCCGTTCATTGGTTCAACACACATTTGAGTCCCCACCATGTGTAGGAGCTACAGGTATGGTGGACAGCAAAAGCTACACAGTCATTGCCTTTGGGGAGCTTCTGCACACATAGGAGATACACACATACGTTTGTACATATACATTGCAATATGCAATCACAAACTGTAGGAACTTCTATGAGAAGAAAGTGCCAATGGCTTTGAGAGTGAGCTCAGCGTGATCTGCTCTGGTATCAGGGGCAAGGAAGGCTTATCTGAGCAGGACCTCTGAGTTTGTGCCACATGGAATCCATGGTCTCTTAGCTAACACTCACCCCACTCTACTTCCTCCCTCAGGCCAGAAGCCTGAAGACTACATTTTCCAGACTCATCTGCCAGCTGATTATGCTCATGGGAGGCAGTGGCAGGATACTGGAAAGTAGGAGGCAGGGAGAAGCCATGTGTTTTCTTGATTCTAGCAGTGACAGCAGCAATAGCAACAGCAATAGTGACAGCAGTGACAAAAGCAATAATGGTGGTGGTCGTAGTAGTGCCAAGAGTAACTGAGAGCTCTTGAGTTCCTCCTTGGGCAGTCAAGTTCCATCAGCAGCAGCCTCAGCAGCACAGCGGTCATGGGCTCTGGTGACATGGTGTTCGCTTCTGTGCACTCAGCCCTAGAGGTGGAGTGGCGTCCTAAAATTACCAATCTTTGAGTCATTTTGCCTTCCTCTTTGTTCTCCCACCATTCCAAGACCTCTGTTACCAATTTCCTGAATTGAACTCCCTATTTTAAAAACATAGAGCAGTTTTGCTTCCCTGAATAAACAAAATATTCCTAAAATAGCTCCAGGAAACTGATTCAAAGATAGGATCTGGGATTGATTATCTGAGTTGGCGTGCATGAGATGATGACCTCAATGCCAGTGGAAAATAAGATACTGGTAGTCCATGGGATGCTGTAGCAAATTGTTAGTTAAATTATCACTGCTGACTGCTTGAGATGAAGTGCATATGGAAGGTAAGGCTTCCTTCTCCCTGTGGAGACCAAGTGGTGATTGCAACTATTTTGGAGGGAGCAATAAATATAAAGACTCTGAATGAACTGACTATTTCTGAATGCACTGGTGAGTTCACAGAAAGAAAACTACAAACTTGGGGCTTAAATATCTCAGCTAATGCCATGGTCCAAGAGCCAAAAAGCTTTGATAACAGCACAGAAAGAACCTCTTATCTCTTAACAGCCAAAGAGCCAATTTAGCTAAAAAGACAGACCTAGAATCTGATCCTGTAGGTTGCAGAATTATAATGAACAGACCCACCCAGATCTCTTATGTGACCTATGAGTGTATAATCAATCAACCAATCCAGTTACTGCTGTAGGTCTTGGGTATAAAAGTGAACCAGACCAACAGTACTTCTACCCTCAAAGAAGTCCACACAAAGATCTGGAAGAAAGGTATTCCAAGCAGAGGAAAGAGCAAGTGCAAAGCACTGAAATGGAGTCAGCTTGGTGTGTGCGAGGGACAGAAGAAATGTCATCCTGGAATGCAGTGCATATGGAGGAGAGTAGAGGGAGGTAAGGCCAGGGAGACAGGCAGGAAGCAAGTCTGGCAAGGTCACTGCAGGCCATTGTGAACACTTGTTTTATTCTGGTCTAATAAAAACCATTTGGAAGTGCTAAGCAGGTGGTGTAATGCAATACAATTCTGACACTAACCACCCAGAGTCAGCACTGACTCCACAAGCCAAAAGGCATGGTCTCCAACAGCACTGTCCCTATTTAGAAACCAGCTGCAAGTTTGAGGGTCTTCAGACCACCCACACTTCTGACCAACTAGCTACAAATTCTAAGATTTTCATGGCCCCCTCAGGTTTGTTAATTGTTAGAATGACTCACAGAACTCCCGTGAACTAAAGTACGCAGGAGAGTACTGGTAATTACAGTTTTATGATAAAGGATACAAATCCGAAGCAGGCAAACAAACAGACACACAGGGCAAGATCCAGAAGGATCCCACACATAGAGCTCCTGTGCCCTCTTTCCCCATAGAATCAGGACGTGTCACCCTCCCAGCACCAACCAGGAAGCTCCACTAAACTTCTGTGTTGAGTTTCTATTAGAATTTCGTTACCCAGGCATGTTTCAATGAATTATTGGCCCACATGATTAGACTCAATCTCCAGCTTCCCTCCCCTCTCCAGAGATCCGGCTGATATCACATAGCTCAAAGCTCCAACCTTCTAATCTCATGGTTGGTCTTTCTGACTCAGCCTACCCACATCCTGAATCTTCTCATTTGCAGAAGCTGTCTAGAGGCCTAGCATGAGTCACCTCATTAGCATAAGCAATCAGGACCCACCATGGATAACAAAGACAACTTGGAAAATTCCAATGGTATTAGAGTCTCCATGCCAGGAACTAGGACAAAGACCAGAGAAATTATTATACAATAGCAGGAGAATATCATAATCTGAGTTAAATTTTAGAAAGATCACTGCAGCTACTATACGGAGGGGTTGACGAGAAGAGGCAAGAGTGGAGCTTACAGTGGCATTCTAACTGGACTGTTCCTAGGAAGACACCTTGGCTGTCTTTGGGCTGCCTAATCTCTCTTGGTCCATTCTCCAAACCTGGTTCCTAGCCTTCTCATTGATCCTATGAGCTACATCATATCCTTAGAGTAAATATTTTCTGCTAAGTTAACTAGAATTTGTTTCTGCTATTTTCTACCAAGTACTCTATTACATACACTCTTTCTCTTTCTACCATGAGGCTGCCATAGTTTCTCTTCCAGAAAATAGAATGTGGCTATTCTATTTCGTGTTCCTAAGTCACATGTTCCATCTTCAGACACCCACACTGGTTTTCAGTTCCATTTCCAAATTCCTAGGGAAGAGAGTTTGATCATTCCATTTTAGGTCATAGGTACTCTGTTAGTCCAATCAAGTGTGGCTAAGAAAGCAGGGTCATGTAGTACAAAATCGTTGCTAGGGCTTCATTGCCCAAAATTATTGTTACGTAGAATAGACACCCCAAATGTTGCTTCCTACAAATAGATGGAATTTAAGTAGCCAAGGAGGAAAAAGAATGAATTTTAAGAAGGAAAACATGAATTGATGATGCATAGAAGCTGGAATGGTTGTGGCATTTTCAAACAATAGGAAAGATTCTGGCCAAACCAGAGCAGAGGCATCTGATAGGAAGTGGAGGAGGTGTGGGCTTGACTGGGAAGTGTGAAGCCATTCTATGGAGGCCCTGAACATCCGGCAGAAAAGTTTCAACGTGTGAAGAAAATTGGAAGCCACTGGACTTGTCTTGGCTGGGGAAGATTCTGAAAAGTATTATCTAAACAGCAGTAGCAAGTTGAATTGGAGGGGCCATGAGTTTTGGAGTCCATTGGAGGTGATGCTTACAAAGAGTGAGAGACATTAAGATTTTTTAAAAATAAGATAAGATACAGTCGTTTTCTGTGTATGGAAAATGAAAGAGAAATAAATCATAGTTATGCTCACAAAATTAGTTAATGACAGAGTACCATGAATTGCAAAGCTATAAACACCCAATTTGTGAATCTTCTCTAAAAAAGAATAGCCAGTTGCATACAGAGCTCTTTCTGTGCTTGTTCCTCTGGTAGCCTCTACCCTTTGAGAAGCAATAGCATGGCTTGGGACTGCAAAGAACTCTCAAATCTAATGAATAGCTTCTTTCTTCTTTAGGAAATCATGCATTTTTGCTGACTCAGCTCAGGGTAACCACTATAGGAAATTTATTTTTAATATGCATGCACATCCTTTTTAAGGGCCTTTTCTCCCTCTTTCCTCTTATCTAACTTTTGCTCAATTATCTCAGAAGAAAATGTCCCATTTTGTCCCCTTTTTCTTCCATTTGTAAGCCAAAGAAAAATGACCCTAATCATGTATGATAAGCCTAAAGTAGTGCCAGTGATACAACCATATGAGGAAAAAGGAAAGCCATAAATTTGGAAGTGACACTTAATGTCATAAAGAGCCAGTAACATCAAATTAGAAAGTCCTGGAAAGGGCCCAAATTTCCCTTCGGAATCTCCACCACGGTACTCATCTATATTTTCAGCCCTTAATTAAATCTGCTTTCCGCTGTGCTTTTCATTCACCATTTAGTAAAAATGAAAACCTTTCTTAATAAATTTCAGAGATGGGAGATTAAATTACTTACATACATGCCAATACAGCAATGGAATTTTTTACTTAATTTTTTCTTGTAAATACATCATATGGCATCAATATAAATGAGTATGAATGACTTTAGTGGGCTAATCTGGGTACCCACCTGCATTTATAATACCATTTTTATAAGAAAATGCGTTCTATCTTCAAGCAAACAGACTTGCAGGCTGATTTCTGGAAATCTAGTTTTCGAAAGTTGAACACTGTTTAATTCTATAAAAATATTCTAATGAGAAATGCAAAATTGTATAATTACTTTAAGTATGAAATTGTATAATTATTTTAAGTCCAATAATGGAGAATTCCAACATGCAAGTTTAATGCATGTGACTTCCTTTTCTCACCACTTAATTGGTTTTGGTAAGCAGCCAGTTCTTTATTTGTTGTTCTTAAGCTGTCATTACAAATTCTGCTAGCTTACAGGGTAAAAAAACATGAGCTGGAGGTAGGGGTTTGGCTGCATGAGTTTTCTAAATATATTTATTAATGCTTCTTAAATTATCTTCAAAGCTGGGTATCTCCCTCAGTTTGCAGCATCTTGTCACTTGGTTTAGAACCACGATCTCACTTTAATGTCCATATAGCCAGATGCAGCTGCATTTATTTACATTTTTTAAATGAATGAAACTTTTAACTTGTTGACATATTGGAGAGTCTAAAAATGTCCCATTTAAACTCATCCTCACAACTACATCCGCATGGGTGGCTATTGAATTAGCCCCACTTTGCAGCAGAGCTGATTTTCAAGAGAAATGTTTGAGTAAAATTGAAGGGTTTAGAAAGCCTTATTATTGGGTGACACAGAAGAAACTACTTTGGTTGCATTTCAAGTTTCCAACTGAAATTTCAAGTCAGGGCCATGAGACAAAACCACAGGAGCAAAATGAAACGAGAGTGCAGCTGCATTTCCATGTAAGTTGGCCCGTAGGATACTTCCCCAGGAACTAGATGATTTTCTTTTGAACTTTTAGCTACGGTGAAGAAAGATCAGAAATTTTGAAGCTATGAGACATACTTCAAGGCCAGCCTCCCAATTACCCACGTTGTGTGCTGTGAATAGTACCCATTCATTCATTGATATTTATTGAGAGGCTTACTATGAGTAAAGCTCTGTGTGATCAATGTTACACGAATACAGAAAGGAATAAAATTCAGTGCACCCTCAAGGAGCTTACAATCTGGAGGGAAGGCAATTAACTATAATATAAAGCATATAGTACTTCTCAGAAGAAGTACTAGAATAGAAAATAAGCAAAATATAGAAACAGAATACAGAAAGACAAAGTTCAAAATACAGAAAGACAAAGTAGGGAATGATTAGTTCTAACTAGGTGGCACAGGGAAAGGTAGAGAGGTGGGTCTACCTCTCACGGATAGCATAAGCAAAAACATGGAGGTATGAATGGCATATTTAGTGAAGGGCAAGTAGTGCAGTATGGCCAGTATGGGGCAGTGACCAGCATGGGGCATAAGGAAGGCATAGGGTAGGTTGGGACTGAATCCTAGAGCGTTGTAAAGTCCCAGCCTGGAACTGAACCACGTATCTTGGAGAGCAAGGAGCCACTGATGATTCTGAGGAGGTAAAACTATCTGAACTGGATCAGAGAGAAAGATAACTCATGCAACAATGAAGAAAAGTCGAAGTTGGAAATTTGATATGTCATGAAGCTACTGAAATAATCCATAAGAGTCAAAAAGTACTTAAATTATAGCAGAATCAAGGTATTGGACTGGGAAGAAAGTTCAAAGGAAGAAAGGACAGAACTTGGCAATTGATGATTTGGATGTCAAGAGACCCTGGAGTTTAAAGAGAATGGAGAACAAGAAATGGAAGACGACTGAGGCTTCTGGCCCAAATGAAAGCAAGGGTAGAAGTCCTAATAGCCATGATAAGTAAATACGGCAAGAGGAGCAGTATGCAGGATGACATGTTAAATTAAGTGTGCTAAGTTTTAGTTACGGAAGAGAAATGCATGGGAAAATATCCAGGAGACCACTGGAAATCTGTGTTAGCCACAAGAAATTTAGAGGTGAATATAGGTGAGCCCCCTCAGACAGAGAATCTGAGCAGGAAAACATGGGAAGATAAAACTTGAGGAAAGGTACATTTAAACAGTAAGTAGAGGCTGGGCATAATAGGCTTATGCCTGTAATCGCAGCACTTTGGGAGACTGAGGCAGGAGAATCACTTGAGACCAGGAGTTCGAGACCAGCCTGAGCAACATGAAACACCATCTCTACAAAAAAAAAAAAAAAAAAAAATGTAATTAGCTGGGCTAGGTGGCCATTCCTGTAGTCCCAGCTACTCAGGAGGCTGAGGTGGGAGGATCACATAAACCCAGGAGTTAGAGGTTATGGTGAGCTCTGATTGCACCACTACATTCCGGGCTGGGCAACACGCAAGACCCTGTCTCTTAAAAAAAAAAAAAGAGAGAGAGAGAGAGAGAAGGAGGAGGAGGCAGGGAGAATCATAGAGAAGGCATTGTCCAAGATGTAGTAAAGAGGCCGATGTTCTTCCTTGTAGCTAAAGGATGGGGTACTGGGAGGCATGGGGTTTGAAAACTCCACCAAATAAAAGCTCTTCAAGATTGCTACCTGTATATATAGCAACCTCATTCGGTGCTACGACCACATCAAAGGACTTAAACAGGGTCTCTCCTTAGGAACAGAATTCTGTCCCCAAGCTCTCCTCCACACTCCTAAGAGACTCATCTTGGTCAGACAGTTATGGTGCCAAAAACTACCACATTCCTGAGACTCTTATGGGATGAATTAAGCAGAGAACGAATCTAGAACTTGGTAAAGCTGAAGGTACAAACTTTTCCACTTTAATTAACATGTCTGGGCCAGGCGCAGTGGCTCACTCCTGTAATCCTAGCACTTTGGGAGGCTGATGCGGATGGATCACTTGAGGTCAGGAGTTCAAAACCAGCCTGGCCAATATGGTGAAACTCCATCTCTACTAAAAATACAAAAAAATTAGCCAGGCACGGTGGCACCTGTAATGCCAACTACTCGGGAGGCTGAGGCAGGAGAATTGCTGGAACCTGGGAGGTAGAGGTTGCAGTGAGCCAAGATCGCGCCATTACACTCCAGCCTGGGTGACAGAGTGAGACTCTGTCTCAAAAAAAAAAATAATAATAATAATGTGTCTGATTTCCACTCTACTCCACTTCATATCCTGGGTCCTCTACCTTTAGTTGAGAAAATAAAGTTCCTTTTGCTTATTATGGATGGTACTGACAATAAATAGTCACACACTATCAGTTAAGCTGAAATTAATCCAGCGTCTCCCTGTATCCCAAACTAAATGGCTGTTATTGTTCTTATAATTGCTGCTGCTGCTGTTATACATTATATATGCATACAGTGCTTTATATGTGTGAACCAAAAGTATCTGAGACAGGTCTCGATCAATTTAGAAAGTTTATTTTGCCAAGGTTAAGGACACACCTGTGACACAGCCTCAGGAGGGCCTGACAATGTGTGCCCTGGTGGTTGGGGCACAGCTTGATTTTATGCATTTAGGGAGACATGAGACATCAATCAATATGTGTAAGACGTACATTGGTTTGGTCTGGAAAGGCAGGACAACTCAAAGCACGGGGGCGGGGGCTTCCAGATCACAGGTAGGTAAGAGACAAATGGTTGCAGTCTTTCCAGTCTTTTATCAGCCTTTCACTGAATACACGATTTACATGTGAGGGGTGGGTAGAGGAATGATCACTTAGCCTCAGTGCATCTGCAGTTTTGCATAAACAGTAAGGCAGAGAAAGCAATCAGATATGCATTTGTCTCAGGTGAGCAGAGGGATGACTTTGAGTTCTGTCCTTTGTCCCGCAGTTGTGAAGATCAGCTATCAACTTACATTTCCAAAGTGAAATTCAACAGAACCGTTTCAGGGTAAAGATCTTGAGGCCCATAAAAATTTCCTTGCGGGCAAATTGTGATGGAGATATGTAGTTTTTTTTTCCTTTTTAAAAAATCTTTGTAGCTATCTTATTTAGCAATTAAATGGGAGGCAGGTTTGCCTGATGCAGTTCCCAGCTTGACTTTTCTCTTTGGTGTAGGATTTTGGGGTCCCGAGATTGAATTTCCTTTCACAGATGCGACCATCCTTTGCTCATGCGTTGATTCATTTGCTCCTCACCACAATCCTGTAAGGAAGACACTGTTTTTCCCTCTCTAATTCTCACATTCAGAAATTTGTTACGCTAATCTCTTCCCTCAGGATTGAGTCCAGTCATCTTCCCAAGTCTTTCTCCAGCACTTTCTCTCCACTAACTGGAATCCCCCTCACCTCTTTTCCTTTAATATGATTCTTTCTTTCTAACTTTGTCCCTAGACAGTGTCTTTCTTTGGACAATCATTGCCTCTGAGCTAACAAGACCACTATTGTCTATCCCATTTTGTTTCATCTGTCCCATCTCTGCCCCGTCACCTTGGAGCATTAAAGGGCTCTACATTATGACTTAGCATTTCCCACAATTAAAACAATTATGGGCCAGGCACAGTGGCTCATGCCTGTAATCCCAGCACTTTGGGAAGCCGAGGTGGGCAGATCACCTGAGGTCGGGAGTTCGAGACCAGCCCGACCAACATGGAGAAACCCCATCTCTACTAAAAATACAAAATTAGCCAGGCGTGGTGGCGCATGCCTGTAATCCCAGCTACTCAGGAGGCTGAGGCAGGAGAATCGCTTGAACGCAGGAGGCAGAGGTTACGGTGAGCTGAGATCACGCCATTGTACTCCAGCCTGGGCGACAAGAGTACAACTCTGTCTCAAAAAAAAAAAAAAAAAAAAAAAAGACAACAATTATGGCAGCTATTTCCCACAATTAAAAAAAGGGGATGCCACCAAAATGCAAATAGGCTTGAAAGGGAGACTTTTTCTACTAGGCATATCCTTGGAAAGTCAAATCAAAGGTGGGGAGGGGTAGGCTGCTGACAGATGGATCCTTGCCCCATCTGACATTGTCAGGACACATTTCCCATCCTCATCCCTGCTGGGGACCCCAATTTTGTCCACTCTTCTTTGCACCCCAGGGAGGCCGACTTTTACAACTACATCCACAGGTTCCTTTACCCTCCAGCTTCTGGTTAAGGGATGTTAACAAAAGAGCCAGAGGGCGAGAGAAAGAGCAGGTGTTTATCTTCTAGCTCCCTCCCTGCCTTGCTGCAGGTGACAGCGGTCCCATGCCTCTACAGGAGGCCACAGATCCCACTAGGCAGCCATCTCCTGCGGCCACACTACCGCTGTCCCCAGCTCTGGGAATAGGCCCTTGCCCTGCCTCCTTCACGCCTACAGGTGGATTTAATGGCACCCACTGTTACCAGCCCCAGTGGCAGCAGCCCTCCCTTGCATCCTTGGTGCTTCCCTCACCCCTGTTCACATCTTTGTAGTGTCCCTTCATTCCACTCTCCTCGGTTACTACATTTGACAGTAACCTGCCAGACAAGGTCCCTGCTACAGACCATGCAGTTCCCCACACCCCTGTTATGCCATCAGCCGCTGTAAATCCCTTCACAGTAATTAATTTGCTAAGTCAATTCAGTTGAGTACAGTAACATTAGAAAATGAAACTTCAGACACGTTAACCTTGATGAAAGGGACAGTCCGTTTGTTTCTCAGTGATGCTGTAACAAACTACTATATGTTGGATGGTTTGAAACAACATAAGCTTATTCTCTTGCAGTCTGAAGTCTGAAGTCAAGGTGTCAGCAGGGTCCTGCTTTCTCTAAAACCTGCAGGGGAGGAGCCTTCCTCACTTCTTCTAGCTCCTGGTGTTTGCTGGCACCCTTGGCTGCAGCTGCAGCCCTCCTCTGTCACGGCATGGAGTTCTCCCTGCGTGTCTCTGTCTTCTCTTGATGCTCTCCTCGCTGCGTCTACGTCCAGATTCCCCTCTTCTTATGAGGACATCAGTCCTATTGGATTAGGGCCTGCCCTAATGACCTCACCTTAACTTCACTTAATCTGTGAAGTGCTTATTTTCAAATAACATCCCATCTGAGTTGCTGGGGGTTAGGACTTCAACATATCTTTTTTGGGGGCAGACACAATTCAGCCCAGAACAGACAGATGTGGAAATATAGGCCGGTAGGTGTCTATGAGTACCTGGTGTTTCTGAAGAGGCTGAATCTGCAAGGCACACTGCCTACAGCTGATGAGTACCTGCCAGGGTGGCACCTGCACCTGCCACTGGGGGATTGGCAAGAGGTACTTAGGAAAAACAGACCAACCTCCGGGACTTGTTCATTGTGGATCAGCCCCTGTAATGCGGCTGTGAAAAGGTGAGGAAAGTAATGTGTCAAGTTTGTAAAAAACTTGAGGGGGTGCAGGTGGAAGACACTGTCTGTGGTGATATATGATCATAGCAGCTATGTTTAGACTCTCCTGTTATAGAAAAGGACTCCATGTTCATGCTAGTCTCACCACTGATTTTTTCCATGTTTTCTCTGCTGAGTCCATTACTGCTTCTTCCAAAGACTTTAACTCAAGAAAAATAATCTCTGTTCTAAGACCACAGACTTGCTGCTTGGGTGTTCCAAGCTGGCAACTGGTATTTTTAACAGTCATTTTTTATAGAATCGAGAGATAAAAATCTGGGGACATCTATAGACAGATTGAAGATCTAAAAGTCTTAAATCCCAAATTACAAACCATAATCCTCCATTTCCTCACCCTATAAAGTCAACTCCCAGCATTTTGATGAACAAGTTTTACCATCCTGGGTAAAGCATTTTCCAGACTCCACCAGACATTTCAGACTCTCAGTAGTCTCAAACATTTACACTCTTCATATCCAATCACATGTCATCCATTTCATACATTCATTCAACACACAGTAATTTGCTTAGCAGATGTTATGGTTGAATTGTGTTCCCCAAGAAGATATGTTCAAGGGTTTTTTGTTGTTTTGTTTTATCTGAGACATGGTCTCGCTCTGTCACCCAGGCTAGAGTGCAGTGGCATGATCATGGCTCACTGAAGCCTCAACCTCCGAGGCTCAAGCAATCATCCCACCTCAGCCTCTGGAGTAGCTGGGACCACAGGCATGTGCCACCATGCCCACCTAATTTTTGTAGTTTGTGTAAAGACGGGGTTTCACCATGTTGCCCAGGCTAGTCTCAAACTCCTGGGCTCAAGCGATCCACCTGCGTCAGCCTCCCAAAATGCTGGGATTACAAGCGCAAGCCACTGCTCCCAGCCTATGTGCTCCCAGCCTATGTTCAAGTTTTAACCCTCAGTACCTGTGAAAGTGACCTTATTTGGAAATGGGAACTTGCCAATGTAATCAAGTTGAGATGCGGTTAGACTGAATTGGGGCAAGCCTTGATGCAGTATGACAGGTGTCATTATAAAAAGAGGAGAGGAAACACAGGGACAGACATGCAGGGAGAGCTCCACATGATAACAAGGCAGAAACTGGATGAGGCAAGAAAGGCCACGGATTACTAGCAGCACCAAAAGCTAAGAGAAGGGCACACAACAGATTCTCCCCTCGAGGCTTCAGAGAGAACATGGCCCTGCTAACACCTCGATGACAGACTTCCAGCCCCCAGAACGATGAGATAATACATTTCTGTTGTTTTAAGCCACCCAATTTGTGGTGATTTGTTACAAAAGTACTAGAAAAGTGATACAGCAGATAGACTTTTAAATTCAGCCAGACTGTCCTCTCTCTGATTTTTTTTTTTTTTTTTTGAGACGGGTTCTCACTCTTCAGAGCTCATTGTAATCTTGAACTCCTAGGCTCAAGTGATCCTCCCACCTCAGCCTCCCAAGTAGCTAGGAATATAAGGGCGCGCCACTACTCTCAGCCAATTTTATTTTATTTTTTTTTTTTGTAGAGACATGCTCTTGCTCTGTTTCCTATGCTGGTGTCTCTGATACTTTAATCTGTAACCCAACTCTATGACTTTGCCAGAGCATTTTCCTCTATTTGGAATTCTCCTCTCCACCTCCACAAATCAACAAAGTCTAACCTTTTCTCACAGCCTGACTCAGGTTTCTCTGTTCCTTGAAGGTTCCTGAATGATGCCAGCCCACATAAATTTCTCCTGAATAGACTCACATAATATTTATTACATAAATGATACTATTTAGTCCTTCATTATACCCTTTGTTTTATTGTCTTTGCCACCACTTCTCTACTGAATCTTCCTGAGCCTCAATGTCCTCATCTGTACAATAGGAATAATCTAAACTCACAAGGTGGTTGCAATGGTTAACTTAGATAATATTAAGTTGAACCACATAAAGCTGCGAAACAGTCAACCTGATATATATAAAGTCTTTACTACAGCATTTAGCATTAGTAGATACAAATTGGTGATGGTATTATTCCTGCAGTTATTCTTGACTCCATTTAGTTTTATCTCCTAGATCATTTAAAAGGTCTTGAAAACAAAAATATTTCTATTATCTGACTTTGTGACTATGTTAGGTAGATTCTATTCCACTTAATTTAGCAAATGTTAATAAATACCTGTTGGTTGTCCTATGGGCTCCAAGCTAGATCTCAGGCCCAGAATACAACCACTTCTGCCCACTTCCAGTACCACCACCCAGATGGGAGCCGCCATCACCTCTCACCTGGATAACTGCAAGAGCCTCTGCTGGTGCTGCTTCCACTTTGCCCTCGACAAGGTCTGTTCCTAACGCAGTTATGAGAGTGGTCCTCTTACTTGTCACATCATCCCACCCTTCTTCTTCAAACCTTCCACAGGCTCCCCCATCTCAGACTAAAACCCAAAGCCCACAAGGCCCTCTGTGCCCAGACCTCCTGTTTTCTGTCTGACCTCATCTCCTGGCTCCAGACACTGGGTCTCTGTGCTGTTCCTCGCACTCTCTAGAGCCTTTGCACGGGAAATGGTCGTTTGTGGCTCTCTCCTTTACCTTCGTGGAAAAACCTACCTTGATCGCTCTATTTAAAATTGCAATCCACCCATGCCCCGAGTTCCCACTCCCCTTACCCTCCTCTATTTTGTCTTTCTGCACCATACCTTATAAGTACATCTTTATTACTATAGATCTGTTACTTATTGTCTGACTTCCCTCCCACCCCACCGTCTACCTTTCCTTACTAGAATACAGGCCCCACAATGGAGGAATCTTTGTCTTTTTTATTCTTCAACCCAAGTACCTAGAACACCAGCAGTCAGGAGCAATAAATGTTTATAGAGTGAATGAATGCCTTCTCTCGCCTCTCTACCATCTCCCCAAATAGACTTCCTCCACTTCGTTTGTTTTATTTGTGCCAATTGTCTCTCATCTGCCTCTGTGCTGCAGACCCTCTCCTGAGCTCCAGCTGCCCACCTCAGTCACTTGGATGTCTCACAGATGGGTCCAGAACTCACACACATATTCTCCGCAGTGCAGTGAAATTCATACTTTGAAATTCAAATCCAATCATGTCACACCCCTGCTAAAAATCCTTCTATTGCTTCCCGTTACTCTTAGGATAAAGACTAAAATTCTTTCATTCTCTGCATAACCTGGTTCCAACACATCTCCATTGATCTACAATCCTCCCTTGACTCATTCCAGTTGTCTTGGCCTTTCAACTCTTCAAAAGTACCACATTCCCTATGACCTAGAGCTTCACTTCGCTAATTCCACACTCAGCTTTAACACTGCTCTCCCTAGAAAGCCTTTCCAGACACCGTAGGTGGGGTCTTCCTATCTTAGACCCCTGTATTATATAAAGGTACACAGTGCACCTCTTCATAACATTCAGTAGTATGACTAATGACTCACTGAGTCCCTGTTTTCCCCATAGAGTTCCAGGCTCCATGGAGTTCCAGGCTTCATGAGGGCAGGGTTCATGCCTGTCATCTTCCCCACTGTACCCCCAGTGCCTAGGGCAGTATTTGGCATACAGCAGGTATTTATTAATGGTTACTAAATAAATGAAGACACTGATGTGACTACAGCTGGAATACACTATTCTCTTTCTCCACTCTCACATTCCTGAATCTTTCTCCTTGATGTCTCCAAATCAACATGATAGGAAGAGGAAATTGGAAGATGAAGAGAGGCCCTACGCCCTGAACCCCCAGTTCCATGCCTAGGAAGTCTGCTCTATTCAGCTAGCCCAGGAAAAGCTTTATTTTATCCTAGGGGGGAAAAAAGGAGAGTCATGGAATGATGTGATGGAAATAATGCTGGGTTTACAGTAAGAAATGTAGGGTTTAGGCCACACAGTGGCTCACGCCTATAATCCTAGCACTTTGGGAGGCCGAGGCAGGTGTATCACAAGGTCAGGAGATCGCGACCATCCTGGCCAACATGGTGAAACCCCATCTCTACTAAAAATACAAAAATTAGCCGCACATGGTGGCAGGCGCCTGTAATCCCAACTACTTGGGAGGCTGAGGCAGGAGAACCGCTTGAACCCAGGAGGCAGAGGTTGCAGTGAGCCAAGATCATGCCACTGCACTCCAGTCTGGCGACAGAGCAAGACTCCATCTAAAAAAAAAGAAAAAAAGAAAAAAAAAAGAAATGTAGGGTTTAAAATTCCAGCTCAGCATCTTGAGAGCTGTGTAGTTTTGGATGTGTCTCAGCCTCACTCCTTTCATCTGTAAAGTGTGGATACTAATCCCCACTTCACAGGCTTGCTGTATTAAATGTAATGCTGTGCATGAAAGTGGTTCCTAAGCTCTAAAGCCTAGAACACACAAATTTTAGTTAATATTGATAATGATAACCTAGGAGTAATTACAATGGAACAGCCAAATGCAATTTGAGACTTGACTAATGGGACTTAATTTACTCTGTACATAATAAATAATTGAGAAATAATTCCTGAATGGAGGCACATGGAAACTGCACAAACAAAATATAATACTACATGATGATTTACACAAACAAGATTTTACAGCATATTCTCTAGTCCCCTCCGGCATTCCTCCTGGAAACGACCTTACCTTGGGACCCAGGGAACTGCAGAGCATGTGTTTGGTGAAGCTTTGCCCAGGTTCCAGACTTCCCAGAAGTGCAGCCCTCTCCTGCCCCAGAAGGCAGACTGTTTTCCATGCCTCCACAGCATGATGTAAGGGCAGCAAACAGCAGGTGCTCAGCAATGCCAGTACATAGCAAGCGCTCAGCAATACCAAGCTGGCTCCCCTCCATGGATCTTCGGGTCCATGTTGGCCAAAAAGTCTTGGTTCCCATGCCTACATCAGCATTTAAAAATTCAGGACAAAGTCTCTAACCCCTCGTTATGGCCATTACACCTACAAGGGCATGAAGGTACAGCCCGTTATCAGAAACAAAGTCTGACTTTTAGCAGGTTAGGCCTAACTAGAGTTCAGAGGAATATACAAAGCGTTTCTTCATTTTCCCCATGGAGTCCCTTATCAGTTCCCACTCACATGAGCACTGGAAAATAACCTTCCCTCTCTGCCTCCCCACCTTGTATGTCCTATCCTACCAACTGCCCCCATTAGCATTTGAGTTTCACCTGGAAGGGGCAGCATAAGTTCACTAGGGTTGTGTGTGAATCTAGAGGAGGCTATAGGTCCTTCTGGTCATTCGGAGCAGCACATGTCCAAAACAGCCCTCTCTTTTTGCTAATATTGAGTACTTTGATAGCATCCTTGTGTCACATCAAAACCCCCGGCCTGGTAAGATGGAATAATATAATTATGCATCCCTCCACTGCTCATACCTGAATGTTTCTTCTCTTGTACTTTATTTTGAATTCATCCTCTCTTGCAAAGATGCTGATAAATATCCTGCAGGAGCTGGATTTTATGCAAAAACAAAAAAATTTAAGATGCTGCTAAATAAATTAACTGCCAGGCTGACACAGATTGTATCAAAGTAGAAACTGTGTCTCTGTGCCAATGGATCACTGGATACCAGTGTAACACAAACAAAGTAAGAACAAAGCTGAACAGCTGCTCTGAACTTACAAACTTAAACAAGCTGGAAATCAAGATGCAGGAGGCCACCTGACCTATGACTCACCCTGCTTTCCCATTTCCGGTGGGAGCAGGGAGAGCTGCCTGGGGGAGGCTGCCCCAGCCGACTCGCCCTCACAGTGTCCATCTCCTCTTCCCCCAAATGGTACACAGTCCATGAAACAGTGATGCCAGCAGTCTGCCTACCATAAGCACATGGGCAAGGGCTGTCAGGAAGACAGCAAAGAACCTCAACATTCTCCAAATTCAATTCTTAATCCCACCATTAGCTTCCTAAATGACCACGCGCAAGTTGGGTAGTCTCTAAAATGTAGGATATTTGTGATATGCTCCACATGGGACATTGTCAAATACATTATTATTGTTCATAGGTTTCAGGTAATTCTTTTTAAAAATGAATTTGTCTTTATATTGTGACCATAAAATATAATCATGTAGAAAAACAACACATAATCATTATAGAAAATTTGAAAATACAAAGGAAGAAAACCCAAATTGCCTGTAACTCTATGACCTAAATGTTAACTACTATTAGCACCAGGCATTGGCCAGCTGCTGTGGCTCATGCCTGTAATCCCAGCACTCCAGGAGGCTGAGGTGGATCACTTGAAGCCAGGAGTTCAAGACCAGCATGGGCAACAAAGCGAGACCCCCAACTCTCTAAAAAAATTTTTTTAATTTTCTAGGTGTGGTGATGCCCACCATGGTACCAGCTACTCAGGTGGCTAAGGGAGCAGGATCCTTTGAGCTCAGGAGGTTAAGGCTACAGTGAGCCATGATCACACCACTGCACTCCAACCTGTACAATATAATAAGATCTTGTCTCTTAAAAATACATAAATAAATAAGTAAATAAAATTTCAAAAAATAGGCATTTTGTTAATTTTATTTTATTGTTTTAGAGACAGAGCCTTGCACTGTCACCCAGGCTGGAGTGCAGTGACATGATCATAGCATACTGCAGCCTTGACCTCCCAGGCTCAATCAATCCTTACACCTCAGCTTCCCAAGTAGCTCAAACTACAGGCATGTGCCACCAGACCTGGCTAATTTTTTGTATTTTTTATAGAGATGGGGGTCCTGCCATGTTGCCCACTCTGGTCTTGAACTCCTGGCCTCAAGCAATCCTCTTACCTCAGCTTCCCAAAGTGCTGGAATTACAGGCATGAGCCACTGCACCCAGCCCAGGATTTTCCTTGAACTCTTATGTGTGTGTACATATACAGATACGGATCCAGCTATTCAGATATACTTTAAAAGAAGTATTATTATTGTATAGATATAGATATATGTATATGCATACACATATATAATTTTGATACTTTTATATTTGTAATTGACACATAATTATATATTTATTGGGTACATACTATTGTTTTGATGCATCTAATGTACAGTGATTAGATCAGGGTAATTAGGATATCCATCATCTCAAATATATTTTTTTTTACAAACTCTATATATGAGTCCTGTTTTTATTGCCTAACATTGTATCCAAGCCAATTTTCCATGACTTTAAAAGTCTTTTTAGAAACTACTTTGCATAAAATTCTGCATAAGATTCCATCGTAGGGTTTTAGTAAAATCATGTTGTGCTATAAATACAGAGTGGAGTAACTGGTAGCAAAGTGTTCATCAAACAGCCTGATATGAGCACACGCCAGCCCCTGTTTTAGGATCTGCTGCCTTAGTGACACCCATCAGGCAAAGTTCACAATTTTATTCAACAGCCGTTTCACTGGTGCTTTTGTGAAGTGAAGAAAATAAAGTTTCCTGCAGTAAGAAACAGTATTTTCTCTCTTTCTGGAATTAAAAAATTACCTTAGTGGCTCACACAATTCCTTGAACAGATGGGTGATAAATGCGGTTATTTACAATGTCAGTAGGGCACAGGATTGACAGCAGGCTAGAGCCCCTGTGATGCCTCCCTCAGCAGTACAAGCCCCTGGTATGCAAGATCTGTGCAGGGTTCATCTTCATGTCCCCCCAAGCACCTGTCCCCCACACACTTTGCATATACACACAGTGAGCACTCACGCTCATCAAGTTTTTTCAGCCCTGTCTTAGTCTGTTTCGGCTGTGACATTGTCGGATATTTGTACCCGCCAAATCTCAGGTTGAAATATAATCCCCAATGTTGGAGGCGGGCCTGATGGGAGGTGATTGGGTCATGGGGCTGGAGCCCTCATGAATGGCTTAGTGCTTCCTCGTGATAGTGAGTGAGTTCTCATGAGACCTGGTTGTTTAGAAGTGTGTGGCCCCCTCTCCGCTTCTCTCTTGCTCCTTCTTTCACCATGTTATGTGTAGGCTCACGCTTTGCCTTCCACCATAATTGGAAGCTTCTAGAGGCCTCCCCGGAAGCAGAAGCCATCGCTATGCCTCCTGTACAGCCTGCAGAACCATGGGCCAGTTAAACCTGTTATAAATTACCCAGTCTCAGGTGTTTCTTTGTAGCAATGAAAGAATGACCGAATACAGGCTGCTATAACAAAATGCCTTAGACTAGGTAGCTTATAAACAACAAAAATTTATTTCTCAATGGAGATAATTTGTAATACTGAGACCTAAAGCCCTCCAAATACATGCTGCATTGCAAAAAATAAATAAATAAATAAAGTGAATCTGCTCTCCCACCCGCAAAAAAGAAATCTATTTCTCACCATTCCAGAGGCATGAAGTCCAAGCTCAGGCACGAGCAGCTCCGGTGTCTGGTGGGAGCTCTCTGCTTCACAGATGGTAATTTGTTGCTGTGTCCTCACATGGCACAAAGGGGGAAAAAAGCTCCCTTCAGTCTTTTACGAGGGCACTAATCCCATTCATGGTTCATTAGTTTGCCCTTGTGGCTTAATCACTTCCCAAAAGACCTAACTTCTTAATACGATCACATTGGGGATTCAGTTTCAAATATGAATTTGGGGGGACACCAACATTCAGACCCTAGAAAGCACCTACTTTTGCCTGGTTAGCCAGATGCTGAGGAGGAGTTTTGACTTGAAGTTTTGTAGGAGGATAAAATTCATACATTTGTAATAGAAAAAACCAGCAAATGTAACTGTAGTTAAGTGAATCTGCTGTGCTCCCATTCTGGTCTCTGATCCAGAGCACATACATGTGACACAGTGCCCAGCTGAAGCAGAGGATGAGAGAGAACCCCGCAGAGCTCACCAGGCATGGTGATACCTTAGTGGTAGCACATAGCTCAGGCAAACCCTTCAACATACCCTCAAGCAGCACAAACTCCATTCTCCAGTGTATGGCAGGCCTGTCCAGTGCCTCCTTAGAGCATCTCTGTCTCCTGGCTCTTCTGCCTGGCCAGTTTCTAACTCTTATTCTGTATTTCCTGGATCTTATTCTGATACCCCCATCTCCTCAGCTTTTGGCTCCTTCCATTCGTACTCCCAGGATTCCATCCTTCCCTAATCTCACTGTTTCACCTACTTGTGACTCAGACTGAATCTAATACACATCCCTGACCCTTGAACACCACAGATCTTGCTATATTCCATGCTATCCTAGGCCCAAGGGTGATGGCCCACAAAGCTACTGCCTCCACCCCCCATTTCCTGGGTAGAACACACTGCTGTTACATGTGCGTGTAGAGCAGAAAATACTGCCATCATTGTGGCATCCATGCATCAGTGAGCTGGCTCAGCTGGAAATTCACAAGGACACACCCTGACTGTGGAAGGTCTGATGCTCTTCACTTGGGAGGAGGGAAAAACAAGCTATGCGGACCTGAGCAATGAATTCCTGATATGGACTGCTCCCAAGCCTTGGATGCCAAAGCAAGGAAATGAAAGAATATACTCAACTAGGTCTTCCCCCACTGGGTTAATGCCTGCAACTTAGGCATTTCAGTAAAAGCCACTCTCCTTTCATTTAGTTAAAAGTTGCATGACACCAAATATATGCAAAACACACGGAAGTGTTTGTGCATTTCCCATAGCTGGTCGCAATTATAAGATTCTCAGTTGAAAGTTTCAGAAACCCAACTCATGTGATCTCAAGCAAAATATGAGATTTGTGGGGTCCGTGCAACTAAAACATACAGGAGGGTAATTGCCATGAGAGCTTAGATTAGAACATCAAACTTGGTCTCTCTTTTTTTCCTGCTTTGTTTTCATCTTGAATGGCTACATTTAGGCGGATACTTCCTATGTAATGGCAAGAGAGCACCCAACCGCTACAGATTTATATCCTATAGTCTAACAGCATCAGTGCAAAGGGAACTCTTCTCTCCCAGGAGATTCTCAAATGTTCTGGAATCTGATCTCATCGCTTGGGCTCCTGGTCTGAGTCACTTGCCTATCTCTGAATCAACCACTGTGATCAAGGGAAAGGGATAAACCACACAATCTCGGTTGGGAAGACACTGTTTCTCCAAAAGAAAATCAGGGAGCTATTATCATAAGAGGAAGAAATTGATACTTGAAGGCAAAAATAACAAATACACCCAACAACCCACCCCTTGGCTTCTCATTTTCTATACACATCCTTCTTTGCATTTGTTCAATTTCAGTAATATCCCTACCTAACACAATGCAACTATACTACATACTTTCAAAAACTAAGTCATTCCCTCTACAGTCATAGACAACCCAAAATTATGCCCCTGTTTTTGCACCCAGCTCCAAGACCAAGATCTCAAGGTCATACAGATATCTATCAAGGTGATCTGTATATAGCAATTCATAGTTTGATACCCTAGAGGCTAAAGGATAAATGTAAACCAACCCAACACACTCAGTATATAAGACAGAAGAGAAAATAGCAGAATATAACAGAATTTCCCATTTGGAAATGAGAAGGGGAAACAGCCTACTGTGATCACCAGTCCTTTATGTACATCATGGTCTGTTGGACAAGAACAGCAAGGACTCACACTAGCAGGGGACTGAGGTCCTTGACCAGCCGATCTGACAACCCTGGTTCTGCCCTCTGAGAGGGTCCCCTTTGCCAGTCGTCCTCCATTTCCACATCTGAGGTGGGACCCTGGGAGGATCCTTTAGTGACCCATTTCCAGATGGTGCAGATTTGGGAGCAGGGGTTTACCTTGGGCTGACCAGAGGCCCTTTTTAATCATGCTGGGAGTTTTCTGGCAAAGCAATTCCCTAAGAAGTTTATAACTTAGTACTTTTTCAGTCCATTTGCATCTGGTCATTTCATGGGACATTAGGCAAAGCAAGAGACAGTGTCCTCATCTAGACTCTGGCCTGGGAGTTTTGTTTCTTAGCAGCAGCCTCAGGGCTCCATCCTCCTTCTCAGCTTAATGGCCTCCACTTTAACCTCTGCATCAGTGAAATTCAAACTACAGCCTGGAATGGGGAGGCCCTACTAATGTGCCTCTTGCCCTGCAGCTCAGGGATAATTATTATTTTAATGAATCACTGATTTGTACTCTCACAGCCATCTCTTCCTCCATAGTCTATGATTAGGAGACTTTTTAACATTTTTATTGACATGTAACACACATATAGAGAAGTGCAGAGATCACACATCTTACAGCCCACACACATCATCACAAAGTAAGCACCTCTGTGTAACCATCGCCAGGTTGAGAAATAGAACAAAACCAGGACCTCAGAAGCCCCTCTTTTCCCCTTCCTATCACCAACCCTTTCCCCTGTCCTCAAAGGTCTCCATTCACTTGAGTTCTAACACCATATATTCATTTTGCCTGGTCTTGAGTCTTACATAAATGAGACTCTATGGTATTTCATCATATCAAGCTTCTTTCACTCAAAATTATATCTGCAAGATTATTTCATGTTGTTGCACATAGCAATAGTTTGTTCTGTGTATTTACAAAGTGTTCATTGCAAAACTACACCACAACGTATTTACCCACTCTGCTGTTGATGGGTATTTAGGTTTTCTCAATTTGGGACTATTATAAACAATGTTGCTAAGAACTTTTTTTTTTTTTGAGACAGGGTCCCTCTCTGTCACCCAGGCTGGAGTGCAGTGGCCCAATCATAGCTCACTATAACCTTGAACTCCTGCACTCAAGCGATCCTTCTGCCTCAGCCTCCCAAGTAGCTAGGACTACAAGTACACAGTACCATGCTCATCTAATTTTATTTTTTATTTTTTGTAGAGATGGAGTCTTCCTATGTTGCCCAGGCTGGTCTCGAATTCCTGGTCTCAAACAATACTCCTGCCTCAGGTTCCCCAAAACACTGGGCTTAAGGGCTTGAGCCATGGCACCAAGCCAGCACATTTTTTGTGTTTTTTCTTACACATACGCACACATAGACCTAGGAGTGGAATTGCTTTGTAGTAAGATATGCATACATTTGCCTTTAATAGATAATGCCACACTGTTTTCCAAAGTATGTGGGCCTCTTTATACTCCCACCAGCAGAGGATGAGGGTTCCAACAGTTCCACATATTCATTAACACTGATATGATCAGTTGTTTTTTTAGGTTTTAGCTGTTCTCCTAGAATGTGTAGTGGGATCTCCTTGCTGTTTCCAGGCATGTCCCTGATGACAGGTGAGGCTGAGCACTTTTCCTGTTCATTGTCATCTGTTGTGAAATGCCCTGTCAATCTCTTCCTCTCACTATTCTATTGAACTGACTGTCCTTTTGTGATTTACTGATTTATTTGCTGGAGTTGTTTGTGTATTCCAGATAGGAGCACTTTACCAGTTAGACACGCTGCAATACCTTCTCCCACCTGTGGCTTGGGCTTTCACTCTGCAGTGACAACTTTTGATAACCCCGAGGATGGTTGTCATCTGTCCTGGAGGAGTCAAAATCAGACTCCAGCTCCTTCCCAATTTTAGTAGTATCTTCTATTCTGTTTCCAGTGTCTCTGTCTTTGCTGGAATGAGTTTCATCATGTAACAGAGAACTCATTTTTTCCAACCCTGCAAAGTACAGTGTTGTCTGGCTCTCAGTTACCAAAAGAGAAAGGACTTCTTTTATCAAAGACACATTTTTCTTTTTTTTTAACTTTCAGATGATAGAAGCTTGTCTTTTTCTCATAGGAACTCACTAAGAACTTCAGGAAGTAGCCTACACACTCCACAGCCTGACAAGTTCTATCAAGTACTTTAATGATCCAATCTCCAATGGCACATGCTGTGAGTCCTAAGGGAGAACAGGCAACAATTTAATATGCTTTATCGGAGCATAACAAAGACTGCCAACTTCTTAGCCAGGGATAGGAGAACTTTATTGCCTTCCATTCTACCTGCAATTTGCCAATCCACATTTTAGGGTCTATTACTTGTAACACTCCATTGCTAGGTACCATTCCTGTCAGTAATCTTTTGCAACTCAAACTAACTTACATACAAAAGAAAAAAATAAGGTGGGGGATGAGGGAAAGATTTATTATGTCATGTAACTGAATCATCTGTCACAGCTGCATACCGGTCTCAAGCAATTTCATTTGGACCAAGTTTCTCACCATCCCTCTGTTCTCCTCTCCTCATCCCTCTACCACCCCTTTGTGTCAGCTTAATTCAGTCAACCATTCATTCATTCAGGTAGGTAGGCAGGTAAAATAGCCCCCAACAATTCCAGGCTAGCATGTTATCTTTTCAAACACCCCAGGTCAGGGAGAACTTGTCTTTCCCAAGAGTTCCAACCAAAGTCCTGAAATTAAACCTCACTGACCGGGCTCAGATCATGTGCTCACACTGGAATGATGGACACAGAGGCCCCTTCACACCCAAAGAAAACCCAGTGTGTGTTTCTGAAGGAGGCACAATGGAGACTGGGCAGGTGAAAACAAAAGGTAATCTTGACAGTTATTTACTAATTGAAAGCATCTTAAAACTTGTGACAACCCCTATCATGTGCCTACCCAATATTCATCATCCTTACCCCTTCTTCCTGGCTGATGGAATCTCAATTTCGCTTGCTTGGCAATATGTCCAATTTCAGGGCATAAATCATAACCAGTCTAAACCAAGGACAACATGCACGCTCCCCTTGTCCAGATTATTTAATGGGTGAATTTATAACGCTCTCTGATCAATAAGATGGACAGAAAATCGACTTGGGGGGTGATTTTCCTTCCCAAGTGGAGGGGAGGTTTATACAGACAGCCCACTTGCTGTCCTGGCCACCTCCAAGCCTATTCCCAGTTCCTGCCTCTGGATGGATTTGCATGTGGACGTGATGCCTGGAGCCACAGCAGCCATCTTGTGGACTGTAGGGGGAAGGTGGAGAGAAAAGCAGAGATGCCAAGTTAGTGCCCTGACGACATGGAATTACTGATCCAGATCCAGAAATACCACCTCCAGGATGCTTGTTCAGAATGCAGTATGTATAAAGCCATTGGTTTTCAGGCTTTCTGGTTCTTACAGCTGTATATACTCTAACTCTCCCATAACTATTCTCCATAAACACACATGAGCCTCTCTTCATGCAGCTGTGGCAGGCAAGGAATAAGCAGGAGTTCAGTCAGCCATCCTTCCTTAAGATGAAACCACCTGGATTATCCCCATCTCACAGTACACAAATTCGGGACTGAAAAAGGAACACAAGCTATGCATGCACTTCCTGTCCCAGAACCTCTATCACTGTTCTCACTTCACTTTGTATTAGCCTGAACCTTATGAAACTGACAATATTCAATTCAATGCTTTTTCTGATCTACAAAAAAGGCAATTCCATGTGGTTCAATCTAACTCTTACATATCTCTATGTGAACTAGTTGTCCACCTAAAATAATAAAAAGGTCAGAATCTGTTTTAAAGAGAGTTTGTTCAAGAGCAAATGTTGAGGATGAGCCTGCTTGGGAAGCACAGATTCCAAAGAATGGAAGTCAGTGTTCTTAAGTGTAGAGGTGTGGGATCGCTTATATCGACAAAGCTTAGGAAAGCTTTACAGAATTTCAACATCTTTCTATATAAGGCTTAATGTGTTGTGCTCAAGCCTTTCTGTGTAAGGCTTGAGAGATGTTGTGCTGCATAATAAATTTAGGGTGTCCTAAAATTTTATGTACTTTCACAAAGTGTAGAAGCAGAGAAATTGTTTCCTTCATTTCCAAGCCATGGTGAATCCTTGAGCAACAGAGAACAAAATAATAATAGTAAATGGTGCCAGGGGAGATGTGGCAAAGATGCAGCTGTTGTTGAGTCACCCTGGGAGAAAGGTTTGCTGTTTTTCAACTGGATACAGAGCCTTGGCCTCTGGGTACTCTAAACTAGCACTAGTCAATAGAACTTTCTACAGTGATGGAAATATTCTATTCTGCACTGTCCAACAGAGTAGTCACTATCCACATTGGCTAGTAAGCACTTGAAATGTGGTCTACTGTGACTGACAAAATCAATTTTAATTATATTTAATTTTAATTCATTTCCATCTCAATAGCCACATGTGGCTAGTAGCTACCGTGTTAGTCAAAGTTCTCCCAAGAAACAGAACCAACAGGAGATACATATTAAATAATATATATAATATAAACTATACATGTCACATATTATATATTTTTATGTGTGTACATATATAGTATACATATACATATTTCCTGCCACTTCTGCATGAAGAGTACACACACAAAATGTATATGTGATGTGTATATTATATATATTATTTAATATATTACATATATAACATGTATATATGTACACGCACACATAAAATATATAGTATGTGATATGTATCTTTCACACACACAAGCATACACATACACGCATACAGAGAAAGAGAAATTTTGAGAACTCCCGCAATCATAGAGGCTAAGAGGTCCCATGATCTGCCGTCTGCAAGCTGGAGACTCAGGAAGGCTGGTGGTGTAGTTCCGTCCTAGTCTGAAGGCCTGAGAACCAGGGGAGCCAATAGTGTAAGTCTCAGTCCACAGACAGAAGTAGATTGATGCCCCAGCTCAAGCAGTCAGGCAGAAAAAGAGGCAAGTTTTCCCTTCCTCTGCCTTCTGTTCTATTCAGGCCCTTCTGCCATGACTGTGAGGCCTCCCCTGCCATGCGGTGCTGTGAGTCAATTAAACCTCTTTCATTTATAAATTGCCCAGTTTCAGGTATGTGTTTATTAGCAGCATTAGAACAGACGAATACGATAACCATAGTAGTAACTGCCATTTATTAAGTGCTTTATATATGCCAAGTGCTATGCTAACAGTCTTACAAACTTTACCTCATTTCATCTGCAGAACAACCTAGTGGGGTAGGTATTATTATTAATTCCTTTTATGGATGATGAAACTTAGGCTAAAAAGGTAATTTCCCAAGATCACATGCTCATAATTGGTACCACTAAGAGATTGAACCCATTGCACCAAGCCTGGATCTTAAGAAAACCTGTTTGTAACCACTATTCCTCCATATGAAGCAAAAGGAGGACTAAACTCGAAATCCAAAGGCTGGCTTCTAGTTCTCCTTCTTCCTCTTGTCCTTTGGAGCTGTACGGGTTGTTGCCTATCTCTGAATCTCAGCTTCCTCAGCATAAAATGAGGCTAGTCCTCCCGCCCTGCATGTGTCACAAGGTTGTCACAGTGACTGAATGAGTAAGAGGGGGTCTAGAAGAGACCTCAATGGGCTGAAAAGCAAACAAAAAAGCCTCAATGCCATGGCTCACACCAGTAATCCCAGTGCTTTGGGAGGCCAAGGTGGGAGATCGCTTGAGGCCAGAGTTCAAGACCAGCTTGGGAAGCATAGCAAGACCCTGTCTCTAAAAAAAAAAAAAGGCTTCAAAAATTAGGCAGGTGTGTTGGTGCATGCCTGTAGTCCCAGGAAGGCTGAAGCAGGAGGATACCTTGGAACCCAAGAGTCCGAGGCTACAGTGAGCTATGATTGCACCACTGCACTCCAACTGGGTGACAGAGACCTTGTCTCTAAAAAAACTAAATAAATAAAAATAAAAAATAAGACAAGGTCTGAAGGCAGGCACCAAGTCTGCCTGGCATCCCCAGTATTTTGCACTCAATTAATGTTTATTGAAGTAATAATGCATCTGAAAGTGCTTAGAAAGCTGTAGAGCATCATAAAGTACGAGGTTCATGAATCGCTGCAGTCTGTGGCCACCTCGGGTGAGGGCCGGCTCTGCTGCTAAAGCCTCCCCAGGGTATCTAGAGAATTCATCTCTAAGGTACATAAACCTTAGACCTCTAAGCACTAGAAATGAACAGCACTCCATTATCCAGTCTACAAATTCCAGTAGCGAACCATAAGCATGCTGTCCTGCCGCTTGCTAAAGGATCGCTCGGTTTATCAAGCTTTATGATGAAAGGGTCTATTCTGCATTCCTTACCCTCCTCAAGGCACCCCCATCATTCCCAAGGCCCAGCACACAGCATTAACACCTCCACTGGGTTGGCAGTAATAACATCCTAGTGTTTCTCCTCAGCAAAGATTTGCTCAGAAATAAAAAAGACAAGAATATATTTCCCTAATGGCAAATGCAGCAACCCGGATCGAGACTGTTATTCTAAGTGAAGTATCTCAGGAATGGAAAACCAAACATCGTATGTTCTCACTCACAGGTGGGAGTTAAGCTATAAGGACGCAAAGGCATAAGAATGATATCATAGACTATGTGGATTTAGGGGGAAGGGTGGGAGGGGGTGAGGGATAAAAGACTACACACTGGGTACAGTGTACACTGTTTAGGTGATGGGTGCATCAAAATCTCAGAAATCACCACTAAAGAACTTACCCATGTAACCAAACACCACCTGCTCCCCCAAAACTACTGAAATAATAATAATAATAAACTACAAAAAAAGGAATATCTTTCCCCTCAGAGAGAAACATCCTGGAAGGCGAGGCATCAAACGCCACTCCAGGCGGGTGAGTAAACCCTGTGGGGTTGAGATCAGCCCCACCGCAGCCTACAAAAATGCTGTGTGTAATCAGAGTTTCAGCATCCCGATTTATGAAATGGCTCCGTTAAATAGGCTCCCAGCTGGCATTTCTGCACACACTATTGGGTGTGCAGAACAGGCTCCTGCTCCAAGGTGTGCTCAGCACTGCCCCATGGGAGTATGGAGGTCATCCCACCACCGCCGCCAACCTCCATCAGGTCAAGAGAGCAGAGAGATAGGGGAAAATGCAAGAAACTGAGATAAACACACATGCCAAAAAACTAACAAACAAACAAAAAACACCATATCCCACAGCCAGAACAGCCATACCTGGACATCACAGTATGCAAGATGCCCCATCTCCAGGATCCAGGTGAAATCTTCCCCTACCCCCTAAAAACAGTTCTTAATTTCCCTGTCACTGAAACAGAAGCAGAGCTGGGGAAGTGGGTGAAGCCATCTGGCTTTATACCTATAGCTCCTAAAAACAAAAAAAAACAAGAGTGGGGCCAGGAAGGGCTCACAAGGAAAGAGTGTGTCCTTAGCACTGCGTAGAGACAGATTTTCTGGCGGGGATGATGCGATGATGGCAGAGGGTAAGAAAACGTGCTGCAAAGTTTACAATCTGCCCCATCTGTTCAGCGCTGTTCTGTCCATGGCAGGCGCCGAATGGCTTATCTGCTCTTGCAGTGCAGACCCATGCAGGGGCCAGGCTGTCTGGGGAGGCCTACAGAGACATGGAGGGCCAGCACCACTGCCTGGAGCATGCAGAGGCTTTGCAAAGGCCCAACCCCAAAGGCAGAAAGCCCATGACTCTTCATGGCAGCCCTTTTGCTTTGAGATCTAGGAAATTTTCATCTCTAGCATTGAGCTAGGCTTTGAAAACACAAGGATGAATAAGATGCCATACCTGCCCTCTAAGGTTCATAGTCTCGTGGGAAGCCCATAGATGTGGCCCAGTGGTAGCACCTGGAGTTGACTAGGAAGTCAGCAAGGTAAGTTGAGCTGTGAAGGGCTTTATGTGCCAAGCCGAAGTGCATGGATTTTTTTTTTTTTTTTTTTTTTTTTTTTTGAGACAGAGTCTCGGTTTGTCGCCAGGCGGGAATGCAGTGGCACAATCTCGGCTCACTGCAACCTCCGCCTCCTGGTTCGATCGATTCTCCTGCCTCAGCCTCTCAAGTAGCTGGGACTACAGGCACGTGCCACCATGCCCAGCTAATTTTTGTATTTTTAGTAGAGACAGGGTTTCACCATGTTGGCTAGAATGGTCTCTATCTCTTGACCTCATGATCTGCCCACCTCGGCCTCCCAAAGTGCTGGGATTACAGGGGTAAGCCACCGCGCCTGGGCAGTTCATGGATTTTTTTCTCTACATTTGTGGGTCATAAAACACAATCCAGAGGGTACAAGAAGAAAATACTAAAATGTTCATGTATTTATTTTTATACAATTAAACACATAATAAGCTAAGCTTTATTAATATTCACTCTAAGCAACGACCTTCGTACCTTCACTTGGTCCACTCATCAGTGACCACAAGTCACAGGGTCTTGAGTGATCCTGGGGGAACAGTGGGCATCCCACAACGTGGACGGCTTGACACTGGCGATTCTACTTCTCGGCTCTTGTTCAGCATGATGTGGCCTGTTATAGACAAGCCTGGGTAAGTGGAACTACAGAGAGGATCCCATGTTTAACTATCCCCAAAGTGGGCAAGAGGCTTAAGCTTTTTTCAAAAAAGAAACTGTGGATTGAAGTAATAATGCAAAACAAGATGAACAGCAAGAAAGAGGCAGACCTGACAAGTTGTTAGCCATATTTCAAGGGCAAACAAGACAATATAATCAGATCTCACAGGCCAGCCAAAAAGTTTTCAAATTACCAAAAGAGTCTTTGAAACATGGCTTGGTGCGTGCTGCTGCTAATGAGGAATCTAACCCTAAGTGTAATTGTGCTCAAGATATTAGCTGACAACAGTAATGAAACCATTGCAGTTAACAAGACATTTTAAAATACTGCTTTCCTTTTCTTTACCATTTTTTGAGTTAATATTTGTGTATACTTTACAATGAGCATAATATATTGGTACAGTCATGCATGTACAAAAGTACACATAAATAAGCATACATCTGCTGGGAGTGCATACTCAACACTTTTCACTGCTAAAGAGTGGTAATCAAATCAATGCCACTGTAAATAGCCTAGACCCCCGCCCAGACCCTCCTGTTCTTGGCTTTCACCTTCCAGAAGCAGTAGGAAAAACACTAAAAACATTAAAAGTGGGCACTGCCTACTAAAACTTTGTCAAAGATCATTCCAAAGAGTAAGACCTGCTGGTTTAACAAAACTGTTCCTTCCTAGTCATGGCCATGTGCCAGAGAGGAACAGGTACCCAGCTAAATCTCAGCTCTGCAGCTCACCAAGATGTGGGGCAATTCAAGTCACTTCTCTGGCCTAGGCTCCACACAGGCAAAATAAAGGAGTGTAAGGTAGTATGGGAGGCAGAGAAGGGGCTTCTGTTTTAATGGGGGTTTTGTTTTTGTTGTTTGTTTTTTGAGACAGGGTCTCACTCTCGCCAAGGCTGGAATGCGGTGGCATGACCACGGCTCACTGCAGCCTCAACCTCCCTGGGCTCAGGTGATCCTGCCACCACACCCTCCCAAGTGGCTGGGACTACAGGCTCGCACCACCACACCCAGTTAATTTTTGTATTTTTCGTAGAGACAGGATTTTGCTATACTGCTCAGGCTGTTCTTGAACTCCTGGCTTCAAGTGATCCGCCCACCTCAGCCTCCCAAAGTGCTGGGATTACAGGTGTGAGCCATTATGCCCAGCTTATTTTAATGTTAATTCTTTATCTTAATATGTATTTGAAAAATAGCAATTTTCCATTTATGATGGTGGTCTTTTTAAAATCAACTTATGTAAGTTTTACAGGAGTAGATATTAAAATACTAAACAAATAATATAGCTAGTGTGCAGATTTAGATGTCAAAAACTGGGGGCTGGAGTGTAACTGTGGACTCAGAAACCCTGGCTAGATGATATTTATCTAGTGCCCAGGTCTGAAACTCTATGATTATTCTTAACCTGCATGCGTATAAACTAAAATATCGTAAGGCCCTTATAGCAAACAATAGGACTTAGACAAGTATGTTCCAGTTCAGTTCAGGTAGATCATTTTATACCTCTTGGTCTCTGGCCCCTGATTTAAGATGAACAAATGCAAATCAAAAGAAGATGAATGAAGTGGCTTTTTGTGATGACAGTTTCTGCTGCTGTTGGAGATGAGGTTTGAAGGAGAAGGGTGTTTGTTTGTTTGTTTGTTGCTTTAATAAAGAAAGCTCTCTGCCTTGCCGCTGTGGGAGTCTAAAACTACTGTAGAAAGAAATGTCCAAATATCAGCAAAGGGAGGGAAGGAACGTGAGCCTCAGGCCCTGTCGCTCACCCAGACGCCCTCTCCCGGCAGAAACGTGCGGGTTTGGTGCCCCCTGCTGGCCCTTTTCTGACAAAGACGGACACCCAACCACGGAGGGCCTGGGAGGGCCACTGCAAAGTGAGCCTCTCAATGGTCGTGTGAGTGCGCAGTCTTGCAAAAACGCACCTGAAACAACAGCAATGCATAATGCATGACTGTTAAGAAGACAGATCCCATGAAGTAGCTCTGTGTCTCCTCCTTCATGCCACTATATTGAATTAATGTGTAACTTGAATAGACAACAGCAGAACCCGGGGGAAAATTCGAAGGGCCTCTTCTCATCACTGCTTCTGTCCTCAGCCAAATGGTTCCCCGTGTCCTCCAGGTGCACTGAGAACACAGCTTTTGCAACAGCCCTTACGTGCATCTGAACTGAGGCTGGGAAGTGGGGCTCGGGCATTGCAATCATTTCCTCAAGAAACAAGCTGGCCAGGCCCAGGGGCTCACACCTGTAATCCCAGCACTTTGGGAAGCTGAGGCAGGAGGATCAGTTGAGTCCAGGAGTTCGAGACCAGCCTGAGCAACATAGAGAGACCCCCCCCCTCCCACCCCCACCCCCACCCCCAACTCTACAAAAATTAAAAAAAAAAATTAACCAGGTGTGGTGGTATGTGCCTATAGTCCCAGCTACTCAGTGGGATGATTGCTTGAATCTGGAAGGTTTAGGCTGCTGTGAGCTGTGATCACACCACTGCACTCCAGCCTGAGTGACAGAGCAAGATCCACTGTTTAAAAAAAAAGCTAGGTAGCACAAATTGTAAATTATACAAAGGGACACAGGCTGCGGGCAGGGTCTCTGCTCTCAAAGGGCTTTCCATCTAGAAAAAGAGATAAAAACAGAAATGGTTAATAATGTCAGTTACCATTTATTAAGCCAGCCACTTTACCATTATCTCCAGTGTTAACAGCAATGCTGTAAGCTAATAATTGCCACGTTGCAGATGGGTAAACAGGTTCAAAGAGGCCAAAGGACAGAGGCCAAAAGCGGGAGAGCCAGGTCTCCAACCCTGGTCAGCTTGACTCTGAACTCCATTCTGTGTTCACTCACATCATTTTTAGCTTAGTTCCCCTATACACGTGGGAAGATAAACTACACCCACCCACACATGGGCCCACACATGAACAGGGAGGGCACGTACCCATGACAATAGCCACCTCAGGGGCTGGAGGAAGGTAAATGGGCTGGAGGGGTGGCAGGGTGGGTGGGATGAAGGAAATACAAATGTGTTCTTTCTTTTATTTTAAAAACAAACAAGGTTTAAAGCCCACATATACCTCATGGTATGTTGTTAGATAAAAATACTTTTAAATGCAAATAAAAATTGTTAAATGTAAAAAATGTCAACATTTGTTCATTTTGGTTGATGGGTACCTGGCTATTCATTACTGTATTTTCTGTATAGCTCCATTTTTTCTTTTTTGTTTTTGAAACAAGGTCTCACTCTGTTGCCTCAGCTGAAGTGCAGAGGCACCATCATAGTTCACTGTAACCTCAAACACCTGGGCTCAACTGATTTCCCCCTCAGCCTCCCAAGTAGCTAGAACTACAGGCGTGCACCACCATGCCTCGCTAATTTTTTAATTTTCTGTAGAGATGGGTCTGACTTTCTTGCCCAGGCTAGTCTCAAATTCCTGACCTCAAGCGATCCTCTGCCTTGGCCTCTCAAAGTGCTAGGATCACAGGCATGAGCCACCATGCCCATTCTTAGCTCCAAACTTTTTTTTTTTTTTGAGACGGTGTTTCACTCTTGTTGCCCAGGCTGGAGTGCAATGGCACGATCTCGGCTCACTGCAACCTCCACCTCCAGGGTTCAAGCGATTCTCCTGCCTCAGCCTCCCTAGTAGCTAGGATTACAGGCATGCGCCACCACGCCCAGCTAATTTTGTATTTTTAGTAGAGACGGGGTTTCTCCATGTTGGTCAGGCTGGTCTCGAACTCCTGACCTCAGGTGATCCACCCGCCTCAGCCTCCCAAAGTGCTGGGATTACAGGCATGAGCCACCATGCCTGGCCAGCTCCAAACTTTTAAAAATTTTCTTAAATTTGTTTTGTTTGAGATAGGGTTTGTCCTGTCACCCAGGTTGGAGTGCAGTGGCATGATCATAGCTCACTGCAGCCTCGCCCTCCTAAACTCAAAGGATCCTCCTACTTCAGCCTCCTGAATAACTGGGACTACAGGTGTATGCCACCACACCCAGGTAATCTCTTAATTTTTTATAGGCAAGGAGTCTCGCTATGTTGCCCAGTCTGGTTGCAAACCAGCCTCAAATGATCTTCCCACCTCAGCCTCCCAACATGCTAGGATTACAGGCATGAGCCACCACACCTGGCCTAGTAAATAATATTTTTATTTAGGAAGAAAGAAGGAAAGAAACTGAAAGGAAATAAGTATCCTCCAAGGATCTGAATATGAAATCATGAAAACCAGTCTACCCACTTTGTGATCACATGCGGGTCTGACTATGAACCCACAGGTTCAATCCAAGTGGAGAATACTCAGCTATTTACATAGTGGCTTTTGTCTGGGGACCTCAAAGCACTTCACAAACACAAATTAATTCCACCTCTTGTCACCTCCTAAAAGATAGAGGAGTATTTTACAGATTATTAAATAGGGTCTGGGGAAAATGAAGTGTCTTATCTAACATCACACCATGAGTTACAGACTGAATTGGGAATAGAGCCTTGGAAACGACAAGCAGCCCTCTGGCCTAACCACAACTGTGATGGCATCACTGATAAAGAAGAAACCTATAGCATCTGCCGCTCCCATTCTTCTCGTGATATACTGTAATGCACTGTGCCTTTAAGAAGCAGGCCTTTCAGAGAGGTCAGCCTCCCTTTCTTCACATTAAGCCTCATCTGAAAATATCCTACAATGCATAAACAGAGATCTTTTTCAGGGACAACCCAAACCACATCCTCTGGCTTGCATTTTGCATCTCCAGCCAGGCTGTGTTCAGTGCTGGCCTGTGGTGGAATGAAACAACTCTCCTCCTTTCCCCCTTGCCCCTTCTCCCAGAGGACAAAGCCAGGGAGGAAGGGGACAACCTGTTACCATCAGACCTCAGTGCCAGGGAGGCCTGGTGTGTGCTGAGCCAGGACAGAGAGTATGTGCTCCAGAACCCCCTTTGGAGTATCAGTCAGTAAACTCTGGTTGTGCCATCCTGGAACCCGGCTCCTCTGTGTTTCCTCTTACCTGCCTACCTGAGCCCCACAGCATCAAGGTCAATGACTGCATTGACCGGCCAGGACATTAATATGGTTCTAGTTCTTTCTTTTTTTTGTTTTTTTTTTGTTTTTTTTTTTTGAGACAGGGTCCTGTTCTGTTGCCCAGGCTGGAGTGCAGTGGCATGATCATGGCTCACTACAGCCTCAAACTCCTGCCCTCAAATAAGCCTCCTGCCTCAGCTCTCAGCTTCCCAAAGTGCTGGGATTACAGCCATAAGCCATGTGCCCAGCCTTGTTTCTGGTTCTTGCTGTCACCCACCTCAATTCTGAGTCTCCCAACTGGCCTCCCTGGCTCCCGACTGCTGATAGTGATCGTTTTAAAACACAACGCTGACCACGGGGCGCCCCTACTGACACTCCATGCCTGCCCATCAGCTGAGGATGAAGTTTAAGCTCCTTTGCATGGGGAATGGGGCAAACTGACTCCCGCTGACCCCTCCAGCTTCTTCTACCTCTGCTCCCCCTTCCCAGTAACAGAGCCTCTCACGGGGGCAGTTCCAAGGGGAACATCCATAGACTTCCCTCAGTGAGTCAAGAGGGAGGAGTCCAGAGTTCAGTTATCAAGTTTAAACAAGGCAGGATGAGAAGTGCAGGCCAGCGGTAGAGCCACGAGGTCCACACTGCTAGGAGCCCACGGGAAGCAGACTAAGAAAAGGAAGGCCTGAAGCCCAGAAACCAGCAGCCAAAGGAGCTTCCTCTATGGTTCGTGCATCGAGGGCTGGAAAGCATTGAGGAGGAGACACCACCACTTTCTGGGGCCCTTTTTCTAGGTGGACAGCTGGGGCTCGCCCCTGGGAGACACTGACACTGTCGCCTGCAGCTCTGAGGAGGGAAGGAGGTTGCAGGATTGCTCCTCAGGCCTGGACACCACCCCAGCATGCACTCAGACTTCAGGCGAGGGGGGCACAGAGGTGCCAGAGACTGAGCATGGGTCTCATCGTCACCAGCCTGGCACCTCACACTTCTTTTTGTTTGGATTAATCTTGTAGCCAAGAGGGAGCTGTGGAGGATCTCACCTGGGGAGTAACATGATCAGATTGAGGTTTGCAGAAAAACCACTCTGGCAGCTATTTGGGGCAGGCAGGGTACTTGGGAGATGACAAGAGTCCAGAGGACAGGACAGCAAGAGCCTGACCTGTGGCAAGGAGGGTGGGCCAGGGAGAAGGGGCTGCATGGATTGGGCACTGGGTCTCTGGTGAGGGTAGATTATGTGTGAGCTGGAGGAAAGCATGGAGCCAGAACAGACAGGAGAAGCTGAGAGGAAGACTCACAGCCAGTAAACAAACCACCACCCAGGCTTTCCTTTCTTCTTTCCTTTCTTCTTTCCCTTCTTCTTTCCTTTCGTCTTTCTATCTTCAGGGTTTCACTCTCTCACCCAGGCTGGAGTGCACTGGCATGATCTCAGCTCACTGCAAACCTCCACCTCCCAGGTTCAAGCAATTCTTGCGTCTCAGCCTCCCGAGTAGCTGGGATTACAGATGTGTACCACCACACCAGGCTAATTTTTGTATTTTTAGTATAGATGGGGTTTCACCATGTTGGCCAGGCTGGTCTTGAACTCCTGACCTCGAGTGATCCACCCACCTTGGCCTCCCAAAGTGTTGGGATTACAAGCGTGAGCCACCATGCCCAGCCAGGGCTTTTTTTTTACCATGAGGTTTGCCCAGGAGTAGACGATACAGGCAACTTCTCTCTTTTAGTATCTAATAACACATTTTACCTCTAGCTTTTACTCAAATGCCTAGTTCTACTACTAAACCCTAAACTACTTTAGAATAAAAATCGTAGTTATCTTTGAACCCCCCAGGGTCTAATACTGTACCTCACATATATCACGTGTTTAATAAACAAAGTCTCATTGGCTAGAATACAGGAATACATATATACATACATTTATATCCATATGATTATGACAAACCATATATGATTAGTGGGAGAAGCTGGAAGTTAGAGTTGTACTATATTTTGAAGAATGTTGAATTAAAGATATATTTGATACTCTAAGTAATGGGATATCATTGAAGTTTCATGAGGAGAGTAATTTTATCAGAGCTATGCTTAGGAAACTAAACTGGGCAAGATGTTTTATGGAATAAAGCAGGAAGGAACTGGAAGTAAGATTAACAGAAAGTTACAGCAATATTTTATCATAAAGAGTTCCTGCACAGGGTATAACTAATGGTCCATGGCCCCATTCTACAGACTGCAACCTAAGTCATTGACCATTAAGTTAAAAATCACATCTTAGGAATTCCAATTAAGACACAGACAAATACAGTATAAAATCCAACTGTGCTAGTCCGAATATTTCTGTCTTTACTGGGAAAGCCTGCCCCTTCAAATGCCAGAAGAATTTACAACTCTCCCAGATCTGAGCCTGTGCCATGTTGTGAGTTTGAAAAGGCCCACATCTGGCTTTAATGATCATTGTCTAGAAAAAAACATATCTGAAGGATTGGAGAGAAAGGAAAACTTTGTGGGGAAAAGAAGAGAAGGACATGTTTTATCTCAAGCCACCTAGCTTCTATTTTATAAATTTATCTATTGCCAAATACATTTCAGGAGTAGATTCTCACAAAACATACATATACCAGAAAATAGCAGTCTCAAATGGAAATACCTCTCATTCACTACTCTGGCATGGCAGATGGCCCTCTCCTGATATTCAGGGAAATGGACTTTGCTTTCAGAGAGAAAAGCCTATAAAACAATGAGGAGTTGTCTAGCGTATGCAGAAATGCTTAACCCCTTGCCCTCAGGTATCAAACCTGTATATGGAATACAAACACCATTCCTGAGCAGGGACTAAGTCTTATTCATCTTCATATCACCACAGTGCATTGCACATAGTAAATATCTCTAAATGTGAACATACATAGTTTAATAAGAAGCCTGAACTCTTGAGGTATAAAGATAAATTGGCCTCCCGCACTGGTAAGTCTATGGGGTTTCTGCAGTTCAGCAAGAATCCAACTACAGGACAAGACACCAGGTACCCCTTGCTTGCAGACACCCTTGATAACAGAGCAGAGATGAAGGTGAGTTTTGGGGCTTAGACTGTGTTATATTCAAAAGCATTTTGATTTAACTATGGGCCCTCAGGCTGCAGCATCTAACATCATGGGGATACATATACACCAGAGAAAGATCGCATACACATATATATTTGGCAAACATTAAATAGAATTTATGATGTGCTAGGCACTATTTTAATCACCTTAAAAATATTAACCCATTTAATGTAATTCTCAGAACAAACCCCAGAACATAGGCACTATTATTATCCTCATTTACAAATGAGAAAACTGAGGCACAGAGAGGACACTTGCCCAGGGTCACATTGCTATTAAGTGACAGAGTCAAGATTTGAACCCGATCTGTCTGGCTCCAAGTCTGTGTCTTAACAACACCTGGCCTCGTGCACCGCTCTTTTCTGGGTTGCTACAATTCTCTATTTGGTTTGTTGGATCTGGAGGGATACATACATGTTGATACGTTTATAAGAACTGGTGGCTGGGCATGGTGGCTCATGCCTGTAATCCCAGCACTGTGAGAAGCTGAGGCCAGCAGGTCACTCAAGCCCAGGAATTTGAGACCAGCCTGGGCAACACGGTGAAACCCCGTCTCTACAAAAAAATACAAAAATTAGCCAGGTGTGGTGGCTCACACCTGTGGTCCCAGCTACTCAGAAGGCTGAGGTAGGAGGATCACCTGAGCCCCAAGAAGTTGAGGCTGCAGTGAGCTGTGATCACACTGCTACACTCCAGCCTGGGAGACAGAGACCCTGTCTCAAAAAAAAAAAGAATTGGTGCTTCCTTCTTTTATGAGTATGAATACTTCTCATCAACGTGTAGATACTGAGCTTGTTGATAATTAAAATGTGATCACTTTCTCTCTAGTCCAGTTCTGGGCATGGTCTAATTGCTTAACATATGTGAAGTTCTAGTATGGAGAAGGGTCTAATGGAAAAGCAAGCAACTCCATTTCCCAAGGGTGGCTGCTAGACACGTGGCTTGTTGGCTGCCCTTCTGATCTCACATTGTTACCCTAAAAGGGCTGTATCAGGTTTAACTTCAGGGAAGCCCTTAGAACAGGGACGATGCAATCTCAGCTCTCACTCATCCTCCCCTCCTTGCACACGCCCTACAGAGTAACATGCAGACTAAAACTCCACTGAGCAGCGGGGACTGCCAGCAGATCCTCTGCACTGGGGCCAGGAGGGTGGCATCGAGCAGGGCCCTGGGGCCTGGCAGAGCAGAAGCCAAGGCTGAAGGAGGAAGGAGGGAAGACAGTAAAAACGGAATGTGCTAGCTTCATCACTGTGCCTGAAGTCTTTTACATCCCACGGTTCTGGGACAAAGAGGAGTGACCGTGTGTGTGTGTGTGTGCGCGCGCGCGCGCGCGCGTGTGCGTGCATATGAGTGTAAGGAATGGGAATGTGGCCCCAGGCCTGGTGACACACCAACAGCACTTCACTGCTGATTTTTTGGTTTATTTAATACTCAGCTGCCTTTGTTACAAAGGAATTTCATTCCTCAGAGATTCACTATTTTCAAAAGATTCATTCTCGAAAGATCGTAATTGTTCAGTATTGTATAAACCAAGATTCCTTAAAATAAAAAGGCTTGGGTCTTGGGAGCAATCTTTCCAACTGGGAGCAGGGGAGGGAGTATACTTCCAAAGTGGCAAACAAGATGAAGCCTTTAAGCCAATCATTTCAAGAGAAATAACCAAACTTTTAGTGCAATAGGTCACAGGGATCAATGTACTATTTTCGGTTAAAGCTTTGGCTTGTTCAAAGGACTTTGCACCTCCAGATTTTTTTGGTAATCAATTGGCAGTTTACCAATTTTATTGAACGCCAATGGTTCATATGCTGTTGGTATAAACAGTAAATAAAATTAAAGTTTAGAATCTGCTCTACAAAGACAGTGTTACTGAAAGGCACAAACAATCTAAATAAAATGAAACAAGATCTTAGAGTCAAACAGACCTGAGTCTGAATTCCAGCTCTGGCAGCTACGTAATCCTAGTCAAGTTACTCAATCTTTTTGAGCCCTAGTTTTCTTGTGGGTAAAATGGGGATAATTACACCTACCCTAGGGGTTTGATTTTCCTGTGAAAGTTAAAGGAGATAATATGTAAAAGTTTTCAGCATGATGCAAAAATAAGTGTTTACTAAAATATTAGTTCTCTCCCCTGTGAAAATAAAGAAAAGTAATATGTCATCATTGTGAAGTAACGTCACTCTGCAGATTTACAGACAACCTAACCAAAATGAAGGGGAAAGTGTATTCAAGGTACCTGAGTACCCACTACGTGTATACCACAATTCATGATATGGCAAAAAAGACTTTTTTTTTTTTTTTTCCTTTTTGAGACAAGGTCTTGCTTTGTCACCCCGGCTACAGTGCAGTGGCATGAACACAGCTCACTGAAGCCTTGACTTCCCGGGCTCAAACAATCCTCCCACCTCAGCCTCCTGGACTACAGGCGCGCACTACCATACCTGGCTAATTTTTGTATTTTTTGTAGAGACAGAGTTTGGCCATGTTGCCTAGGCTCATAATCCACTCTTTAAAAGCTTACACTTGACCTGTCTCTCACAAGAAAGGAAGGAAGGAAGGAAGGAAGGAAGGAAGGGAGGGAGGGAGGGAGGGAGGGAGGGAGGGAGGGAGGGAAAGGGAAAATAATAAAGAGCTTACACTCAAGTCAGGGAATAAAAACGTTCATATTAAACACTCAGTGGCATAAAAGCCATACTTGCCCTCCATTGAGCACTTACAATGTGTCAGGCATCATGCTGACCACCTCAGGAACAGGGTCTCATCTGATCCTCTAAACAGCCTGATGAGATAGCTATTGCAATGTCCCATTTCCCAGATAAGAAAACTGAGGCCTAGCAAGGTTAAATTACTTACCCCAAGGTCACAGAGTTAAGATGTGGGCTTTGAACTCAAGCAGTGTGAATCTATAAGCAGCGGCATGCAAAGACCAGTTACAACTAAGTCACAGGAGAACCCAGAAAAAGATTAAGGTGGGGTTGGACTAGTGACACATGACTCCTTGGAGGAATTCAGCTGGGCTCTAGAGGAAACATGGAAGGCAGGTGGGTACAGGAGGGGAGGAGAGGGGAGGGGAGGGGGTCATGGGAGCAGTCTCCTGCTGAAGCCTCCAGAAGACCGCAGGAGGAAAGGGGAACTTTCTTAGGGGGAGAGGAAATTGGAAGAGGAATCCCTTTACCAAATGTCGCTTGGAGCCCAGAATTTCAGCCAGTCTGCATAAGAATAATGTCCTACATTTTTAAAGAACACACCATAGTTTACAAAATGCTTGCACAAAACTGTCCCATTTGATGATGACAATGGGTAACATTTACTGAGAAATTTATAATAAACCAGGCACTACACTAGCTCATTCCAGCCTTAACAGGGTGCTAGGAAGTAGGTTGTAGTCTTGTCCCTCCCAGGTGAGAAAACAGAGACCAAGGTCAGCTAACATGTGGCAACAGTAGGGTTTCAGGTTTGAACCTAGGTCTAACTCGGGAAGGCATCATCCATACAGTCCTCAAAACAGCCTGTTTAAGTAAGTAGGGCAAGTACTGTATCCATTTTTCAGATGAAGAAACTGAGACTTAAAGGGAGCAAGGAAATGAATAATTTAACTCCACTAATAACTAAACCAGGTTTTATCACCCAGTCCTCAAGTCCCCTCCACCCCACCTCCAAGTTTGCCTTCCCAGGCCTGAGGGCGTCTCTGTCCCGGCACCCCTCCCTCCTGGAGCGGCCAGAGGCCTCAGAGCCTGTGGTTGCTGTGGCCTACAGCACAGCGTGCCCGAGCCTGCAGGGCTGGGCCTGTTATTCCACAGTAGTTGGCACTCCCACGGCAATCCCTGCCAGAGGGCTGGGTCGGGTTTCCTGTCTATCTCCCTTGCCACAGCTGTGTTTTCAATAGGGAAGTCGCCTGCTGCCTCTCCTGGGGGAGGACCACACTCCACCTCCCCTTGCTAAACACCAGGCAGCCCTGTGCGGTTGCCAGGGTTGTGTGAGGATAAGATTAGGAGGGGACCCGCCCCTGTGCAGGCCTGAGCAGCTGGACAACCGCCCATGAGACACGGGCTTCCCCGAGGCCCAGGCTGTCACCTCGGCTCTGGGAGGCCCGGTGGGGTTGCAGACAGCAGCGACAGCCCTCCTCCTGCAGGGGAGCCACCTGGCTGTTTCAGAGTGAGAGTCCAGGCTGCCTGTGGGGTCAAAACAGGAGGAAGAAGGAAATAAGAGGGGGGAGGGTGACAGAGACAAGAGGAACAAAGACAGAAGCAAGGGAGGAAAAGACAGAGAGGAATTAGGGCCAAAAGACCGACAAGGGAAGGAGATGTGGAACACTCTGCGGTCCTGGCTTTCAGCAAGTGCAGCACCCGTGCCTCAGGCTCTCCCTAGCTGATAGGAATTTTAATTACACACAATTAAATTGTATATGACATTTAGTACATTGTGTTCTAAATAGTGTATTGGATTTGAATACAAACTAAAGGCCATCTTCTTTCTCATCCTCCTCCCAAAAAGGTGGTGACTTCATCCGTGCAGAAGTCTCCCAGGTTTCCTCCGCCCCTGCCCCCACCTCCCTCCCTCCCTCCCTCCCCGGGAGAGCTGTTTGCCTTCCTTCTGCCCTTCTGGGGTTGGCACCCAGCTGTTTCTTCCCTCCTCCTCCTCCCTCACCCTCCAAAGCTCCGATCCCATCACCTTAGCCTGTGTTCTACCCCCTGTCAACTCACAGGCTTTCAACATCTCACCCTTCCCTCCACCTTTTATGTCTCTGGGCTCTGTTCCCCACCATTCATATGGTGTTTAAATCCACGGCTTCCTTTCAGTGGTTAGAGAAGGGATAAAAGCTTCCCTTTATGTTTGCCAGTGTTTAAATTGCTTCTGAAAACACCCAGCGGTGAAAACTATGAAAAGGGGACAGTCTTTTCAGCTGATTGTTTATGTAGAACTCGGCAGGGAATGTAAGCAGGGGGGTTGCTCAGTAATTACTGGACTCCATTCCCCTGGCACGGGCCCCGCCCTCCCTAACTCTAGAGGTGGAATGGCAATCCACCTCCCCACGCTGCAGGTTACACTGGTGCAAGAGTGCCTAGACCAGGAGGAAGGCTGTTCGTTCTGCTCATGCAAGCCAGGAGGCTCTGGAAACAGGCAAAGTGGGTTTAGCGATAAAGAAATAGGCCAGCCTCCAAATAAAAGGCTTTCGGCTCTTGCTCCATGGCTGTGCCTTTCAGGAGAGCTGGGCTTTCGGCTCCAAAGGCTGCCCTTCTCCTCTTTCCTCCATGCTGTCCACATGGAGTCTCTATCACGAGATACTTCTGCTGACCAGCTACGTTCACAGAGATCATTTCTGGCTGCAATCTCACTCACACCACTTATTTTATCCCAGTAGATGTTTGTTTCGGCCCCTAATTTCCATTCCCTTGGGCCAGTAAAGTGACTTGATTCCCTCTGTTTCTGAGGACCCCAAGAAAACCAGGGCTTCACTCTCCGGGAGCCGTATCTGCAGCACTCCTGGGTTCTGCCCACAAGTGGTATCCTCAGGGAAGACCCCTCTGGGCAAACCATTCTGAACAAGGCCCAGAGGATCCTCTGCTCACCTGCCCTCCCCACATTCTTCAGCACCTCCCTCCAGTTGCTCATGAAGCCTCCAGGTCCTCTGCCCCTCCACCCTACCTTCCTCCAGCCTCCTCACCACAGAATCATCTCCAACAGGGACCCCTCTTCCAGGAAAGTAGCTGGTCACAAACAAATTTCTGTATAAAGCAGTGGCTCACGCCTGTAATCCTAGCACTTTGGGAGGCCGAGGCAGGTGGATTGCCTGAGCTCAGGAGTTTGAGACCAGCCTGGGCAACACAGTAAAACCCCGTCTCTACTAAAATACAAAAAATTAGCTGGGCGTGGTGGCACGCACCTGTAATCCCAGCTACTCCAGAGGCTGAGACAGGAAAATCGCTTGAACCTGGGAGACGGAGGTTGTAGTGAGCCGAGATCGCGCCACTGCACTCCAGCCTGGGCGACAGAGCGAGATTCCATCTCCAAAAAAAAAAAAAATTCTGTATAAAACATTATCATGATTAAGAACATGAACTCTGGGGTTAAAAAAAAAAAATATATATATATATATATATAGGTTCAAGCCTATGCTGCTGTCTGCTGAGCATGTGACCTTGGGCAATTCGCTTATATCACTCTAAGCTCCAGGACCCTCATCTGTAAACTGGATACAATAATAATAGTATCTGCCTCATGGTGCTGTTGTCAAGATTAAATGAGATTAAATAAAATTATGAGAAGAATTCTTTACAAAGTGCCTTTCACCCAGTAAGCTCTCAATAATGATAGTATTATTGCCCATGACCATTTATTCAACACTCTTAAACCCCTACAATGAACAAAGTATGACTCCGCCTACCTCAAGTGTCTTTCTGTTCAATATAGGAGTCAAATATACAAACAAGTGGACATAAAACAAAGCAGAATTAGTAAATGCACATGAGATAGAAACATGATATGCTTTAGAGAGTAGAGAGATGAAAAAAAAGATTACTGTTTCCAGAACAGAAGAGGCACAGCAGCAGAGGTGGCCCACGAGCAAGGCTTTGAAGCATAAGCAGGGCTCTGATCAGTGGAAGCAGATGGTAGGTTCCAGGAAGTGGCAGAAGGGGAGGCATGGAGATGTGATGGTGCAGGGTGTGTGGAATGCACAGATGCCGGCTGCTTCCTCGGGTTCCAGCCCCCCTTCTTCCATCCTAGCAGCCTCATTGTCCACTTAGGCATCCACTGCATTGTGGGGAGTCTTGAGGTCAAGGGAAATCGTGCAGCAGGTAGCCACTCAGCACATCCCAGCCCACTGGCGACTGGGGTTGGTGCAGGGGCAGATGTACGTCAGAAACAAGTCTACTCAGATTAAAGATCAGTCATGAATGCTGGGGAAAAGTCATTCTTTTTTTTTTTTCTTTGCTTTTTTGTCTCACTCTGTCGCCCAGCAGGTTGGAGTGCAGTGGCACAATCTCGCCTCACTGCAACCTCCGCCCCCTGAGTTCAAGCCATCCTCCCTCCTCAGCCTCCCAAGCAGCTGGGACCACAGATGCATGCCACCAAGCCTGACTAAGTTTTTGTATTTTTGGTAGAGATAGAGTTTCGTCATGTTGGCCAGGCTGGTTTCCAACTCCTGAGTTCAAGCTATCTGCCTGCCTCGGCCTCCCAAAGTGCTGGGATTACAGGCATGAACTGTTGCACCAGCCAAGTCATTCTTTCTTTAGAGACATGAGATGAAGGCTGCTGGCAACCATTTTGGGACCATGAGAATTAGGAAGAAATTGTGGCCAGGCACAGTGGCTCAGTTTGTAATCACAGCACTTTGGGAGGCTGAGGTGGGAGGATGACTTGAGACCAGGAGTTCAAGAGACCAGTCTGAGCAACATAAGGAGACACTATCTCTATAAAAAAAAAAAATTGTTTTAATTAGTCAGGCTTGATGGTGCAGGCCTGTAGTCCCAGCTACTAAGGAGGCTGAGGTGGGAGGATCACTTGAGCCCAGGAGGTCAAGGCTACAGTGAGCCATGATTGTGCCACTACACTTCAGCCTAGGAGACACAGTAAGATCCTGTCTCAAAAAGAAAAAAGAAAAAAGAAAGAAAGGAATTAGATCCTTGGGGAATTGTTGAGCCTTACCCAAAGCCCCACTCTGACACTAGATTTCTTTTTCTTTTCTTTTTTCTTTTTTTTTTTTTGGTAGAGATAGGATGTCGCTATGTTGCCCAGGCTGGTCTTGAACTCCTGGCCTCAAGCGATCCTCCTGCCTCAGCCTCCCAAAGTGCTGGGATTACAGGTGTGAGCCACAGTGCCCAGTCAGCTGACTCTAGACTTCTTTTGTCCCAGAAGCAAATAACGGCGTGTATTGTATAAGGCAGTTGAGCTATGCTTTTCAGTTTCTTGATGTTCAAAAAATGACCCGAAATAGAGAGTTATAAAAAATTGAAACTAGAAAGGTATTAGAGGGTTAAATCATGAAAGGCTTTCCTTGCCCCATTCTAAGGCATTAGACTTTATGCAGGCAGTAGGAAATCCCATTGAAAACTGTTGAGGAGGGAGGTGGCACATCAAATCTGTTTTAGGAAATTGATGGCAGGATGAAAGATAGACTGGAAGGGAGAGGGATTAGAAGCAAACCAACAAAAACAACGATTGATTAGTCATGAGTCTCGGCTGGTAAAGGACATTTTATCAAATATCTCCAGATGTCCACATGGCCTGGAGTGGGGAAGAGTAAGAAAGCAGAGATACCTATGGCAACCTCTCTTCTTATCAGAACCAATGGCCTGCCCTTCACCCTTAAGAGCTTAGTGTATACAGCAGAGAGTCCAAATCCTAATACTGTATTACAATACCTCAGAAGGCTACCCAGTTGTCATAGAAGCTTCAAACAACAGGAAATTTTTAATTTTAAAACAAAGTCCATTTTAATTTAAATTTTTAACTAACATTTTTAAAAGGCGGGGAGTAGGATACAACCCCAAAACAATAAGCTTTAACGGAGTGTCTTCACTACCAAAAGTTTGTGAATCACTGATCTAAATCATGGCACTCCCAGCACCCCTTCCCGGAGCGGGTGCCAGTCCTGGCATGGGTTCCCAGCCCTCTGGGGAGCTACTGGTGTGCTAAAGCTTTGCAGTGCCTGCGGACAGGAAGAGGCTCCAGAGCTCCCAGAGCTCCCATCCTCAGATCCACAAAAAAATGCGAATCTCTCCTAGAGCAATGTAAGTGTCTTGATTCCTCTTCCTGTCGCCTTTCCCCGCTGCCCTTTCTGCTGCACTGTTGCAGCACTGGGCTGATGACGCCAGGGCAGTGAAGGTTCCTTGCCCCCCGCATCTTCCCCTGTGCTGAAGCAGCGCATGGTAACCTGGCTGCCCGTGTTCTGATGCATTCTCCATTCTTTCCCACAGGCACACTCCCACCTGCATTCCAAACTGACTGTTTCATTTACATAATTCCAATAGCTTTCACTGCCAGCTTCCTGTTTTTGTAAACTCATGTAGAATTTTTTAGTTTCATAAGAAACAAGGGCCCCAGCTCACAATCACCCTCTACCAACATAGTTTATCTGCATCAAAGAAGACAGGGAAGCTTCTGTCCATTGGTTTCCCTTCTTATTTTAGAAATAGAAGCTTAAAAAACACCCCAGTGGTTTCCAATCCAGAGAGTTGCATATAAGCTTTTGACTTTACTGGTTACTGGCTTCCTGTTAACTGAAAGAAGTTTCAAGCTGAGTCAGAGAAGAGAACCGGGCCCAGCAGTGATTCATTAGTGTTGCTAATGACACCCCTACCGCCACCACCATCACTGCTGCTTTTGCTGGGGCTGCTGGGGCCTCCATGTTAGCCTAATCCTAAGAGAGCAAGAAACTGAAGCCATTGTCCTGATTTTCTCTTCCAGATGGCATTGCAGTGGCAGCAGTGAGCACAGGCCAAGCAAGACTGGCCTTGAGATGAGGAGGCCAGATGGGCCCTGAATCAGGGTGGTTTCAGGATGCCCAGGAAGGCACTGCTGCTGCAGAATAACTTCCCCCTCTCCCTGCCCTCCCTTTGCACAGTGCCTGAAGATTCTTCCTCCTTCTGAGCTTTTCTGGTCTTCCTGTAAGATACAAATACAGCTTAAAAGGGCTGCTCATACCCTAATATGATTAATGTGATGAGCTCACTTTGGAAAATACTAATCACTTGAGACATGCAGATGGAAGAGATGCTGAATTATAACCCAAAAGACTACCAGGCCAGAAAAGACAGTCAGGAAAGAGATGCAAGTGTCAACTACTTCTCAGTTTTGCCCAGATCCGGGCTTCACTGCAGGGTCATAGTCAGGAGCATCTGACCACCATACAGCCAGCAGTGCAGGAAGTGTTCAGCACTCTTCAGCCATGACTCTAGTTTAGGGATTTCTCTCAGTGCCAAGATCCTCCTGGAGGGCTCCAACAAACAGCAACACATAAAAAAAGTTGCTTTAGAAATGCATCTATAACAACAAAGGGTTCCCAACCCATATTCTTGCAGCTAAGTCTGTCATATGCATTATCTTATCTAATCTTCACAGCAACCTAGGAAACATCACTTCTCCTGATTCTACAGATGAACAGTGAAGATGATGCCACAAGTAAATTTCTGACTTAAAATATCATATTCCATCACAGTATAATTGATTAATTCCTAGACTTTAAAAATCAACATATCATTCACATAACATAAAATCTATCATTTTTTAAAGTAAACATAAAATCTATCATTTGTTAAAGTATACAGTTCAGTGGTTTTTAGTATATTCACTATGTTGTGCAAACATCACCACTAGCTAATTCTAGAACATTTTCATCACCCCAGGAAGAAATCTTGTACCTATTAGCAGTCACTCCCAATTCCTCCCTATGCCTCTCTCCCTGACAACCACTCCTCTACTTTCTGTCTCTATAGATTTGCCTATTTGAACATTTCATATTAATGGAATCATAAAATGTAGTTTTTTTGTGACTGGCTTCTTTCACTGCATGTTTTCAAGAGTCATCCATGTTGTAGCATATAATAGTACTTCATTCCTTTTTATGGCTGCATAATATTCCATTGTATGGATATACCACATTTTGTTTATCCATTCATCCATCAAAGAACACTTGAGTTGCTTCCCCCTTTCAGCTATTGTGAATAACGCTGCTATGAACATTATTGTACAAGTTTTTGTGTGGACATATGTTTTCAATTACCTTGGGAATTCCTAGAGTTTTTATATATCTGAAAACATAGGTAAGTCTAAAAGAAATGAGTATCAGCTATGGTATTGCATTCATTACAAGGTATTTATAATATGCCTGTTTTCAATAAGGATTTGCAGTATTCCCACCATGATATCCTATGCCACCTGTAGTATTGTACCCGTCACACTGAGTCTGTTTCCACAACTGCATGGAGTGCTCTTTGAGGGAAGGGACCCATCCTGTTCACTGTAAACAATTTCTTAAGTATAAGTCGCTACCTGTCTGTGAAGCAGCAGCACCTTCCTGGGCATGCTGAAACCACCCTGATTCAGGGACCATCTGGCCTCCTCATCTCAAGGCCAGCCTTGCTTGGCCTGTGCTCATACTGCTATACCACCTGGAAGAGAAAATCAGGAGGCTTCAGTTTCTTGCTCTCCTAGTATCAGGCTAACATGGAGGCCCCAGCAGCAGCAGGAGCGATGGTGGTAGCAGAAGGGGTGTCATCAGCAACACTAGTTAGGTGGGCCAGAGCTGAATGGACTGGAGTTGACATCTGCCCACGGGACAGCCAGCAGCACAGAAAGTGCTCAGACATGGAAGTTCTCCCCACAGTCTCCTCAGGCAGGAATGGATCAATTAGACCCTCCTCGAGTGGATGGTGGTTGGTATAAGCCAAGAGACACAAGAGAGGAGGCAGCAAGCAGCAGCCCTGAGGAAGCAGAAGTTCTAGGGTATTGAGAACGACATGTAGTTGTTCAGTAACTGCTGGGCTGGCAGAGAGGCTGAGACAACAGACTCGTGCAGCTGGGAGGACAAGGGGCTGAGTCTCTGCCACTACATGAGATCTTGAATAATTTTTCACTTCCCAGATTATGTTTCACTCCACATGAAAAGAGCATATCTTACTGCTTAGTTGCGCTCTCTCTGCCCACGGATAGCTCACAGATGCCTTTTTCATTGTTGTGTTTTGCAGAGATGGGGTCTCACTGTGTTCACAGGCTGATCTCAAACTCTTGGCCTCAAGGGTTCCTCTTGCCTCAGTCTCCCAAAGTGATGGGATTATAGGAGTGAGCCATGATGCCCACACTCAGCCCGCTCCTCTTGCCCAGAGAGTTTGCACATGGACTGCTGCTCCCCGACCCCCTCCTCCAGCCACTTCTCTCCAATAGCAAATGCCCTTCCCCTGGTGAATGCCCATTCCTCCTGGGATCTCAGCTCAGCATCACTTCCTCCAGGAGGACCCCTTGGAGCAGTAAAATCCTCTCCTCTAAGCCCTCACAGCTGCATCAGCGTCTTTGTGACACCACTGCTGTAAGACTGCATCTATGGAGTGATTCATTCATATTGATGCCCAGCTACACAAACACTCCATTAAAGTAGAGACTATTTTGGCTCAGCTTTGTATCCCCAGCACCTAGCCTGACACCTAGCAGGGCAATAAATATTTGATGAACGAATGAATTCATCGTTTTTTTCCAGGAAGGAAACAAGTCCAATTTTTAAGTAGTTAAGGATACAAGACCTTCCCATTGATCTTGTAGTAAAAAATCATATTGGATTGACAAAACTCAAGGTATATACAAGGCATGTCCTGGGACCCTCTCCTTCTGCCATAGGAAGGACAATACCTTGGCATGGGAGAGAAGGGGGCTGGGATCAGGACTGGGCTCATTGTGTGAGGTAGTCTCAAGTCCTTACATGAGGAGGCTCATTGAACAGCCAAAAAATTGATGAGTCTCAGGTAGGGGTCTCAGGAAGGTCTCCCCTGCCTACCACGGGAACTACTCTCACTATGGGGCAGTTCTGATAGGCCTCTAAGGCATGAACTGGTAGAGAGTGTGTGTGTGTGCATGTGTGCATGCGTGTATGAGTACATGTGTGTGTATTTGTCCTGTACTCCAGATTCAGGTAAGGAGCAGCTTGGGGGGCTCAGGCGCAGCCCCTGAATAGGGGAAAGTGGAGGTAGGCAGAGAGGGCAGAAGAAAGCAAGCCACTTTCAAAACAACCCTCCAAAAACATCTGAGAGACTTTAGTGTAATAATCTGATTTTGTGAGACAAAGATCCAGAGGGCGTTGGGCATGAGTCCAGTTCAGAATCAATCTGGTGGGCACCTCAGGGCTCAAAAATACTCTCTTTACCAGGCCCTGACCTGGGCCACCTGTTATTGGAGCTGTGGAAGTTGGAATTCAGTTTTGATTAGGGCAGAATCCCAAAGAGGTCTTTAAGATAAAGTGGCTGCAAAAGGAACCCCGAAAGAACCATAGAAGTTAAACTACAGAAACCAGTATTTAGTACCATCAAGCTGGTTATCACACGGCTTCAGCCACAAGCAAAGATTTGGCAGGAATGTGAACTCAAAAATCAGGACTGTCAGGCAGCAGGCTTGATAAATCAGTTACTTCTTCTGGTCTCCTCTATCATCCTCCCCTCCCTGCTTCCAAGATGTAGGCTGAGGGGGAACACAAGATGTAGCACTGGTTTCTGCCTGACATACATTCTCTGGGCCTACTGGTCTGAGAGCATTAGAAGGACACAGGGATAAATCAAGAGGACCCAGCATGCTGAGAAAGATGTGAGCAGAATTAGTTAATTCTACTCCCTTGGACTAGATAGCACGTTGAGAGGCTCTGTGATTTCTGAAATCCTGTATGAAAATTATACAAGATCTAATGTTTCAAGGTTCCTTTAGTCAATTTTATCAATAAGGGATGTGAAATACCAACACTGCTGATAAAATATTCAGAAATTATATTACCACAGCTTTTGACCTGACATCTGTGATAAGACATATTTAAAAATCGACCCTGGTGGCTTTTAAGGCTAAAAGACTGAAAGACATTATTACTGATTTTGCAGTTAATTTGAAGAACCACATCTGATCTTCCATTGTCCTTTCTCATCAGATCAATACCTTCAAGTGTATTGTCAGTTAAAATGCTGCAGTACTGCAGCAAATTTACATACCCGATTGGTTCTGTGGCAGTGATAAGCACAAAGTGGTGTTAATGACGGGACTCTGGGCTGTCCTTTGCAGACTGGAGAGGAAATTATTGAGTCTCCTCCAGGTGCGTGAGAGGAGAAAGGAATCGCACTCTCTCCCCTGCCATTCTTCTCACCTCCAACCTACACAAACAGCTTGATTCCTACCTTTGTTTCTCCCATGTGCTTTTGGGAGTACCACTGAATGAGAGTGACCTGAATTATCTACAAGATATGGTAAAAGCAAATCATCCCCAAATTCCAATACTTTTTACTGTAACTGAAACAAGTCACTTTGATAAACCTTGCAACTCATTGGGACGTCTCAACTTTGTGCTTTGTTCTGTACTGGAAACCACCTGCTCCCCTCTCTGCCACTCCCAGGTGTTTACTTTTCATAATTTTTGCTAACAGCAATCACACCCCTTCCTTGAGCCCTCGGGGTAGGTTGAAACTACATTTAAAGAAGCACACTAGGTCTCCCTACCCCACTCCCAAAACATCATAAACACACCTATTAACACACACACACAAACGTTCAGCGCCCCAGGTAGGTTTCCCTGACCTTTTGGTTTGCTAAAGACAACTTTAAAAGCCAAAAAATGACTTGCAAACTTCCTTTATGTTCTGCAAATTTAAAATTTCCGCATATATATTACACGAATCAGTCACCTACCCTACTTACCCACCATATCAAGTTTATATACAAAGACTAGCCAAATAACTTCCAACAAATGGATTTCTTTAAAAAACAAAAAATAAAAAGAAGGAAAATTTTGTTTCTAGGCTTAAAGTACCTTTGTCAACTGGTGACAAATAAAACAAGATTTCAAGGGATGATTAAAGACCCTGGGTCAATGCCCTCACTCTCCAGGGAAATCGTTGACTCAATCCTTATAAATGGATTCCATGGATCACTGTCCTCCATTCTGATATTGTTGGTGATTATAGTAAAATAGCCAAAGTCATTCAGTCTTACTATCAACAGATGGTGCCTGCTTTTCTCTCATACTTGCCTAAAAGCCTCTGTTACAAACTCAGAAATAAAATGGGAACTTTTTGAAGAAACGTCAAAAAAATATGCAATAAAAACTGTAACAGGTAGACTCGGAGCACAGGCTTTTGAGCAGGAGCTGATGTTATTACCACAGACACCTGTGACTCTATACTGGGGACTCAGGCCTTCCAGGATGTCTAGCACAGAAAGAGATGACTTCAAGAAAGCAGACTGTCTACCCCAAGATCAGCAAAATAAAATCTTCTTATTAAAATTCTTTGTATATATGTTAAACTAGAAAATTGAAAGGAAAAACTTCAAACAATAATGATTATGTAGAATATATTAATAGATTTTATCTATAAACTACCCAAAACCATGGCAACAATGGTTAAATATTATTCAAAGTGCTTTTATTCAGTTCCTTCACCTTTACGTCATGTAGGTTATTTACTTAGGCTCAATAAAAATCCATCCTCTTTCCTGTAAGATTAAACTGAATAAATCAAATTTGCAACAATAACCAAGACCCAAATCTCATTTAATTAGATATGACAAGCCACTTTTAAGGAACAAGAACTATGCTTTACAGGTTGGGGAGGAATGCCTACACACAGTAATGTGTCGGTAAGTGTTTAACAACCAGCTCTGCAAAGGAAAAAAACACACTGTGTTGTTGCATTTGCCAATTTCTGTGGCATAAATATTCCTGTCATGGCCAATGTTAACATGACATCACTGAATGTGGAGTTGAGAAGACATGAAATGGCACACCATTATAAAGTATTTCCACCATAAAGATGCAATATTCAAGTTGAATGATGAAGAATCATTAAATAAATAAATGCAATAGATGCAGAGAGGCCAGGCACAGCAGCTCATGCCCACAGTCCCAGCACTTTGAGAGGCCAAGATAAGAGGATCATTTGAGGCCAGGAGTTCAAGAACAGTCTCTGGGCAATATAGCAAGATCTTGTCTCTACAAAAATAAAAATAAAGTAAATAAATGGGCCAGGTGCAGTGGCTCATGCCTATAATCCCAGTACTCTGGGAGGCCGAGGTGGGAGAGTCACTTGAGGTCAGGAGTTCGAGACCAGTCTGGGCAACATGGTGAAACCCCATCTCTACTAAAAAATACAAAAATTAGCCAGGCATGATGGTTGGCACCTGTAGTTCCCTGCTACTTGGGAGGCTGAGGCAGGAGAATTGCTTGAACCCGGGAGGCAGAGGTTGCAGTGAGCTGAGATTGTGCCACTGCACTCCAGCCTGGGTGACAGAGTGAGACTCTGTCTCAAAAAAAATAAATAAATAAAAAATAAAGTAAATAAATGAATTTATTTAATAGATGCAAATAAGCTTAAGAGCATAGATAAAAATAAACTGCCATACAATAATTAGTAAGAGATAAGTTTTGAGTATTTATTGCCATTGTTTTAAACATAATTTATTTAATTGTATATCATAAAGTTTAGTTTCTCATAATGGCCATGTTTAACAAGCAGCTTACAAAATTCCTACAAATTTAACAATCAGTTCTTGCAAGCCAGTATGAGCCGGTTCCAGCACACCATTCCCAGAAAACTGCCCTGGAACTTATTCTGTGGTTTATGGAATATCAGCTTTACAGATAGTAAAGAATTGCCTAGCAAGTTAGGAAAATGACTAATTTGGAGGGGTCTCAGACAAACGAAACCTCATAGAAGCAAACTGGATGGTTTTTGTTCCTCAGCTCAGTAAATACACTAATAAGGGCCTGTTAAAGCAAACTAAATATGGCCTGAGAAGGACTCCGTATTTCTATATTTGAGTACTTGTGGACAAACTGTAACCTTGTAATAGGCAGACAAGATTGAGAACCTAACTTAGGAGTATGCGCCTGTAACAATAGCTGAGTCTTGGCCAATCCCAGTGGCCATACTTCAACCACTCATAGACTGCTAAGTGTTTAAACTGTGTTCAAATAAGGCAAATGCCAACCCATAGCCAATCCAGCTGTTTCTGTACTTCACTGCCAATTTCTGTATGTCATTTCTCTTTTTTTTGTCTTAAATTTGTTCTGACCATGAGGCATCCCTGGAGTCTCTCTGAACCTGCTGTGATTCTGGGAGCTGCCCGATTCGCAAATCATTCATTGCTCAGTTAAACTCCTTTAAATTTAATTCCGCTGAAGTTTCTCTTTTAACAGGCCATAAAATAATGTGACACATAAAAGTACATTACAGATATGGAGGATTTACAAGTTAAGTCTCAAACCAGAAGGCTCTGGTTTTTGAAGTCTGTAACAAGGATGTATTGGTGTATTAACATCTCTTATACATGATGTAAATAAAACAAAATTTCAAATGAGTTATAGGGAATCAGAAAAATCTCAAAACAATTTAGGAGGTCAAATCTGCATGCGAGAAAAGAACTTGACCATAAAGAAAAACTGTGAAAACACGACTAAACTAATACCCTCCTGGGCCACATCCCATGGGGGAGCAGAGGGAGAAAACCACTTTGCACCCAGAGACAAAACAAAACACAAAAACCAGGATTACTCTCTATAATTCTAGTCCCCAAAATATGAAACCCTGAACCATTCCTGTAGTGACTCCCTAACAAAAACATCTCTATCCCTAACTTTTGCAATGCTAATGCCTGAAGATATGTCTCAACCTTTGTAAATATTAATATCACACAAGAAAAACACCGGTTTTCCACCATAAACAGTAAACTCAGTGATTTGGTAATTTTTTCCTTTAAATACTTGTTGCATTTTTTATTGGATGAGCCTGTCTTTCTAAAGCCTGGATTCCCTTGCAACACTCACTACAAATAAAGTTGCTTTCTCTTCTAAATGCTTTTGTCTGAGTCTTTGATAGTAACTTGCTTACTTGTCCCTATTTTTTTGGTCCTACATACCTATTGCTATGATCTGAATGTTTGTGTCCCACTGAAATACATATGTTGAAAACTTAATCCCTAGTGTGACGATTAGGCAATTAGGTCATGAGGGTGGGGTCCTCATCAATGGGATTAGTGCCAAGAACTGCCTTGCCCCCTTTCAACACGTGAGGACCCAGCAAGAAGACACCATCTACAAGAAATCAGGCTCTCACAAGACACCAAAGCTGCTGGCATATTGACTTTGGACTTCCCAGCCTCCAGCACCGAAAAATCAATGTTTGTTGTTTACAAGCTGCCCAGTCTATGGTGTTTTGTTACAGCAGCCCAAATGGACTAAGACACCTGCTCCCAGTCATGGCCATGTATTAATAGCTCCTATCAGACCAATGTTCTCACAGATAACAACAGTGAGCTCTGGACAGAAAATAAAAACATCTTTCTAAAGTCACAAAAGAGCAACCGAAAGTAGGTAGATGCTGGAGGGGAGTGGACATTTGAAAGAGGGGAAAAGCACTAAGGGAGCATCCCATTTTTACGGCTTTTATCCTGAGGGAAAGCCCCCAAATGGCACTATGCAGGGCAGCTAAAAGTCAGAAAAAAAAACCAAAGTCTTACTGGTGTGAACCAAAGGATGGGATGTGAGGGAAATATAGATGCTGGAAAGCAAAGTGGGGGAAATCCTGAAAGGGAGAGGGCCAGAAAGGGGGAGCCCCAAATTGTGTATATAAATTCTGACCAACTGTCCAGCTGATGCTGGAACCACATGTGTGTGAGTCAGACTTGAAGAATAAAAGACCTGAGCAGAAATGTGAGCTACCACTCACAGCAGGGAAGATAAAGTTTAGCATTTGAATTCAGCCAAGTTAACTGCCTACCATTAAAAAAAAGAAGAAAAATACTCTTCAGAGAAACATAGCAGAACTCAGAATCTCTGCAATGTATTGACAATGTTCAGGATACAGTTCAAAATTATTCAATATTCAAAGAAACAGGAAGACACTACTCATATCAAGAAAAAGAATAAAATCAATGAAGATCAACCCTGAAATGATTCATACATTGGAATTAGTAGACAGGGTTATATGAAACAATTATTACAACTAAGCTCAAGGACTTAAAGGAAAATGCGCTTGGGAAATACACTTGTTAATAAATGAAAAAATAGGAATTGTCAGCAGGTAAATAGAAACTCTAAAAAATAACTAAATAGAAATTATAGAACTGAAAAACACATCTAAAATTTAAAAATTACTAGATAGGGGCCAGGCATGATGGCTCATGCCTATAATCCAAGCATTTTGGAAAGACGGGGCAGGAGGATTGCTTGAAGCCAGGTGTTTGAGACTAGTCTGGGTGACATAGAGAAACCTAGTCTCTACAACAAATTTTGAAAAATTAGCCGGGCATGGTGGCACATGTCTGTAGTTCTTGCAGTCCTATTCAGGAGGCTGAGGCAGTAGCATTGCTTGAGCCCAGGAGCTCGAGGCTATAATGAGCTATGATTGTGCCACTGCACTCCAGCATGCATGACAAAGCAAGACTCTGTTCCCCCCCACCCCCCAAAAAAAAATTACTGAATGGGCTTAACAGCAGAATAAAGATATAGAAGAAAGCGTCAGTGAACTTGAAGATTGATTAACAGATAGATAAATTATCTAATTTAAAGATCAGAGCGAAAAAAGATGGGAAAAAAAATTGACAGAGCTTCAGGAACCTGTGGGCCCTTATCAAAAGATTTAACGTAAGTACAATTGGAGTACCAAAAGGAGTGAAATAGAATGGGGTAGCCAAAACACTCAAGGAAATAATAGCCAAACTCTTCTCAAAATTGCTATGGCCCCATTTAGAGTGCAAGCTTAATAAAAGCCAGGATTTTTGACTTATACCTCTTTAGTAGCTCGTATCATATCATACCTAACAAGGTTAGGTCACATACTAGATTCTCAACTAGTATCAACTTATATATTCAGCATCAAAAATAATTATTTACTGAGTGCCTGCTATGTGTAAAGCACCAGGAATGGTGTAGAGACACAAACATGCCCTGTGCTTAATGAAAGAATAGGGTTTTCAAAAAGATTAAGAGAAAGAAGATTTATTGTTTCTTTTTAAAGAAACAATAAAGAAGGAAAGGGTTTTTAAAGAAGGAAAGGGTTTCCAATGGCCTCTGTTTTTTACTCTTTCCTAGGTAATTCATCATGATTTGATCTAACTTGCTTATGGCGATCCCTGCTAAAAGGAGAATGTAACATTGTGATCCAGAGTGAGAAGGGATGTCATATCAGTAGGCCATAGTTACAGGTACATCCTTCCAGAACCGCTTCAAATAGCGCTTTTCTCACCTAACTGTTTAGAACAGAAAGGGAAGCTTCTTCTATACAATTTTCACTGTTTTTGCTTGAAGTTGCCTTTACCTTTTAGGCAGAACTTACATCCTTTAAATAGCTGCAGATGATAGCTGTAACTATGACATATTTTTATCAGTCAGTAAAATATGGAGGGAAACAGCTGAGAAAAACCATTTCTCCACTTTGGGGAGAAAATACAGAAGTGTGTATACCTCTCCAGAACCTAGAGGGTAAAAGATCAAAAGGAATATGTGTGTGTGAGAGAGAGAGGAACAGAAAGACAGAAGGAGGAAGGGCTCCTAACATTCCTTTCTCTGTGTGAATTCTTGAAGCACTTCTCTCCATCTGTTTACAAACTGTCCACTAATAGTCTACGATTCTGAGAACCAACCTGTCTACAAATAAACTCAGTAAAAATATCACAGCTGGTGTTTTGGTTGTACTGGTCTGATAGGCTCACCTCAAATATGATTGTAAATGTAAGGACATGGTTTCAGGCACAAAGCCTGAAACTATATGCCTGGAATCATAAATTTAGTAAATCCCCTTGAAATGAGCTGCTGAGAATGTCTTATTTCTGTTAGAAAATAGAATTCTCCCATAAAGATATAAGCAGAAATTAGATTTTGGTATGTTTACAGGAGACTCTGGGTCTAGGATGTGACATTTATGAGTTTGGTTATAGATCTGTCACTGGCTCTTTACGTGACTTTCGTCAGTGTTTTAGTCCATCCGGAGCCTGTTTAGTCAGCCGACCTGGGGATAATACTCTTTGCTATCCTTTTCACAGCAATGCTGCATCTGTCATAATCATAATAGATATCACTTATTGCGTTAGTACTGTGCATCAGGCACTGTGATAAGCACTCTACTTGCATTATTTCTAATCCAAACAATCATCTTGAAGGTAGTGTTATTCAATTTGCAGATGACAATACTGAATCTCATAGAGTTTTAGCAACCTTTAAAAAGCTGCACCAACTAGTGAGGTGTGATGCCAGGATTCTATCAGGTGCCTCTTACTACATGATGCTAGTTTGCTTTTATTCACTTGGCATAGTTGATATAGAAAGAGCATTCTAGGTATGTATACGTATATATTCATGTATATATAGGCATATAAGTGTATGTGTGTATACAGGAAAAAAACTTAGTGATTACATTCAAGGAATATAAACCTAGATGAAAGATGAAATATGGCCCAAATCATCTAGAGAGTATAAACAAAACACAGTGAAAGCTACAGGCTGCACTTAAGGACTATGCATAAAACACAAAGTGGCTCATGCCTGTAATCCCAGCACTTTGGGAGGCAGAGGCAGGAGGACTGCTTGAGCCCAGGAGTTTGAGAACAGCCTGGGTAACATGGCAAGGCCCTATCTCCACAAAAAAAAAACCCCACAAAAATTAGCTGGGCATGGTGGCATGCCCCTGTAGTCCCAGCTTCTGGGGAGGCTGAGGTGGGAGGATCGTTTGAGCAGAGGAGTTGGAGGCTGCAGTAAGCCGTGATCACACCATTGCATTTCAGCCTGAGCAACAGAGCCAGACCCTGTCTCAAAACACAAAAAATACAAAGTAAAAGAATATTTGAGATGCCTGTGGTAACCCCTGGAAATCACTGGAGACTGATAGTTTTCATATCGTATGCATCCTCACCTGGATAATAAACCACCTCAAAGGGAAAGCGTCCCTTCCATATGACTGACAAGATAAAAAAAGTTGTGCATTCCCTACTGCATGATTTCTAATGTAACTTGAAAACAAGTTCCCAGTGTTCCCAAATCAGAAGCATTAGAAAACTGAAGTTTTACAAGTTGATGATTGTGGATGGATACATGGGAATTCATTGTATCAGTCTATTTTTCTTTGCACGCTTAAAATTTTCCATAATTAAAGTTTTAAAAGAAAGAAGAGGGCTGGGCATCCTGGCTCATGCTAGTAATCCTAGCACTTTGGGAGCTGGAGACAGGACAAGCCTGCACAACATAGTGAGATTCTATCTCTACAAAATTTGTTTTAAATTAGCCAGGCATTGTGGCACCATCTGTGGTCCCAGCTACTTGGGAGGCTGAGGCAACAGGATTGCTTGGGCCCAGGAGTTCAAGGCTGTGGTGAACAATGATCACGCCACTGCACTCCAGCCTGGGTGACAGAATCAGACCCTGTCTCTAAAAAATAAAGGGGGGCGGTGGTGGGGTGAGGTGAGGGGAAGGAAAGAAGGTGTGGGAAAAGAAAGAGAAAGAAACATAGCAGTCTACCTGGAATGGAAGAAGGCTGATGCCTAGAAACAAAAGAGAAACTCTGAAAGAATAAATGACCTACAAAGGAGCTTCTCTTCTATTGGTCAGTAGTTGTAGTGTTTTAGGAGGAGAAAGCTCAGTGAAGAAAAGGAAAGATCTTCCTGTTAAAACCTGAGTTCTTACCTGTAAGGGATTCTGAATAACCAAGAAAAGCTACCATCTTGGAAGGTGCACCCAGTGGCCCAATATGGAGAAGCAGAGAGTGACTATATAAGTTTATGAACGAAGGGCAGGTATGTAACAGAGGGCTGTTTCCAATAAACTCAACTACATCCCAAAATAAAGCTCAAAAATATTAGTAGGAATGTAAAAATGCCCAGCACTCAATATGCTGAAATTGACAATGTCTGGCATACAATCAAAGATAGATACCAAGAAACAGGAAAACTGACCCTTGGTGAGGAGAAAGATCAGTCAAGATAAACTGACCCAGAACTGATCCATCTGTTAGAATTCACAGTCAATGACATAAAAAATAATCATTACAACTATATTATATATGTTCAAAAGTTAAGTAAATACATGAAAGATATTTTTTGAAGACTCTTATCAAACTTCTAGAGATTAAAACTATAAAATCTGAGATAAAAATACATTGCTGGGATTAACGGCAAAGTAGATACTGCAGAAGAAAAGATGAGTGAACTTGAAGACATCAACACAAAATATCCAAGATGAAACACAGAGAAGAGCATCCATGAGTTGTAAGCAGCCTAATATACATGCAACTGGAGTTCCCAAAAGGTAGGAGAGATGGGGACATAAAAATATTTGAAGAAGTAATGGCTAAAATTTGGGTGAATTTTATAAAATTTATAAATTTGATAAAACTACAAAGTCACAGATACAAGAAGCTTCATGAATCCCAACATGAAGAAAACAACACCAACACATATCATAGTCAATGTGCTCAAAACTGGTGATAAAGAGAAAAATCTTTTTTTTTTTTTTAAACAGAGTCTCGCTCTGTCACCCAGGCTGGAGTGCAGTGGCGTGATCTCGGCTCACTGCAAGCTCCGCCTCCCAGGTTCGTGCCATTCTCCTGCCTCAGCCGCCCCAGTAGCTGGGACTACAGGTGCCCACTACCGCGCCCGGCTAATTTTTTGTATTTTTAGTATAGACAGGGTTTCACCGTGTTAGCCAGGATGGTTTCGATCTCCTGACCTCGTGATCTGCCCGCCTCGGCCTCCCAATTTTTTTTTTTTTTTGAGACAGAGTTTTGCTCTTGTTGCCCAGGCTAGAGTGCAATGGTGCGATCTCCGCTCACTGCAACCTCCACTTCTTGGGTTCAATCAATTCTCCTGCCTCAGCCTCCAGAGTAGCTGGGATTACAGGCACGCGCCACCACACCCGGCTAATTTTTGTATTTTTAGTAGAGACGGGGTTTCACCATGTTGGTCAGGCTAGTCTCGAACTCCTGATTTCAGGGGATCCACCCATCTTGGCCTCCCAAAGTGCTGGGATTACAGGCGTGAGCCAACGCACCCAGCCAAGGGAAAAATCTTAAAAGTAGTTAGAAAAAAACTACATACATGCAAATTTCTTATCAGAAAAAATGCAAGCAGGGGAGGAGGCAGACCAAGGTTGCAGAATAGAAGCGTTTACTGATTGTCATCCCCCACAGGAACACCAAATTTAACAACTATTTACACAAAAAAGCACCTTCATAAGAACCAAAAATCAGCCGGGTGTGGTGGCTCACACCTGTAATCCCAGAACTTTGGGATGCCAAGGTGGGCGGATCACTTGAGGTCAGGAGTTTTGAGACCAGCCTGGCCAACATAGTGAGACCTCGTCTCTACTAAAAAAAAAAAATACAAAAATTAGCCGGGTGTGGTGGCATGTGCCTATAAATCCCAGCTACTCAGGAGGCCGAGGCATGAGAATCACTTGAACTGGGGAGGCGGAGGTTGCGGTGAGCCAAGATTACGCCACTGCATTCCAGCGTGGACAACAGAGCAAGACTCTGTCTAAAAAAAAAAAAAAAAATCAGGTGAGCAATCACACTACCTGTTTTATGTTTTTGTTTTGAGACAGAGTCTTACTCTGTCACCCAGACTGGAGTGCAGTGCTGCAATCTCAGCTCACTGCAACCTTCACCTGCCAAGTTCAAGCAATTCTTGTGCCTCAGCCTCCTGAGTAGCTAGGATTACAGGCACCCACCATTATGCCCAACTAATTTCACAGTACCTGGTTTTAACTTCATATCACTCAAAGAGGCACTGGAGAGGGTAGGAAAGACAGTTTTGAATTGCCAACACCATCCCTCCCCATTCCCCTGCCAGTGGTCAGCTGTGTGGCACAGAGAGAGAATCTGTGTGCTTAAGGAAGGGAGAGTGCATTGATTGTGAGATTTTGCACTGGAATGCAGTACTGCCAACACTGGGCAGAACTCAGCCAGGGCCCAAGGAGGGATGATTTAGATCAACCCTAGCCAGAGGGGAATCGCCCACTCCACTGGTCAGAACTTGAATTTCAGCAAGCCTTGTCACCGCAGGCTAACGTGCTCTGAGCCCTAAATTAACTTGAAAGACTGTCTAGGCCATAAAGAGTACAACTCCTAGATGACTTCTAGTGCTGTGCTGGGCTCAGAGCCAAAGGACCTGAGGAGCACACGACCTAATGAGACACCAGCTGAGGTGGCTAAGGGAGTGCTTGCATCACCTCTCCCCCAAAACTAGGTAGTACAGCTCACAGCTCCAAAAGTGACCCCTTCCTTCTGCTTGAGGAGAGGAGAGGAAAGAGTAAAGAAGACTTTGTTTTGCAACTTGGATATGAGCACAGCTACAGAAAGATAGGGCACTGGGCAGAGTCATGAAGCCCCCATTCTAGGGCCTAGCTCCTAAACAACATTTCTAGACACACCCTAGGCCAGAAGGGAGCCCGCTACCTTGAAGGGAAGGTCCTATTCCTGATAGGATTTATCATCTGCTGACTAAAGAGCCCTTGAGCCCTGAATAATCAGCAGTGGTAATCAGGTAGTACATACTGAGGGCCTTGGGTTAGACTCGGACATGCTGGCTTCAGTTGTGACCCCGCACATTCACAGCTGTGGTCGCTACGAGGAGAGAACCCTTCTGCTTGAGAAAAGCAGAGGAAAGAATAAAGAGGACTCTGTCTGGAGCTTAGGTACCAGCTTCGCTACAGTGGGGAAGAGCACCAACCAGGCTCTTGGGGTCCCTGATTCCAAACTTCAGTTCTTGAACAGCATCTCTAGACCTATCCTGGGCCAGAGGGGAACCCACTGCCCTGAAGGGTGAGTCCCAGGCTTGAGAGCATTCAACACAAGCTGACTGAACAGCCTTGGGCCTTAAATGAACATCCGCAGTATCCTAGCACTGCTCCCCATGGGCCTGTAGTGGTGCATGAGGAGAGACTCCTCTGCCTGCTGGGGAAAGGAGAGGGAAGAGTGGAAAAGACTCGTTCCAGTGGATTTGGTGCCAGCTCAGCCACAGTAGAATAGAGCACCAGGTAGATTTCTAAGGCTCTGAACCCTGGACAGCATCTTTGGACCCATCCAAGGCCCAAGGGAACTCACCGCTCTTAAGGGGAGTATACAAGTTTGACTGGCTTCACCACCTGCTGAGTGTAGAGCCCTAGGGCCTTCAGCAAACATAGGCAGTAGCCAGGTAGTGGTTACAGCAGGCCTAGGGCAAGACCCAGTGGTGTGCTGGCTTCAAGTTTGACCCAGTGCAATCCCAGTGGTGGTGGCCACAGGGATACTTGTGTCACCCCTTCCCCAGCTCCAGGTATCTCAGCACAGAGAGAGAAACTCTTTGGGAGAATTTAAGGGAAGAGAAGAAGAGTCTCTACCTGGTAATCTAGAGAATTCTTCTAGATTTTATCCAAGACCACAAGGTTATACCTCTATGAGTCTGCAAGAGCCACAGTGTTACTGGGCTTGAGGTACCCCCTAATGCAGCTATGGCTGCGCTGACCAAAAACTTAGATCACAACACTCAAGTCCCTTCAAATACCTGGAAAGCCTTTCCAAGAAGGATGGGTACAAACAAGCCCAGACTGCAAAGATCACAATAAATAGCTAACTCTTCAGTGCCTAGACACTGATTGATATGGTTTGGCTGTGTTCCCACCTAAATCTCATCTTGAATTCCCACATGTTGTAGGAGGGACCTGGTGGAAGGTAACTGAATCATAGGGGCAGGTCTTTCCCATACTGTTCTCATGATAGTGAGTAAGTCTCATGAGATCTGATGGTTATGATAAGGAGGAGTTTTCCCCCACAAGCTCTTTTCTTTGCCTGCTGCCATCCATGTAAGATGTGACTTGCTGCTCCTCGCCTTCTGCGATGATTGTCACCCCTCCCCAGGCACGTGGAACTGTAAGTCCAATAAACCTCTTTCTTTTGTAAATTGCCCAGTCTCATGTATGTCTTTATCAGCAGCATGAAAATAAACTAATACAGTAAATTGGTACCAGTAGAGTGAGGCATTGCTGAAAAGATACCAAAAAAAATATGGAAGCAACTTTGGACCTAACAGGCAGAGGTTGGAACAGTTTGAAGGTCTCAGAAGACAGGAAAATGTGGGAAAGTTTGGAACTTCCTCAGAGACTTGTTGAATGGCTTTGACCAAAAGCCTAATAGTGATATGGACAATAAGGTCCAGGCTGAGGTGGTCTCAGATGGAGATGGGGAACTTGTCGGGAACTGGGGCAAAAATGACTCTTGTTATGTTTTAGCAGAGACTGGCAGCATTTCGCCCCTGCCCTAGAGATTTTTGGAACTTTGAATTTGAGAGAGATGATTTAGGGTATCTGGCAGAAGAAATTTCTAAGCAGCAAAGCATTCAAGAGGTGACTTGGGTGCTGTTAAAGGCACTCAGTTTTATAAGGGAAGCAGAGCATAAAAGTTCAGAAAATTTGCAGCCTGGCAATGTGATAGAAAAGAAAAACCCATTTTCTGAGGACAGATTGAAGCTGGCTGCAGAAATTTGCACAAGTGAGGAGAAGCCTAATGTTAATCCCCAAGACAATGGGGAAAATGCCTCCAGGGCATGTCAGAGGTCTTCACAGCAGCCCCTCCCATCACAGGCCCAGAGGCCTAGGAGAAAATGGTTTCAGGGGCCAGGCCCAGAGTCCCGTGCTGTGTGCGGTCTAGGGACTTGGTGCTGTGTGTCCCAGCCACTTCAGCCGTGACTAAAAGGGGCTAAGGTACAGCTCAGGCTGTTGCTTCAGAGGGTGGAAGCCCTAAGCCTTGGCAGCTTCCACATGGTGTTGAGCCTACGGGTGCGCAGAAGTCAAAGAACTGAGATTTGGGAACCTCCACCTAGATTTCAGAAGATGTATGGAAAGACCTGGATACCCAGACAGAAGTTTGCAGCAGGGACAGGGCCCTCATAGAGAACCACTGTTAGGGCAGTGCAGAAGGGAAATGTGGGGTCGAAGCCCCCACACAGAGTCTCTACTGGGGCAGCACCTAGTGAAGTTGTGAAAATAGGGCCGCTGTCCTCCAGACCCCCAAATGGTAGATCCACTGACAGCTTGCAGCATGTGCCTGGAAAAGCCACAGACACTTAATGCCAGCCCATGAAAGCAGCCAGGAGGGAGGCTGAACCCTGCAAAGCCACAGGGATGGAGCTGCCCAAGACCATAGGAACCCATCTCTTGCATCAGTGTGACCTGCATGTGAGACATGGAGTTAAAGGAGATCATTTTGGAGATTTAAGATTTGACTGCCCTGCTGGATTTCAGACTTGCATGGGGCCTGTAGCCCCTTTGTTTTGGCCAATGTCTCCTATTTGGAATGGCTATATTTATCCAATGCCTGTAACCCCATTGTAATTAGGAACTAACTTGCTTTTGATTTAACAGGCTCATAGGTGGAAGGGACTTGCCTTGTCTTAGAAGAGACTTGGGACTGTGGACTTTTGAGTTAATGCTGAAATGAGTTAAGACTTTGGGGGACTGCCGGGCGCAGTGGCTCACGCCTGTAATCCCAGCACTTTGGGAGGCCAAGGCGGGCAGATCACTTGAGGTCAGGAGTTTGAGACCAGCCTGACCAACGTGGAGAAACTCCGTCTCTACTAAAAAATATAAAATTAGCCGGGCGTGGTGACGCATGCCTCTAATCCCAGCTACTTGGGAGGCTGAGGCAGGAGAATCACTTTAACCTGGGAGGCAGAGGTTGCAGTGAGCCGAGATTGCGCCATTGCACTCCAGCTTGGGCAACAAGTGTGAAACTCTGTCTCAAAAAAAAAAAAAAAAAAAAAAAAAAGACTTTGGGGGACTGCTGGGAAGGCATGATTGGTTTGGGAATGTGAAAACATCAGATTTGGGAGGGGCCAGGGAGGGAATGATAACAGTTTGGCTGTGTCCCCACCAAAATCTCAGCTTGAATTCCCACATGTTGTAGGAGGGATCCAGTGGGAGGTAATTGAATCATGCGGGCAGGTCTTTCCCATGCCGTTCTTGTGACAGTAAGTCTCACCAGATCTGATGGTTATTATAAGGGGGAGTTTTTCTGCACAAGCTCTTTTTTGCCTGCCACCATCCACATAAGATGTGACTTGCTGCTGCTCCTTGCCTTCTGCCATGATTGTGAACCCTCCCCAGCCATGTGGAACTTTAAGTCCAATAAAACTCTTTCTTTTGTAAATTGCCCAGTCTTAGGTATGTCTTTATCAGCAGCATGAAAACAGAGTAATACACTGATGAACATCCACAAACATCAAGACTATCCAGGACCTCAGCAAACGAACTAAATAAGGTACCAGGAACCAATCCCAGAGAGACAGAGATATGTGACCTTTCAGACGGAATTCAAAATATCTGTTTAGAGAAAACTCAAAGAAATTCAAGATAATACAGAAAATGTATTCAGAATCCTATCCCATAAATTTAACAAAAATTGAAATAATTAAAAATAAGCAGAAATTATGGAGTTAAAAAATGCAATGATCTACTGAAGAATGCATCAGAATCTCTTAATAGCAGAACTGATCAAGCAGAAAAAAGAATCCGTAAGCTTGAGAAGAAGCTATTTGAAAATACACGGAGGAGACAAAATAAAAAAGAATGAAGCATGCCTACAAGATCTAGAAAATAACCTCAAAAGGGCAAATCTAAGAGTTATTGGCCTTAAAGAGAAGGTAGAAAAAGAGATGGGGGTAGAAAGTTTATTCAAGATGATAATAACAGAGAACTTCCAAAACCTAGAGAAAGATAACAATATTCAAGTACAAAAAGGTTGTAGAAAACCAAGCATATTTAACCCAAAGAAGACTACATCAAGGCATTTAATAATCAAACTCCCAAAGGTCAAGGAAAAAGAAAGGATTCTAAAAGCAGCCAGAGAATAGAAACAAATAACATACAATGGCAATATGTCTGGCAGCAGACTTTTCAGTGGAAACATTACAGGCCAGGAGAGAGTGGTATGACATATTTAAAGTGCTAAAGGGAAAAACTTTTACTCTAAAATAGTATATCTGGAAAAAAAAATCCTTCAAACATAAAGGAGAAATAAAGACTTTCCCAGACAAACAAAAACTAAGGGATTTCATCAATACCAGACCCTTCCTACAAGAAATGCTAAAGGGAGTTCTGCAGCCTGAAAGGAAAAGACATTAATAAGCAATAAGAAATTATCTGAAGGTACAAAACTCTCTGGTAACAGTAAGCACACAGAAAAACACAGAATGTCATTAACACTGTAATTGTGGTATGTAAACTACTCATATCTTAAGTAGAAAGACGAAAAGATGAACTGATCAACAAAAATAACTAAAACAACTTTCATGACATAGACAGTATAATAAAATATAAACAACAATAAGTTAAAATGCAGGAAGACAAAGTTAAAGTGTAGAGTTTTTATTAATTTTGGGGGTTTTGTTCATTTGTTTTTTGCTTGTTTGTTTATGCAGGCAGCATTGTCATCAGTTTAAAATAATGGGTTTGTGGGCATTTCAGTTACTCCATCTAAACTATAGGACTGGATTTGGGGTTCTCCAATATAAGCAGGCAGAAGAATCTCCTAAAGAATTTGTTTGAAATTCAGAATTCGACTTAGGAGATTAAGATGGTGGATACGAGGAAAGACTAGCTTGCGCGTCCCACTCAGATGGACAGAACAGCATGTGGAGACTCACATCGTGAACTTTTGCTCCAAGAACTACCATAGGAACATACCAAGAAAGCCGAAAGAATCCACACACCCTTTGAAGGAACTTCATCACCCCTGCAGGCTCCCTGAGATGCCAAAAAACTGTGAGTCCGCTTGCTTTCTCAATGGGGAGGCTCATGGGGAGGCTGCTTGCTTTCTCAATGGGGCAAGTTCTCAGCCCTGGTCACCAGCTGCTTAGAAATAAACTTGGTGCTGTTGCAGGGGCATGGTGGGAGTAAGATCAGCTTTAGGACTGTGGGCTGCTTGGGAGCAGGGTGAGGCCTGTAACTGCCGGCTTTCCCCCAGTTCCCTAGCAACCTGTACCTCGCATCTCAAAACTAACATTGAATGTAAATGTCCTAAACACTCCACCTAAAAGACACAGAATGTTCTTTTTGCTTAGGATAGCTTTGGCTATTCCAGGTCTTTTGTGGTTTCATATAAATTTTAGGATTTTTTTTTCTATTTCTGTGAAGAATATCATTGGTATTTTGATAGAGATTGCATTGACTCTGTAGATTGCTTTGGGTGGTATGGATATTTTAATAATATTGATTCTTCCAGTCCATGAACATGGACTATCTTACCAGTTTTTGGTGTCTTCTTCAGTTTCTTGCATCAGTGTTTTATAGTTTTCATTGTAGAAATCTTTCACTTATTTGGTTAAATCCTAAGTATTTAACCCATTTCCTATTCAGACAAAAAAAGTGCAGCTCGCTGCCAGTGCTCATTTCTCAGGGCAAATGGGTAATGGGTTAAATTTATTTGTAGCTATTGTAAATGGTATTACTTTCTTGATTTCTTTTTCAGATTGTTCACTGTTGGCATATAGAAATGCTACTGATTTTTGTATGATGATTTTGTATCCTGAAACTTTACTAAATTTGTTTACCAGTTCTGATAGTTTTCTTAGTGGAGTCTTTAGGTTTTTCTGAATATTAGATGTATTATCTGCAAACAAGGCTAATTTGACTTCCTCCTTCAATTCTGATGTCCTTTATTTCTTTCTCTTGTCTGTTTGCTCCAGTTAGGACTTGAATAACAGTGGTGAAAGTGGGCATCCTTGTCTTGTTCCAGATATTTGAGGAAATGCTTTCAGTTTTCTACTTTAAGTATGATATTAGCTGTGGGTCTGTCCTAGATGGCTTTTATTGTATTGAGGTATGTTCCTTTAATACCCACTTTTTTGGAGGATTTTTATCATGAAGGGATGTTGAATTTTTTCGAATGCTTTTTCAGCATCAACTTAAATGATCATATAGTTTTTGTCCTTCATTCTGTTGATATGATGTATCACACTGACTGATTTGCATATGTTGAAACATCCTTGCATCCCTGGGATAAACCCCACTTGGTAATGATGAATGCTTTTTTTAATGTGTTGTTGAATTTGGTTTTCTACTATTTTGTTGAGGATTTTTGCATCAATGTTCATGAGGAATATTGGCCTGTAGTTTTCTTTTATTGGTGAGGCTTTGTCTAGTTTACTGGTAATACTGGCCTCATAGTGCATAGTTTACAAGTATTAGGTTTACAAGTATTCCCTCTTCCTCTATTTTTTGGAATCATTTGAGCAGGGTTGGTATTATCAGTTTTAAAATATTTGGTAAAATTCAGCAGTGAAGCCATCAGGTTCCAGGCTTTTCTTTGCTGACGAAATTTTTATTATGGCTTCAATCTCATCACTTGTTATTTGCCTGTTCAGGTTTTGGATTTCTTCATGGTTCAGTCTTGGTAGGTTGTATGTATCTAGGAATTTATCTGTTTCTTCTAGACTTTCCAATTTATTAGCATATAATTGCTCATAGCCACTAATCATCCTTTGAATTTGGCAGTATCCGTTGTAATGTCTCCCTTGTCATCTCTGATTTTCTTTTCTTTTCTTTTCTTTTTTTTTTTGAGATGGAGTCTCGCTCTGTCGCCCCGGCTGGACTGCAGTGGCGCAATCTCGGTTCACTGCAAGCTCCGCCTCCTGGGTTCATGCCCTTCTCCTGCCTCAGCCTCCCGAGTAGCTGGGACTACAGGCGCATGCAGCCACGACCAGCTAATTTTCTGTAGTTTTAGTAAAGACGGGGTTTCACCATGTTAGCCAGGATTGTGTTGATCTCCTGACCGTGATCCGCCCGCCTCTACCTTCCAAAGTGCTGGGATTACAGGCTGAGCCACCGCGCCCAGCCTCTGATTTTCTTTTTTTTTTTTCTTTTTTTTTTGAGATGGAGTCTCCTTCTGTCGCTCAGGCTGGAGTGCAGTGGCACGATCTCGACTCACTGCAAGCCCCGCCTCCCGGGTTCACGCCATTCTCCTGCCTCAGCCTCCCAAGTAGCTGGGACTACAGGCGCCCGCCCACTGCCACGACCGGCTTTTTTTTATTTTTATTTTTTTGTATTTTTTAGTAGAGACGGGGTTTCACCGTGTTAGTCAGGATGGTCTCGATCTCCTGACCTTGTGATCTGCCCGCCTTGGCCTCCCAAAGTGCTGGGATTACAGGCGTGAGCCACCGGCCCGGGCTCCGATTTCCCTTATTTGGGCCTTCTTTCTTTTTTTCTTAGTCTGGATAAAGGTTTGTCAATTTTATCTTTTCAGAAAACCAACTTTTTGTTTCATTGATCTTTTGTATTGTTTTCTTCATTTCAATCTCACTTATTTCTGCTCTGATCTTTATTATTTCTTTTCTTCTACTTATTTTGGGTTTGGTTTGCTCTTGCTTTTCTAATTCTTCAAGATACATCATTATATCGTTTATTTGAAGTTTTTCTTCTTTTTTGATGTAGGCACTGATACCCATAAACTTCCCTTTTTTGATGTATGTCATAGTTTTTGGTATGTTGTGTTTCCACTATCATTTGTTTCAAGAAAACTTTTTCTTGAAAAACTTTTTTTTTTTTTTTTTGAGGCGAAGTTTTGCTCTTGCTGCCCAGGCTGTAATGCAATGGCACAATCTCGGCTCACCGCAACCTCTGCCTCCTGGGTGCAAGTGATTCTTCTGCCTCAGCCTCCCAAGTAGCTGGGACTACAGGCATGCACCACCATGCCCAGCTAATTTTGTATTTTTAGTAGAGACGGGGTTTCTCCACGTTGGTCAGGCTGGTCTTGAACTCCTGACCTCACATGATCTGCCCACCTTGGCCTCCCAAAGTTCTGGGATTACAGGCATGAGCCACTGTGCCTGGCCAAAACTTTCGTTTTTTTATCTCTTCATTGACCCACTGGTCATTCAGGAACATACTGTGTAATTTCCTTGTGTTTGTATAATTTCCAGAATTCCTCCTGTTATTGGTTTTTAGTTTTATTTTATTGTGGTCAGAGAAGATATTTGATATTATTTCCATTTTTTGAATGTTTTAAGACTTGTTTTGTACCCTAACATAGGGTCTTTCCTTGTGAATGATCCATGTGCTAAGGAAAAGAATGTGTGTTCTGCAGCCATTGGATGAAACGTTCTGTAAATATCTATTAGGTCCATTTGGTCTATAGTGCAGATTAAATCCAATGTTTCTTTGTTGATTTTCTGTCTAGGAGATGTGCCCAATGCTGGAAGTGGGGTGTTGAAGTTTCCAGCTATTGTTGTCTCTCTCTCTCTCTCTTTAGCTCTAGTAATATTTCCTTTACATACCTGTGTGCTCTCATGTTGGATGCATATATATTGATAATTGTTATATCCTCTTGCTGAACTGACCTCTTTATCATTATATAATGACCTTTTTGTCGCTTTTTATAGTTTTTGTATTGAAACCTATTTTGTGTGATATAAGTATAGCTACTCTTGCTCTTTTTAGGTTCCCATTTGCATAGAAGTGGTGAAGTGTATTTCTTTTAGGCATCAGATCACTGGGTCTTGTTTTGTTTTGTTTTGTTTTTAATCCATTCAGCCACTCTATGCCTTTTGATTGTTGAGTGTAGTCGATTACCAATTACTTATTTTATTGATAAGTAAGGACTTATTCCTGTCATTTTGTTGTTTCCTGGTTGTTTTATGGTCTTCTCTTATTTCCTTCCTTCCTGTCTTCCTTTTAGTGAAGGTGATGATTTTCTTGTGGTATGTTTTAATTTTTTGCTTTTTAATTTTTGTGTATCCATTGTACGTTTTTAAATTTGAGGTTACCATGAGGCTTGCAAATAATATCTTCCAAACCCATTATTTTATTTATTTTTTTAAATACAAACTAAGGCTTTTTCTTCAATTATCTCTATCATCCACAGTAAAAGGAAATAAGTCACCTGCAACTGATGCCAAACCCTCCTGCCAATGAGAGATAAGCAGCTCTGGGTAATTTCACATAGCCCAGCAAAGACAGTTTCCTTGAATTCTTATGAAAAATTGGCCCTAAAATCTATCAGGATGACTTATTCATGAGAATCATCTGAGATACCCATTATAAATATAGTTGTCCAGAATCTTAGGTGGTTGTGGGAGAGGAAAGCTCCTGTAATTCTGAATTTTGTGGTTTTTGATTTTTAATTTTTTTATTTCAATAGGATTTTTGGGGAACAGGTGGTGTCTGGTTACATGAATAAGTTCTTTAGTGGTGATTTCTGAGATTGTGGTGCACTCATCACCCTAGCAGTGTACACTGTGCCCAGCGTGTAGTCTTTTATCCCTCACCATCCTCAATCCTTTTCCCCAGGTCCCCAAAGTCCAATGTATCATTCTTATGCCTTTGCGTCCTGATAGCTTAGCTCCCACATATTAGTAAGAATATATAATGTTTGGTTTTCCATTCCTGAGTTACTTCACTTAGAATAATAATTTCCAATTCCATCCAGGTTGCTGCGAATGTCATTATTTCTCTCCTTTTTATGGCTGAGTAGTATTCCATGATGTATACATATATACCATGTTTTCTTTATCCACTTATAGATTAATGGACATTTGGGCAGGTTCCATATTTTTGAAATTGTGAATTGTGCTGCTATAAACATGCATGTGCAAGTATCTTTTTTATATAATGACTTCTATTATCATATAGAAAATGTGATATCACTTCATTTTAAATGGTTTTTATGCAAAAGACAGGCAATAACAAATGCTGGTGAGGATGTAGAGAAAAGGGAATCCTTATACACTGCTGGTGGGAATGTAAATTAGTACAACCACTATGAAGAACAATTTGGAGGTTCCTCAAAAAAACAAAAATAGAGCTATCATATGATCCAGACATCCCATTGCTAGGGAAATACCCACCCTCCCAAAAAAAGGAAATCAGTATATCGAAGAGATATCTGCACTTCCATGTTTACTGCAGCACTATTGACAATAGCCAAGATTTGGAAGCAACCTAAGTGTCTATGAACAAATGAATGGATAAAGAAAATGTGGTACATATACACAATGGAGTACTATTCAGCTATAAAAAAAAGAATGAGAGGCCGGGCACGGTGGCTCACACCTGTAATCCCAGCACTTTGGGAGGCCGAGGCCGGTGGATCATGAGGTCAGGAGTTCAAGACCAGCCTGGCCAAGATGGTGAAAGCCCGTCTCTACTAAAAATACAAAAAAATTAGCCAGGCATGGTGGCAGGTACCCGTAGTCCCAGCTACTTAGGAGGCTGCAGCAGAGAACTGCTTGAACCCAGGAGGCGTAGGTTGCGGTGAGCCGAGATCACGCCACTGCACTCCAGCCTGGGTGACAGAGCGAGACTCCATCTCAAAAAAAAAAAAAAAGAGAGAATGAGATTCTGTCATTTGCAACAACATGAACAGAACTGGAGGTAGTTATGTTAAGGAAATAAGCTAGGCACTGAAAGACAAACTTTGCGTATTCTTACTTATTTGTAGGAGCTAAAGATTAAAACAACTGAACTCATGGAGATAGAGCGTACAATGATGGTTACCAGAAGCTGGGAAGGGTAGTGGGGGAGTGGGGAGGAAGAGGGGATGGTTAATGGGTACAAAAAAATAGAATGAATGAATAAGAGCTAGTATTTCTGCCAGGCACTGTGGTTCACGCCTGGAATCCCAGCACCTTGGGAGGCCAAGGCGGGCAGATCACATGAGGTCAGGAGTTCTGGTCTCGAACTCCTGACCCTGTCTCTACTAAAAATATAAAACATGAGCTGGATGTGGTGGCGTATGCCTATAGTCCCAGCTACCCGGGAGGCTGAGGCAGGAGAATCACTTGAACCCAGCTTGCAGTGAGCTGAGATTGTGCCACTGCACTCCAGCCTGGGCAACAGAACAAGACCTCATCTAAAACAAACAAACAAACAAACAAAAAACCTAGTATTTGCTAGCACAACGAGGTGACTATAGTAAAAAATAATTTAATTGTACACTTTTAAATAATTAAAAGAGTACAACTAGATTGTTTGTAACACAAACGATAAATTCTTGAGGTTATGGATATCTCATTTATCCTGATGTGATTATTACATATTGTATGTCTGTATCAAAATAGCTCGTGTACACCATAAATATACATACCTACTATGTACCCCCAAAAAAGAAACAATGCAAGCAAGAAGACAATGGAACAACATCTTTAAAGAACTGAAAGAGATGGCCAGGCATGGTGGCTTGTGCCTGTAAACCCAGCGCTTTGGGAGACCGAAGTGGGAGGATCACTTGAGCCCAAGAGTTCAAAACATAGGCAGATCCCATTTTTACAAATAAACAAAAAACAATAACAACTGAAAGAGGGCTGGGTGTGGTGGCTCACACCTGTAATCCCAACACTTTGAAAGGCCGAGGCAGAAGGGTCACTTGAGGCCAGGAGCTGAAGACCAGCCTGGGCCAGACAAGGAGACCCTTGTCTCTACAAAAAAAGTTTTACAAAATTAGCTGGGCCTGGTGGCACACACCTGTAGCCCTAGGTACTTGAGAGGATGAGGCAGGAGAACCACTTGAGTCCAAGAAGGCTGCAGTGAGCTACGATCGTGCCACTGCACTCCATCCTGGGTGACAGAGTGAGACACTACCTCTTAAAAAAAAAAAAAAAAAAGGCCAGGCACAGTGGCTCATGCCTGTAATCCCAACACTTCGGGAGGCCGAGGCAGGTAGCTCACAAGGTCAGGAGATCGAGACTATCCTGGCTAACACAGTGAAACCCCGTCTCTACTAAAAATACAAAAAATTAGCCGGGCATGGTGGCGGGTGCCTGTAATCCCAGCTACTCAGGAGGCTGAGGCAGGAAAATGGCATGAACCCGGGAAGCAGAGCTTGCAGTGAGCCGAGATCGCGCCACTGAACTCCAGCCTGGGCAACAAAGCGAGACTCTGTCTCCAAAAAAAAAAAAGAAGAAGAAGAATAACTGAAAGAAAGAACTGCCAAGTTTAAATTATACACCCAGTTTTTTAAAAACCATATTTCAAAAATGAAAATAAAGATGTTTTCAGATTTTTTTTAAATCTGGCAGAATTCATCACTACCAGACTTTAAAAAATATTAAAGGAAGGCCTGAAAGTAGAAGGAAAATGATACCACATGGAAATATTGATCTAACCAAAGGAATGAAGAGTGTCAGAAATGGTTACCACACAGGTAAAATATGTAAGATGTTTTTCCTATTATTTATGTCTCTTTAAGAGATAATTGAGTCCTCAACAAAATATTAATAAATTAAATTCAGCAATATCAAAAAAGAATTAGCCAGGAATGATGGCACATGCCTGTGGTCCCAGCTACTTGGGAGGCTGAGGCGGAGGGATTGCTTGAGCCTGAAGTTTGAGATTACAATTAGCTATGATTTGCACCACTGCGCTCCAGTCTGGGTGACAGAGCAAGACTCTGTCGCTATAAAACAAATAAATAATAAAAAATTCTTTAAAATTATACATCATAACCAAGTTGGACTTATTACAGGTATGCAAGGCCAGTTCAATATTTGAAAATCAGTCAATATAACCCATCATATCAACAGGCTAAAGAAGAAAAATCAGGCTGGGCAGAGTGGCTCACACCTGTAATCCCAGCAGTTTGGGAGGCCAAGGTGGAAGGATCATTTGAGTCCAGGAGTTCAAGACCAGCCTGGGAAATATAGCAAAATCCTGTCTCTACAAAAAAAATTAAAAATTAGCTGGGCATGGTGGCATGCACCTGAAGCTCCAGCTTCTCAAGAGGCTGAGGTGGGAGGATCACTTGACGCCAGAAAGTAAAGGCTGCAGTGAGCCATGATTGCACCACTAAACTCCAGCCTGAGTGACAGAACAAGACCCTGTCTAAAAAATAAAATAAAATAAAAAAGAAGAAAAGTCATATGACCATATTGATATAGAAAAAGCATTTTACAAAATCCAGTTCCCATTCACGTGCACAAAAAAAAAAAAGTTTCACAAACTAGGATTAGAGAGGAACTGACTCAACTTGATAGAGAGCATCTACCAAAAAACTACAGGTAACAGCATAATTAGTGGTGAAAGACTGAAAGACTGAATGCTTTCCCCCTAATATCAGGAACATGGCATCACCATTCTTTCTTTTTTTTTTTTTTTTTTTGAGACAGGGTCTCACTCTGTCACGCAGGCTGGAGTGCAGTGGCAGTGGCATGATCATAGTTCACTGCAGCCTTTAACTCCTGGCCTCAAGTGATGCTCCCACCTTCTCCTACCACAGACGTACTCTCATCATTCTTATTCAACACAGTACTGAAAGTTCTAGCCTATGCAATAAAGAAAGAAAAACAATAAATGCAGACAGATTGGAAAGAAAGAAATAAAATTGTCCCTATTTGTAGATGACAATTATCTACACAGAAAATCCTAATAAATCTATTTTTAACTGCAATTTTAAAAATTAATAAGGAAGGTCACTGGACACAGAATCAACACACAAAAATCAACAAACATGTAGAAACCAAAGCTGAAAACACAATACCATTTACAATTGCTACAAAGCAAATGAAATACTTAGTTATAAATCTAACAAAACATGTATAAGAGCTGTATGCTGAAAATTACAAAATGTTGATGAAAGAAATCACAGAAGACCTAAATAAATAGAAATACTGTGTTTATGACTTAGAAAACTCAACACTAAAAACATCAATTTTTCCCAAATTGATTTACATAATTCCTATCCAAATTCCAGCAAGGCTTCTTATAGATATAAATAACTTATTCTAAAATTTATATGGAAAGGTAAAGGACCTAAAATAGTTACGACAATTTTGAAAAAGAAGAATGTTGTAAGAAGAATCATTCTACCCAATGTTAAGGCTTACTAAATAACTTCAGTAATCAAGACAGTAGAGTACTGGTGGAAGAATAAATATGTAGATCAATGAAATATAATAGAGGAAACAATAGAATCACAAAAGAATGTACAACTGATTTTTTTAAAGAAAAAAGGTACAAACATGATTTAATAGAGGAAGGACGGCCCTTTCAACAATTGGTGAAGAAAAAAAAAAAGTCTGTAGGCCAAGAAAAAAAAAGAAGAGCCTCATACCTTTTACAAAAATTAACTTAAAATGAATCATTGATTTAAACATACCATGTAAAACTATGAAACTTTTGGAAAAAAAAAAAACAGGAGGAAATCTTCAAAACCTACGGCTGGGAGAACAGTACTTCAACTTGATATCAAAACTATGATCCCAGCCAGGCGCAGTGGCTCATGCCTGTAATCCCAGCAATATGGGAGGTCGAAGTGAGTGGATCACCTGAGGTCAGGAGTTCGAGACCAGCCTGGCCAATATGGTGAAACCCCGTCTCTACTAAAAATACAAAAATTAGCCGGGCTTGGTGGCACCTGCCTGTAATCCCAGCAACTCAGGAGGCTGAGGCAGGAGAATTGCTTGAACCCAGGAGGCAGAGGTTGCAGTGAGCTGAGATCGCACTATTGCACTCCAGCCTAGGCAATGAGAGCAAAACAAAAACAAACAAACAAACAAACAAAAACTATGATCCAGGAAAACTTGATAAATTGGACCTCTTAAGAATTAGAAAATTTTGCTCTGTGAAAGCTCCTGTTAAGAGAATGAAAAGAGCCAGGCATAGTGGCTCACGCCTGTATTCACAGCACTTTGGGAGGCAGAGGTGGGCAGATGGCTTGAGTCTAGCAGTTCAAGATCAGCCTCAGCAACATTTCCAGCAGTTCAAGAAATGTCTCTACAAAAAACAGAAAAAATTAGCTGGGTATGGTGGCACACACCTGTAGTCCCAGCCACGTGAGAGGCTGGGGTGGGATGATCACTTGAGCCCAGGAGGTCAAGGCTGCAATGAGCCATGATCACACCACTGCACTCCAGCATGGGTAACAGAGTGAAACCCTGTCTCAAGAGAATGAAAAGATAAATTACAGACTGGGAGAAAATATTTGCAAGCCAAATATCCAACAAAGGATTTAGTATCTAGAATATAAAGAATTTCCAAAACTCAACAGTAGAAAAGCAAACAATATAATTAGCAAGTGTACTAAAAACATTTCACTGAGGAGTAGATACAGGTAACAAGCTAATAAAAAGATGTTCAACCTCAGTGATTAGGGCAATCTAAATTAAAACCACAATGCATTATCACTACATGCCTAACAGAGTGATAAAATAAAAAATGTCAAATTCTGGCAAGGATATGGGAAAAACTGGATCACTCTTACATGGCTGGCAGGAATGTAGAATGGGATAGCTACTCTGGAAAATATTTTGGCATTTTCTTTTAAAACTAAAAGTGCACTTACCATACAACCCAGCAATTGCACCCTTGGGCATTTATCCCAGGCAAATGAAAACCTATATGCGCTCTGCAATCTATACATGAATGTTGATAACAACTCTATTTATAATAGCCAAGAACTAGATACCACCCAAATGTCCTTCAATGTATAAATGGTTGAAGAAACTGTAGTACATCCATACCACAGATACTACTCTGCAACATAAAGGAAAAAACTACGATAGAATTAGGCCTTGGCTGGTTCTCAAGGGAATTATGCTGATTGATTTTTTTAAAAAGCTACAGACTGTATGACACTACATAAGTGATTCCATTTACGTAATGTATTTGAATAACAATATTAAAAGATGGAGAACAGAAGAATGGCTGCTGGGGTTATGGACTGGGGAGAAAGAAGGTAGATGTGACTATAAAAGCATCAGGGAGGCTTATGGTGATGAAATGGGTCTGTATCTTGATTGTGGTGGCAATTACACAAAGCTACATGTATGATAAAACTGCATAGAACTACATACACACACAAATGAGTGCATGTGTAACTGGTAAAATCTGACTAAACCCTGTGGATTGTACTAATGCCAATTTCTGGGTTTTTGTTTTTCGTTTTTTGTGTTTTTTTGAGAAGGAGTTTCATTCTCATCACCCAGGCTGGAGTGCAATGGCGAGATCTCAGCTCACTGCAACCTCCGCCTCCCAGGCTCAAGCGATTCTCCTGCCTCAGCCTCCCGAGTAGCTGAGATTACAGGTGCCCGACACCATGCCCGGCTCATTTTTGTATTTTTAGTGGAGATGGGGTTTCACTATGTTGGCCAGGCTGGTCTCAAACTCCTGACATCAGGTGATCTGCCTGCCTCAGCCTCCCAAAGTGCTGTGGTTACAGGCGTGAGCCACAGCACCCGCCCAATTTCCTGGTTTTGATACGGTATGTAGTTATGCAAAATGTCAACATTGAGGGAGGAGGGGTGAAGGATGCACAGGACCTTTCTATACATTTATTTGCAATATCCCGTTTATAATTATTTCAAAATAAAACATCTAAAAAAGAAAACTGGCTGTTCAAGCAAAAATAATAGTATAGACTGTGGTTTATAACAAATGTGTAAGTAAAACGTATGACAACAACAGCATAAAAGCTATGAGGAGGGAAACAAAGGTAGACTCCTGTAAACTTATGTTATGTGTGAAGTGATACAATATAACTTGAAGGTAGACTGTGATGAGTTAAAGATAATTCTAACCAGCCAGGCATGGTGGGTCACACCGGTAATCCTAGCACTTTGGGAGGCCAAGGTGGGCAGATGACCTGAGGTCGGGAGTTCGAGACCAGCCTGACCAACACGGAGAAACCCCGTCTCTACTAAAAATACAAAATCAGTCAGGTGTGGTGGTGCATGCCTGTAATCCCAGCTACCTGGGAGGCTGAGGCAGGAGAATCGCTTGAATCCAGGAGGTGGAGGTTGCGGTGAGCCAAGATTGTGCCATTGCACTCCAGCCTGGGCAACAAGAGCGAAACTCCGTCTCAAAAAAAAAAAAAAAGATAATTCTAACTATCTTGGCTGGGTGCCTCAGCTTACATCTCTAATCTCAGCACTTTAGGTGGCTAAAGTGGGAGGGTCGCTCAAGTCCAGAAGTTTCAGACCAGCCTGGGCAACATGGTGAGACTGTTTCTACAAAAAATCAAAAAATTAACTGGGCCTAGTGGTACACACCTGTGGGCCCAGCTACACGGGAGGCTGAGGTGAGAATATCACTTGAGCCCAAGAATTAATGACTGCAGTGAGCTGTGATCACACCACTGCACTTCAGCCTGGGCAATAGAGCAAGACCCTGTCTTTAAATAAAATAAAATGAAATAAAATCTTTAAAAAAAAGAAGAATACAGCTGGAAGACTTATGCTACCTGACTTCAAGATTTATTTAAAAGCTACAGGAATCAAAACAGTGTGGTTTGGTATAAATAAGGAAAATAGATAAATGGAACAGAATATGGAAATCAGAAATAGATCCATACATAAATGGAGAACTAATTTTTTACAAAGGTGCCAAGGCAATCCAATGGAGAAAGGATAGTTTTTTCAAGAAATAGTTCTGGAACAATTGGATATCCACATGCAAAAAAGAAAGAAATGAACTTTGATCCATAACTCACACCATACATAAAAATTAGCTTAAAGCCAGGCACGGAAAAGTATTACCTATTCAAAAATTAAACTAACTAGCTGGGTGCAGTAGCACATGCCTGTAGTCCCAGCTACCTGGGAGGCTGAGGCAGGAGGATCCCTTGAGCCTAGGAATTTAAGAACAGCCTGGGCAACATATAGAGACCCCATCTCAAAAAAAAAATCAATTCAAAATAGAGCATTGACCTAAATGAATAACCTAAAACTATAAAACTTCTAGAAGAAAACACTGGAGAAAAATTTTGTGGCCTTGGGGCAAAGATTGCTTAGACATGACACCAAGAGCATAACCCATAAAAAATAAATATAAAGTGAACTCCATCAAAATTTAAAGGTTAAGCTCTTCAAAAGATACTCCGAAAAGAATGAAGACAATCCAGGTCGAGCGCGGTGGCTCACACCTGTAATCCCAGCACTTTGGGAGGCTGAGGTGGGCGGATCACAAGATCGGGAGTTCGAGACAAGCCTGGCCAATATGGTGAAACCCCGTCTCTACTAAAAACACAAAAATTAGCCAGGTGTGGTGGCATGTGCCTGTAGTCCCAGCTACTCGGGAGGCTGAGGCAGGAGAATGGCTTGAACCCAGGAGGCAGAGGTTGCAGTAAACTGAGATCATGCCACTGCACTCCAGCCTGGGCGACAGAGCGAGACTCCCTCTAAAAAAAAAAAAAAAAAAAAAAAAAAAAAAAAAAAATGAGGACAATTCATAAGCTGGGAGAAAAATCATCACAAAGCACATATCTGATAAAAGACTTGTATCAGGCCGGGCACGGTGGCTCACACCAATAATCCCAGCACTTTGGGAGGCTGAGGCAGGCGGATCATCTGAGGTTGGGAGTTCGAGACCAGCCTAACCAACATGGAGAAACCTCGTTTCTATTAAAAAATACAAAATTAGCCGGGCATGGTGGCACATGCCTAACCCCAGCTACTCGGGAGGCTGAGGCAAAAGCATCGCTTGAACCTGGGAGGCAGAGGTTGCTGTGAGCAGAGACCGTGCGATTGCACTCCAGCCTAGGCAACAAGAGTGAAGCTCCGCCTCAAAAAAAAAAAGACTTGTATTCATGCTAATAACTCCAAAAATTAATAACGAGAAAACAACACAATTTTTTAAATGGCCAAAGGATTTTTAACAAAACATTTTAACAAAAGACTGACCATCCCAAGAGTCAGCAAGGATATGAAGAAACCGGACTCTCACACATCATTGGGAATGGAAAACAGTACAAGCACTTTGTAAAACATTTTGGTAGCTTCTTAAAAAGTTAAACAGGCCAGGCACAGTGCCTCACGCCTGTAATCCCAACACTTTGGGAGGCCGAGGCGGGTGGATCACGAGGTCAAGAGATCGAGACCATCCTGGCCAACATGATGAAACCCCATCTCTACTAAAAATACAAAAATTAGCTGGGTGTGGTGGCACACGCCTGTAGTCCCAGCTACTCGGGAGGCTGAGGCAGAATTGCTTGAACCCAGGAGGTGCAGGTTGCAGTGAGCCAAGATTGTGCCACTGCACTCCAGCCTGGTGACAGAGCAAGACTGTCTCAAAAAAAAAAAAAAAAAAAAAAAAGTTAAACATATTTTGGGAAACCAAGGCAGGAATATCACTTGAGCCTAGGTGTTTTGAGACCAGCCCATGTCTACAATAAAAATACAAAAAATTAGCCAGGTGTGGTGGTGCGTGCCTGCAGACCCAGCTACTCAGGAGGCTGAGGTGGGAGGATCACCTGAGCCTGGGAGGTCGAGGCTCTGGTGAGCCGTGATCACACCACCACCCTTCAGCCAGGTGACAGAATGAGACCCTATCTCAAAAAAAAAAAAAAAAAAAAATTGGGTCCAGACCTAGTGGTTCACACCTGTAATCCCAGCATTTTGGGAGGCCAAGGCGGGCGGATTGCTTGAGGCCAGGATTTCGAGACCAGCCTGGCCAACATGGCAAAACCCCATCTCTACTAAAAATACAAAAATTAGCCAGGCGTGGTGGTGGGTGCCTGTAATCCCAGCTACTCAGGAGGCTGAGACAGGAGAGTCGCTTGAGCATGGGAGGCAGAAGTTGCGGTGACCCAAGATGGGGCCACTGCACTCCAACCTGGGTGACAGGGCAAGACTGTTTCAAAAAACAAAAAAAATTTAAACATAACAGGATTTTTAGGGCAGTGAAACTACTCTGTACAACACTACGATGGTGGATACATGTCATCATTAAAGGTTTGTCCAAACCCATAGAATGTACGACACCACATGAACCCTACATTAGGGTAAGAGTGAACCAACCCTACTGTAAACTATGGACTGAGTGATAGTGATGTCAATGTAGGTTCATTGATGGTAACAAATACACCAACGGTGCGGATGGTGATAATGGGGGAGGGTTTACATGGAGCAGGGCAGGGTGTATATGAGAACACCCTGTACTTTCAGCTCAATTTTGCTGTGAACCTACAACAGCTCTAAAAAGTAAAAGTCTTTTTTTTAAAAAAAAGGAAAGAAGTACTGATAAATGCTACAACGTGGATGAACATTGAAAACACTGTGCTAAGTGAAAGAAGCCAGTCACAAAAAACTATATACTGTATGACTCCATTTATATATGTCCAGAATAAGTAAATATATAGAAAAAGAAAGTACATGATTAGTGGCCTACAACTGAGGCATATGGAGGAGAGAATGGGAAATGACTGCTAATTGATATGGGTTTTCTTTTGGGGTGAAATATTCTAAACTTAGATTGTGGTGCTGGTTGTTGCACAACTTTGTTAATCTACTAAAAACCAATGAATTGTGTCCATTTTAAATGGGTGAATTTTGTAGTATGTTAAAATCTTAATAAAGATGTTTTAAAACTGTTTAAATCACTATGGTAACTGAAGAAATCATTTATGTAAGGTATATGCATGTGAGGAAGAGATATATACTCAGAAGTAAATACATACGTCCATAGGTTCAATAAATTCCTTTTAGTTATGATCTTAAATCAGAGGTAAGCAAAGGGAAGCAAGTGTGCCTTGTGTGCTGATACTATTCTATAGAATACTGGTATGCTTATCTCCCCTTAAAGAAAGGGGAGTAAAAGCCATACTGGCTATAAACTCATGTTGTTTAAAATGTATAATGCATCAAAAATAAGTCTGTATTAAACATCCTTTGTTTAAAATATACAATGGAGGCCAGGCACAGTGGCTCATGCCTGTAATCCAAGCACTTTGGGAGGCAAAGGTGGGTGGGTCACTTGAGGTCACGTGTTCGAAACCAGCTTGGCCAACATGGAAAAACCCCGTCTCTACTAAAAATATAAAAATTAGCTGGGTGTGGTGGTGGGCGCCTGTAGTCCCAGCTACTCGGGAAGCCAACGCACAAGAATTTCTTGAACCCAGGAGGTGGAGGTTGCAGTGAGCTGAGCTCGCCCCACTGCACTCCAGGCTGGGTGACAGAGTGAGACTCCATCTCAAAAAAAAAAAAAGAAAAAATTAAATTTAAATAAAATATACAATGAATTAAGGGTAAAGTCATAATAAAAACAACTGGCTGGATGCAGTGGCTCTCGCCTATAATCCCGGCTACTCACAGCTACTCAGGAGGCTGAGGTGGGAGGACTGTTTGTGCCCAGGAGTTTAAGGCCATAGTGAGCCATAGTCACGCAATTGCACTCCAGCCTGGGTGACCAAATGAGACCACATATCTAAAAAAAAAAAAACCCAAAAAACCTACCACATGATCTAGCATTCTACTGCTGGATATATACCCAAGAATAACACAAAGGCACATACACAAATGTTCAGAGTAGCTTTATTTTAATAGCCAAATATTGGAAGTGATCCAAATGTCCATCGACAGGTGAATGGATTAAACAAACTGTACAGATGTGGTATATCCATACAATGGAATGTTATTCATCAATAAAAAGAAAAGAATTGACACACACAAGACACAAGAATCTAAAAAATAATTATGCTGCGTGAAAGAAGACAGACAAAAGAAGAGCACGTACTCTATGATTCCATTTATATAAAACTTAAGAAAATGCAAACGAATCTGCAGGGACAGAAAGCAGTTCAGTGGCTGCCAGAGAGAGGGTTTTCTCAGGGGGAAGAGGCCTAAGAAAACTTTTGTGGGTGATGGATATGATCCCCCTGTTGATTGTGGTGACAGTTTCACAGATGTAAACATATGGCAAAACTTATCAAATTATCCACTTTAAATATAAGCAGTGTATTGTATATCAATTATACCTCATTGTGGCTGTTTTAAAAAGATGACTCCAAGCTTAAGAAAGATAAACCAGGAGGGGTAGATCATGCCTGTAATCCTAGCACCCTGGGAGGCCGACGTGGGTGGATCACTTGAGCAACCTGGTCTTAAGCTCAGGAGTTCGAGAGCAGCCTGGGCGATATGACAAAACCCTGTCTCTACAAAAAGTACAAAAGTTAGACAGGTGTAGTGGCATGGGGCTGTAGCTCCAGCAACTCTGGGGGCTGAGGCAGGAAGATCGCTTGAGCCCAGGAAGTTGAGGCTGCAGTGAGCTGTGCACATACCTCTGCACTCTGGCTGGGTGACCAAGCAAGACCCGGTCAAAAAAAAAAAAAAAATAGGGGTTCCATGACTCTAACAACCCCTCCCCGCCCAGGGTGTGCAGGGGAACTGAACCAAGAGCCTCATTCCTGGCCTTGCTTTTTCTGAGCTCAGGCCCAGGGCTTTGCACAAGCTCAAATGTGCATTTTACAAAGGCAATCAGAGCAGCCTGTCTCTCCTCTCTGATACTTCTGGGCCCTCCACATCGCTACCCCCATATTTAAACGGAAGCTAAGAGACACTACTATCTATGTGCTTATGAAACCCCAGCTTCACTCCACCCCCACCCTGGGAAAGACTTCAAATTCAATAATTCTAAGGAGAAAGATAAGCACAAACAGATCTATTTTATTCCGTGTACAAAGTTCTAACAGAAGAAATGCCTCGCCCAAGATAGAAGTTGTTATTTCTTTCTTTACTGAGAGGTATTTGCCCCTTTGCCATAGTATAGATGAGAACAGGAAAATACTTGGGATATCGCTGAGGGTCACGTTATCTGTTATAATGAGGTTTGGCTCCATGGAATAGAAAAGTTGTTTTCATACTGCAAGGATTTCTTTTCATCACTTTGTTAAAGACCCGGAATAAACAGTCAGGAACTGTTTTGGCAGCTCTGTGAAGTCATCAGGGTTTCGGCCTTCTGTTTCCTCCAGCATGTGACATCCATCCTCAAGGTCACATGATGTCTGCTGAAGACTTGATCTAAGCAGTAGAAGGAAGAAAGAGGGGAAGGCAAAGAGAGGGGCCCTGGATGTCCTAGAAGATAAAAGCCAGGCTACCAGAGAGGAAGTCAGGTGTTTGGCCATTTGGAGTCAAACAGATAATAGACACTGGAACCAATCCTGGGATGGCATTTAGGCACCTTGGAGGGTGTGCCCTAAGAGAGCTGATCACTGGAGCTGAACAGGGCCTCTGGGTACAAGGACCACATAACAGTATGGTGCTTAAATTTTCCCCTTTTCTTGAAAAGTTGCTGCAAAGCGCTCCCCTCCTAAGTTCTGGCCCCGTCTTTCCGGGACTGTATTAGAAGTGCAAGCAGGGCCTCTCCTAACTGTGGACCAAACAGGCACTGGGAGACCCCACTGACACTTTCCCTGAATACCTCGCATCTTCCTCTGAGCACTCAGCTACCCAGTGTGTCTGATACCCATGGTGATTTGGGTATGTGGGTGGATCCAAGCAAGACAAAAGTTTGCTGTTCCTGAACACACACTTGAAAAGTGGTAAGGTCTCAACAAATTCATAAAAGTGAGTTCAGTATGTTATCATTAGGGGGAGTAGTAGGAAAGTGGTAGGAGGTCTGTTCAACAGTGGAAGGTTGGAATCAGACAGTAACAGCCACAGAGAAGGTAGTCAAAGGGTGGTTGCTGTCATCAGACCAGGCTCTCCTGCCCACCAACCGCAGGCCACAATCCCAGCCCTTCTCTCTGATGTCAGGAGCTGGGGAGCATCTGCCTTGCCAAGCCTTGTGCGATCGGCTCCTGGCAGCCTCACACCTGGTAGGATGAGGGACGGGGAGTGAGCCAGAGCCCCTCTGCTAAGCATAACTTTGGTAAGTGGGCAGCCTGCCCCTGAAGAATCAATACTGACAGAGCACTGCTGCCTTCCCTGCTGACCACACAGGGACTACGGGACCTTTCTCGGCTTTGGCACCCTAGCCACACGATGCCCCAGAACCAGTTTCTACTCAGCTCTGGGCTCTCCCACCACTGTCAGTGAATGAGATCAGAGTGAATCCAGCCGTACGTCACTCCTTAATACATTCAAAAGCACAGAGGACGTCCCTGGATGCAAAATCAGGAGAGGGTAGGAGCCCTGGAAGGGAATATCCTGCCCAAGTGCAGTACTTCACTATAATTATTACAGTAATACACTATTTCTGTTTAAGACCATTTCAAAGGGCACTAACTGGCATAAAGTAAAATAAGTCTGCTTCCTCCCCACACCTAGCTGCACTCTCTAGGGACCACCATGTATAGCTTCTGGTATACCTTTCAGAAATTTTCTATCCTAGTGTATTCTGTTGAATGCATGTGCAAGGATTTTACTTATAGATCATTCAACTAACAATAATCACTAATTTATAAAATGCATATTATTGACACTGACATTGGAGGTGGAAAAACAACTAAAAATGATAAAAGTGAACGTTTAATTCTTCCAGAGTGCAGTTTTTGAAATGACCACCAGGTGTCAGAGTTATCAACAGTAATCCCCAAATTACGACTGGAAAGTTACAAGAACAGAAAAGTGCCTGGCTGGAAATGAGACCGCGAGATTCCTCCCTTAACAGGATTCCTTGGCCCTTTGGCCCAATATTTCGTCTACTTAGTGTTGCAGGGAGGGAGGAAGGGAAGCTACAGACAAAAAAAAAAAAAAAAAAAAAATCCCCAGACCACAGATTCCCATTCAGTTGGGTACCCTTTGATCTTTAGAGAAGCTCTGTGAAAGCACTGTTAAATTTTACATGGGAAATGTAAAGGCTAGGCAGAGTCAGTCCTCCTACAGCTGCAAGGCTACTTTTGGAAGCCAGAGCTATCTCCTTCCTTCAGTAGGGGCGGAGAACAGAAGAGGACACGGACACACACACACACACACACACACACACACACACACACACACAGAGAGAGAGAGGAGGGCTCAGCTACGGCCATCCTTGTTTTAAAAGGGAAAATCCAATTCTGTTTGTAGGAGCACCTCCTAGTTTACCACCACCATCTCTTACTCACTTCCCACTGACTCCTCACATGCACTTCCTCTACCAGGCCTGACCTGCCTGCTGTCCTGAGCTGCTGACCTAGAAACATTCGACCTCCATGCTTGAGAGCAGGGTGTGGACCGTCTCCCCTCGCCACATCCAGGCTGTCGTCCAGGGGCAGTTACACCACCCTTCCTCCAGGGCAGAGGCCTGAGCGGGGTGGCCTTGCTGCTCCCACGCCCTGGCACCACATGCCTAGCTCTTGTAGAGCCAACATACCATGGAGGGCTCCAGGCGACTCCCACACAAGCCTCTTCCTGTATCTTCTTGGATCACTGATACCTGCACTGGCAGACCAGGAGAGTGAAGCAGTTACGACAAGGCCTTGTGCAAGGAGGGCACGAGAATGGCACAAGTGGCTGCAGAGTGAGCTAATGTCTTCCCTGGGAGGGCACAGCTGAAGAGTGTCAAAAAGACAGGGGGAATCTTTGGCCGGGCACAGTGGCTCATGCCTGTAATCCCGGCACTTTCGGAGGCCGAGGTGGGAGGATCTCATGAGGCCAGGGGTTTGAGACCAGCCTGAGCAACACGGTACAATCCTATCTCTACAAAAAATACAAAAATTAGCTGGGTGTGGTGGCACGCACTTATTGTCCCAACTGCTTGGGAAGCTGAGGTGGGAGGATGGCTCGAGCCCGGGAGGTCCAGGCTACTGTGAGCCGTGACTGCACCACCGCACTCCAGCCCAGGCAACAAAGTGAGACCCTGTCTCCAAAAAACACTTAAAGAAAGAAAAGAAAGGGGAATCTTTACATGTCCCATTGGCACTTGTCTAGGCTGCTCCCTGGACCACATCTCATGTCTGAGCTATGGGGCTAGGGAAGGGATCAGACAGGATTCAGACCCCCTACACACTGGAGCTTTTTGTGGATGGAACGTTGCTATGCAGAACAATGCAGAGCTTGTGAAAAGAAGCAGGAGGTGGTGTGAGGAGAGGGGAGCAGGGAAGAAAAGAGTGCCCTCTTCATGGACCATATTATGCATGTTTCAATCCTACTTGAGATGTGACTTCCACGATTTCTGACAGATTAAGGTGACCTTTTTATGTGAGTTGAGTAACCACATCTGCTAAACTGGCACATCCCATATTCACCACATGAAGCAACAGTAATTACTTTAGTCACTATACACTTTAAATGCTATATATAGAGAATTTAAAATGATACACCTGTGGTGCCACAAATATAATGTCAGTTATTATTAAAACACTGGTAGTATTCATATTCAATATGACAATACACTATGTTTGATGTTTCAAACATAAGGTTCAAGCCAAATGCTTCATATAAAAATATCAAGGGGTAAAACAATGTTTATACCTGGACCACCATTCATTTACCATGACTGATATAGTAACTGTTGCTTTAATGTGGCCGACACAGGTTTGGCAACTGAGATTTTCCTCCATTATCTTATAACACATAAGGGGTACAGAACAGAAAGAACCTCTCATAATGCTATTCCTATTATATCCCCTTCCTGAGTAGGGTCAGACTAAGCCTTGGGCAGGGACCACCCAGCATCACCCTCATCTACACTGGGTGTGTCTACCTCAAGGAAGGGTTAATAATGGGCCTCCCCTCTGGGCACTGAACTCACTGTTTGGTGACATTTGGATAATCCTGGGTCTACTAGATTCCTGGTAAGTCAAAGAACATTCCAAACCTCTCCAAAGTCTTCCTATCAGTCACAAGTTCTACTTCATTAGGCCATTCAGATGGTAAGGGTTTCACAAGGCCAAGACAGACTTCACTGGTCTATGTGTATCCTGAGGATGGGGTGGTGAGAGGAGGAGGAGGGTGGATTCAGGCCCCCACCTCACTCATTCAAATACAGATGGTCCCTGACCTATGATGGTTCAGCTTACAATTTTTCAACTTTATGATGGTGTGAAAGCAATACACATTCAGTAGAAACCATACTTTGAGTACCCATACAACCATTCTGTTTTTTTACTTTCTGTACAGTATTCAATTACATAATATTCGACATTATTATATAATAGGCTTTGTGTTAGATGATTTTGCCCAACTGTAGGCTACTGTAGTGTTCTGAGCACGTTTAAGGTAGGCTAGGCTAAGCTATGAAGTTCTGTAGGTTAGGTGGATTAAATGCATTTTCGACTTACAATATTTTCTACTTACAATGGGTTTATTGAGATACAAACCTACTGAAAGTCAAGGAGCATCTCTGTACCTGCTTGCCACCACCCCCTCCAGGTTATTCATGCTTTAAGTAGGTGAGTCAGAGGAGGTGGGTGGTTATATTTGGTTTTGCCATGTGTATGGTATCCTAATGACAGTGACTCCTCCCTCTAGTTAATCCTTCCACAAGCGACTCCACCTCCAAGCCCTGCACTCAGCCAGGTAAAATGCCTAACTGAAAATCTCCGGTCTCTTCACCAGTACCAGAGGCCGATTCTCTTCTAGAAAGCAAGGAAGGAAATCATTGATGTGAACACAGAAGCAGAAGACTTTCTGAGCCAGTCACGAGCTTGGGTGCAGAGTGAGGCCAAGCTCAGACAGGTCACTGACCATAATTATCCCTCCCATAAGGGCAGCCTTCCTCACCTGCAGCCACGCAGCTTCTGAGGCAGTGACAAATAGCTGTGCCTGTCGAAACTACAGAGGAAACATTCCTCACCAGGTCTCTCAGTCCAAGCTTCAGGGACGGGACCAGAAATGTAAACAGACTACACCAATAGAAACAAGAGAGAACTGGTTCTCCTGCTCTCTGGATGGTTTATGACATTTCAATTATGTTCAACACAATATAGTTGAATTATTTTTAACCTTACCAAGCCTCCTAGCTTTGCAAAAGAAATATTAGTTGATAGAGTGGAAGGACAGCTAGAAGCAGAGATCTGAAAAAAAAAAAAAAAAACTTACTAGTAGAAATGAGCCTGTAAATGATACTACTCACAATATTGGGTAGATAAAGCATAGCACCTTTTACTCAAGGAACCATGAGTAAGGGACATTTTGGGTGTTGCTTATTTGTAATTTACTTCTTAGAATAATATAGTGCGTTTTCTTCAAGCAGTTTTGCTGTTATTTCAGCAAACGGAAGAGAGGAAACCTCAGTTCTAATTTCCCCAGTAGCTGTGCTGTCATGATTACCATCCTACTAGAACAGTTCAAGATAATTCTGCCTAAAGTTAAGACAGAGATTCTTAATGCGCAATCTTTTGGACAATATGACTAGTGTCTAAACAAACTGATCTCGGGTTTTAATAGTTCTGTTGAGGGGAGGGAGGATAAAGAAGGGTCCCATTTCTTCTCTTTGTTTCACTTTTCTTCTCCCCTCAATGCTATGAAAATCTTTCAAAACTTGTCAAAGGTAGCAGGGCACCTGTAGTCCCAGCCATGAAGGAGGCTGAGGCAGAAGGATGGCTTGATCCCACAATTTTGAGGCTGTAGTACACTTTGATCATGCCTATGAATAGCCTGCACTCTGCATTCCAGTCTGGGCAATATAACAAGAACCCATCTCTAAAAATTAAAAAAAAAAAAAATCCCACCTTGTCAAAGGCATGCAACAACCTCACAGTGAAATATCCAAAGTTCTTCTGATTATGGTGTTAGAACTTAGCATAAGAGTTGCAACTTCCAGTGACTACAGGTGCCAAATAGATTTGTTTCATAGTATCATGAAGCCAGGTAGAGTGGCTCACGTCTGTAACCCCAACACTTTGGGAGGCCAAAGTGGGAGGATCACTTGAGCCTAGGAGTTCAAGACCAGCCTGGGCAACACTGTGAGAAACCGTTTCTACAAAAAAAAAGAAAAAAGAAAAAATGGCCAGGCATGGTGGCTCATGTCTGTGGACCCAGCTACTCAGGAGGGCGAAGCTGGAAGGACTGGAAGATGGGTTGAGCCCAGGAAGTCGAGGCTGCAGTGAGCCATGATCACACCACTGCACTCCAGCCTGGATGACAGAGACAGACTGTCTCTCTAAAATAAAAATATATATACACACAATATATATATTATATGTGTATATAATACATATAATTTTTTTTTGAGATGGAGTCTCTTTCTGTTGCCCAGGCTGGAGTGCAATGGCGTGATCTCAGCTCACTGCAACCTCTGCCTCCTGGGTTCAAGTGATTCTCCTGCCTCAGCCTTCCCGAGTAGCTGGGATTACAGGCATGCGCCACCAAAACCGGCTAATTTTGTATTTTTAGTAGAGACGGGGTTTCTCCATATTGGTCAGGCTGGTCTTGAACTTCTGACCTCAGATCATCTGCCCGCCTCAGCCTCCCAAAGTGCTGGGATTACAGGCACGAGCCACCGCACCTGGCCATAATCTTAAGCTATCTTCTTTTGGCCCTGAAACCCTTTTTTTTTTTTTTTTTTTTTGAGACAGAGTTTCGCTCTGTTGCCCAGGCTGGAGTGCAGTGGCGCGATCTCGGCTCACTGCAAGCTCTGCCTCCCAGGTTCATGCCATTCTCCTGCCTCAGCCTCCCGAGTAGCTGGGACTACAGGTGCCCATCACCACACCTGGCTAATGTTTTTGTATTTTTAGTAGAGACGGGGTTTCACCGTGTTAGCCAGGATGGTCTCAATCTCCTGACCTTGTGATCCGCCCACCTTGGCCTCCCAAAGTGCTGGGATTACAGGTGTGAGCCACCGTGCCCGGCCAACACTTTACTTTTTAAAATATCCATTTCTTCTTGAAATACAGCCCACTTTGCTAGGCACAGTGGCTCACACCTATAATCCCAGCACTTTGTAAGGCTGAAGTGGGTGGATCACTTGAGGTCAGGAGTTTGAGACCAGCCTGCCCAACATGGTGAAACCCTGTCCCTACTAAAAATACAAAAATTAGCCGGGCATGGTGGTACGCGCCTATAATCCCAGCTACTTGGGAGGCTGAGGCAGGAGAATCACTTGAACCCGGGAGGCGAAGGTTGCAGTGAACCGAGATCGCGCCACCGCACACCAGCCTAGGCAACAGAGTGAGACTCCATCTTAAAAAAAAAAAAAAAGACATTGGTAAAGGAAATAGTTCACTTTCGTCTTAATTCTACTATTAGAAAAATAATAGTGCAACATGGAGGAATTTCAAAAGTAAAAATAAATACAAGTGGCAGCTGACAGTCAACCTCAGTATCTGGGAGGCAATAGGAAAGCGTGGCGACTCTGGTAATTTGAAAAGCACATAACCTGTATAGAAGCAGAAGCCACTATGAACGCCAACCATCTGTTTTTCAGAAGTGTGGATCCAAGTCTTTGAAGAGAAACCAGAAGTCCAGATTCCTATGTGTAATCTGTCAATTTTTAAATATGGACTATTAGCTTAAAAGAAGTCATCGGGTCACCACTTTGCTACCCCACTTTACGAACCAGAAGCAATCTGACTGGGGATAGAACTGTTCTGGAAGTCAGGGAGCCAAGACTGTTAAAGCCAGCTGACACCAACCTATTTTCTTCCCCTGGGCCAAAGATCTAATCATTCTGGGCCTCAGTTGCCTTGTCTGAAAAGTTTAGAGGTCCAAAATTCCTTTCAATCCTAAAATATGGCATATGGGTGAATAAGTTTTCTAGATAGTCAATACTCACAAGAATAACCAGGAACATAATTAAATGAAAAACAAAACTAGATCATTGTGCCATAGCAGGCTCTATTACATTGTCTAGACACAGCCTTGGTGTGACCAAGCTATTCGGTTAACATAACCACAAGAATGGGAACACTTTTATCAGAACAGATCTAGTTTCCAATATCTACCCACCCACTGGGGAGAGAAAAAAAGTATGGATCTCTAGTACATCATGACTCTGGCAGGAGCACCCCTCTATGAAACAGAACTCTTGGGTCTTTTGAACCCAAACCAAGCATTTCAAGGGAATAATTCTGAGTCAGAACAAAGCTGACCAAGAGGCTGCCCCGAGCCACGGCTCTTGCTTGACAAGTTCATGCTCAGCCTACCTGCGATGAGCTTTGTAGTTGCCACATCATGGTCTCCTGCAGGAGCCAACTGCACTAGGAACAGCTCTTGTTACATAACCCTCGGCCATACCCCATGACTGTGCACGAGGACATGGCTTTGCCCTGCACAAAGGCACACAGGATTTTAGACATGGCATCTTGTTTTTCAGGGAGCACAGAAAGGAAATAGAAAATATGAGGCTGGAAAATAATAAGGAATAGATAAATTAAGGGCCTTTCCCACTGTAAAGGTTAAAAGCATATTTCAGAACAAATAAAAGTGTTCACATTCTTGTGGTTATATTAACTGTGTGCCTTGGGCAAAGTGAAGGCCCAAAGAATAATGGAAACCCACATGAACTATAACTGGTGGCTCTTCACACAGGCCATCTTGACACAGACCGCATGGCTCCAAGTGAAATGTGGAGGGGGTGTCTGCTCCCTACATTCCTAAGTACTTTTGTGCCTCAGTTGTGAACAACAGGACCTTTTTTATTTTGCTATTAGCAGCTGCCAATAAGTATCTAGTACATCTTAAAGAATAATTTACCTTTGGCTCCACAACCAGCTATGATCTCCCTTCGGTTCTATCTCCCTTAGAGGCATTTTCTTCATTGTGTCCTTTTAATGCCTTGGCTTTAGCTAACCAGGGTGTTTATTCTAAAAGTCAGTTCGTTCTTACCCTAAGTCCTTTGTATTATCTGTTCCCTCTGCCTGGAATGCTCTTTACCCTGATCTTCACGAGAGTAGTTCATTCAGATCTCAGCCTCAAGGGTACCCCTGAGAGAGGCCCTCCCTGGCCATTCAGTAGACAGGGTCTTCCCACGCACTATGTCATGTGGTCCTTCTTTAATTCTCTGCCTAGCACGTCATACCATCATACCGTCACACCACCTGATACATTTCCTGTTTCTTTCTTTTTGATGCATTTCCTGTTTATTTATTTCTTTTTGCTGGTCTTCCCTAGGAGACACAATACAAGACTAGAATATAAGTTTGTGTAAGCTTATAAGAATATAAGCTCCATGGAAGTAAAGATTTTGTGTCTTGTTCACTGCATATTTCTAGCACCTTGAAGTGTCTTGCATATAGCAAGTGCTCAAAAAATATTTGTTGAGGGAGTCTCTGAACCTATTCTGGCTCAGGGGGCTTCCCAATAATATATACATATATGTATGTGTGTGCGTGTGTGTGTGTGTGTGTGCGTGTATAATGTGTGTATGTGTATATATACGTGTGTGTGTGTGTTGAAAGAATGAATGGATGGTTTGGATGAATGGAAGAATCCATTCAGCAAATATCCACAACTGAAAGCAGGCCACAGGTTCCAGAAGCCCCAAGAGGTCTGGTGTGACTGGAGCCACAGGTGAGGGACTTGAGGGAGACTGGGCCTCCAAAGACAGGTATTGGCCAGTTCTTAAGAAGCCATGCAGACCAGTACCTGGACATTAGATTTTATCATGTAAGCAATGAGGGCCACTGAAATCATTTTACATAGTTTTAAGTAGGGAAGTGACATAATGGTTTCATGCTTTATAAAGAAAATTTTGTAGCCGGGGGTGGTGGTGTGTGCCTGTAGTCCCAGCTCAGGAGGCTGAGGTGGGAGGATCACTTGAGCCTGGGAATTCAAGCCAGCAGTGAGCTATGATTGCCCCACTGCACTCCAGCCTGGGTGACACGGCAAGACCCCCTCTCTTGGAAAAAAATAATAGTAATTTTGGTAGCAGTGACGGCAACAAATTAGAGAAAGGAACAAAACATTTAGGAGGCTACTGTCTAATCCAGGTAGAATAAAAAGATGTAAACCCAAACTATTAGTGGCAATGGAGATGGAAGAGAGGAGACAGATTAAAAGCTATGAAAAGGGTAGGATCAATAGAGTTTAGTGACACAGGAGATGCGGGAGGTGAAAGAATGGATGGGGTTAAAGAGAATCCCAGTTTCTGGCCGGGTGCGGTGGCTCACACCTGTAATCCCAGCACTTTGGGAGGCCGAGGCAGGCGGATCACAAGGTCAAGAGATCGAGACCATCCTGGCCAATATGGTGAAACCCCATCTCTACTAAAAATACAAAAAATTAGCCGGTCATGGTGGCAGGCACCTGTAATCCCAGCTACTTGGGAGGCTGAGGCAGGAGAATCACTTGAACCTGAGAGGCGGAGGTTGCAGTGAGCCAAGATCATGCCATTGCACTCCAGCCTGGGCAAAAAGAACGAAACTCCATCTCAAAAAAAAAAAAAAAAAAAAGAATCCCAGCTTCTGATTCGTGTCAGTGGGAGAAATTGTGACATTCTTCATGGAAATGAATAGCTCTCAGGCAGGCACGAGGCCTCTGGAGCTCTAAATTCACTCTGCCTGTGAGGTGACTGAATCTGAGTTGGCTTGCTTGCATGAGCTCATGGATACTTGCCCAAGTGGCTATCTATGGTCCTAGCATAAATATGAGTTTATCTGCTGAATAAGTAAATGCGTACAGAAGTCCCTCTGGTGTGGGTACATGAAATGTGCAGTGCTGGTGATTTATCTGTTCATAACGATACACGTGGGATTGCACTGCACGGCCATTTTGGGAGGCACACACTGATCCATCACCATGGACGCATGACTATTGGTCTAAATATAGATGTGCCTGTCACCTCAGAGAAAGAACAGATCAGAAGTCATGATCCCACTTACTCCAAGAAAACTTTAAGGTGACAAACTTGAAAACATCAATGAATGTAATGTTTCTTAAGTCTGAATCTGATCTAAAGATCAAATTATAATTACCTCCCCTGTTCCATTTTTCTTGACTTTAATTGCTAATTTAACCCCAGCCTCTTCCAAAGTAGCCCCACTTCCATTCCAAGATAATTCTGACAGTCCTCAAGGGACATCTCACAGGTACTCAAAAGCAAGTACAGTCAGCTATCTATCAAGATGCTCTGTGAGGATCTCCAGTTTATTTCTGATTTTTTTTGTGTGTTTTTTGGGAGACAGGATCTTGCTCTGTCGTCCAGGCTGGAGTACAGTGGCACGATCACAGCTCATTGCAGCCTCAACCTCCTGGGCTCAAGCAATCCTCCCACTTCAGCCTCCCAAGCAGCTGGGACTGCAGGCATCCGCCACCATGCCTGGCTGAGTTTATCCATTTTCTCCTCCTCCAGCCCCCATCTGCTGCTGCCACTTGAAAGACTATATAATGTTAACAGCATGGGCTCTAGTGACTGCCAGCTTAGGTTGGAATCCTGGCTTTGCCCTTGACGAGCTGTGTGACCCTGGGCAAATTATGTAGCCCCTCTGTGCCTTAGTTTCTACCCTTGTAAAAACAATAATAATGTTATTATTTTCATTAACTAACCTCTAGCCTACCTTGTGGAGGTGCTTGTGATGATTAAATGGGTTAATATTTATAAAGTACTTAGAATAGTGCCTAAAGCAGAGCAGGCACTGAATAAATGCCAGCTATTATTTCTACTACCTTCACTCCTACTGGCCATGGGGACACCTCTGGTGGTCCTGCCATAAGTTGCCAAAGCAATGGGGGTTTATTACAAGGTAAGGGACAATGCCCTCTTTGTAATATGACATCAAAGGCAGGTACAGCTTATGTCCAGTGTTTTCTGAAATTACCACTGTGATGGTTAATTTTAGGTGCCAACTTGACTGGATTAAGGAATAGAGAACTGGTGAAGCACTGTTTCTGGGTGTGTCTGCCAGGGTTTCCACAGGAGACTGGTGTGTGAGTCAGTGGACTGAGTGGGGAAGACCCACCCTCAATGTGGGCGGGCACCATCCAACTGGCTGGGGGCCCAGATAGAACAAAAAAAGGAGAGAAAAGGATTTCCTCTCTCCTGGAGCTGGGACACTCTCCTACTCCTGCCCTCAGTCATCAGAACTCCCGGCTCTCTGGCCTTGGGACTCCAGGACTTACACCAGCAGCCCCCTAGGTTCTTGGGCCTTTGACTTCAGTTTGAGAAGTACACCATCAGCTTCCCTAGTTCTAGGGCTTTCAGACTTGGACTGAGCCACACTACCAGCATCCCAGGGGCTCCCGCTTGCAGATGCACCCTATTGAGGGGCTTCTCAGCCTCCAGAATCCAGTGAGCCAATTCCCTAATAAACCCCCTCTCATATATCTATAGATCTAGATCTATCCTATTGGTTCTGTCTCTCGGGAGAACCCTAACACAATTCCTAAAAGTTCTTTACATTTTTACTTGCAGCCCTCCCTTCTTATACCATCCTCCAAAGGACTGAGATGAGCTATGAGTCCATGGGCACCCAGGCTAGAAGGCAAGTGAGTGACCGACACCATCTACCCTCCCTCCCTCAGGGTTTTGTTACGGGCTCAGCTGGGTCCAGTCTGGCTCCAGCTCCCTTAGGATGAGTTCTGCCCAGGAGACTCTTTCCTTCCTCACCTAGATAGACTTCTTTGAATCCCCCTCTTCCCAGTGCTTCCAAAGGGGGAATTTAAATCTGATTCTTTAAAAATAATGAAACACCAGCTGTATCATTAAATTATTTCTAAGTGGAATTCAGACTTAATTTGAGTCTTTTAACAGTAGACTTTTAAATGAAGCTCCTTAACTCAAGACTAAAGAATACTACTGATGTGGGCGTTCATCTTTGATGATGAAGTCCCTGTTGATAGTCTTAACATTAGGACAGGAAGAGAAAAATGAAATTTTAAACATACCATTTACGTTAGCATCAAAAAACATCCGATACCTAGGAAAAAGATGTACAAGACTTCTACACAGAAAACCATGAAACATTACTAAGAAAAATTAAAGACTTAAAGAACTATGTAAGTAGAGAAACATGCCATATTCCTAGACACAAAGATTCAATGTTATAAAGATGTCTGTTCTCCCCAAATTGACCCAAATATTTAATGCAGTTCCAATCAAAATTTGACAAATTGTTTTGTGGAAATTGATGAGTCTATACTTTATATGAAATGCAAAGGGCCCAGAATAGCCAAGACAATACTGACAAAAAAAAAAAAAAAAAACAAAGTTGAAATAATTATACTACCAAATGGCAAACTTACTATAAAATTACAGCAGCAAGTAAGTCAGTATGGTATCAGCACAAACTTTTGCCAGTTAAGACATAAAGATATGTGAATACAGCAATTGAGCAGAGAGTTTAGAAACATACCCACACATATACAGTGCTCTAATTTATAACAACACCACTGCAAGATAGGGGGGAAAGGATTTTCTTTACCCTGTGGTGTGGGTCAACTGGACATTCACATGGAAAAACAATGAACTGTGGCCCCTACCTCACACCAGTCAGAAAACTAAACTACAGAATGGTTGTAGACATAAACATGAAAGGCAAAACGTTGAAACTTCCAGAGGATATAACACAGAAGAATATATTTATGCCCTTGAGGACGAGAAATGACTTCTAAAGTAAAACACAAAAAGCACAAACCATAAAGAGAACTGATGAACTGGATTTCATTAAGAACTTCTGTTCATCAAGACAACATTAAGAGAGCAAAAGCAAACCACACAGAGGGAAAATAAATTTGCAGTACATACATCCAACAAAGGACTCACATCCAGAATATACACAGAATTCCACACATCAATAATAGAAAGGCAACACAATCTTTCTTTTTTTTTTTTTTTTTTTTTTAAGCAGAGTCCCACTCTGTCACCCAAGCTGGAATGCAGTGGCATGATCTCAGCTCATTGCAACCTCCACCTCCCAGGTTCAAGCAACTCTCCTGCCTCAGACTCCCAAGTAGCTGGGATTACAGGCATGCGCCACCACGCCCGGCTAATTTTCGTATTTTTAGTAGAGACAGGGTTTCACCATGTTGGCCAGGCTGATTTCGAACTCCTGACCTCAGGTGACCCACCCACCTTGGCCTCCCAAAGTGCTGAGATTATAGGTGTGAGCCACCACACCCGGCCAAAAGGCAACACAATCTTAAAAGAGGAGGAACAAGCAAAAGATTTGAAAAGGCACTTCACAAAAGAAAACATCCAAATAGCAAAAAATGTATATAGACATACATATATGTAGGACTATACATACACTTACTTATGTATTTATATACACACACCATTAGTCATCAGAGAAATGCAAATTAAAACTACAATAAGATACTACTGGGGTCCTGGTAACGTTCTATTTCATGACCTGGGTGATGGTTTCACGGGTACGTTCACTAGAAAAAACTGAGTTGTACAATTAAGGATGTATATACTCCTTTCTACATATTATACTTTAATAAAGATGTTTACTAAAAAAAAAAAAAAAAGGGCCGGGCGTGGTGGCTTATGCCTGTAATCCCAGCACTTTGGGAGGCCGAGGTGGGCGGATCACGAGGTCAGGAGTTTGAGACCAGCCTGACCAACATGGTGAAACCTCATCTATACTAAAAATACAAAAATTAGCCGGGCGTGGTGGCGCACGCCTGTAATCCCATCCATTCAAAAGGCTGAGGCAGGAGAATTGCTTGAACCCGGGAGTCGAAGGTTGCAGTGAGCCGAGATCGCGCTACTGCACTCCAGCCTGGGTGACAGAGAAAGATTCCGTCTAAAAAAAAAAGAAACCAGCAGGGCGCGGTGGCTCATGCCTGTAATCTCGGCACTTTGGAAGGCCAAGGAGGGTGGATCACACGGTCAGGAGTTTGAGACCAGCCTGGCCAATATGGTGAAACCCCGCCTCTACTGAAAATGCAAAAATTAGCTGGGCATGGTGGCACAAGCCAGCTGCTTGGGAGGCTGAGGCAGGAGAATCACTTGAACCCAGAAGGCAGAGGTTGCAGTGAGCCACTGCACTCCAGCCTAGGCAACAGAGCGAGACTCTGTCTCAAAAATAAAAATAAAAATAAAAATAAAAAAAACCAAATGCCACATGTGGGCCTTTTTTAGATCCTGCTTCATACAAGCCAACTGTTAAAAGAAATTCTGAGACAGTTGGAAAATTTTGAGATTAATTGCATATCTGATGACAATATTAATTTTTTAGGTGTGATGATGGTATTAAGGCAATATTTTCAAAAGGAGGTTTTATCTTTTAGAGCTATATACCGAAGTATAAGTAAATATATTATAAATAAATAATATCCTGGATTTACTTCAAAATAATCAGGAGAGAGGACAGATAACACAAGCATAGATGATAGCTATCATAGCTGGATGGTGGGGACATGGGAATTGCTACACCATTTCTTTACCTTTATGTATGTTTAAAATACTGCATAATAAAACTTTTTAAAAATCTAGAACAAATCCAAGGTTTTATACTGTTTGCCTATTTATGACTCTTGTCTTCTGCCCCTACCTGGGCTAATCAAATAAGATTATGTAGTAGCAATGCAGCTTCCATAAACACTGAATCCCTAGGCTATAGGGACCTCAAGAAATCATCTTGGCTATCCCCTCACTATCAGGCAGTCTCTGAAACAGAGGACATCCCAAACCACATCTGCACACTGACCAGCACAGGTGACAGTGTCTCTACTCTCAGAGAAGCAGCCTAAAAAAATATATATATATATCTATATCTATAGATATCTATCTATCTATCTATCTATATATATAATTGGGCAGAGCAATCATTTACCTATATTCTTTGGGGTGTATGCCAAGGTAAGGTCTCTAGGTAGCCCAGTTGCTTTGTCTAAAACAGAAGACTCTTAAAAGAAGCTCCTGTATTCTCCCTGAGCTGACCTTTCCTGTCTTGTCCCTCGATATTAAGCTTATGCTATCGAGCCTCATCTCAGTTAGATATCTGTGGCTTCCTTTGCCAGCTGACCTAGCTGGAGCTGCTAATGGAGTAATCAAGTATGAATTCCTGTATAAATCAAGTCTGGCTCTTATTCCAGGGATCTAGACTACTACAGGCCTACACAATTTAGAAACCCTCATTAGATAGATGCAAGTAGTTGTAAATATAAACCTAGCTAGGGCCTTCTGACTTAATGTGTCTCCCAGGAAGCCCTCCAGGTTTGGAAGCCTTCTCAGTTCACAGGGAAAGAAAATTCATTTCCTCCTTCTTGCCTTCCTTTGCCATTTCAAGATGAAGTGTTCTAAATTGATAAATCTCCAAGTTAACGCCTAGCTTAGTGTGCTATCCCTACTGGACATAATGTCTGTTTCAACAAGGATTTCTTGGAGAAATGAACTCTACCTTTGGTACAAAGCATTCAGGTACCCCCTGTGATAGCTTCTGGAGGAAAGAAAATCTTTTAGTGTCCCTAATGGGCTTACTTACCTACTACTAATTAGGTTAATGAAATGATACAGGCTTCAAAGGTGAGGAGCCGAAGTTTCATATACCCAAAAAGGGAAAAGTTCAAAAATGAACGTATAGGACTTGCTCCATTTTTCCTTTTAACCCCTAAGGAATTTAAACAGTGGCTACTTTTCGGACTAACACAAGCCGTCTCCAAAAAGTCATGTAATGAAGGTGTTGAGAACACAGCTCTGGAGCCACGCACCAGCTATATGACCTCAAGTTTTCTGTGCTTCAGTTTCTCACCTGTAAAATGTGGCTAATGAAAATACAGCCTTCATAAGGTTGATGGGAAGATTAAAAGAGTACAATATATGTAAAGCACTTACAACCTTGTCTTCCTAGTGTTAGCTCTATTATTTCATTATCACAGAAGCCCTGCTGTGGACATGCGCCATCACAGGGAAAAAAAAGGCTAAGAATGGAACAACTGGGCACTAGGAAACAAAATGAAAAGAACAGTGTTGTTGACACTCTGGCTAAATCTTAAAAACACATCTACTTCTATGCCACAGTATTTGTCAATAATCTGGGGACAGAGAAAAAGACATTCTGAAATAAGGGGTCAGAGCTGTAGCAGAAAATGTACATCCTTATTTTTCAGGAATTTATAGAGAAAGGCTACTGTTATGTGTGATGATACAAACCCCAGTAAGAGAGGCCAGGCTCTTGCCTATAATCCCAGCACTTTGGGAAGCTGAGGCGGGAGAATTATTTGAGCCCAGGAGTTCAAGACCAGCCTGGGCAACATGGGGAGACCCTGTCTCTACAAAAAGTTAGCCAGGTGTGGTAGTGCATGCCTGTGGTCCCAGCTACTCGGGAGGCTGAGGTGGGAGGATTGCTTGAGCCCACCTCAAGGTGGGTGCAGTGAGCCATGATCGTGCCACTGCACTCCTGCCTGAGCAATGAAGGAAGACCCTGTCTCAAAAAAAAAAAAAAAAAAAAAAATTAAGGGAATCAATAAATCTCCCAAACTCTGTTAGTCCTGAGTTGGCTAAGCACCCCTCCACTAGCCACAAGAAGCTAAGAGTTATTGTTTTGCTTTTTGTTGTTAATGACTGACATTCATGGTCTTTCATTCAATAAATTTTTTAAAATTTAGGCTATTATAATATTTCATGTTTGCCTATACATTTAGTATTATTTAGTAAAGAGCATAATTTTAAAAAATAACAATTAACTGAAGAAGCCTCGAGATCCCTTCAATAAGTTTTTAAACTTTATGAATAATCTACTACAGTCTTTAAAATTTTTCTGTTTTAAATGCCTAGTTATTGGTCCATTACATCTACAGGGGATGCATACACATATTCAGAAACATTTTCTTATGATAATTAGAATTTGTTGTTAACAGTCATAATTGTGTTTTACCATTGATTATTGTGATTATCATAATGTCAGAGGGATGAACAACACATTCGAAACTGAGAAGAAGGAAGACTGCCCAAAGGGCCTGTTGTTAGAGTCTATGCAGGGACTCCTGGGGCTATTAATTATTTATCTACTTTTCAAAGTTAATAAATAGGAATGCCTTTTTGCCCTTTATTCCCCAGAAGAACTTAACCAAATGAGAGATGGGGTGGGTGTGTGCAGAGATGGCAGTGTGAGAATATAAGAGGTATGGGTAATGAGAAGGAGATTTAGAAAAACAAATACTTACTGTCAAATATACTTAATAACATTGCCTTATCTGGCATGTTTTTATTATGAACATTTTGATGTTTTTTGAGTGTTCTTTTAAAAACGTGTGCTTTAGAAGCATAACATTAATAAAAAAGAAAGAAAAATTATATACAATCTCACAACCCAAATAACCCCTTGGCACTTTTTAAAAATACTTCATACTGGCCGGGCACGGTGGCTCACGCCTGTAATCCTAACACTTTGGGAGGCCGAGGGGGGCGGATCATGAGGTCAGGAGATTGAGACCATCCTGGCTAACACGGTGAAACCCTGTCTCTACTAAAAATACAAAAAATTAGCCGGGCATGGTGGCGGACGCCTGTAGTCCCAGCTACTCGGGAGGCTGAGGCAGGAGAATGGTGTGAACCCGGGAGGCAGAGCTTGCAGTGAGCCGAGATCGTGCCACTGCACTCCAGCCTGGGTGACAGAGCGAGACTCCGTCTCAAAAAAAAAAAAAAAACTTAATACTGTATACAGCTGTAAAATTCAAACACCAAGGAGTAGTATTAAATGGAAAAATAAGAACTTCTCCCCTCACTACCCCACTCCATCCATCAAAGAGAAACCCTGTTTATGCTTTTCTTTCCTACCAGAGAAAACAATATGTGCATATATACATAAATTTATTTATCAAAATGCATCATATTATGCACACTGTTTTGTAACATGCATTATTCACTTAATAACATATCTTGGTACTATATCCATATCAGTACATGGTGATTACCACTTTCTTTTTGCTCTTAATGCTTCAGGCCAGAAGCAGTTGCTCATGTCTGTAATCCCAGAACTTTGGGAGGAAAAGGCAGGAGGATTGCTTGAGCCCAGGAGTTAAGATCAGCCTTGGCAACATAGGGTGACCCTGCCTCTAGACAAAAAATAAAAAATTAGCCAGGTGGTGTGCACCTGTAGTTCCAGCTACTCAAGAGGCTGGGGCAGAAAGACCACTTGAACTTTGGAGGTTGAGGCTGCAGTGAGCTATGACTGCACCACTGTACTCCAGCCTGGACAACAGAGCAAGACCCTAACTCAAAATAAAATAATAATAATAATAATGCAGCCAGGTGCAGTGGCCCATGCCTGTAATCCCAGCACTTTGGGACGCCGAGGCAGGCGGACCATGAGGTCAAGAGATCGAGACCATCCTGGTCAACATGGTGAAACCCCATCTCTACTAAAAATACCAAAATTGGCTGGGCGCAGTGGCTCACGCCTGTAATCCCAACACTTTGGGAGGCCGAGGCGGGCAGATCACGAGGTCAGGAGATCGAGACCATCCTGGTTAACACGGTGAAACCCCGCCTCTACTAAAAATACAAAAAATTAGCCGGGTGTGGTGGTGGGTGCCTGTAGTCCCAGCTACTCTGGAGGCTGAGGCAGGAGAATGGCATGAACCCAGGAGGCGGAGCTTGCAGTGAGCCGAGATTGCGCCACTGCACTCCAGCCTGGGCGACAGAGCGAGACCCCATCTCAAAAAACAAAACAAAACAAAAACCAAAATTACCTGGGGATGGTGGTGCACGCCTGTAGTCCCAGCTACTCGGGAGGCTGAGGTAGGAGAATCACTTGAACCTGGGAGGCTGAGGTTGCAGTGAGCCGAGATTGCGCCACTGCACTCCAGCCTGGCGACAGAGCGAGACTCCATCTCAAAAATAAATATATAAATAAAAGTAAATAATAATGTTTCAGTGACTATCTTTGTACCCATAGCTGAGTGTTAAATGTTTTTTTTTTTTAATACGGCCCATACTGCAAAAGTGCTGCAAGTACAAACTAAGCAGTCTAATCCCAGCTGTGTGGTAGGAAAAGAATGATCTCGTTTCTATGGTTCATTTCAGTTCCTTCAGGAAATTTCCTGCAACATTGTTATTTATATCAAATGGGTCTCAAGAACATGAGAGGGCTACTGAGAAGAGGACTGTTTTCCACCTAGAGGAAGGTGAATATGTCTAACTGTTCACTGCTGGCTGTAAAGGCGCCTGTGGCAAAGCAGTCGTCCTGTCTTTGCGCTTAAATCCACCTGGTGTGCCGCCCCTACCCTTGCTTACAGGACTGTACTGAATGCCCATGGCATGAATGGAATGTTTGCAGAAGGGGAAAATAAGCAAGCGCTGGAGAGACATGCATAGAACAGCAGGTAAAACTGCCAGATGACTATGCCCTTCACCCACTCATGGAAGGCCAATATGAAGCCGTGTTCAGAGTCGTCTGCCCAGAGCTACAGAGGAATACAGCTGAGTGGCAGGGCTGAGTAAGAAAGTGACTACAGAGTCACAGCTCAGAAACAATCCTAACCAAAAAACCATCTTACACCTCTGCATTTAGCTGCCTCAAATCCTTTCTAAATGAAGAGGGATTTAAATTTTATTTTAAAATATTTCAACATAGTACTTTTCCAAATATTTGTTATATTCGTTATCTCATGACCCACACATTAACTCTAGCAAGCAGGTATGCCAATGTCATTATCCCCACTTAAACATGACATGCCTGAGGGGCTGCGAAAGTTAAATGACTTGCCTAGAGTCAATCAGCTGACCAACTGTTCTGGCCCAAGAACTGTGCTCTCCTGAATTCTCCCAATCCCACCCAGGCCCAACAAGTCCAGCTGGACAATTTTAGTGTTCCAAAGAAAAGCTAGGAATGAAGCTGGAGATATAAATATAAAAATATTCCTTCCCAAAGACACCTGAGATCTGAAAACACCTCTTCCTAACAAAAATTTAACAAATTAAATATCAATGTTGCTAAGTGCCAAGTTGATATACCACACTTATATCTGGACAGAACAACTACAGTCTCTACTAGTTACAAAGACTTGTGAGAAATGTTGGTTTTATGTTTTATTATAAACATTTATACTATCTCAGCTTTTTAAAATATGGTAGAGTTTAATTTTTACAGTTAAGATATTGTCTTGGGGTCAGGAGTGGTAGCTCACACCTGTAATCCTAACACTTTGGGAGGCCAAGACGGGAGGATTGCTCGAGCTCAAGAGTTTGAGACCAGCCTGGGCAACATAATGAGACTGTGTCTGTATTTAAAAAAAAAAAAAAGGCCAGCATGGTGGCTCACACCTGTAATCCCAGCATTTTGGGAGGCTGAGGTGGGCAGATCACGAGGTCAGGAGATCGAGACCATCTTGGCTAACACGGTGAAACCCCGTCTCTACTAAAAATAATAATAATAATACAAAAAATTAGCCGGGTGTGGTGGTGGTTGCCTGTAGTCCCAGCTACTCGGGAGGCTGAAGCAGGAGAATGGCGTGAACCCAGGAGGCGGAGCTTGCAGTGAGCCAAGATCGCGCCACTGCACTCCAGCCTGGGCGACAGAGCGAAACTCTGTCTCCAAAAAAAAAAAAAATAGTTGCCGTGGGCAGTACTAGTGATTTGTTAATTATATATCCAACACCTATTTCTTGAGTTGCCTTCTAGTCTAGTCTGGACTGGCTTATAGGAACGTTTTTCAAACTTTTTTGACAATGGCCTACAGAAGAAATATATTTTACTTTGTAAAGCATAGACATGTGTCTGTCATTGAAACAAAAATTTCACAAAATAATAATCACCCCTCTTTTGAGTGATTCACTTGGATATCTTCTATGCTTTTATACTTTGCCACCTTATTTTTAAAAATACAAATTATGGCCCACTAAATGGATTCCATGACTTACAAATGGGTCACAACCCAAAAGCTGAAAAATACTGGCTTATATGAACAATACACAGATCGTGCCCTCAAGGAATTTATACATTAGTTGGGAGTCTCATACAGTTCACAGACCTCTTACAGTTGGAAAGGCCTGGAGGTCAATTAGTTCCACTACCTACTCGATATTTGATTCTACAGCATCCCTGAAAAAAGGTGAGAAATGTGAAAAAGGCTTGTTTGCTATTTCAAGGACAAGAAGTTACCTCTTATTTGGAACCTAACACAAGATGGGTCAAATAGAGACCCGTTTTTAACAGGTCTCTATTTAAAACAGTACAGAAGCAAATACAAATGAATCAAGTATCAAAATACACACTTGATTTCTTTTTTCTAAAAGATAACTTGGACCTTTGTTCCTAAACCCATCTTAGTCCTTTTTAGGAGGAGGGTGAAAAGGGGAAGGTAAATCAGGGGGACAGAGGTCTAGAAAGCCTTCTCTCTGATGACCTGAAGAAGGGGTCTTAGCAAGTTACATCACAAGCAGCCTTCGTGATTGAGGAGCCTAATAAATGACACCCACAATGACGGCTAGGAGAGTGGAAGTCAGGAAAGGCTCCCCTGAGGAGGTTTGAAATGAGCTGAGTCTTGAAAGACTGACTGGCATCAGACAGGTGAAGAAAAGACGGGAGAGTGTAGTCAAAGACTCTCAAGGAGAAATGAGCCAGTACATTTGGCGGACAGTAGACAGGTCCCTGAAGAGGAGCAATAAGAGATGAAGCCAAAAAGAAAGACTGAAAGCAACCTGTGGTGAGCAAGACAGAATTTGGATTTTATTCTGTAGGTAATGTGGTGTTACTGAAGGTTCCTCAGTGTGTAGAGTGGTATTTCAGAATTGTTCATCTGCACATAGACCTGAAACTTGGCTTTAGAAAGACCTAAAGACCCAGAGTTCAGATAACAGATTCTCAAGCTGTGTTTTAGTACAGAGAAAAATGTTCTGTAAGGGACTTTATAAATTCAGAATTCTAACACGAGCAGTGTTGGTTACCTAAAAATTAGAAAAACTGGAATATAGAGTTTAGATAGCAATGGAATCCAATTTATTTTTCATCATTTTACTTTTGTTAATGAAGTGTGAGCTTTGTCTGTAGCTGCCATGAAGTGACTGATTTCCTTTATAAAACCTACAGTCTTTATTCAGAAGCAAGTCTTCAATGTTGCTATGGGCCTAATAAATTATTATAAACCATTTTGCAAAAATTAAATTTTGCCTAAACAACACTTTTAATAATAAGGTTGTCTAAAGTTAATATACAAACAGGGCTCTCTGAGGGTGTTAACTATCTAGTAATTCAGGCTCTGCTGGATACAGTGACAGAGCTCTATGAACCTCAACTAGAACTCAGGTCGGCCTCAGGTGAATATAAACACTGTATGTGAGTCACCTTGCAATTACAGCTGCCACCTGGAAGCAAATTTAAGCAGTAAGAACTACAAAACCAAATCCCTGTAAGATCCTGCATTGACCTTCCTCTTACTTCTTCCTGTCTGAGGATCCATAAACCTCAGGATTCTTTACTAATTTCTCATCAGCATCATTTTTTATTGTATTTCCAAATTTAAAAACAACTGTCTCCAAAGGCCTCAAAATTACTTTCAGTTATTACTATAATAAATATCAGCGATGTATGATGTATTAATTAGAAACTAAGGTGTTTTTTTTCCCCTCCCCACAGGAAAACTACTTCAGAGAAAGACTTTAAATTTCTGAGAAAATCTTTATACATATTGAGTATAGATGCTATCAACCACATACATGAAAATAATTGTTTGGGGATAATGCACACCATTTGCCAATGATTAAGATTCAGCCCAGTCTTTGTTGCTGCATTTCTACATTCACATAAATTGGTAAGTCATGATGACACAGAAGGCTCACATGCCACGTAAAAATTTCAAGCCTGGATCTGAATGGGTGCCTGAATCCTTCTCAGAATGCATATTTTGGAGGCAACTGTTTGGTTTATGTTACTGCTCCCTAAACTGGGCAGTGACTCAAGAGGCAGCTGGAAGAGAGAAGGAGGTGCTGGGCAAGTGCTAAAAAAGAGTGAAGCCTCAACAGCAGAGTCCCTCCCCTTCTCTACACACCACACAGCCTTTTTGTGACTTCTTGTCCCCATAAGATATGCTCCTCTAGACTAACTCCCCTTCCCAGGGTGGAGCAGAGTCTCACCGGCTCATTATCTCACAGCTCCCGGGATGGCCCCGGGTACAGCAACTGTGTGGCACTTGGCTGTGGAAATTCAAGTTTTTCCACCCTAAAACAAGTAGGTTGTGAAACCCGATTTCGGTCCTGGTTACCATTGAGAGGGGCCTACCACAGCCCTGTGCCTGGAAGTTCCTGCCTGTCGAAGCTCCTAGCCCCCTGCCCCATCCTCACCTTCTGCACCTGATGGAGAAGGTGCAGTCCCTCCGCGCACCTTACATGCCCATGCCACACTGGTGGACTCACGCACGCACGCCAACTCTGCCATCCCATGCACGCCCGGCTTCGGAGGGCGGCTACGAACTTACTGCTCGTCGAGCCAGCCGAGCCAGGGCGCAAGGGGAAAGGCCCGAGCGGGGCCGGGGATAGGATCGGATAGGAGTCGGGGTCGTGGATGGGGTCGGGGCGGACCCCGCCGGCCCGCTGGCCTCCCTCCCCTGACCCCCGGGACAGCCCCCGATGCACGTGCTGGGTGACAGGCCCCCTATAGGTTCCATACCTGCCACCGGAAGTGAGTGAGGAGGGCAGTATAGGCATTTCCTGTGACGCGAGCGCCTGGACTCCATTAGGCAGCAGCTGGGGGAAGAATCAACACACCAGGGAGCAGAGCGGAGCGGATCCGAGGACAGAGGCGGCAGCTGCCTCCGCTGCCGCCCGCCGCCGCCGCCGCCGCAGCCACTGCCGGGGCTCAGCCCAGCGGCGGGCCCCGCGCCCCCGCAGCCGCCCCGCGGCGCCCCCCGGCGCGACCCCCGGGCCGCGCACCCCGAGCTGCCTCCGGGAGGGGGGGGGGAAAGGGCCCGGATCCTCCTTCTCCCCCTCCTCCTCCTCCCCCTCCTCTCACCCTCACCCTCACCCTCCTACCCTGACCCCCTCCCCGCCTCCCCGGCCCCCCTCACCCCGACCCTCTCCCCGGCCCCCGCCTCCCCTCCCCCGCCTCGCCCCACCGGCTTCCCACCACGGCCTCTCTCGGCGAGGAAACTCTGGCCTCCGCTTCCTCCTCCTCCGACTCGGACACCGGCGGAGCCTCCCCGCCCCCGCGGAAGAAACCCCGAGCCTCGGCGGCGGAGGGAGTAGGAGAGCCCGGGGCTTCGGCAGGCAGAGCAGGCCTCTCCCCTCCGTCCTCGTCGTCCTCGTCCTCCTCCTCCTCCTCCTCCTCCGTGGTGGTAGTGGTGGGACTTCCCCCGGCTGCTGCCCCTCCCGCCGCCGCTGCTGTCCCCCACCGAAGTAGCGGCCACAGCCTGGTCAGCGGCAGCATCATGCAGGCCAATGGGGCAGGAGGAGGAGGAGGAGGTGGCGGCGGCGGCGGTGGAGGAGGAGGGGGCGGCGGGGGCCAGGGACAGACCCCGGAACTCGCCTGCTTGTCGGCCCAGAACGGGGAGTCGTCCCCCTCGTCGTCGTCGTCCGCGGGGGACCTGGCCCACGCCAATGGGCTCCTGCCTTCCGCCCCCTCCGCCGCCAGCAACAATAGCAACAGCCTGAATGTCAATAACGGGGTTCCCGGCGGGGCGGCCGCCGCATCCTCAGCCACCGTCGCAGCTGCCTCCGCCACCACCGCCGCCTCCTCTTCCTTGGCCACCCCAGAACTGGGCAGCAGCCTCAAGAAGAAGAAGCGGCTCTCCCAGTCAGATGAGGATGTCATTAGGCTAATAGGACAGCACTTGAATGGCTTAGGGCTCAAGTAAGTATCCCTTACCGCCAGCTGGTGATGGACAGACCGAGGGACGGAGGCTCCAGGGGGGTAGGGGAAGGGGCGGAGGGGGGAGGGGGGCTTGAAAGAGCTCGGTCAAAGAGAATGAGTGCTGGGCACGCAGGACCCAGTACACAGGAGGACGCGGCTCAGGGCGACCGGGGAGGAGGAGCGGACCTGAAAGGAAATAGGGGAAAATCAATCAGTCTGACAAATTGTGAGACGAGACAGGCGTTGAGGGGTTAGGAAGGGTTAGGAGAAACCCAAAGAATGACTTCTCCCCACGCACCTTCAGAGCTTAATTGTCTGTCAATAAAGACAGATGCGGGAGTGTGTTTCTGTATGTGTTGGGGGAGGGGTGGATTAGAGCTGGTGGAAATAATGAACCTTGGAGGATTTGTTTTTCAAGTGTATCTTGGAGGCATCTTTGTGGGACACCTCCCCACCCCCAACCGTGGCAGACAACAACCCAAGCAAACTACCAATCAGGAAAGACAATCACCTACAAGTGTTTATGGGAACGGAGGGGCTGGGATCATTTGGAAAGAGGTTGTTGAATAAATCTGATGCGAATAATGAAGATACAGTGTTGATGTCGTTTAAAGGCCCTTGTGTGTGTGTACAAGAGGCCTAACCCTAACTAGTCTGAAATCTCAGTTTAATACCAAGAAGATGATCGCCTCTGAAAAGGGGACATCTGATCTGGTGAACCATTTGTTTTCAAATACAATTTAGGTGGCCTTGTATACCTAACATAGGGTGAAGGTAGACAGCGACCTTGGACAAAAACCACCGTTTTGTATACACACAAAGAAAAACTAAGGGGGTGGAAGGTAGGATTGGTGGGAGTGCCTGATGAAGGAGGTGCAAGAGACGGAGTCAGAATGAAATGAAGGGGGGAGGACGTGCAGCAGCAGTCAGTTTCCTACATTCAGAGTGTAGATTAAGCTCTCAGGCTAGCCGATGTGTACTTTTGCATTTATGGATTTCTTGGGGAGTGGGGAGGAGAACAGAACTTTTTAAAAGTGGCACAAGTATTTCGGTTTTCAGGCAGATCATTGCACTGTTTAGCTAAAAATTAAGTTTTAAAGCTGAATAAGAAAGCATTGAAACATAAGCACAAAAAATAGACTGATAAATGAAGGTTCTTAGATACCAGAATACATGAGGGAAGAAAATACAGTTGATGAATCTTTTAAGTGCTCAAAGACAAATATGTGGTAGGAAGAATTCACTTTATTCCCTAGGGAAAAGGATTAGTATGAAAACAGATTTTGTAAATGCTAACAGAACATATTACTGAGACAAGAAGCAAGCTGACAGCAGCAGGAGGAAATAACTCGTGACTGTTTGGAACCTACACCATAGTAAATTTGCTATTTTTAGTATAGAGAGAAAGGGAATGATTTTTGATGCTGGATTTGTTTTAATTTTAAAGATTGACCTAGTAGAATTTCTATGCAATATAATACCTGGATATATAAGCTCTTAACTGATACGGTCATCTCTGTTAACCTTGTGTGAAGCTAATAATTTTTATCTTTCAAAATGTAACGTAGTATGTTGATTCTGGTTTTTCATTTATTTGACTAGTTGGTTACAGCACATTTTTAGAAATTTTATACTTTATGCATTAAATTGAGGCATTAAATGGCAAACTAGGAAGAACTTACATTGATTCTGGTTTCAAGAAAGGTTTTTAACTTGACTAGGAAAAAATGTAGGTGTCAGTTTTAAATAAAGTTTGTTTAACCAGGCACATGAAAGCTATTTTTTTCTTCATCATGAGGCTAGCTTAAAAACTTTGCATCTGTTTTCATGGACATTAGTTTATTTGAAGGATTAAAACCCTAAAATTGGTCAGGTCTGTTTTACACTGTATCTTTCCTGCAGCCAGACTGTTGATCTCCTCATGCAAGAGTCAGGATGTCGTTTAGAACATCCTTCTGCTACCAAATTCCGAAATCATGTCATGGAAGGAGACTGGGATAAGGTAAAGTAGGGCATATAGAGCTGTGTGACTGCTGCTAAAATTACAGATTTGATGTGCATTTTGTGACATTTCTGTTTTTCTTTTATACCAATTTTTACAGGCAGAAAATGACCTGAATGAACTAAAGCCTTTAGTGCATTCTCCTCATGCTATTGTGGTAAGAGGCGCACTTGAAATCTCTCAAACGTTGTTGGGAATAATTGTGGTAAATACACTTTTGTTCTTAGTTTCACATTTATGCTTATTTTAGTAGGTTATTGATAACTCTAGGCTTCTGCCTCTTATAAAAAAATAAGGCCTAAAAGTAGTTAAATTTCATATAATTTGTAAACTAGGATGAGTATAATGTTTTAAAGTATGAGTTTTATTTCTTTAAAATCATACTTAGTAAATGTGTCATTTGAACCTTATAAATTAAGCTCTACAAAAAATATATTGAAAGCTCTTCATGCTTTCAGTGCTACTAATAGAGGTTTTATATTTATAGAGTTAAAGATAAATTATACTTTTATTATGTTACTTAAAATACTGAATGTGCTGGTTAAAGAGAAAATGTGTTTGGGTGTGTGTATATCCATACAGCCTTAAGAAGCTGATACATTATCTTTTTTTTTAATCTTTGGGAATTACAGTTAATTCAAGCCAACTCCATTTGTGTGCTGGCCATTTTCCATTCTTGCATTCCAGTTGTGTGAATTGACAGTGTCAAAGTTTGTATAATAACGTATCACTCTGGTGGAGGGTTTGTGTGCAGATTTGACCATTTGGCCCTGCTTACTGGCCTTATTTCCCTGACAAGATCAATTTAGTAGTTTAACCTGTTAGCCGCTTTCATAATTCTTAATGAATCTTTTAGACTTATGGGCTTTAATTCTTCAGTAGATGGTGGTGAGGGAGAGAGGAAATAAGTTTTTTCTAAATGCTGGAGTTTGGAAACCATGAAGAATCAGCTGCTAGCTGCTGGCTTTTTAACTTCTAGCTGATTCATTTGTTGTCAAAAGCAGTTTCCTGTCTGGGGGTGGGGAGAGAAAGAAGGCAAATAGGAAGTGAAGTAGAGAAACCAGCTGTTTGTTAAATATTAGTAAATGACTATTACATTTTGATTTTTTTAAAATTGAGTCAAACATTAATCTTTTCTGCCTTTTTCTATAAAAATAAGGCCTTGTGTTTTTTTCTTTTGAAATCTTATTACAAAAGAGTTTTCAAACTCAGTATAATTCTACACAATAATATAATCCTAGAGAAATGGGCTTCAGGTGAATTAAAGGTGCAAACAAGCAAGAATAAATGCAAATTCATTTAAATTGATGATGTAGTGTATTATTTTTATTCTTTCATTAAATACTTAAAATATTAAAAATTTTAAACTACTGTTGACTAAGATGATTGGTAATAAGTTAACTTATAAAATAATTCTGTAGTAAAATTGAAAAATAAAAACAGAAGTTAAAATAGTTAAACATCTATATTCAAAGGGATTGGAAATTTTTCGTTAACTAAAGTTTCCTCAGTTGGTGTGTTTGGGGTTTAAAAAAAAAATACCCAAGTACATTTTATTGAGCAGTTCTGCATAAATTTTTGCTTCTGACTGAATGAGCTAAAATAAAAACAGTTAGATGGCCAAAAGAAGAATTAAGGTTGCTTTCCCATTGGGCAAGTTAGCACTACTTGTGTGTTGACAATAAAGAACTTGCCTGTGGACTGGTTTAAAATGTGTGTGATTTCTTGGAGGTTGTTTAAGCTTCGCCCAAATTATATCTGTAATTTAGTAGTAAAAAATTTAATAGGCTTACTTCCTATTTTTTTCTTATTTGTTTATAGTAATTTGAGAGTTCTGTATTGGATTTCGATTATGACTATCTCATTAGAAACCTTCATTAGAGGCAGCATGTAAACTGAAGAAAGGTAGTTATAGATAATAAGGAGGAATCCTTTCTTTTTACAGCCTGTTCAGTCTGTAGAACATTCTAGGATCTAATAAAAGATGAAGATTAAATCTCTGGCTGAGCCTCATGCCATCAAACTGTTTAGGTATTTATAAAAAGAAAAGGGTTCCAACTTTTATCTCACTTTAAGCATTGATGAATCAATTGCTTTTAAAGATTAATTTCAGCATTTTTTGAAGTTGCTCTTCACCTCTCTAATTGTGTTTAAATTTACTTTTCTCATCCATCCCATCTCCAGAAGAAGAGAATCTAATATAAGCTTAAATTTGTAATAATATCTTAGAAGACAACTATTAGGGTTTCTTTAAACGTAATTATTTTAATTGTATACCCAGACACATTTGATGGCTTAGTCTAGACTAAAATTGTACTTTATTTTTTAAGCCTGAATGTTTTCATTGACCCAATCCACTCTCTCTACAGCCTACTCCCTTTGTTTTTTTTGTCTGTTTGTTTGTTTTGTTTTTTTTTTTTTGAGATGGAGTCTCGCTCTGTCGCCCAGGCTGGAGTGCAGTGGCGCGATCTCGGCTCACTGCAACCTCGCCTCCCAGGTTCAAGCGATTCCACTGCCTCAGCCTCCGAAGTAGCTGGGACTACAGGCACATGCCACCATGCCCGGCTAATTTTTGTATTTTTAGTGTAGATGGGGTTTCACCATATTGGCCAAGCTGGTCCCGAACTCCTGACCTTGTGATCCGCCCGCCCCAGCCTTCCAAAGTGCTGGGATTACAGGTGTGAACCACTGCACCAGCTGTTTAAATGGTTTCCGATTAAATGGTACTAGGAATGGCAGAAGTTGCTTTCATGAATCAGCATTTTTTTTTTTTTTTTGAGATGGAGTTTCTCTTATTGCCCAGACTGGAGTGCAATGGCGCAATCTTGGCTCACTGCGACCTCTGCCTCCGGGGTTCAAGAGATTCTCCTGCCTCAGCCTCCCAAGTAGTTGGAATTACAGGTGTCCATCACCAAGCCTGGCTAATTTTTTTTTTTTTTGTATTTTTAGTAGAGATGGGTTTTCACCATGTTGGTCAGGCTGGTCTCGAACTCCTGACCTCAGGTGATCCACCCGCCTCAGCCTCGCAGAGTGCTGGGATTATAGGCGTGAGCCACCGTGCCGGGCCAAATCAGCATTTTTTAGTTTGGGTTCAAATATACTTCGCCATTTCTGGGCAATTTGGATGGGTATACGAGACCAATAATAGAAAACTTTTTTTATGTCTAGAAATATTTGGTTATTTTTTAATATAATGGAAATATGCTTAAGAAAAATTGGCATCTATAATTAACTAGTATATTTTAAAGTCAAATAGGAGTTTTGAGTGCCAAGTTTAGATATAATTTATTTCCCCTTTTCTCTGAGAAATCATGATTTAATTGATAAGATTTGGTTATGACCTTACTCCAGAGTTAGAACCATTACTGAATTAGCTAGGAGGCCGCCCTTGAGAACCAGACTTTCTAAGTATCGTAATTTCTGGGTTTTTCTTTCATGTTGAGTTCAGTTTAATAATATGGGAGCAAAGGAAGGAATAAAGCAATTCAGTATTGGGTGGACTAGGGGAGCAACAGCAGAATTTACGACGTGAAACTATCATTCAAGCTATCCTAGTCACTTAACAATTTCAAATTTATTAGATATTAAAATGGAGAAGGAGATCTTGCTGGGCCCAGAGATGGTAAAAAATCATTAGAGACCAGAAATAATCTCTTAAGAGATCTAGTTGGGAGTTGGGGAAAGACATAAAGGAGAGTTTATTTTCCTAATCTTTTTTTGTCTTTATTTCTTCAAGATTTTTTAAAAAATATAAACATTAGTAGAGCCCTGTCCCCATCTCAGCAAGCTTTAATTTTGTCTGATTTTTACAATGTTTTCAGTAAATATTTAACATTATTTGTTAATTAAAGGGTCTTTGCTTTCTTGAGGTTATATTTACATTTTTGTGCTTTAAATTTTGGGAGGTAAAATACAGTTTTACTCCCCACCCTTATCGTATGTGTCAAATACTTCAACTGATTTTTTGGAGAATAAACATTTTCTTTCAAACAGATCTCTAGCTGTGCTTGGCCAGCAGCATGTTAGTTGCCATGCACAATACCAGGATTTGATATCTGTTTGAGAATATTCTTGGTCTTGATCTGGATAAAATGACTCATAGAGAAATGCTCTTGTGCTACTTTTATAGCATTCCCTGTATATACAGAAATATGTGTTTATATTGGCTTCTCTCAGAGTTTTAGTCAGCCTTTCTCTGCTCTCCTGCCCCACCTCTGCCCCATAGAAAAAGAGTAACATGTTGTATCAAGATCTTGGTGGGAAAATAAGGGAGAAATAGCGCTTTGGGCACTGTCCCTGCACACATTGGAATGGGGGAGGGGTGGGCATAGGAGCCTAATGATTGATACCAAAAAAAATAAATATTAAGTAAATAAAAAACTTGCCCTGAAATTTTTTTTTAAGCCCCTCAATTCCCAATTACTAAGAAAATTTAGTGAAGAAATTACATCTCATGCTCTGGCCAGTTCCATGTGACATTTAAATGAAAAAGTTCTGCAACTGAATAAGATTTTCAAGTTTGAATTTAAAAAATACCACAAAATGGAATGAAACTTTTTTTTTTTTTTTTTTTTTTTGGAGACAGAGTTTTGCTCTCGTTGCCCAGGCTAGAGTGCAGTAGCACAATCTCGGCTCACTGCAACCTCCACCTTCCAGTTTCAATCGATTCTCCTGCCTCAGCCTCCGAAGTAGCTGGGATTACAGGCACCCGCTGCCACACCCAGCTAATTTTTTTGTATTTTTTTTTTTAGTAGAGACGGGGTTTCACCATGTTTGTCAGGCTGGTCTCGAACTGCTGACCTCGTGATCCACCCGCCTCAGCCTCCCAAAGTGCTGGGATTACAGGTGTGAGCCACCACACCCGGTGGAATGAAACTTTTAACATTATATTGATAAATGAAAATATATGAGGTCTTCATTTCATAGTTGCATTTTTTTCAGAAGCTAAAATGGTGCGAATATCCAGAATAACTTCAAATATAAAATTCTTTTATTTTTAGATTTTTTTTTTTTTTGCATTGTTTAGTTTTTGGTTTCTGTGACCTGATGAATGACAAAGTTTTTTCATTTAACATAGAAAGGTTAACTTCAGGCTGTATGTACAGTAATGTACTTTTCAGAGCATCTTGGTAATTAATGTATTTCTGAAACATTCATTAGTCATTCTAAATTTATATGTAAAATTTGATAAGTGTAATTTTCCCAGAGTTACAGGAGTGTCTCAGTTTGAATTTTTTTCTGTTCCTTAGCCGTATATTTAAGATGAGATTTGTATCAAGCAAAAGAAATGTATCTTATAAATTTAAATACATGCCTAACTTATATGAGAGGGTTTATTATTGCTTACTTTCTCTAGAAACCACTTTTATAAGCTTACAGTTTATATCTCTCTTCTAAATACTCCTTGATAGAAAATCTTGTAGAGCAGTTTATTATACTGTTAATTCTGCAAATAAATGGTAATTTCTCCACAGCATTTCGTGACAGCAGTGTATTTTTTTATGGTTTTAAAGTAAGCATTTTGGGCCGGGTGCGGTGTCTCATGCCTGTAATCCCAGCACTTTGGGAGGCCAAGGTGGGCAGATCACTTGAGGTCAGGAGTTCAAGACCAGCCTGGCCAACATGGCAAAACCCTGTCTCTACTAAAAATACAAAAATTAGCTGGGTGTGGTGGCGGGTGCCTGTAATCCCAGCTACTTAGGAGGCTGAGGCAGGAGAATCGCGTGAACCCAGGAGGCAGAGGTTGTAGTAAGCCAAGATCACGCCACTGCACTCTAGCCTGGGCCACAGTGAGACTCTGTCTCAAAAAAAAAAGAAGAAAAGCATCTTACGAAGAAGAAAAATTGTACTTTAAGTTTTAATTTTAAGTGGACTTGAGATCTTTACCGCTGTATTCCTTGGAGTCTCTAAATATGACTAACATTTCCTACCTACTGATGTCTCTGTTTACATTAATTGGCTTGCTCAAGCTCCACAAGTAGCAACTATGATGAAAAGGTCCCTCCAACCTGTGGTCCTTAATTAGGTTTAAGGTTTAAAAGAAGTTTCAAAATGATGTTTATAAATATCCCTTTTCTCTTGTAAAAAACTGCTAAGATTGTGACCACGTGGTTTCAAGTTAAAAGTAAAATAATAAAGTAGCATTTAAAAGTATTAAAGTCAAAAACACAGTTCAGGAAAAAACTAAATGTGAAAGTGTCTCACAGCTGGAAAGTGGTTTATTGGTTTAGGGGAGAAAAGAGCGAATAATAATTTCCTGTGCTTCACTTTTAAATGCATCAGTGATCAGATTGTCAGAAATACACAAGTACAAATATTGAATCTTTTTAAAAACCTTTAAGTTCAACCATCTAACGTAGACATCCCTTAATAGCCGCCTAGAAGAGAGTGAGTGCATCAAGCTTATGCTTGTCCACGTTAGTTGTAGGAAATTCAATACTTTGCACACCAACTTGTAGTACATTTGTTGGACAGCTCTTAACTTTTGATAAGCCAAAATATACTTTTCTCCTTCTCCTGAGTGTGTCTAGTTCTGATTTCTGGTCTACTTATTCCCTCTTTCACATTGTGACTTAAATAGTTCATTTGCTATTTTTTTCTCTAATCTTTTCAAAACTTGTTGCATAAAACCCCCCAGTGCCCTAGTTATAAAGTCATACTTCTTAAAAAGCAAATTTCAAGTACTTGGAATAGTTCTAAATTTTTATACAAGAACTACAATTGTAGGAGATTGCTTTGAGAGGAGAATTCATTTTTTCCAAGGCTGATGCCTCAGTCACTAATGATCTAGTCTGATTTGAGATTATTTGTTCAAAGCAGAGTTTTAGTAAGATGTGGAATTGAGCAAAGTCACATTTAATCTACTGTGGCTCTACTAAACTAAAATATTTTGAGTCATCTTGAAGCTTTATAAAAAGTTATTTCAAAGGGCATAGTAGAATGGTTTCTACTGTTCTGTTTAGGCACAAACATTTTCTGAAACTTCCATCAACTTTTTTCCCCTGACTGCTGCTTTCTGTCATGTCAGAGGATGAAGTTTTTGCTGCTGCAGCAGAAGTACCTAGAATACCTGGAGGATGGCAAGGTCCTGGAGGCACTTCAAGTTCTACGCTGTGAATTGACGCCGCTGAAATACAATACAGAGCGCATTCATGTTCTTAGTGGGTAAGGAAACTGAGTTCTTGAACTCAGGTTAATGGAGGGCCAAAGTTATATTTCTTTAACATTTTTCCAAAATATAAAATCTTGATTATTGCTAAATTCTTAGATATTTGTCTAGGTAAACTCACTCCTGTGTGGATCAACTATTTTGGTCATTCTAGGAAACTGTTCAGATTAGGATAGAGATATATTTAAGTGGGTGAAAGGGAGAAGAAAATATGTATTGCCTGTGAAATGCTATTTTAGAATGTTCTATGAAAACCCTATTACATTCCAAGGACAGCTTTTGTAGTTAAAAACAAAATAAAAATCATATGATATGGATCACAGTAAACAATGACATTTCCAGTATTGGTGCACACTAACTTTTTTAAGTGAATACTTGTCATGTGCCAGGCCCTTGCTAAGCTTTTCACATAAACAGCCTCATTTAATCCTCACATCAACATCAGTCCTTTTTTGGGGGGTGAAGGGTAGAGACAGGGTCTTACAGTGTTGTCCAGTGTGATCTCAAACTCCTGTGATCTTCCCAGAGTGCAGGGATTACAGGCATGAGTCACTGTACCTCGCCACATTAATCCTTAAAATGTTAGAGTACCCAAAGGTTTGATCCTGGGCCTCTTTATTCTCTATCTACATACTCTTTTTAGGTAATCTCATTCTATACCATGCCTTCACATACTATCTGTATACCAGTGGCTCTTAAATTTAGCTTCTCATCTGAACTCCCAATATGTATATCTACTGGCATACCTGACATTCTCCACTTGGATGTTTAATAGATGTCTCAGTTGTATGAGGCTGGTGTGCAGTGGCACAATCATAGATCACTGCCACCTCTAGTTTCTGGGCTCAAGCCATCCTCCTGCCTCACCCTCCTAAGTAGGTAGGATTTCAGGCATGTACCACCACATGTGGCTAATTTTTTCATTTTTTGTAGAGACAGGTCTCGCTATGTTGCCCAGGCTGGCCTTGAACTCCTCCTAACCTTAAGCAATCCACCTGCTTCGGCCTCCCAAGGTGCTGGGTTAATAGGCATGAGCCACTGCACCCAGCCTCAAAACAAAATTCTGGATTCACCCCTTCATGATAAATGCACTCAACAAACTAGGAATAGAAAGGAACTTCCTTGACCGAATAAAGGGCATTAATGAAAACTCACAGGGCTGGCAGTGAAAGACTGAAACCTCTCTTCTTGTGATCAAGAATAGGACAATGATGTCTACTCTTGCTACGTCTGTTCAACATTGTATTGGAGGTTCTAGCCAAGGAAATTAGGCAAGAAAAAGGAATAAAAGATTGAAAAGGAAAAACTATCTCTGTTCAAAGATGTCATGATTTTATATAAAGAAAATTTAAGGAATCCACTAAAAAACTCTTAGAACTAATAGGCAAGTTCAGCAAGGTTGTAGGATACAAGGTCAATACACAAGAATAATGGTATTTCTATAATCTAGCAATGAATAATTCAGAAAATGGAATTAAGAAAACAGTTTTATTTACACTAGTATAAAAAAGAATAATTTAGGAATAAATTTAACCTCTACAGACCTGTGCCACTTCCAGTATATCGCAAGATCTTCAACCCAGTTGCTTAAGGGAAGAACTTAAGCCTCATATTGCTTTTTCTTTGTCTTTTAACTTTGACATGTATGGCCTAATTCTAAAAAATATAAAATTTTCATTTCTCTGAATCTCCACAGTTTCTAGCCTAGTTAAGCCATGGACATCTCTCCTAGAATATTATAGTAGCTTCCCACCTAGTTACATTGTCTTCACTCTTAATTTCTTTCCTTTTTTTTTTTTGAGACAGAGTTTCACTATTGTCACCCAGGCTGGGGTGCAATGGTGCAATCTCAGCTCACTGCAGCCTTCGCCTCCTGGGTTCAAGTGATGCTTCAGCCTTGCCTCCTGAGTAGCTGGGATTATAGGCATGCGCCACCACACCCGGCTAATTTTGTATTTTTAGTAGAGATGGGGTCTCACCACATTGGCCAGGCTGGTCTCGAACTTCTGACCTCAGGTGATCCACCTGCCTCAGCCTTCCAAAGTGCTGGGATTATAGGCGTGAGCCACTGTACCAGGCTTCACTCTTAATTTCTTAACAATGCATATTTCACACAGCAGCCAGACAAGTAAGCAAAACCATAAATGAAGTCTTTACTCCCTTGCCACTGGCTCTCCAGCAGTCTTAAAACCCAAAATCTCTGTGCAAGGCCACAAAATCCCTGATCCTTTTCTGCCATCTTTTTCTTTATTCATTACTCTAGTGACACTCATGCTCTTTCTGTTCCTTAACTTGCCACCCCTTAAGGCATTTGCACTGCTTGTCCCCTCCATCTGAAATGTATGTCCCCCAGTCTTTGCATAGCTGGGTACTCCTTGCTCAGCTCCCAGCCCAAGCATCATCATCTCCCAAGATTACCCACTGGGTATTCTCGTGACATCACTCTGTTTTTATGTTTTTTCTTTATAGCATTTTTCACTATATGATATGGCTCCAGCATCGAGAACAAATATGTGACACACGAGTTTGTAAATACAAAATGATGGACAAAAGAATGGGCCCAAGATAAGGGCCCATTCCTTGCAGATAAGGAAACTGAGCCTCAAAGAAGTTAAGTAGCCAGCACAATATAAAGCTAATAATTCAGAAAGCAGGACTCAAAGCCTGGTTTGACTGATTCCAAAGTCATTGGTCTTACCCACTACCACATCTTGAAACAATAAATTCTACAGGTTTTTTTCTTGTTGTTTGAGATGGAGTCTGGCTATGTTGCTTAGACTGGTCTTGAACTCCTGTGCTCAAGCAGTCCTCCCACCTTGGCTTCCCAAAGTGCTAGGTTTACAGGCACAAGCCACCACACCTGGCCTGCTAGATGTTTTGATATGGTAGCTGACAAATTTCTTGTTCCGATTACCTTTTTTTTTGAGACAGAGTCTCTCTCCATTATCCATGCTGCAGTGTAGTGGCGCAATCTCGGCTCACTGCAACCTCCACCTCCTGGGTTCAAGCAATTCTCCTGCCTCAGCCTCCCAAGTAGCTGGGATTACAGGCATGCACCACCACGCCCAGTTAATTTTTTTTCTGTATTTTTAGTAGAGACGGGGTTTCGCCATGTTGGCCAGGCTAGTCTCGGACTCCTGACCTCAGGTGATCCTCCTGCCTCATCTCCCAAAGTGCTGGGATTACAGGCGTGCTGATTACCTTTTTAATGCGGTATCTGATTTCTTTGTCATCGGAATATCATTCACATGATGATTTTTTTCCTGCTCTTGTGTCAGAACATATAATTAGTCATATGGGTTTTATTCTGAAGCACACCATGAGTTTTTCACCTAAGGAAATGGCCCAAAGGTGGTGAGATGTGGAACTGGGATCAGAACCCAGGGTTTCTCCTTCTCAGTCCAATGTCCTTTTAGTTGTACCATGTGACTTTCTGTAAACAGAAATTCATTTAAAACTTTAAGATTTAATATGTATTTTCACAAGGACATAGAAGCAATTCTAAGTCACTTTTGTAAAATTTTAAAAATGAACATTTTAAAATATAATTATTGATAATAAACTTTGCCCAAAAAAAGTTGTTTTAGAAACAAAATATTCACAATGGCCAACTTCTGGCTGGGCACGGTGGCACACGCCTGTAATCTCAGCACTTTGGGAGGCCGAGGCGGGCGGATCACGAGGTCAGGAGATCAAGACCATCCTGGCTAACATGGTGAAACCCTGTCTCTACTAAAAATACAAAAAAACACAATAGCTAACTTCCTATAGCGTTTTTGAGTATAATTACTTACATTATTAAATAAGTTTTTTTGATCAGTTAAAGCACTATTTATGTACTAAAAATCAAGAGGAAAAGTAGTTCTGCTGTTTGGGAAGAGACTATTAAATCATTTAGATTCTAAATGAAATATGCTTTATGCAGTTAAGAAAGGGAGGGAGTGATGATACTCATGTTAACTGAGAGGTATAGCAGGTCGTAGACTAAGTACTTAAAATGCTTCATCTTCAAGAATCCTCATTACCCTATTTAATATTCTTTTTACAAGTGAGAGAAACAGATTTGTCTGGCAGAGCATGAGACAGAATAGCAGGAGAGTTACTTGCCAGGTCTAATCTCCATGTTTGAATAATACCTTCACTTCTTTTACTTTCAAAGCCCATTCTTCTGAGAAGAACCAAAACCAGGTCAGGGTCACACTCCCAGCAGGGGCCCCTCATGTATTCTCCAGAATCTGTGAACTTTAGCATTTATCCCACCTTCTGTACATACAGTGAGCAATAAAACAGTTCCCCAGTTTTGTGCTCTGGGATCTCAGTATCTTTCACAAGATGACACAAGGATGATTATCCAGTTATACTATTTTTTGAATGATGTTTATTATAAAGTCTTGAAGATATGTTCTTTGAGTTTTATTTTACTATTCAGAAGTAGTTAAGTTAGCCTAGTGGTTAAGAGCAAGTTCTACAGCTGGAATGCCTGAGTTTATATACCTACTTAGCCTCTTAACCCTAGGCCAGTTACTTAAGCTTTCTGTGCCTTGGTTTCCTCATTTATAAAAATAGAATAATAATAGTGCTTACAGGGTTGTTATAAACATTAAAGGAAGTAATATGTGTTGAGTGCTAGAACCTGCACAATAAGAGCCATATATATAATATATAACAATAACATAAGAATTTGTTCTGTTAATAGGTAATATATATATAGGTATTGTTACTTTACATTTTAGTAATTATATGCAGGTGCCATATTATATTAATGAATTGAGTCCACTGTAGAAATTTCTTGACATGTATTAGTAAGAAGCAGATAGCCAGATGGTCAGTACTTTTCAATTACATTTATTACAAAGAAATGGGTTTAATATTGGTTGCTTTCTCTGTTGTATTTTTAGGTATCTGATGTGTAGCCATGCAGAAGACCTACGTGCAAAAGCAGAATGGGAAGGCAAAGGGACAGCTTCCCGATCTAAACTATTGGATAAACTTCAGAGTAAGAGTCTTAATTTTTTATGTTGCTGTGTTTTCTCTTAGATTACAAATGGATACAGTGATCAATTAGGAAGACAGATGGGGAATATCTGGACATACTTTTATTGAGTGCTTAGAAGAGGGAGAATCCAGTTTTTCAGACTCTGTCATGGAGTCTAAGAAGCTAACCTCAGGAGTCAGTGAAAGGGCACTGGTTCCAGAGCAGCCCTTCTTTCATTTGTATTATGTGATGATGTTCCCCCTTAAGATTTTGTTTGGGGGAAAAGTACTGTGTTAAGAGAAAAAAATATGTAAACCACAGTTTTAAGTCACAAGTGCTTTAAAGATTTTGTTGATTTCAATAGTAAGGTCCAGGTTTCTTTAGGTAAATTGTTTTATTCTTCCCCAACCATGTTATGTTTATTCTAGATTGTAATGCAGGTTTCATTTTTGCTGTATTTTTATGTAAAAGATGTTCTCTCTGAAAATTATATGATTCTATAATTTTGATGTTGAAATGACAGTGACGATCCTAAGAATCACAAAGCCGTGCAGTTGGGGAGGTATAAGGGATTCAAGGATTGCAGTAGGTTGGTATGGATATCAAAACACCAGTTACTCCCTGAATTCACACAGTATCTTTGGCATTTGGAGCAATTTGTACTTGATCTTAGCCAAAAGGCCAAGAGGCGATTTTTAGAGCAGTTTGATGGGAACTAGAACTTAACCTATTGCAACATTTGCCAAAATTTTGCTATTTGTTAAGTGGAGATTTTACTTACACCTGGTCTCCTGGTACACAATAATATCTAATATTCTTTTCATTGTTGTCTTCTTTTTCTTCATTTTGTTGTTGTTATTCCTCACTTATCCTCCCTGCCCCTAGAAAATCCACATATAAAGTAAACCCCTCCCACCAAATATATCCAATTTTATGAGCAGCATAGCTATTGCTGCTGACAAATATTCGTAAAGCTCACGTATCGCATAACGCAGAACTTCTCTATTTAAGGAATAGATACTATTGGGGTAGGAACAAGTACAGCAGAAGATGAGCAAATGTCTTAAATAAAAGTTTACAGTTTATTATTATTTCTCTTTTTTAAAATATCTTCTATTAAAGCCTATTTACCACCATCAGTGATGCTTCCCCCACGGCGTTTACAGACTCTCCTGCGGCAGGCGGTGGAACTACAAAGGGATCGGTGCCTATATCACAATACCAAACTTGATAATAATCTAGATTCTGTGTCTCTGCTTATAGACCATGTTTGTAGTAGGTAAGAGGAAAACTTCCTATATTCTGAAACAGCCTAACATTTTACAAAATTTTAGTTTTCTTTTTTAGAGTCTTATCCTGTAGCTATATAACAGTTCATGTCTGATTTAGCATTTGTTCACGAGTAAAGCTGGAACTATGAAAATTGAAAATTATGAGAAATTTCTGTATGTTTACTTAGTAACCATACCTTGAGAACTGAAGTTGGGAAGCCAGTTTTTCGTTATCTATAGGTTTGGTTACTTGTTTCCTGTGTCTGACAATTTAACTATGTCCCAAATTATTTACTGCACATAAAGATCATGGTAATACTTTTTTCTTAATGAAAGTTCTGCTTTTTAGTAGAAGACAGGCTCTAAAAATGGCTAGAACAACAGCTATTAACTTATGGTTTGGGTTTTTTTTACCATGTGTACCCATGTCCATAATTTAACTTGTAAGAATTCAGGCTTCTCTTTCGACATTAGGAGTATTTTGAGTAAAAATATACCTACTATTTTAATGGTCTCTAAAATTAAAGTATAGCTTTATTTTGTTCTTGATGTTTTTGTTGGTTTCTTTTTTAGACACAGCCTCTCTGTTGCCCAGGATAGAGTGCAGTGGCATGATCATAGGCTACTATATAGCCTTAGGCTCAAGTGATCCACTCACCTCAGCCTTCTGAGTAGCTAGGACTATATAGGCATGCACTACCATGCCTGGCTAATTCTTAAGTTTTTTTGTAGAGATGGGGTCTCTTGCCCCAGCTGGTCTTGAACTTCTGGTCTCAAGCAATCGATACTTCTGCCTTGGCCTCCCAAAGCACTGGGATTACAGGCGTGAGCCTCCATGCTGGGCCTAAAGCATAGCTTTAATTTTAAGATATCGAATAACAAATTGTGAAATATTTCAGACTTCAAGAATGAAATAATTTGAATCTGGTGAACCAAACAAAAAGGAGAATAGAGAATAGCTGCAATGCATGTGCTCAGTTGCTTTTACCAGTGATATCAAAGAACTAATGAAAGTAACATAAATAAGGACAAAAACATATTAAGTATGAGGACTTTGGAATAACGAGGAACTTCTGAATAACCGTAAAAATTGTCTATATATGCATATCTCTACTGTGATATAAAATAATTTTTTACATGTGTATAAACCACTTTTGTACCTATTGAGTTTTTAACCTCACTCTCCCTACTTGAAGTACAAAAATAATAATTGTTTGAGATATTGGCCTTACTTTATCTTAAAATATTAGATTATTACTTGGTACATATCTTAAATATTCTACAAGGAAGTGATTAGAAATTTTTTCCCCTATCCCTTTTAAACTCTTTAATAATGTTCATTGACCTGCTTCTGAGGATTTAAAAATCTTTTTGTATAAAATTGAATAGCAATAGGAAGAGATAATAGATTAAAAGACTATATAGTTTCATGGTTCATAGCTCCATTCGCAGATTTGAGAACAGTGTTAAAATTAAGACGCTTGTGAACCCAAATCTTTTTTTGGTTCATAAATTTAAATATTTTGAAAGGTTGTGACTAGACATAATGGTTCAAGAGGTATCAGTACGTTAAGAGCTTGCCCTCCTGTTTGGAAACTGGAATCTATGGGAACATGACCAAAGTGTTTTAACATCTACATCAGTACCTATGAAACTAAGTGATGAAAAATACTTAATCTAACTTTTTCCAACCCTCAGGTCAGGGACCAAGCTCTCATAAGCCTGTGTAGAAAAGCAGTCCAGGCTGGGTGTGGTGGCTCACGCCTGTAATCCCAGCACTATGGGAGGCTGAGGTGGGTGGATCACGAGGTCAGGAGATTGAGACCATCCTGGCTAACATGGTGAAACCCTGTCTCTTCTAAAAATACAAAAATTAGCCGGGCGTGGTGGCAGGCGCCTGTAGTCCCAGCTACTCGGGAGGCTGAGGCAGGAGAATGGTGTGAACCCAGGAGGCGGAGCTTGCAATGAGCTGAGATCACACCACTGCACTCTAGCCTGGGCGACAGAGTGAGACTTCATCTCAGAAAAAAAAAAAAGAAAGAAAAAAGCAGTTCAGAGTTTTACAGAGGAATGAAAGCATCCTTTTTCTTCTGAAATAACCACTGATTAGAAGGTCTTCTCTGTAATCTTAAAACAAAACCTTCACTCTATGCTCCTACTTACCTCTCTTTCTCTCTCCCCCTCCACTTTAGAGCTGACTTCTTGAAATCATTGCCTACTACACATTCGCAATGTCTTTGTCCTTACTTTTCCTTCACTCTTCATATTTCTTTAGTATTAGGACCTGTGTAGCTAACATAATACCAGAATTGTAGATGTTGGTGAGAATACCTCTTTCACATTCAGTGGATATTTTCCAGCCTATATCTTCACCTTACTATAGCACTGTACTACTTTACTTTGAAACTTTTCCTTTGACTTCTAAAACATTCTAGATTCTTAGTTTAACTCCTGGCTACTCCTTAGGCTCTTCTTCTTTACCTGTCCCTTTAAGAAATACATGTTCCAGGCCGGGTGCAGTGGCTCACGCCTGTAATCCCAGTATTTGGGGGGCCGAGGCGAGTGGATCACGAGGTCGGGAGATCAAGACCATCCTGGCTAAAATGGTGTAACCCTGTCTCTACTAAAAATACAAAAAAAATAGCCGGGCATGGCGGCACACGCCTGTAGTCCCAGCTACTCAGGAGGCTGAGGCAGGAGAATCACTTGAACCTGGGAGGCAGAGGTTGCAGTGAGCAGAGATCACGCCACTGCACTCCAGCTTGGGCGACAGAGCAAGACTCCGTCTCAAAAAAAAAAAAAAAAAAAAAAAAAGAAAGAAATACGTGTTCCAGAATTGTTTCTTCCCTCATCCTTAGTTATACTTCCATGGTTCTAATGACAACTAGATACAGGCCAGAGCTACAGAATTTATCTCCTGAGCCTTAGACCTTAATGCCACAATTTGGGTTCTCAAGTACATTAAACACAGCATGTCCGAAACAGAACTTCCTTTCCCTCTCACCTATTTTTGCAAAATCTGCTTTTTCTTAAATTCCCTACCTCAGTGAAAAGCAACCATCTACCCAGTTTTCCCAAACCAGAAAACTTGGAGTCAGCCTTAGCTTTTTACTGTAGAGATTTTAAAGTCACTAAGAGAATAATGTCAGACATTACGTTATATACACAGTCTTGAGAGTGAGTTATGCCCTTTATTGCTAAACTGCAAAAATAGAACCTGAATTTACTTAGTTATTTTTTAATTAAAAAAAGTTTTTATTCAACACATGATCTTGCCCTGTAGCCCAAGTTGGAGTGCAGTGGTGCAATTATAGTTCACAGCAGCCTTGAACTCCCGTCTCAGCCTGAGCAGCTGGGGCTTCAGGTGTGGACCACCACACAGCTAATTTCAAAAAAAACTTTTTTGCTTTGTTTTTGTGTTTTCGTTGTTGTTTTGTGGTTTCTTTTTTTTGGAGATGGGGTTGCTCACTGTGTTGCCCAGGCCAATCTCAAACTCCTGGCCTCAGGTGATCCTCCCACCTTGTCCTTCCAAAGTGCTAGGGTTACAGGTATGAGCAACCATGCTGGGTCTGAACCTAAATTTAATTCCTATTATTTATCTAAAAGTCTTCAAAAGAAAAGTTGCTAATTTTTATTACTTTCTTTACTCTTTTAGAAACTAGATTTTAGCATTGGAACTAGAAAACTATTTTCGGAAATTAAATCTTAGCTTTGAAATTAAATACCCGCTTTTTTCTGGAGAATAAAGAATTATGAATAAATGAATTATTCTGATTAAAATTATTCTGATTAAAATGAATTATTCTGAATAAAAAATCCTGATGTACATTGAAAAGGTTTATTAGATTGTATACAATTTCTAGGCAGGGCATGGTGGCTCACACCTGTAATCCCAGCACTTTGGGAGGCCGAGGTGGGGAGATCACTTGAGCCCAGGAGTTTGAGACCAGCCTGGGCAACATGGCAAGACCCTGCCTCTACTAAAAATACAAAAATTAGCCGGGTGTGGTGGTGGGTGCCTGTAATCCCAGCTGCTGGGGAGGCTGAAGCAGGAGAATTGCTTGAACCCGGGAGGTAGAGATTGCAGTGAGCCGAGATCGTGCCACTGCATTCCAGCCTGGGCAACAAGCGAAACTCAGTCTCAAAAAAAAAAACAGGCCGGGCGTGGTGGCTCACGCCTGTAATCCCAGCACTTTGAGAGGCCAAAGTGGCTGGATCACGTGAGGTCAGGAGTTCGAGACCAGCCTGGCCAACTTGATGAAACCCTGTCTCTACTAAAAATACAAAAAAATCAGCCAGGTGTAGTGGTGCGCACCTGTAATCCCAGCTGCTGGGGAGGCTGAGGCAGGAGAATCACTTGAACCCAGGAGGTGGAGGTTGCAGTGAGCAGAGATCGCACCACTGCACTCCATCCTGAACAACAGAGCGAGACTCCATCTCAAAAAAACAAATAAAGATAAACATTAGAGGAGGAAAAAACTATTTCTGATACTGAAATTGCTTATTTGATTGGAATTTTGTCCAGCAGTGCCTTGAAAAATATGATTTTAAAATGGTATTTGGAAAGAAAACTGGTCTTGGAGTCAACCATAGGTCCAAATCTTAGTACAATTACTTATCAGTTTTATAACATCTGGTAAATTATTTGTCCTCTTTGAGCCTCATGAAAATGGGGATAATAGTACTTCCATGAGCAATATTATATGTGAAGTGTCTAAAGCAGCATTTGGCACCTAGTAATTGCTTAATAAATGTCAGCTAGTATTGATTATTTTATCTAAAATCACACATGTATAGTAGTAATATTAAAGCAATTTAATTTAAAAATCTGAAAGTTTAAAACAGCCTGCAAATACCCATCTGCTAAGGTAGATTGCCATGTGTACCAAATAAAGAATGTTAATTTATTTTTAAATGTATATTTTGTTTCAGACTGGTGAATTGACAAAATGTAATTCTAAATTATTGATTGGGAAAAGAAGCAAGGAAGACCGTGTTTCAAGATACACTTAAAGGTGTATCCATTATTGTTTAAATAACGTTTTTTTTGGGGGGGGGGGTTTTTGTTGTTGTTGTTGTTTGAGACTATCTCACTCTGTCACCCAGGCTGGAGTGGAGTGGCATGATCTTGGCTCACTGCAACCTCCACCTCCCACATTCAAGCGATTCTCCTGCCTCAGCTTCTTGAGTAGCTGAGAGTACAGGCATGTGTCACCACACCCGACTAATTTTTGTATTTTTAGTAGAGATGAGGTTTCACCATGTTGGCCAGGCCAGTCTTGAACTCCTGACCTCAGGTGATCCGTCTGCCTTGGCCTCCCAAAGTGCTGGGATTACACGTGTGAGCCACCATGCCCAGCCTACTCAAATAACGTTTTTTATAATACAGAGAATTTATAAGGTAGAGCTGTTCTGTCTAAACAGTAGCCACTAACTACATGTGTCCATTTAAATTCAAATGTAAAATAATTCAAATTAAATAAATCAAGTTCCTCCAGCTTACTGGCCACATTTCAAGTGTTCAATAGCCACTTGTAGTGAGGGCTACCATATTAGATAACACAGGTATATAGCATTTCCACTGTCACAGAAAGTTCTGTTGGACAGTTGATATAGAGGTTGGAAAAGAATGATTTTTTTTTAAATGAGTGCTTAATGAAAATAGTCATTTAAGTTGGTAAACCGGATCATAAATCACAAAATGCTTTGCCCTTGATATATAATATTAGCTGCCATTTATGAGGTACTAGCTAAGTGTCAGATTCAGTCTAAATGGTTTATAGTCATTTTCTCTTCCTCTTATTTCATCCTTGGGTAAGGAATTCTGTAAGGCAGATACCTTAATCTTTGTTTGATAGTTGGAAAAATTGAGATTTAGAGAGGTTAATTTAATATCTCAGAATCATAGCTAAGTGACTGAGCCAAGATTTAAATCTAAGTCTGTCAGACTACTGCTCCCATTCTTAAGGCTTTGCTCTTAACTACTGCACTCCTTGCCATATATTGCACTTCTCCTGTGCATCCCCCCAAATATTATTAATCACATTTGAGTATCTCTTACATTCCAGAAATTTTAAATGTATTTCTAATTCTTACAAGAATTCTAAGAACCCTGTTAGGTAGATACTAATCTCCTTTTGTAGATGTGGGAACTCAGGCTAAGAGTTGTTAAATAACTTGCCAAAGACATTAAAGCTTGTGAGTGAGAAGGACCTAAACTCATTATCTGGAGCCTATTCTGATTTTGGTTTTGGTTTGTTTGTTTTTTGAAATGATCTCACTCCATCACCCAGGCTGGAGTGCAGTGGTGCAGTCATAACTCACTGCAGCCTCTTAACTCCCAGGCTCAAGCAATACTTCCCCCTCAGCCTCCCCAGTAGCAAGTAAAAAAAAATGTAGCTGGGCCTGGTGTCACAGGTCTGTGGTCCCAGCTACTCAGGAAGCTGAGGTGGGAGAGTCTCTTGACCCCAGGCGGTCAGGGCTACAGTGATCTATGATTGTGCTACTGTACAACAGTACAGAGCCTGGGCAACAGAGAGACCCTGTCTCAAAAAAAAAAAAAAGATTTACAAATGCATTCACTTCTTATTTTTAAAGTTAGTGATGTGATCTTCAAAGAAGTTTTGTCAGTTATTTAACCTTTTTTATTATTATTACTCTAATCTGTTTTGAAAGAATAATTTGTGGACCTCTTTGTTTTAGGAGGCAGTTCCCATGTTATACGCAGCAGATACTTACGGAGCATTGTAATGAAGTGTGGTTCTGTAAATTCTCTAATGATGGCACTAAACTAGCAACAGGATCAAAAGATACAACAGTTATCATATGGCAAGTTGATCCGGTATGTACCCCAATATGAGTGTTTATATTACAAAAGGGGATAATTTTGAATCTAATTCATTGATTACATATTTTTAAGTATATATGTATCAATAGTATTCTTTTCTAAGAGCATTTTTTATCATTTTTACATCTTCATGTGTTGTATAGATAATATATGTAAGTTAATATTATCAACATTGTTGAGTGTTTATGTGCTAACAATAATGTTAAATCTGTGTATGCATTATCTAATTTAATATTCTGAAAAACTCTGTGAGGTGCTAACATCTCCTGCAGTCAGATGAGGAAACTGAGGTAGAAGTTAAATGCTTTGACTCTCACAGCTAGTACGTGACAAAGTTTGACTCAAATCCCGGAATACCTTGACTCCAAACCCACTGCTATTAACATATCTGCCAATTTATATCTTTGTTAATACTTGGTTGAAAGATTAGGCCAGGCACGGTGGCTCATGCCTGTAATCCCAGCACTTTGGGAAGCCGAGGCAGGAGGATCACTTGAGCTCAGGAGTTCAAGAGCAGCCTGGACAACATAGAGGAGAGTCTGTCACTACAAAAAATTAGCCAGGCATGATGGTACACACCAGTCGTCCCAGCTATTCAAGAGGATGAAGTGGGAGGATCACTTGAGCCCGGGAGGTGGAGGCTACAGTGAGCTGTGACCTTGATACTGCACACTCAAGGCTGGGCAACAGAGTGAGACCCTGTCTCAAAAAAAAAAAAAAAAAAAAGAAAGAAAGATTAATACAATGTCCATTCTGTCCCAACCACAAGTTAGAAAAGACTCATTACTCTTTTGCCTTCTGAAGCCCATCATTATCTTGTATAATTTGTGGACCTTGTTGTGTAATCCTTTCCCCCTTTGTTTTCCCATTGATATATATGAAAAGTATTTTATTCTGGATTTAAAATTGTAAGTTCCCTCTAAAATCAGATAAGTGTTCGTTTATAACCAGATGACCTATGGATTTGTTGTGGGTAATAAGTATTTTCATTTATTTCAACTAATTGAACATTTATCAAGTGATCAAAGGAGCACATGACTCCGGATAGGTTAAGGAACTATATTTGGTTTAGGAGTCATTCACCTAAAATAAACTTCTTTTCTTTTCTTTTCTTTTCCTCTTTTTTTTTTTTTTTTTTTGAGACAAAGTCTCGCTCTTGTCCCCCAGGCTGGAGTGCAATGGTGCGATCTTGGCTCACTGCAACCTCCACCTCCTGGGTTCAAGGGATTCTCCTGCCTCAGCCTCCCGAGTAGCTGGGATTACAAGCGCTTGCCACCACGCCTGGCTAATTTTTGTATTTTTAGTAGAGATGGGGTTTCACCATGTTGGCCAGACTGGTCTCAAACTCCTGACCTCAGGTGATCTGCCCTCCTCGGCCTCCCAAAGTGCTGGGATTACAGGCGTGAGCCACTACGTCCGGCCAAATAACTTACTTTGAAGTTTAGAATTAAAATATGCTATTAGCTCAGGATAAAGTTTTGGGCTCCCGTGTTGAGAAAAATAGAAAAAGGGAGCCACAGATGGAAATAATTTTTTTTTCTTTTCTTTTTTTTTCTCTGAGACAGTATCTCACTATGTCCCCCAGGGTGTAGTGCAGTGGGGCAATCTTGGCTCACTGCAACCTCTACCTCCCAGGTTCAAGAGATTCTTATGCCTCAGCCTCCCAACTAGCTGGGACTACAGGCAGGCACCACGACGCCCAGCTAATTTTTTCATTTTTGAAGTAGAGACGGGGTTTCACCATGTTGGCCAGGCTGGTATCATATTCCTGACCTCAGCTGATCGCCCACCTCGACCTCCCAAAGTGCTGGGATTACTGGCGTGAGTCGCCATTCCCAGCCTAACAGTTCTTTTTAGAAGAGAAGTGAATTTGAGAGCATACACCAATTCTTGCATACCTATGTATGCTACAAACAATGAAAGGTAAATAAGATACATTCTTTACCATAAAGCAGTGGTTCTTTACCTTTTTTTGGTACCACGTACCTCTTTGGCAGTTTGGCAAACCTATGGACTCTTTCTCAGAATATGTTTAAATGCATAAATCAAAGCACATAGCAAGGCCAAATATATGTTATGTATTCATTACTAAGGAAAGCCAACTATATTGATATGTAGTTAACATAGTACAAAAACATTTTTTATTTTTATTTAATGCTTTATTAATGCATTAAATAATAAATTCTAGCAGCAGATATAAGTACCAGAATTTTGAAGTAGTGATGAGCATAAATATTTCAAAGTATCTGCAACAACTATAATATGATATGAAAAGATGTAAGATTTCTCTTGTTAATGGAGTCACCTAATACTACCTAATTTAGTATACTAGCTAGTATACTACCCACCACTACCTAATATACTACCCTGTGTAATTACTAATATACCCAGTACTGCCTAATACTACCTTGTTAATTGCCTGCATTTGAGAGTGAAGGAAACACCAAATTTCAGGCTGTGTTTAATAATAATAGAGTTGTGTCTTTTTCTCATTTAAATTCATAGACCCCTGATTCTATCCCTGGACCCATTCTTGTAGATCTCAGGTTTAAAATTCCTGTGAAAAAAATGTACCGTTTAAATGAAAACAAAATTCAATGAAATAAGCATGATACATAATAGATAATACATAAAGTATTATGAAAGCGCAGGGAAGCTTTACAAGTCGAAATACCTCTTGAGAGTCTTACTGCGCATCACACAGGTGGACAACAGGAAAGTGGCATTCTAGGAAGACAGAAAAACCTCTTGCCCTCCTGTCCAACTCCAAAAAAAAAAAAAAAAAAAGAATGGGATGAGTAATGGCAGAGTGGGAGATTAGACTAGAAAAAGAGTTTGGGATCAAATCATAGCCTTTGCATACTATTCTGAGTTCTGTTTTCATTCACCAGTCATTTATTTGCATGATATATGAAAAAGAAGGTAGTAATACCAAAACTGTGCTTTATTAGTTTTTCCTAGTAGCAGTGTATAAGAATCCCCTTCATTTAGCCAGTATTTATTAAACACCTGTTGTGTGCCAGGTCTTTTGCTGTAGACAGACTAAGCACATGATAATACACCGTAATTTATAGTGGGTGCTACAGGAGCTCATCAAAGAGAGCCTACTGGAACAGCAAAGCTAGGGAAAGTAAGAAAAGTAAATATTAGGTGAAGAAGAGGTAAAGAACTATTTAGGCAAAACTAGTTAGGATAGGCCCTTGGGCAAAAGAAAACGTAACATGGCATTTAGGTGGTTTGGGGGAAGAGTTTTAGGTAGACTAGAGTTGAGGTTAATTAAATAGCAGCCAGATCAAGGAGGAGCTTTTGTATTCTTTGCTAAGAAGTTTAGACTCTTATGCCAGTGTTTCCCAGAGTGTTTTTGCAGGAATAATGGGTATGCAGAATTAATAGGTGTTACATGTAAAGGGCTTTTGTTGCCAGATTAGCTTGGGAAATGCAGAGTTAATGCTTACATTCCAATATGAAACAGAGAGACTTTTAGAGACTGTAATTTTTAGATAGCTGTATTATAGTGAGTCCTCTGGGACTGTTTGGTTCTTTTGGTATGATGGTATTTTTGTTATGTCAAATACTGTCTGAAAAAATTATAAGAAAATATGTGTTCTTTTTGGCCGGGTGCGGTGGCTTACCGCTGTAATCTCAGCACTTTGGAAGGCCGAGGCAGGTGAGTCACCTGAGGTCAGAAGTTCAAGCCAACCTGGCCAACATGGTGAAACCCCATCTCTAGTAAAAATAAAAAAAATTAGTCTGGCATGGTAGTGCGTGCCTGTAGTCCCAGCTACTTTGGAGGCTGAGGCAGGAGAATTGCTTGAACCTGGGAGGCGGAGGGTGCAATGAATTGAGATTGCGCCACTGCACTCCAGCCTAGGCGACAGAGCAAGACTCCATCTCAAAAAAAAAAAAAAATTTATATATGTATATATATATATATGCCCTTTTTGAACGTGTGTGTGTGTTTTAATGGAGAGAAAAAAGTACATTTAAGAGAGCCTTAAAATTTGAGTTGATGTGATTCCAATGCCTACTTTCCTTTAACAGTTTTTCTTTGCCTAAAAAAGATGAATTTTACCCATTCCCCGCAGAATCCAAGCAAGGTCATATAGGCTCCACAAACATGTTATTTCCACTTTGAATAAATTAGTATAAAGGCACTGTGCTAATGAAGATATAGTATTGTTTTTGTTTTCAACTTTATCTTTTATAGGATTATATTTTTTTCATTCATGTACATAAAAGTTTTTGAGTTATATATATATATATATATATTTTTTTTTTTTTTTTTTTTTTTTTTTTTTAAAGACAGAGTCTCGCTGTGTCGCCCAGGCTGGAGTGCAGTGGCGCAATCTTGGCTCACTGTAACCTTCACCTCCCGGGTTCAAGCAATTCTCCTGCCTCAGCCTCCCGAGCAGCTGGGATTACAGGCACCCACCACCACACCCGGCTAATTTTTGTATTTTTAGTAGAGACAGGGTTTCACCACATTGGCCAGGCTGGTCTGAAACTCCTGACCTCAAGCTGTTCGCCTGCTTCAACCTCCCAAAGTGCTGGGATTACAGGCATGAGCCACCACACCTGGCTGAGTTAAATATTTCTAAAGGAGTTTGTCTTCAGTTTAAAAGCAAATCTTTGTGTTGATCTGGGGCAGTACTGTGAATGAAAATTTGTTCCTGGAAGATCTTGAGCTAGTCAGGAAGACTTGACTTGCTTAGTAAATTATTTAAACCATTTTGACCTAATGATATTGCTGATCTAATACAAATACCTCTTACCCACTTCCCAAAGAAGAATCAGAAGTAGTCGCATTGTTAACTATTCAATTTTATCAAAACAATGGTGATTTGGACTAGATAATTGTATGAATGATAAACTTAGGGTTCAGTGAAGAAACAATAGTGTAAACATAATCCATTTTGCAATGACATTTCTTAGGAGGGGAGGAATCTCCAACCTAATTTTATCAGACTAGTTCCCAACTTTTTTCAACTGCTGGTGGGTCATCCCATTGGAATTTCCCCCCCATCCCCCCAGGCTCAAAGCTAAACTCAATAAATCTTAAGACTAAAGTCTAAAACTTACTGTTTCTTCCCACCTTTAGTCAAATTCTTACTTCCTCTATTTCTTGTAAACATCCATCCCTATCCCCTAAACCAGAAATCTGGAGGTTGTCTTTGAAGATTTTTTGTTATTTTCTGTCATGTCATTTTTATCTCCACAATATCTTTTTTTCTTTTTATAACAGGGATCTCCCTATGTTGTCCAGGTCGGTCTTGAACTCCTGGACTCAAGCAGTCCTCCAGCCTCAGCCTCTCAAAGTATGGGCATGAGCCATAGTGTCCAGCCCAAAATATCTTTTGATTCTGACCTCTTTTAGTCCTTAACATCTTACGTTAGGGCCTCATTTTTTGGGAACTGACTGTGAACTATGTATGGCTCATTATGGTTCCATTGTCCCTTTATGGTTGCCTTATCCTGTGTCTTTCTGATTCATCTTCCACATTGTTATCCTAGTTCTCTTCCTAAAGCCAAATATCACACTGTATATTCCCTAGCTTACAAATTTTAAGTGGCTTTTCACACACAGGGAAAATGTAACCCCTTAGCCTACAACAAACATGTCAACTCTTGCAGCCTTGTCACTTGCCACGTCTACATTTGCACTTCACAGTTCAGCTTGCATAGCATACAATATGGGCTTTTAAGTGAGGCAGCCCAGATTCAAATCCCCATTGCACTACAAACAGGCATGTTTCTAACCTTTCTAAACTTTCGTTTCTTTCCCTATAATATGAGAGGGGGTAATATTCTAGATTTGTGAGAATTAAATGAAGTATTGTTTATGAATAGTGCTAGTAGTGGTTAGCATTAATAAGTGGTAGCTTTGCTGGTAGGATTGTAAAATGGTGCAACCACTTGGAAAACAGTTTGGCAGTTTCTCAAAATGTTAAACAGAGTTAGCATACGACCCAGAAATTCCACTCCTATGTATATACCCAAGAGAAATGGAAACATATGTCTACACAAAAACTCATACATATTCATAACAGCATTATTCATAATAGCCAAAAAGTAGAGAAACAGTCCAAATGTTCATCACCTCATGAATGGATAAACAAAATAATTATACTGTTAAATATTATTCAGCAATAAAAAGAGATTAAATACTAATACATTCTATAACACGGATGAACCCTGAAAACATGCTAACTGAAAGAAGCCAATTAAAAGAGACCACATCATGTATAAGCCTATTTATGTGAAACGTCCAGAATAGGCAAATCTATAGAGACAGAGACAGAAAGTAGTGGTTGCCAGGGGCTGCAGGGAGGGGTATGGCAGCTGCTGATGGGTAGGAGGTTTCTTTGGGAAATGATGAGAATGTTCTAAAAATTAGATGGTGTGATGGTTGCACAACTCTGAATATACTAAAATATACTGAGTTGTATACTTTAAAAGGATGAATTTTATGGTAAGTTATATCTCAAGTTGTTTAAAAATATGTAAGAGATAGCTCTTATTATACCCATCTGTTTTCAGTTGCCTTGAAAGCTTTCTAAGGTCAAATTCAATATATCTTTATACATATATTAAAAATGTTAATATATCTTTATATTTTCATCAAGTACACAATGACTTGTATATAGTAGATGCCTAATAGTGTAGTAGATGCTTAATAGATGTTGCAATGTGAATGAGTCTTTATGAAGCAAGCTGTTAAAGGGAAAATTGGTCTGAAAATTTCCTCAGATTAAATTATCAAAGTACATCTTTGTAGCTATTTAAGTTCTTACATTGGGAAACAATGACTTTAGTGATAGGGGTTAACTGAATTGTTTATTTTCCCTCCCAGGATACACACCTGCTAAAACTGCTTAAAACATTAGAAGGACATGCTTATGGCGTTTCTTATATTGCATGGAGTCCAGATGACAACTATCTTGTTGCTTGTGGCCCAGATGACTGCTCTGAGCTTTGGCTTTGGAATGTACAAGTGAGCGAGTTCCATCTTTGGTTGAGCTTTTAAGTACAGCATAGTCATAATGTACATATTCATTATAACTTTATTGATTTATATAATATAACCATTCAACCTAAATTACTATACTGTATCTCTTAGTTATTCAAGTGGAACCCAAGTTTCCAGATTTATCAATTTAAGTATTATGCTCAGTAATATATTTTTGGAAGAATGATCAGTAAGTGTTTTCAGGATGTTTGGCTTTGTCCTATGGAATTTATGCTATTTACTGTGGTTCTTCAGAAAGAATTTTATAATGGTTTCATAGTTTCACAATTGTACATTACACCTACCTTTGAAATGTTAAAGGTCAGCATTAAACCAAATTTTCGATTCTGATGGCAGTTGCACCATCTCCTTGCCTATATTTAATATACTAAGCTAGTTTAGTGAAGCTAACTGATGTTTTCAGTACTTATTCCTAAGGGCTTTATTGCTTGGTTTGTTCGTTTGTTTGTTTGTTTTTGAGACAGAGTCTCGCTCTGTCGCCCAGGCTGGAGTGCGGTGGCGCAATCTCGGCTCACTGCAGCCTCCACCTCCTGGGTTCAAGCGATTCTCCTGCCTCAGCCTCCAGAGTAGCTGGGATTACAGGCACCCGCCACAACGCCTGGCTAATTTTTGTATTTTCAGCAGAGAAGAGGTTTCATCATGTTGGCCAGGCTAGTCTCGAACTCTTCACCTAAAGTGATCCGCCTGCCTCGGCCTCCCAAAGTGTTAGGACTACAGGCGTGAGCCACCGTGCCCGGTCCATTGCTGTTTATATATGAAAATTTGAATTTTATGCAGGGTCCCATTTTAGGAAAAGTCGGCATTAGGTTCAGTTTGTTATTTACAGTTCATGTTTTAGAAACCCTGTAGTTATAATAGTAAGACTGCCTTGCTGTCAGTCATTTCCTTGTTTCAACTCCAGCTTTTTATTAAGAAAATTTTCAAATATTAAGAAAAGTCAAAATAGGACAATGATGATCTATGTGCCCACCACTGTAAATTCAACAATTGTTAACATTTTGTGATATTTTGTTTGTACATACATGCATAGAAACATGCATTTGTGGCCGGGCGCGGTGGCTCACGCCTATAATCCCAGCACTTGGGGAGGCCGAGGTGGGTAAATCACGAGGTCAGGAGTTCAAGACCAGCCTGGCCAAGATGGTGAAACCCCGTCTCTACTAAAACTACAAAAATTAGCAGGTGCAGTGGCAGGCGCCTGTAATCCCAGCTACTCGGGAGGCTGAGGCAGGAGAATCGCTTGAACCCAGGAGGCAGGCTGGGATCGTGCCACTGCACTCCAGCCTGGGCAACAGAGTGAGACTCCCATCTCAAAAAAAAAAAGAAATGTGCATTTGTACTTACATATATATTACATATATATACATATCTAAAATATTTGAAAGTAAATTAGATATCTTACCCTAAATACTTAAGCATGTATCTTTTAAAAAATAACGTTCTACCTATTCAAACATTATGATATCTAAGAACATTAACTATAATTCTCTAATATCTAGTACTCATGATCAAAATCCACAATTGTTCCCAAAATGTGTTTTATGCCATTTTTGTCAAATCAGCATTTAATCAATGCTGTATTTGTGATTGGGTTCAGGGAGGTGGCAAAACATAGAGTAGAATGTTAAAATTGCTTTCTCTCAGTAAAACAGAGCTTGCAGTGAGTCTGACCTAGAAGATCAATGAAAACTTTTTTCCATTAAAGCTTTCTTTCCACCTTCCAAAGGAGAAAGTATGTTGTCTTAATCCTGTAACAGAAATTTAATGTAGAGTGCCTTTGTAGTCTTCCTTTGACCAATTAAACTGTGTTCTAACATAACTTTCATTGTGTAGTACTTTATATACTTAAAACTTCTTCTAAAAGGGTGATCTAATCAGTTTTCAGATTTCTTTAATCATTTCTTAAATTAGAAAAATCCTTTCTAATCTAATAACCTCATGTACTCACTATTTAGAGCATAATAAGAGAAGACAAACCATTTCTGCCTTCAGAATTTAGTGTGTTAATGTATTTGTCAATGGAAAATGCCAAGAATTTAGCTATTGCTTGTGTATTTGTGCTCTAAACTTTCAACTGTTTATATCAGTCAACCCAAAAGAGTAAATAGGGGAGAGTAGTTAACAATTTGGGGGAAGGATTTATATTGCTGAACACTTTTTTTCCAGTGTAAGGGAAACCTGGTTTTCTGTTTTTGTGCCCTCTTTTAGTACTTGGCCCCATTTCCTAATCATACCCTTTGTTTTCACTCTTTTATTTCTACTTTTGATTACCCATTTCTCACAGGAAAACTATCCCCATGTACCTTTTATTATTACACCAAGGGCAGCTATTATCTCTCAGATCCTGTTTCTAATCCATGAACAAAATGGAATCAAGACTAGATTAAATGGTATGTGTATACCTTCTAAGTTGAGTAATTCAGAAAATGTAACAGGAGGATACCTGAGGGTTGTAGCCACTAAATATTCTTACTTAGAAATGCCACGGAATGGCTATGTTAAACAGTACACAGGTTCCTCTTTCTAGTACTTTTCATTGAAATAAGGTTGTGTATCAGAAAAATGTTTTTTTCTCTCTTTCTACCTTCCCTACTATATTGTGAGCATTTGAATATGAAATTTAACATAATTTATGTAGACTGCCCTTTGCCTACTTTATGGGCATAGTTTTTCTCTTTTTTTTTCTTTTTTCTTTTTTTTTTTCTTTTTTTTTTTTTTTTTTGAGACAGTCTCACTCTGTCACCCAGGTTGGAGTGCAGTGGCATGATCTCAGCTCACTGCAACCTCCACCGCCTGGGTTCAAGTGATTCTCGTGCCTAAGCCTCTTGAATAGCTGGGATTATAGGCATGCACCACCATGTATGGGTACAGTTTTTTACTCATTAATCATGTTCTTGAGGAATTGCTAATTGCATTAACTGCAGTTGTAGAATAAAATTTATAAAAAACTTTGGACTGAGAAGTGGAAGCTCAGAAGGAATAGGTATGTAGTCTTGGGCTTTTCATTATCTTGCTTGGGAAAAATTACATGTTTTAGTTTATGCATATAATTGATTTGCGATGAGAGATTTATTGAAGTTTATCTCATCATATCTACTCTTTGGGTTACCTGTGCCAGACATTGTTCAACTGCTGGGTTTTTCTTCAAGTTCTTAATTTCTCTTCTGAGTGCTGTTGTCTCTTTTTTGTAGGGTCACTTAATTCATTACTCTACTTAGAATGAACTGGGAAACCAGCCAGACATCCCAGTTATTTTTTTTTTCTCACATAATTCCTTTAGAGGGGTATCTTGAAGGTCTCATTTACAGTTTTATTTCCTTATAGACAGGAGAACTAAGGACAAAAATGAGCCAGTCTCATGAAGACAGTTTGACAAGTGTGGCTTGGAATCCAGATGGGAAGCGCTTTGTGACTGGAGGTCAGCGTGGGCAGTTCTATCAGTGTGTAAGTATTCAGTGCCCCCTTCCCAGTATCTGTTGGTTTAAAAGCAAATGTACTTTTGTTTAAACAATTTCCTTGACTCAGTATCTTACAAAGTATACTCTGTGGGCCAGGCATGGTGGCTCACACCTGTAATCCCAGCACTTTGGGAGGCCGAGGCAGGTGGATCACCTGAGATCAGGAGTTCAAGACCAGTCTGGCCAACATGGTGAAACCCTGTCTCTACTAAAAATACAAAAATTAGCTGGGCATGGTGGTGGGTGCCTGTAATCCCAGCTACTCGGGAGGCTGAGGCAGGAGAATTGCTTGAACTCAGGAGGCGGAGATTGCAGTGGGCCAAGATCGCGCCATTGCACTCCAGCCTGGGCAACAAGAGTGAAACTCTGTCTCAAAAAAATACATAAATAAAACAAAATATACTCTATGAACACCTACTTTGCTGTCGTCGTAGACAAGCGCTGTCCAATAGAATTTTCTGGGTCATTTTTTTCCTTTCTTTTAAACATTTCAAATGTTTGTACAAAGTATAGACTTTGGATTTAGTAGAACAAAAAAATGTGTTTTGCTAAACATTTTTGTTTTTATGAGCAAGTTTCTAATTTATAAGAATTGAAAAGATTTTTTAAATTTCTTTTGAGATTTTTGTAACCAAAAAAAAAAAACACTGAATTTTATGAGTAGACTCCCTTTAATATTTGAATAATAAAAGTGGTGACAGGTGCTACCAGAGTACTTTTCAATCTTTGTGTCAGCTTCTAATAAGTAGCTGCCCTAATTATTTTGAATTGTTGGAATGATAAAAATAAGTTTTATGGCAAGGTAAACTTTATATCATAAGTATCATTTATATCATAAATCATTGTTTACCTTGCCATAAAACTTTCTCTGTTACTTGCAGTGTAGTCTAGATTCTGTGTCTCATATTACAGACTCACATGGTCCCAGTATGCACGTCCACATTTTTTTTGTTGTTTTTTAAGAGACAGGGTCTTGCTCTCTGCCACCCATGCTAGAGTACATTGGTGTGATCATGGCTCACTGCAGCTTCAAACTTCTGGGCTCAAATGATCCTCCCGCCTTGGCCTCCCAACGTGCTGGGATTATAGGCATGAGCTACCACACCCGACCCCAGATCAATTTTTTAAACTAAAACAAGATAATAAATCATTTAATTTAGCTAAAACAGGTTATCAGTTTCTTTTATTAAGCTCGTTTGGAACACATGGATTTTGGTGTTATATTATCTCAATATGGTTATGAATTGTTCTTAATTCCCTGCGTGCAAGATGATCATGTATGTTTCTGCTGAGTTTGCTGTCCTATACTGTGTTAAGCCATCAAGATACAGGATTATCTAACTTATAAAATGGGAAGGGTTGTTCCTCTCAGAACTTTGGATATTCAATGAGATAATGACTATAAGAGCTTTGATCTGTAGAGCACATTACAAATTTGGTAAATTTTTGAAAAATGTCATTAACAGATTCCTCCAGTCTGTATGAAGCTGTAAAATGTTTTAGAATCTTTTTCCATTTCACAACTCCTAAATATTAGGACAAATTCCAGTATAGTGAATTTTAAAGGAACGTTTAAATTGTTTTTGAATAAAAGTAAGACCTTACTTGGAACTTAGGGACTGTTTCTTTCTTTGTGTTATTTATGCATGGTGAGTTATTGAAGGGAAGATAGAGCTACAAAGTGTCTCTCTGCTTTCCCTTAAGTATGGTTGTAATGAAATTTGAACTATATTCAAATTTTCATGGTTAAAAACACTTCTAGAACAATTAGGTTGAGATCAGTCTCAGGAAAAAAAAAAAACCTGTTACTAAAAGATATTGTGAAGGGAGTCTTTTGGTTCTTTATTTGCTTTCTGAGTGCTGTTGAGTAATGAAGTTAATAGTAGTTTTTTCTTACTCAGGACTTAGATGGTAATCTCCTTGACTCCTGGGAAGGGGTAAGAGTGCAATGCCTTTGGTGCTTGAGTGATGGAAAGACTGTTCTGGCATCAGATACACACCAGCGAATTCGGGGCTATAACTTCGAGGACCTTACAGATAGGAACATGTAACTATTTTTTGTTTCCATTAAACAACAATTACCTGATTTATATTCAAATGTGTAGTGGAACTTGCCTTTTCACAGTTTTTATGTTTTTCGTTTTGGTTTGCGTGGTAATTTGGATTGAAGGTCACATGGTACTTAGTAATCAGTAACTCAGATTCTTCTCAATTGAAGTATAGTATGTAATAGTGATTGCAGGCAAAATTGTCATACTTAAGCTAGCACATCTTATGTATTGATAATTTGAATGTCTTGACTGTTAATATGTTGTTTTTGACAAATTATTTTCTGGTTCCAGAGTACAAGAAGATCATCCTATTATGTCTTTTACTATTTCAAAAAATGGCCGATTAGCTTTGTTAAATGTAGCAACTCAGGTATGTTTATTAGTATAATTTTCTGAAAAATTTGGCTTAGTACAAGTTTTATTTTAACTGTTATTTTCAGTGTATTTATATTAACAAAATTTTCTACTTACCCTTAAATTTGATTGCATGTGATTGATCCTTAAATGTGTATAATCAACCATAAATTTGTCAGAATGTTGGTATTTTGCATAATAGAAAATGAAGATATTTCATCAGGCAAAGGGATATTTACAGATACTTTTTAAAATTTGTTTGAGTTGAGGCAGATTAAATATCTGTATTCTCCTTTGCCTGCAGGGAGTTCATTTATGGGACTTGCAAGACAGAGTTTTAGTAAGAAAGTATCAAGGTGTTACACAAGGGTTTTATACAATTCATTCATGTTTTGGAGGCCATAATGAAGACTTCATCGCTAGTGGCAGTGAAGGTAAATTGTGTCCTTATCAGTTTACATATGTTGATATTAAAGTCTGTAAATCTCAATTTATGAAGGCAGTCATGTCTCCAAGAAAATTCAGGGTAGTAAGTTAAAATTCTTTCATTTATCCAATACACGGTTAATTTCTCTCTGTAATGACCTAAGCCCCTGTATTATCACAAATTGTCACATGCTGTCATGTATTACTTTCTCCTTTTCTGTAATGACCTAAGCCCTCCATATTGTCATGTATTGTCACGGATTAGCAGTGCTTATTCTGACCACGTAGCAGTGTGTTTGGTGCATGTGTCTAATCAAGATTTAGTTAAATTATTATACTTTCATATGTTGACTTGTATTTTCATGGGACTGATGGTTTTTAAGGGTTGGTAGTATCTGAAAAATCAAGGTTAATTATGATGCTCTACCTGAACTTGGACAGATTTGACTATAGTTAGTTCTTCAGTATTTCTTCAGCGGTCACCAGAGTTATAATTGAGTTTGATAATTCTTAAGATTTTAGGAAAGCTGAAATTATTCTTCCTACTACTACCCTTTTGAATAAACTTGTTCTCTAATCTAAAAGTGTCAGTATTCCAGACAGGAATATGCCTAAAGTCACTCTAAAGTGTGAATTGTTTAGAAGATGCAAGCACAAATAAGTGAGGCAGTAATAAAAATTAGTGTACTTTTTAAGGCGATAGGAACTTAACTAGTGGCAAATTATTGCAAGTTTTTATTCAACACATTTTTCTTCAATACCCACTGTACATTTCTAGGTACTATAAAAGCAAATTATTTAAGTCACTTTTTTTGGCCGGGCATGATGGCTTACACCTGTAATCTCAACACTCTGGGAGGCCTAGATGGGAGTACTGCTTGAGGCCACGAGTTCCAGACCAACCTGGGCAACATGGCTAGACACTGTCTCTACAAAAAGTAAAAAAATATATACTGAATCTGGTTTTATAAGATAGACCAAGGAATTAGATTATGTTATGTTCCATTTATTGTATAAGATGTTTACTATCCCTATCTTGACAAAAAACTGATCTTGGTAGATAAGAGGATCATAAAGTGCACATGAGGTTTACCTTTAAGAATAAGGCATATTTAAGGATTGGGACAAAGAGAGACATTTAGAGATTTAGATTTTAACATCAAGCATATAAATTCATCTATTCCTTTTCTTTTCTTTTCTTTTCTTTTCTTTTTTTGAGTGCAATGGCACGATCTTGATGCAACCTCCACCTCCTGGGCTCAAGCAGTCCTTCCCTCCTCAGCCCCTCAAGTAGCCCCAACAAATTTTTGTAGAGATGGGGTTTCACCGCGTTACCCAGGCTGGTCTTGAATTCCTGAGCTCAAGCAGTCTACCTGCCTCAGCCTCCTGAAGTGCTGGGATTACAGGCATGAGCCACCGCGCCCAGCCTGAATTCATCAATTCTTTCTTTCTACCGAAAATCAGCGTCAGATGAGATTGGGAGGAAAGAAGAGTGGTTAGGTAGCAATTGGGAATTTACTTTTTTCCAGTCAGGAAATTTAGTTTTTTCCACTACTTCTAGATTCTCTATTGGCTTTTTGTTTTGTTTTGTCTGTCTGTTTTTAATATATCGCGGGAGATAATAGACATTAGTTTCTAATTAAATTTTCCTGTGGTCTAAATATGTTAAGCCTTCTTGCTTTTAAATTCCTCCTGTTTATAAGATGTCTTCTTCCATGGTCTATTCAATCCTGCTTCTGGTAGGTTTTCTTTCTCTTAATTATGCCTGAGAATCCCTTACAGCTCTTTCTGTGTACCCTAGAGGTACTTAAAATTATGTATGGCTACCATTATCCCTAGAAAAGCCAAACTTTTTTTTAAGCCCAAACTAACTTAGAAACAACGATGAATACTATAATTAAACCACATTATCTTCTGGTTTAGGGCTACAAATTAGACCACTGTCAAGTACAGAGATTAGTCTTCTCATGACTCAAGTGATTTAGAATGGTTTTGAAAATGTTTTGAACATCAATCAGATATAGCGAGTATATTATCTCCCAGGATGACCACAGTAATCCATTTGCCATTTATTTGTAAGGAATATATTTCAATGACCCTCCAAATCCCCAAATATATAAGTGCCAGTATAAAATAGAGCAATTAAAAACCGTTTCCCAAAAAAGTTATACCACTACTCAAGCCTTTTCATTGTGCTGGCAATATGTAGAAAAACTGGACTTTTTTACCTTTGCATAAACAATAGATTTCTCAGATTGATACAGCAAACAGAGCTTGATGATAAAGCCTGTCATTTTGACCTTGATTACTTCAAACCCGGTTTTTCCTGCCTTTCACCAAATGTGCTCCTTGAATATATATTCACAAAAACATTTTCCACCAAATAGAGAAATATTCAATTGCATTCACACTTTAACCCTGTGATCCTTCTCCTTGTGGACCTCTTCAGTTTAGGAAGGAAATACAGCTAACCTGTCTTTACTTTTTTTTTTTTTTTTCCTAATTTCATTTCATGTAAGAAAAAATTATTTTCAAAAATTATTGAGCAGCAGATACTTCTAAGAAGATAAATTCAGTTTTTAAATTGGTGCCTTTTAGCTTTTGCTTCACACATACACACACAAAAAGTTCAGATACAGTTCCAGCTTTTTATCTTCATGTCAGAAATTTTGAAGCTAAGGCACATCCTCTAAGGTTTCCTCAACTGGCAGTACACCCACTGACAGTTTGCACATTGGCCATACTTAACTGATATATCATTAAGTTATACACCTTTCTAATTTGCCCTGGGATTCTGCCCTCTGTTCAAGAACCATCACCTGTACTTAATCTCGTCACAGTAGTAAATGGTGTTTATTCCAAACACCTTTCCACATACAAATATATTTAATCCTTATAACAACATGATATGAGGTTAGTATCCCCATTTACAGGTGAAGGGTTGTAAAGAGTAATTTGCCCAAAGTTGCTCAGCTAGTCAGTGTTGGAGGAAGGATACAATGTTGAGTAGTCTGATTCCAGAGCCCATACTCTCAACCAATACTCTCTATACTATGTGGCTAGTTTTTTGAAGATTCGTTTATTACAAAGAAAGCTGTAGGGGATTTTGATTGTTGTGGTCACTTCATGAGATTATAGTCTACAAAGCCATATCATGATGCAGATAAGGGACCATTGTCTACTCTCACTAGTAAGCTCTTGAGCAGGGCTGCCTGGATTTGAATCCCAACTTTACCATTTACTAGCTGTTAACCATAAGCAGACCACTTAACCATAACCTATGTTTCAATCACCATTAAGAGGATAAGCAGGCGGGGCGCAGTAGCTCATGCCTGTAATCCCAGCACTTTGGGAGGCTGAGATGGGCGGATCACGAGGTCAGGAGATGGAGACCATCGTGGCTAAACCCCATCTCTACTAAAAATACAAAAAATTAGCCGGGCATGGTCACACACACCTGTAATCCCAGCTACTCGGGAGGCTGAGGCAGGAGAATCGCTTGAACCCGGGAGGTGGAGGTTGCAGTCAGCCGAGATATTGCCACTGCGCTCCAGCCTGGGCAACAGAGTGAGACTCCGTCTCAAAGAAAAAAAAAAAAAGGATAAGCAGAATACCCATTTTATGGGGTAGTGATGAAGATTAAATAATATGCATTAAGTACTTGATACCTAGTACTTTGTAAGCACCCAATAAAGGTTTAGCTGTCATCTTCATTTTTGCTTCAGTATTCAATTTGGATACATTGCTTTTCTGTCACTTCCCATTTCCATAGAATTTATCACTATCTCTATCCTGGATTTGTTTATGTTCAAAGGCCTTGATTTATAATTCTTCATTACTCATGTATTGACAGAATATTGCAGATAGTTTTTTTGTGTGTGACTTGATGAGAGCTGATCACCTTTAACAGGAAAAAAGTGTATATTTGATTTAAACATTTTTTCATAAGGTAACATGTTAAACTATTCATGGTATATTTATTTTCCCTTTAAGTTCTAGTAAAGAGTCCTGTGTGTAGTGAATGATAAATTTAAGATCAGTTAGTTGGTTTTATTAATGTAAAACTTTTTTCTGAATTACTATATGTTCAGATCACAAGGTTTACATCTGGCACAAACGTAGTGAACTGCCAATTGCGGAGCTGACAGGGCACACACGTACAGTAAACTGTGTGAGCTGGAACCCACAGATTCCATCCATGATGGCCAGCGCCTCAGATGATGGCACTGTTAGAATATGGGGACCAGCACCTTTTATAGACCACCAGAATATTGAAGGTAATACCTTTGTATAATGTTACTATGTTTTGTCCAAATGAAACATCACTCGGCTTATTATGAACTTAAAGCAGTTTTAAGCAAGTTTATTTAAAGTGTGGTATATGATTTCTCTCTTTTACATATTGTACCCTATCTCAGGCCACAGAATGAGTTTAAGTAGTGTAAGAGCCAATAATGTAGTGGTTGTTTTGGGGGGCACAGTGAAAAGAATAAGCTGGAATATGATACCTCATTGACATCCAGTTAGCTATTTAGTAGTTTCACTTTAAAAATGTTACTGAAAATCTTGCTTCGTCATGCTACCTAAACGTAATATTGTAGGAAGAATTTTATACACATGAAACTAACCATACAAAATATTAACAACTTTAGATATTAAATATCTTGATTATAGATTTTACTCTTTAAAAAAAAGTAAACGTCTGTTTGCACCATGCATCATACTAACATGAGTTGTGTTTAATGGATAGGGAAAGAGAAGAGAGAACTAAAATTGATCATGTACCTGTGTGCCAAGCAGCATGCTAATCCCTTTACATATACTGTCTTGCATAAAGTCTTCATAGTCCTATAAGGGAAGTATTTTTATCTTTATTTTTAGAGGTAAGGAAACTGCAGCATGGCAAAACTAATTCACTTGTTGAGTGCCATCAGGTCTTCAAGTCTAAGTCTGAAAGGTTTTTTCCACCACTTTGAGATACTTGGGGATGAAGAAAGGCCAAAATATAAGGCTAACAGTTAAAGCCAAAAACTTAATTGAACATGATATATCAGTACTACAGCAAAGAGATAATGAGAAACTTCATGTAAATGACTCTCTTAAATAGAGCACGTAAAATGTTTGGTTTGCTTAGAAGGAAGCAGTTTATATATAAACAGATTTTTTGTTAAGCATGTCCCACCTAAATTTTTTTTTTTTTTTTAGTGAGAAAGATGACTAATTGCTCTCAGTTAAGTGATTCTCTGTGGAGGAGGGTTATCGGAGTAGCATGTATGGTTTGAAAAAGTATATTCCCTACACTTTTATCTTTGTGGTACAGACTGTAGAAGGCTTGGCCACATCTTACTGGCGGGTAAGGATATGCAATCAGAGATGAGAATACAAAACATGAAGAGCACACGAGTCAAAAAGTTTGAGAACTACTGTTCATTTGCCCAGAACCTTGAAGGGTATTTTTGTATTTATAGATCACTACCTGACATTCTAACATTCCTCTAGGAAATCAACTAAGACCAGAAATCTTTACCTTCTTGTGTTGTCCTGTTTGGGTTTCAACCAAAGGCCTACAAACCCAAAGTCTTTATAGATCTGCAACTGTGATTCAATCTGTGCTTTTCTCATTTTATTAGTCATTTGGGAGTTATTTCTTCAAATAAACATACTTGGTTTAAAGAAGTAGGAAAATACTAGGTATGTAGTAACAGATTTACTCCAGAAGAGGATATGTTTTCTTTTCTTTTTTTTTTTTGAGACGGAGTCTCATGCTCTCTCCCAGTGTACAGTGGTGCGATCTCGGCTCACTGCAAGCTCCGCCTCCTGGGTTCACGCCATTCTCCTGCCTCAGCCTCCCGAGTAGCTGGGACTACAGGCACCCACCACCACGCCCAGCTAATTTTTTGTATTTTTAGTAGAGACGGGGTTTCACTGTGTTAGCCAGGATGGTCTCGATCTCCTGACCTCGTGATCCACCCGCCTCGGCCTCCCAAAGTGCTGGGATTACAGGCATGAGCCACCGCGACCAGCCAGAAGAGGATATATTTTATGCCTCCATAGCAATGGAATAAGAGTGTGCTGCTATTTGGTGAATCTGACTAATGTAGATCCTCACTTTGGTGAGTGAGCCAAATTTTGGCTAATTTGTAGGATCTGGGTCCAGTTCAGCAACTCTCCATTGTGCTTTGGCAACATGGGTATAGCCCTAAAATGATTTTCATTTTCACCTGAAATAGAAAAAACAGTACTTGTATAACCAGATGTTTGGCTATAATGTCCTTTTCACAAGTTATTTTCTGGAGTATTCCCCCTCCACCCCCAAAACACTTTTTCTAATTAAAGTAATACCTATTTAGAATAGAACTTACGAAAAATATAGATGAGGCTAAAGAAATCAATATTAAAAAAAATCAAAATACAGCCAGGCATGATGGCTTGCGCCTGTAATCCTAGCTACTTGGAAGGCTGAGGCAGGAGGATCCCTTGAGTCCAGGAGTTTGAGGCTTCAGTGAGCTATGATCATGCCACTGCACTCCAGCCTAGGTGACAGAATGAGACCCTGTCTCTGAAGGAAACAAAAAAGGAAAAATGTAGCACAGTAAAATACTATAAGTCATTTAAATAAAAATACACTCAACTCCATTTCAAAAGGGAAAAATTTTAACAGTAGAATTATGGACTGTAAATAAAATAAAATTTTAACAGTAGAATTAAGGTTTTTTTTTTGTTTTTTTTTTTTTTTTTTTTGAGACAGAGTTTTGCTCTTGTTGCCCAGGCTGGAGTGCAATGGCGCAATCTCGGCTCACCACAACCTCCGCCTCCTGGGTTCAAGCAATTCTGCCTCAGCCTCCTGAGTAGCTGGGATTACAGGCATGCATCACCACGCCCGGCTAATTTTGTATTTTTAGTAAAGATGGGGTTTTTCCATGTTGGTCAGGCTGGTCTTGAACTCCCGACTTCAGGTGAAGTCGGCCTGTCTTGGCCTCCCAAAGTACTGGGATTACAGGCATGATATTTTTTTTTTTAAGGATGCATAAAATGGAATAGAAGGAAGTACCGATGCATGCTACAGTATGAATGGACCTTGAAAACAATATGCTAAGTGAAAGAAGCAGGACACAAGACCACATATTATGATTCCATTTATATGAAATAGTCTAGACAGATCTATAGACAACATAGATATAGTGATTACTTAGGGCTTGGGGAAGTGTTTGACTGCTAATGAATGTTGAAAATGTTCTAAAATTGATTGTTAATGATTGCATAATTCTGTGGGTACACTAAAAACCATTGATTTTACACTTTTGTTTTTTTTGTTTTTGTGTTTGTTTCTGTTTTGAGATGGAGTCTCACTCTGTCGCCCAGGCTGAAGTGCAGTGGTGCAATCTCGGCTCACTGCAACCTCCGCCTCCCGGGTTCAAAGTGTACACTTTAAATGGTTGCTTTGTATAGAATATGAATTATATCTCAAAGCTGTTATACACCTCCCCAAAAAAATGGAGTAGGATGATACTGTAGAATTTCAAACAGAGCAACCAAAAGGAAAATTAACAACTCCATAGTTATAACACGTTATTCTACCTTAGACTGCCAGATCTTTCTTTCCTCTTTACTATTGTAGCTATCATAAAAATTTATCTATTCTGCTAACTATCTCAAGGTTAATTTTAAAAGTATGAGATTCTGAGGCTAGGCACGGTGGCCAGTGCCTTATAATCCCAACATTTTGGGAGGCCAAGGCAGGCAGATTGCTTGAGCTCAGGAGTTCAAGACCAGCCTGGGCAACATGGCGAAACCCTGTCTCTACAAAAAATACAAAAAGTAGCCAGGCATGGTGGCATGTGCCTGTAGTCCTGGCTACTCAGGAAGCAGAGGTGGAAGGATCACTTGAGCCAAGGAGGCAGAGGTTGCAGTGAGCCCAAATTACATCACCAGCCTGAGCAGCAGAGTGGGATCCTGTCTCAAAAAAATAAAAGCATGAGATTCTAACATGATTATTCACTTGGGTTTCTTCAGTATTCAAAATCATGAATTTAGATCATAATATATGGTCTAAGACATGATACAGACATTGTTTTAATGAGTATGATGAAAGTTTCAAGAATTTGCTTTGATTTTTTAATGTTAGTATAATTTTGTAATGTCATAATGCTAATTTTGAAACTTTCTAACTGGTAATTTTTTTCTCTCCTTCCCCTCTTCCCTCCCCCGCCCGCCCCCCATACATTTCATCTTGTCTTCATTCAGAGGAATGCAGTAGCATGGATAGTTGATGGTGAATTTGGAGCAGACGACTTCTGTTTAACTTAAAATTAGTCGTATTTTAATGGCTTGGGATTTGGTGCAAACAAACATGATTGATAGCTGGACAGACATGCTCGTCATGAAAAAAGAACCATTTCTGAAGCCCGATTGGGGCCAAACATTTACACCTTGCTTCATAGTAACCAGTTGAGATGAAGCACGTCGTTAGAACGTTGTTGGACACCATGTTGAATTATTCCCCCATCGGTTGTGAAGAACTGTGCTACATTCAGGCTTACCCATTGAACTCAGTATATATATTTTTTTCCTTCCTGTCTTTTGTCTGGCAGGATACCATTCTTGTTGCTCTTCTGTGTAATGAAGTTTAAATGCTTGTTTGGAAAACTTTATTTAACAGTTTAGAAGGCTTGATAGAAAGAGTGCATTAGTCTGAAGAGTATACATTGGATAGGAAAGAATTTCCTTCTTTTGTTTCTCCAAATCTTTCCGCCTTATTTAGCTTGAGATCTTTGCAGCTTGGTTCATGGATTCTAGCCTTGCCCGTTGCGCAGTATATACTGATCCAGATGATAAACCAGTGAACTATGTCAAAAGCACTCTCAATATTACATTTGACAAAAAGTTTTGTACTTTTCACATAGCTTGTTGCCCCGTAAAAGGGTTAACAGCACAATTTTTTAAAAATAAATTAAGAAGTATTTATAGGATTAAAGTGACTTCATTTGTATACATTTGGAATCTAAACCAGCTTAAAAACAGTTTCCTCAATGACTTAGATACACAGTATAACTGATGCTCTTCTGGAATACCACATGAGACATGGTCAGAAACAGTGCTTGGAAGGACATTACACAAGAAATTCAGAGTAATGCTTTGAAGATTTCCCCCCTTTTGTTTTATTCCTGAAGGAACATCAGTACCCGATCTTGAAGAAATTCAAGATTCAAAAAGAATTTTAAATACACCAACATGAGACATCAGTAGTCAGTTGGTTTTCAGTAAAGCTTGTTCCAAGTTGTTCTCAACTTAGGAAGTAATTTTGGTGTGATCTAGCAAAAGAGTAGGAATCAGCGATACAACCACTTTGGAAGTTTATAGTATAATTGAAATTATTAGAAGAATTCAGCAGGTTACAGACATACTTAAACTGGGATTAAAACCTCATAGTCATTTTTCTTAATTGCCCTTAATATTTTGACATATAGGGATACATAAATTTAAAGAATATTTTTTCTCAGTTTTTTCAGATATTGCCATACTGAACCTCATTCTAAACTGGTGCTGTGGATAGTCTTTCCCTCTCCCCTCCTGTTTTAGTTTAAGGAAAGGTTTCCTTCATGGAAAAGCACTTTTAATTTTGAGAATTTCACATTTAAAATAAGCCAAAAGCCTGATGTTCACATTGTGCTTTTAAACTCCGTAACAGCTGAATACAACATAACATAGTCTCCCTTGAAATTCCCTCCCTTTTTCAGTAGAGGATAAATAGGGTGACTCCAGCTGTTGGAATGAGAATGGGGATACCCCCAAAATAAGATTCTGGTGAAGAAAAAGTCTTGTACTAAGTTCCCCTTTAGGTGTAGCCAAGTCTATAATATAATTATGATCATGAATAGACTCCAGAATCCACAAAGAGAAGAGGGCTTGGATGTCAAAAATTCTTCCATTGTGGGGTAGGTGGTCGGGGATGGGAGAAAGGGAAAAGTCAGGGAAGGGGAGAAGAAAGAAAAACACATTTGGCCTTAAAATAGCATGCATTCTCCCAGAAGCCCATAGTAAAGAAAATGACAGATCGTGGTCAGCAGACTCTTATCAAATTGGTATGTAAAAGATTTCTTCAAGCTCCATTTTGCAGAGACCACCACTTAGAGAATCAAAAAATTCCTGTTTTGATACTTCTAAGTTAAAATATATGTTACAGTTTATCTGGTACTTCATTTTTCTTAACTAAAATTACTTTTTACTTTAAGCTTGAATAAAAATCTTCATTGGTAACTGTATGTAATTAAGTGGCAACTTCTCTTTACCTCAGTATAGTTAAAAACCATTCATATTTTAAGTGATTCATGTATACCCTGAAGCCGTTAATACACCCCAGTCTCTATGGTAACATCACTAAATGTGGGCATAGAAACTCCACAGCTGTTTACAAATTTGGTTACAGTGTGCTACGGTGCATTTGTAACACTCAGATTTGTGCCCATTCAGGGGCAATTTGGCACTCAGATTCTACTCTACTTCACCTAACCACCCCTAGATCTGAGTTTTCAGAGTGCTTCTGAAGTACAGTTTAAAAACACTTTTTAAAAAGTGGAGTAAAAGTGAGGCACATTTTACAAGAACATAACTCCTATTAAAACGGAGTAACAACTATGCAAAGGTTTCTATAGCAGCTAGGTGAGTTTGTTTTCCGGGTCTGTCTTAACTGGCAGCTTCCTGTACATACTGGTACTTATTTGCTGTAAACGTCTGTTTCATACATTTGCCATGCAGTGACTGTGCTCGAAAGGTGAAATCAATGGTAAAGAAGCCTAGGATTTTATGGTATGAGAAACTGATCGCAGGATTTTCTGATCCATAGCTATTAATTGAAAACTTCTGATAGTGCTGTAGGCTCTATAGTAGGCTTAAGAGTGAGTCTTATACTATGAAGCCAGCCACAAGATACTAACAAATGTATAAATTGAAAAGTACCAATACTTTTTGCACATAGATCAAAATAGAGTGGAGAATTTGGGCTCCAAAAATCAGGTTAGTAGGCTCATTTCCATGTGCTTAAAAATGTTTTTGTTGTTATGCATTGATTAAGGGCTAGAGCAAATATAAAATTAAATGTCTTTTTCCTCCAAATAATTGGTTATTAATGGTAAAATGTTGGACTTGGGGATTACTGAGATTAGTATGTGGGTAGTAAAGAATTGGAGTGGGAGTTAGTGGGGAGGGATGACAAAGCTTCAGCTTTGGTTTTTGTATTTTTTTAGTCTTCATAACAGCTACATTTCTGTTGCTCTTATTGGCCAGATAAATGTGTTATATTAAACCAGGTAAGTATTTTAAACAGAGAACATTTTATTTGCATATATCCCTACAAATTGGCCCATTTTATTGGGTGGGGGGATAAAAAAGGGATTCCCTAACTTTAAATAATCAGAATATCCTGCAATTGAAAGGAGAAAAAAATCCAATTTTGTCAGTATTTTCTTAGTCTGAAAAAAACAGCAGTAGTAATCTGGTGAATGTTATTATTAGGAGTGTTCTGCCTCTACAGTGGCATATTCCATGACATTAATAGAAAACCCTTCTTTCCCACCCCTCCCCATCTTGACATTTTCTTTTTTAGGATGTTGGTTCCTGCAAACAAGAACTGACCCTATCACCTCTGCCTCACAGTGGGTAAATATATCATACATCTCTTGAAAGGGAAAATATCCATGTCAGTTTCTTTCACAGTAGAAGAATGGCTGCTTTTGAATGGGGAGGAAAGAAGACATTTTTCTTAATATCCTTTTTGTCCCATCTCTAAAATGTATAAATATTTTGATTTGGTTTTACTTTAATTTCTCATTCATAATTTCGCAACTGTCCTTTTGGGTTGCCCTCCAACACATTACTTCCATTTCAGAAACCATATCTGATTTAATATAAACTGCTAACTTAAGAAGAGGTGAATTTGCATTTACACTTAGACACTTTCTAAAAACAGGGTGAACTTAATTGAAATTTTTCAGTGTTGTTAAGCTATTGTTATAGTAGCTGCCCTATAGTTACAAAAATAAAAACTATAAAAACCCATCCCCTATCTACTTAATCCAGATAGCCTGGATTTAACAAAACCAATAGTATAAAAATGTGTGTGTGTGTTCTGTGTGTGTGTGAGAGAGAGAGTACTTGATTCATTAAAAAGTCCTGGAAACAGCTGTTCTAGGATCTTGTCATTTTTACTGAAAGTCTCGTGCACATGTGAAGTGCCCTCTGAGTTTAAGGTTTGGTTAATACTGGTATATTTTTATAAGATTGAAATTGTGTCCCCATCTTTAACTTAAACATTTTCATTATCAGGGTCAATGTGCTAGAACTGAATTGTAACATTTTTAGGCACAGATGGAAAAAAATGTTATTGGCTCCTTGAAAATGTGTGTGTGTGGCGAGGGGAATAGATCCACAAAAGCATGTATGTACTTACAAACCAAGCTGTAGAGATCAAGAAAAGAACTTAAGTGTTGATCTCAAGATTTCTAAATTGTCAAGATTTACATGGCATTGTGGTGGAACTAGTTAACACTTAGAGCTTTTGGTATGTAATAACTATTTGCTATGGACTGATTAAATGTTTCAAAAGATTGTGTTCTTCAATTTTGGTGGGTTTTGATTTTTGTTTTTTTAACTGCCTCTCAGATTATATTTACTTAGTTTAAATTTCTTTGCTTTATTCATTAAAGTATAAAAACTTCAGGTCTCTGATATTTATTTTCACTTGTTTACTAATTATTTACAAAACACCCTTTGTTGACTTTTATTTTATAAATGTGTAATGTATTAAACGTCTTTAAATTTTTGTTCAACTGAAACTACATTAACTTTGATTTGCTTTACTGGGATTTTTTTTTAAAGACACTTTTTCCATGTCAGTGCGCAGCACTTAACCAGTCGTTTGTATTCCCTTTCTTTCAATCCAATAAACAGAATGAATACCTAAATAATTCTTGGTGTGTTACATCTCCTAATATCCATTAATCTGAATGTTTAAGTAGTACTCTTTTTGCCTAAAACATTTGCTGATTTTTTATGTATTTTAGAGAGAGTCTCACTGTGTTGCCCAGACTGGACTTGAACTGCTGGGCTCAAAATATCCTCCTGACTCAGCCTCTCAAAAGTGCTGAAATAACAGACACAAACCATCATGCCTGGCTATGATTTGCTGAATTTGCCTTCCATATATGTACCTAGAGTTTGTGAGTGATAGCTAAAGAAGCAGTGGTTAGTCTGTTGGGATCATCTTTTTTTTTTTTTTTTTTTTTTTTTTTGAGACGGAGTCTTGCCCTGTCGCCCAGGCTGGAGTGCAGTCGTGCGATCTCGGCTCAGTGCAACCTCTGCCTCCCGGGTTCAAGTGATTCTTCTGCCTCAGCTTCCCAAGTAGCTGGGACTACAGGCGCCCGCCACCACGCCCAGCTAATTGTTGTATTTTTAGTAGAGATGGGGTTTCACCATATTGGCCAGGCTAGTCTCGAATTCCTGACCTCGTGATCCACCTGCCTCGGCCTCCCAAAGTGCTGGGATTACAGACGTGAGCCACCGCGCCTGGCCTGGGATCGTCTTTTTAAGGGCCACTGTGCATTCATGGATAAACTTAGAAAAATTTTAGGAGTATTTGCATTTCAAAGGAATTGCATGCCCTATTTTGTTCAAAAATAAAGTTCAAATGTGAAAAATAAGTATTTGGCAGCCGACTAATGGTGAGTGTAGCTGTGAGAGGTATTGCTTCCATAGCTCACGGCTTAGAAAATCATGGTTTGCAGCTTCCTCTGATTAACAGGAAAGAGAAGGAAGAAGTTTTTCTACTTGTTTTCTTTAAATACAGCTATACCTTAACAGCAGATTTAGCTAATTTAGTCAGTTTATTCATCTACATTTAGAGTTCCATGCCAATTCCCAGGACCAGGTATAGAAATTTTCTCAGTCTTAACAAATCTAAGAGTACAGATTTTTTTTTAAAATACAATCTGGCCGGGCACAGTGGCTCACGCCTGTAATCCCAACACTTTGGGAGGCTGAGGCAGACAGATCACCTGAGGTCAGGAGTTCAAGACCAGCCTGACCAACATGGCAAAACCCCGTCTCCATTAAAAATACAAAAATGAGCTGGGCGTGGTGGCCGGCGCCTGTAGTCTCAGCTACTCAAGAGGCTGAGGCAAGAGAATCGCTTGGACCTGGAAGGCGGAGGTTGCAGTGAGCCAAGCTCGCGCCATTGCACTCCAGCCTGAGCGACAGTGCAAGACTCCATCTCAAAAATAATAATAAATAAAATACAATCTAATTCTCTTCCACTTAAGCAAAAGAAAAACTGGTATTTTATTACATCATTTAATGACTTCTCTTTTCCAAAAAAATCTAAAACTTAAGATTCAACAAACAGAAGTATTCCCCTCATCATATCACATCGTTCAAGAATCTTTGTTGTTGGTTTTGTGGCAGTAGGCTCTTCTCCCTCAAACTTGATTAGCCTACTTAAATGAGCTTGCTATATATGAAACATTCTAGTCATGTACTTAAAGTTATTAAATCAGCATGTAATTATAGCTAATGTGGGAATCAAAAGGACAAATAGCAAATTTTCAATCAAGTTTATTTTGTTGTGTTTTGTTTCTTGTTCTCAGATGAGACAAGTTTTAACTTCCCTTTCTGATGTAAGGAGTAGTGGCTTCCTTGGTCATGATATTAAAGTTGGCGCAACTTTATGTACATTCGTCCTTCCTATATGATTAAGACTTTAGAATTCTTTCATACGCTCAGGAAAGACATTTAAGACAATTAGCCATGGTGATAGAACAGATCTGGAATAAAAGTGATTTCACTGCAACTTTAGCTTATTTTTAAAAACATAAGAAAATGCCTGTGTGGCTTTTTTCCCTACTGTTTTGAATATAAGAAATAGAGCTACACATTGGATTGGAAATTGTATTCCAGGTAGTTTCCAAATGTTGAATAATTTTCCCTCATCCCCCATAGCTGAAGAATATCAGTTTGTGTCCTAAGCATTCAGAAAAGGGATCCCTGATTTTATTAACATCAACAAAACTTTTTAAAAATCTTTTTTAAAGAACAGGCAGATGCACTTCTGATAGGAAACAAAATACATTTTGGATCTATATGCTATATTCTGTAAAAGAAAATTAACTGTAGATGAACATGCCTGAACCTTTCACAGGTAAGTATGTTTAAGTGGGCTTTTTTGTCCCATTAATGGATTTGCATGAAAAGACCTTTTCAGTAAGTTTCTGTTAACTTGTACACAAACTAAACAACTAAATTGGTTTTCCTTTTTCTTTCTGTTCTTCCTCTTAGTAAAAGTAGACAATTGGAGTGCCTGTTAGATGCCAGGCACTAAGCTAAGCATTTCACGTACATTATTTAACTGTCTACTGTAAACAAGTATTACTGCCCACTATTTTCCAGGTGATAAGCTTGAAGATATAACCTGTTATTCCAAAGCCTGCAATTTTAACCTCTAAATCCAAATGCATGTGAGTCAGTTGGGGGCTTTTCTAAGTTTCAGATTTCTGAGGCACCTTTCAGATCTCAAAAGGGAGATCTGGAATTTGTGTGTGTGTGTGAACACTCCAGGTAATTTTATTTTTAAGTTTTTTTATGCAGAGACGGGTAGGGGGAGCGTCTCACTTTGTTGCCAAGGCTGGTCTCGAACTCCTGGCCTTATGCAGTCCTCCCACCTTGGCCTCCCAAAGTGCTGGGATTATAGGTGTGAGTCACTGCTCAAGACAAGGTAATTTTATGCTGTCAGCCTGGTACCAATTCATTTGTTGGTGTTTGAAAACCAACCACAAGACCATAATGCTATGTTACATCAGTGAAAAGAACAAAAAGCAGGAGCAAGAAGGGCATTCGGAGGAACTAACCACATTAATTTTACACCTATTTCACATACACCTATTTGGTTATTGAGCAACAAGTATTCATTTGGGTGCTTACTGTAGGCCAATCACTATGAGTGTGAGCCATTCATATATATTCTCATTTAAATATCAAAGTAGCTTTGTGGGGCAGATATGCTAATTCTCATTTTACAAATGAGGGAAATAGGCTTTAAAAGGTATATGTATGAAGGAGCTGGGACTCAAACCTAGGTGCCTCTGAGCTCATGTTTTTAGTCACTACACCATATAATATTTCTTTGGTGTCTATAGATGGCCACTTACCTTGGAAAAATTGACTGTTAAAACTTGTCAAAGATAGATGAAAAGTTTAAGGCCCCACTTTGATTCTAGTGAACTCCTTAACTGACAGAAGGAAATGACACTTGAAATTCAGGAGACTCCTTCATATTGATTGCTTCGGGGTTTTTTGTTTTTTTGTTTTTTAAGTCTCGCTCTGTCACCCAGGCTGGAGTGCAGTGGTGGATCTCAGCTCACTGCAACCTCTGCCTCCCAGGTTCAAGCGATTATATCACGTCTCAGCCTCCAAGTAGCTGGGACTAGACACGCACCACCATGTCCGGCTAATTTTTGTTTATTTTTTATTTTTATTATTTTTTTGAGATGGAGTCTCACTGTGTTGCCCAGGCTGGAGTGCAGTGGTGCGATCTCGGCTCACTGCAACCTCTGCCTCCCAGGTTCAAACAATTCTCCTGCCTCAGCCTCCCAAGTAGCTGGGATTACAGGCACCCGCCATAACGCCTGGCTAATTTTTGTATTTTTAGTAGAGACGGGGTTTCACCATGTTGGTCAGGCTGGTCTGGAATTCCTAACCCTGTGATCCACCCGCCTCGGCCTCCCAAAGTGCTGGGATTACAGGCGTGAGCCACCGTGCCCCATTTTTGTATTTTTAGTAGAGATGAAGTTTCACCATGTTGGCCAGGGTGGTCTTGAACCCCTGCCCTCAAGTGATCTGCCTGCCTTGGCCTCCTAAAGTGCTGGGATTACAGGCATGAGCCACCGCACCCGGCCTGATTGCTCTAATTGTAAAACAGACTCAAGTTTTGTAGAGGGAAACCTCCACAACAAATTTTAATCTTTTTTCAAGAGACAGGGTCTTGCTCTGTTACCCAGGCTAGAGTACAGAGATGTGATCATAGCTCTCTGTAACCTTGAACTCCTGGGCTCAAGCCATCCCTCCACGTCAGCCTCCCAAGTAGCTAGGACTATATAGGTGCCTATATCGGCTAATTTTTTTTTAAGAGATGGGGTCTCACTATTTTGCCTAGGGGTGTCTCGACCTCCTGGCCTCAAGTGATCCTCCCACCTTGTCTTTCCAAAGTGCTGGGATTACAGGCATGAGCCACTGTGCCTGGCCTAGATACTTAATTCTAAGGAATTGCCAGTTTGTGTGACACTGCTCCTCTAGTCGCATGTGTTTTAAGAACCCTTATCTTACAGAGAAACATACTAAAATATGACAGATGTAACAAGGTCTGGGATTTGCTTCAAAATGGAGGGCAGTGGAGGGCAAAGAAGGTGGTAGGTAATGGATAAAAGAAGAATGACTGTAAGTTTATTTTTTTTCTCTGCTGTTTGAATCAGCAAGTATGACCGTAAGTTGATTATTGTACCTGGTAAAATAGAAAATTACCAACTAACACGGGTAAATCCTATTACTCTGTCCCAGAAAGTTGGCAAATTTATATAAAGCTACCCCAGAGGATTCAACCTGCTCCACAGGTCTCTTTCTGATAGATACCAGTGGCAGTCAAATGTGTTACTTTTAATTAAGCAACACGAGAGGTTCAATTCTCACCCAGTTTGCATCCAACCTGTGAAATAAGATCTAGAAAACAGGAATTAAAGTGTATGTTCAACTAACTCACATTCTAACTAGGTGCTAACGTTTAATGGGAACTGATATAGATGAAACCAAGATTGCTCCATAACGGATGTAGCAAACCAAATATACAGCAGAGGAAGCCACAGGCAAACCACTGAGTTCTCTCTCAGCCTGCTGATTCCGACCACCCACCCACTCACTCTTCTCCACCCAGCTTCAGAGGGAAGCAATTAAAAATAAAAGCAGCCTTTACCCAAGAACTTATTAAAGAGCACCTGAGCTCAGAACCAAGTTAGCTCAGTGAACAGTCCCTTCAGCATGTCCAGACCATTATTGTGATTACTGTAGTGAAGAATGATAACCCGAAAGCTTTGAATGACCTTCAGTCATTAGACTGTATTTAACTGAAGCAAAAAAAAGTTACCTTTTCAAAAATTCCTGAAAAATATGGCTTAGATCCAAAAGGCTTCATTTACCAAGAATATTTCAATCTTTGCTATACTACATAGTAAAATAGTATATTTGGTTTAAAGTACATAAACTCAGGTGACAAAGATCCAGATATTGTAGAATTTCAAACTTACCTTCTCTATCTTGCTGCCCTTTTCCATATATTAGAACAAGTTTATTTAGATTTTGGGGACAACTAATTATACCTAGTATATAATATTTCTCACTACTTGACAAAGTATTACCTGTTAGCAAAGCTGATTTCTCCAGTCTCAAGTGAACCAGTTATAGCCATTTCCTAGCCTAGCATGTCAGAATATTTCATAATGTGACTGTCTTGAAAACAAAGATGGTCAACTTTGATTATGTTGCTCCATTGCTGCTTCTCTGACTTAAAGGCCATCAGTTTGACTTCTTGCTGAAAAAGCAATAGAACACCACAATCAGGTTTACTTATTCACTCAACAATCATTTATTGTTTGTGTGCAAGGCACTGTGTTAGGTGCCAAGAGCAGAAGGAAGAAGATACAAATATGAATGGGCATATTCTGCCCTCCAGGAACATACAATCTAAGAGTGATTAATTGCATACAAATAACTGTAATACCAGATAGAATGTGGTAAGTGCCATGGGAGATACTACTATAGGAAGCTTTCTTAGCTCTTAACTTCAAAGACCAGGTCAGGTTTTGTCCTACTGTAGTCTGTGGCAGGCATGAAAAGGCAGCTGAGGGGACCTGCTAGGCTTTGATGAACTGAGCTGCATCTTGGATTTCGCTTCCTCTTCTTTCTCAGCCGAGGTTACGGTGATTAGCAAGGGCAGTTGCTACCACTGAAAGGATAGAAGGAAAAAGGCAAGGGAAAATGATACGTACTAAGATGCACATAGGAGCACTCGATAGTAGTCTATGGACCGGGCCCTGGGTACTGCCATTATAGAGGGAAGGGGAAGAGGAGTGGTAAGGGAGAGAGAACACTGGACTAAGCCTCAGCATTCAGATGTTCCCAGTTACAACACCCTGAACGATCTCTAGGCCTCAGCATTCAGATGTTCCCAGTTACAACACCCTGAACGATCTCTAGGCCTCAGCATTCAGATGTTCCCAGTTACAACACCCTGAACGATCTCTAGGCCTCAGCATTCAGATGTTCCCAGTTACAACACCCTGAACGATCTCTAGGCCTCAGCATTCAGATGTTCCCAGTTACAACACCCTGAACGATCTCTAGGCCTCAGCATTCAGATGTTCCCAGTTACAACACCCTGAACGATCTCTAGGCCTCAGCATTCAGATGTTCCCAGTTACAACACCCTGAACGATCTCTAGGCCTCAGCATTCAGATGTTCCCAGTTACAACACCCTGAACGATCTCTAGGCCTCAGTTTATCTTTGGGATGAGGGAGTTAGACAAAATGATCTCTAAGGTCCTCTACAACTCTCCAATCAATGAAAAGGGGAGAACATTTATAGCATCTTAAACATGGCTTTTTAAAGTCAGTGCTTTTATCCCCCTTTCATGATTTGTAGAAGTGCCCCTAAAAAAATTGTTTTTGAGCTGGGCGTGGTGGCTCACACCAGTAATCCCAACATCTGGGAGGCCGAGGCAGGAGAATCGCTTGAGGCCAGTAATTTTGATACCAGCCTAGGCAACATAGCAAGACCTCTGTCTCTACAAAAAATTCGCTGGGCATGGTGGTGTGCACCTACTCCCAACTACTTGGGAAGCTGAGGCAGGAGGACTGCTTGAGTCCAGGAGTTCAAGGCTGCAGTGTACCACGATTGCGCCAGTGCACTCCAGCTTGGGCGACAGGGCAAGACTCTGTCTCTAATTAAAAAAAAAAAAAATTTAACTACAGTGATCCCCCACTTTCCTGGCTTTGATAGACAAGCAATACAAGAAGGAAGAGTTTTTGTTTTTAACCACAGCTAATGTTTCAGAAGTAAGGAGCTTTGACCTCTGTTATAAACATGGCACCTTTCTGATTTGCTTAGCCTCAGCAAGCCTGATGTACTGTAAACTGACAGCCCAAAGGCTCTCTCAACTGCATGAGTCACTGTTTTGGTTACTAAGAATATCTGAATGAGAAGGTGAAACATTTTGGTCAAAAGTCATCTACATGGCCAGGCGCAGTGGCTCACACCTATAATCCCAGCACTTTGGGAGACCAAGGCAGGCAGATCGTTTGAGGTCAGGAGTTTGAGACCAGCCTGGCCAACATGGTGAAACCCCATCTCTACTAAAAATACAAAAATTAGCCAGGAGTAGCTAGCCGTAATCCCAGCTACTTGGGAGGCTGAGGCAGGAGAATCGCTTGAACCCAGAAAGCAGAGGTTGCAGTGAGCTGAGATCACACCACTGCACTCCAGCCTGGGCAACACAGCAAGACCCCATCTCAAAAAAAAAAAAAAAAAGATCTCTACCGCCTTTAAGTAGCTTATCTCTCAGTTGCAAGGATTTAAGTTCTCCAACAGCTTCGTTGCTTTAAAAAGCTTGAGCAGAACATGAAGAGGCACAGGAAGTTAGGAGGAAAGGCAGAGTGAAGGGACTGTTTTCTAAGCAAAAGCTGCCTCAGAGGGAAAAGGTATGAAAAAGAGATGCAAGCAAAGTAATGTCTGTTACACAGCTTCTTGGCCCTGTGCCTGACAGAAATATAAGATTACCACAAGGAGCAATTTCTGTGACCCCAAAGAGGCCAGCAGAGCCAAGTTCACTTTGCCTACCATTTCACCGTTCCTTTTGTGTGTTGCCAGGGCACTACTTCCAGCCTTGAAACATGGTCTGTCTGCACAGGGAGTTTGGCTTAGTGGCTCCCTTGCTTCTGCCAAGGCTAGACCTGGTCAAGGACTAAAAGGACATGTAACATTTAATCTTTTGGGTACCACACACCCTGTTTAGCCACCCAATTCTATCTCAACTAGAGTGAATAATGCCTTTGGATTCTCCCACAGAACACAGTCATGTTTTGCCCAAATGCCAGTGCTTAAGATAGCAACATTAAACCACAAACTAGGACTGAGGATAAATTGCCAGGTTTATTTTACCCTGTAAGAGCTGGCAAACAGAGCTAAGGAGGTGAACTGCTCTCCCACCTGCAAGAGTTTACAATATAACTCCAAGGAACAGAGTTTGGTTGTATATTGCTATGTCCATGAAATGGCTTGCATTTGGTCTCCCAGTTCACAACGTGGTCAGTGCAGAGGGATAGAAGTGTTGATCTGGCACCACGTGGCGCACCAAAAGGCTCAATTTCACAGACAGCAAATAACTATTCCTGCTTCTAATCTGATTAGCATCTTCTACCCAAACCCATGAAAATACGTTATCAGGGAGATCAAATACAATTGGAATAACTGCAATACGAAAACCAGACTGGCAAGAGCCAGTGGGGATTTTCTGGGTTTGGGGGTGATTGTGGAGGTAGTAGCTTTTAAATGAAAGCTCTTGACAAAATATTTCCTTTCTATCAGCAGGAACTACATTGTACCTGGGGAAAATGGCTTATAAGGTTTCACAAATTGTGCAAAGAAATATATATATTTTGAGATGCCATTCTCTGTTGACATTCTTGTGAAAAGACTTTTAGCTGACAGTCTCATAAATCTTTAAACCATATTAAATGAAGTTGTCACAACACAAGCAAAAAGGGTAATTTTTCTTCTTTTGTCCAGATCAACAGTGTTGTTTTGTACTCTAACTTTTCAGTAGACCTGAAGGGCACCTTTGCTCGCTCATCTCTTCAGTTTGCCCTTTAAAGTGTGTTCTTTATTTCTTTGGCATGCAAAGCTGGGATGGCAGTCCTGTTCCTACATACAAATAACCACCTTCAACATACAGAGGATGAAAAACACCTTCAAGTGTTGGCGTTCAGGCTAAAGTTGAGAACTAGAAATCTACAGAAACTCAATTCATGTTTTTTAAATACTTTATATGGTAAAAATACAGCAAAAATAGTTTTTTGTTCCAAGAGGAAAATATATACTGCTATGGTCACGGTTCTAAGGATGATTTAAGAAGTCTCTGGCTCCTCAACTGTGCACTGTAGTGTAGGCTGACTTCAACCACGGCTTCTCCAGCTTCAGTCATTTATCAAAGCTAAGATCATACTGTGGAAAGAAGAAATGAATGTCACTAATGTTTTCTCAGGAATGTTCCTACAGAGCCTGGTTTGTCCAGACTTGCGTCCCTAAGGTTCACAAAGGAACAATCATTTGAGTAAAAGACAATCATTCATACCCAAAGGAAAGAATATATTAGGATCTTTCATGTCCAAACTTTTTCACTAAAAAAGAGTGACTGGGGGTGGGGAGTTGGGGGAAGTACAACTTAAAACCTATGTTAGGCTATAGTTAAAAAAATAAAAACAAAACAAAACAAAAACAACCTAGCTCAGTTAAAAAAAAACAAAACAAAACAAAAAACACCTATGTCCAGAAAAAAAAACCTTTAAATTCTCTAGCCAGATACATACTGTTCTATGCCTGGAACCTCTTCTCCCCATCCCACCACTCCATCAAAGCAGTAACTTCTTACTCAGGTTTTGTGATTGGCTCTAGGGCACCTCGTTGGGGAAGCTGGCCTCTCAGCCCAGGGCAGTTGCACAGCCTCCTTCCACAGCTCTTCTTCCTGCTGCTGTGGCTTACATGTTGTCTCTACCACTGGACTATGAGCAACTCTTGAGATGAAAGCAGGGCCCAAGCATTACCACTTTCATGTTCTACTAGCAACCGGGCCTGCAATTACCAAGTTCCAAGCTTTTACCGTAGGGGTTCTGTGCTGCTCCTCTGTGTCACTTGCAATGTTGTACACAATGTCTGACACACAGCAGTCACCCAATAAATGCTACGCCACTAAAATTGACACAGTTAACAATAACAAAACCATCCTTTCCTTTGAAATACTGGGATCAGCCTTGCTCTGCTGAAATGAAATGCCTAAAATACACAAAAATATCCTTACATCACTTATGGTATAAATAATTGTCCAAATTCAACCATACTAAATGTACTCAATGCACAGTAAAAATTAATGATAGCAGCTAATATTTTTTAAAGATTTTTGAGAGTTTACTATGGGTCAGCATAAACAAGTGTCTTACATGTATTATCTCAGCCCACATTAAAATGTGATGAGGTAGGTACTATTAATATCATTAATATCCCCTTTTCAGATCAGAAACTGAGGCTCAGACAAGTTAAGAAACTTGCCCCAGGCCGGGTGTGGTGGCTCACGCCTGTAATCCCAGCACTTTGGGAGGCCGAGGTGGGTGGATCACCTGACCAACATGGTGAAACCCTGACTCTACTAAAGATACAAAAATTAGCCGGGCATGGTGGCGTGCGCCTATAATCCCAGCTACACGGGAGGCTGAAGCAAGAGAATCCCTGGAACCTGGGAGGCGGAGGCTGCAGTGAGCTGAGATCATGCCACTGCACTCCAGCCTGGGGGACAGAGTGTGAGACTCCATCTCAAAAGAAAAAAAAAAAAGAAACGAAACTTGCCCCAGGCCACAGTGTAAGTGGTAGAGCCCACATTCCACTAGGCTAGCACCCAATCAAAAAACCAAAAGCATAGATTCCCCCATTCTCTAAAGAAGATGAGCATTTTTTCAAAACTTTAACTCCATTCAACAAGTCCTGAAATGTCAACTAGGTCCAAGGTATTAGGCAAGGTGTGGCAGATGTTAGATACAAAGACAAGTAGCATAAAATCTCTGCAATCAAAAGCTAATGACTTGGTAGTAATAGCAAAACCACTGTTTAAAAACAGCAACCAAAAACCAAGAGAAAAGTGCTACAAGGACATCTTCTGACCCTCTGAACTATATGTAACACCAAAGGGTAACGTAATAGCAATGTGGCTGAAAATGACAGGCTGATAGGGAAGGGAAAGGAAGGGAAGAGAGAAAAGAAAACTGTACAGCCAGTGAAGTACACAGCTGCCCAGGCAAACCAGTTACATGAGTTGCCTATCTTTTATTTAGTTATAAAGAACAATATCTTAAACCTGCCCCAAAATTACATCTTAATTCCTCCAGTCCAACTCCCCACCACTTTATTTTTTCTTTTTTTTTGAGACGGAGCCTTACTCTGTCACCCAGGCTGCAGTGCAGTGGCATGATATCGGCTCACCGCAACCTCCACCTCCCGGGTTCAAGCGATTCTCCTGCCTCAGCCTCCCGAGTAGCTGGGATTACAGGCGCCCGCCACCACACCTGGCCAATTTTTGTATATTTAGTAGAGATGGGGTTTCACCATTTGGGCCAGGCTGGTCTTGAACTCCTGACCTTGTGATCCACCCACCTCGGCCTCCCAAAGTGCTGGGATTACAGGCATGAGCCACCGAGCCCAGCCACTCCCCACCACTTTAAATTCTACGACTAAGAGTTCAGAAACTCATGTACATTTTTAAATCCTAAGACTTTGAGTCTACTAAGCAAGATACCTCCAAGCCTAAATTTACTCTGCAAAGCATGACTACGTGGGCTGTACCTACAGCACCGCCCCCAGGAGATGCCTGCTCTAGTTTACTTTCCAACAGCATGAAACCGCAGGGGTGGGGAGGATGAAGAAAGGATAACCTTAGCTAAGCCAATTCCAGCTTGTTTTTTGTCTCTTCAGAAACAAATATAAGGGAACATATATGACAGTAAAGATACAAAAGTATTAAAAACAAGAATAGGTGCATCATTATGTTCTCATCATTAACTTTTTTTGCTCCTTATTCATCATCTTTGATACTTGGATTAAGAACTAAGCATATTAGTAATGAGGTAGGGTATGAGAATCAGAAACTGATACCAGTGTGCTTTTTCTGATCTAGTTTTTAAGACACAGAAAAGCAAATAAGATGAATGGTGAAAAGAAAACTATCTAAACTCCAATTTTAATCTAATCCACTAATGGGTGGATTTAGCACAGTGAAGGGATTTTAGGAAGCCTGCTTTGTCAGGAAGAGGCTAAAATGGTTCTGACTTCTAAACTATTTCAAAAAAATAGCAATTTTTAAAAACTGCTATCTTGGCCAGGCACGGTGGCTCATGCCTGTAATCCCAGCACTTTGGGAGGCCGAGGTGGGCGGATCATGAGGTCAGGAGATTGAGACCATCCTGAAACCCCATCTCTACTAAAAATAGAAAAAAAAAAAAAAAATTAGCCAGGCGTGGTGGCACGCACCTGTAGTCCCAGCTACTTGGGAGGCTGAGGCAGGAGAATCGCTTGAACCTGGGAGGTGGAGGTTGCAGTGAGCCGAGACTGTGCCACTGTACTCCACCCTGGGTGACAGAGCGAGACTCTGTCTCGAAAAACAAAACAAAACAAAACAAACAAAAAAAAAACCCCTGCTATCTCTATACAGTTTCTAATCAAGAATTTTCTGAGTGGTGGAAGTTTACTTCAACATAAGTTTTTCCTAATAGTCCTTATGCCTATGTGAAAAATTAAACTCTACCTAGGAGAAAAAATAAAAATGATCTAATTAAAGCTTTGATACAAAGGTTAAGCCTGACTTCTAGCTTTTCAAAGGTTTAATCAAATCGTATACACAGGAATTTTTTTTTCTCCTTTGCTCTATTCTATGCATCTATGATGGATAAAGGAAAAGGTGGCATGTTCACCTCTAAAACACACAGGAATAATTTAAAACAGGACTATATAAGGCTTCCAATGTCTGACAGCCAATCTATCATATTAATTCTTACTTCCAGTGTGTTATAACTAGAAGACTGATACAACTTTACCATAATAGACATTTAGCATGCTGGAGAATGAGCATCACACCTAAATTACTTATTGCCAAGAAAGATCAGCACAATTTGGATAAAAGTTGCTGAGAGCTGCTGCTAGTGGTGTGATCCCCCAAAGACCATGAGTGGGATGGTCGCTGAGGCACATATATTAATGCTTATAACAGGCAGTGGAACTCCACAGCTGTATACTACTAGGGAAGGAAAAAAATATGAAACAGAGTTTCACTATTGTTGCCCAGGATGGAGTGCAATGGCGCGATCCTGGCTCACCACAACCTCTGCTTCCCAGGTTCAAGTGATTCTCCTGCCTCAGCCTCCCAAGTAGCTGGGATTACAGGCATGTGCCACCACGCCCACCTAATTTTGTATTTTTAGTAGAGTCGGTGTTTCTCCATGTTGGTCAGGCTGGTCTCGAACTCCCGACCTCAGGTGATCTGCCCTCCTCGGCCTCCCAAAGTGCTGGGATTACAGGCGTAAGTCACCGTGCCCTGTTTTAAGCATGTGGATAGCCTCAAAGCTAAGGCATAACTAAGATGCAACAGGGTAGATCTACTGTAGTTCAGACAGAAAGCTGATTCAATGACATACATAAATAATCTACACAGCCACAAGGAATTTACATAATCCCCGAAAGTTCCACAATGTCAATGCAAAATCCTATAGTATAGTAATATCTCACCCTTCAAAAACAAATATGGCATCTAGGAAAATACCAGGACTTTAAACTCACCTATAAAGATACATGAAGAAGCAGAGCAAGTGGAAACCAAGCTTGATCATGGCTTCTTTCATGTGTGACTTCAGCTGCCCTCGATTGTGTATTTCTGTTGGATCAAACACTCCCATGTTACCACTCGGCACCATAATGTATCTGATAAATTAAAGGATACACACATTAGAAGGATAATCAAATCATAGGCATAAGTATTCAAATATAAGTAGCCAATAATAATCGACTTTTAAAAGTGAACCAATCAGGCCCAGTACTGTGGCTCATGCCGGTAATCCCAGCACTTTGGCAGGCCAAGGCAGGTGGATCACCTGAGGTCAGGAGTTCAAGACCAGCTTGACCAACATGGTGAAACCCTGTCTCTACTAAAAATACAAAAATTAGCTGGGCATGGTGGCAGGCAACTGGAATTCCAGCTACTCGAGAAGCTGAGGCAGGATAATCACCTGAACCCGGAAGGCAGAGGTTGCAGTGAACCAAGATCGTGCCATTGAGCCCCAGCCTGGGTGACAGAGCAGAACTCCATCTCAAAAAAAAAAAAAAAAAAAGTGAGCCAATCATAGCAGCCTTAAATTCATACCACATATGTACAGAGTAGTATGATAATGTCATGGGCTGCCACTTAGTTTCCTTTTGAAAGTTATAATACTGTTAATCTTCTGCCCTGTAAAATAAATACAGTAACATTCCAGAAAAGGATATTTTATGCACTGAAACCCTTTTACTCATCTGTAGAAAACTACCATACCAGTCACATCTACAGCCCTTTTCCATTAGACAAAGGTTAAAGAAGGCTTCAAACCCAAACCAATTTTATTAAGTTCTTAGAAACTTCATTATGGAAACAGGGAAATTAAGGAAGTTAGGTTACTTTGAGAGGATCAATGAATTTAAGTGTCTGGGCTTCAACATCCAGACTGTGTCATCTGTGTAACATATATGTCCTAACCTAGCACTGTCCATGAATTCTTCCTGCTCTCACGTCTAAGCTTCTTCTAGTACAACCTTAGTTGTCACACAGCTTCTCAATTATCACTTCTTTGAAATGCAAAGGACTCTCTGAGTTCCACAAATCTGAAATTCTCCCTTAAAACCCCAGTAGCCCGACTATAGCTGAATAGAGGGTATTTTCATTTGAATATCCAGATAACATCTCATCCTTGTCTAATTTCTAGGTTATCTAATAAGAGTGTCACCATTTTCTTGGTGGTCCTTAAAAACTTCCTCTTACCCAACTGGGACTTCTCTCTTCCTCATCTTTCATAGCCAGTCCATCAAACCCTTGTCCAGTCTTTCTTCCTACCACCACTTACTTAGCTGTCTTTTTTTTCCTTTTTGTATTTTTGTTTTATTTTTAATTTTTGTGGGTACACAGTAGGTATATATATTTATGGGTTATATGAGAGATTTTGATACAGGCATGCAATGTGTACTAATCCCATCAGGGTAAGGCTGGGCACAGTGGCTCACACCTGTAATCCCAGCACTCCAGGAGGCCGAGGCGGGAGGATTGCCTGAGGTTGAGTTCAAGACCAACCTGACCAACATGGAGAAATCCCATTGCTACTAAAAATACAAAATTAGCCAGGCGTGGTGGCGCATGCCTGTAATCCCACCTACTCAGGAGGCTGAGGCAGGAGAATCGCTTGGACCCGGGAGACGGAGGTTGCAATGAGCCAAGATTGCGGTATCACACTCCAGCCTGGGCAACAAGAGCAAACCTCCGTCTCAAAAAAAAAAAAAAAAAATCACATCAGGGTAAACGGGGTATCCATTACCTCAAGCATTTATCCTTTGTGTTACAAACGATCCAGTTATACTTTTTTAGTTTATTATTATTATTATTTTTAGACGTAATCTCGCTCTGTTGCCCAGGCTGGAGTGTAGTGGCAAGATCTCGGCTCAGCGCAACCTCCTCCTCCTGGATTCAAGCAATTCTCCTGCCTCAGGCTGCGGAGTAGCTGGGATTACAGGTGCCCAACACCACCATGCCCAGCTAATTTTTGTATTTTTAGTAGAGATGGGGTCTCCCCGTGTTGGCCAAGATGGTCCTGAACTCCTGACCTCAGGTGATCCTCCCACCTCGGCCTCCCAAAGTGCTGGGATTACAGAAGTGAGCCACTGCGCTCATCTCTAAAACACACAGGAATAATTTAAAACAGGACTATATAAGGCTTCCAGTGTCTGACAGCCAATCTTTCATATTAATTCTTACTTCCAGTGCGTTATAACTAGAAGACTGATACAACTTTACCATAATAGACCATTCAGCATACTGGAGAATGAGCATCACACCTAAATTACTTATTGCCAAGAAAGATCAGCACAATTTGGATAAAAGTAGCTGAGAGCTGTGGTATGATTCCCCAAAGACCATGAGTGGGATGGTCGCTGAGGCACATATATTAATGCTTATAACAGGCAGGGGAACTCTACAGCTGTATACTACTAGGGCAGGAAAAAAATATCAAAGACAGTTTTTGGTATTTTTTTGATATCAAAAAAAAAAAAAAGACACACACAGTAAAAAGTGTTGGCAAGGATGTAGAGAAAATGGAACCCCCAATACACAGTTGATGGGAATGTCAAATAGTGCAGCTGTGGCTGGGCACACTGGCTCACACCTGTAATCCCAACACGTTGGGTGGCTGAGGTGGGAGGATCGCTTGAGCCCAGGAGGTCGAGGCTGTAGTAAGCAAACATCACGCCACTGCACTCCAACCTAGGCAACAGAGTGAGACTCTATCTCGAAAAAAAAAAAAGTGCAGCTGCTTCTGAAAACACTCAGGCAGTCCCTCAAAAGGTTAAATATAGAGTTACTATATGACTCAGTGATTCCACTCCTAGGTATTTTGCCTCTTTGTCCTGTGGACTACTGTACTTCATCTCCAACAGCATAAAGTATAGTGGTCTGAAAATAGCAAATAATCTATCTGTTGATTTTTTAAACCTTTTTAAATAGAAGGTAAACTTGTGACCAGCAGACAGCCAACCTGTCACTGCAGTTACCAGGGCAATAAATATACATGATCTTTGTCTTTATTTTATAATTATATTTAAAAAAGAATCTCCAGTGTTTCTGTTTGTTTTTTTGAGGCTGGGTCTCGCTCTGTTTCCCGGCTGGAGTGCAGTGGTGCAATCTCGGCTCACTGCAACCTCCGCCTCCCAGATTCAAGTGATTCTCCTGCCTCAGCCTCCCAAGTAGCTGGGACTACAAGCGCATGCCACCACGCCCAGCTAATTTTTGTATTTTTAGTAGAGATGCAGTTTCTCCACGTTAGCCAGGGCTGGTCTCGAACTCCTGACCTCAGGTAATCCACCCACCTCAGCCTCTTAAAGTGCTGGGATTATAGGCATGGGCCACCACGCCCGGCCTAAAAAAAGAATCTTTGGACTTGACTTCATAGAACCTTTTACCACTATCTACAAAGAAGCCATGCCAAAGCTGGCTCTTCTAGCAGGTTTTCATTTCTAGTAGAGATGACTGACAGTATGGTCTGGTATAACATTAAGATCCTCATTCTCAAAGATTCGAGTCCCCATTCTCACTCCCAAAGTTGTGTTTCACTTAAGTGAAACTACAGGTAGACTTAGCTGTGCTAAAAGTCTGTCTGGGACTAGCCCGCAGCAGAAGTGCAAGTAATCTGTGTTCCCAGCTCAGAGCTCACTTTAGGGCGTTGGTCTATGGAACTGATCATGGGAGAGTACTACTAAGCTTGAAAGAGGCCAGGTGCGGTGGTGTGCACCTGCAGTCCCAACTGCCCAGGAGGCTGAGGTGGGAAGATCGCTTCAGCCCAGGAGTTCAAGGCTGTAGTGCACTATATCACACCTGTGAATAGCCATTGCATTCCAGCCTGAGCAACACAGCAAGACTTCATCTCTTAAAAAAAAAAAAAAAATTCAGAACCCATGTTCAGTATATTAAAAAATGAAAAAGAAAACAAAAAATTCGACCCCAGGGTACCCACCCTCTAGAAAAGAGACACAGATATTTTAAAGCTTTTCCCTCACTCAGATTCTAGTTTCATGACCTTTATAAAATCATTCCCCCATATCCACTCCTTCCCTCACCTCTACTGCTGCCATTATCTTTTCATGTGCATCCCATCTTCCTCCAAACCCTACTTTATTTTTTTCTGTTCTTTTTATTCTAACTGCACTTTACAACATCATACTTAAAAAACAGCCAATGAATGGTCCTGTCCCAAAAAACTAGACATAAATAAAAATGAAATAAAACCTAAAAATGTAGTAGAGCAGCAACCCACTAATATAACAATTACAGGCTTGTCAAGATTATCCCAGCGGTCTTCACAAGAAAGTATGCTATGTCTAATAACCCAACTATAAAATTATATACTTCAGGGTTTCCATTGAGCTCATTTTGAACAAACTTCCTAAATTTATTAAATAAAAAATTTTGATTAGTTACCTAATTTGCAGCTTTTTTTTTTTTTTTCTTGAGACGGAGTCTCGCTCTGTCGCCCAGGCTGGTTGCAGTGGCGTGACCTCAGCTCACTTCAAGCTCCGCCTCCCGGCTTCACGCCATTCTCCCACCTCAGCCTCCCAAGTAGCTGGGACTACAGGTGCACGCCACCATGCCTGGCTAATTTTTTTTTTTATTTTTAGTAGAGATGGGGTTTCACCGTGTTAGCCAGGATGGTCTCGATCTCCTGACCTCAAGTGATCCACCCACCTCAGCCTCCCAAAGTGCTGGGATTACAGGCGTGAGCCACTGTACCCAGCCCTAATTTGCAGCTTTTAAACGTACTTCCAGCCCGGCGCTGTGGCTCACACCTGTAATCCCAGCACTTTGAGAGGCTAAGGTGGGCGGATCACTTGAGGTCAGGAGTTTGAGACCAGCCTGACCAACATGGTGAAACCCTGTCTACTAAAAATACAAAAATTAGCCAGGCACTGTGGCAGGCACCTGAATCCTAGCTACTCAGGAGGCTGAGGCAGGAGAATGGCTTGAACCCAGGAGGCGGAAGTTGCAGTGAGCTGAGATCAAGCCACTGTACTCCAGCCTGGGTGACAGAGTGAGACTCCATCTCCAAAAAAAAAGAAAAAAAGCTCTTAAACACCTTTTTTGGCTCACACCTATAAATAATCCCAGCCCTTTGGGAGGCCGAGACCAGCAGATCACCTGAGGTCAGGAGTTCAAGACCAGCCGGGCCAACATGGTGAAACCCTGTCTCTAGTAAAAATACAAAAATTAGCCAGGTGTGGTGGTGCACGCCTGTAGTCCCAGCTACTTGGGAGGCTGAAGTGGGAGAATCGCTTAAACTGAGGAGGCAGAAATTGCAGTGAGCTGAGATCACACCACTGCACTCCAGCCTGGGTAACAGAGTAAGATCCTGTCTTGAAAAAAACACAACTTTTTAAATTTTTTTTTAACTACCTTGACACCAAAGTAAACAAACTATACTCACCGATATATATTCCAAGTGGCAACAGGTAAGTTGAGAAGGAAGATGAACCAGTGCAATGACATGAGCAGTAATACAGTGACAATGGTATGGCCAATCAATTCTGGAATTACCCACTGCAATGGAAGAACACAGTATTACATCTCACTGCTATGTCCTTCCTGACTGTACATGTTATTTGAAACTAAATCAATGAACGTACAGAGAATTTACAAGCTACTGTTTCAAGATTATTTTTAGACTCCCATGTCCCAGATTTGCATACTGCTATAACTTTGTATCCCATGCAAATATATCAGGGCACAACTTAAAAATAAAGCACTTAAATTTCAATTACTTTTTATCCTAAGCAAAGGCTTAGGTTCATTCATTAAGCAGATTTGAATGAGAACTAGAGAAAAAAAGAGTATTGTTTAGTTCCTATTCTAGTATCTATGCCAAAGCCCCTAGCTCTAATTTGGGATGTCTGATATCCACACACATGTTGCCTTTCAAGTCAGAATAGCAACGTTAAACATTTTCCAATCTCCAGAATCCCGAGGAAACCATTTCATATTCAGAGAAAAACAAAAAATAATAAGAATGTAAAAGCTTACAATAATAGCTCAAAGTTGACCAAATATGATAATGAAGCAGAATGCCAGAATCCTGGCCTATCGGCTTTACAGAGCTCCATGCCCTTCCCTATGCTATTTGTTGACTGTGTAATGTTCTAGTTCTCATGCATCAACAGCTTTTGTGGCAGGGTTCTCAATTCACCAACAGCTTTCCTTTCCTATGAGTACAGATTTTTAATTAAAGTTAACTTCTTTTAGTGGAAGTTAATATTTAATGAAAGAAACTGGCATGCCTCACTTTCAGAAATGAGGAAAACAAAACTCAGAGTGGTTAGGTAAATTGCCTAAGGTTACACAGCTAAATAATGGCAGAGCAATATAGTGTAAGCCCAGGCACAATGACCTCAGACCTCTTGCATTTAGATTTTGGATAATTTTTTGGTAAATAAAGAAGTAGAGATTTTTCTGGGCCATAAACCTAATTTGCAATCAACTTGGTTATACTTTTTTTTTTTTTTCGCTCTGTCGCCAGGCTGGAGTGCAGTGGCATGATCTTGGCTCACTGAAACCTCCGCCTCCCGGGTTCAACCAATTCTCTTGCCTCAACCTCCCGAGTAGCTGGGACTACAGGCGCCCGCCACCATGCCAGCTAATTTTTGTATTTTTTAGTAGAGACGGAGTTTCACCATGTTGGCCAGGATGGTCTCAATCTCTCAACCTTGTGATCCACCCACCTCAGCCTCCCAAAGTGCTGGGATTACAGGCGTGAGCCACTGCGCCCTGCCGGCTATACTTTTTAAAATGCTATTACATATTGGAAAGTTCTAGTTGATTGCATAATTCTTACAAGTATGAGCTACAAAGTCAAACAAACCTGGAATGGAACTCATGCTATGTCCTATTTATTAGCTGTGCAATCTTGGGAAAAGTTACCCTCTCTAAGCCACAATGTTTTCATCTGTAAAATACACATAATACCTACCTCACGAAGTTGTTGTAGAGAATTAGATGAAATAACATGTAAGCCACATGCAAAGTAGGCACTCAATAAAATGTCAGCTGATGTTATACTAATACTCTGCGATCCATATCAGATCCCTAAAGCTATAGCCTTCAGTCTCTGGATTTCTTACTGTAGGCTGCAGTCATCTTTGTATTACACAGACACAGACCTGAAACATGTTTCTTTTTTTTTTCCTCTTGTTTTATTTTTGTAGAGAGGAAGTCTCCCTATGTTACCAGAGCTGGTCTCGAACCGCTGGGCTCAAGTGATTCTCCCTCCTCGGCCTCCCAAAGTACTGGGGACAGGTGTCAGCCACTGCAACTGGCCTGAAATATGTTTCAGGAAGCAAGACTTCACCTTATTATGCTTGGTTTACTGACTTTCAACCAAGTCCTCTGTTTTTTGTCTCTTCCCTCCTTAACGATATGCCCTTCCCCGAATTTGTTCTCAGTACACTGGCACTAGACTCATATCCTCCATGAAGGAACTTGGAGGATTTTTCTCTAAAGTAAATGACTCGAAAAAACACCTACCAAAACACCGCCATTTCAGGTACCCCAACAAAAGTCCAGGTAGATAACAATTACCCTACAGGGAAGTCTACCAGTCAACAAATCTAGACCATCCAAAGAGCTTTCAATGAGCATTTTAGTGCTTTACCCTTAAATATGAATAGGCAGTCATATATCAGAAATTTGAAGAAAGCCTCCAAAATCAAAGACAGATGGGGGGAAAAAAAGAAAGGAAAAGAACTGGATGGAAACAGATATAATATTGGAAGCAGAAGAAAATTTCAAAAATACTATAATCAGCCAGGCATGGTGGTGCACATCTGCAGTCCCAGCTACTTGGGACACTAAGGCGGGAGGATTGCTTGAGCCTAGAAATTCAAGGCTGCAATGAAATATGATTGTGCCACTGTACTTCAGCCTGGATGAGAGAAAAAGACCCTATCTTTAATAAAAAATAGAAAAATACTATAATCAGTATTCGCAGAGAACTAGGAGTCAAACATGAACCAAGAGAATAAAAACCTCTTAAAAATCATCATTTTAGCATAAATGCTACATTTGTTAGAAAATTCAAAAGAAGGCTGGGTGCAGTGGCTCATGCCTGTAATCCCAGCACTTTGGGAGGCCGAGGAGAGCAGATCACCTGATGTCAGGAGTCGGAGACCAGCCTGGCCAACGTGGCGAGACTTCATCTCTATTAAAAATACAAAAATTAGCCAGCATGGTGGCACACCCCTGTAATCCCAGCTACTCAGGAGGCTGAGGCACAAGAATTGTTTAAACCCAGGAGTTGGAGGTGTCAGTGAGCCAAGATAGCACCACTGCACTCCAGCCTAGACAACAAGTGCAAAACTCCATCTCAAAAAGAAAGAAAAAAGAAAAAAAGAAAATTCAGAAGAAAAAGCAAGGGAAATAATAAAAACAGCAGAAAAAAAATCAAAGAGATAAAACTAAGAAAAAGGAAAAATTGGCAGATCAATCCAGCAGATCAATTGTCTAGTTAGTGGATGTTGTAGGAAGAGAAGGAGGGAAAAAAGATGGGGAAGAAACATCAAAGAAAGAATACAAGAAAATTTCCCATATTGAAAGAGCCTATCAGATGTCCAAAACAAACAAGAAAGGCCTTTTAAAAAGTACACAGAGGGCCAGGCACAGTGGCTCATGCCTGTAATCCCAGCACTTTGGGCAGATTACGAGGTCAGGAGATCAAGACCATCCTGGCTAACATGGTGAAACCCTGTCTCTATTAAAAATACAAAAACAAAATTAGCCAGGCATGGTGGCAGGCGCCTGTAGTCCCAGCTACTCGGGAGGCTGAAGCGGGAGAATGGCGTGAACCGGGGAGGTAGAGCTTGCAGTGAGCTGAGATCACGCCACTGCAATCTAGTCTGGGCCACAGAGCAAGACTCCGTCTCAAAAAAAAAAAAAAAAAAAAGTACACAGCGATACAGCACTGTAAAATTTCAAAACACCAAGGATAAAGATTCTAAAACTTTCCCATAGAGGACAGGAAAAGAGAGAAAGAGAGAGAGAGAGAGAGAATGAGAATGAGAATCATATAGAATAGATGAGAAATTCTTTGGGAGGCTGAGGCGGGCAGATCATGAGGTCAGGAGATTGAGACCATCCTGGCTAACACGGTGAAACCCCGTCTCCACTAAAAAATACAAAAAAATTAGCCGGGCGTGGTGGTGGGCGCCTGTAGTCCCAGTTACTTGGGAGGCTGAGGCAGGAGAATAGCATGAACCCGGGAGGCAGAGCTTGCAGTGAGCCAAGATCGCACCACTGCACTCCAGCTTAGGCAACAGAGTGAGACTCCGTCTCAAAAAAAAAAAAATGGCATGGTACTTCCCAACTTGAACCACTGGAAGTCAGAAGACCACCAAGGGGTGTCTTTAAAATTCTGAAAGAAAAATCTTTTCCAGCCTAGAACCCTGTACTCTGACAACTATGAATCAAGTGTAAAGATAAGACATTTTCAAACATGGAAGGCCTCAAAATTTAATTGGCAGTTACCTTATCTCAAGAAGCTACATGAGGCTGGGCGCAGTGGCTCACAACTGTAATCCTAACACTTTGGGAGGCCAAAGAGGGCAGATCACTTGAGCCTAGGAATTTCAGACCAGCCTGGGCAACATAGTGAAACCCTGTCTCTACAAAAAAATTTTAAAAATCAGCCAGGTATGGTGGCACACACCTGTAGTCCCACCTACATGGGAGGCTGAGGTGGAAGGATCGCTTGAGCCTAGGAGGTCAAGGCTGCAGTGAGCCATGATCGCATCACTGCACTCCAGCCTGGGCAACAGAGTGAGACTCTGCCTCAAACAATCAAACAAAATTTATGAAAATTTTTAAAATATGGAGCTTAGGCCAGGCATGGTGGCTGACACCTGTAATCCCAGCACTTTGCCAAGACAGCAGGATTGCTTAAGGCCAGGAGTTCAAAGCCAGTCTAGATCACATAGCAAGACCCAGTCTACAAAAAAATTTAAAAATTAGCCAGGTGGCTGGGCACGGTGGCTCACACCTATAATCCTAACACTTTGGGAGGCTGAGGCAGGCGAATCACTTGAGGTCAGGAGTTTGAAACCAGCCTGGCCAACATGGTGAAACCCCATCTCTATGAAAAATACAAAAAAAATTAGCCAGGTGTGGTGGCAGTGCCTGTAATCCCAGCTACTTGGGAGGCTGAGGCAGGAGAAACGCTTGAACCTGGGAGGCAGAGGCTGCAGTGAGTCCAGATCACACCACTGCACTCCGGCCTGGGTGACAGAGTGAGACTCCATCTCAAAAAAAAAAAAAAAAAAATTAGCCAGGCATGGTGGCATGCGCCTGTAGTCCCAGCTACTCAGAAGGCCGAGGCAGATCACTTGAGCCTAGGAATTCAAGAATAGCCTGATCACCACTGCAAGAAACCTTCTCTCTCAATAAATAAATAAATAAATAAAGAGTCATACATTAAAAAAAAATTATTTTCTCGGTAAACTACACAAGAAAGGTCTTCTTTCATTCAACCAAAGACAGACTTGAGCTTTTTTCCGTGAGTGGGAGGAGGGAGTTCCAACGCAGAAGACAAAAACAATTACCCTCATGATGAACATTTCCCTACTCTGAGTAAAGATGCTATCCGCTGTAAACAAGAGACAAGCAACATATAAAGAAACAAAATTTCAAGTCAGATCTTCTAGCATAATTTCATGATCTAAAATATTGTAAAACACAGCAGTTCCATCAAATTTCCAATGAATAAGAGACAACATGTACTCTAAAATCAAAAATACATCTGTTATCTATAATAATCTTAAGTATGGAAAATGACCTGGCTTCAATGCCAGAGAATGAGCAAAGAAATGTCTTACCTTGTTTAATTTTGAGCAACATGATCTAGCATTAATGTAATCACATTCTAAATCAGACAATGTAATTATCTGATGATCAAGATAAGGAATTATTATATTTCTTTTATAATAACTAAGTATTTAAGTTTCAGAAAGCAATCCCAGTTACAAGGCAGAATTAGATTTGACTTGAAAAAAATGAGTTGTTTCCTAAAGTTTGCTCATTAGACAACTCAATTTTCCCATTCATGTTCCTTCAACAAATTATTTTACAAAATAATCCTATTTTGCTCAAATCTAATCTGACCCAACCAGAACATTTAGTTTGAGTTCTTCAAATGTAAAACAATGGCTATTAAAAAAAAAAAAATGGGAAATATCCCAGCACTTTGGGAAGCTGAGGCAGGAGGATCGCCTGAAGCAGGAGTTCAAGATCAGCATAGGCAACATAGCAAGCCTCCATCTCTTTCACCCAGGCTGTAGTGCAGTGGCGCAATTCCAACGCACTGCTACCCCTGCCTCCTGGGTTCAAGCAATTCTTGTGCCTCAGCCTTCCAAGTAGCTGGAACTATAGGTGCGCGCCACCACCACACCCAGCTAATTTTTTGTATTTTTAGTAGAGACGGGGTTTCACTATGTTAGCCAGGCTGGTCTCGAACTCCTGGCTTCAAGTGATTCACTCACCTCACCCCCATCTCTACAAATTTTTTCTTTTTTTTTCATTAGCCGGGCATGAGCACCTGTAATGCTAGCTATTAGTAGCAGTACTGCTAAGGTGAGGCAGCAAAATGCCTAGAGCCCAGGATTCACGTTACACTGAGCTATAATCACACCAGTGCGCTCCAGTCTGAGCAGCAGATTTGGTAGGCACTTGTAGTCTCAGTTACTTGAGAGGCTGAGGCAGGAGAATCGCTTGAACCCAGGAGATGGAGGCAGCAGTAAGCCAAGATTGCGCCACTGCACTCCAGCCTGGGTGACAGTGAGACTCTGTCTCAAAAATAAACATGAAAATAAAATAAAGTCAAACTCATCACTTTCTCCACAGATTGATCTTCCTCCAATTTGTTTTATTTCTGTTACTGACACAAGTATCACTTGCCCAGGATCAAAATATGGAAAGCTATCTCTGCCTTCTGTTTCATATATCATAATCACTCATTTGTAGGTCCTGGCAATCATTTCTTCTAAATACTACTCACATATTCCCTCCTTTCACCTGCCCACAACCAGCACTCTATTTGAAATCCAGACGACCCTATCCAGTTGGTTTATCTTCCAATCTTTCTTGTTTCCAACCCACTCGGCAGATTCATCTTCCTAATAAACTACCGAAAATAAAAATTTTCAATGGCTCTCTATTGCCTGCAGGATAAAAGTGAAAGACTTCCCTCCCACCCTTAACATTCAAGCCCTCCAAAATCTGATGTAATCCTGCCTTTCCAACTTAGCCTTCTACTGACGCCAAAATCAACCATGTGCTCCAGATGGTCTATTCGTTAACCATAGCCCAGAAATCCACGAACATACCTGTCTCTGCACCTTCGCTCTTGCCAGTGTCTGATTTGGAATATTCACCTCTTCCCCTTCCTGTAGATTTTGTCCACAGTTCAAAGTCCAAGAAAACTCTTATATCCTATATTAAGTCTACCGTGACCATTTTCCACCTCCTATCCCTAAGTTAGTGCAACTATTCTAAAATACAGAATATGCTGAATTTCATCAAAACACCCCCCGAATGTATTTTAATGTAATGTCTAAGTCAAACATTCCACCTACCATTTCTCTAAATGCATAAATTGGTGTAAACCAGGGCTATTTAAAATTATCAAGCCTGGTTTTCCAAACTGCAAAAAGAAAAAACCCAGCTACATTTCTGAGCATAAGCTCTAGTTCAGGGGTGTCCAATCTTTTGGCTTCCCTGGGCCACACTGGAAGAAGAATTGCCTTGGGCCACACATAAAATACACTAATACTAATGATAGCTGATGAACTTAAAAAAAAATCACCAAAAAAGAATCATAATGTTTTAAGAAAGTTTACAAATTTGTGTTGGGCCACATTCAAAGCTGTCCTGGACCACATGCAGCCCGTGGGCCGTGGGTTGGACAAGCTTGCTCTAGTTCCTTATATCACAAGAGGGGCATAGAGGTCATCAAAACTTAGGCAAGTGATGCTGCCCTTTCAATCAGCTCCCCAAACCTACTAAAACTCAGAAATCTTGTCGTTAGATATCATCAAAGTAAAAACTGCTGCTCAATTGGGGAGGGTGGGGACACGAAGGCAGAGCAATATTTACTGAACATTAGCTATGGGGCAGGCACTGTGCTAGGGTGCTCAGCACCATTCTCATTGTGCATATCTAGGAAATAAACATTTCCTATTTTAAAGATCAGAAAACTGAGGCTTAGGGAAATAATGTGCAAGCAAAGAGCTAGCTGACCAGGAAATCTGATTCCAAATTTTGTCCCTTTCCACTACAACAGGATGCCAGTCCACAATGAAAAATGAAGCTGCACTGAACATATACTCTGTACGACTATCCTAAAGCCCGCATGCTCTAGCAAACAAATGGTTTAATCCGATCAGAAACAGGTACATGTGATTTCCAAGAAAGGAAGCTGAAATGCGGAGTTCCTCATACGTTTTTTCTTATATTTAATTACTTAAACCTGGATGGTGCAATACAACATTGGGCAACAACTAAGCCTAGATGCTTTGTCAAGAGATGGGAAGAGTTGTAGCCGACATGGCTACTGCAGTGCTAAATTCAACCACCATTTATTGCTCTGGAAAACAGTTTGAATACTGCAACTTAAGTTTTAACATGGATCGATAGAAAAATTTAAAAGCTGAGAAACGATTGGGAACTACAGCAGATGTAGTTATTGAATTTACAGATCTGCAACCACCGGGGACAACCAAAATAATCACTTTGTAGACAGTTGTTAAAACAACTCCTTTCCAACACTCACTACAAAACGGCACAGTGAAGGAAGCAACTTCGCTCCTTTGGCGAATGAGTCAACTCCTGGATGTGAAAGGTCCCTGCAAGTACTAACACCCGCCAGAACAAAGGGGCGGGTGCCGGGGGTGTTGCGTGGGGAACAGGAGGAGGCAAATGGCCCGCACTTATCCCGGCACCCGACTGTCGCAAGCGACCGCCCTTGGGACCCCCAATATCCGACGAAGAGCACGGCGCAGGGCCTCTCCCAGAAAAACAGCGACGCTTCTCTCCCGAGGGCGGCCGTGGCTCAGGCAGGGCTGGTCCGGGCGCCGCGGGGACGAGCGGAGAGCAGGCGGGCAGGCCGAGACGGGGCGCGCCCGGAGAGGCCCACTCGGACCCGAGTGAGGGGCGGCCGGCAACCCAGGCAGGGCAAGTGCGTGCAGGGCAGCAGGGCCCGTCGGGTAGGGCAGCCAGCCTCTCCTACCCGCTCCGGGGCCCGCGCCACCGCCCCGGCCAGGCCAGCTCCCAGGGAGCCCACGCCCGCCGCCGGGCGCCTCCCTAGTCCCACACACCTGCCCGGGTGCCCAACTGGCCCACCCTCAGCCGTGTCCCCCGGCAAGGCGTTCGCCTGCCTCAGGCAAGGATACGAAGTAGACCGAGAGGAAGATGAGCGCGCAACAATCGAGGAGAGAGAAGACGAACACCACCGCCTCCATCCTCCTCCTCCGTCGCCGCCGCTCCTTCCGTCAAACCCGCTCGGATGCCCCGACCCACCCCTGATAGGCCCTTGCCGGGGCTGGCTGAGGCGTGTGGTCCTCGAATCCTGGTGTGGCATGCCGGGAGTTGTAGTCCATATTTTAAAAAACTCTACGGCCCTAATTCTGACGCATGCTGGGAATTGTAGTTCATTAGTACAAGTCCATATCAAAGAGGTGGGCAGGGCCTCTTTCATAAATCCGATTATTTCCAGAAATGGAATTAATCAACAAGTATTTACTCAACGCTTTTCTTTTAAAGAGCTGGGGTCTTGCTCTGTCGTCCAGGCTGGAGTGCAGTGGCGTGATAGAGCTCACTATGACCTCGAATTCCTGGGCTCAAGCAATCCTTCCACCTCAGCCTCCCGACATGCCCAGCTAATTTTATTTTATTATTTCTCATTTTATTTTATTTTTTGAGACAGGGTCTCACTCTGTCGCCCAGGCTGGAGTGCAGTGGCATGGTCACAGCTCACTGCAGCCTCTACCTCCTGGCCTCAGGTGATCCTCCCACCTCCGCCTCCTGAGTACCTGGGATTACAGGAATGTACCACCACGCCTGGCTAATTTTTTGTATTTTTAATAGAGATGGGGTTTTTGCCATGTTGCCCAGGCTGGTCTCGAATTCCTCGGCTCAAGCGATCTGCCTGCCTCAGTCTCCCACAGTGCTGGAATTACAGGCCTGAGCCACTGCACCAGTCTCTACTGAACGCTTTTAATCCGGATATCCAGTAGGATGTATTTCCCATGTGTGAAATTTTCTTTAGAGTTGGCTCTAGAACCATTGCATTCCCTGACTTAGGATTTGTAAGGGGTTTTCATCTCAAAGCACAAATCTAACTTAATGCTCCTGGCTTGACTTTTGCGATTTGCCCTTCCCTTCCTGATTTCAATTTCTCCAGAGATTTCACAGTCCTTTGTTTATCCTCTCCTACAGCAATGTTTCTCTCCTCTCTAGATTTTAAGATCTTTAAGAAGTGAATACGATGTCTTACTCATCCATTCATTCATTTAACAAATACAGTTGTATTTGCAGGGGCTACTTTCCAAGACCCCCAAGTGGATGCCTGACACGATGGATAGTACCAAACCTTATGTGTACTATGTTTTTTCCTATATATACATACCTATGATAAAGCTTAATTTATAGATCAGGCACAGTAGGAGATTAACAAGTAATAATAAGATAGAACAATTATACTGTAATAAAAGTTATGTAAATGTGGTCTTTCTGTCTCAAAATATCTTATTGTACTGACCCTTCTTTTTGAGATGATGTATGATGATAAAATGCCTATGTGATAAGATGAAGAGACAGATGCAGCCTCTCCAGTGATTTTTATATTTTTCAGTCCAAATCTATTCTTACATTCATGTAACTATCCATTACTTGCAGTAAGTGGCTTGGTATCACTCGTTTTAGGGAATCCCTCACTGAAGTCTTTGTATAGGCTCAATACTTTCTGGCTCAACACGTTGCCATCAATTGGCACATGTTTTCTGTTCATGTCTTCCACCCACAAATGTAATGCCTCTTCCATCTTTTTTGTGGTTGTTGTTTTAGTTTTTCTGAGATGAAGTTCACTCTGTCACCCAGGCTGGAGTGCAGTGGCGCCATTTCAGCTCTCTGCAACCTCCACCTCCCAAGTTCAAGCGATTCTCCTGCCTCAGCCTCCGGAGTAGCTGAGATTACAGGTGCATGCCACCACACCCAGATAATTTTTTGTATTTTTAGTAGAGTTGGGGTTTCGCCATGTTGGCCAGGCTGGTCTCAAACTCCTGGCCTCAAGTGATCCACCTACCTTGACCTCCCAAAGTGCTGGGATTACAGGCATGAGCCACTGTGCTGTGCCGCCTTTTCCATCTTAACTAAGCACTTATCAGGCACTGTGGCCATAACTTTTGTAGTCTGAGTTGCAACAGCAAAACTAGCACAAATTCCTTTTTCCTTTTTCAGAAATTCACAGATAAAAGACTGGTTCTTACCATAGATCTTAGCAGTCTCATAGGGTTTTTTTTTCTTTCCTTAAGTCAAGAACTTTGACCATTTCACTTAAAGGGAGCACTTCATGGCTTCTCTTTGGCATATCTGAATTGCCAGTATTCACTGCTCTTGAACTTTGGGCCATTGTTAAGTACAATAATGGGTACTTGAACATAAGCACTGCAATACTGCTGCAGTCAATCTGATAACTGATAAGATGGCTACTACGTGACTAACAGGTAGGTGGCATAGACAGCATGGATATGCTGGACAAGGGGATAGATAATTCATGTCCCAGGCAGGATGAAGTGAGCAGCAGGAGATTTCATTACACTCCTAAGAGTGGCACACAATTTAAAATTCATGGATTGTATATTTCTGAAATTTTCCATTTAACATTTTAGGACTGTGATTGACCTCAGGTAAATGAAACCAGTGAAAGCAAAACTGTGGATGAGACTGCTGTATTTACTGACAACACACCTGCTATAGGCCAAGAACTGCTCTAGACTCCAGAGATATAAAAATAAACAAGGCAAACAAGTTGCTGCTCTAGTAGGGTGAGTGGGAGGAACAGGCAATAAAGTATAACAAAGTATGGGAAAAAGATAACTTCAAGCAGTGATAAGCTCTGTGAGCGGTTGTGTCAAAGTTATTTATTCATTCAACCAATATTTTCTGAGCAGCCAGAATATATGAGCTACTGTTCCAAACCTTGGGAAAAGTCCCCACAAGCCTGTGGTTTACATTACAGTGAGAAAGACAGACGACAAAATAAATATACTAATGACAGGCAGTCATAAGTACTTGGAAGGGGATGGGGAAAGACGGAGTGATCAGAGAAAGCCAAGCTGAGGAAATGACACTTAAGTAGAAATTTGAACAATAGCTATGTGAAGGTCTGCGGGCAGAATGTTTCAGAAAGTAGGAACAATAATTTCAGAGGCCCAGTTGTATATAGAGGCTTGATGTGTTAAAGGAATAGAAAAAAAGACTACTGTGGTCTTGTGGCTAAAGCACAGGGGAAAAGGGTGAGAGAGTGCTGAGAGGAAGAGAAGGAGGCAGGGTAAGGTTATATGGGCCCTGTAGACCCTTGGCAAGGATTTTTATCCTAATATGATGAGAAACCACTGCAGAGTTCTAAGCAAAAAAGTAGCTTAATCTGATTTACATTTTTAAAATCTCATTCTGGCTATTTAGCGCACTGAATGTGTGAAAGGGAAACAAGTTTGTCAGCAGGGAGATCACATGGAGAGTAGAACAGGAGAATTACTATGAAGGCAAAACCAACTGAGCCGGGCGCGGTGATTCACGCCTGTAATCCTAGCACTTTGGGAGGCCGAGGCGGGCGGATCACCTGAGGTCGGGAGTTCGAGACCAGCCTGACCAACACGGAGAAACCCCGTCTCTACTAAAAATACAAAATTAGCCAGGGGTGGTGGTGCATGCCTGTAATCCCAGCTACTTGGGAGGCTGAGGCAGGAGAATCACTTGAACCCAGGAGGTGGAGGTTGCAGTGAGCTGAGATTGCTCCATTGCACTCCAGCCTGGGCAACAAAATGAAACTATGTCTCAAAAAAATAAGCAAACAACAACAACAAAAAACACAAAAACCCAACTGGATTTGCCTGATGCAGTACAGGTTCATAGATTCATAAAGGGTTCACAGGTTAAAGCTAGACATACAATTAACAGATTATCTAATTAATTAAACCAGCTATTACCAAACTCCCATTGTACCTTGTACATATCTCTATCAGAATATTCATTACATACTCAGTTATCTTAAGGTGAAAAAAAATACTCATCAACTATCTTCCTTATGTGCTTAGCCAGTCACACTGAGGGGTGACAGCGTGCTGGCAATCGTCACAGCCCTCACTCGCTCTCGCTCGCTCTCGGCGCCTCCTCTGCCTGGGCTCCCACTTTGGCGCCACTTGAGGAGTCCTTCAGCCCGCCGCTGCACTGTGGGAGCCCCCTTCTGGGCTGGCCAAGGCCGGAGCCGGCTCCCTCAGCTTGCGGGGAGGTGTGGAGGCAGAGGCGCGGGCGGGAACCGGGGCTGCGTGCTGTGCTTGTGGGCCAGCGCGAGTTCTGGGTGGGCGTAGGCTCGTCGGGCCCTGCACTGGGAGCTGCCAGCCGGCCCCGCGGGCCCCGCCGGCCCTGGGCAGTGAGAGGCTTAGCACCTGGGCCAGCAGCTGCTGTGCTCAATTTCTCACCGGGCCTTAGTTGCCTTCCCGCCGGGCAGGGCTCGGGACCTGCGGCCCGCCATGCCTGAGCCTCCCCGACCTCCGTGGGCTCCTGTACGGCCCGAGCCTCCCCGACGAGCGCCGCTCCCTGCTCCACGGCGCCCAGTCCCATCCACCACCCAAGGGCTGAGGAATGCCGGCGCACGGCACGGGACTGGCAGGCAGCTCCACCTGCAGCCCCCGTGGTGAATCCACTGGGTGAAGCCAGCTGGGCTCCTGAGTCTGGTGGGGACGTGGAGAACCTTTATGTCTAGCTAAGGGATTGTAAATACACCAATTGGCACTCTGTATCTAGCTCAAGGTTTGTAAACACACCAATCAGCACCCTGTGTCTAGCTCAGGGTTTGTGAATGCACCAATCGACAATCTGTATGTAGCTACTCTGGTCGGGACTTGGAGAACCTTTATGTCTAGCTCAGGGATTGTAAATACACCAATCGGCACTCTGTATCTAGCTCAAGGTTTGTAAACACACCAATCAGCACCCTGTGTCTAGCTCAGAGTTTGTGAATGCACCAGTCCACCCTCTGTATCTAGCTACTCTGGTGCGGATGTGGAGAACGTTTGTGTCTAGCTCAGGGATTGTAAAGGCACCAATCAGCACCCTGTCAAAACAGACCACTGGGCTCTACCAATCAGCAGGATGTGGGTGGGGCCAGATAAGAGAATAAAAGCAGGCTGCCCCAGCGAGCAGTGGCAACCCACTCGGGTCCACTTCCACAGTGTGGAAGGTTTGTTCTTTTGCTCTTTGCAATAAATCCTGCTGTTTGTCACTCTTTGGGTCCACGCTGCCTTTATGAGCTGTGACAGCGCGAAGGTCTGTAGCTTCACTCCTGAGCCAGTGAGACCACGAACCCACCGGAAGGAGGAAACTCCGAACACATCTGAACATCAGAAGGAACAAATTCCAAATGTGCCACCTTAAGAGCTGTAACACCACGAGGGTCCGTGGCTTCATTCTTAAAGTCAGTGAGACCAAAAACCCACCAATTCTGGACAGAACACGTTTGATCAAGCTTGTTCAGCCCATTGCCCATACGCCACATGTGGTCCAGAACGGCATTGAATGCAATCTACCATAAATTTATAAACTTTATTAAAACGTTATGAAATTGTTTTTGCCATTTTTTTTATTTCATCTCATCAGCTATCATTAGTGTTAGTGTGTTTTATATGTGGCCCAGGACAATTCTTCCAGTGTGGCCCAAAGAAGCCAAAAGATTAGACACCCCTGCTTTAGATTATGATAAAAGTAACAGATTTTATTAATTTTTATATCCCAATACTTTCTATTCTATAAATAGCTGGTGGTTAATAAATGGTTCCTGAATGAATGATCCACACTATCATGACAGATTTTATTTATATTAGTCCAGATTTTATCAAAATCATAAACCTCATCTCACATGTATTCCCCGAGATGGAGTAGGAAATACAAGCTATTTCGCATTTTTTTTTTTTTTTTTTTTGAGGCAAGAGTCCCACTCTGTCGCCCAGGCTAGAGTGCAGTAATGCCATCTCAGCTCGCTGCAACCTCCGCCTCCCCAGTTCAAGTGGCTGGGACTACAGGCACATGCCACCATGCAACAATAGTAGCATTTTTTGCAGAAATCTTAACCATATTCCAAAATTTATATGAAAAGACAAAGCTAATTTTTGTGTTTTCAGTTGAGACGGGGTTTCGCCATGTTGGCCAGGCTGGTCTCAAACTCCTGGCCTCAAGTGATCTGCCCACCTTGGCCTGCCAAAGTGCTGGGATTACAAGCGTGAGCCACTGTGCTGGACCATATTTCACATTCTTTATCTGCTATTTTATCCTGGGAAAATTTTAAAAGCTGGTACCATAATCAGTGGTAATGATTGAATTACCATAAAATTAAGATAGCCGCTGTCTCTTATCCTACTTAAAAAATGGGCTCTCCCTCTCCCTCTCCCTCTCCCTCTCCCTCTCCCTCTCCCTATCCCTATCCCTCTCCCGTCTCCCTCTCCCGTCTCCCACTTTCCACGGTCTCCCTCTGATGTCCAGCCGAGGCTGGACTGTACTGCCGCCATCTCAGCTCACTGCAACCTCCCTGCCTGATTCTCCTGCCTCAGCCTGCCGAGTGCCTGGGATTGCAGGCGTGCGCCGCCACACCTGACTGGTTTTTGTATTTTTTGGTGGAGACGGGGTTTCGCAGTGTTGGCCGGACTGGTCTCCAGCTCCTGACCGCGAGTGATCTGCCCGCCTGTGCCTCCCACGGTGCCGGGATTGCAGACAGAGTCTCGCTCACTCAGTGCTCAATCTTGCCCAGGCTGGAGTGCAGTGGCGTGATTTTGGCTCGCTACAACCTCCACCTCCCAGCCGCCTGCCTTGGCCTCCCAAAGTGCCGAGATTGCAGCCTCTGCCCGGCAGCCACCCCGTCTGGGAAGTGAGGAGCGTCTCTGCCTGGCCGCCCATCGTCTGGGATGTGAGGAGCCCCTCTGCCCAGCCGCCCAGTCTGGGAAGTGAGGAGTGCCTCTTCCCAGCTGCCATCCCATCTAGGAAGTGAGGAGCGTCTCTGCCCGCCGCCCATCCTCTGAGATGTGGGAAGCTCCTCTGCCCCGATGCCCCGTCTGGGATGTGAGGAGCGCCTCTGCCTGGCCGCGACCCCATCTGGGATCTGAGGAGTGTCTCTGCCCGACTGCCACCCCGTCTGGGAGGTGAGGAGCGTCTCTGCCTGGCCGCCCCGTCTGAGAAGTGAGGAGCCCCTCCGCCCAGCAGCCGCCCCGTCTGGGAAGTGAGGAGCATCTCCGCCCGGCAGCCGCCCCGTCCAGGAGGGAGGTGGGGGGCAGCCCCCGCCCGGCCAGCCGCCCCGTTCGGGAGGTGGGGGGCGCCTCTGCCCGGCCACCCCGTCTGGGAGGTGAGGAGCCCCTCTGCCCGGCCGCCACCCCGTCTGGGAGGTGTACCCAACAGCTCATTGAGAACGGGCCATGATGACGATGGCGGTTTTGTCGAATAGAAAAGGGGGAAATGGGAAAAGAAAGAGAGATCAGATTGTTACTGTGTCTGTGTAGAAAGAAGTAGACATAGGAGACTCCATTTTGTTCTGTACTAAGAAAAATTATTCTGCCTTGGGATGCTGTTAATCTATAACCTTACCCCCAACCCCGTGCTCTCTGAAACATGTGCTGTGTCCACTCAGGGTTAAATGGATTAAGGGCGGTGCAAGATGTGCTTTGTTAAACAGATGCTTGAAAGCAGCATGCTCCTTAAGAGTCATCACCACTCCCTAATCTCAAGTACCCAGGGACACAAACACTGCGGAAGGCCGCAGGGTCCTCTGCCTAGGAAAACCAGAGACCCTTGTTCACATGTTTATCTGCTGACCTTCCCTCCACTATTGTCCTATGACCCTGCCAAATCCCCCTCTCCGAGAAACACCCAAGAATGATCAATAAATACTAAAAAAAAAAAAAAAAAAAAAAAAAAGATTGAGCTGAAACAACCAGAAAAAAACTATGAAAACATGAGCCTCAATCTCTACCTCACATCATACACAAAAATTAATTAGCAATATGCGATAAACCTAAATGTGTAAGTTAAAACTGTAACTCTTCCAGAAGAAAATTTAGAACATCTTTACAACCTTAGGCAAAAGTTTTAAGTAGATGTGTGAATGGTCAATAAGTACATGTAGCAGTGCTCAGCAGAGAAATGCTTTAAAACTGCAATTAGATACTACTTCACACTTAGGAGAATAGCTTTAAAAAAAAAAAAAACCCTGACAACACCAAATGTTCACAGAGAAATGAAGCAACATGTATTAAACAATACTGGTGAAAGTAAAAAAAAAAAAAAAAAAAAAAAAAAAGGTTGCAATGTCTCAACTACAAGGAATACAAAATTTGGGAGAAAGAAATTATCAGGATAAAAAACAATAAATGGTGTTTGTGTGTTAATATAATTTTTGTTTTAAAATACATGTTCTATTAGCGAGGCATGGTGTAACATGTCTATAGTCCAAGTGACTCAAGAGGCTGAGATGGGAGGATCACTTGAGACCAGGGGGTCGAGGCTGCAGTTAGCCATGATCATGCCACTGCACTTCATCCTGGGGAACAGAGCGAGACCTTGCCTCAAAAAAATATAATATAATAAAATACATAAGTAAAATAAAATATGTGTTATATTTTAAAAGTATAAACTGAACCGTTAGGGTTTCTGGTTTAGCACGTACAGACCTAAAAGTAGCAACTCTGTTCTTACAAGTAAAAACCCAAACAAACTGAAAAATCAAAAACTCTTCTTAGATCCATCAAAGAAGTGAAGTCATAGGGCAAACCCTCAATCTTCCTGTTTTCATTGTTGCACCTTGTTTTTCTTCTGTTATGTCTAGTCAGCACAATAAGGCAAGAAAAAAATATTTATAGGCTGGAAATGAAGTAATCAATTTTGTCTACATAGACTGTATTATTAGCAAAGAGAGGACACAAGGTTAACACACAAAAATTAATTGCATTTCCATATACTAGCAATTGCCAGTTAAAAATCAAAACAGTAGGCTAGGCATGGTGGTTCATGCCTGTAATCTCAGCACTTTGGGAGGCCAAGGCAGGCAGATCACCTGAGGTCAGGAGTTCGAGACCAGCCTGGCCAACATGGTGAAAACCCATCTCTACTAAAAATATAAAAATTAGCCAGACATGGTGGGGGGCACCTGTCATCCCAGCTACTGGGGAGGTTGAGGCAGGAGAATAGCTTGAATCCGGGAGGTGGAGGTTGCAGTGAGACCAGATCACACCACTGCACTCCAGCCTGGGTGACAGAGACCCTGTCTCAAAAAAAAAAAAAAAATCCAAACAGTACTACTTATAATATCATAAAAAATCATGAAATACTTAGGAATAAGTCTATTAAGATATCTCCGGGATCTGTATGTGATAAATACAAGACACTGATGAAATAAAAGAAAACCTAAATAGGTCAGATGCAGTGGCTCATGCCTGTAATCCCAGCACTTTGGGAAGCCAAGGTGGGTAGATCACTTGAGCCCAGAGGTTGGAGACCAGCCTAGGCAATATGGTGAAACCCCATCTCTACAAAAAATGCAAAAATTAGCCAGCCGTGTGGTGTGTCTGTAGTCTCAGCTATTTGGGAGGCTGAGTTGGGTGGATGACTTGAGCCTGGCAGGTTGAGCTACAGTGAGCAATGATCACACCAGTGCACTCCAGCCTGGGTGAGACAGCAAGACCCAGAAGAAAAAAAAAAGAAAGAAAAAGAAAGAAAGAAAGACAGACAGACAGAAAGAAAGAAAGAAAGAGAGAAAAGAGAAAACCTAAATAAAATCTAAAAACCTAAAAAAAAAAAATCATGTTCATGGATTAGAAGACTCAATATTGTTAAAATGTCGGTTCTTCCAAAACAGATCTATAGGTTCAATGCAATCCAATTAAAACAATATTAGCATTTTTGTAGAAATCTTAACCGTATTCTAAAATTTATATGGAAAGACAAAGGAATTTCAACAGCCAAGACAATTTTGAAAAAGAGCAAAGTTGAAGGGCTCACACTACCTGATTTCAAGATGTACTAAGGGCTACCACAATCAAAACACTGTGATATTCATGAAAGGAGAGATAGATGCATAGATATTTTGGAACAAAATTAAGAATATAGAAATAGACCCACAAATATATGGTCAATTAATTTTTTTGATAAACATACAAAGACGATTTAACGGAGAAGCTATATTCTTTTCCAGAACAAACTGTTCTGGAACCACTAAACAGCCATATACAACAACAACAAAAACTTTGGCTCATACCTCTCACCTTATTCACAAATTTAAAAATAGAATCATAGTATAAAGGAAAAAAATGTGATCTTGGTACAATCTTGGCAACCCTATATGCAGTAAAGCAGGAAAGCAATATCTTCAATCTTCTTACACAGAAATTCAGTCAATATTGATTGAATATCTGCATCAATAAACCTAATTGACACAGAATTTATCTTCCTTCCATCCAGTGCCAAACACAAATGCCACATAAAAAGCAACATTAAAAAATAAACACTAGGTCAGGCATGGTGGCTCACACGTTACCCCAGTACTTTGGGAGGCCAGGGCAGCAGGATCTTGAACTCACTTGAAGCCAAGAGTTCAAGACTAGCCTGGGTAAAACCCTCTCTCTACAAAAATAAAATTTTAAAAAAACAGCTGAGTGTGGTAGTACATGCGTGTATTCCCAGTAACTTGGGAGGCTGAGTCAGGAGGATCACTTGAGCCCAGGAGTTTGAGGTTACAGTGAGCTGTGGTCCCACCAATCTACACCAGCCTGAGTGACAAGAGCAAGATCCCAACTCAAAAACAAAAATAAAAATAATTTTAAAAATAAACAGTAAACTTATTCATTAAAAGGTGGGATTACCCTAGTTTCATAAACCCAAATTAGAGGAATCAGTGAAGCAGAGCTGAAAAACCCTTGAGGGAATTGTAACTACTCATGGATCGAACAATTGCCAACTGGGACTTTATTGTCCAAGTAGGGAACAGAGTCAAAAACTGAAACCTCATAAGCAAGGAAAATATGGCATTGATTACAGGAATCCTATGGATCAGTCCCATGTATAAGCAGGGTTTATGATTAATAAAGAGATACAAAAAGCAAATGAACATTTCAAAAAAGCTTCACTTTGGGTAAAAAAACAAAATTCCCCAAAAGAGGCCAGGCACAGTGGCTCACGCCTGTAATCCCAGCACTTTGGGAGGCTGAAGCGGGCAGATCACCTGAGGTCAAGAGTTTGAGATCAGCCTGGCCACAGGCTGAAACCCCATCTCTACTAAAAATACTAAAAAAGAAAAATTAGACAGGTGTGGTGTTGGGCGCCTGTAATCCCATCTACTCGAGAGGCTGAGGCAGGAGAATCGCTTGACCCTGGGAGGGGGAGGTTGCAGTGAGCTAATGACACTGCACTCCAGCCTGCGTGACAAGATCAAGATGCCATCTCAAAAAAAAAAAAAAAAAAAAAAGAAGAGAAAGGCTGGGCACGGTGGCTCACATCTGTAATCCCAGCACTTTGGGAAGCCGAGGGGGGCAGATCACCTGAGGTTGGGAGTTCAAGACCAGCCTGACCAACATGGAGAAGCCCCCATCTCTACTAAAAATACAAAATTAGCCAGGGGTGGTGGCGCATGCCTGTAATCCCAGCTACTCAAGAGGCTAAGGCAGGAGAATCACTTGAACCAGGGAGGCAGAGGTTGTGGTGAGCCAAGATTACACCATTGCACTCCAGGCTGGGCAAAAAGAGTGAAACTCCATCTCAAAAAAAAAAGAAATTTCCCAAAAGAAATCAGAGGTCCAGGTCAGGACCATGGTTATAAATATGACTTGAATTCACATTTACACTGCACACATGGGATTGCTGTCTAAAGTATAAAATTAACAACAACAAAAATATTCTTGAAAAAGAGAAACGTCACTGAATGCAAATTACCAATTGTGCATAAAGAAAAACGATTCAGATATATAAGGTAATATGAATAAATATGCACTTAAAAATACTAGAGAGTTGTGCACAGTGGTGTGTACCTGTAGTCCCAGCTACCTGGGAAGCTGAGACAGGAGAATCACGTAAGCCCAGGAGTTCGAGGCTGTAGTACACTATAATTGTGTTTGTGAGTAGCCACTATACTCTAACCTGGGCAACATAGTGAGACCTCATCTCTAAAAAAAAAGAAAATGTAGGAAAAAAAACCTGGAAATTACCTGACAATTATGAACAGGCAAATAGATAAACAAATTGTGGCATAATCATAAAATAGAATAATAGTAATGAAAACAATGAACTACTGATATACACAAAACATGGATATCTCAAAGGTAATATATTGATCAGCAGAAGTCAAAAACAGACTGAGGGCCTGGGATCATGCCTGTAATTCCAGGACTTTGGGAGTCCAAGGCAGGAGGATCACTTGAGGCCAGCAGTTCAAGAGCAGCCTGGCCAACGTGGTGAAATCCCGTCTCTACTAAAAACACAAAAATTAGCCAGACATGGTGGCAGGCACCTGTAATCCCAGCTACTTGGGAGGCTAATGCAGAAGAATCTCTTGAACCTGGGAGGTGGAGGTTGCAGAGAGCTGAGATTGTGTCACTGCACTCCAGCCTGGGCAACAGAGGGAGACTCCATCCCCCTACCCACCCTCAAAAAAGAAACCGACCAAGGCAGTGGCTCAAGCCCATAATCCCAGCACTTTGGGAGGCTGAAGTGGGCAGATCACATGAGCCAGGAGTTCAAAACCAGCCTGGGCAAGGCAAAATCCCATCTCTATAAAAAATCCAGAAAAACAAAAAAGAGAAAAATTGTCCAGGCATGGTAGTGTGCACCTGTAGTCCCAGCTACTTGGAAGGCTGAGGTGGGAGAACGCTGAGCCTGTCAGGTCGAGGCTGCAGTGAGCTGTGATCACACCCCTGCACTACAGCCTGGGTGACAGAGAAAGACCCCATCTCAAAAACAAAACACAACCCTAAAATGTCCAGTTTTCAACAACAGAAAAATAGGTATGCAAAGAAACAAGAACGTTTCTACACAACCAAGGACCTCAACAAATCCCAAGTAGGATAAGCTCAAAGAGAGTCCTTCTGAGACAAATCATAATCAAACGTTTTTTTGAGACAAGGTCTCATTCTGTCACCCAGCCTGGAGTGTGGTTGCATGAACATAGCTCATTGTAACCTCAAAATCCTAGGCTCAAGCAATCCTCCTGCCTTGGCCTCCCAAAGGGCTGGGATTACAAGCATAAGCCATCACGCAGGCCATATTCAAACCATTGAAAGCCGAAGAAGGAATTCAGAAGGTAACAAGAGAGAAGCAATTAATTATATACCAGTGATGCTCAATAAGATTAACAGCTGATTTCTCATCAGAAACCATGGAGGCTAGGTGGCACTGGAATAACATAAAGTGTAGAAAGAAGGGAAAAAACTCTCCAAACAAAGAATTTTATGTCCAGCAAAATGATTCTTAAAAAGTGAAAGGAGGGCCGGTCATGGTGGGTCACGCCTGTAATCCCAGCACTTTGGGAGGCCAAGGCAGGCAGATCACTTGAGGTCAGGAGTTTGAGACCAGACTGGCCAACATGGTGAAACCCCATCTCTACTAAAAATGCAAAAAATTAGTTGGGCGTGGTGGTGGGCACTTGTAATCCCAGCTACTGAGGAGGCTGAGGCAGGAGAATTGCTTGAACCCAGGAAGCGGAGCTTGCAGTGAGCCAAGATCATGCCATTGCACTCCAGTCTGCACAACAAGAGCGAAACCCTGTCTCAAAAAAAAGAAAAGAAAAGAAAAGAAAAAGTGAAAGGAAAACATAAGACCTAAAACTATAAAACTCCTACATGAAAAACATAGGGGAAAATCTTTATGATATTGGATTTGGCAATAATTTCTTACATACAACACCAAAAGCATGTGCAACAAAAAGAAAAAAATAGACAAATGGGACTACATCAGACTTAAAACTTTCATGCATCAAACAACATAACCAACAATGTGAAAAGGCAAGCTATAGAATGGGAGAAAATATTTGCAAGTCATATATCTGATGAGATTAATATTCAAAATATAGAGAGAACTTCTCAGCCTGGGCAACAAAATGAGAACCCGTATCTACAGCAAAAAAAATAATTAGCTGGGCATACTGGCACACACCTGTAGCCCCAGATTCTCAGAAGGCTGAAGCAGGAAAATTGCTTGAGCCCAGGAGTTCAAGGCTGCAGTGAGCTATGATGGTGCCACTGCACTGAAGTCTAGGTGATAGAGCGGGACCCTAACTCTTAAAAAAGAAAAAGAAAAAAAAAAACTATAATAAAACAAATAACCTGGCTAGGTGCAGTGGCTCACACTTGTAACACTTTGGGAGGTGGAGGCGGGAAGATAACTTGAGGCCAGGAGTTCGAGACCAGCCTGAGTAACATAGCAAGACCTCATCTCCCAAAACATATGCACACACTCTAAACTTGATTTTAAAATGGTCAAAGCCATGAAAACATTTTTCCAAAGAAGATAAAAATGGCCCACAGATATATGAAAAGATCCTCAATATCACTAATTATCAAAGAAAAAACACAATGAGATATCGCCTTGCACCCATTTGGTTGGCCATAATTTAAAACACACACACACACACACACACACACACACACACACACAGAGAGAGAGAGATACACACAACCAAGAAATAACATGTGTTGGTGAGGATGTGGAGAAATGGAAAGACTTGCGCACTGTTGGTGGGAATGTAAAATGGTACAGGTGCTATGAAAAATAGTATGGTCGTTCTTCAAACAATTAAAAATAGAATTACCATAGGATCTAGCACCTATGGGATCTCACCTGTGAGTATATGTCCAAAAGAACTGAAAGCAGAATCTCAAAGAAATATTTGAACACACATGTTCATTGCACCACTATTCACAAGCGTAAAAAAATGGAAGCAGGCCAGGGGTGGCTCACGCCTGTAATCCCAGCACTTTGGGAAGCCAAGGCAGGCGGATCAGGAGGTCAAAAGATCGAGACCATCCTGGCCAACATGGTGAAACCCCGTCTGTACTAAAAATACAAAAAAAGTAGCTGGGTGTGGTGGTGCGCACCTGTAGTCCCAGCTACTCAGGAGGCTGAGGCAGGAGAATTCCTTGAACCTGGGAGGTGGAGGTTGCAGTGAGCCAAGATCTCACCATTGCACTCCAGCCTGGTGACAAAGCAAGACTCTGTCTCAACAAAAAAAAAAAAAAAAAAAAAAAAAGAAAGAAAGGAAAAAAAAAAGAAAAGCATCTATCTGTGGACAATGTCCATAGATAGATGAATGGGTAAAGAAAATGTGCCACACACAACTGATGAAATATTATACAGCCTTTAAAAAGAAAAAAACTCCTCTGTCATGCTATATCATAGATGAACCTTGAGGACATTATGCTAATTGAAATAAGCCAATCACAAAAGGACAAATGTTGTATGATTCCACTCATATGAATTATGTAAAGTACTCAAATTTATAGAAGCAGAAAGTACAATGGTGGTTGCCAGAGTCCAGGGCAAGCAGGAAATAGGGAGTTATTGATCTATAGGTATAGAGTTTCAGTTTTGCAAGATAAAAAAGTTGTATAGATATGTTACTTACACAACAATGTGAATACAATTAACAGTACTGAACTGTACACTTAAAATGGTTAACATAATAAATTTTATGTTATGTGTTTTTAACTATAATTTAAAATTTCTTTTTAAACAAAGGAAAATTAAAGATATTCCCAGATAAATAAAAACTGAGAGTTCTTCACTAGTAGTCCTGCTCTACACGAAAAGGTTTAGAGTCAGTACGTCAGGCTGAAATGAAAGGACACGGCCACTGCCACTGCGCGAGCTGCAGCAGGAAGGTGCAAGCAGTAGCAGCTGGAGCGGCTGCAGGAGCAGCAGTGGCGGCGGTGGGTCCCCTGTGCTCTGCATCCCAAAGGCAGCTAACTGCGCGACCCCCACCCTTGCGCAGCCGGGCAGGACCCGCTCCCAGGCCTCGTGGGGAGGGCACGGGGAGGAGGTGGAGCTGGATCCAAGGCGGTGCCGCGCTCCACAGAGACGGCAGGAGCCAGGGACAAGCGGGAACCCCCCAACAAAAGCCCGCCGCTCTGGGGGTCTCTGCGATGGGGCCAGGCGGGGCTCCCCGTCGGTGGGGGAGAAGCCGGCTGGGTGCAGAGGGTTGGGCAGAGAGGTGCCCAGCGAGGACCTGGAGCCCCCATGCCACTGCATGCCAGCCTGAGTGACACAGTGAGACGCTGTCTCAAAAAAAAAAAAAGAAAAAGAAAAAGAAAAAGGTATTACTTCACACCCACTAAAATGGCTGTAATTTGTAGGGGTGGGTTGCCCCTACACACCTGTGGGTGTTTCTCGTAAGGTGGGACGAGAGATTTGGAAAAGAAAAAGACACAGAGACAAAGTATAGAGAAAGAAATAAGGGGAACCGGGGAACCAGCGTTCAGCATATGGAGGATCCCGCCAGCCTCTGAGTTCCCTTAGTATTTATTGATCATCTGTGGGTGTTTCTCGAAGAGGGGGATGTGTCAGGGTCACAAGACAATTGTGGGGAGAGGGTCAGCAGACAAACACGTGAACAAAGGTCTTTGCATCATAGACAATGTAAAGGATTAAGTGCTGTGCTTTTAGATATGCATACACATAAACATCTCAATGCTTTACAAAGCAGTATTGCTGCCCACAGGTCCCACCTCCAGCCCTAAGGCAGTTTTTCCCTATCTCAGTAGATGGAGCATACAATCGGGTTTTATACCGAGACATTCCATTGCCCAGGGACAGGCAGGAGACAGATGCCTTCCTCTTGTCTCAACTGCAAGAGGCATTCCTTCCTCTTTTACTAATCCTCCTCAGCACAGACCCTTTACGGGTGTCGGGCTGGGGGACGGTCAGGTCTTTCCCTTCCCACGAGGCCATATTTCAGACTATCACATGGGGAGAAACCTTGGACAATACCTGGCTTTCCTAGGCAGAGGTCCCTGCGGCCTTCCGCAGTTTTTGTGTCCCTGGGTACTTGAGATTAGGGAGTGGTGATGACTCTTAAGGAGCATGCTGCCTTCAAGCATCTGTTTAACAAAGCACATCTTGCACCGCCGTTAATCCATTCAACTCTGAGTTGACACAGCACATGTTTCAGAGAGCACGGGGTTGGGGGTAAGGTTATAGATTAACAGAATCTCAAGGCAGAAGGATTTTTCTTAGTACATAACAAAATGGAGTCTCCTATGTCTACTTCTTTCTACACAGACACAGTAACAATCTGATCTCTCTTGCTTTTCCCCACAGTAATTAAAAAACAAAAGAGAAATTAACTGTTGGGGGGGATACAGAGAAATCTGAACCTTCAATACATTGCTGGTACAAATGTAAAATGTTGCAGCAGCTGGAGGGAACAGTTCAGTGATTCTTCAAAAAGTTAAATACTGAATTATATGACCCAGCAATTCTGTAACAGCGGAATCAATTCCATCTGGTTCAACCTTTGTGAAACAAAGTTCTGAGTGGTTTCTCAGTGCAGCCAACCCCCAGGTTGCAAGTTACATAACCTAAGCATACCCAGATGAGCCAAGTGTGCCCCATTGGTGACTTAGGAGCCAGGAGGAATGAAAAAGTCAGTCACAAGCAGAACCAAAGTGCTTGGATCAAGGAACAGGGACCAAATTCAGAAACAAGGAGTACCCTATTTTGTTGCAGTACAGACTTAAGAGCCAAGGACCCTCAGCATGACCCAATCAGATCATATCTCATTGCATTTTTCCATTTTTTTTTTTTTTGATGGAGTCTTACTTTGTCTCCCAGGCTGGAGTGCAGTGGCGTGATCTCAGCTCATTGCAACCTCCACTTCCCAAGTTCAAGTGATTCTCCTGCCTCAGCGCCCCAAGCAGCTGGGACCACAGGTGTGCACCACCATGCCCAGCTAATTTTTGTATTTTTAGTAGAGATGAGGTTTCTCCATGTTTGTTAGGTTGGTCTCGAACTCCTGACCTCAAGTGATCCACCTGCCTGGGCCTCCCAAAGTGTTGAGATTATAGGCATGAGCCGCCACGCCTGGTCTACCTCATTGCATTTTCCTATCTTCCTCATTGTAACTATCTGCCTATAAAACCTGTCCCCATTCTCCAGCTCAGGGAGACAGATTTGAGCATGCCAAGTCAACTTTGCAATAAAGGTTTCTATTTTCTCAAAAGCAAGTTGCCATGGTATTGTTACTGGTGGAGGGTCTTGACTAGGTTGTCCAGGTCTTGACGAGTTGTCCAGGTTCTTGGTGTGTTGAACAAAGAATTGAGCAAAATGCACAAACAAAGCAACAAAAGAATGAAGCAATGAAGCACCGATTTATTGAAGCGAAAGTACATGCCACAGAGGGGAGCGGGCTTGAGCAAGCAGCTCAAGAGCTCCTGGTTGCAAAATCTTCTGGGGTTTAAGTACCCTTTAGAAGTTTCCTATTGGTTACACCCTATGTAGATGAAGACTTGGCCCCTGACCAATTGGAAGCTGAAGTAAGTTATACTCTATGCAAATAAAGACTTGGCCTGCGACTAATCAGAAGCTGAAGTGAAGGCTCCCTGTCTCCACACCCTATTCTCCTGCCTCAGTATTGGCTTCTATGCCTATCAGGCAGTGAGCCCTTGCTCCATAACAATTCCACTCCTGGGTGTACTGTATACCCCACAGAACTGAAACTTAAAGTGGAAATAACCCAAATGTCTATCAGGTGATGAACTGATAACTAAAATGGGATATATCTATACCACAGAATATTACTCAGCAATGAAAAGGAATGAAGTATTAATATATGCTATAACATGGAGAAACCTTGGACACATTATGCTAAGTGAAAGAAGTCAGACACAAAAGGTCACATATTGTATAATTCCATTTATATGAAATGTCCAAAATAGGCAAATCCATAGAAACAAAAAGTAGATTTGTGGTTTCCAGGGGCTGGGAAGAGGGGAAAACTGAAGTGACTGCTTAATAGTTACAGGGTTTCTTTCTGGGCTAATGAAATGTTCTGGAACTATATAGTGGTAATGTCTGCATAACCCTGTAAACATACTAAATGCCACTGAATTGTATACTTTAAAATGAATAAAATGGTGAATTTTATGCTATGTATATTTACCTCAATTAAAAAAAAATTTCCCCAGCATGGTGGCTCACACCTGTAATCCCAGCATTCTTGGAGGCTGAGGCAGAAGGATTGGTTGAAGCCAGGGGTTCGAAACCAGCCTGGGTAACACAGCAAGACCCAGTTTAAAAAAAAAAAAAAAGCCAGCACAGTGACACATGCCTGTAATCCTAACTACTCAGGAGGCTGAGGCAGGAGGGTCACTTGAGTTCAGGAGGCTGAACCTACAGTGAGCTATGATCACCATTGTACCCCAGCCTGGGCCACAAGAGTGAGACTTTCTTTTTTTTTTTTTTTTTTTTGAGATGGAGTTTCACTCTTGTGGCCCAGGCTGGAGTGCAATGGCGCAATCTCAGCTCACCACAACCTCTGCATCCCGGGTTCAAGCGATTCTCCTGCCTCAGCCTCCTGAGTAGCTGGGATTACAGGCATGCGCTACCACACCCGGCTAATTTTTGTATTTTTAGTAGAGATGGGGTTTCTCCATGTTGGTCAGGCTGGTCTCGAACTCCTGACCTCAGGTGATCTGCCCACCTCGGCCTCCCAAAGTGCTGGGATTACAGGCATGAGCCACCGCGCCTGGCCTGAGACCATCTTTTAAAAATAAATAAATAAATGGATAAAATCACTGAGTTATACACTTTAAATGGACCCTTTTTATTATAGGTAAATTATACCTCAATAGTGTTTTTTAAAAAATGTTAATGATACCAGGTTCTTATTCAGGAATGTTTTGGCTCTTTTCTGTCATTTTCTCTTCTGCATCAATCTTAGATTCGACTTTTAAAATTCCTCCAGATACCTGTATTTGTTCAAATTAATGTTGGTTTTGAGTGACAGAAATCTGAAATAATGGTGGTTGAAACAACAAATAAGCTTATTTTTCTCTGTTTCTGTTCCTAGAACAGGTCAACTTCTTTTCTGCTTAAAGTCTTGGCACACATTATTCTCTCTCTACCTCAAACTCTTCCCACTCTCCTTGTACAATTGGCTTCTGCTATACTTAAAGTCCTTACCTGTCACATTCTCAGAAAGACCTCCCTTGACCAGGGACTGAGGTAGTCTCCCTTTTTTATTTTCTTCTTTTTTTTCCATGTCAGACGTGTAATATGCACGGAACAAGGTTTGAGGGTAGCACATCTTATCCTTCTGCATGAACACCCATTCTTCACACTTAGGAACTACAAAAGGATTTGTTATTTTCTTCCCTTTTTTTGAGACAGAGTTTCGCTCTTGTTGCCCAGGATGGAGTGCAGTGGCACAATCTCAGCTCACCGCAACCTCCGCCTCCCGGGTTCAAGTGATTCTCCTGCCTCAAACTCCCAAGTAGCTGGGATTACAGGCATGCGCCACCACCCCTGGCTAATTTTGTATTTTTAGTAGAGACAGGGTTTCTCCATGTTGGTCAGGCTGGTCTCAAACTCCCAATCTCAGGTGATCTGCCCGCCTCGGCCTCCCAAAGTGCTGGGATTACAGGCGTGAGCCACTGCACCTGGCCTTGTTATTTTCTATCACAGTACTCTGATTATTTACTTCACAATTTTCATTCATTTACTTAACAATTATTTACTAAAAAATTTCTATATGAAAGATTCAGGCCAGGAGCAATGGCTCACACCTGTAATCCCAGCAATTTGGGAGGTGGAGGTGGGTGGATCACTTGAGGTCAGGAGTTCGAGATCAGCCTGGCCAACATAACAAAACCCCATCTCTACTAAAAACACAAAAAAATTAGCCAGGCATGGTGGTGCGTGCCTGTAATTCCAGCTACTTGGGAGGCTGAGGCAGGAGAATCGCTTGAATAGCTTGAAACCCGGGAGGTGGAGGTTGCAGTGAGCCAAGCTCACGCCACTGCACTCCAGCCTGGGTGACAGAGTGAGACTCCATCTCAAAAAATAATAATTAAAAAAATAGGCAGGGCACAGTGGCTCACCCCTGTAATACCGGCACTTTGGGAGGCCGAAGCAGGCGGATCACCTGAGGTCAGGAGTTCAAGACCAGCCTGGCTAACATGGTGAAACCCCGTTTCTACTAAAAATACAAAAACTTAGCTGGGCATGGTGGTGCACGCCTGTAATCCCAGCTACTTGGGAGGCTGAGGCAGGAGAATTGCTTGAACCCGGGAGGTGGAGGTTGCAGTAAGCCAAGATCACTCCATTGCACTCCAGCTTGGACAACAAGAGCGAAACTCTGTCTCTAAATAAATAAATAAATAAATAAATAAAAAGATTCTATACCATGGGCTATGAAATCCTCCTTACTTCTCATTTTTTAATTAAACATTTATTGATTTACCAGTTCATCTCCTGTCCCTCTCTAAAGGGACACTGTAGAATATAAGTTCCAAGGCCATATCTGTTTTGGTCATCACTGTTTTTTTTGATTTCGGCATAGTAACTGGTACACAGGAGACAATAAATATTTGTAGAATGAATGTATAAAATGCCAAGCTCAAAATATTATTTTCATTCTATTCAGGATTAGGAACATAAATGAGGCAATCACCTCAAAGAATGGTAAACCTGATTAGAAAATGGAATCGTTAGCCATTACCAAATAAAATAAATTAAAGATTTTTTTTAATCTCAAAAAACTCAAGGCCGGGCGCAGTGGCCCATGCCTGTAATCCCAGCAGTTTGGGAGGCTGAAGCGAGCGGATCACTTGAGGTCAGGAGTTTGAGACCAGCCTGGCCAATGTGATGAAACCTGTCTCTACCAAAAAATACAAAAGTTAGCTGGGTGTGGTGGCACGTACAAGTAGTCCCAGCTACTCAGGAGGTTGGGGTGGGAGAATTGCTTAAACCAGGGAAGTGGCCGGGAGCAGTGGCTCACGCCTGTAATCCCAGCACTTTAGGAGGCCAAGGCGGATGGATCACGAGGTCAGGAGTTCAAGACCAGCCTGGCCAAGATGATGAAACCCCATCTCTATTAAAAATACAAAAAAATTAGCTGGGTGTGATGGTGGGCACTTGCAATCCCAGCTACTCGGGAGGCTGAAGCAGAGAATTGCTTGCACTTGGGAGGCGGAGGATGCAGTGAGCTGAGATCGTGCCACTGCACTCCAGCCTGGGCGACAGAGCAAGACTACATCTCAAAAAAACAAAAACAAAAACAAAAAAAACAGGGAAGCAGAGGTTGCAGTGAGCTGAAATCATGCCACTGCACTCTAGCCTGGTCGACAGAGTGGGATGCTCTGTATTAGTCAATTTTCACACTGCTGATAAAGACATACCCAAGACTGGGTAATTTATAAAGAAAAACAGACTTAATGGACCTATAGTTCCTCGTGGCTGGGGAGGTCTCACAATCATGGTGGAAGAGTAAAGGCACGTCTTACATGATGGCAGATGAGACAGAATTAGAGCCAAGCAAAAGAGGAAACACCTTATAAAATCATCAGATCTCATGAGACTTATTCACTACCACCAGAACAGTATGGGGGAAACCACCCCCATGATTCATTTATCTGCCACTAGGTCCTTCCTACAATTCATAAGAATTATGGAAGCCACAATTCAAGATGAGATTTGAGTGGCGACATAGCCAAACCATATAACCCTGTCTCGAAAAAGAAAAGAAAAGAACATAACAGAACAGAACTCAGTCTCCAGCTCCCAGCAAGCAGGAAGCCTCATTTTTGCATCTCAGTAAGGATCCTCTGACATGCAAACTTCATCTTTTTCTCCATGTTCCTACTATACATAGAGTGGTCATACATTGTCCAAACTAGAACCTTTTTGAGAGATAAAAGGAAGACACTGAACATGTGAATGAAAAATGGCCAGACCAAATGCAAAAATAGAACTCTGACTCACAATCTGCAGCAACCAGACCAGAAAACCAATATATCATCTACAAGTCAGACATGTAGGAAGTTAGATCACTATCACTAGCAAACAATCCAGGAACCCAGCAACAACCCCTGTAACAAACGGCCCCAGATGGCAAAAACTTTATTAATAAATGATAGCTTTTCTAATTTTTGGACCTGCTGTCAACATAGGACCAAAAAGAAAACCAACTGTGCATCCCAACCAAACACATAGGATGCTCTGCTAGTTCTATTTAGCCCACCTATAGCTTCCCTATGACAACAGTCTTCAGTTAGGGCGTACCTGAAGCCTTCCCCTATTCCCCACCATAAAGTTTTCCCACTCCTCTGCCTGTCTTTGAGGCTCTGCCAAAACACAAGTGATGGTGGCTGACTCCCTTGTTATAGCAAACTCTGAACAAATAGTCTTCACCTCTTCTTATGTATTTGGTCTTCATGTATTTCCACAAAGGGGATACTAGCAATAATTTTGCTGAATCAAAAATCAGGACTGTCCTGAGCAAATCTGGACATAAATCACCCTAGTTATGAAGCACAATTAGACCAGAAGCTGTTTGCTTGTGAAATACTGTATGAGGTTTAGGAGAAAGTGTGAAAGACAAAAGATAAAATACGCCACTACCACTAGGTGGGGTTACACCACCAAAGAATGGAGGATGCTTCAATTAAAAAAGGAAGTGCTTAAAGTGTATATGCACTTAGGTTACTGTTCAGTAATCTTTTTGGTTTTGATGCATGATATTGTAAATCCAAACATTGGAATCAATGTAAAATGGTCTTCAGGGCAATAATTGATGAAATAATTCCAACGAGAAATGTTCAAGCATATTATCATCTAGTATTAATTCACTTTCAATTATTGCCTTCTGCACCTGAAGCAGTAGTGAGATGAACAACACATTCCCTGCCTTTAAGAAGGAGGTGGCTGGGTGCAGTGGCTCATGCCTGTAATCCCAGCACTTTGAGAGGCCGAGACAGGCGAATCACGAGGTCAGGAGTTCAAGACGAGCCTGGCCAATATGGTGAAACCCTGTCTCTACTAAAAATACAAAAATTAGCTGGGCATGGTGGCATGCACCTGGAGTCCCAGCTACTTGGGAGGCTGAGGCAGAAGAATCGCTTGAACCCGGGAGGCGGAGGTTACAGTGAGCCAAGATCGTACCACTGCACTCTAGCCTGGCAATATAGTGAGACTCCACCTAAAAAAAAAAAGAAGAAAAAGAAGAAGAAGGCAGCATTCTAGAGTACTTCAAGTTTACATATGAATGGCTGGTTACATAATTTGTAAGACCCAGTGCAAAATGAAAATAAGGGACAGCTTATTCAGAAAGCATTTCAAGATGGCAACAGTACAGCATTAAACCACCTGTGGGGCCCTTCTGAGCACAGGGCCCTGTGTGACTGCAGAGGTCACATACCCATGAAGTCAACCCTAAGTGTAGGATAGTATTCTATGACAAATTATAGACTAATAAACTATATTGCCTAGTACATGTCATGATACTACTAGGCCTTTCAATGTGGTTGTTTATTTGTTCGTTTTTTTGAGATGGAGTTTTGCTCTTGTTGCCCAGGCTAGAGTGCAATGGCGCAATCTCAGCTCACTGCAACCTCTGCCTCCCAGGTTCAAGTGATTCTCCTGCCTCAGCCTCCCAAGTAGCTAGGATTACAGGCATGGGCCACCACACCCGGATAATTTTGTATTTTTAATAGAGACAGGGTTTCACCACATTGGTCAGGCTAGTCTTGAACTCCTGACCTCAGGTGATCCACCTGCCTCTGCCTCCCAAAGTGCTGGTAGTATAGGCATGAGCCACCATGCCTGGCCTCAGTGTGTTTTCATTCTATGTTGGACATTTGGCATGCACAGAATTACATTTCATTTTAAAAATTACTGAGCATTGACTACATTTGTACTATATGCTGTAGGGAATCTTTGCTAACATTTAATCAAGCACATAAATACCTAATCAAATTTTTTAAATGTTATAAAAAGTTAGTTATAATTCTTCCACTTTTCCCCACAAGCCTAAAGCGCAGAGCAGAGACTGAAACTGGTAGGCACTCAATAAACACTTGTTGAATGAATGCAAGAAGGCTGGAAAGTCCAATATCAAGGAGTTGTTATTTGGTGAGGGCCTTCTTGCTGTGTCATCCCATGGCAAAAGGCAGAATGGCAACAAAAGAGCCAAATTTTATTCAGCCTTAAAAGTGAAGGAAAGGCCAGGTGCGGTGGCTTATACCTGTAATCCCAGCACTTTGGGAGGCCAAGGCAGGTGGATCACCTCAGGTCAGGAGTTGGAGATCAGCCTGGCCAACATGGCAAAACGCCATTTCTACTAAAAATACAAAAAATTAGCCGGGTGTGGTGGTACACACCTGTAGTCCCAACTACTTGGGAGGCTGAGGTGGTAGAATCTCTTGAACCCAGGAGGCGAAGGTTGCAGTGAGCTGAGATTGCGCCACTGCACTCCAGCCTGGGCAACAGAGCAAGACTCTGTATCAAAAAAAAAAAAAAAAAAAAAAGAAAAGAAAGAAGGAAATTCTAACACATGCTATATGAGGGCATTAAGCTAAGAAACAAGCCAGTCACAAAAGTCAAATACTGGAAGATTCCACTTATATGAGGAAGTTAGTGTAGTCAAAATCATAAAGACAGTAAGTAGAATGGTAGTTGCCAGGGGCTGGGGGGAGGGAGGAATGGGGAGTTATTTTTTAATTAGTATAGAGTTTTAGTTGTACAAGATGAAAAGAGTTCTGGAACTAGATGGCAGTGATGGTTGCATATTATGAATGTATTATCACTAAACTGCACACTTTAAAATGTTTAAGATGGTGAATGTTCTTATATTTTACAACTAAAAAAATAAAAAATAAAACTACACATAGTGAAGAAGTAGGAAATGAAGTTGCAACCAAACGGATCAATATTTTGAGTGGGAAATCTAATACTTAATTCAGTGCTAATTTTTATATTTTTAGTAGAGACAAGGTTTCACCATGTTGGCCAGGCTGGTCGTGAACTCCTGACCTCAAGTGATCTGCCCGCCTCGGCCTCCCAAAGTGCTGGGATTACAGGTGTGAGCCACCGTGCCCGGCCTCACGCCCTTCTCTTAATTCCATTTTCTCTCCCCTCTGCCCCTTAATACACTGCACTTAACCTTGTCATAAGCCAAGGAGGACCTGAAATAAGAATACTCAAAACACGGTTGAAATAAACAAGAAGACAGAAACTAAAGCCAGCATTTTTTTTTTAATGCTTGGTAACTGTCCCTTTGTGTCTCCCTAAGTGCAGGATAAACTTCTTGGGGCAAATACAAACGTTTGATAAAATTCTGGGCCAAGGAGTCCTGCACTGGATATATTCAACAAATTACCTGCCGATGATAACAGCGTAAGTCAAACGAGTTCTAAAAGTAACAAATGACTTAGTTATCTGGATAAATCCGTCCTTCCTTTTCTTTTTCACCTAGCCCTTTTGTCGGGCCTCTAAAATGTAAGATAACTACGTGGGAAAGCAAGCAGCGGCTGGTGGTGTGTTTTTACCCTGATTTTATCACTCCAAGTATCTACCGTGGCTGGTTTTGCGAAGACTAGCTTTGTATCAGAATGAGGTGTGGCTGGAACGCCTGAGGAAAGCAAACCAAGTTTTCCAGAGGACGCCGTTGACAGCGTCTCCGCACACCGCGCCGGGGTAGGAACTTCCTCCCACCTGGTTCGCCCGGCGGGGAACCAATAAAGTTGAGCGCGTTCAAAGGGGTCCTAATCTTCCAGGGTCCACTGGGCAGGCCTGCAAAATAAGGCCCCTAGAAACTCCCTGAGGTTTTCAAGTCTTCTCCCTCTCCTCGGAATTTTTTCCCCTTCATTCGCATTACTTTTATTCTGACGGAAACGGCGCGGGCTAGGCCCCAGGAGGGGCGCATTTCAGGTGCAACTGGCCCGGCGATCGCGGCGGGCAACCCCTACGAGGCCCCCGGTTGACTAGGAGCTGGCGGTCCGAGCTGTGGCTTGGAAGACCGACGCGATGAAGCCCAGACCTGCAGGGTTCGTGGATAATAAACTCAAGCAGCGAGTCATCCAGGTGTGTATTCTGCACCGCTTGGCCTCGCCAAGGGCCCCGATCGCTGCCCCAGGGTGCCACTCCCCTTTTGTCGGGTGGCATCCAGGTGGAACTCAACTAGTCTTCTTTCCCCAGTCTGGGTCTGGGCGTGCGTCTGTTTCTCCTTAGTTGGTGCTGCCGGGGCCTTCCCTACCCACGTTGGTGCGGAGTCTCAGGGAGAAGCCGGGGATGGTGGGAGGGTGCAGCTTGGTAGGGCTGCCCAAGTTGTCTGGTCGTCTTCAGCGCAGATCATTCAGTAGAGTGGAGGTAGCCTTTGAATTTTAACCTCTTTGGCTTGTGAAGTTAGCACAGGAATGGTCTTCAAACGCTCGCATTGTAAGAGGTCCTTGAGAAGGGGTGGCATAAATAATATGTTAATTTCCGTTCTCAAGGAACTTACACACTAAAACGAGATAACATGGGTCTGGCAACAGTAACAGGCACTTTGCCTACGGTTTTCTCATTTTCATGACCATCAGTAAAAAGCAGTGTGTGGCAAATACCTCAGAATGTAAGCAAGCAGTCTGAGTTAAAAGGTGGGAGAGAATTTTCTTCACTTAGGAATTTGTGAGCTACACATTCTCCTTGTTTTTCTTTCACTTCACCAGCCCCTAAACAATCTCCTTTTCGGACCCATCTTTTCCTACCAACTTGTAAATGTTGGAAGTGCTCTGTGCCACTGTTCTCTTACCTCCCCTTCCTCCTCTTTCCTCATACACCTTTCTTATCTATCCATACTTCCTATGTGATCTCATTTAGTGTAATAACCTTTGAGTAGTATCTACATACTCTATTATCTATGTATTTATTTCATTTTATTTTTATTTTTCTGAGACATAGTCTCGCTCTGTTGCCCAGGCTAGAGTGCAGTGGCTGTTTATGGGCACAATCATAACTCACTGCACCCTCGGCCTCCCTGACTCAAGTGATCCTCCCTCCTCAGCCTCCCCAGTAGCTGGGACTACAGGTGTGCACCACCACACCTGGCTAATTTATTATTATTATTATTATTTGTAGAGACGGGGTTCCACTATGTTACTCTGGCTGGTCTCTAACTCCTGGGCTCAAGCGATCGGGCCTCAGCCTCCCAAAGTGCTGGGATTACCGGTGCAAGCTGCTGCACTGGCCTCTGTATATTTATGACTGCTAACTTTATATCTCCAGTCCAGATTTTATCTTGAAGTACAGATTGATATATCCAGCTGCCTAGTCAGCATATCTCCAAATTAAAATGGCCAAGTGGAATTTGTGATTTTTTTCTTCCTTCAAATCTGCCCTTTCTTAGTGTTCTGTATCTCAGTAAATGATACTACCGTTCGTCCTGTTGTTAAGGCCAAAAACCTTAAGGATCATTCTGAGTCTTTCATTTCCTGTATACCATCTGTCAACAGCCTGGTTGGCTTTACTTTCAAAATATATTCCAAGTACTTCTTACTGTCTTTCCCTGTAACCATCTTAGTCCAAACCATCATCTCTACCTTATACTATTACAATAGCCTCCTAACTGATCTCTCTGATTCTGCTTTTACCTAAAGCCTATTCCCCACAGAGCAGCCAGAGACATCTAATTTTTTTTTTTTTTTCTGCTCACTGCAACCTCTGCCTCCTGGGTTCAAGTGATTCTCCTGCCTCAGCCTCCCGAGTACGTGGGATTACAAGTGCATGCCATCACGCCTGGCTACTTTTTGTATTTTTAGTAGGGATGGGATTTCACCATGTTGGCCAGGCTAGTCTCGAACTCCTGACCTCAGGTGATCTGCCCGCCTCAGCCTCCCAAAGTGCTGGGATTACAGGCGTGGCCAAGACATCCTTTTAAAGGGAAAAATCGGGCTAGGGGAGGGATAGCATTAGGAAAAATACCTAATGTAGATGACGGGTTGATGGGTGCAGGAAACCACCATGGCACCTGTATACCTATGTAACAAACCCGCATGTTCTGCACATGTATCCCAGAACTTAAAGTATAACTAAAAAAAAGGGGGGGGAAATCAGAGCTTGCCATAGCCCTGCTCAAAACCTTTCAGTGGAGTCACAGACATCTAGAGTAAAACCCAGTCTGAAAAGCCCTGCATATTCTGGCCTCTGTTGTCCTAGTTTACTTTTCCTCTCCTGTCCCAGCCACACAGACCTTCTCAAACATGCCAAGCACAGGACCTTTGTTCTCGTTGTTCAGTCACTCTGAATTACTCTTCCTCTGGATGTTCCCGCGTCCCACAACTTGCTCCTTCACTTTATTGAGGTTTCTGAGCAGTGACTCCTAATTACTGGATCTAGTGGCCTCTTCTCTGTCCTCACACTTGACTCTTTTCAGCGTTTGACATTATCAGTTTTCCTCTATAGCTTTCACTTTGGTTCATTATAAAAGTACAAATGAATATCCCTTATTCTAAATGCTTAAGACCAAAAAATGTTTCAGATTGATTTTTTTCAGGTTTTGGAATGTTTGCATATACATAATGAGATATTTGGGGATGGGACCCAAGTTAAACATGAAGTTTATTTATGTTTCATATACACCTTACACACATAGCCTGAAGATAGTCTTACACAATATTTTAAATAAATTTTCACTTAGCTATATATTTAATTTAATTTTAATTTTTTATTTTTGAGACTGGGTCTAGCTCTGTCACCCAGGCTGGAGTGCAGTGGTGTGAACACTGCTCACTGCCATCTCAAACTCGTGGGGTCAAGTGATTCTCCCACCTCAGCCTCCCATGTAGCTGGGACCACAGGTATGCACCACCATGTCTGGCTAATTTTAAAATTTTTTGTAGAGATGAGATCTTACCACCTTGCCCAGGCTGGTCTCGAACACCTGGACTGAAGCAATCCTCCCGCCTTGGCCTCTCAAAGTGCTGGGATTACGGGTGTGAGCCACCACGCCCGGGCTTATTTATGTATTTATTTTTGAGATAAGGTCTCGTTCTGTTATCCAGGCTGGAGTGCAGTGGCTCGATCATAGCTCACTGCAACCTCTAAGTCTGGGCTTAAGCGATCTCCCACCTTGGCCTCCCAAAATGCTGGGAGTATAAGCACAAGCCACCACATCCAACCAACTTTTTAATTTTTTTGTAGAGATGAGGTCAAACTTTGTTGCCCAGGGTGGTCTCAAACTCCTGGGCTCCCAAAGTGTTGGGATTACAGATATGAGCCACCATGCCCAGCCAAAAGGTGATTTAATATTGAAACTAAATTGCCTCAAGCTAGTAGTTCTGCAGTATCTGACAGATGTCAAATATCACTGTGTTCCTTGAAGTTTAAAATATCCCCTCCTACCCTTATGAGTTTACTGCAGTGTTCTGGGGTGTTTGGAAACCTAGGATATTAGTAAGTAAGCCCTCACTTACTGCCTTATAACTATTCTGATAATTATTAGTATTGTATTATAGTGATTAATAATGTTAATTAAATTTTCTGATTTCATATTTGACAATTATTTGGTTACTTTTATTTATGTTTCTGGTACACTTTATTAACGAAGAGTTTATCTTAAAGTATAATGTGTTCAGATAGCTCAATCTGTTGATTAAAATCACTGAGTTTGAAATATTGGGTGTTTTGTATTTGTTATATTTTCTGTTTTAGTACCTTACCAGTAACAAATGTGGCAAATATGTGGACATTGGAGTCTTAGCGTCTGATTTACAAAGAGTGTACAGGTAAATAAATATAGTTTCCGGATCCTTGGATTTTTATGTCTCCTTTACCATTTTAAAAGTTTATATCCTGCCTAAATTTCCAGTTGATATCAGTAGCTGCTGGCATTAGTTCACCAATCCATAATCTTGGAACTCAATTCAGTTATGCAAACATTTATCAAATACCTATTATGTGCAGTAAAATGTCTTTTGTACTGTGGGAAATGGGTCACTGCTTATCTTTTAGTACCTGACAGTCTGGTCAAGAGATAGAGATGTTATTATATCACTTCCTTTCCTGCTACATTAGAAAATTAAAACCGGGCCAGTCATAATGGCTCATGCCTGTAATCTCAACACTTTGGGAGGCTGAGGTGGGAGGATGGCTTAAGCCCAGGAGTTTGAGACCAGCCTGGGCAACATGGTGAAACCCCATCTGTACAAAAAATATACAAAAATTTGCCAGGCTTGGTGGCATGCACCTGTGGTCCCACCTACTTGGGAGGCTGAGGTGGGAGGATCACTTGAGCCCAGGAGGTCAAGGCTGTAGTGAGCTGTGGTCACGCCACTGCACTCTAACCTCAGTGACAGAATAAGATCCTGTCCCAAAAAAGAAAGAAAATTAAAACCATCACCAGCAGGTATGATCTCCCTGAGTTTCCTGACTCCTTTCTTTTTGAGACAGAATTTCGCTCTTGTTGCCCAGGCTGGAGTGCAATGGCATGACCTCAGCTCACCGCAACCTCCGCTTCCCAGGTTCAAGCAATTCTCCTGCCTCAGCTTCCCAAGTAGCTGGAATTACAGGCATGTGCCACCACACCTGGGTAATTTTGTATTTTTAGTAGAGACAGGGCTTCACCATGTTGGCCAGGCTGGTCTCGAACTCCTGACCTCAGGTGATCCGCCCACCTTGGCCTCCCAAAGTGCTGGGATTACAGACGTGAGCCACAGCGCCCAGCCTCTTTTTTTTTTTTTTTAAATACAGTTTTTATTTTTATTTTTTGTGGAGACAGGGCCTTCTGTATTTGCCCAGGTTGGTCTGGAACACCTGACCTCAAGTGATCCTTCCACCTTCGCCTCCCTAAGTGCTAGGATGACACGCATGAGCCACCATGCCCAGCCAGCTTCCTGAGTCTTTTTTTTTTTTTCTGAGACGGAGTCTTGCTCTGTCGCCCAGGCTGGAGTGCAGTGGCGCGATCTCGGCTCACTGCAAGCTCTGCCTCCTGGGTTTAAGCGATTCTCCTGCCTCAGCCTCCTGAGTAGCTGGGATTACAGGCGTGTGCTAACCACACCCAACTAATTTTTGTATTTTTAATAGAGATGGGGTTTCACCATGTTGGCCAGGCTGGTCTTGAACTCCTGACCTCAGGTGATCTGCCTACCTCAGCCTCCCAAAGTGCTGGGGTTATAGGTGGGAGCCACCGCACCTGGCCAAGAATACCTTAATTATTTCTAGAGGCTCTATCTCCAAATGCAGTCATATTCAGAGGTACTGGGGGTTAGGACATCAACATAAGAATATAAGGGAAACACAATTCAGCTTATTGGACTCTGTCCTGTGGCTCCCAAAATTCATGGCCTTCTCATGTGCAGATACATTCATTCCATTCCACAAGCCCCAAAAGTCTTAACTCATTTTAGCATCAACTCTTAAGTCCAAACTCTCATCTCAATATCATCTAAATCAGGCCAGATGCAAGGACTCACACCTATAATCCCAGCATTTTGAGGGGCCATTGGCTTAAGGCCATAGAGTTCAAGACCAACTTGGGGAACATAGTGAGACCCCATCTCTACAAAATGAAAATAGAAATAATTAGCTGGGCATGGTGGCCTGAACCTGTAGTCCTTGCTACTCAAGAGGCTGAGGTGGGAGGATCGCTTGAGCCCAGGAGTTCAAGGTTGCAGTGAGCTATGATTGCACCAGTGCACTCCAGCTGGGTAACAGAGCAAGACCCTGTCTCTAAAAATAAAATAAATAAAAATAATGTTATCTAAATTAATTGGTAATGGCTGAGATTCAAGGTATGATTTATCCTGGGGCAAAATTCCTCTTCATCTATTAACCTGTGAAACCAGACAAGTTATCTGCTTCCAAAATACAGGCATGTGCTATATAACAGTGTTTCAGTCAATGATGGACCTCATGTATGATGGTGATCCCATAAGATTATTACATCATATTTGTACTGTACCTTTTCTGTGTTTAGATATGTTTAAAAACACAATACCATTGTGTTACAGTTGCCTATAGTATTTAGTACAATAATGTGCTGTATAGGTTTGTAGGCACAGTAGGCTATACCATGTAGTCTAGGTGTGTAATAGGCTAGCCCATCTAGGTTTGTGTAAGTATACTCTTACTTATTTTTGTTTTCACACAATGAAAATGCTTAATGATACACTTCTCAGAATGTGTCTCCATTGTTTAGTGATGCACAATTGTACAATGGCAGGACAGGCATAGGTGTAGGTTAGACATTCATTCCTATTCTAAAAGAGAGCAATTGGAAAAAAGAAAGGGTCATGGGTCCCAAGCAAATCTAAAACCAAGCAGGGCAAATGTCATTAGATTTTCAGATGTTAGAATAATCCTCTTTGGCTTGATGCCCTGCCCTGTGGGCTCCGTAGGGTGGTGATCCTGCCCTGTTACCTAGGAGGAGGCAGCCCCACCTGCCGGACCTGTGCCCTCTGGGTTTGTGTTGGCAGTGGCAGCCCTGCCTTCTTTTGAGCCTCCTGAAGGGTCGTTCTTCCCTTTTCTTGAAGGATAACTTGTGTTCACAACTGGATGGTTTTATTGGCCCTGTCCTATAGAATCCTGGAAGTCCAACAGCCTTCCTTAATTTTGTCCCCATCTCGGTCCCTTCAGTCCAAGCTGGCAGTGTTTCTGTTGCTTTAACCCCATGTCTATTCCTGGCTTCTGCTAAGATGGCTGACTGGATCCATAAGTCATATGCTGGTAATCGCTTTAGCAAATTGTTGTCCCCCCACACCCTTGATGTTCTCTTTAGATTATGCTTTTTCATTTTTTACAATATGGATAAACTGAGAATTTTCCAATCTTCAGGTTCTAGTTTCCTTTTTGTTGAACAATTCCTTCTTTATGTCTCTCTATACTGTAAAATTTTACTATAAGCAGCAAGGAGAAATCAGGCCACACTTCAACACTTTGCTTGGAAATGTGAGTGAAATATCTAGATTCATCACTTACAAGTTCTACTTTTAAAACAGTAAAACACAAGTCCTCTGCCACTTCGTAACATGGACTGCCTTTCTTCCAATTTCCAATATCCTGCTTCTCATTTCTGTCTGAGACCTCACCAGAAGCATCTTTAACATTCATATTTCTAATAGCATTCTCTCTCTGTGTGTATATAACTATAGAACCTTCCTGTACAGCTCTTCTCTTGTCTTTCTGAGCTCTTACCAGAATTGCCTTCCGTGTCTTTTTTTTTTTGGAGATGGAGTCTCACTCTGTCACCCAGGCTGGAGTGCAGTGGCGCAATCTCAGCTCACTGCAACCTCTGCCTCCCTGGTTCAAGCGATTCTCCTGCCTCAGCCTCCCGAGGGGCTGGGACTACGGGTGCACGCCACCATGCCTGGCTAATTTTTTGTATTTTAGTAGCGACAGGGTTTCACTGTGTTGCCCAGGCTGGTCTTGAACTCCTGAGCTCAGGCAATCTGCCCGCCTCATTCTCCCAACATGCTAGGATTATAGGCATGAGCCACCACGCCCTGCGGTGTCCATATTTCTAACAGCAGTCACTTCAGAGCCATCTAGGTTTCTTCTAACATGCACCTCAAAACTCTCTGGCCTCTACTACCTAGTTCTGAAACCATTTCTACATTTTAAGGTATTTGTCACAGTAGCACTATACTTATCAATACCAAAATCTGTATTAGGAAGGAAGAAAAGAAGAGAAACTAAGACAGAAAGCTTTTTAAAACAATAGTATACCTCACTTTGGCTACCACTCAGTAGTATTTTTCCTTCCCCTGATCAGAATTTATTTAATGAGTGGTCTAAGGCCAGGGCACAGTGGCTCACACCTGTAATTTCAGCACTTAGAGAGGCTGACACAGGAGGATTGCTTGAGGCTAGGAGTTTGAGACCAGACTGGGCAACATAGCAAGATTCTGTCTCTACCAAAAAAAAAAAAAAAAAAAATTAGCGTGGCATGCACCTGTAGTCTGTCTTAGCTACTCAGGAAGTTGAAGCAGGAGGATCACTTGAGGCCAGGAATTCAAGGCTGCAGTGAGCTACGATTGCACCGCTGCACTGAAGCGTGGGTGACAGAGCAAGACCCTGTCTCTTAAAAAATAAAAATAAAGACTAAACTAAGATTGTTTCTATCCCCGCCACTCACTCCATTGAAATCTGTGAGTTGTGTTTTGTTGGTAACCTTTTTTCTTAGTTGGTGGTATGACTGTTACTCAGCCAGTCACCCAGGTTAATCTGTATGTTGTCCACTTCCTTCTACCTAGCCTTGAATCCCCCTGCCATGTCTATAATAAGTCACCAAGAAGCCTTGCTGTGGTCTCTTAAATATTTCATGATGCCTGTTCTCTCCTTTCCCTACCATTACTATACTAGCCTAATCCAGAGCCTCATTATTTCTTGTCTAGACTACTGTTTCAGTTTTTTTTTTTTTTTTTGAGGTGGAATCTTACTCTGTTGCTCAGGGTGGAGTGCAGCGGGGCAATCTCGGCTCACTGCAACCTCCGCCTCCTGGGTTCAAGTGACTCTCCTGCCTCAGCCTCCCAAGTAGCCAGGACTACAGGTGTACACCACCACACCCTAAAAATTTATTTAAAATTTATTTAAAAATTATTACTAAAAATAATTTTTGTATTTTTAGTAGAGATGTGGTTTCGCCATGTTGGCCAGTCTGGTCTTGAACTCTTGACCTCAAGTGATCCTCCTGCCTTGGCATCCCAAAGTGTTAGGATTATAGGCATGAGCCACTACACCTGGCCTGTTTCAGCTTTTAAACATTCTGCCTACATCCATCTGCCATCTTCTCTTATCCAGGTGTTGGCAAACTATGGCCCTCAAACCAGTTCCTGCCTACCACCTTGTTTTGTATGGCTCATGAGTGAAGAATCGCTTTTACGTCTTTCTTTCTCTCTTTGTTTAATTTTTAATTAATTATTTATTTATTTTTTGGAGACACAGTCTCGCTCTATCATCCAGGTTGGAGTGCAGTGGCTCAATCTCGGCTCACTGCAGCTTCAGCCCCCTGGGCTCATCCTTCTGCCTCAGCCCCCAGATGGCTGGAACTAAGGCACATGCCACCATGCCCCGCTGATTCTTTGTATTTTTTGTAGAGATGGGGTTTTGCCATGTTGCCCAGCTGGCCTTGAACTCCTGAGCTCAAGTGATCCTCTCGCCTCAGCCTCCTAAAGTGCTAGGATTCCAGGCATGAGCCACCGTGCCAGGCCCCAAGTTGCCTTTTTAAATGGTCATGATTTAGTACAATATTTGCCTCATCTAAAACTTTGTGTTTTGAAGTAATTTCACATTTAAGAAAAACTGACCCAGACGAGCTTAGACAACATAGTGAGACCCCCATCTCTGCAAAAAAAATCAAAAAATTAACTAGGTGTGCTGGCACGTGTCTGTCATCGTACCTACTCGGATGCTGGGGTGGGAGGATTGCATGAGACCAGGAGGTTGAGGTTGTGGCAAGCTCTGATTGCACAACTACACTTCAGCCTGACTGAGTGAGACCCTGTCTCAAAAACATAAAGTTTTTTTTTTTTTTGAGATGGAGTCTCACTCAGTCACCCAGGCTGGAGTGTGGTGGTGTGATGTCTGCCCACTGCAACCTCCACCTCCTGGGCTCAAGTGATACTCCTGCCTCAGCCTCCCAAGTAGCTGGGATTACAGGCACCCACCACCATGCCTGGCTGATTTTTGTATTTTTAGTAGAGATGGGGTTTTACCATGTTGGCCAGGCTAGTTTCGAACTCCTGACCGCAAATGATCCGCCCATCTTGGCCTCCCAAAGTACTGGGATTACAAGTGTGAGCCACTGCGCTGGCACAGATTTTTATAAAGAGGAAAATGGAAAAAATAGTACAAAGAACACCCATATACTCTACCTAGAATGTCCCTTTATCCATGCATACTATCTATTCCCTAAGGACAAAGGCTTTTATTATATAACCACAGTTTATTTATTAAAACCAGAAAATGTAATCTTGATTCAGTAATATTATCGAATCCACCATTCATATTCAGAGTTTGCCTGTCTCAATAATGTTCTTTATAGCTATTATTTTATCGGAATTTTTTTTCCAGAACTGAAATCCAGCCCCTAAATTATGCTTGTTTTGCTTTTTAGTTTCCTTTAATCTGCAACAGTTCCTCAACCTTTTTTTGTTTTTCATGATCTTTACATTTTTGAAGATTACAGGTAGTTACTATATAGAATATCCCTCAATTTGGATTTTTCTGCTGTTTTCACATGGTTGGAATCAGGTTATATGTTTTTGGAAGGAAAACCAAAGAAGCAATTTGACTTCAAAAGGCACAGAATATCTGTGTGGGGTGTTATTCGGTAATGTTAGTTTTGATCGATCCACTGTAAATTAATTTGAAATTAATAAATAATTTATAAGAATATATTTTCAGATTATACAAATATCCTGTACTCATCAAACTTTCACCTATATTTTTAGCAGATGGTCTTGCTAAAAATGTTTAACTTGAATTTAATAATGAGGAGACATAAATTCAGATTGTGGGACATTTTATAAATTAGCTGGCCTGGATCCTTCAAAAATGTCAGTGTTACATGCACAAAGGTGAAGAGATTATTACAAGTTAAAAGAGTCCAAAGAGACACAACAACCAAGTAAATGCATGAACCTTGACTAGACTCTGGGTCAAAGAAAAACAACTATATCCTGTCTCTACTAAAAATACAAAAAAATAGCCGGGTGTGGTGGCAGGCGCCTGTAGTCCCAGCTACTCAGGAGGCTGAGGCAGGAGAATGGCGTGAACCCCGGAAGCGGAGTCTGCAGTGAGCCGAGATTGCACCACTGCACTCCAGCCTGGGCCACAGAGCGAGACTCCGTTTCAAAAAAACAAAAAGAAAGAAAGAAAAACAACTATAAAGACCATTTTTTGGGAATAATTTGAGAAATTTTAATATGGACTGTATATTAGATAATTTATCAATATTAAATTTCTTATTTGTGCTAATTGTATTGTAGCTATGCAGATATCCTTTTTTTTTTTTTTTTTTTTTTTGAGACGGAGTCTTGCTCTGTCCCCAGGCTGGAGTGCAGTGGTGTGATCTCGGCTCACTGCAACCTCCGCCTCCTGGGTTCATGGGATTCTCCTGCCTCAGCCTCCCAAGTAACTGGGACCACAAGTGTGCACCACCACACCCAGCTGATTTTTTTTTTTTTTTTTGAGACGGAGTCCCGCTTTGTCGCCCAGGCTGGAGTGCAGTGGCACGATCTTGGCTCACTGCAAGCTCTGCCTCCTGGGTTCACGCCATTCTGTTGCCTCAGGCTCCCCAGTAGCTGGGACTACAGGCGCCCACCACCACGCCTGGCTAATTTTTTTTTTTTTTATTTTTAGAAGAGACGAGGTTTCACCGTGTTAGCCAGGCTGGTCTCAATCTCCTGACCTCATGATCCTCCCACCTCAGCCTCCCAAAGTTCTGGAATTACAGGAGTGAGCCACCGCACCTGGCTGCAGATATTCTTTTTTAAAGAGATACATGCTGAGAATTTTTGAGACGAAGGGTCTGTAACTTAGTTTCTTCTTCTTAGTTTTTTAATTTATTATTTTTTTTGAGATGAGATCTTGCTCTGTTGGCCAAGCTGAGTGCATTGGCGCAATCACGGCTCACTGCAGCCTTCACCTCCCAGACTCAAGCTGTTCTCCCACCTCAGCCTCCCAAGTAGCTGGGACTACAGCCACGTACTACCATACCTGGCTAATTTTTAATATTTTGTAGGGATAGGGTTTCCCTATGTTGGCAGGGATGGTCTCAAACTCCTAGGCTCAAGTGATTCTCCCACCTCAGCCTCCCAAAGTGCTGGGATTACAGGCATGAGCCACTGTGCCTGGCCTAGAACTTATTTTCAAATGGTTTTGCTCTACCCCTCCAAAAGAAATCTCTATATGTAGACAGAAGTAAAGTAAATGTGGCAGTTTGAGAATACTATAGGTAAAGAATATACGAGTGTTGATTACATTATTTCTTTCATATTTTTAGTAACTTTGAAATTTTAAAATAAAAATATTTGAAGCAAAAAAGGTTAGTTTAAAAAAGGGGGAAAATGGAGAAAGGTCACAATAGTAAATATATAAACTTAGAAGTTTGAAAATAGGGTTATGGCAAGTGTCTATACTGTAACAATGAAATATTCATGAAAATTTATTTGATCCATTTAGATTGAACTTAATGGAAAAATATTGGTGGAGACTACTATGGTAAACTTCTTGTTTTCTTTTTTCAGTATAGACTATGGTCGAAGAAAAAGAAATGCTTTTAGGATTCAGGTAGAAAAAGGTGAGTCTTATTGTTAGAGCTAAATTATCAATAAAGTTATACAAACGATTGTTTTAGCTCATAGCGTTTTTCTTTTTGTTTCAGTATTTAGCATAATTAGTAGTGAGAAGGAACTTAAGAATTTAACAGAATTAGAAGATGAACATTTGGCAAAAAGGGCAAGACAAGGTGAAGAGGATAATGAGTAAGTATACCAAATGCAGGGTTTTTTTAAACCATGAACTTTATCATGTTACATTCCTGCTTGTAAAACTTTCAGTGGCTCTTCATTGCCAACAAAGCCCTGCGTGATATTTACCTAACCTCTTCAGCCATATTGAATGTTCTTTATTCCCCAAAGAGATCAAATTCTCTTTGGCTGTGCCTTTGTATGGGTGGTTTTATTGAGTTAGAGTGTCATTTCCCTTTCACAAACTCCCACACAGCCCTCAAGAATCAGTTGAAATGTTACTGCCTTTATTAGGCCTAAGACCCCTTTTTAAATGTTTCCTTAGCTTCTAGTTACAGATATTTGTTATAATCCTTATCATATCATACGGCATTGAAATTATTTGCTTACTTGTTTGCATTACCAACAGTACTGTCTCATTACCTTCTTTTTCTGCCCTAATACAATATCAGATATATAAAAAGGTGCTGATTAATTTTGTTTAAGAAATAGTATTGAGAGTTTAAAAAATAGCTTTATTGAGGTATAATTGACATCAGTAAGCTCTACTTTTTTTTTTTTTTTTCTTTTGAGATTAAGTCTCACTCTGTCACCCAGGCTGGAGTGCAGTGGCACCATCTCGGCTCACTGCAACCTCTGCCCCCCGGGTTCAAGCGATTCTCTTGCCTCAGCCTCCCAAGTAGCTGGGATTACAGTCATGTGCCACCACACCCGGCTAATTTTTTATATTTTTGGTAGAGACGGGGTTTCACCATGTTGGCCAGGCTGGTCTCGAACTCCTGACTTCTAGTGATCCGCACATCTTGGCCTCCCAAAGTGCTGGGATTACAGGCGTGAGCCATTGCGCCTGGCCAACCTCTTCATTTTTAAAGTGTACAATTTGTTAAGTTTTGACATATAGATATACTCACTGAACTATCACCATAAGCAAGATACTGAACCTTTCCATAAATATCAAAAGTCTTCTTGTTCCGCTTTGCAATTCATTTCTCCCTCCACCCCTGCTTCTAGGCAAACTTTTTTCTTTTTCTTTTTTTTTTTTTTTTGAGACAGGGTTTTACTCTGTCACCCAGGCTGGAGTGCGATCACAGCTCATTGCAGCCTTGACTTCCCAGGTTACTTGATTCTTCTCCTTCAGCCTCCCAAGTAGCTGCAGGCACATGCTACCACACCTAGCTAATTTTTCGTAGAAATGGGGTTTTGCCATGTTGCCCAGGTTGGTCTCAAACTCCTGGGCTCAAGCAGTCTGCCCGCCTCATCCTCCCAAAGTGTTGGGATTATAGGTGCGAGCCACAGCACCCAGCTTTAGGCAACCATTGATTTGCTTTCTGTCACTGTATGTTACATTGCATTTTGTAGAATTTTATTTGGAATCATACTTTTAAAGTCTGGATTCTTTCATTCTTTCACTTAGCATGATTTTGAGATTTATCAATGTTGTGTGTATCAATAGTTCATTGCTTTTTATTGATAAGTATGTATGGACATGCTGCAATTATTTTATCTATTTATCTGTTTTTTTGTTTGTTTTTTTTGAGACAGAGTCTCACTTTGTTGCTCAGGCTGGAATGTAGTGGAGAGGCATATCATAACTCACTGCAGCCTCTACCTCCTGGGCTCAGGCGATTCTCCCATACGGGTGCATGCTACCATGCCCAGTTAATTTTCTAATTTTTTGTAGAAATGGGGGTCTCACTATGTTGTCAGGCTGGTCTTGTACCCCTGGGCTCAAGCAATCCTCTTGCCTCGGACTCCCAGAATGCTGGGATTACAGGTGTGAACCACCTTGCCTGACCTATCTGTTTATCTCTTGTTGGGCAGTTGGTTTGTTTCCAGTTTCTGGCTATTACAAATTAAGCTGCTATGAACATTTATGCTCATAAAATTCTACAAAATGCAATGTAACATATAGTGACAGAAAGCAAATCAATGGTTGCCTAAAGCCAGGTCTTTGTGTGGACAGTATTTTCATTTCCCTTGTTAAATATCTAAGATTAGAATAGCTGGGTCGTGTGATAGATGCATATTTAAGAAATTGCCAAACTATTTTCCAATGTCTTTATACCATTTTACTTTTACATTAGCAGTTTATGAGAATTCTACTCTTTCCACAAATTGCTGATATTTGTTATGGTCAGTGTTTAATTTTCAGTAGTGTTTCACTGTAAATATGACATTAGCTTTAGGTTTTTTTGTAGATGTCCTTTGTCAGATTGAGGAAGTTTCCTAATATTCCTAGATTGCTGAGAATTTTTGTCATGAATAGGTATTGCATTTGTCAAATGCTTTTCTGCATCTGTTGAAATTTCTCATTATGGCCTTTCCCCTTTAGTCTATTAATTTGATGAATTACATTGGTTCCCAGTATTAAGCCAATCTTGCCTCCTGGGGATAAACTCTACTTGGTCCTGATATGTTATCTTTTTAATGTATTGTTGGCAGCTTGGGCAACACAGCAAGACTCTGTCTCTACAGAAAATTTAAAAATTAGCCAGGCATAGTGGTGCATGGTTCTATCCCAGCTTCTTTGGAAGTTGAGGTAGGAGGATTGCTTGAGCCCCAGAGTTGAAGGTTACAATGAGCTATAATTATGCCACTGCACTCCAGCCTGGGTGAGAGAGTGAGGCCTTGTCTCTAAAAAAAAAAAAAAAGAAACAGAGTTATTTGTAAAGAGTATTTGTTTGACGTTGTTTTTTTGAGATGGAGTCTCACTCTTGTCGCCCAGGCTGGAGTGCAATAGCGTGATCTCAGCTCGCTGCAACCACCGCCTCCCGGGTTTAAGCCATTCTCCTGCCTCAGCCTCCTGAGTAGCTGGGATTACAGGCACATGCCACCATGCCCGGCTAATTTTTGAAAAAAAGGGTATTAATTGGATTCGATTTACTAATCTTTTTCTACAGATGTTTGCATCTGTATGTCATATTGGTCTGAATTTTCTTTTGTTCATTTTTGGAATGTCTGTCATATTTTGGTGTTAGGGTTACACCGGCCTCATGATATTAGTGGGAAAGTGTTCTTTTGTTCTCTATTTTATGAAAACACATTATGGAAATTCTTTTTTGAATATTTGTTAGTGTTCGACCACAGTTTTTCTAGGCCTAGAGTCAACTTCCCCCCGAGTCTTCTTTTTCTGAAGGATTTCGATAAATTTTAATTTTGCTAGATATACAGCTCTTCCTTACATCTCTCCTTATGTCAATTGTGATAAATTGTATTTTTTAATCATTTGTTCATTTTCTCTCAGGTGTGGAATTTGGTGGCATAATGCTTCTGCAATATTCTCTTGTTATCCTTTTAATGTCTACAGGATTTGGGGTGATAGCCCCATTTTACTGTTTGTAGCTCAGCCTTTTTCATTTAGATTTATCATAATTTTCTTAACCAGTTCCATATTCATGGATATTTATTTGTGTTACACTATTGCATAATAAATAACTCTTTACTGCTTTACTGCATATATCTTTGTACACATCACTTTTTTATGTTGAATTTTTGAGGTGGAATTTCTGGGGTCAAAGATTTATATTTTTGAGATTTCCAGTGCATTTGGACTTACCTTCCTAAAAAGGTTGCCTCAGTTTATACTCCCAACAACTTTGTATAAAGGGCACATTTCTCTGCATCCCTGCAATCTTTGTTATACTATAATTTAATCTTTGCTGTTTTTATAGGCAAAATATTGATCATATATATTTTTTCTTTTTTTGAGACAGAATCTCGCTCTGTCACCCAGGCTGGAGTCCAGTGGTGCGATCTCGACTCACTGCATCCTCTGCCTCCCAGGTTCAAGCAATTCTCCTGCCTCAGCCTCCCGAGTAGTTGGGATTACAGGCACCCACCACCACTGCTGGCCAATTTTTGTATGTTTAGTAGAGACAGGGTTTCACCATGTTGGCCAGGCTGGTCTCGAACTCCTGACCTCAGGCGATCCGCCCACCTTGGCCTCCCAAAGTGCTGGGGTTACAGGCTTGAGCCACCGCCTCTGGCCTTGATCATATTTTTATTTGTGATTTTATAATTATTGAGGTTAGTTTTTTTGTTATTTCATATTTGTTTTGCGAATTGCTTGCTTATGGAGTTTTTTCTATTTCATTTGAGAGGTATTTGCATTTTCCTTATTAGTTGTCAGAGGGTTTTGCATAAAATAATACCTCTTTATATGCATTACAACTGCTTTCCCCATGTTGCCACTTCTTTTTTAATTTTCGCTTGCACCATCTTTTGATTAGAGAAGTTTTGCATTTTTATGTAGTCAAATCTATCAGTCTTTTTCCTTTTGTTTTATGCTGATATGCTTAGAAAGACCTCTCTCACAAGAGTGTGTAAAATAATTACTTACACTTTTTTCTTCTTTCTTTATGTTTAACTCTTTAATCCACTTGGAATTTTTTTTTTCTTTTTTTAGGGCATGAGTTGTAAGGCAAAACTTTTTTTTTTTTCAAATAGTTGAATGATATACCTTATTTACATTGATTAGAATTGCTCCCAAGTAATGCTGATTAATTTTAATGAATACAGAATTTGCTTGTTTTTTTTTTTTTTTTTTTTTTGAGACAGCGTCTCGCTCTGTCACCCAGGCTTCAGTGCACTGGCACAATCATGGCTTACCGCAGTCTTGACGTCCCAGGCCCAAGCGATCCTCCCACCGCAGCCTCACAGGTAGCTGGGATTACAGGTGTGTGCCAGCATGCCCAGCTAATTTTTTAATTTTTTTGTAGAGACAGAGTCTCCCTTAGTTGCCCAGGCTAGAATTTGTATCTTAATATCTTAATTATAACAGCATTTCATTGCATTCATATAAAGCTTTCTACCTAAAAAAAAAAAAAAATTATTTAAATAAGAAAAGGGCTTTTTTTTTTTCTTATTTAAATAGTTTTTTTTTTTTTTTTAGGCAGAGTCTCGTACTGTGGGCCAGGCTGGAGTGTAGTGGCACGATCTTGGCTCACTGCAACCTCCGTCTCCCGGGCTCAAGTAATTTTCCTGCCTCAGCCTCCCGAGTAGCTGGGATTACAGGCGTATTTTCACCACACCTGGCTAATTTTTGTATTTTTAGTAGAGACGGGGTTTCACCATGTTGGCCAGGCTAGTCTCGAACTCCTGACCTCAGGTAATCCACCCACCTCGGCCTCCCAAAGTGCTGGGATTACAGGCGTGAGCCACCATGCCGGGCCTATTTAAATAATTTCCAAAGAAGTATTAAATACTAGCAGTGTCCTGAAGTTACTTGAAGCTATTAGATAACAACTTTCAGTTATAATGAATTAAGACTACATTCTCAGCTTGTAGTTTATTAGGCTTTATACCTCTTTTTTGATACAGGAAATTTATTTGCTCCTTCATCCCTCATGAACAGTCTTGCAGAAGTTGTATTTGGTTACATGCTTTGGTCATGTTGACTTTGTGAATTTGTTACTCAGAGTACTTAATTATAGGTTGCTGAAATATTTCCTCTACCTGAATCTGATATCCCTAAATGGGACCCTTGGGCCTGAGGGAATTTGTATCTCACTTTTATTTATTGCTAGGATAAATATAACTATAATTTATTTTGCATTTATTATATTTTGTAAATGCATAAGGACTTTGCAAGTGTTTATTTAATCCTTTAATAACCCTGGGAGACAGACATTACTTATTAAATCTCCGTTTTATAGATAAGGAAGCTGACGCTTAGAGAGGTTAAGTAATAACTGGTTAAGTTGGATTTTGAATCCTAGTTTCTCTGATTCCAGAGTTTGGACTCTTAACCACCATAATCTTTTGGCTGAATATATTTACTTGTTTTGGGTAGTCATTTTTTTAGGATATGGGAGAGAAAGTCTTTAAAACATTTTTCCCTCCTTTTACTGAGGTATACTGAAAGCTATTCTGATGATGATTCAAGTATGGAAGACTACCCAGATCCACAGGTAAGCCAAACATTTAGTGGGTCCACTTAGATTTTTTCTTTTTTAGTTGTTATGGTACCTCCCTTGAAAAACTCAGTATTAGCTGGACATGGTGACTCACACCTCTAATCCCAACACTTTGGGAGGCTGAGGCATGCAGATCACTTGAGCCCAGGAATTTGAGACCAGCCTGGGCAACATGGCAAAACCTTGTCTCTATAAAAAGTATGAAAAAATAAGTCTGGCCAACATGGTGAAACCTTGTCTCTACAAAAAATACAAAAGTTAGCCGGGCATGGTGGCATGCACCTGTGGTCCCAGCTACTTGGGGGGCTGAGGTGGGAGAATCACTTGAGCCCAGGAGGTCAAGGCTGTAGTGAGCTGCAGTGAGCCGTGATTGCACCACTGCACTCCAGCCTGGGTGACAGAGTGAGACCCTACCTTTTAAAAAAAAAAATAAGGCTAGCTGTCGTGGCTCACGCCTGTAATCCCAGCACTTTGGAAGGCCAAGGAGGGTGGATCACTTTAGCCCAGGAGTTTGAGACCAGCCTGTGCAACATGGCACAACCCCATCTCTACCAAAAAACCCCCCAAAATTAGCCAGGTGTAATGGCTTGCACCTGTGGTCCCAGCTACTCAGGAAGCTGAGGTGGGAGGATCACTTGAGCCCAGGTTGCAGAGGTTGCAGTGAGCTGGGATTGCACTACTGCACTCCAGCCTGAGCAACAAAACCAGATCCTGTCTCCAAAAAAATAAATAAATAAAAATCAGTAAGGAATAGAATAAAAGGCCAGGGGTTATGGCTCACGTCTGTAATCCCAGCACTTTGGGAGGCTGAGGCAGGAAGATCACTTGAAGCCAGGAGTTTAAGACCAGCCTAGGCAACCTAGCAAGACTCTGTCTCTACAAAAAACAAATAAAAATTAGCTGGATCTGGTGGCATACACCCATAGTCCTAGCTACTCAGGAGGCTGAGGCTGGAGGATCGCTTGAGCCCAGGAGTTTGAGGCTGCGGTGAGCTATGATTGTGCCATTCCACTTCAGCCTGGGCGACAGACCTTATTGCAAAAGAGAGAGAGAGAGAGGAGAAGGAAAGAAAGAGGGAAAGAAAAAAAAGGGTTAGGGCTAAAGGGAGGGAGAAAGGAAGGACAGGGAATAGAATAAGAGACTTCGGAAGTCTTCATCAATAAATAATTGAACACTTTCTGTGTTCAGTGTTGGTGATGGATTAACCATCCTTCCAGTATTTATGTTTATAAGTCAGTTATACAAGGAAAAAGAAGGGAAGAGAATAGCTAGAAATAAGGGCAGACAAGAATAGAGTAATTAATAGTAAAAATGGAAAAAGGGATATACTTTTTGTCAAGGAGATGGCATTAGTAATGAAAAGGCTTGATTAAAGGAGAATATGGAGATAATATAGTCGGCCCTCACTATCCATGGGGGATTGGCCCCAGAGCCCCACATGAATACCTGCAAATGCTCAAGTCCCTTACATAAAATGGCATCATGTTTGCATATAACGTTATATACATCCTCTTGTATACTTTAAATTATCTCTGGATTACTTGTAATAATACAATGTAAATGAGATGTAAATAGTTTTTACACTATATTTCTTTCTTTTTTTTTTTTTTTTTTTGCGAGGGAGTCTCACTCTGTCGCCCAGGCTGAAGTGCAGTGGTGTGATCACCGAGGCTGGAGTGCAGTGGTGCGATCTCGGCTCACTGCAGCCTCCACCTCCCCAGCTCAAGTGATTCTCCTGCCTCAGCTTCCTGAGGAGCTGGAATTACAGGCAGGGTCTCGCTCTGTCACCCAGGCTGGAGTTCAGTGGTGTCATCTCGGCTCACTGCAACCTCTGCCTCCCAAGTTCAAGTGATTCTCGTGCCTCAGCCTCCTGAGTAGCTGAGATTAAGGTGTGCGCCACCACACCTAGCTACTTTTTGGCATTTTTAGTAGAGATGTGGTTTCACCATGTTGGCCAGGCTGGTCTTGAACTCCTGGCCTTGAGTGATCCACCCACCTTGGCCTCCCAAAGTGCTGGAATAACAGACATGAGACAACATGCCCAGCATACACTTTATTTCTTAAAATTTGTATTATTTTTATTGGTGTACTGTGTTTTTTAATTGCTTTTTATTTCCCAAATATTTTCCATTGAGGTTCATTGAATCCCTGGATGCAGAACCCTTGGATATAGAGGGCCAACTGTTTGTCAAATTATTTATAATTTGCTTTTTATTTTTTCCCTTGGTATATAAGTTTTGAATATATTATCAAAATATTTGATCCAGTTTTCACGGGGACAGGGTCTCGCTCTGTCACCCAGGCTGGAGTACAGTGGCATGGTCCTAGCTCACTGCAACCTCAAACTCTTGGGCTCAAGTTGTCCTCCTACCTTAGCCTCCCAAGTAGCTAGGATAACAGGCATGTGCCACCATGCCTGGGTAAATTTTAAATTTTTTGTAGACACAGGGTCTCGCTGTGTTGCCCAGGATGGTCTCGAACTCTAGGCCTCAAGCAGTTCTCCCAGTTTGGCCTCCGAAAGCATTAGGATTACAGGGCGTGAGCTACCACGCCCAGTCCCAATTTTGCTTTGATGGAATAACAGTGACTCTCATTGGCAACCAGCTCATTTTCATACTTCTTTAGTGTATTTTTTTTCGAAGCAACCATACTTACTTTATTTTATTTAACCACCAATTATGAATTGGTTTCCATTGGAATGGAGTGAAGTCTTTTTTTTTTTTTTTTTTTGTTGAGACAGAGTCCCGCTCTGTCACCCAGGCTGGAGTGCAGTGGCGTGATCTCGGCTCACTGCAAGCTCCGCCTCCCGGGTTCTCGCCATTCTCCTGCCTCAGCCTCCCGAGTAGCTGGGACTACAGGCGTCCGCCATCACGCCTGGCTAATTTTTTGTATTTTTAGTAGAGACAGGGTTTCACCGTGTTAGCCAGGATGGTTTTGATCTCCTGACCTCGTGATCCGCCCGCCTCGGCTTCCCAAAGTGCTGGGATTACAGGCGTGAGCCACTGCGCCCGGCCGAGTGAAGTCTTTTTGAATAGTAAATGCTTGTTTGTGAGTCATCTTATTGTGAACACCCATATATTCTTTTCTTTTTTTTTTTTTTTTTGAGATGGAGTCTCACTCTGTCACCCAGGCTGGAGTGCAGTGGTGTGATCTCGGCTCACTGCAACTTCCGCCTGCTGGGTTCAAGTGATTCTCCTGCCTCAGCCTCCCAAGTAGCTGGGATTACAGGTGCCTACCACTGCGCCCGGCTAATTTTTGTATTTTTACTAGAGACGGTGTTACACCATGTTGGCTAGGCTGGTCTTGAACTCCTGACCTCAAGTGATCTGCCCACCTCGGCCTCCCAAAGTGCTGGGATTACAGGCATAAGCCACTGTGCCCAGCCTAACACCTATATATTCTGATTATAAATGTTCTGAGAGAAGTTGTTAAAAAACAAAATATAGAAAACTTATTACTATAGGCAATACAACTTTTATGAGTACCTGTTGAGTAATTTATGCTACAATTTTGTTTTATCTTTCTGCCAGTCAGCAAATCACATGAACAGTTCCCTGCTGTCTTTATATCGGAAAGGAAATCCTGATTCTGTTTCAAATACTCCTGAGATGGAGCAAAGAGAAACCACCTCTTCAACACCACGGATAAGTTCCAAAACAGGCTCCATTCCCTTGAAGACCCCTGCCAAAGATTCTGAAGGAGGATGGTTTATTGACAAAACCCCAAGTGTAAAGAAAGACAGTTTTTTCTTGGACCTGTCATGTGAGAAAAGTAATCCTAAGAAGCCAATAACTGAGATACAGGTATTTTTGTAATGAAATTTTAGCCCCATATCATCGAAGTACATTTCAACCTTTTAGTTGAATATAATATCAATCAGATACTTGTGTTTTGTGGAAGGCATAGGAACTTTAAAATATATGGAGAATTTGATCACATTGCACTGCTTTCCATTCTTTCTATCCTAGTCTAAGCCTTTTCTCATTCTTGACTTAATTATTGAAACAGCCTTCTAGCTGGAGTCTGTGTCCTTTCTTGTTCCCCTAGTTTATTCTTTACACAGAGAGATAGCTTTTTTTTTTTTTTTTTTTTTTTGAGACTGGGTCTGGCTCTGTCGCTGAGGCTGGAGTGCAGTGGTGTGATCTTGGCTCATTGCAACCTCTGCCTTCCAGGCTCAAGCCATCCCCCACCTCAGCCTCCCATGTAACTAAGACTACAGGCATGTGCCACCACACCTAGCTAACTTATATCTTTTCTAGAGATGGTGTTTTGCAGGGTTGCCCAAGCTGGTCTTGAACTCTTGGGGTCAAGCAATCCACCCGCCTCGGACTCCCAAAGTTCTGGGATTGTAGGCGTGAGCCACCACATATTATCATTCTTCTATTTAAAACCCTCCAGTGGCTTCATTCAGTTTCAAATCCAAAGGCCTGTGACAGCCACTAACGTCCTTTATGATTTCGCTGCCTGACTTTCTTTTCAGTTTCATCTCCTACCACCCTGTTAGGTATGTGAATCTATTTCCTCAGCTGTAAATTTTACAAACTCTAAGTACAAATCAGGTGTTTCCCATGAAAATTTAGGGTCCAAATTGAGATGTGCTATTAACTTAAAGTGTACATTAGACTTTGAAGACTCACTAAAAAAATAGAATGTAAAACATCTCATTAATAATATTTTATATTGACTGTTGAAATGATAATATTTTGGATATACTGGGTTAAGTAAAATAGATTATTAAATGAATTTCATATGTGGCTCACATATTCCTCATGGACAATGATGCTTCAACTGATTTCTAAGAACCAAGCCCTTTGATTTGGCAGAACCTTTCCCCTTTTTATTTATTAATAGGCCTTTCCAAATCTCTTTGCTTTAATTATCCATATCATCCATCTATAGGGAACATTGTTATGGTTGGCAAGAACTCGAGTCTTAATGCTGAAATACTTTTTTTGGTTTGAGACAGGGTCTGCCTTGTCACCCAGACTGACATGGTGGAGTGGCATGATCACGGCTCACTATAACCTCCACCCCCTGGGCATAAGCCATCCCCCCACCTCAGTCTTCCAAGTAGCTGGGGACTACAGGTGCCCACCACCACACCTGGCTAAGTTTTGTATTTTTTGTAGAGATGGCGTTTGGCCATGTTGCTCAGACTGGTCTTGAACTCCTGAGCTCAAGTGATCCACCCACCTCAGCCTGAATCATACTTAAAAACAATTTTTTTTGGCCGGGTGCAGTGGCTCACACCTGTATTCCCAGCACTTTGGGAGACCAAGGCGGGCAGATCATGAGGTCAGGAGATTGAGACCATCCTGGCTAACACAGTGAAACCCTGTCTCTACTAAAAATACAAAAAGTTAGCCAGGCGTCATGGCGGGCGCCTGTAGTCCCAGCTACTTAGGAGGCTGAGGCAGGAGAATGACGTGAACCCGGCAGGCGGAGCTTGCAGTGCGCTGAGATCGTGCCACTGCACTCCATCCTGGGTGACAGAGCGAGACTCCGTCTCAAAAAAAAAAAATTTTTTTTTAAGAGTTGGAATATTGCTACATCACCCAGGCTAGAGTGCAGTCACTTTTCACAGGCTTGATCACAGAACACTATAGCCTTGAAACCCTGAGCTCAAGTGGTCCTTCTGCCTCTCAAGTAGCTGGGGCTACAGGTGTGTCCCAGTGTGCTTGGCTGAATTACACTTTGTTATGACTGTCAAAGCAGCTCTGTAGTTATATTTAATTTAGTGAATCATCAGCTGTCAGATGAAGACAACTATATAGAAGACTCAGTGAGAAATAAAAGGCAAATATCAGTGTCCTTAATCAAGGAGCTCACAATTCAGTGAGAAAGACAGAGATAAGTGAATCACTCATACAAGGCAGATTATTCCAACTGATAATAGCTGCAAATGCAGTGTCTTGGGAATGTGAGGACAAGATTAAATCTAACTGAAAGAGGGCCGTGCAGGGCGGCTCACGCCTGTAATCCCAGCACTTTGGGAGGCTGAGGTGGGCAGATCACCTGAGGTCAGGAGTTCGATACCAGCCTGGCCAACATGGCAAAACCCCATCTCTACTGATAATATAAAAATTAGCTGGGCATGGTGGTGGGCTACTTGGGAGGCTGAGGCAGGAGAATTGTTTGAACCTAGGAGGTGGAGGTTGCAGTGAGCTGAGATCGCGCTGTTGCACTCCAGCCTGGGTGACAAGACTGAAACTCTGTCTCAAAACAAAAACAAAAACAAACTCTAACTGAAAGAATCTGGAAAAGAAGCGGCATTCAAATGTTAAGATTTCTTTTTTCTTTTTTTTTTTTTCCCCATATGGGATGCTTCACAAATTTCCATGTCATCCTTGCACAGGGGCCATGCTAATCTTTGTATCATTCCAATTTTAGTATATGTGCTGCCAAGGCCAGCACCAAATGTTAAGATTTAAACTGAGCTTTAAGGGAATGAGGAGAAGGACTTTCACAATAGACAGCATCTTTGAGCAAAGAGATTGGGAATAGTTAACAGAGGTGAAAGTGCTAGGGCAGGAATGAATTTTCTTTACAATGCCCCTCTTTAAAAAGTAAAACAATTATTGGCATAGAATTTTAAGCATGGCATATTTAAATTTATTTTCTTTCCAGGATTCAAAAGATTCTTCTCTTTTGGAGAGTGATATGAAACGGAAAGGCAAGCTAAAGAATAAAGGAAGCAAAAGGAAGAAAGAAGATCTTCAGGAAGTAGATGGAGAAATTGAAGCTGTCCTGCAAAAGAAAGGTAAGGTGTGAGTCTTGTTGGTGGCAGTGGTCATGTTTGCAGTGAGAGAAGCATCATTCTGTCCCAAGCTATTTTGCTTGAGGGACCTTCTATGTGCAGAAATGTTTACCAGGAAATATTTCTATATTTAATGGACCTTTGTTTACTTAAAGACTATTCATTATAATTATGAGTTACTACTGAATCATTAATCTTTTCATCTCCTCATTTTTGTTTACCAGCTAAAGCCAGGGGGTTAGAATTCCAGATCTCCAACGTGAAGTTTGAAGATGTGGGAGGCAATGATATGACATTAAAAGTTAGTGCAAATTCTGAATTTTACCTCAAATGGATATATTACTAATCAGTTATGAGGAAAAAGCCTACCTCTTTGTTTCTAATATGATCTGGGTGTAGAAAAGGAAACTGGGAAGGTTGAGAAGGGCAAACCTGACCTGTACCCTTTAGGGCATTGCAGGAGAAAAGATGCATACTATTTTGAACTTTTCTATTATTTTAATTATAGTATATATAAGATCCATGCTTTATAAGTAATATTGTCTTAGCAATACTAATAGTAATGGTAACTTTATTTTTATTTATTTTTTATTTTATTTTATTTATTTATTTTGAGAAGGAGTGTAGCTCTGTCACCAGGCTGGAGTGCAGTGGCGCGATCTTGGCTCACTGCAACCTCCGCCTCCCAGGTTCAAGAGATTCTTCTGCCTCAGCCACCCGAGTAGTTGGGTTTACAGGCATGTGCCACCACGCCCAGCTAATTTTTGTATTTTTAGTAGAGACAGGGCTTCACCATGTTGGCCAGGATGGTCTTGATCTCCTGACTTCGTGATCTGCCCACCTCAGCCTCCCAAAGTGCTGGGATTACAGGCGTGAGCCACCATGCCTGGCCGTAATGGTAACTTTATTTTTAATGCCTACTCTTTTTCATCTGCCATGCTAGTTAACTTTGCATTACATCCTCAAGGTATATAATGTTACAGCTTAGGAAATAGCTCCTCAGAGAGGTTATTGCTGAAATCACACAGTAGGTACCAGAGCCAGGATTCAAAGTCTGATCTAAGTCTAAGGTGTATATTCTACCTATCTACTCCATTTCACTGCTCCGAAAAATAGGACATTTCATTCTACTTTGATTGTTCTGTCTTGAAAGACATCTTTGTGCTTATCCTCTGCTAGGAGGTCTGCAAGATGCTCATACACATGCGTCACCCGGAGGTGTACCACCACCTGGGCGTCGTGCCCCCTCGTGGAGTTCTCCTTCATGGACCACCAGGCTGTGGGAAGACATTACTTGCACATGCAATTGCTGGGGTGAGGCTTGCTGACATTTGTTTGCTTTTGCTGTTTTTGTTGTTATTATTTGTTTTTGTTTTTTCTCTTTGGTCAACTTAAACCAGACATGGCATTCTTCAGGAAGAGAACATAGTCATTGGAACTGATCCCTTTGTTATCATGCTGGTATTATTTGTGGAATTTATTCATTTAGTTTATTTATTGTTTCTCACGAGCAACTTGAGGGATTTTTTTTTTTAATGTATGTAATTGTTTATATGGCAAGAGTTAGATAAAAAGTAAAATAATACAGTTTTTTTTTTTTTGGAGACAGAGTCTCACTCTGTCACCCAGGCTGGAATGCAGTGTCGTGATCTTGGCTTACTGCAACCTCCGCCTCCCGGGTTCAAGCAATTCTCCTGCCTCAGCCTCCCCAGTAGCTGGGACTACAGGCATACGCCACCACGCCCGGCTGATTTTTTGTATTATAGTAGAGACGGGGTTTCACCCTCTTGCCCAGGCTGGTCTTGAGCTCCTGAGGTCAGGCAGTCCACTTGCCTCAGCCTCCCAAAGTGCTAGGATTACAGGTGTGAGTCATCGCACCCGGCCATAATAATACGGTTTTAAACAAACCTTTTTATTAACACATAGCTTACATTTTAGTTACTTTGCTTTCCCTTTAACCCAATAGTTATTTCAGTTTACTTATTTTTTTGAGACAGAGTTTCACTGTCACCCAGGCTGGAGTGCAATGGTGCAATCATGGCTCACTACAGCCTCAACTTCCCAGGCTCAAGTGGTCCTCCCACCTCAGCCTCCCGAGTAACTGGAAACACAGACACATACCACCACGCCCAGCTTATGTTTTTGTTTTTTTGTAGAGACGAAGCCCACTATGTTGCCTGGCTGGTCTTAAACTCCTGGCCTCAAGCAGTCCTCCTGTCTCAGTCTTCCAAAGTGCTGGGATTACAGGCATGGGCCACTGCACCTGCCCTCCCAGTGGTTCTAAGGAGCAGTAAAATAAGAAAACTAGGGTTATATTATTTTTCATATAGCTAAATTTATTCAAAATTTTTATTTAGAGTCATGTTCTTATACTTTTTAGTTTTAAAATAATTCTTTCTAAAATGGTAATAATAGACACTTACTTTGAGAAATTAAAAGTTAGCAATCTTATTTTAACCCTCTCAGATTTTTCAGAAACTGTAGGGGACAGTAATGTAAAATATCCGAGTAACTTCGATTAGAAAAATAGCATGCTCGCCGGGCGCAGTGGCTCATGCCTGTAATCCCAGCACTTTGGGAGGCCGAGGCATGTGGATCACCTGAGGTCGGGAGTTCAAGACCAGCCTGACCAACATGGAGAAACCCCCATCTCTACTAAAAATACAAAATTAGCCGGGTGTGGTGGCGCATGCCTGCAATCCCAGCTACTTGGGGGCTAAGGCAGGAGAATCACTTGAACCTGGAGGCGGAGGTCGCGGTGAGCCAAGATCATGCCATTGCACTCCAGCTTGGGCAACAAGAGCCAGACTCTATCTCAAAAAAAAAAGAAAAAAGAAAAATAGCATGTTATACCAAGCGCTAATACAATAATGTTCTATGAAAGAAAATCATTTGTAAAGGGGGACTTGATTGGTTTGCTTCATTTTTGTTTAATAATTCCATTACATGACTGACTACTGCATGCCAGACTTTGGAATATAGTGTTAAGTACCACAATCGTAGTTCTAATATGAGAGAGACATTAAACAGTCATTCATATAAATAAATGCTGTACATAATAATGACTATAATAAATGGAAGACAAGAAGAAGTGCAAAATGGTATGTGGTATGTTAGGATTCCCAAATTAGAGTTGGGTTCAAGGAAGGTATGGTTGAGGAAGTGAAATTTCAAGATAAGCACAAGAATGGGAGAACAGTAGTCTCTCTTCTCTCTTTTTTTTTTTTTTTTTTTTTTTGAAACAGATTTTCTCTCTGTTGCCCAGGCTGAGTGCAGTGGCATGATCACAGCTCACTGCAGCTTTGACTTCTCAGGCTCAAATGATCCTCCTGCCTCAGCCTCACAGGTAACTGGGACTGCAGGCATGCATCAGCATGCCTGGCTAATTTATTATTTTTTTAGAGGTGGGGTCTCACTGTGTTGCCCAGGCTGGTCTCAAACTCCTCTCAAAGTGCTGGGATTACAGGCATGGGCGTCCACACCTGGCCTCTTCTTAAAGAGTCTCCCTCCTCTGACTAGTAACTGGCTACTCTCTGGGTTAGGATTTGGAGAAATACTAGCAGAATGTGTGGGAAACATCTGTGTCACAACCCTTGCTATTTTCTCCTTAGCAGATGGGTAAGAATTGTTTTGATAGGCCAGGAATGGTCACTCCTGTATCCCCAGCACTTTGGGAGGCTGAATTGGGAGGATGGCTTGAGGCCAGGAGTTTGGGACCAGCCTGGGCAACATAGTGAGACACAGTCTCTCCAAAAAAAACGAAGAATTGCTTTGGCTCAGCCCTAAGTGGGGATAACATACCTCTTGAAAGTCAAGACCCTTTATTCAGAAAAGATAATAGAATTTTATAGTGACATGTATAAAATAAAAACAAGTTGAAGGTATCCACTTAAATGTGTTTGCATGAAACCGTTGATTTTTTTTTTTTTTGAGATGGAGTTTTGCTCTTGTTGCCCAGGCTGGAGTGCAATGGCGCGATCTCGGCTCACTACAACCTCCGCCTCCCAGGTTCAAGCAATTCTTCTGCCTCAGCCTTCCCAAGTAGCTGGGATTATAGGCATGCACCACCATGCATGGCTAATTTTTGTATTTTTAGTAAAAATGGGGTTTCTCCATGTTGGTCAGGGTGGTCTCGAACTCCTGACCTCAGGTGATCCGCCCACCTCAGCCTCCCAAAGTAGTGGGATTATAGGCCTGAGCCACCATGCCCGGCCAAAACCATTGATTTTCAAATAGTGTTTTTCACTGGGCCAACATAAAAAGATGAAGTTCCTCAGGAAACTAGCTATTTAAAAAATTTGAGGGGACTGGATAAGAAAAAGTAGGGAAATTAAAATTTGAATATTTGGTTATTCTTTTATGTGTCTGCATAGGAACTTGACCTGCCAATTTTGAAAGTGGCTGCTCCAGAGATTGTGTCTGGAGTATCCGGAGAGTCTGAGCAGAAGCTGAGAGAACTATTTGAGCAAGCTGTGGTGAGTCAGTTAATGACTAATGCCAGGTGGTCAGACGCTACCAGCTTATATTAAAGATCCTGCTTTTTCTGATGCTAGTATTTGTTAACCCACTCACTGGCCATTCTTTTATTAATATAAACATGGTAATTTGCTATGCATGATGGCTAAATATTTAAAGTAGATTTAGTGATACCAGCTGTTGGATAAATAACCCTTTTCATTTGAAATCAAACATAAATGTAATTGGTGAGAAATTCTGGGCCGTCATACCCTGTAGTCATATGTTGAAAATATATTATCCTTATGATATTTTCCACTCACTTTTACTTTCCTCAACTTAAGTTTGGCCAAAAAAAACTTGTAAGCAATGTAAAAATTGTTATTTAGGCTATTATAAAAGCAACCATAAAAATACCAGAATAAATTCTGTCATTCCTTACTAGTAAACTAGGGCAATAATAATACCCAAATCTCACGTGGCTATTGAGAGTATTAAATGAGAGAATTCTTATAAAACCTTCGATATGGTGCCTTGCACACAGCACAAGCCCTGTAAATATTAGCTGTAAGATTATTCACACTTGAACAAATATCACTGTGTTTAAAACTAAAAAATGGTGAAAAGTTTATGTCATTATTAGCAATGACAATATATAGTAGCTGATGAATATCCAATACAACTGTTAGAAGCCTGTGTGAAATTAGAAGAGAAATTATATTTAAGCAGTAATTGAGAAAAAAAAAACATTTTAAATAACAAGAATGGGTAGGCCATCTACTTAGTTATGGTGCGGGCTGACGTTGAAAAAGCTGTGGGCAACACTAGGAGGATAAAGAGAAAAAAGGTGGAAAGGGCAGAGTGCAGAGCAAAGCTGAACTTTCTCAGGTGCTACCTGTTTTCCAAAACGCGGTGGATTCCATTGTTAAATTGGCACGCATAGCCAGAGACAAGTAGTAAATTTTGTGCGTATGGTAAACACGATGAATAAGGATAAGAGGCAAATGGCATCTTTAGGTTGTTAGTTCTGTGTTTAAACCTCTCACTAAACCAGTACTGAGCCAGTACAGTACCTCACAGTAGATGCTCAGTAAATATGTGGCCTAGCACCCCGCTTTTCCTGGTCCCCTCTTCGCTAATGAGAATGAGTCCAGTAAAGCATGTGGATCAGGAAACAAAAAGGTGAAATCCAATCAAGTGATACTTGGTTGAAAACTATGCTTTCTTTAGGCCACATTCTGATGACCATCATTTATTCTTTTTTTTCCCCCATTCAACTTTCCAGGTCACTGACAAGTACTGATGTGCTTGTTTTCTGGTGCTTTTGGCCTCTGTAATTTTACTCCTTTGTAACTGGGTAATATATCTAGCAGTCATAGGCGTCTTTTGCAAACATTGTCATAAGGATGATTAGGGAAGAGATCCAGCTAGCGATAAGCTAAATATCTTTCCCTTTAAGATGTGGTTGTTCCCATGGTTTTGAGATGCCTTAAGCGACGCTGACAGCCTTACTTAGCATAATCACTGTCACTCCTAACCATTGAGTAACTGATTGAGTAAAATGATTTAGATTGTAAATCTAGATAATTTTCTTCAATTTTTTTCATTTTAACTGATCCTTATCTCTTTTTTGTGGTAAAATATATATAACAGAATTTACCATTTTAAACATTTTTTTAAGTTTTTGTAAATTATTTTATGTCTTCCATGATGATTTAGAGGGACTATCTTCAAACCAGTACAGATATTTCATAAATAATACCTGGCTGTTTTCTAACCAACTGAGTAATTTGTTGCATAATAAGCCACCTCACATCTTTCAGCAAGAAATACATTAAATTTGAATAGTAAAGATATTACACAATGAATTAGGACAACAATTTAAATTTGCTTTAAATGTTTCTTTGCGGAAGAGGACACTACACTTCTACTCAATGAAGAGAAACATTTTTACAGTCCAGAGGTCTTTTATTACCACCTATTATGCCATGAATTCACAGGGAAGAGGCTCCAGCAGTTCAGGCTCCTTCCTATTGGTTCTCAGAGTGCACTTCTCTGGGTGGAGCATGCTGACACTTTCCCTTTGGTTTCCTTTTTCTGATCATTTTCCTCCATGTGTTTCAGAAAGCTACCTCGGCTCCTAGAATGCTTAATGTGCTCAATATGCACGTTGATTCTCGCACACATTGATTCTCTTGGCAAGAATCTTGCCCTTAACTTGTTTCTTTACAACAATGCCAGCAGCATGCTGGATAACGTTATAGACTCTTCCAGTTTTGTGGTGGTAACACTTGTGGGACATTCCTTTTTGAACAGTACCCATTCCCTTGATGTCTACAGTATCACATTTCTTTTTCTCTTCTCTTCTTTTCTTTTTTGAGACAGAGTCTCGTTCTGTTGCCCAGGCTGGAGTGCAGTGGGACAATCTCAGCTCACTGCAACCTCTGCCTCCCGGGTTGAAGCAGTTCTCTTGCCTCAGCCTCCCAAATAGCTGGGATTACAGGCATGCACTACCCACCAGCTAATTTTTTTTTTTTTTTTTTTTGAGATGGAGTATCTCTCTGTTGTCCAGGCTGGAATGTCTCAGCTCACTGCAGCCTCTGCCTTCCAGGCTCAAATAATTCTCCTGCCTCAGCCTCCCGAGTAGCTGGGATTACAGACATGCACCACCACACCTGGCTAGTTTTTGTATGTTCAGTAGAGACGGCGTTTTGCCATGTTGGCCAGGCTGGTCTTGAACTTCTGACCTCTGGTGATCTACCCGCCTTGGCCTCCCAAAGTGCTGGGATTACAGGCATGAGCCATGGCGCCTGGCCTACAATATGACATTTCTTATAGATTTGCATACATATAGCCAAAGGAACAGCTCCATGTTTTCTGAACGGCCTAGAGAACATCTCTCAGGTGCCTCTCCTCTTTCTCTTTGTGTTCATCATTTTGGTGAATTACTGGAAGATGGCAGTTCCAACTGAAAAGGCCATTTTAAACATTTTTAAGTGTACAATTCTGTGGCATTAAGTACATTCATATTGTTGTGTTATCATTACCCCCATCCATTTCCAGAATGTCTTCATGTTCCCAGACAGTAAGTCCCCATTCCTCTCTCCTACCAGTCCCTGGCCATCACCACCATTCTACTTTTTGTCTTAATGAATTTGACTACTCTCGGTAGCTGATCCTTACATCTTAACTTATTCTTTCTGAACCGTGTCTAGTTTATTTCTTAAAAACAAAAAAACTGGAGGTGATCTTTACACTGATGTATTAGAACTTTACCATCCTTCCTTATTCAGTGTAGCCTTTAAAATAAGCTTCCGGTACTTTTCAGTGTGGATGCTGGGAAAGTTCTGGAGATGGATAGTGGTGACGTTTACACAACAGTCTGAAAATATTTAATGCCACTAAACTATATACCCAAAGTGGTTAGAATGGTAAATTTTATGTATATTTTACCACAGATTTTTTAAAAAGCTTCTGGTGCTTCTCAAATTTCCTCTTATAGCAAATTATAGGGAAAGACTTGGAGATTCTTACGTTAGTAGAAACCCTCATAACGTTTCTAGTGAGCTTGGGTTTGCTAATTTAAAGTTTATAAACTTGTTGTCTTAAGTTTTTTTTTCTGTGCATATGCTTATCCAAAATCATTGTTTCTGTTTCATAGCATAGCAAATGTATCTAATTTACAAAAGAATTTCAGTAGATTTATCACAAAACATGCATTGATGAAGAGACTATAAATGTGTTACCCTATCTGCAGTCTCTTACTGTGTACTTCTAATCATCTTGGTTCTCTTAAGTCAGGTAAAAATCAGAAGTAACACATGTGAACTGCCTTCTTTAGGGTTATTCTTTTGGCAAATGATCCTTGACCTTGAAGATTTTTTTTAAAATGTATATGCTTAATTGTGCTTCAGTATAGGGGATGCATTTATGATTGTCTTTTTGTGATATTTTTATTTCTAGTCAAATGCACCATGTATCATTTTCATTGATGAAATTGATGCTATTACCCCCAAAAGAGAAGTGGCTTCAAAAGATATGGAACGAAGAATTGTAGCCCAACTCCTAACCTGCATGGATGGTTAGTTTAAAATAATAAATTCATTTTAAGAGAATAAATTTTTTAAAATAGTGTAATTAATACATGAAGATAAAAAATAATATTCATATAGTAAATATCAAATAGTGTAAAAAAAAAGTCATACTGGGCACAGTGGCTCATGCCTGTAATCCTAACACTTTGGGAGGCTAAGGTAGGAGGATTGCTTGAGCCTAGTAGTTTGAGGCCAGCCTGGGCAACATAGCGAGATGCTACCTCTAAAAATAAATAAAAAGAAATAGCACTTGTTTTGTGTACACAAGAAAATTTGAAGTATATATTTTATGTTCCTTGCATTACCAGATTGTAGGTTGCTTCTTCTTCTGATTGATGGACTGATTGATTGATTGATGAGATAGAGTGTTGCTCTGTCACCCAGGCTGGAATGCAGTGGCACAATCACAGCTCACCGCAGCCTTGACCTCCTGGGCTCAAGTGATCCTCCCATTTAAGCCTCCCAAATAGCTGTGACCACAGGTGTGCACCACCATGCCTGGCTTTTTTTTTTTTTTTTTTTTTTTTGAGACAGAGTCTCTGTTGCCTAGGCTTGAGTGCACTGGCATGATCTCAACTCGCTGCAACCTCTGCCTCCTGCGTTCAACCTATTCACCTCCTCAGCCTCCTGAGTAGCTGGGATTACAGGTGCGTGCCACCACACCTGGCTGATTTTTGAGACGGGGTGTTTCCATGTTGGCCAGGCTGGTCTCGAACTCCTGACCTCAGGTGATCTACTGGCCTCAGCCTCCTGAAGTGCTGGGATTACAGGTGTGAGCCACTGTGCCTGGGTGTTTTTTTTTTTTAAAGACGGTCTCACTATGTTGCCCAGGCTGATCTCGAACTCCTGGGCTCAGTCTTTCTGCTTCAGCCTCCCGAAGTGCTGGGATTCTGTTTTATTTTTATCTAAAATTTTCTTGCCATGTCTTTGAGGCCTGCATTCTGAGAAAATGCTTTCATGGCTTCCTGCTAGCTAAAGAACACACTGTGGCTGGGCGCAGTGGCTCATGCCTGTAATCTTAGCACTTTGGGAGGCCGAGGTGGGTGGATCAGGAGGTCAGGAGATCGAGACCATCCTGGTTAACACGGTGAAACTCTGTCTCTACTAAAAAATAAAAAAATAAAAAAATTAGCCGGGCGTGGTGGCGGGCGCCTGTAGTCCCAGGTACTCGGGAGGCTGAGGCAGGAGAATGGCATGAACCTGGGAGGCAGAGCTTGCCATGAGCTGAGATGGTGCCACTGCACTTCAGCCTGGGCGACAGAGCGAGACTCCGTCTCAAAAAAAAAAAAAGAACACACTGTATAAACTCCTCATGATTTAATTAGCATCTTACTACCTTCTTGTTACCTGTGAGGGAAAATAACCTCAGACTCCCTGCTGTTCAATCCTGGTTCAGCTGAGAGAAATAATACTTAGGAAAGATAAGATTTAAGTCCTCAGTTTTGTCCATTCCTAGAAATACATTCCTAGATTAAGCCAGAACAGCTGAAGACTATTTTGTATTCCCCTGCTCGAATTAATTTTATCAGTCTATTCTGAGACACAGACTTTGGCATCCTCCCCAGCCTCCCTGTTGTCCTGCTCACCTTGCCTGGATGTGCCATGCATGCTTGACCCTCTGTGCTTTCACTAATACTCTTTCTTCTACATAGAATTCCATTAGCCTATATATCTGCTTGTTAAAATTGTATTTACCCTTCAAGCCTTTTCTGAAATGTTACCACCTCCATGAACCCTCCCTTATTCCTCAGTTGGAATTCATGATGTCTTTTCTCTTATTACCATGGTGCTTTGTTTATATCTGTTATTATACTTCACAAAATTTGTCTGATGCCATTTTTTTATTTACACACTCAATGTTTCTCAATAGATTGTGAACTGCTGAGGACAGAGTTTGTATTTTATTTATCCTCCTCACACCTTTTACATATTTGACATTTAATAAATGTTGGTTTTATATGTATGTTGCTGTCAAAATCTGTAATACTTTATCTTTAACCATGAAATGATTCTGTAACCATTATTGCCGTCAGTGTCAAGTGCTTTGTTCACTACTCTTTCTCTGTCTCTTACTAGATCTGAATAATGTGGCTGCTACAGCCCGGGTCCTAGTTATTGGAGCTACTAATCGACCAGACTCGTTAGACCCTGCTTTGAGACGTGCGGGAAGGTTCGACCGAGAAATATGCCTAGGTATCCCAGATGAAGCATCCAGGGAAAGGTATATTCTTATAGAATGAAGTTTGTATGCCACTAAGTCATCTTAACTGAATGGTTTGAAAGTAAGAGGTGAGAAATACCAAGTAGCCTTTTCTTTCTCTCTCTTTCTTTTTGTACCAATTAAATTGATTTGGAAAAGGAGAAGCCCACATTAAGAAAATCATTTATGCCTGGGTGCAGTGGCTCATGCCTGTAATCCCAACACTTTGGGAGGCCGAGGCAGGAGGATCACTTGATACCAGGATTTTGAGCCTGGGCAACATAGTGTGACCCTGTCTCTACAAAAAATAAAATCAGCTGTGCACACACCTGTAGTCCTAGTTACTCAGGAGGCTGAAGCACAGGAGGATTGCTTGAGCCCAGGAGTTCAAGGCTGCAGTAAGTTATGATTGTGTCACTGTGCTCCAACCTGGGTGACAGAGGGAGGCCCCACCTCTGTAAAAAAAGAGGAAGAAAACAATTTACTCATCAGTAGGATAATTGTTTCAGGTTGTTTTTTCAGAAGTAGTAATGGACTTATGTATCCATACTCATTTGTCTGGTCTTATTAACAATGGCTTGCATTCTTCAGTTGGCTGACCAGGTTAGTGGCAATGTCTGGAGCTATGGCATACAGCAGCCATCTGGTCCACTTATAGGTTAAATCTGAGTACCATACTTTAACCTATTGCACTAACCTGTCTGAGACCACAGGTCCTGTTACCAGTAATGAAATGGCAGCCAGACAGTTGAAAGCTGTTTGCTGCAGTACCAGCCTTTCCTGGTAATTGAGCAAATGAGTAATGTCCATAGAGCAAATAAATATCCACCAATAACCAGAAATATAACTTCATAAGCGAGACTATCTCAGGAAGCACTGTTGAGGTGGTAGAGTGGAAATCTAGTTAAGAAATGTTCTGGGCCAGGCACGGTGGCTCACGCCTGTAATCCCTGCACTTTGGGAGGCCGAGGCGGGCGGATCACGAGGTCAGGAGATTGAGACCATCCTGGCTAACATGGTGAAACCCCGTTACTACTAAAAATACAAAAAATTAGCCAGGCATGGTGGCAGGCTCCTGTAGTCCCAGCTACTTGAGAGGCTGAGGCAGGAGAATGGCGTGAACCCGGGAGGCGGAGCTTGCAGTGAGCCGAGATGGCGCCACTGCACTCCAGCCTGGGCGACAGAGCAAGACTCTGTCTCAAAAAAAAAAAAAAAAATTGTTCTGAAATATTAGGTCGGGTATGGTGGCTCACACCTGTAATCCTAGCACTTTGGGAGGCCGAGGCGGGTGCATCACTTGAGGTTAGGAGTTCAAGACCAGCCTAGCCAACATGGTGAAACCCCATCTCTACTAAAAATACACAAAAAAATTAGCCGGGCGTGATGGTGCATGCCTGTAATCCCAGCTACTTAGGAAACTGAGGTAGGGGAATCGCTTGAACCTGGGAAGTGGAGGTTGTAGTGAGCCGATGTCATGCCACTGTACTCCATCCAGCCTGGGTGACACAGCAAAACCCTGTCTCAAAAAAAAAAAGGTATTTAATGAGGAAGGGGTACACTGAAGATCCTGGTGAGGTCCAGGAACAGTGTGGGAGTAATTGCACATATAAGCTCAGACATGTGAGACTGGGCAGAGTGCCGCATGTGAGATTGTGATCTCAGATAGGGGCTAGATCCAGGTGATGACGAGGTCCAGGGTATGAGTAAGTGTAAGTAAGGAGGAGAAAGGCCAGACCTAGGCGGGACTGGGTTGCAGAGGCAATGAATAGATGCCCAAACTTTGAGCCAGTGAAGGAAAATTATTCCACCTCTGCCTCCTGTTATCCTTGGTCCTTGTCCAGTGTTTTTAACATTTCCAAGCTTTAGTTTATTTACCTATAATGCAGTAATAATAATAGTAATAACTTTATCTGTAAAGTGATCATAATACTACAAAGGCTTCCTGTGAGTATTGAATTAACATAACCTAGCACAATATCTGACATAGAGAATTTTTTAAATAAGGTAGCTATTGATAGCTGTCTCTTTTATTATTACTATTTTTTATATAGAGAAAGGGTCTCACTATGTTGCCCAGGCTCATCTTGAACTCCTGCCCTCAAGTGATCCTCCGGATATCATCCTGTACTTCAAAAGCATCAAATTATGGAAAAGTTTCAGCATACATAAAAGGAAACCCGTATAAATTGTTCCAGTTTCTATTGGTGTAAAACAGACCACACCAAAATTTAGTGTCTTACAGCAATACTCATTTTATTGTGTCTCACAGTTTCTGTGGATCAAGAATTTAGAAAGGCCTCAGCTAGATGGTTCTGCCTTGCGGTCTCACGTGGCTGCAGTAGCTGGAGCTAGAACAGTGGTAGCTTTCCCTTCTTTTGGAGTTTCTACAGTATGATGACCAAAAATACCCACTTTTTTTAGGGATAGAGTACAACTATGAAAAGGGCGATATTATTTTCTGTTAGCCATTTTCACAACATCCAAAATGTTCTTAGTACGGATAGTCCCCAACTGACAATGCTTTGGCTTATAGTTTTTCAACTTTACAAAGGGTTTATCATGATGTTTTTGACTTAAGATGGGTTTATCAGGAATGTAAACTCATGGTAAGTCGAAGAGTGTTTTGTATTCTTGTGCATAGTAGCAAATTGGATCTGTATCTTTTGGAAATAGTTCTTTAGTGGAAAGTTTTCTTGATTCCCATTATTCAGAGTATCCCAGTGAAATTTTAAAAAATTTGTCAGTAATGTTTATCTGCTTCTATTCTGCTCACTTATATGATCCCAAATGATTTTTCTATAATTTATTCTTTATTAGCTTGACATTTGAAAATATTAGTCTTCTTTACAAAGTTATTAATTTTAAAATATATTTCCTTGTCCAAGTTAGTTTATAATATCAAAATATGTAAATAAGAATTAACATTCATTGGCGCATGCCTATAATCCCAGCTACTTGGGAGGCTGAGGCAGGAGAATCGCTTGAACCTGGGAGGCGGAGGTTGCGGTGAGCCGAGATCGTGCCATTGCACTCCAGCCAGGGCAACAAGAGCAAAACTCCGTCTCAGAAAAAAAAAGAATTAACATTCATTGGGCACTAACTGTAGATCAGCCATTGTTTTATGTGCTTTGCATGTATTCATTTGTAGCAACAGCCCTCTGAATAAGTGCTACTATAATATAGATTGAATAAATGAACAAACTGAAGCACAAAGATTAAGTAACTGGCCCAGATAACAAAGGTTAACAGAGCTGGGATTCAGACTCTTGCAGTTTGGCTTCAGACCTTTCATCCTGAATATCTTTTTTTTAAATTATTCGAGATGGAGTCTTGCTCTGTCGTCCGGGCTGGAGTGCAGTGACACAATCTTGGCTCACTGCAACCTCTGCCTCCCGGTTCAAGCAATTCTCCTTCCTCAGGCTCCCGTGTAGCTAGGATTACAGGTACCCGCCCCCATGCCCAGCTAATTTTTTTTTTTTTTTTTTTGAGACAGAGTCTCGCTCTGTTGCCCAGGCTGGAGTGCAATGGCCTGATCTCAGCTCACTGCAAGCTCCGCCTCCCAGGTTCATGCCATTCTCCTTCCTCAGCCTCCCGAGTAGCTGGGACTACAGGTGCCCGCCACCACGCCCAGCTAATTTTTTGTATCTTTAGTAGAGACGGGGTTTCACCGTGTTAGCCAGGATGGTCTTGATCTCCTGACCTCGTGATCTGCCTGCCTCGGCCTCCCAAAGTGCTGGGATTACAAGGTGTGAGCCACTGTGCCTGGCCATGCCCAGCTAATTTTTGTATGTTTAGTAGAGACGGGATTTTGCCATGTTGGCCAGGCTAATCTCAAACTCTTGACCTCAGGTGATTTGCCTGCCTCAGCCTCCCAGAGTGCTGGGATTGCAGGTGTGAGCCACCGCACCTGCCCTCATCTTGAATATCTTTACTGCTTTTAAGTTTTTATTCAGTAGGTCTTATCAGAAATTGTTCAAGATATTCCTTTAATAACAATTATCTAGAAGTCCAGATGTTTATAGATACCATGTTGCCAGTTAGGTTGAACAAAATTTTCCACACATGTAGTACAGGGGATGAACAATAGGTAAAGATAAAGTTGGAGTTGTAACTGTCCTAATATGAAATGGGAAGTATATGGCAAGATAATTTTCAATGATGAAGATAATTAATGGTTTGTGTGTATGTGGGGGCTTTTATTTCTGGTAGATATCCATTTAATCTACTCTAAAAGTACCCCCATAAGTTATTTATCTTATTTCCCCTGTAATGTTGTAAATTCTTAAAGGCAAAATATTTTTTAAAAATTCTATGTATTCGTCACAGCACTTAGCATGTTTCCTAACAAAGCAGATATTTACCATAATCCTTTCTGGAATAAGATGGAACATGTAATAATGACAGCGTTTGTTGAGTGACTGAACTATTTGATCTTATATAGTATCCATTTTGATACCTTTGGCAGACGTGAAGGACTTCAAATAAATATAGTTGGTGACTTGTTTTTACTATTAGATCAGGAATCAGAAATTTTTTCCCCTGTCTTTTCTACAGAATACTTCAAACATTGTGCAGAAAACTGAGGCTTCCTCAAGCTTTTGATTTCTGTCACTTAGCACACCTAACTCCAGGCTTTGTTGGTGCTGATCTCATGGCACTGTGCCGAGAGGCAGCAATGTGTGCAGTCAATAGAGTCTTAATGAAGCTACAGGAACAGCAGAAGAAAAATCCTGAAATGGAAGATTTGCCATCTAAAGGAGTCCAGGAGGAAAGGCTGGGAACTGAGCCCACTTCTGAAACACAGGTGCTTTCTCTAAAGGCACCTTAAATTGTCCTTTTAATGTTCTTTGTGTTATCTTACATTGAAGCAAGGGTCAATACAATTGAGGTTCATTACTTTCTGTTTTATTGGCATTTAATCTATAGAATACTTATCATTTATACCCACGATGTTTATCATTTCAAAAATATGAGTTGTTTTATGTTTAGTTTATTTTAATAAATTCATTTTACAATAATGATTATGAAATTCTGGAATGGGGTTGGCAGACTGTGGCCTACCCACCCACCACGTGTTTTTGTAAATTAAAGTTATATTGGAACACAGCCATGTTCATTTGTATACATGTTGTCTGTTTCTGCTTTCGTTCTTCATGGCAGAATTCACACAGGAGTCTGCAGCAGAGACCGTGGCCCACAAAGCCTACGGTGTTTACAGTCTAAACCTTTACAGAAAAAGGTTGTCAACCCCTATTTCAGCATTGGCATTTAATTATATCTCCTGGTTAACTTTTGGTTAGGTAGATTACAGTGGTCTGTTGACACAACTATATCCATGTCGGTAGCTGCAAACAGCTCTGGAGGACAGTCATGTGAATAATAGGGGACAGTTATCAGTCCAAGATCGGTATTAAATTTTTTAGTTTTATGAGTCATGAAAATTCAATATATATATCATTTCATATAGCATTTTATAGCTTGCACAGATGGCTTCTGTATGTTATATAATTTGATCCCTGTAACCTTATATAAATGTCATTTTCCCCATTTTATAATCAAAGGCACTAAGCTTAAGTGGTTGTGATTTCCTCAAGCCCATACAGCCTCTACTTTATAGAGCAGGGGCTTCAATCCAGATCTTTTGTTCTCAGATAATTTGTTTTTTTCTTAGACATTTGAAACTGCAATTAATTCTGTAAAAAATAACAAACTCATTCCTTTTATAATATTGCATATAAATTAATATTTTATAAATTGAATTAATTGGTTACCTGTTTTTTAGACTTATCCTTTCATCTTCTCCACAAAGCAAGAAATCTGCCTTTTAAGTTTAAGATTTGATAGTAATAGGAAAATTGCCTTCCCTCTACTTAGTTGATAAACCATCAAGGAACCATATTAATGAATTATACTACCTCCAGCATAAGTGTTTTAATTTCATCAGGATTCAACTGTTTCTTGAATATTTATAAATGAAACATGGGAAATATTATGGTTGCTGAAATGAATATTTGCCAACGCTTATATTTGCTATACCTAGCCCTAGTATATAGAAGTCATTCTTATATGTTTAATTATAATTATAATTGGTATATCTTTACTTGACCAGAGCATATGATCCTTAAGAATAAAATGAACTTGTCTCATGTCAGAGAGAAAATTATTAAAATACATAGACGTTCAGGATAGCTTACGGAAATATTACAGTAATAATTTTTACAAGTAGAAAATGTAACTTTTCAATAGCTGTTGTGGTGTTTCTTTATTTTTTTCCCCTCTATTGTTCCCTTCAAGGATGAATTACAAAGGCTGCTGGGGTTGCTAAGAGACCAAGATCCCCTCTCAGAGGAGCAGATGCAAGGACTGTGCATTGAACTGAATGATTTCATTGTTGCTCTATCCTCAGTCCAACCCTCTGCCAAAAGGGAAGGCTTTGTCACTGTCCCTAATGTGACATGGGCAGATATTGGTGCCCTGGAAGACATTAGAGAGGAGCTCACCATGGCAATATTGGTAGGTATATCAGCTGCCAAATATTATTGGCATGTCATGGATTAAAGACCAGAGATAAAGCTCCATGCATGTGTACTAGGTTCTGTGGCTAAACTGACTTGACTATAATCACTGTGTCTAACTTGACTTGAATGTAGCACTTCTTTCAAGCCCCCAACAATGGTTTTTCTTTTGTTTGAGATCCGATTTGTTTATTTTTTTAAATTGATGTATCATAGTTGTAAATATTTTTGGGATACATGTGATATTTTGATACATATATTAAATGTGTATTGATGAAGTCAGGGTAATTGGGATATTCATCACCTCTAATGTTTATGTTTTCTTTGTGTTGGGAACATTATACTTTTTTTCTTCTAGCTGTTTTGAAATATACTTTTTTCTTCTAGCTGTTTTGAAATATAATTTCCCTACCGTGCTATCAAATACCAGAACTTATTACTCCTATCTAACTATTTTTTTTACCCGTTAACCAACTTCTCTTCATTATACTCATCTCCACCTTCCCTTCCCAGCCTCTGGTAACCATCAATTTGCTCTCTGTCTCCATGAGATCCACTTTATTAGCTCCCACTATGAGTGAGAATGTGCAATATTTGCCTTTCTGTGCCTAGTTTATTTCACTAACATAATGACCTCTAGTTCCATCCATGTTGCTGCAAATGACAGGATTTCATTCATTTTTGTGGCTGAATAATATTCCATTGAGACCTATTTTATGCTGATCCTTTTGGTTGTGCTTCATTTCTGTAGCAGTGAGTTTAAACCACAAAAAATTATAGGTTTCAGTTAAGACCAAATTGTTTGACAAAGACTTTCTGAACTTGATCTTATGGATCAAGGCAATTTTAATGCACATAAAACTTTGGATTAATTTTTATTTACTTTACTTTTCTACTCATCATTCCATGGTTCATTAATGGAAATATGATCGATTTAGAGGTATGTACTACTGAAAGAGAAAATACACTGGGATTATAGTCAACAGATATCTCTGGCTTTTAACTATGCAAAAGTTACTGCTGCATCTGATTTCTTAGAGGAGACCATTGTCTAAACATTTTATAACCTAGAAATTTAAATGGTTTTCTAAAACATATTTGTTGAAATATTATATCATTATGTCTAAAATGTTCTTAGACATTATGTTCAAGTATAAATTCCTCAAGTGCAGGGACTTTTCTCTTTATCACCACAGAGCATGAACAGGTAAACCAGGTACTGTTCGTATCTTCAGGCCTCACAGTCATGTTGAAAATAAGCCTGAGAAGCTGGGCGCAGTGGCTCATGCCTGTAATCCCAGCACTTTGGGAGGCTGAGGCAGGTGGATCACCTGAGGTCAGGAGTTCAAGACCAGCCTGGCCAACATGGTGAAACCCCGACTCTACTAAAAATACAAAAATTAGCCAGACGTGGTGGCATGTGCCTGTAGTCCCAGCTACTCACGAGGCTAAGGTGGGAGGATTGCTTGAACCCAGGAGGCAGAAGTTGCAGTGAGCCAAGATAGCACCACTGCACTCTAGCTGGGTGACAGAGGGAGACTCAAAAAAAAAAAAAAACCATAAAATATGTATCTGGAAATAATTTGAACCTGCAGTATAAAATGGACATGTAATGGATCGCCGTTTGTATCATTATTTCCAGGCACCAGTACGCAACCCAGACCAGTTCAAAGCTCTTGGATTGGTGACTCCAGCTGGGGTCCTCCTTGCTGGTCCTCCTGGCTGTGGGAAGACTCTGCTGGCGAAGGTATCATATAAGTTCAATTGCATGTAATTTATTTCTTAGTATCAGATAGGATAATATGAACTTAACTTTAAATATTACAGTGAGGTAAGTCTTATGCATAATTTTTATCAGAAGTTTATTTTAGCAAAACTGACAACTTTCTTCATTAAAGTTTCCTACTTTTTTAAATTACAAAGGCACATGATTGAAAAATGTTTATATCAACCATAATCCTATCAATTTTAACATGCAATTATTATATTTTCTGTGTATTACATTTTAGCTTTTTAGTGAGTATTATTCCATAGTTTTAGTTTTTACTTGACTTAGTTTCCTGCTTTGGTATTGTTATTATTTATAACTTAAGTATTTTCCTCTATATTTCTTGTAATTATTTTCTAAAATTGTTTTTTCATAATAGAAAATAAAAATAAGCAAAAAGGAAAAGCATTGTGTGTAATTCTCTCACTGCCACCTACTACTATTATTTCATTTCATTGTCAATCCTTCAGATATTTTTCTATGCATACATATCAAAGTAATATCTAACTTTTAAGTTTTTACATGCATGTTTACAAATATAAGCTTTTTTTATTTTATTTTATTATTTTTGAGACGGAGTCTCATTCTGTCGCCCAGGCTGGAGTACAGTGGCATGATCTTGGCTCACTGCAACTTCCGCCTCCCGAGTTCAATCAATTCTCTTGCCTCAGCCTCCCGAGTAGCTGGGGTTACAGGCATACGCCACCACGCCCGGCTAATTTTTGTATTTTTAGTAGAGATGGGGTTTCACCATGTTGGTTAGGCTGGTCTCGAACTCCTGACCTCATGATCCGCCCATCTCGGCCTCCCAAAGTGCTGGGATTACAGGCGTGAGCCACCACCCCCAGCCACAAATATAAGCTTTTTTAAACATGTTTTTCTCACTTAGCTGTATTTCCTGAACATCTTCACGTCAGTATATATTGATACACATCAATATTTTTAATGCCTGCATAATATTCTACCATAAAGATAGATGTTCTATAATTTATGGAAATGATCCCATATTGAAACAACACTACTTTAAATGGCCTTGCACTTATATTTTTGTACCTTGACTAATAATTATATTAGAATGCATTTCTAAATAATTTTCCAGTCAAAGGAATGTATGTTTTTAAGGCTTTTGAGCCATATTATTAAAGTGCCTTCCTAAAGGTTTTCACCAGTTTTTACCTTTTTTATCAATAGGGTATGAGAATCAATTTTCCCACACCTTAAACTAGTGATGGCCATGAACATTGCTCTTAATAGTGGACAATTTAATAGGTAAAAATGCTGTCTTACAGTTTAATTTGCATTTTAAAAATTACTAGTGTTTTTTTGGCCAGGCATGGTAGCTCATGCCTGTAACCCCAGCACTTTGGGAGGCCGAGGCGGGTGGATCACTTGAGGCCATGATTTCAAGACCAGCTTGGGCAACATGGTAAAACCCTGTCTCTACTAAAGTAAATTACAAAAATTAGCCAGATGTAGTGGTGCATGCCTGTAATCCCAGCTACTCGGGAGGCTGAGGCACAAGAATCACTTGACCCAAAGAGGCAGAGGCTGCAGTAAGCCAAGATCACACCACTGCATGCCAGCTTAGGCAACAGAGTAAGACTCTGTCTCAAAAAAAAAAACTAGTTTTTTTTATTTAAGTATGTTTATTGGCTATATTTCTTTGTGAATTGTCTATTCATATCCTTTCCTATTTTTCTAATGGCATACATGTGATTTTCTTTCTTATTTATATCACTTCATATATTAAGATTTGTTATTTATAAATGTTGATTAGTTTATCTTGACTGTAACCATGTTTGACACCTTGAGCTTTTTTGGTTTGATTTTTATGTGGGCAAATTTCTGTCTTTTTGTGCTTTTTTCCCCATTGGAATTATGCTTATTAGAACTGTCTTCCCTATGTGTAAAGTATGTTATCCATCATTTTTAGTGTCTGTATAATATTACATCCATAACTAACCCTTATCAACTTTTAAAAATATTTTGAATTGTAAGAAATTGAAATAATAACATTTTTAATAAGTACAACAGCAACCAAATTATAGCTCCTCAGTAAATATCAAATATCCATAGTGCTGTGTGTAAAACTTACTTTTATTTATACTACTAATTTTCCTTGCTTAATGCTTTCAGTACTCTTAAAAGGCATTGCTTTCAGAGAGCTGGGTATGGAGGTAGAAGAGAACAACACAGTCATTGATCTACAATTTTTTCACAATAGTTTTGGAAAAATATAGCCAGAAAGAAGGTTCTGCATGCTGGTGTGTGAATTCTCCAGGTCAATGCACTTCCCTTTCATGTGTGTCCTATAGTGTTTATTATTTAATTAGTTACATCTGCCTTTGAGTAGTCCTGTTCACAGCAGAGAGGAGGTAGCTTGGATAACTTGAAAAGCATATATAGTACTAAAACATCATAGATCTACATTTCTCCTCTTCTTCTCCCCACTACTGAACTGCCAACAATTGAGGACCACTCTGTTTAGTCAGATTTCTTTCTTTCTTTCTTTCTTTTTTTGAGATGGAGTCTTGCTGTCACCCAGGCTGGAGTGCAGTGGCACAACCTTGGCTCACTGCAAGCTCCGCCTCCTGGGTTCACGCCATTCTCCTGCCTCAGCCTCCTGAGTAGCTGGGACTACAGGTGCCTGCCACCATGCCCAGCTAATTTTTTGTATTTTTAGTAGAGACGGGGTTTTGCCGCATTAGCCAGGATGGTCTCGATCTCCTGACCTCGTGATCCACCCGTGTCAGCCTCCCAAAGTGCTGGGATTACAGGCATGAGCCACCGTGCCCGGCCTTAGTCAGATTTCTTACATCTGACCTTTGGGAGCAGGGACTCTTACCTAGGACTCCATGAATGGACTTCACAGCTTCACTGAATCTATGAGCCCAGGCAATGTATTGTGTATATGTATTGTTTCTGGGGAAGAGTGTTCACAACACCTTTCATCAGGTTCTCCAAGGGGTGCAAGACTATGTGCCCAAGAATCCAGAAATAGAAAATGTCCTTGAATGGCAGAGGCAAAGTGTGGCCTAGGATAAACTCATGGAACAAATTATAGGTCAGAACCTAGAAACCTAGAGATACATATAAAATTAGGTATTTGGCTGATCTTGATTGTTTTGTTTACTCAGGATAACAAAATAATACAATTTTTCTTGGCACCTGCACATACTAAGTATGTAACTAGCATAAAGTCAGGGCATGCAGTTACTGGAGTTGGAGAGGTTTGGAAGAATAAGAATTGGGAGTCCAGTTTTAGAAGTGGTAGATTTGAAATGCTTGTGCAATCCAAGTGGTGTTGCTGAGGAGTAAGTGGAACATAGATGGGGAGCTCAGATACCAGGTTCTAAGAATAGGAAAGAACTCTCTTCCATGATCATTTTGAAGTTCTGATTGATTTTATTCAGGTTTCACCTCTGCATTCAGATTGTAATTCTTAGACTCTTCTACACATACAACTATGAGTTTCTCAACACTGACTCTTCGTAAAGACTGATAACTGATGTTAAATTTTCATTTGTAAATCAATGAATGCTTTCATCCCATGAGGTATTTCTTGAGTACAGAGACTAGCATTTCACTGGAATTCCAAACTAGGGCTATAAATGTATTTATATTTACATAAGCATGTTTATGTAAACAAATGTTCACATAAATATTTTGTGTCATTTCCATTTGATTTATAGCCTTAGTAATTCTTAGAAAGTTGTAGGTTTCAGCCTGGGCAATGTGGCAAAACCCTGCCTCTACCAAAAAAATACAAAAATTAGCTGAGCGTGGTGGCATACTCCTGTAATCCCAGCTCCTCGGAAGGCTGAGGTGAGAGGATTGCCTGAACCTGGGAAGTCAAGACTGCAGTGAGTGGTGATCTCATCACTGCACTGCAGCCTGGGCGACAGTAAGATTCTGTCTCAAAAAAAAAAAAAAATTAAAGTGAAATTTAAAAAAAAAAGTTGTACGTTAACACATTAACGTTTATTTCCTTTGATTTTCCCTTTATCCATTCCCCTTTTCCCATTTGTCTTTTTTCCTTTTTTTTTTTTTTTGAGACAGAGTCTCGCTCTGTCGCCCAGGCTGGAGTGCTATGGCACAATCTTGGCTCACTGCAACCTCTGCCTCCCGGGTGCGAGCAATTCTCCTGTCTCAGCCTCTCGAGTAGCTGAGACTATAGGTACATGCCACCATGCCCGACTAATTTTTGTGTTTTTAGTAGAGATGGGGTTTCACCATATTGGTCAGGCTGGTCTCAAACTCCTGACCTCAGGTGATCCACCCGCCTCGGCCTCCCAAAGTGCTAGGATTACAGGCGAGTCACCGCACCCACCCCTTTTTTCCTTTTAATAAGAAAGAGGTAACTATTAATATAGAAAGGGAGACACAGAATTAAGACCACAAAAAGGGCTAGGCGCAGTAGCTCACGCCTGTAATCCTAGCACTTTGGCAGGCCGAGGCAGGCTGATCACGAGGTCAGGAGATTGAGACCATCCTGGCTAACATGGTGAAACCCCATCTCCACTAAAAATATAAAAAATTAGCCGGGCGTGGTGGCGGGCGCCTGTAGTCCCAGCTACTTGGGAGGCTGAGGCAGGAGAATGGCGTCAACCCGGGAGGCAGAGTTTGCAGTGAGCCGAGATCGCGCCACTGCACTTCATCCTGGGCGACAGAGCAAGACTCCATCTAAATCTCACACACACACACACACACACACACACACGCACACAGAGTCCTTTCATTGTCACACATCATCATCATTATTATTGTTATTATTACTGTGTATTGGTCTTATTTGTGTCTTTTTGTTTCCTCTTGCTAGGCTGTTGCAAATGAGTCCGGACTAAATTTTATATCTGTCAAGGGCCCCGAATTACTAAACATGGTAAGTTATTGAGCAAGAACCATTATTTTAGATTAGAAAAAGTAATGGTCATGCAAATTACGGGGTAAAATGTTCTCAGATCTTTCAGCAATTGTGGTATTTTGGTATTTAAAATCAGTGCTGTAGGAGTGAGGAGGCTGAGCTTTGCTCTGCTCTGCCACTTTGGGTGTATAAATGCTTTCTCAATTAAGTCTGTTAACCTCTGAGCCTGAATTTTCCCACAGCTAGAAGCAGTAGAGCAAAGATTTCAATCTGAGTTGTCTGACTCCTGATCTACTTTTTGTCCAGTTGTCATGTGGCTCAGATGAGTTCCATATTAATAAATAAAAATACTTCTGGAGATAGAAGTCACTCAAGTGCTGTATCTTCCTTCTGCATTTAAGAAACTTATTATCCAAATTTAAGACACTTTGAATTTATTTTTTGTCCCTCTCTGTGAAAAGTAAAAATGCCATTCTATGATATATTCCAACAAAGAAGAAATGAGGGTAACATTTGTTTTAAAAGGTTTTTAAAATTTATCTCTACCTCAATTTTTAAATCTTTCCTATTGTGTATTACTTTCTCCCTAAAATAAGGGAGTTATACTTAAGTATTTCCTATGGGCTTTTTACATACCTCGTAACTTTTCTTGTACTTGGTTTTGATTTTCCAGCAGAGGTGGTATTAGATGTGAACCTTGAAGCAGAGGGCATTGGTGGGAACTGGGATTGGAAAAGAAGGTTATAGCCAGACATTGAAGGGCCTTTATACCAAGCTAAAGTTTGGATGTTAACTTCAGAATATCAGAGAGCTAATAGAGGCTTTAAGTCAAGAGTGTAACATATTTTTAAAGATTGTAATTAATAAAAATTTTATTATAAAATATTTCCACATATAAGGAATTCCAAAGAGTAATATAATATACCCCTATGTATCTATCACCCAGCAAAAAAAAAAAAAACAAAAAAAAACAGCAGTACACTTAAAGCTTCTTGCAAACCCTCCCTCATGATGTTCCCTGTTCTCTTTCCCATGGAACTTACCACAAGGCTGAATTTGGTGCTTATTAGTTCCATGCACTTCTTTCTATATTTACTATGTGTATATTTATCCCTAAACAATATATAGTATTATTTTATATGTTTCAGAAGTATAAGGCCAGGCACAGTGGCCGACACCTGTAATCCCCAGCACTTTGGGAGGCTGAGGCAAGAGGATCACTTGAGGCCAGGCATTTAAGACAGACCAGCATACCAAGACCCTGTCTCTACCAAAAAAATTTTTAATGTAATTTTTTTCAAGTATGAGGTTTATGAGATAATTGGAAATGTTAGTGCTTACTGAATATTTTATATTAAGGAAATACTAATTTTTAAGTGTGATATGACATTTTAAAATCATATTTTAGAGATACTGAAATATTTATAAATAAAATAGGACATCTAGGATTTTCTTCAATAAAACAAGGAAAGTGGCCAGGAGTATAGATGAAGCAAGACTGGTCATTAATCGAGTTGATAATAATTGAAGGTCAGTGATGGGTACATTTGAAGTTTATAACTGTTATATCTCTTTAGTTATAAGTTTGGAACTCTCCTTATAAACTCTCCATGGTATAAAGCAAAACAAACAAAAAACCCCTTTAAATAGTGTGTATTATTTTGCAACTTGGTTTGGTTGAGTTTTTTGGTTTTTGTTTTGTTTTGTTTTTTGAGAGAGAGACAGGGTCTCTGGAAGTAGAGGTTTTGCTGTATTGTCCAGGCTGGTCTCAAACTCCTGGCCTCAGGTGATCCTCCTATCTCAGCCTCCCAAAATGCTAGGATTACATGCGTGAGTGACTACACCTATTCTTGGTTGTTATTTTTGTTCAATATTTATTTATAATACTTATCTCTGTTGATGTATTTTTAGTTTATTAACTTTTTGTGTGGCATTTCATTGAATGAATGTAACCATACTTTAAAAATCAGTTTTTTTTCTGATGAATTTTTAGGTTGAATATTATATATGTATATCTTTGCATATATTTGTGAGATTTTTTTCCCCTTAGGGTATATACCCAGAAGGAGAATTGCTGAATCTTAGAGTATGTGCACTTTCAAAAATATTAGGTATTGGCTGGGCACAGTGGCTCACACCTATAATCCCAGCACTTTGAGAGGTCAAGGCAGGAGGATTGCTTGAGGCCAGTTTGAGACCAGCATGGGCAACATAGTGAGACCCTGTCTCTACAAAAAAACCCCATAAAATTAGCCAGATGCACACCTGTAGTCCCATCTCCTTGGGAGGCTGAGGTGGGAGGATCACGTGAGCCTGAGAGGTCGAGGCTGCAGTGAGCTATGATCACGCCACTGCTCTCCAGCCTAGGCAACAGAGCAACATCCTGTCTCAAAAAAAAAAAATTGGATATTGCTAACTATTTTTATAAAGTGATTGTATCAGATTGTCCCACATTCTCAACAGCAGTGTTGGTGTCTGATATTTTCATTTTTGCCAGTCTGGTAAATATGACATTTTGCCTCATTGTGGTCTGATTTGTTTTTAACGGGTGGGTAGGGGGAAGAGGTCTATGGAAGAGTGCAGAATGTCTCTGAAAGATTAGATGATCTGGGCTGGGTGCGGTGGCTCACGCCTATAATCCCTGCACTTTGGGAGGCCAAGGTGGGCAGATCACTTGAGGTCAAGAATTTAAGACCAGTGTGGCCAATGTGGTGAAACCCCATTGTAAAAATACAAAAAAATTAGCCAGGCATGGTGGTGGGTGTCTGTAATCCCAGCTACTCAGGAAGCTGAGGCAGGAGAATTGTTTGAACTCAGGAGGTGGAGGTTAACGGTGAGCAGAGATCACGCCACTGCACTCCAGCCTGGGCGACACAGTGAGACTCCGCCTCAAAAAAAAAAAAAAAAAAAAAAAGATTAGATGATCTAATGAGGAAGATGGGCATCTTGGGATTGGAAAATGAGTTCACTCTAGGACATTTTAGATTAAACAGCCATCTGGAGATGTCCAGCAGGCAGTAGGAAATGTGAATCTGAAGCTCTGAAGAGATTTGAAAGTCACTATCATCCAAGTGGCATCTAAAACCATGGGAATGGGTTCAGTCTGGTAGGACAAGTTTGTTAAGTAAAAGAACAGTTACATTAAGGGCCTCTGACAGAACCCTGAAAGATTCGAACAATTAAGGGATAAAGAAGCAAGATCTGGTAAAGGAGACCGAAAGTGCTTGGTCATAAGATGGAGAACACCCCGGACCTTCTAAGCCTGAAAACCAAGGGAAGATGAGTTTTTCAACCTTGTCAGTGTGACTAAACAGTATAAAAGATAGTGAGAGTGGGACTTGGGATTTGGTAATTAGAAGGTCATTGGTGGCTTTAGGGAAAATATGTTTAATAATGATGTTTGCAAAAGCCAGAATAAAATGGTTGAAAATTTGATGGCCAATAAAGATTTTGAGATAATAAATGTAGGATCTTTACTTGAAATGTTGCATATGTTTCAAATAAAGGATAAGATGGGCTTTTCATTTATTTACTTATTTTTAATCACTGTTGCCTTGTTAAGATTAAGTAGGTTTTAATATGTCCTCGTTGAAACTTTAGGTTTACCTTTCCCTAAATTAAATTTCCTTTTACCTAGCTACCTTGGTTTACCATTTCCAAAGTCACTTTGCCAACGGTATTGATTGTTCTCTTCTATTCCTATCTGAAACTTTATGTCTCCCAGCCCCCTGATATGCCTTCTTTTACAATAGTACTGAATATTTTGCTTCAGCATTGCAAGTATAGTTTTTGCTGAATTCGATTTTCCAGGAAAGTCTACTATATTTGTACACTGTTTATTATATTTGCACACTGTGTGCTATATTTGTACACTGTGCAGGATGTTATGACAGAAAAATCTGAATAGGACTCCTGCTTTCCAAGGACTTTGTAATATAATATAGTGAGGGTAGAAGAGCTCAAATGTTACAATAATGATAAAATCTGAATATCTGAATAGGACCCCTGCTTTCCAAGGGCTTTGTAATATAATATAGTGAAGGTAGAAGAGCTCAAATATTATAATAATACAAAGTACTTTAAGAGCAAAGAAATACTTTGGGTTTGGTTTCGGTCAAATGATAGTAAAACAGTTTTATGTGTCATAAAACTAGTTTTATGTGTCATAAAACTAGTTTTATGTGTCATAAAACTAGTTTTATGTGTCATAAAACTAGTTTTATGTGTCAAAGTCCAGAAAGTATCAGGATGAGGATAAGCCATATACAATTGCTGATATTTAACCATTTTTGACCTGTAATAGCCAACTGCATATAGTTCAACTTAATCAAATTAACTATTATGGGAAGAATGATTAATGAGGATCTTTTAGAATGCAAGAAGAAATGTTTGGAGGTAGGTTAGAAAGCAGTTCAAGTAAGGGAAGCAGAATGAGCAAAAGTTCAAAGAAAAGTACCAAAAGGATGTGAGGGAAAGAAAGTTCTAGTCAAATGAAAAAATAGCACTTTAATCTCTGTCGTCTGTGGTACTCTTTGCCTTGATTATTTAGTATGGCCATATAGTCATTAAATAGCATAGGTGATATGAAATAGTTGGCACTGTAGGCCGGGGGCAGTGGCTCATGCCTGTAATCCCAGTATTTTGGGAGGCTGAGTCAGGTGGATATTTGAGTTCAGGAGTTCGAGACCAGCCTGGCCAACATGGTGAAACCCCATCTCTACTAAAAATACAAAAATTAGCCAGGTGGTAGTGGTGGTATGCCTGCAATCCTAGCTACTCAGGAGGCTGAGGCAGGAGAATCACTTGAGCCTGGGGGCGTGGAGGTTGCAGTGAGCCGAGATGGCTCCACTGCACTCCTGTCTGGTTGACAGAGAGACCCTGTCTTAAAACAAAAATAATAATAATAATTGGCACTGTAAAGATGTTTTTGGATTCCATCTTATTTGGCAGTTTCATTAAGAAAAAAACTGCTCTTTCTTAATCATCTGGTTTGACATTTTACAAGAAAAATTTCTTATGCCTAAGCTAAAAGTGAAATAATCCTTACATGTAGCTTTTCATATTACTTAGTCCTAATGTTATAGTTGCTTGTGAATTGCTATATTTCTTGACTTATCTTAATGTTTTATATTTTGATTTAGATTTCAACATAGAGTAAGCCATTATGAAACCTGTTAAGTGCCTAGTTGGCTCACTTTGCCTCCTCTGATGCTGTATGACAAAATAGTTATTCCTTTATTTAGTAAGACGACTTGTGTAAAAATAACAATAAAACAGTAATTTGACTTGTGTGTATGTAAAATACTGTTGAATTAATGAAAATTACTGCTGGATATTTTATATGCACGAGGCTTACAAGATTAGTTCTAAAGTGCAATTGAATTTTGGTGATTTTTTTTGAGCTAGAGAAGAACTTACGTTTCACTTAAGTCTTCATTTTATAAATAAGGAAATTTATAGTAGGCTTAAATAGTAGCTAATTTTATTAAGTTGAACTATATGCAGTTGGCTATTACAGGTCAAAAATGGTTAAATATCAGCAATTGTATATGGTTCATTCTGATACTTTCTGGACTTTGACACATAAAACTAGTTTATGTCACATAAAACTGTTTAGTATCATTTGACCCAAACCACAAAGTTGAACTGTTGGTATTTTATTTCCTTTCTGTGTATGTTTAGTATGTTGGTGAGAGTGAACGTGCTGTGCGACAAGTTTTTCAACGAGCCAAGAACTCAGCACCCTGTGTGATATTCTTTGATGAAGTGGATGCTTTATGTCCTCGAAGATCAGACCGAGAGGTAAGTATCATGGACTAGTGGTTTTCAGATTCTTTTAGCACAATAAACCTTTTCTATGTTCCAAGCCAGGTATTTCTTATGAAGTCATCCCTTGGGAGCATTGAGACTCTTAATGAAGACACTTAGTAATTTGAAATCAAATCCTAGAGATAGCAGTTGTATTCTGTATCCGCCTCTGCATCCAGTTTTTTTCCTGTACATTATTTTGGTTGCACAATCTTTAGGTCATCCTAATTCACACAAATGAGTAGGTAAGTATGGAAATGATATTGTTTTAAATAGCTTGCCTTATAATCTTGTAATCCTACAACATTCTTGAGCTAAATGGGTTCTTGAGACAGGAAAACATACAGTTTAAGATATCATGCACTCAAAATAGGGTCAGGTTATTAACTTTTAAGACCCAAAACCTTTTCTCTTAAAGTGAGGACATTAAAATGATGAAGATAAAAAAAGACCCAACACCCATTTTATATCTGGAGAAGATATAAAATTGATCTGCACTGAATACCACTTGTGTCAGCCACACTGAGTCACAGTCCTTAGAGATTTCAGTACGGAGTACCAGAAACAGTTGTTATTAGGAGTGCTATTGTATAACAATTTGAAGCTTAGTGAAGCATAACATAAACAATAAATATATAACCTTTTTGAAGCAGATAGCAACTGCTATTTTTATTTATTTTTATTTTTATTTTTTTCGAGACGGAGTTTTGCTCTTGTCTCCCAGGCTGGAGTGCAATGGTGCATCTCGGCTCACTGCAACTTCCGCCTCCTGGGTTCAAGCGATTCTCCTCCCTCAGCCTCCTGAGTAGCTGGGATTACAGGCACCCGCCACCATGCCTGGCTAATTTTTGTATTTTTAGTAGAGACAGGGTTTCCTCATGTTGGTCAGGCTGGTCTTGAACTCCTGACCTCAGGTGATGTATCCGCCTCAGCCTCCCAAAAAGTGCTGGGATTACATGGGTGAGCCACCATGCCTGGCCACAAGTACATTTCTTGTAAGATGACTGAAGGAATGGTTACATTTCTTTTTGTTGTTGTTGTTGAAACAGAGTCTCACTCTTTCTCCCAGGCTGGAGTGCAGTGGTGTGATCTCGGCTCACTGCAACCTCTGCCACCCGGGTTCAAGCGATTCTCCTGCCTCAGCCTCCCGAGCAGCTGGGATTACAGGCGCCCGCCACCGCACCTGGCTAATTTTTGTAGTTTTTAGTAGAGACAGAGTTTTACCATCATTTCTGAAACCTAGGAAATCTTTTGTGATTTATTTTCAATATGGGTGTGTGTGTGTGTGTGTGTGTGTTGTTAGGTCATAAAACATTATTACATGCCTCATTTTGCTAAAAATCTCCGAAAACATTCAAAAGTCACACACAAAAAAGGATGACTAATATAAATAAATAAATAAATAAATGTGACTCACATTTTAGCGGTTTTGTTTCTTCATCCTAGTCATTGATACCATCATAGAAGATTCTTACTACAGGCTTATCTTTGATAGTGATGTCAGTGACTGAGGCAGAGATCCTTCCCAGGTTCCCCAGTCATATTCCAAAGTCTACTGTGGGCTATGGAGCAAAACACAGCACTTTGTTATCTCCAGCTGGTTAGGGCACAGCATGCTCTGGATTTTATTCCTTTCCTTTTTATTCTCTCTCTTTTGCCATGAATAAACCCTTCATTTGTCCATAGCCCCTTCAATTGGTTTGAAGCTCTCTACTGTCAGCTGGTAAATCTAAATTTGGAGAGGTTCATTGTCAACTGTTGCCCTCAAAGAAGTCTGTAGCCGTATGAAGTACATGTCTAACTTCTGGTTTATCTCTCTCTTTTTTTTAAGGAATAAAGAATGGCTGCTCCATAGGCAGAGCAGCCTTATCTGTTTCTTGGATGTCTACTGCCGTACATTTCTTTTTTTTTTTTTCTTTTGAGAGAGAGTCTTGCTCTGTCACCCAGGCTGGAGTGCAATGGCACTATCTCAGCTCACTGCAACCTCTGCCTCCCAGGTTCAAGCGATTTTCCTGACTCAGCCTCCCGAGTAGCTGAGATTACAGGCGCCTGCTACCATGCCCAGCTAATATTTGTATTTTCAGTAGAGATGGGGTTTCACCATGATGGCCGGGCTGGTCTCGAACTCTTGGTCTCAAGTGATCCACCATCCTCGGCCTCCCAAAGTACTGGGATTAGAGGCGTGAGCCACCACGCCCAGCCTACTGCCATACATTTCTATACTCTGATATATATGGTTTTCTTTTCTTGTGTTTTTGTTGTGTTTTTTTTTGTTTGTTTGTTTTTTTTGTTTTTTTTTGAGACGGAGTCTCGCTCTGTCGCCCAGGCTGGAGTGCAGTGGCGGGATCTCGGCTCACTGCAAGCTCCGCCTCCCGGGTTCACGCCATTCTCCTGCCTCAGCCTCCCAAGTAGCTGGGACTACAGGCGCCCGCCACTACGCCCGGCTAATTTTTTGTATTTTTAGTAGAGACGGGGTTTCACCGTTTTAGTCGGGATGGTCTCGATCTCCTGACCTCGCGATCCGCCCGCCTCGGCCTCCCAAAGTGCTGGGATTACAGGCATGAGCCACCGCGCACGGCCTGTTGTGTTTTGTTTTTTGTTTTGTTTGTTTGTTTTGAGACAGAGTCTTGCTCTGTCACCCAAGCTGGAGTGCAGTGGTGTAATCTCAGCTCACTGCAGCCTCTGCCTCCCAGGTTCAAGCGATTTTCCTGACTCAGCCTCCCAAGTAGCTGGGACTACAGATGTGTGCCACCACACCTGGCTAATTTTGTATTTTTAGTAGAGACGGGGTTTTACCACTTTGGCCAGGCTGGTCTTGAACTCCTGACCTCAGGTGATCCACTCGCCTTGGCCTCCCAAAGTGCTGGCATTACAGATGTGAGCCACTACGCCCAGCTATAGTTTGCTTTTCTAACATTTTCACCTAAAGCAGATTCTAAAAACATTTTATTTTTATTTTTTGTTTCTTTTTATTTGATTTTTTTTTTTTTAAAACAGAGTCTCACTCTCACTCAAGCTGGAGTGCAGTGGCGCGATCTCAGCTCTTCGCAACTTCTGCCTCCTGGGTTCAAGCGATTCTTGTGCCTCAGCCTCCTGAGTAGCTGGGACTACAGGTGTGTGCCACCATGCCCAGCTGATTTTTTGTATTTTTTTTTTTTTAGTAGAGACAGGGTTTCACCATGTTGGCCAGGCTGGTCTCGAACTTCTAACCTCAGGTGATCCACCTGCCTCAGCCTTCCAAAGTGCTAGGATTACAGGCATGAGCCACCATGCCTGGCCTCTAAAAACATTTTAAATTTGAATGCATTCTGTTTTTTTTGAGACAGAGTCTCGTTCTGTTGCCCAGGCTGGAGTGCAGTGGCGCAATCTCGGCTCACTGCAACCTCTGCCTCCTGGGTTCATGCGATTCTCCTGCCTCAGCCTCCCGAGTAGCTGGGATTACAGGCGCACACCACCACGCCTGGCTAATTTTTTGTGTATTTTTAGTAGAGATGGGGTTTCACTATGTTGGCCAGACTGGTCTCGAACTCCTGACCTCGTGATCTGCCCGCCTCGGCCTCCTAAAGTGTTGAGATTACAGGCGTGAGCCACCGCGCCTGGCAAATGTATTCTTTTTTAATTGCACTAGTTATACATGAATACACATTTGTGAAAAATTCAAATAAAACACAAGTATAAAGAGAGTAAATTTCTTTCCATTCTCCTCCGTATTACTCTTTTTGGAGGTTATTACGAGACTGCTAATAGTTGTCATTTAGTATGCATCATTCTAGAATTTTTTCCAGAAACATAAAAAAATTTATATTTTACGCTTCTGTTTTGTTGTTGTTGCTGTTGTTTGAGACAGGGTCTTACCCTGTCTCCCAGGCTGGAGTGCAGTGGTGTGATTGTAGCTCACTGCCTGCTGCCTTGAGCTCCTGGGCTCAAGAAATGATCCCACCTCAGCTGCCTGAGTAGCTAGTAGTACGGGTGTGCACCACCACACCCAGCTAAGTTTTTGTTTTTAGAGGTGGGATCTTGCTGTGTTGCCCAGGCTTGTATTGAACTTCTGGCCTCAAGCGATCCTCCTGCCTCAGCCTCCCAAAGTGCTGGGATTACATCATGCCTGGACCTAGGCTTCTATTTTTTATATAAATGTGGTCATTCTGTCTTGATGACTTTCTCATGTACGTAATAACTTAAAAATAGATATTGTATAATAGTCTGGATACAGCAGAATTTACATAATAATTCTCCTGTTTTGGACATTTAGATTGTTTCCAGTTGTAAATAGAACTCTGCTGAACTTGTTTCACGTATTTTTGTGCACCTGTGATGGGACTATATGAGATAGATTTTTGGAAGTGAAAATCAGGGTTGAAGATTGATATATATTAGATTTTGAAAAATAATGCTGTATCATCCTTCACAAAAACTGTCAGTTACATGTGCCCACCAACAGTGTGTGAAAATAACCATTTCCTATCAACAATGGATTATACCTGTCTTTTTATTTTTTGGCAGTTTTATTGGCAAATCATATTACATTTTAGTATACATGTCCCTGATTACCATGAGGTTGACTATCTCCAGTGATTTGAAATTATTTGATCTTATCTTTCAACCCTTTTGCTATTGCTGTCTTTTTCTTTTTTTACATTAATTGGTACTCTATGATGGAAAGTAGTCTTTTATTTAATTATGTGTTGACACTATTTTTCCCAGTCTTATGACTTATATTTAATTTTATTATATAGAATATTATAGGTTTTGTTTGTTTGTTTGTTTGTTTTCTGTTTTGAGAGTCTCACTCCGTCGCCCAGGCTGGAATGCAATGATGCAATCTTGGCTTACTGCAGCCTCCGCCTCCCGGGTTCAAGCAATTCTTCTGCCTCAGCTTCCCGTGCAGCTGGGATTACAGGTTCCCACCACCATGCCCAGCTAATTTTTTGTATTTTTAGTAGAGATGGGGTTTTGCCATGTTGGCCAGGCTGGTCTTGCACTCCTGACCTCAGGTGATTCACATGTCTCGGCCTCCCAAAGTGCTGGGATTACAGGTGTGAGCCACAATGCCCGGCCAGAATATTATGGCTTTAATGCAGCAAAATCTATCAGTCATTCTTGTATTGACTCTGAGTTTGTCTTGCTTATGTAGAAAAAATGTTTTTTACCCATTACTTCCTTATATTTTTGAGTATGGATTATGATTCTGTTAGTGTTATGTTACCAAGGAGTGATAATAAGGAGCACCAATTTTTTTTTTTCTAGAGAAATCAGTGGGGTAAGCTGGGCGCGGTAGTTCATACCTGTAATCCCAGCAGTTTGGGCAGCCGAGGTGGGCAGATTGCTTGAGTCCAGGAGTTCAAGACCAGCAAGGGCAACATGGTGAAATCCCGGCTCTACAAAAAAAAAAAAAAGAAAGAAAAAGAGAGAAAAATTAGCCAGGTGTGGTGGTGCATACCTGTAGTCCCAGCCACTTGGGAGACTGAGGTAGGAGGATTGCTTGAGCCTAGAAGGCAGAGGTTGCAGTAAGCTGAGATCTCACCACTGTACTTCCAGCCTGGGTGACAGAACAAGACCCCTGTCTCAAAAAAAAAAAGAAAAAAGAAAGAAAGAAATGAGGTAAGCCCATTACCACCTCTGTACATAAAATTTATGGTGAAGAAAAGCAATTAATGACCAAAAACACAGCACCACTTTTCTCATTTCCTTCATTTAAAACTTTTTTGTTGTTTCTGTATCTAAGTGATTTATCCCCCTCCCTGAATTTATACCAACTCCCTGAATGTTTCCTTTCACTTAGATATTGCTGAGGTAGCTGTACTTTGTATTATTTGCTTCAAGGAAAAGAGAAAATACCTCAGTGTCCCAGATACTCTTGTATGTGTTGCACTAAAAAGATCTGGAACACCTGGCTGGTCTAATGTCTAATGGTGGTGGGTTATCAGAACTTATTAACATTAGTGTCGTCCAGGTGCAGTGGCACAAGCCTGTAATCCCAGCACTTTGGGAGGCCAAGGCAGGAGGATTGGTTGAGCTCAGGGGTTCGAGACTAGCCTGGGCAATATAGCAACAGGATCTCTAGAAAAAATATGAAAATTAGCCAGGCGTGGTGACACACACCAGTAATCCCAGCTACTTGGGAGGCTGAGGTCGGAGGACTGCTTGAGCCCAGGAGGGGAAGGCTGCAGTGAGCTGATATCACACCAGTACACTCTAGCCTCGGCTACAGAGTAAAACCCTGTCTCAAAAAAAAAAAAAAAAAAAAAGTTAGTCTCACCAAAGTTGGTATACAACCTCCCACTGTTAAATTTGACTGGCTTTAAAAATAAAATAAAATGAGATCTAGAATACCTGATATACTGGGAAATTTGGGGTTCAAAAGCTTAGTCTAGGGCCGGGCGCAGTGGCTCACTCCTGTAATCCCAGCACTTTGGGAGGCCGAGGTGGGCAGATCACCTGAAGTCAGGAGTTTGAAGACCAGCCTGACCAACGTGGTGAAACCGCATCTCTACTGAAATTACAAAATTAGCCAGGCATCGTGGCATACGCCTGTAATCCCAGCTACTTGGGAGGCAGAGGCAGGAGAATTGCTTGAACCTGGGAGATGGAGGTTGCAGTGAGCCAAGATCACACCATTGTACTCCATTCTGGGCAACAAGAGTGAAACTTCATCTCAAAAAACAAAACAAACAAACAAACAAAAAAGCTTAGTCTTGGTGGGGTGCAGCGGCTCACACCTATAATCCCAGCACTTTGGGAGGCTGAGGCAAGAGGATTGCTTGAGGCCAGGAGGTCACGACCAGCCTGGACAGCATAGCAAGACCCCATCTCTACCAAAGAAACGAAAGCTAGCTGTAGATTTGCCCCAAGGGAAGTGTATTGTGACGGTTAGATCTTTGAGTAACTCGAAAACATCAGACCTTGGGATCCATTCAGCCTGAGATTGAGTCTCATTTCTTCCTTTATCTAGTGATGAGAACTTGGACAAATAATCCCTCTAAGCCTCACTTTCCTCATTTAGACTGGATAATAATAGGATTGCTGGGGAGGTCCACTGATGAGAACACATTTTGCACAGTGTCTGCATATAGTGACGCCTCAGAAAATTATCATTGTTATCTCCTTTGCATGGGGAAATGTATTATTTTTATGTGGAAGAAAATGGGTATTTTTCCTTTGTATTGAGAGCTGATGGAACCAGATTTATGTCTTTTTAGACAGGGGCAAGTGTCCGAGTGGTGAATCAGCTACTTACAGAGATGGATGGTCTGGAAGCACGCCAGCAGGTTTTTATTATGGCAGCCACTAACAGGCCAGGTAAGAAATAAAAATATTGTAACACAGATGAATCTAAAAACTTACAGCATTTCCGTAGAAGAGATTCAGATAATTAAAAATAAAAGTAAAAACTAGTAGCATTTATAAACAATATAATTCACATGCATCCTAGGAAAGGAAGATTAAATTTGGGCAATCCATTTTTGGTTCTGTGAAAGGAAACTTCATAGTTGAAATAAAGGCTTAGAAAGCTTTTGCATAAGCTATAGTAAAAAGTATAGTATTACTGCTTGGATCCCATGAGATTGCTTTTCTGTGTCGGTGCTTAGAAAGCTCTTTTTGGCTGAGAACAGTTGCAGCATACACTTTTTTTTTTTTTTTTTTTTGAGACAGAATCTCGCTCTGTCACCCAGGCTGGCATGCAGTGGCATGACCTTGGCTCACTGCAACCTCTGCCTCCTGAGTTCAAGTGATTCTCCTGCCTCAGCCTCCTGAGTAGCTGGGATTACAGGTGCTGCCACCATGCCCGGCTATTTTTTGTATTTTTAGTAGAGATGGGGTTTCGCCATGTTGGCCAGGCTGGTCTTGAACTCCTGACCTCAGGTGATCTGCCCACCTCGGCCTCCCAAAGTGCTAGGATTACAGACGTGAGCCACTGCACCCGACCAGCATACACTTTTGACCACAAAAGTATTTTCAGAATTTGTGTTTTGTGGTTTCTCTCTAGCTTATAGGAAACAAAAACGAGACTCTTCACTCTAGTAGAAGTTAAAGATAGATTTTTAGGATTTTATGCTGGAGCCATGCCCCTATATCTGCCCTGAATAATTACTGAAAATTGTTTTCAAGGTTAAGCATTCTTTGAGGGATTCAGAAAAGGGCTCAAGACTACAGAAGTGCAGAAGATGGCTCGGAGTTACAACTCTAATCACATGCTTGATCTTTCTGGTGATCAGTCCCCTGCCCGAAGCTATCTGTGGGGCCACTATGCGTCACCACATTAGCTCAACAAAGATATTCCTGGCACTCAGGAAATTGCAAGGATTTTTGAAGATCTATGCCAGGAAAGGTGGGCAAAGACCAGTTATATTCTGTATTATACCATAGTAACCTTGGGACTATATTACTTTATCTTGCTGACCATCATTTTGGCACTTTTTAAATGAAGATGATAATACTTAATTGGCAGGATTGCCACAAAAGTTAAATGATGTTGGTAATGTATCTGCCACAGTGGTGTTAAACAGCACGTAGCTATTTAGTAATTGTTATCATGTTCATAAGCAGTTTGGTAATAGTAGTGGGAACAGTCATTAGGTCATAAAATCACAGAGTCATCCTAGAAGAAAGTCCCTCAGAGTTGAACAGAATCACATCGTCCCTTTCATAAGCAGATACAGATCTTTTCTCACATATTTCAAGAAGATGCTTGTCTTAGTCTGTTTTGTTTTGCTGTAACAGAATACCTGAAACTGGGTAATTTGTGTTAAAAAGAAAAGAGATTCAGTTCTTCTAGTTCAGGAAGCTGGGAAGGTCAAGGCTGAGTGGCCTGCATCTGTCAAGGGCCTTCTTGCTGCATCACCCCAAGGCGAAAGGGTAGAAGAGCACAAGAGCATGCATGAGAGAGCAAAAGGAAAGTGGCCTGGACAGGAAGAAACCATGGTCCCATGAGTAAAGGTGGACAAATAAAGTTTAATTAATTTTACCCTATCTTTGGACATTTATCTCAACTGCCTGAGCTAAACAACTGTTTTCTTCAGCCTACCAAAAAGCATTTTGTATAGCAAAAGATTAGTTTCACTGGAGGAAGTCTGGAGAAGAAAGAAGCAGAGAGAGGGGGGATCCTGGGGAGTAGGAAATGAGGGCCCTGTTTCTCTCAAAAAAGCCTCATTGAAGAAATACATTGATCCAGTTTTTTCCAGTATATGATCATCCTTTTTAAAGTGAGGAGCATAAATTAGTAAGGATGGGCTTAATATCTGTTAGTGGTGAGACAGAAAATGCTAAAATTATTATCTGTTTAATTGTTTGTACTATCTGGTTTTGATGTATGACTTGTCATATGTGCAGTATATTAATAACATCATACAGAAACATAGTTAACAAATGAGTAGACATTAAAAAAGAAAGAAAGTGGCCAAGCTGGGCATGGTGGCTTATGCCTGTAATCCTAGCACTTTACGAGGTTGAGACAGGAGGATCGCTTGAGCTTGGGAGTTTAAGACCAGCCTGGGCAACATAGTGAGACCTTGTCTCTATTATTTAAAAAATAGTGAGAGTGGCGAAACATATCCTTTTATCAAGAGTCCACTCCTGTAATAACTTACCCACTCTCTTGAAACCAGCATCATTCATGAGGGCAGAGCCCTCATGACCTAATCACCTTTTAAAGGTCCCACATCTCAACACTGTTTTATTGGGGATTAAGTTTCCAACACGTGAAATTTGGGGAATACGTTCAAACCACAGCATCAATCTTTCGTTTCCTGTAATAACCTATTCTATCGTTAACAGCCCGCACCATATTTTAAGTTTGTTTATTTTATTTTATTATTTATTTATTTATTTTGAGACAGAGTCTTGGTCTACTGCCCAGGCTGGAGTGCAGTGGTGTGATCTCAGCTCCTTGCAACCTCTGCCTCCTGGGTTCAAAGATTTCTTCTCCCTCAGCCTCCCAAGTAGCTGGGACTACAGGCACGTGCCACTACGCCTAGCTAATTTTTGTATTTTTAGTAGAGACAGGGTTTCACCATGCTGGCCAGCCTGGTCTCGGCTCCTGACCTCAGAGGATCTGCCTTCCTCGGCCTCCCAAAGTGCTGGGATTACAGGCATGAGCCACTGCGCCTGGCCTGTTTATTTTAAAACCTGTGTTAAGAATGGCAGAAATGGCAGATGAATCATAATGTGGTACCGGTGTTTTGTTTTTTCCCTATGTGTGTATATTGTCTTCCCCTAAAACTCTTCCATCCTTTTTTCCCCTGTAACAAATCTGTTGCATTAACGACCTACATTTAAAAATAAATGTTCTGGCCGGGCACGGTGGCTCACACCTGTAATCCCAACACTTTGGGAGGCCGAGGCCGGCGGATCACAAGGTTAGAAGATCGAGACCATCAGCTAACATGGTGAAACCCCGTCTCTACTAAAAATTAAAAAAGATTAGCCGGGCATGGTGGCACACACCTGTAGTCCCAGCTACTTGCGAGGCTGAGGCTGAGGCAGGAGAATCACTTGAACCCGGGAAGCGGAGGTTGCAGTGAGCCGAGATTGCACCACTGCACTCCAGCCTGAGTGACAAAGCGAGACTCTGTCTCAAAAAATAATAATAATAATAAACGTTCTAGATCTTCTTCACTTGTTTTCATGCTTATTTGGCAGTTCTGCTCCATTGTATACTATCACGTGACATTGTTTTGATTGCTTATAACTTCTCTGCTTAGCTTTAAGAATTCCCTTCTTGCTTGATGTTCTGGTTAGCCGTTGCTGCATAACAAACTACTGTAAAGCTTAGTGCTTTAAAATCACCATTTGTGGCTGGATGCAGTGACTCACACCTGTAATCCCAGCACTGTGGGAAGCCAAGGATCACTTGAGGTAAAGAGTTCAAGACCAGCCTGCTCAACATGGTGAAGCTCCATCTCTACTAATAATACAAAAATTAATTGGGCGTGGTGGTGGGCGCCTGCAATCCCGGCTACTCAGGAGGCTGAGGCAGGAAGGAGAATCACTTGAACCCAGGAGGCGGAGGTTGCAGTGAGCCCAGATAGCACCACTGCATTCCAGCCTGGGCGACAGAGTGAGACTCCATCTCACAAAAAAAAAAAAAAATCACCATTTTTATTTGGCTCACAATTTTTAGGTCAGGAATTTGGGATGGGCTTGTCTGGGTGGTTCATCTTGGATCCACGTACTATCAGCTGGAGTGGCTGGACCAGAGAATCCATTTCCACAGTGGCCTCTTTACTCACAATGTCTTCACAATCCTTGGTCTCTCTCCCAACCCGGCTGCCAAATAATTATAATCTTTTTGGAGTTTGTTTGTTTGTTTGTTTGTTTTTGAGACGGAATCTTGCTCTGTCGCCCAGACTGGAGCGCAGTGGCATGATCTCGGCTCACCGCAACTTCTGCCTCCCAGGTTCAAGTGATTCTCCTGCCTCAGCCTCCCGAGTAGCTGGGATTACAGGCATGTGCCACCACACCCGGCTAATTTTGTATTTTTAGTAGAGATGGGGTTTCACCTTGTAATCTTTCTGATGTTTTTACTTTATACATTGAAAAATGTTTAAGAAGCAGTCTATAAACTTTCTGTATTCCAAAGAAGTCCTTGACACAAAAGATACTCTGAGCCAGAAGATCTACAGTCCATGGAGAATTTGTGTGAGCTTAATGGGAGAAGTAAGAAGTGGTAAAATTTGAGACACATTTTGAAAGTAAAACTAATAGGATTTTCTGGAATTAGATGTGGGATAAGAGAAAGAAAATAAATAAGGGCTATTCTTATTGTTAGATTGTTTTACCTATACTGGGTAAAATGTTTTGCCACTTCTGAGATAGGGGACACTTGGAGAAAAAGGACACTTTAGAAAAAGACCAACTTTTCTAAAATGTCTGTTCAAGGAGATGAAAATAAGTTTATTTCATTTTCTTTACAAGTCCATATTATTTAAAACAATCACCAGTAATAACAACTAGGTTCTTGGAGCACCTACTAAGTGCCAGGCCCTCTGTTGGATGCTTTACCATTGTAAACCTCACAACAGCCCTACGAGAAAACTACATGTGTGCAAAAGTTGAACCTTGGTGAGTGATATGGTTTGGCTCTGTGTCCCCACCCAAATCTCATCTCCAGTTGTAATTTTGACATATAGAGGGAGGGACCCAGTTTCAAATCAAATGGCAGGAAAAGCTTATAACAAAAACTGTAGTTTTCTCTCCCATCCCTTCTAATCCCCTGCCCAGAGGCAACCACTTGAGCTATTTTTTTCCTTCATATTTTCAAATATGCTCTTATGGCTATTTCTTATCAATTTTAAACACTGCCCATTAACTTCATTTTAAGGTAGATGAAGATTTAGTTATCTTATGTTCACCCTTTCTCCATACCCTCCACTCCCACCATCACTGCCACATCATCTGTCCTCTTCCCCATTCTCCCAGTATTGTAATATAGTTTGATCAGAACTCTTGGTTAAGTCACTAGTGTTTACATTACTATGGCTGTGTCACTATTTCTCTCTGCTGACCCAAGCATGACACTGATTAGGTTTCCTTTCTCATATAACTCTTGTCCTTGGATTCAGTGGCCCTCATTTTTTTCTTTTGCTTTGTTTTCTGTTACTGTTCATCACATATTTTATACAGCTGTCGATGTTATTTATTCAAACGATGTACCAGTTCCATTTGTTTGTTTGTTTCTGGAGACCTCCCTCTGGAGCTTTCCACCTTCCTGGCTCTAATCTGGACTGGTTGCTTTAGGCCTGTGGTCTAAACAGCTGTTATTTCAGGACTTCCTTGACTGTTCTCCTTTGTTTGCCCTTTTTTTCTGATCTCATGGGTTTTTTGTGTGTACTTTTTTTATCTTGCTTACACCCTCATTTTGCTGGTACTTATCTTTCAGTGGCTTTTCTAAGAAAGATTATGTAGGAAGTAGATTTTTTTGACTGCTTGTATATTTGATTTGTTTTTCCAAATGTGAGACCATCCCCCATAGTTCTTTTATATTTAAAAATATCTTTATTCCACCCTAATTTTGATTAGTAACCTAGCTGGGATATAATTTTGAGTTTAAAATTATTTTTCTTCATAATTTATAGACATTGCTTTTTTTCTTTTAAAGGTTCCATGTCATTCTCATTCCTTCTATGTGACTTTTTGTTTGTTTGTTTAATTTGTGTGCTTAGCACTTGGATCTTAAACCCTCCTGGACTGATCTCCTAAATGTCCTCTTTTTTCTTATTTTTCATCTTCTTGCCTTTAATTTTTTTCCCAATTATTGAGGTATTAATGCTTAGAAAGTAAATGAAAATACTGTCCTCTCACCATTCCACCTTTGGTTATTCTGAAGAACTGGGACAGCCCTCTTCTTTTATTTAATTTATTTATTTGTATTTTTGAGACAGGGTCTCACTCTATAGCCTAGGCTAGAGTGCAGTAGTGCAATCACCACTCACTGCAGCCTCAACCTCCTAGGCTCAAGAGATCATCCCACCTCAGCCTCTCACGTAGCTGGGACTACAGGCACGCACCACTACACCCAGCTAATTAAAAAAAAAAAAAACTTTTTTGTAGAGATGACGTCTCACTATGTTGCCCAGGCTGGTCTCAAACTCCTGGGCTCAAGCGATCCTCCCACCTCAGCCTCACAATGTGCTGGGATTACAGGTGTGAACCACCGTGCATAGCCCTAGCCCTCTTCTAATGTGTGCTATATCAAAGTCCACATCTTCTTCTGGAAATAAGCGAACTTCCTTTTGCTTAACCAGAGGAAATGCAGTTCTTTGTACCCTAACCTTAGTCTCTCCTATGCACATCTTTGCATTCTCTTTTTCACATACCAACTCCAGTAAACGATGTTCTCAGTTAGGGAACTACCTGTTCCCCCTTAATCTATTATCTAGCTGTTTAAAAAAGATATTCCTGCACAATTATGAAACCCAAATATCTTATTACTTTCTCTTCTACTCAATAATTACGTATTTTCTACCAGTAGTATAATCCAGAAAGAGTTTCTGCCTTCTATGCATGGCTCAGTTGAAAAAATAAATAAGGGCCAAGTGTGGTGGCTCACACCTGTAATCCCAGCACTTTGGGAGGCTGAGGCAAGAGGATCTCTTAAGGCTAGGAGTTCAAGATTAGCCTGGGCAACAAAGCAAGACCCCATCTCTACAAAATAAAAATTAGGCCAGGTGCAGTGGCTCACACCTGTAATCCCAACACTTCGGGAGGCCGAGGCGGGCAGATCATGAGGTCAGGAGTTCGAGACCAGCCTGGCCAACATGGTGAAACCCCGTCTCTACTAAAAATAAAAAAATCAGCTGGGCGTGGTAGCACGTGCCCATAGTCCCAGCTACTCGGGAGGCTGAGGCAGAAGAATCGCTTGAACTCAGGAGGCAGAGGTTGCAGTGAGCCGAGATCACGCCACTGCACTCCAGCCTGGGTGACAGAGCAAGACTCTGTCTCAAAAAATATAAAATAAAAATAAAAATTAGCCAGATGCACTGGTGTGTACCTGTAATCCCAGCTACTTGGGAAGCTGAGGCAGGAGGATCACTTGAAACTAGAAGTTTGAGGCCACAGTGAGCTATGATTGCACCACTGCACTCCAGCCTGGATGACAGAGCAAGACCCTGTCTCAAAAAAAAAAAAAAAAAAAAGGAAAAGAAGAAATAAATAAGCAAATTATGATTAGATGTGCAAGCTTCTGCAGGGCAGGGATTCATTCTGCACTTTTATATCTGAGAGATAGGTTCTAGTTAGAGGCTCTGCCCATTCTAAGCGTTTAATAATTATCAGATGAAGGCTGGGTGTGTTGGCTCATGCCTGTAATCCCAGCACTTTGGAAGGCTGAGGCAGACACATCACGAGGTTAGGAGATCGAGACTATCCTGGCCAACATGGTGAAACCCGTCTCTACTGAAAATACAAAAATTAGCTGGCCATGGTGGCGCGTGCCTGTAGTCCCAGCTACTCAGGAGACTGAGGCAGGAGAATCGCTGGAACTCGGGAGGTGGAGGTTGTAGTGATCGCGCCACTGCACTTCAGCCTGGTGACAGAGCAAGACTCCGTCTCAAAAAATAATAGTAATTATCAGATGAAAGAGTGGATGACTCACAGAGAAGGTATTTATTTCATTGTACTAAGATATTTACCACTGAAGTTCCAAGCTAAATAGAGTGTTTCCTTACACATCTAGTCTGGATGCTTTGGGTCATTGTTGAATGCATTTGAAGGTAATTGAACAATGACTTGGTGCCATGGTCAACCCTGTATGTTTTGCCCTTTGGCACAGTACTGCCCTTTTAAAATTAGGTTATGCCCAGCCAGAACTTTGGCTGAGTTATAGATGCTATGATATGTAGTAGAGCTCAATAATTATTTGTTTACGGCTGGATGCGATGGCTCATGCCTGTAATCCCAGCGCTTTGGGAGGCTGAGGTGAGCAGATCACTTGAGGCCAGGAGTTTGAGACCAACCTGGGTTAACGTGGCAAAAATCTCGTCTCTACTAAAAATACAAAAAAAAAAAAAAAAAGTTAGCTGGGTATGGTGGCACACACCTGTAATCCCAGCTACTTGGGAGGCTGAGGCACAAGAATTGCTTGAACCTGGAAAGTGAAAGTTGTAATGAGCGGAGATTGTGCCACTGCACTCCAGCTTGGGCAACAGAAGGAGACTCTGTCTCAAAACAAACAAACAAAAAACATCATTCTTATTATTATTATTTGTTTAATGAATCATGAGTAGAAACCTATTTCATGAAGGTTGTCTGATCTTGTAATTATTTTCAATGGATATATTTATAGTGTTGCTAGTCTGAGGATTCATTTTTTTAAAAAGCTTTACTGAGATGTAAGTGGCATATCGTAAAATTTACCCATTTTAAGTATATCATTCAATGGTTTTGAGTATATTTACATAGCTTTACAGCCATCCCAACAATCTAATCTTAGAATATTTGCATCACCTGGGCCATGTGTGGCTCATGCCTGTAATCCCAGCACTTTGGGAGGCTGAGGCGAGTGGACCACTTGAGGCCAGGAGTTTGAGACCAGCCTGGCCAACACAGTGAAGCCTCGTCTCTACCAAAAACATACAAAATTTAGCAGGGCATGGTGGTGCGCACCTAGAGTCCCAGCTACTTAGGAGGCTGAGGCAGGAGAATCGCTTGAACCTAGAAGGCAGAGGTTGCAGTGAGCCGAGATTGTGCCACTACACTCCAGCTTGGGCAACAGAGTGAGACCCTATCTCAAAAAAAAAAAAATGTTCATCACCCTTAAAAAATCTCATGCCTGTTAGCATTCAGTTTTCCTTTTCTCATCTCCAGCCTTAGGCAACCACTAATCTACTTTCCTTTTTTTTTTTTTTTTTTTTTTTTAATGTAGAGACAGGGTCTCATGTTAACCAGGTTGGTCTCGCACTCCTGGCCTGCAGCATGCCCCCTGCCTTGGCCTCTCAAAGTACTGAGGTTTTAGGCATGTGTCGCTACTGGCCATCATCTACTTTCTGTCTATATAAATTTGTCTATTCTGGATATTTTATGTAAATAGCATTATACAATATGAGGGCTCTTAAATCTGGCTTCTTTAGCATAATGTTTTCAAGATTTATTCATATTATAGAATGTATCAATACTCCATTCCTTTTTATTATGAAATAATATCCCGTTGTATGGATATACCACATTTTGTGTATTCACCAGTTGGACATCTGGGCTGTTTCTGTTTTTTGGCTATTATGAATAATGCTGCTATGAACATTCATGTATGCATTTTTGTATGGACATATGTTTTAATTTCTCCTGGGTCTATACCTAGGAGTGGAATTGCTGGATCATATGGTAACTCCCTGTTTAACATTTTGAGAAACTGCTAAACTCTTTTCCAAAGTGGCTGCATCATTTTTATATTCCCACTAGTAATTTTGACATTAAAATATATGACAGTTCTGATTTATTCACATTCTTACTAATACCTGTTATTGTCTTTTTTTATTATAGTTATTCTAGTGGATGTGAGGTGGTATTTCATTCTGATTTGATTTGCATTTCCCTGATAACTGATAGTGTTGAGCATCTTTTATTGTGCTTGTTGGTCATTTGTATGTCTTCTTTGGAGATATGTCTGGTCATTTTTCAATTAGGTTATTTGCCTTGTCATTGAGTAGTAAGAGTTCTTTGTTCTAGATACAAATCTAAAATCAGATATGTGATCTACATATGTTTTCACCAATCTGTGGGTTGTCTATTCACTTTTTTGATGTCATTTGAAACACAAGTTTTTAATTTTGATAAATTCCAATTTATGTGTTTGTCTTTTACCGCTTGCAATTTTGATGGTGTTATCAATGGTGTAAAAATCATTGCCTAACCGAAGGTCACTAAAATTAACTCCTGCATTTTCTTCTCATAAAATTTTAGCTCTTACATTTAGGTCTTTGATCCATTTTGAGTTAATTTGTTGCGTGTTGTGAGGAAAGTGTGCAAATTGATTCTTTTGAGTGTCAATATCCCTTGTCGGGCCCAGTGCAGTGACTCATGCCTGTAATCCCAGCACTTTGGGAGGCCAACATGGGAGGATTGTTTGAGCTCAGGAGTTCAAGACCAGCCTGGGCAACATAGTGAGACCTCATCTCTACAAAAAATACACAAAAACAAAACAAAATTAAATGGGCATGGTGGTGCATGCCTGTAGTCTTAGCTACTTGGGAGGCTATGGCGGGAGGATTGCTTGAGTCCCGGAGATCAAGGCTGCAGTGAGCTATGATACACCACTGCACTCCAGCCTGCGCTACAGAGTGAGACCCTGTCTCCAAAAAAAGAAACAAACAAACAAACAAACAGACAAACAAAAAACCACTTGTCCTAGCACCTTTGTTGCAAAGATTAATTAGTCCCCCATTGAATTGTCTTGTTACCTTTGTTAAAAATTGAGGGTCCATTTATAACAAAATAATGTTTTCCTAAAGTTAAAAGTTGCTACTGTTACCTCTCAATTTTAACTTTTTTTTTCTTTTTTAATTAATGTTTTTTACCCATGGCAAGCTGTAATAGCTTTTTTGAGGGGAGGTAGGTGCTTTATAAAGAACAGTAGGTGCTGCTTATCAACAGATGAAAGGAGGGTTCTTTTTCAGGCAACCATCTCATTTGTGAGTGAATGCACTTTCTCTTTAAAGTGCTGGGATTGTTAGTGCCATTTTTATTGTAAATATCAGAATTGTTATTTTTTGTCTTCTACCTAAGAATTCTGTCTCTTAGGCTTTCTCTTCCCAGATTTCCCAAAGTTGGGAAAAGCTGGGTTGAGAGGGCAAAAGGAAAAAAAAAGAATTCTGTCTCTGACATAATTAGATAGGGAACCAGTTGGGAAGCTGTAAGAATAATGCAGGTGCAAGGTGGTGGTGGTTTGAGCCGGGTGATAGCTGTGGATGTAGAAGGAATCTGAATATATTGTGTCATAGGGTTGACCTGATTTGCTAATGGAGTAGTTAAGGATGTGGGAAAGTGGAATCAAGCATGGCTCCAAGGTCTGGGCCTGAAAAACCGGGAGAATGAGTTCACATTAACTAAGACGGGAAAGACAATGGTAGGGGCCTGTTTAGGGAAGAGCTAGGAAGAGATTAGCATCTCATTTCTAATGATGTAATACATAGAATCTTGCAGGAGCCTTTAGTGAAGTGTAGTTTAAGTCATCTAATACTAAAATTTATATAAAGTGTCCAGAATGCCTTTTACTGTAAATAACTTATTAAAATAATAAACTGCATAATATTAAGTGTGATATTTGTCAGAGATGTTAAGTGATTATAGGACTCCCAAACTAAGAATGCTTTATAATTATCATCAGTATTCCCCTTTACCTTGGGGCATGTAGAACTGGCTTTAAGATGTGTTTTGTGGGGAGTTTTCTGTGGGTTTTTTTTTTTTTTTTTTTTTTTTAGATGGAGCCTCACCCTGTTGCCCAGGCTGGAGTGCAGTAGCACGATCTTGGCTCACTGCAACCTCCGCTTCCCAGGTTCAAGCGATTCTCCTGCCTTAGCCTCCCGAGTAGCTGGGATTGCAGGCATGCAACACCATGCTCAGCTAATTTTTTTATTTTCAGTAGTTATGGAGTTTCACCATGTTGGCCAAGCTGGTCTCGAACTCCTGACCTCAAGTGATCCACCCGCCTCAGCCTCCCAAAGTGCTGGGATTACAGGCATGAGCCACCATGCCTGGCATGTATTTATATGTTTAAATTAAAAGATGTTTCAACGGCATGGTAATTGGCATAGAGCTGAGACAGATAAATAAAAGGAACAGAAAAAAAATCCAGAAATATTCCTATGCATATCTAGATAGTTGATGTATTTAAAAAGCACAAAGGCAATGCAGTGGAGAATGTATAGTCTTTTCAACAATGGTACTGGAGCAACTGAATATCCATATGCAAAAAGAAAAATTGAACCTTAATTCATACCTTTTACCACATACAAAAAATAACTCAAAATGAATCAAAGACCATTGAAAACAACATTATAAAACTCTTGGAAGAAAACACTGGAGAAATTTTTTTCTACCTTGAATTAAGCAAAGATTTCCTATATGATATTAAAAGCGTAAACCATAAAAGAGCAAATAGATAAACTGAACTGCTCTTCAAAAGTGCCAATAAGCCAGGTACAGTGGTACACGCCTGTAAACCCAGCTACTCAGGAGACTGAGGTGGGAGGATCCTTTGAGCTCAGCACTTCGAGGCCAGCCTGGGCAGTGTAGTGAGACCCAGTCTCTTACAAAAATGCAAATAAGAGAATATAAAGATAAACCACAGACTAGGAGAAAATATTTGCAAAGCATATATCTGATAAAGGATTAAAAACTACACCATTTTAGGCCAGGCGCGGTGGCTCACGCCTGTAATCCCAGCACTTTGGGAGGCCCAGGTGGGCGGATCACAAGGTCAGGAGATCGAGACCAACCTGGCTAACATGGTGAAACTCCGTCTCTACTAAAAATACAAAAGAAATTAGCTGAGCATGGTGGTGGGCACCTGTAAGTCCCAGCTACTCTGGAGGCTGAGGCAGGAGAATGGCGAGAACCAGGGAGGTGGAGCTTGCCGTGAGCCAAGATCGCACCACTGCATTCCAGCCTGGACGGCAGAGCGAGACCCTGTCTCAGGAAAAAAAAAAAAAAAAAAAAAACCTACACCATTTTGGGCCAGGCACATTGGCTCATGCCTGTAATCCCAGCACTTTGGGAACCGAGGCAGACGGATCATGAGGTCAGGAGATCGAGACCATCCTAGCCAACATGGTGAAATCCCGTCTCTACCAAAAATACAAAAAGTAGCTGAGTGTGGTGGTGCATGCCTGGAATCCCAGCTACTTGGGAGGCTGAGGCAGGAGAATCGCTTGAACCTGGGAGTTGAGGTTTCAGTGAGCCAAGGTCATGCCACTGTACTCCAGCCTGGCGACAGAGACTCCGTCTCAAAAAAAAAAAAAAAAAACTACACCATTTTAAAAGTAGCCAAAAGGTACTTGAAAATTGCCAAGAAAGTAGATTTTAAGTGATCTACCACAAAAAAAGTAATAAGAATATGAGGTAATGCCTGTGTCAGTTGTCTCAACTTGGCCATTCCACAATGTATACACATTTTAAAAACACATGTTGGCCAGGCACAGTGGCTCACGCCTGTAATCCCACCACTTTGGGAGGCCGAGATGAGCAGATCACCTGAGGTTGGGAGTTCGAGACCAGCCTGACCAACATGGAGAAACCCTGTTTCTACTAAAAATACAAAAAAAAAAAAAACAAAAAAAACAAATTAGCCGGGCATGGTGGTGCATGCCTGTAATCCCAGCTACTTGGGAGGCTGACGCAGGAGAATCACTTGAATCCAGGAGGTAGAGGTTGCGGTGAGCTGAGATTGCGCCATTGCACTCCAGCCTGGGCAACAAGAGCAAAACTCCATCTCAAAAAAAAAAAAAAAAAAATGCCAGGCACTGTGGCTCATGCCTGTAATCCTAGCACTTTGGGAGGCCAAGGCAGGTGGATCACGAGGTCAGGAGTTCGAGACCAGCCTGACCAATATGGTGAAACCCCGTCTCTACTAAAAATACAAAAGTTAGCCGGGCATGGTGGTGGTCACCTGTAATCCCAGCTGCTCAGGAGGCTGAGGCAGGAGAATGAACTTGAACCCGGGAGGCAGAGGTTGCAGTGAGCTGAGATCATGCCACTGCACTCCAGCCTGGGCGACAGAGTGAGACTCCATCTCAAAACAAAAAAAAACATGTTGTACAACCTAAATATATACCATTTTTCTTTGTCAGTTTACAAAATTATTTAATCAACTTTAAACATAAAAATGGCCAAAAGATTTGTACAGTTACTTCACCATAGGAGGTGTACAAATGGCAAACTCATGAAAAATGCTTCACACCATTAGTCACTAGGGAAATGCAAATTAAAGCCACAGTAAGCACTACAAACCTTAGAATAACTAAAAGATTGAAAAGACTGGCTGTGCCAAATGTTGGCAAGGATATGGAGGAACTGGAACTTTCATGCACTGATGATGGGAATGTAATGGTACAAGTAGTTTGGAAAACAGTTTGGCAATTTCTTTTTTTCTTTTCTTTTTTTTTTTTTTTTTGAGACCGAGCCTTGCTCTGTCCCAAGGCTGGAGTGCAGTGGCCTGATCTCGGCTCACTGCAACCTCCGCCTCCTGAGTTCAAGTGATTCTCCTGCCTCAGCCTCCTGAATAGCTGAGATTACAGGCATGTGCCACCACGCCTAGCTAATTTTTGTATTTTTAGTAGAGACGGGGTTTCACCATGTTGGCCAGGATGGTCTCAATCTCTTGACCTTGTGATCCTCCCGCCTCAGCCTCCCAAAGTGCTGGGATTACAGGCGTGAGCCACTCCACCCGGCCAGCAATTTCTTAAAAGTTAAGCATATACCTACAGTTTGATATGGCCATACTACTGGTATCTTACACTTAGGTAATTTACTGAAGAGAAATGAAAGCATATACAGCCTGGGAGCCGTGGCTCAGGCCTGTAATCCCAGCACTTCGGGAGGCTAAGGCGGGTGGATCATGAGGTCAGGAGCTCAAGACCAGCCTGGCCAAGATGGTGAAACCCTGTCTCTACTAAAAATAGAAAACTTAGCCGGGCGTGGGGGGCAGGGGGGCACACTTGTAATCTCAGCTACTTGGGAGGCTGATGCAGAGAACTGCTTGAACCCAGGAGGCAGAGGTTGCAATGAGCCGAGATCGCCCCACTGCACTCTAGCCTGGGTGACAGAGTGAGACTCTGTCATTAAAAAAAAAAGCATATACAAAGACTTGTACAAGAAAATTACTGACACATGAAACAACTTGGGTGAAACCCAAAATGATTATGTTGCATGAAAGAAAGCACAGTACATATTGTATAATTCCACTTACATAAAACTTTAGAAAATGCAAACTAATCTATAGTGCCAAAACAGATAGGTGGCTGCCTAAGGATAAAGGAGAGCAGGTAAGGGCAGGAGAGAAAGGTTACAAAGGAGTCCTCAATAATTTTTAAGAGTGCAAAGGGATTCTGAGACATGAATATTTGACAACCTCTGCTCTGTAGAGTCAGAAGACCCTTAGGCTTGTTGAACCATGCTCTAGTATGATATTGAAAGTGTTATGCAGTAATATTCTTTCCTATTTCCAAGTATGGAATCCTAGCATTCCAAGAGAGAATTCCAACAATGTGCTGAATAGTGATGAAACCATTGAATAATAAGTATATGGGTTCCATAAGGTGGTTAAAGAACAACATCTAACAGGTTTGGAATTTTAGCTAAAAAGGGAATAATAATAATTTACCTCTTTGTAGAGGAGTAACTCATTGGTTAAGTCTTAGTAGGTTTATTAGAAACGTGAATCTCATTAATTATAGCCTGTGTCTGAACATTGTGAGCTATAAGAACCCTCATATTAATGGTTAAGGGACTGTTGGAAATGATGTGATTTTATTAAAAATGGGGTCTTTGTGGAGGAGTCAGGAATGGTCAAAATGAGCTTCAGGTATGGGGCTTGCTCTGTGCTCCTGATACCAAGGGTCTGGCAAGCACAAAGGAAGGTGAGAGAGTTTATCTGGGGGGACTCAAGGAAAACTTCCTGAAAGAGGTGTCCTTTGAGAATTCCCACAGGTATAAATGAGGAGGGAGGCACTTCAGGGAAGGGAACCACTGAGAGCACAGAGAAGGCAAGAAGCTTCTGGATTGTTTAGGGAACAGCAAGACATCTGGTGTAAACAGGGCGTGGGAGTTGGAAGAATGTGTAGGAAGAATAAAACCAGAAAGGAAGATGGTCAGATCCTAAAGGGATTTCCTGCCATAGTGACAGCTGGAGGATTCATTCTGCAGTGGGAGCGGAATTTGAGAGAATTGGACGTGTATTTTAGGACAATAACACTAGCGGCATTGTAAAGAGGCCCAGAGAGAGGAAGTCTAGAGGCAGGACCATTTAGGAGGACTCACATTTTGCCTTTACTGAGGGTTGACGTAATCAGAGGAATGCTTGATGGAAATTGGTTAGAGGGAAGGGAGAAACCTGCCTGGTATTTGGGAGGTAGGGTGGGGTGGAGTGGTGTGGTGATCATTATCTGAGATAGGGAATCCTGGAAGAAGAGCAGTTTGGGGCCGGAAGGTGGGGTGGACTTTTCATTTACTTAAGGACATGTTTTGTTTTTTTGTTATTGTTTTTGAGACAAGAGTCTTGCTCTGTCGCCCAGGCTGGAGTGCAGTGGCACGATCTCCGCTCATTGCAGCCTCCGCCTCCCAGGTTCAAGTGATTCTTCTGCCTCAACCTCACAAGTAGCTGGGATTACAGGTGTGGACCACCACACCCAGCTAATGTTTTGTTTTTTTTAGTAGGCACAGGGTTTCACCATGTTGGCCAGGCTGGTTTCAAACTCCTGACCTCAGGTGATCTGCCACCATGCATAGCCGAAGAGATGTATTTTGATGAGCAGAAGCTTTTCATTTAAATAAAATGCAATTTATTAATTTTTTATTTTTTATAAAGAGGTTATTCTCATCTCATGTTAATTGCTTTTTTTTTTTTTTTTTTTTTGAGACAGTATCACTCTGTTGGCCAGGCTGAAGTGCAGTGGCACGATCTCAGCTCACTGCAACCTCCATCTCCCAGGCTCAAGCAATTTTCCTGCCTCAGCCTCCCGAGTAGGTGGGATTACAGGTGTGTGCCATCACACCTGGCTAATTTTTGTATTTTTAGCAGAGACGGGGTTTCACCATATTAGCCAGGCTGGTCTCGAACTCCTGACCTCAGGTAATCTGCCTGCCTTGGCCTCCCAAAGTGCTGGGATTACAGGTGTGAGCCCCCGCGCCCAGCCGTTAATTGCATTTTTTAAAAGATTTTATTTATTTGGTCTGAGCACAGTGGCTCACGTCTGTAATCCCAGCACTTTGGGAGGCCGAGAAGGGCGGATTGCTTGCACTCGGGAGTTCAAGACTAGCCTGGGCAACATAGCGAAATCCTGTCTCTACTAAAAATAAAAAATTAACCAGCCAAACATCTTATGTGCTCACTCATAAGTGGGAGCTAAGCTATGAGGACACAAAGCATAAGAATGATACAGTGGACTTTTGTGGACTCGAGGGAAAGAGTGGGAGCGGTTGAGGGATAAAAGACTGCACACTGGGTACAGTATATGCTGCTCCAGTGATGGGTGCACCAAAATCTCAGAAATCACCACCAAATAACTTACTCATGTAACCAGACACCACCTGTTCCCCAAAAACCTATTGAAATAAAAATTAATTAATTAATTAAAGTAAGTAAAAGAAAAAAAATTAGCCAGGCATGATAGCATGCATCTATAGTCTTAGCTACTCAGGAGGCTGAGGTGGGAGAATCATCTGAGCCTGGGAGGTCGAGGCTGCAGTGAGCTGAGATCATGCCACTGCACTCCAGCCTGGGAGATGGAACAAGACCCTCTCTCAAAAAAATAAAAAAATAAAAATAAAAGGTTTTATTTAAGACTTTTTTTCTCCCTTCTTCTCTAGATATAATTGACCCTGCAATCCTGCGCCCGGGCCGCCTGGACAAAACACTGTTTGTGGGTTTACCGCCCCCTGCAGATCGCCTTGCCATCTTAAAAACTATCACAAAAGTGAGTAAAGGAAATGGTATATTTTTGTATATGTTTCTCTTGTTTTAAATAGAGACAGTTATAAGAGGTAGTAATTTTCGTTGACTGATTACTTTCTTTTCTGTAGCTGTGTTTGCCCAGCCTATATCTCCCAAAGGGAAGGTGAACTGATCTTCGATTATTACTTTAAAATAATTTACATCAGATCATATTTGAAATGGAGTAGAAACTTTTGGAGAAACTGGCACTTTGGGAGGGCGAGGTGAACCCAGGAGTTTGGTACCAGCCTGGGCAATATACTGAGACTCTGTCTCTACAAAAGATAGAAAAAATTAGCCAGATATGGTGGCACCCACCTGTGGGACCATGTACTCAGAAGGCTTAGGTGGAAGGATTGCTTGAGCCCAGGAGGTCAAGGCTGCAGGGAGCTGTGATCACACCACTGTACTCCAGCCTGGGCAACAGAGCAAGACCCTATCCTTTTTTTTGAGGCAGAGTCTTGCTCTGTCACCCAGGCTGGAGTGCAGTGGCATGATCTTGGCTCACTGCAAGCTCTGCCTCCCAGGTTCACGCCATTCTCCTGCCTCAGCCTCCCGAGTAGCTGGGACTACAGGTGCTCGCCACCACGTCCGGCTAATTTTTTGTGTTTTTTAGTAGAGACGGGGTTTTACCGTGTTAGCCAGGATGGTCTCGATCTCCTGACCTCGTGATCCACCCGCCTCGGCCTCCCAAAGTGCTGGGATTACAGGCGTGAGCCACCGCACCAGACCCCGCAAGACCCTATATTTAAAAATAAATAAATAAGTGGGCCAAACACGTTGGCTCACACCTGTCATCCCAGCACTTTGGGAAGCCAAGGCAGGTGGATTGCTTTGACCTCAGGAGTTCAAGATCAGCCTGGGAAACATGGGGAAACCCCATCTCTACAAAAAATACAAAAATTAGCTGGACTTCAATGGCTCATGCCTGGCTGAGGCTGGAGAATCCCTTGAGCCCAAGAAGTGGAGGTTGCAGTCAGCCAAGATCGTGCTACTGCACTCAAGCCTGGGTAACAGACCAAGACCCTCTCTCAAAAAAAAAAATTGAATGACTTCTGTCATCCCACTTCTCACTACCTGGAACTAGTTTTTCTGCCCTTCACACATCACATTTTGAGGTCTGTAGAAGTGCTTTGTTTCTACATTTCTATAGCCTTGGGATGGGAGAGGGAGCTAAGCTGGTGGTGTTAATCCTTCTGGGGATGAAATCACTTGTACCTGGACCCGCTCTCTCCATCCAGTTGGAGATACCTCCCCCCATGGGAGCTGTCCCACTCCCATGGGATTGTACCCAGTTCTGTCCAGCTCCCTGGAAAGTGGCATACCTTGGCAGTTCTTCCTGAATCTGCTGAAATCCCTTGATTGTGTGTGTCTAACTTTTTCTAGAGCTATCTTCTCCTCAGGCTGCTTGTCTCCAGCTTGGAATATTAATAGACATCACAAGATTTTGTTAACTTACCTTCTTTCTTCAATACTCCTTCCCAGGAATGGACGCCTAATTATCAGCCACTTTCAAATTTTCTCTTCGCACCCACTTTTCAACATTTGCAGCATGAAGGTTTACCCCTTTCTTTGGTTGCTACTGGTAAATTGTTTAACTTTTTTTAGTATTCTTTTGATGCTGACAAAGGAAGATTCTGTGATCCTGCCTCACTGGGCCATCGTTACTTAAAACTGCCTTTAGCAATGTTCCTAAAAATCACCCCGAGGAGGGAGAACAGGGCAGATGAGAACAGAAGAATGATCATCTTTGTAGGGTAGAAAGATTCTATTGATGCACAGTATGGAAAATAGCTTGGAAGCCAGTAAAGTAAAAGTTATGAAATTAAGCATGTTAGAACTAAGGCAATATGACTGAGAAACATCAATGAAAAAGAAAAAATAACGAACTAAGGCATTATCACGGGAATAACAAAGAAGATATAGACATGAGAACTGTTTAAAGGTTTTAATTAGTAGGACATTGGATTAACTGTAGAGTTGGGAGTTAAAGGAAAAGGTAGATGAATTTGCAGCTTGTGCAGCTGGTGGCATCTACCAGGATTAGAGGTCTGGGAGATGAGCTCTCTGAGTTTCAGGTGCCTGGGCACTATCAAGTGGAAAAGTTGAGCAGGATGTTGGGTCTGTGGTTGGGAGTTCAGGAGAGTCCTCTGGCTGGGCTATAGTTTTGTCTGTCTTCAGGACATAGCTGGTGGTCAAAGCCATGAAAACATGTTGCTTTAGTTTAGTAGTTCTCAACCTAAGGCAATTTTCCCACCACCCCACCTCACGTCCCCAGGGAACATTTGGCAATGTCTAGGGACATTTACCACTACGCAGAGGAGTGATCATGCTGCTAAATATTCCACAGTGCACAGGACAGCCAACAACAAAGAATTATCCAAGGCCAGGCATGGTGGCTCAGGCCTGTAATCCCAGCACTTTGGGAGGCTGAGACAGGAGGATCACTTGAGACTAGGAGTTGGAGACCAGCCTGGGCAACAGAGTGAGACCCTGTCTCTACAAGAAAACAAATTTTTTTTTTTTGAGACAGAGTGTCACTCTGTTGCCCAGGCTGGAGTGCAGTGGTGCCACCTCGGTTCACTGCAACCTCCACCTCCCGCATTCAGGTGATTCTCCTGCCTCAACCTCCTGAGTAGCTGGGATTACAGGCGTGCACCACCAAGCCCAGCTAATTTTTGTATTTTTAGTAGAGACGGGGTTTCACCACGTTGGCCAGGCTGGTCTCGAACTCCTGACCTCGTGATCCACCTGCCTCAAGTCTCCCAAAGTGCTGGGATTACAAACGTGAGCCACTGCGCCTGGCCAAGAAAATTTTTTAATTAGTTGGGCATAGTGGCATGCACCCGTAGTCCCAGCTACTTGGTAGGCTGAGGTGGGAGGATGGCTTAACCCCAAGAAGTCGAGGCTGCAGTGTGCCATGGTCACGTCACTGCACTCCAGCCTGAGCAACAGAGCTGAGACCCTGTCTCAAAGGAAAAAAAAGTATTATCCGACTCAAAATGTCAGTAATGCCAAAGTTAAGAAACCCTGCTTTGGTTGCATATACTTATTTCTTTGCATCAAACAAGCTTGATGATGACTGCATCATAGCATCTTCTCTCCCTTTCGTTGGCTCTGTTTTTTTTTTTTTTTTTTTGACACAGTATGTCAAAAAAAGAGACCCTGTTTGTTGCCCAGGCTGAAGTGCAGTAGCGTGATCTCAGCTCACTGCAACCTCCACCTCCTGGGTTCAAGCATATCTCCTACTTCAGCCTCCCCACGCAGCTGGGGCCACAGGTGCGTGCCACCACACTCTGCTAATTTTTTTTTTGTATTTTTAGTAGAGACGGGGTTTTACCATGTTAGCCAGGCTGGTCTCAAACTCCTGACTTCAAGTGATCCGCCCACCACGGCCTCCCAAAGTGCTGGGATTACAGGCGTGAGCCACCATGCCCGGCCTTCTTGGCTCTGTCATTAGGAACTATGGTCTTGAGATTTTGTTTGCTTTGGTCAATGTATGTGGATGTGTATGTATATACAAATAAGCACACACATATAATCCAATTTTGTTTCTATGAATTTCCTGTAGTCATGGTGACATAATGATAATGCTTTCACACTTGTCCTTGGGATTTCATGAACTAAAGAGAAAAGTTGGATTGGTATTTATTTCTAGACATGCCAGACATGAGGCATGTGGTATTCAGAGCTTTATAGATTTGGAACCAGAGAATGATTGGCTCATTCTTCCTGCTGTGTTTCATTCAATGTATGGTACTCACACCAGAACAACTTTATACTTCATTCATCTAGAATTTCAGTGCTATTTGCCAAAATCATTAGGCCTCAGACCAAAGGGTGAATATTTAAAGTACCCCACTTCGGCCAGGCACAGTGGTTCATGCCTATAATCCCAGCACTTTGGGAGGCCGAGGCAGGTGGATCACTTGAGGTCAGGAGTTCAAGACCAGCCTGGCCAACATGGCAAAACACTGTCTCTACAAAAATACAAAGATTAGCTGGGTGTGATGGTGTGCTCCTGTAATCCCAGCTACTCAGGAGGCTAAAGCAGGAGAATTAGCTTGAACCCGGGAGGCAGAGGTTGTGGTGAGCCGAGATCGTGCTATTGCACTCCAACCTGGGCAACAAGAGCAAAACTCTGTCTCCAAAAAAAAAAAAGTCATCTGGCATAAATGGGGTGGGTAACAGAGAGGAGCCCTGCAGCTTCCAAGCACAAAGTTGTGAATATGGAAGAAGAAAAAAATCAAAAAAGACATTTCAATAGAGGTCAACTTTGGCCGGGCATGGTGGCTCACACCTGTAATCCCAGCACTTTGGGAGGCCAAGGTGGACGGATCCCACCTCCCGAGTAGCTGGGATTACAGGCACGTGCTACCACGCCCGGCTAATTTTTGTATTTTTAGAGAAATGAGGTTTCACCATGTTGGCCAGGCTGGTCTGGAACTCCTGACCTGGTGATCCACCCACCTCGGCCTCTCAAAGTGCTGGGATTACAGGTGTGAGCCACCATGCTGGGCCAAAAGCAACTTTTGTAGATTGTGGTTTAGACTGCTGCATAGTCAGTCCTCAGCCTCTGTCTGTGCCAACGGCAGAAGGGCTTTTGTTAGTTTATTCTCTTTGACTTGAGAGTGCATTTTTGCTCCAATTCTGACTGTGTCCTATTCTAAGACTTGGAACCTCATTGGGCAGAGCTGCCCAGGAGGAGCAGGACCCACATGCAGCCTCCCTGTGCCCTGTCTGCCTGCGTTGGCCTGGTGCCCTCTCAAGAGAGCTGTTAGCAGTGCAATTTCACATCCTTATCTTACCTCATCCTTCAGAGGTCATGAATGTTTTTGTTTAAAAAGCTTTGTTGATGGCTAAAGCAGGGCAGATTGAGAGGAAGAGGAAGCACAATATCTAATTTCAGAGGGGAGAAGTCACAAGGCAGACTTCCTGCCCATGTATGTTCTTTGTAAGTCAACAGAAAGTGAGGAAAATTGGCATTTTTAATGTTTACCCTTTTTATTTCAGTTTGCTGGCTTTTGACTTTAATTCCTCAGATTGTTTTATATACAATTTTCTCTTTCTCCTATTAACATCTGAAATATTATAAGGAGATTAGAATAAAGATCTTTAGTCCTGTTCTTAAAAGTCTGAAATATTTTGTAGGTCAAAGCAACTTCTTCATATCTTTTGGGATCTAAGTTTTGTAAAAGAAGAGCGAGTGGGCCAGGTACAGTGGCTCACACCTGTAATCCCAGCACTTTGGGAGGCCAAGGCGGGCGGATCACGAGGTCAGGAGTTCGAGACCAGCCTGGCCAATATGGTGAAACCCCATCTCTACTAAAAATATAAAAATTAGCTGGGCGTGGTGGTGCGTGCCTGTAGTCCCGGCTACTCAGGAGGCTGAGGCAAAAGAATCACTTGAACCCAAGAGGCAGGGATTGCAGTGAGCCGAGATTACGCCACTGCACTCCAGCCTGGGCAACAGAGTGAGACTCCATCTCAAAAAAAAAAAATGGAGACCAGCCTGACCAACATGGCGAAACCCCATCTCTACTAAAAATACAAAAATTAGCCGGGCGTGGTGGCATGCGCCTGTAGTCCTAGCTAGTCAGGAGGCTGAGGCAAAAGAATCACTTGAAGCAGAGAGGTGGAGGTTGCAGTGAGCCGAGATCACGCCACTGCACTCCAGCCTGGGCAACAGAGGGAGACTCCACCTCAAATAAAAAAGAGCGAGCCATATACTACTTTTTTATATTTTTTATTTGGTATTTCTAGTGATGATGTGGTGATAAGAGGTCTATCACTAAAAGCTGCCTGAGAAGTAGAAATTTTTTTTTTTGAGACGGAGTTTTGCTCTTGTCGCCCAGGCTGGAGTACAATGGTGCGATCTCAGCTCACTGCAACCTCTGCCTCCTGGGTTCAAGTGATTCTCCTGCCTCAGCCTCCCAAATAGCTGAGATTACAGGTGTCTGCCACCATGCCCAGCTAATTTTGTATTTTTAGTAGAGACAGGGTTTTTCCATGTTGGCCAGGCTGGTCTCGAACTCCCGACCTCATGTGATCCGCCCTCCTTGGCCTCCCAAAGTGCTGGGATTATAGGCATGAGCCACCACGCCCGGCCCCCAGATTTTTTTTTCATAACTTCTACTTCCTTTTAAGTGTCATTAAAATATCTCAGAAAACCAGAAACATTATTTGATATCTGCCAAATACTTTCAGATAAAATACAGTCTTTAAAAGAGTGACAAGGCCGGGTGTGGTGGCTCACGCCTGTAATCCAGCACTTTGGGAGACTGAGACAGGCGAATCACAAGGTCAGGAGTTCGAGACCTACTTGGCCAAAATGGCAAAATCCCGTCTCTACTAAAAATACAAAAATTAGCTGGGTGTGGTGGCCGGTGCCTGTAATCCCAGCTACTTGGGAGACTAAGGCAGGAGAATCTCTTGAACCCGGGAGGTGGAGGTTGCAGTGAGCCGAGATTGTACCACTGCATTCCAGCCTGAGTGACAGATCGAGACCTCATCTCAAAAAAAAAAAAAAAAGTATGACTTAAGAATACCTGATATAATAATAGCTAACATTTATTAAGCCCTTACTCTGTTCCATGTAGTATTTTCATTTTACATTTATACACATGCTTAAACCTTGAAACTCCCTTTGAAGTGTATGTCTTACAAAATATTTAAATATTTTCCTTTTACTGATGAGCAAACTTTTTACAAACTTTTTTGTTGTTGTTGTTGTTGAGACAAGGTCTTGCTCTGTCACCCAGGCTGGAGGGCAGTGGTGCGGTCTTGGCTCGCTGCAGCCTCAACCTCCCAGGCTCAAGTGATCCTCCCGCCTCTGCTCCCTGAGTAGCTGGGACTACAGGAACGTGCCACCAGGCCTAGCTAATTTTTTTTTTTTTTTGTAGAAACAGGGTTTCACCATGTTGCCCAGGCTGGTTTTGAACTCCTGAGCTCAAGCGATGTACCCACCTCAGCCTCCCAAGGTAGAGGGTTACAAGACTGAGCCACTACACCCGGCCCTTTCATTAATTTTTCACAGTCGACTGTGTGAATAAAAATTGCTTCATGCAGAAGCTGGATTTTAAAATAAAAAATAAATAAATAAATAAAATTACTGGCCAGGTACGGTGGCTCACACCTGTAATCCCAGCACTTTAGGAGGCCAAGGCGGACAGATCACCTGAATGAGGTGATCTCATTCAAAAGTAGCTGGGTGCGGTGGCACACACCTGTAAATTCCAGCTACTCGGGAGGCTGAGGCAGGAGAATCGCTTGAACCCAGAGGCAGAGGTTGCAGTGAGCCAAGATCGCGCCGTTGCACTCCAGCCTGGGCAACAGGACGAAACTCTGTCTCAAAAAAAAAAAAAAAAACAAGCATTAATGATTCTAAACTCTGATGTGTAGTTAAGAATAGATTTAAGAATAAATTTGGTTGGGCATGGTGACTCACACCTGTAATCCCAGCACTTTGGGAGGCCGAGGCAGGTGAATCACCTGAGGTCAGGAGTTTGAGACCAGCTTGACCAATATGGTGAAAGCCCATCTCTGCTGAAAATACCAAAATTGGCCAGGCATGGTGGCGTGCACCTGTAGTCCCAGCTACTCGGAAGGCTGAGGCAGGAGAATCGCTTGAACCTAGTGAAGTGAGATCACGCCACTGCACAGCCTGGGCATAGAGTGAGACTCCGTCTCAAAAAAAAAAAAAAAAAAGAATAGATTTGTATGACCAAATGAAAATATTTGTTAAAATAAAAGTAGTAGCACATCTTGAATTACTTTTTGAACCTGAGTATTTCATAACATATAATGTTTAATACGAATTATAGGAAAATATCAGTGTAAATGAGCCATAACTTTTTTCAGATTTTAGTAAAATACTATAGATACATAACATAAAATTTACCATTTTAGCCATTTTTAAGTATATATTTCTGTGGCATTAAGTACATTCACATTGTTGTGCAACCATCACCACTACTCATCTCCAGAACTTTTGCATCTTCCCAAACTGAAACTCTGTCCCCATTAAACACAAACTGCCCATTCCTTCTTCCCTACCCCTGGCAACCACCATTCTACTTTCTGTCTCTATGCTTTGCCTATTCTAGGTACCTCATACAAGTAGAATCATACAATATTTGTGGGATATAACTTTTTTTTTTTTTGAGACGGAGTTTTGGTCTTGATGTCCAGGCTAGAGTGCAATGGCGTGGTCTTGGCTCACTGCAACCTCTGCCTCCCAGGTTCAAGTGATTCTCCTGCCTGAGCCTCCTAAGTAGCTGGGATTACAGGTGCCTGCCACCACACCTGTTTTTCTTTTTCTTTTTATTTTTTTTTTTTTGAGACGAGGTCTCACTCTTGTTCCCTAGGCTGGAGTGCAGTGGTTTGATCTCAGCTCACTGCAACCTCCTCTTCCCGGGTTCAAGCGATTCTCCTGCCTCAGTGTCCCAAGTAGCTGGGATTACAGGCAACTGCCACCACACCTGGCTAAGTTTTGTATTTTTAGTAGAGATGGTGTTTCACCATATTGGCCAGGCTAGTCTCAAACTCCTGACCTCAGGTGATCCACCCGCCTCGGCCTCCCAAAGTGCTGAGATTACAGGCATGAGCCACCACGCCTGGCCTATAATTTCCTTAAGAGACTATTTTCCTTCTTTTTCTAATAATTCCTTTAGCTTAGCTTTCTATAGTTACCAACCTATTTGAGATTTCCATTAGGGCCTTTATTAAAAAATAATATAATATTATCGTAATAGAGATAATGTCATAAAGAAAAACCAAATTAATTTAAGCTTCTAAATACTTCTAAATATCCTAGTACCATTTCAATAAATGATTTTCCAAAATCCTCATATTTTGTTTTATAAGCTCTTTATTATGCCATTTAAAATTTTTCTCTTTGCTCTCACTTGAGAATAAATAGAATTCATTTTAGTTCTTACTATAAGTCAGAAACATAACCACATTTCAATTAAAGAATAGTTAGATTTCAGTGATCCAAAGATTCCTTAGCCCTTATTTCTACTAATTAGAAAGTAATGTTGCTAATGAAACTTTTGGAGGTATCCTAGGTAGAGCACACCTCATGCCCTCAAAAAAAGGAGAGTTTGGCTGAGCGTGGTAGCTTGTGCCTGTAATCCCAGCACTTTGGGAGGCCAAGGTGGGTGGATCACCAGGTCAGGAGTTTGAGACCAGCCTGGCCAACATGGTGAAACCCATCTCTACTAAACATACAAAAAATTAGCCGGGTATGGTGGTGTACATCTGTAATCCCAGCTACTTGGGAAGCTGAGGCAGGAGAATCTCTTGAACCCGGGAGGCGGAGCTTGCAGTGAGCCGAGATCATGCCATCACACTCCAGCCTGGGCCACAGGGCGAGACTCTGTCTCAAAAAAAAAAAAAAAAAAAAAAAAAGGACAGTTTGTTACTTTCTTTCAAGTGAGGGTACTTGAAATTATTTCTTTTTCTAAAGGTTTAATCTTCTAAGAATTAGGAAACTTCTGAGAGTATCTAAACATATAACAGTGAATTCGTTTTGTGAAGTTCATACCCCACCTCATTTATTTATTGTGTTCCTTTATATACTGAGCTTTCTTTCACAAAAGATTTTTCTTAAACAAAGGATATGCTAAGAATAGGAAGCTGACAATTGCTCCCATTATGCAAATGTGAGGAAAATTCCTCCTCTGCTGGGCGCTGTGGCTCACGCCTGTAATCCCAGCACTTTGGGAGGCGGAGGCGGGCAGATCACAAGGTCAGGAGTTTGAGACCAGCCTGACCAACATGGTGAAACCCCGTCTCTACTAAAATACAAAAACTACCCAGCGTTGGCTGGGCACGGTGGCTCACGCCTGTAATCCTAGCACTTTGGGAGGCCAAGGTGGGTGGATCACCTGAGGTCAGAAGTTCAAGACCAGCCTGGACAACATGGTGAAACCCCATCTCTACTAAAAATACAAAAAATTAGCCAGGCGTGGTGGCGGGCAACTGTAATCCCAGCTACTTGGGGGGCTGAGGCAGGAGAATCGCTTGAACCTGAGGGGCGGAGGTTGCAGTGAGCTGAGATCGCACCACTGCACTCCAGCCTGGGCCTGTGACAGTGAGACTCCGTCTCAAAAAAAAAAAAAAAAAAAAAATTACCCAGCGTGGTAGCGCATGCCTGTAATCCCAGCTACTCGGGGCTGAGGCAGGAGAATCGCTTGAACCTGGGAGGCGTAAGTTGCAGTGAGCCGAGATTGCGTCACTGCACTCCAGCCTGGTGACACAGCGAGACAGAAAAAAGAAAAATTCCTCCTCTGGGTCCTCACAAAGAGAACACTAAGATGCGATGCACAATGTCTTTAACGGTATTTCTGACACAAACACAATAAGCCTCTTGGGACTGAGGCTTGTCATTTTCTTAATATAAACTGAGGGTATTACACAAAGCCAGTTCATTAAATACAATTTGATGAAGGTCCAAGAAATGCACTCTGAGGATGCACAGGACCTTGTGGAGGTCCAGCTTAACCCAAGGGTAGAATTTAGATATTGAGAAGTATAAAAGAATTGTCTTCTTATGATTCAGCTTTTGATTAAAACAGGGCACTGGATAGTTTGAGATTAGATTGTCTAACAGCACGCGGAGTGTCCTTAGGGAAGATCCGTACAGTTAATGTGACAGTGTGACAGTCGAGGTAAGTTGATAGGTTCTTAAAATCATAGAAAGCACCTAACAAGGGCTCCTACATAATGTGGCAGCCCCACCACCATAGCAAGAAAGTCTACGCTAGTCTTCATTTTAAGAAATCACTATTATATGTTCACTGATGCCCCCCTCCCCTCTCAAATATAGCACAAAATTATATATACTCATCTGGAAATAAGATACTTATCTATTAAGATACTTTAAAAAATTAAATAATAAAGATTAACAAAGTTCTATAAGGGCCATTCAGTTGCAAATTTGAACTTTAGAACTCAGGTTTTCTAATTCCTCGCCCAGTGTTACTTGCACTGTTTAGGTCTTTTTATTGAAGTATGATACACCTACAGAAAAGTGGTAAATGTAAAGTAGATTTAGAGATTCAAGAAAGAAATTAAAAAGTGGTAAATGTCCAGCTCCATGAATTGTTACAAAGTCTCCAGATCAAGAAAGAGAACACTCCAAGTCTAATTCATAGAACTATGAAGTACAATGGTGACTGCCAGAGGTTGGGAGGCGGGGGCAGGAAGAATGGGGAGTTAGTGTTTAATGGATGCATTGTTTTCTTTGGGAAGATAAAAGAGTTCTGGAGCCGGATAGGGGTGATACAACAATGTGGATGGACTTAATGCCACTGACCTGTACACAGAAAAATGGTTGAAATGGTCAGTTTTTTGTATGTTTTGCCACAATAAAATAGAACATTCCCACACCGACAAAAGCTGCCCTTCTACTTCCAGCCACTACCCACTTCTACCTGCCCCCAGGATTGACCACTATCCTGACTCGGTTGAAAATTGTTTACACTAAAAGATGCTTAGCAATCCTACATTCTGACCCTTTAGTTTTATTACTTAGAGAAAAAAGCACAAGATTGTTTGCCTAAGATCATAGTTTGTGTCCCAGGTCAAAATGGATTGAATGGGAAATTAACTGTTTCTTGAACCTGTGGTAGATAACATGTCCATTTTATTTAGTGATAGCAACTAACAGATGTATAATTTATGCAGTTCTTGAACATGCCCTGCTGGGAGGCAGTGAGACGCTGGTATGTGAGTGTGGGCAGAGCAACAGGTAACTAGTGCACAAGGCCGGCAGCTCCAGTCCTCTCAGCCAGGTCGCCGAACCCTGTGCCTGGAGCACTTTGCCAGGCTGACGTTTTACACTAAGAAAAGCTTACTGGGCAGGTGCTGTGGCCCTCACCTGTAATCTCAGCACTTCGGGTGGCCAAGGCGGGCAGATCGCTTGAGCTGAGGAGTTTGAGATCAGCCTGGGCAACATCGTGAAACCCCATCTCTACAAAAAATACAAAAATTAGCCAGGTGTGTGGTGGGTGCCTATAGTCCCAGCTACCCAAGAGGCTGAGGTGGGAGGATGGCTTGAGCCCGGGAGGTGGAGGTTGCAGTAAGCTGAGATTGCGCCATTGCACTAAGCCTGGATGACAGAGCCAGACCCTGTCTCAAAGAAAAAAAAAGAAAAGAGAAAAGCTTAATGGCTTGTGTTTATTCACTTTTGTGTGTGTTTCTTCTTTTTTTTTTTTTTTTTTTTTTTTGAAACCAAGTCTCCAACTCTCCAACTGTCACCCAGGCTGGAGTGCAATGGTGCGATCATGGCTTACTACAGCCTCCACCTCCCGGGTTCCAGTGATTCTCCTGCCTCAGTGTCCCGAGTAGCTGGGATTACAGGCACACGCCACCCCATCGCTCCTAGGAGACAGAGGTTGCAGTGAGCCAAGATCGCACCACTGCACTCCAGAGCGAGACTGTCTCAAAAAAAAAAAAAAGTAGCCAGGCATGGTGGCATGTAGTTCCAGCTCCTCGGGAGGCTGAGGTAGAAGGATCTCTTGTGCCGAGGAGGTCAAGTCTGTTGTGGTTGTTCCACTCACTCCTGCCTGGGCGACAGAGCAATACCCTGGAGGGAAGAAAAAGCTTGTTTTGTTTGCCTCTGCAGTTTGTCACTAAAAATATTATTAAACATAATGTATGCATGCAAGTTACTGGGTTAAGTGTTAAAATTCTGGGTTGGTTTTTTTTCCTCTACATCCAGTCTCATGAGAAATTCTAAGAGTTCTAAGTTACATACTTGTCATTGCTAATGTGTCTTGAAATGAGCTGAAGGGGAATTGGCACCAAAATCAAGATTGAGTGTTAGCTAAATGATTAAGAAAGAATATACTGAGCTTAGAGTGCTTTGTGCTTTTATTTTAGAGCAGATACTGCTCCTTCTCTCCTGGCCAGGTTCAGTATTATTTCTTCCGTCCTAGCCAGCCTCACACCAACACTAAGCATTGCTTAAGTATTTGCCATGTTTAAGCTGGAAAGGAAATGTGTTTCTTCACCTTTGGAAAGATCGAGGTGCTAGTTTTCATTCTTGTTGATGGTGTTTAGTATTTGCTGCAGCTGTACACAAATTCCTCAAACTTCATGAGCATAAATTGTTTGCCTTTAGCTTTCTCAAGTTTGGAATCTGCTTCTTAGCCTCATTTCTCAACATTGAAATTTGTATAAACCTTAACAGCACCAGTCTGGAAGTCAGTTATACTCATTTAGTCAAACAGCCATTATTAAGAACCTATTATGTAGATGAATATGGTCTTTATCTTTGAGACTCAGTCTCACTCTGTCGCCCAGGCTGGAGTGCAGTGGCATGATCTCTGCTCACTACAACCTCCACCTCCAGGGCTTGAGCAATTCTCGTGCCTCAGCCTCCCGAGTAGCTGGGACTACAGGTGCATACCATAACGCCCAGCTAATTTTTGTATTTGTAGTAGAGATGGGGTTTTACCATGTTCCACAGGTTGGTCTCGAACTCCTGACCTCAGGTGATCTGCCCACCTTGGCCTCCCAAAGTGCTGGGATTACAAGCATGAGCCATCGCACCCGGCATGGTCTTTAAAGCTCCAATGAAAAATCATTTTTCTCTCTTACTTAGAATGGTACCAAACCACCACTGGATGCAGATGTAAATTTGGAAGCAATTGCTGGTGACCTTCGCTGTGATTGCTATACGTAAGTGTTTAAATCTTAAGTCAATTCACTCTCTGGGGTTCAATTTCCTCATCTATAAAATGAGGGGTGATGATGCTCACCTCAGCAGATTGTTGGGAGGATTAAATGAGGTATCCCATGAAGCACATAAAGTGTCTGGCATCTCCCTTCTTAGAGAAGAGACTGCACATTTGGAGGCCCTGAAGGAATTCCTGGGAACAGGGGAGTCCTTTCATATGTTGACTCTTGGTACTTAACCTACCCTAACCAGCACTGCTGTCCTTTACAAATTGTACTGGTGCGTCAGCATTTAAAAGAGACTAATCTACAAGTGCCACATTTTGCAGCCCTCAGGATGCATTTTCACCTCCACATAGCCTGTAGTAACATCAGGAAATCTGACATTTCTGCCTTCATCCTTCCTATGTTTGTGTTGTTACAGTTATTAGTTTTTCTTCATATGTTTTGAAGTAAATTTGTTTGTTAACTTTCCCAATTTGGGGACACAGAGGGAGGAAATGAAACTCAAGTTTAACTAACAGAGACAATGCCCCCTCCGGCTTTTTGTTTTCTTTTTTTTCTTTTTTTTTTTTCCATACAGGGTTTCCCTCTTTCACCCAGGCTGGAGTACAGTGGCATGATCATGGCTCACTGTAGCCTTGACTTCCTGGGCTCAAGCAATCCTCTGACCTCAGCCTCCTGGATAGCTGGGACTACAGGTGCATGCTACCATCCCCAGCTAATTTTTTTAAAAAATTTTTGTAGTTTTAGGGTCTCGCCATATTGCCCAGTCTTGTCATGAACTCCTGAGCTTAAGTAGTCCCTCATGCCTCAGCATCCCAAAGTGCTGGGATTACAGTGAGCCACCACACCCGGCCCTTTTTTTTTCTCTATTATGTCCTTCCAATGTAGCAGTGATTCTCAGTGAAGAGAAACTGATCAGAGTCTCAGGCAGGGGTGGTGAGGGGCAGATGTAAATGCCTCTACCTCCCCTTAAATAGGATGTGCCTCACCCCCTAATTAGGAATCAAATCCATACGAGTCTTTATTTAAATGATGTGGCCAGGCACAGTGGCTCACGCCTGTAATCCCAGCACTTTGGAGGCTGAGGTGGGCAGATCACTTGAGGTCAGAAATTTGAGACCAACCTGGCCAACATGGTGAAACCTTGTCTCTACTAAAACTACAAAAATTAGCCGGGCATGGTAGTGCACACCTGTAATCGCAGCTACTAGGGAGGCTGAGACAGGAAAATTGCTTGAACCCAGCGGGTGGAGGTTGCAGTGAGCTGAGATCGTGTCACTGCACTCCAGGCTGGGCAACAGAGCGACACTCCATCTCAAAAAATAAAAATAAATAAAATTAAAAATAAAGAAATGGCCTTATGCTTAGGAGACTACTACTTGAGTAGTTTACTGCTTTAAGGGTGGGAGCAGTGGCTCACACCTGTAATCCTAGCCCTTTGGGAGGCCAAGGCAGGCAGATTGTTTGAGGCCAGGAGTTCAAGACCAGCTTGGGCAACATAGTAAGACCCCATCTCTACAAAAAAAATAATAATAATACAGCTTTAAGTGCTCAAATCTGAAAAGATTTTCGGTGAGTAACAGGTGATTTTGGTGGCGGAACTTGCCCTGGGCTAAATCTTTTGGATATACCAAGTAGGCTATCAGTCTGTGAAGGGGTTAGGGCTAAAGTTGAATGGTGTACATTTTGGATTTTCATGCCACTATAATTACAGTTTGAGAGACACTACACCACTACAGTCTATAGCTATCTGCTTGTGTTAGTTAATGGTGTTTCCACCAATGTTAGATTTCATAGTATGGGAAGGAATGAATACCCCAGCAGGTATGTGATTATTAAATAATGTTATAACCCTAACATTTAGCCAACAAAACACCAGATTCAGTTAAAAATTTAAGCTCTGTGGGTCTTTACTTTTATATAGTATGTGTCTGAGGCAGGAGAATCACTCATACCCAGGACGCAGAGGTTGCGGTGAGCCAAGATCACACCACTGCACTCCAGCCTCGGTGACAGAGCAAGACTCCATCTCAAAAAAAAAAAAGTTATATAGTATGGGGATTATCAACATTATATAATAAGTTTAATGTCCAGAGATGAGGTTTTTTAAAAAAATTTATTTTTCATTTTCATCTTTTCTTTCCAAGACTTGTGAATCATAGAAGTGATGTTTTTATCCCCAAACTCAAACTCTTTCTCATATAATCTCTAAGAACCCTGTTACAGCTGTAATGTAGTGAAACTCCAGTCAACATGAGTGTCTTTCATTGAACTCAGAACTGTGCTGACTCAGCATATTATTACATGAACTAATTAAATAAGTGAAGGCCTGTTTTGTATTTGTCATATTTTAAGTAACTTATGATGTGTTCATTCAGTTTTAACTTGAATCAGGTGCATTAAAGACTTTCCAGGGTTTGTATTTTTCCCTTCTGAACTTGGAGCCACAAGTGACTTTTTGGGGGGTTTTCTTGAGACAGGGTCTCACTCTGTCACCCAGGCTCACTATAGCCTTTGCCCCCCAGGCTCAAGCAATTCTGCCATCTCAGCCTCCCAAAGTGCTGGAATTACAGGCATGACCCACTGCGCCCAGCCCATAAATGACTTTTTAATAAGCTTACTTTAGACATTATGTAATACATGAATATGCTAGTCAGCACTTTAGCCCTTTATGCATTGTATTGTTTCCTCCATAATTTCCTTTCTTCTTGAGTTTAGTTTTTTTTTGTTTTTGTTTTTTAATTGGGACAGAGTCTCACTCTGTTACCCAGGCTGGAGTGCAGTGGTGCGATCTTGGCTCATTGCAACCGCCACCTCCCGGGCTCAAGTGATCCTCCCACCTAAGCCTCCCCAGTGCCTGGGACTACAGGTGCATGCCACCATGCCCAGCTAATTTTTTTGTAGTTTTGTAGATATGGCATTTCTCCATATTGCTGAGACTAGTCTCAAACTCCTGTTCAAGTGATCCACCCACCTCGGCCTCCCAAAGTGCTGGGATTATAGGCGTGAGCCACTGCACCTGGCCTAGAAATATCTTATATAAAAGCTAAGAGCTCTTTTCTATTGATTGATAATCAATTTATTTCTCATCTTTATTGGTCACTTTTTCTCCTGATTATTTAATATATGACTTATATGAAAACTGTTTTCCGGGTTTTTTTCTGGGATTTTGCAGTATCTAAGAATAAGTAGATAACTATTATTTTATTGTAGGGGCGCAGATCTCTCTGCTTTGGTACGAGAAGCTTCTATCTGTGCCCTGAGACAGGAAATGGCAAGACAGAAGAGTGGAAATGAAAAAGGTACAATTCTCTCCAGAATCTCTCAATTCTAATTATGATACTTAAAACCACTGTTGCCCTGGAAAATGACCATTTTCTAGTGTCTATTATCTATGATATTAAAGCTAACGTTTTTCTAATAAGACTGTTAGAAGCTGTTCTGAAATATTAGGTAACCTCTGTTGCTGACAATTATAATAATAGCAAAGTTATTTAGTACCTCTCTAATAAAGAGTACTGTCCCTATAGGCAAATGGATCCATTCGCTGTCTTCATCATGAGTCTGGGCTGCTTATCAATTCTGGAAAAACGTATTCTTTTGCTAAGGTGATATCTACTTGCCTGTTAAAATGCAGCCTAAATTGGAGAGCTTAGAAAATACACAAGAGAAGTGAAATTTGGAATAACTTTCCATATGTTGAGACTTTCCTTTCAAAATATAAAATCTGTGTATTGTGTTATGTGATGCTTTGGGGCCATCTCAAAAGCTTTGCACCATCCTTCACATTTGACAGTGTCTTTAATGTTATTATTTGAGTGCATATGGGGGAAAAAAATTGTCTGCTGGGTGTGGTGACTCACATCTGTAATCCCAGCACTTTGGGAAGCTGCGGCAGGAGGATTGCTTGAGCCCAGGAGTTTGAGAGCAGCCTGCGCAACAAACCAAGATGCCATCTCTATAAAAAATTTAAAAATTAGACTGGCATGGTGGTGCATGCCTATAGTCCTAACTACTTGGGAGGGTGAGGCCCAGGAGTTCGAGGCTGCAATGAGCTATGATTGCACCACTGCACTCCAGCCTGAGTGACAGAGCAAAACCCTGTCTCTATTTTTATTTTGTTATTTTTATTTTTATTTATTTATTTTTTTTGAGACAGAGTCTCGCTCTCACTCAGGCTGGAGTGCAGTGGCGCGATCTTGGCTCACTGCAAGCTCCGCCTCTCGGGTTCATGCCATTCTCCTGCCTCAGCCTCCCAAGTAGCTAGGATTACAGGCGCCGGCCACCACACCTGACTAATTTTTTTTTTTGTATTTTTAGTAGAGACGGGGTTTCACCATGTTAGCCAGGATGGTCTCGATCTCCTGACTTCGTGATCCGCCTGCCTCGGCCTCCCAAAGTGCTGGGATTACAGGTGTGAGCCACTGCGCCCGGCCTCCCTGTCTGTATTTTTATTTATTTATTTATTTATTTTCTAAACTTGAGTCTTGCTCTGTCGCCCAGGCTGGAGTGCAGTGCCGCGATCTCGGCTCACTGCAACCTCCACCTCCTGGTTCAAGCAATTCTCCTGCCTCAGCTTCCCGAGTAGCTGGGACTACAGGCGTGTGCCACCACACCCACTTAATTTTTTTTGTATTTTTAGTAGAGACGGGATTTCACCATATTGGTCAGGCTGGTCTCGAACTCCTGATCTCATGATCCGCCCACCTCGGCCTCCCAAAGTGCTGGGATTACAAGCCTGAGCCACCGCGCCCGACCTAAAGCTCCCTTCTAAACCAGTGCTGAGATATATTATATATAAAATATTCTATGATATTATGGCTCCATAAGATCTCATTGTGTGTTGCATACTCTTAAATATTAATACTATGGAATCCTACTTTCTATTCCAGTTACATTTATTTGAATTATCTGAATAATTCTGGCTCTTGTTCATAGGCATCACCATTAAGTTAAACAATGCAAAGAGGCCTACAAAAAGTTACCAACTTATGAGTGGCAGATCTCTTTGGGTGGTTTTGGATTAAAATCTGATGAGCAGAATATATCTGGCTAGAATACTGTTCTGAAAAAGAACAGAGCCCATCTCATCACTGATCTCTTTAGTGGACCCCTTGAAAGTTTTGAAGTCTTTCAAAGGAAGTTAAGTTCTAAGTCAGTTACCATACGATACTGAGATGTGTATATTTGTGCATTTACTCCATAGGTGAACTCAAGGTTAGTCATAAGCATTTTGAAGAAGCTTTCAAGAAAGTAAGATCATCTATATCAAAAAAGGTAAGCAATGCCATTAAATGCATAGAGAAAGGAAACTAGAATTTTAGACCAGTAGATATGACCTCATGAATTAAACTCTTTTTTTTTTTTTTTGAGACGGAGTCTTGCTCTGTCGTCCATGCTGGAGTGCAGTGGTGCGATCTCTGCTCACTGCAAGCTCTGCCTCCCGGGTTCACACCATTCTCCTGCCTCAGCCTCCCAAGTAGCTGGGACTACAGGTGCCCGCCACCATCCCCGGCTAATTTTTTGCATTTTTAGTAGAGACGGGGTTTCACCATGTTAGCCAGGATGGTCTCGATCTCCTGACCTCGTGATCCGCCCGTCTCTGCCTCCCAAAGTGCTGGGATTACAGGCGTGAGCCACCGCGCCCGGCTGAATTAAACTCTTTTACAGATTGTTTTGTATACTACTTCTACTTCCTAAAAAGAAATTACATGGTTCATTTTGATCTGAAAACAAGCAAAATAATTGCCTTTGTGAGAATGTTCTTGAGAGATTTTAATTTTATATGTTTCTTAGGGACTAGAACACAGTTTTCCTAACTAGATTCTCTAACAACTTTATTCAGAAAGAGAATGACCTCTTCTGCCTCCACAATCTCAGATTTTTTTTTTATTTTTTTGAGACAGAGTCTCGCTCTGTCACCCAGTCTGGAGTGTAGTGGCATGATCTTGGCTCACTGCAACCTCTGCCTCCTGGGTTCAAGCGATTCTTCTGTCTCAGCCTCCTGAGTAGCTGGGACTATAGGTGCGCACCACCATGCCTGGCTAATTTTTTGTATTTTTAGTAGAGACAGGGTTTCACCATATTGGTGAGGCTGGTCTCAAACTCTTGACCTCGTGATCCACCCGCCTTGGCCTCCCAAAGTGCTGGGATTACAGGCGTGAGCCACTGCGCCCAGCCCACAATCTCAGAATTTTAATCATCTGATTCAAGTATTATTTGACCTACTCTACGCTTTTTGATAAATGGCTTTGTATTTCTTGGAGCTAGACTGTACCCAAACTAAGCCATAGGGACTTACCCATACATTTCAGGGAAATAAAAACATCTTCACCATAGGTGGGAGAAGGGTTAAAAAAAAATCACTCTGGAGCTGGGCACAGGGGCTTATGCCTGTTATCTCAGCTACTCAGGAGGCAGAGGTGGGAGAATGGCTTGAGCCCAGGAGTTCAAGATCAGCCTGGGCAACATGGTGAGACCCTGTCTCTACAAAAAAATTAAAACTTAGCCAGGCATGGTGTCATGCACCTGTAGTCCCAGCTACTTAGGAGACCGAGGCAGAAGGATTACTTGAGCCCAGGAGGTTGAGGCTACACTGAGCCATGATCACACCATTGTACTCCAGCCTCGGTTACAGAACGAAACCTTGTCTCAAAAACAAACAAATAAACACAGAAGAAAAAACACACTTCAAGTATTTCTTTGGGATGAATACACAGGAGTGGAATTGCCACCCAACATTTAAAATGTTAATTTGCCAGACGCGGTGGCTCACTTCTGTAATCCCAGCACTTTGGGAGGCTGAGGCGGGCAGATCACGAAGTCAGGAGTTCAAGACCAGCCTGGCCAATATAGTGAAATCTCATCTCTACTAAAAATACAAAAATTAGCTGGGCGCGCACCTGTAGTCCCAGCTACTGCGCACCTGTAGTCCCAGCTACTCAGGAGGCTGAAGCAGAAGAATCGCTTGAACCTGGGAGGCAGAGGTTGCAGTGAGCCAAGATTGCACCACTGCACTCCAGCCTGGGCGACAGATTGAGACTCCGTCTCAAAAAAAAAAATTTTTTTTTAATTTGACCACAGTGAGATTCTACTACACACCTACCACAATGACTAAAATTTAAAATATTGGCAACACTAAATGGTGGCAAGGATATGAAACAGCTGGAACTCTTTTTATTTATTTATTTATTTATTTATTTTTTTGAGACAGAGTTTCACTCTTGTTGCCCAGGCTGGAATGCAATGGCACAATCGCAGCTCACCACAACCTCTGCCTCCTGAGTTCAAGCTATTCTCCTGCTTCAGCCTCCCGAGTAGCTGGGATTACAGGCATGTGCCACCACACCCGGCTAATTTTTTGTATTTTTAGTAGAGACAGGGTTTCTCCATGTTGGTCAGCCTGGTCTCCAACTCCCAACCTCAGGTGATTGGCCCGCCTCAGCCTCCCAAAGTGCTGGGTTACAGGCCTGAGCCACCACGCCTGGCCTGGAACTCTTATACATTGTTGCTGAAAATGTAGATACAACCACACTGGAAAACATTCTGGCAATTTCTTTTTTTTTTTTTTTTTTTTTTGAGACGGAGTCTCGCTCTGTCGCAATGGCGCGATCTCGGCTCACTGCAAGCTCCGCCTCCCAGGTTCACACCATTCTCCTGCCTCAGCCTCCCGAGTAGCTGGGACTACAGGCGCCCGCCACCATGCCCAGCTAATTTTTTTGTATTTTTGTAGAGACAGGGTTTCACCATGTTAGCCAGGATGGTCTCGATCTCCTGACCTCGTGATCCACCCATCTCAGCCTCCCAAAGTGCTGGGATTACAGGTGTGAGCCACCGCGCCCGGCCCATTCTGGCAGTTTCTTATGAATGTTAATGTAGTGTAAGAAGCTTCTACTTTCCCGGCCTGGCGCAGTGGCTCACACCTGTAATCCCAGCACTTTGAGAGGCCGAGGCGGGTGGATCATGAGGTCAGGAGTTTGAGACCATCCTGGCCAACATGGTGAAACCCCATCTCTACTAAAATGCAAAAAATTTGCCGGGCGTAGTGGTGCGCACCTGTAGTTCCAGCTACTCAGGAGGCCGAGGCAGGGGAATCCCTTGAACCCAGGAGGCAGAGATTGCAGTGAGCCGAGATTGCACCGCTGCATTCCAGCCTGGGCGACAGAGTGAGACTCCGTTTCAAAAAACAAAAAAAGAAGCTTCTGCCTTTGCCTCCTTTCCATCTGGATTCAGTGTAGTTTAGAATTGTGCTTTCTTCACTAATTAGATAGACATAAGACTCTTGACCTGATTTTTTAGGAAAACTTGAGTCAACGATTGTGAATGTCATGGAGTCCCCTGTGGAAAGGAGCATGTGTAGGATTTAGATTAGGATTTAGATGCAGGAAGGTAAAATATCACCTCTCTTCAACAGTAAGTTAGTCAGCAGGAGCTACTATGACAAAGTACCACAGACTGGGTGGCTTAAAAAGTGGAAAATTTATTTTCTCACAGTTCTGGAGAGTGTTGGGCAGGATTGGTTCTTCTGGAGCCTTTGTCCTCACTGATGGCTGTCTTCTCCCAGCGCCTGCATGTGCTTTTCCCTCTGCGCACATGCTCTTCCCTCCTGTGCCCTAATCCCCTCTTTTTGTAAGGAGAGCAGTCATATTGGATAAGAGTCTACCTGTATGACCTCATTTTAATCCAGTCTCCTCTATAAAGACCCTCTCTCCAGTTACAATCACATTCTGAGGTCCTGCGGGTGCGGACTGCAGCATGTGAATTTTGGGGGGCACCATTCAGCCCAAAACAAGCAGTGACGGTCTCTGTATTCTGTGTTCTCCCTCCTTTCAGGATCAAATCATGTATGAACGTTTGCAGGAGTCCCTCAGCCGGTGATGTCTCCAGCAGCCGGCTTAGAGGAGCTAGCCCATCAAGCCGGCAGAGAATCCCCCACACGCTCTGAAGGACCCACTTTCAGCTGGACACAGGCGCGGCCTCATGTAAACATTTTATTTTCAAATGAATGAGGCCAAGCTGAAGCTGAAGCTGAAGATTCTTCCCATCTGGCCAGCCTTGTGTGAAAATGCCTTCTTCCTCTTTAAGAAAAAGGACAATTTTTAAACTGCTGAAATAAAATGACTGTTACATTTTTCAAATAAAACTTTTACTTTGAACTATTTTGACTATACAGAAAAGTTACAGAGATCTCCTCCCCCGCCTTCCACAACCATCTAGGAATAAGTGCCAACCTGATGCCCTATCACTCCCAAATACTGTCATGTGTATTTTCTACACTTGAAGATATTCTCCTACATAACCCACCATCAAAGTCAGGGAATTAATACATTGATACATCACTGCCATCTAATCCTCCTCCATTCACGTTCCTCTAGTTGTCCTGATAATGTCCTTTAAAACAGGTCCCTAACCCCCAGGTTGGAGACAGGTACCTATCTGTCTCCTGTTAGGAACCAGGACGCACAGTGGGAGGTTAGTGGTGGGCGAGCGAGCATTACTGCCTTAGCTCCACCTCCTGTTAGATCAGTGGCAGCATTAGACTTTCATAGAAGCGTGAACCCTGTTGTGAACTGTGCACTTGAGGGACCTAGGTTGTACCCTCCTTATGAGAATCTGATGCCTGATGATCTGAGGTGGAACAGTTTCTTCCTGAAACCACCTCCCCTGACCCTGTCTGTGGAAAAATTATCTTCCACGAAACCAGTGCCTGAGCCTAAAAGGTTGGGGACCACTGCTTTAAAAGGAGGCCACTGCAGTTAGTTGCTACATTCTTTAATCTCTTTTAAGCGTGGAACATTTCTTCAGGTTTGACTTTTGACACTTGTGAAGGTTTCAGGCCAGTTACTTTGTAAAATTCCTTGAGTGTGGATGTGTCTGATGTTTTCCTTGTGATTAGACTCAAGTTATGCATCTTTGGCAGATTACAAAGTGACACTGTGCGCTTGTCATGTGGCATGCGATTTCAGTTTGTCCTGTTACTCATGATGTTCACTGTGATCACTTGAGGTAGTTCTTCCAGGTTTCTCACACTACAAAGTTACTCTTTACTCTTTTTTTTTCACTTTGTAATGTATGTGTATTTTATGGGAAGTTACTTTGAAACTCTATAAAGTCCATTCCTCATCAAAGTCAAGTATTACTATTTTTAATATATTATCCATTATTATCATTATGATATTCAAACTGTCCCAGATTTGACTCTCCTTTGGCCTCTATATGTTTGATGAGTCCCTAGGCAATACTTTGTGAAGGGCTTGATTTTTGTTGTGTTCAACTCATAATTTACAGTGTTGCTCACAATATATCCGGAAGTTATATATAGATGGGTCGGGTTACCTACTTTTCTTTCTTCTTAAATTTTTACTTCACCTCATTCTACAAAAATTTTTAGGCTACTTTTAAGAATGTGGACCAGTCACAGTGGCACATGCCTGTAATCCTAGCATGTTTGGGAGGCCTAAGTGGGAGGATCACTTGAGTTCAGGAGTTCGAGAGCAGCCTGGGCAACATAGTGAGACCCCCCACATCTCTACAAAAAGAAAAAAAAATGTTACAAGGCCAGGCGTGGTGGCTTATGCCTGTAATCCCAGCACTAGGCCAAGGCGGGCAGATCGCCTGAGGTCGGGAGTTCTTGACCAACCTGGCCAACATGGTGAAACCCCGTCTCTACTAAAAATATGAAAATTAGCCGGGCGTGGTGGCAGGCACCTGTAATCCCAGCTACTCAGGAAGCTGAGGCAGGAGAATCGCATGAACCCGGAGGCGGAGGTTGCAGTGAGCCAAGATCGCACCACTGCACTCCAGCCTAGGCAACAGAGTGAGACTCTGTCTCAAAAAAAAAAAAAATTTACAAAAAGAATGTGGTGAAAAAATGTTACTAAAAGCAAATCAGGGTTACAAAGGTCAATAAAACAGTCTTTTTTTTTTTCTTTTTTTGAGACGGAGTCTTGCTGTGTTGCCCAGGCTGGAGTGCAGTGGTGCAATCTCGGCTCACTGCAACCTCCACCTCCCGGGTTCCTGCCATTCTCCTGCCTCAGCCTCCCAAGTAGCTGGGACTACAGGTGCCTGCCACCACGCCCGGCTAATTTTTTGTATTTTTAGTAGAGACGGGGTTTCACCGTGTTAGCCAGGATGGTCTCGATCTCCTGACCTTGTTATCCTTCCACCTTGGCCTCCCAAAGTGCTGGGATTACAGGCGTGAGTCACTGTGCCCAGCCAACACAGTCGTTTTTCTGAGGAGTTCGCAGAAGGATTCAGACATCTCAGCAGAGTATGACCATGCCCAGTGAAAGGGCATGAAGAAGAGGGTACCTTAGGACACCAGAAGAGGGAACACCAAAAAAGAAAAAAAAAGGCAAATCAGGATCACATACTAAAGGTAGGTGATTAAGAATGAAGGGAAGCCGGGTGCGGTGGCTCACGCCTGTAATTCCAACATTTTGGGAAGCCAAGGCGGGCGGATCACGAGGTCAAGAGATCAAGACCATCCTGATCAATATGGTGAAACCCCGTCTCTACTAAAAATACAAAAATTAGCTGGGTGTGGTGGCATGGCCTGTAGTCCCAGCTACTCGGGAGGCTGAGGCAAGAGAATTGCTTGAACTCAGGAGGCAGAGGTTGCAGTGAGCCGAGATCGTGCCACTGCACTCCAACCTGGTGACAGAGTGAGACTCTGTCTCAAAAAAAAAAAAAAAAGAATGAAGGGAAAATTGGAATATGCACCAGAAGGTCTTAAATTTGAGGAGCAGATTCAACTCTGCTTGACATCCACCCAATCCTGAGAAACACAGTCAGGTATATCATAGATGTGGGTTATGAGAAAAAGCAAAAATCTTCTTGACTATTAAATGTTAGGTCTAAGTATCCAACTTGCTGGTAGTTTAGCTTAACCTCGACATAAAATGTAGAACGCATAAGAGAGCAGACTGGCTGCGTGTTCGTTGGCTTTGCCAGTCAGGTATGGTACATGTTGAACAGCAGGCAGATACTGCGACAGGTAGTGTGACAGTGGATGTTGCCAGCACTTCTGCAAATGGAAGGGAAGATCATATTTTTCAGCATGATCTGTGTACTACACACTGCCAAATGTTATCTTAACGCTCCCAACTCATACTAGGGATCAAATAGAGTTATCCCCATATCATCAAAAAGAACAAGGTTCAGAGCCTGTTCAAGGGGACTCGCGGAACAGTCTGAATTCTGGTCTACAGCGGTCTAACTTTTCTTTCTCTTGTGAAAAAGATCCAGTCCTCTGTTCAGAAACTCCCGGAATTATGTCCTCTGTTCTAGCACTGTCAAAGATTTAGCCATTTCATTAAACACTTTGTACTGAGCATTACTAACATAATGGTGAACAAACTCAGAACTTAATGCCCAGTGTGGTGTGTGTGGCAGAGAGCTTATCGCCCTATAATGTCCATTCTTTTCTTCTACCTTTTAGTAAGAAGGGCTCTTGCTGCCAGGAAAGTGACTAACAAACATCTGGCTAGTATAATATAAACAGAAGCGATGGGAACAGCTTCTGGTTACATCCTTATAAGGAAGTGACTTGGGTTGCATTAACCCATCATTAACTCAGGGCAGCCTACATTGAACTCAACACACCTTCTCCCAGAAGCAAAGACCCTGGCTATGTCCTTGAAAAGTCATAACTTGTTTAAAAAAGAAGGTGCTACCTGTCATTTTAACTCCATGCTGCCCTTCCCGGGACTAGAGAGTGATGAGCTGATGATGAACCTGTTTTGGCCTTGTAAATGGAGACAACATCCTAGGGAATGACAAAGTAATAAAACACAAGAAACCAGGATCGTGGGCAACCCTTGCAGCAGAGTTTCCTCAACCCTCAGATGGTCATTTGCCTCACTTGTGTGTGTGATCTTTATATTGCTTAAGCTATTTATATTTTGGTCTGTGTGAAAGGAGCCAAATTCATATCCAACTTAATACAGATAAAGAGACAGTCACAAAACAGTGTGAGAAGGGCTGAAAAGGGATAAGAATAGTCACCAAGCGAAGAGCACAGGGTAGGAGCAGCTAGTCCATAATTGGAATTGGAAGGTTCTCCCAAGAATGCAATGTGTCAGCGGAATCCTGAAGGCAAAGAAGATGAAGGAAGGAGGTAAATGACCTGAGCAGAGAACAAAGGCCTGGATAAGGGAGGGGCTGGTGTCAGTGGGAAGAAGCAGGTGGTCTCTCATGTTTGTATGTAGGTTATTGCTGAAAACATGTCCAAGTAGTATTTACTGGAAGATCTTATTTCCAAAAGGTAAAAATGTTGTAAAATGCCTTATTACCCTAAAAAGTATAAGTAGATATAACTTAGGTAAAAGTATAGTATTCTATACTTTGTATCTGTCACTATTCTAGATCTCACTGTTTGAACTCAGGAACTGAACAGATTTGGATACATTTTTTGGACAAATCCCTCACTATTTGAAATTGCACTACTCACCTTCCAAAGCTGAGAAGCCAAATAGATTTGGGTGAGATGGTATTGCTCATGATTCAGACTCTAACCTTATCACTTTTGCTTTGGATTATGAGACTTACGCTTATCACTATTATCAGCATTTGTTTTTCTTTTTCTTTCTTTTTTTTTGGTGACGGAGTCTCCCTCTGTTGCCCAGGCTGGAGTGTAGTGGCATGATCTCGGCACACTGCAACCTCTGCCTCCCAGGTTCAAGGGATTCTCCTGCCTCAGCCTCCCGAGTAGCTAGGATTGCAGCCGCGTGCCACCACACCCGGCTGATTTTTGTATTTTTAGTAGAGACGAGGTTTCACCATGTTGACCAGGCAGATCTTGAACTCCTGGACTTAAGTGATCCACCCACCTCAGCCTCTCAAAGTGCTGGGATTACAGGCGTGAGCACCTGTGCCTGGCCAAGGGCAAGGATTCTGTCAGTCAGTGTCTCTGTAGCACCCAGCCCGGATTCTGGCATGCAGGAAGCATTGAATAAAGTGAAGTGAATGAACTGTTCTTCAACAACATGTTTGTCCAAATTAGACTGCTGGGGCACAGCTCCTCCAGGTGAGAATTTTTAATGTTTGCTCACCAGGTAATAGAAGTTTGACTTTGTCATATGAACCAGACACAGTGGCTCATGCCTGTAATCCCAATGCTTTGGGAGGCCGAGGCAGGCAAATCACCTGAGGTCAGGAGTTTGAGACTAGCCTGGTCAACATGAATCCCCATACCTACTACAAATACAAAAATTAGCCAAGCATGGTGGTGTGTGCCTGTAATCCCAGCTACTCAGGAGGCTGAGGCAGAAGGATTGCTTGAACCCAGGAGGCAGAGGTTGCTGTGAGCTGAGATCATGCCATTGCACTCTAGCCTGGGCAACAATAGCGAAACTCTGTCTCAAAAATAAAAAGAAGTTTGATTTTGTCATATGAAAAATGATAAAGACCTGGGTGCAGTGGCTCATGCCTGTAATCCCAACACTTTGGGAGCCAAGGCAGGTGGATCACGTGAGCTCAGGAATTCCAGACTAGCCTGGGCAACATGGTGAAAAAACCCCGTTTCTACAAAAAATGCAAAAATTAGCTGGGTGTGGTTGTGACTGCCTGTAGTCCCAGCTACTTGGGAGGCTGAGGTGGGAGGATCACTTGAGCACAGAAGGTTGAGGCTGCAGTGAGCCATGTTTGTGCCACTGCACTCCAGCCTGGGTGACAAAGCAAGACCCAAAAAAATAAAAACGATAAAGAGACATGTCGGCCGGGCGCGGTGGCTGGCCAGGTGCAGTGGCTCACACCTGAAATCCCAGCACTTTGGGAGGCTGATGTGGGCGGATCACAAGGTCAGGAGTTTGAGACCAGCCTGACCAACATGGTGAAACCTCGTCTCTACTAAAAGTACAAAAATTAGCCGGGTGTGGTGTTGCGCATCTGTAATCCCAGCTACTCGGGAGGCTGAGGCAGGAGAATCACTTGAACTTGGGAGGTGGAAGTTGCAGTGAGCCGAGATGGTGCCACTGCACTCCAGCCTGGGCAACACAGCGAGACTCCGTCTCAAAAAAAAAAAAAAGAGAGAGACATGTGAATAGCTCAACGTTCCACTCCTACACACATATAAATGAATATGCATACATATGTTCACCAAAATAGCAGCATAATTCATAATAGATCAAAACTAGAAACAAACCAAATGTTCATCAGCAGAACAGATAAATGTGGTGTTTTCTCACACTAGAACGTAGTACGACCCAGCAATGACAAACTGGCTACGACAACATGGGTGACTCTCATAGATGTTGATTGAAAGAAGCCAGTTCTTGTGTGATTCTACTGATTAATATATATAAAGTTCAAAGACAAAGCCAATTGATTCCATTAGTAGGCTGCTACTTAGGGGGGGTGGTGGCTGGCAGGGAGCATGCATTAGGGCTGCCCCTGGTGTGCCAACCATGCCCTCCTTGATCCGGGTGATGCTTACATGGTCATGTTTCCTTTGTGAAGATCCATCATGCTATATGCCTATCTGGGCTCTTTTCTGCAAGTATGTTTACTTATGTTAAAAAGTTAACAAAGTTAGCCAGGCTCGGTGGCACATGCCTGTAATCCCAGCACTTTGGGAGGCTGAGGAAGGAGGATTGCTTGAGCTCAGGAGTTGGAGACCAACCTGGGCAACATGGCAAGACCCTGTCTCTACTAAAAATACAAAAATCAGCCAGGAGTGGTGACATGTGCCTGTAACCCCAGCTACTAGGGAGACTGAGGCAGGAGAATGGCTTGAACCTGGGAGGCAGAGGTTGCCATGAGCCAAGATCATGCCACTGCACTCCACCCTGGGCAACAGAGCAAAACTCTGTCTCAAAAAAAAAAAAAAAAAAAGTTAACAAACTTAAGGTAAAAATTTGTATATACAGCCAGGCACGGTGGCTCATGCCTGTAATCCCAGCACTTTGGGAGGCTGAGGCGGGCAGATCACGAGGTCAGGAGATTGAGACCATCCTGGCTAACATGGTGAAACCCCGTCTCCACTAAAAATACAAAAATTAGCCAGGCGTGGTGTCGGGCACCTGTAGTCCCAACTACTTGGGAGGCCAAGGCAGGAGAATGGCGTGAACCCGGGAGGCGGAGGTTGCAGTGAGCCGAGATCGCACCACTTCACTCCAGCCTGGGCGACAGAGTGAGACTCTGTCCGCCTTAGGAAAAAAAAAAAAACTGTATATCATGATTCTTCATCTGATTCTGAAGAAGTGCTATAAATACATATTATGAAAATAAAAAACAATAGGGATATCAATGTTGAATATGTGGGTTGCTTAAAAGTAAAGAACCACATATACTTTAGTATGCCTGGTGGATAAGTTAGCCGCCCTTTCCTCCCTCTTTTTACCCTAAAACACCAGATACTTTGCTCATGCTGTTCTGTCTGTTTACGGTGAGAAACTGAGGTTGGAAAAAGCAGTAGCTGAATTAATTGATTCACCCTCCACAAATGCCATTCTCTCTTTCTGGAAGAACTCCATTTGTGCACATAAGCTTCAAATATGTATGCAGCCAGCAAGGTTATCTGGACGAATGCCGCCTTCTGGGATTTTCCTTAGAAAGCATGTTGACACTGTGCAATCTGGCCCCACTACCAAGTAAGCCTTACCCTTGAGCGGAGGAGAGAGAGACTCAGCAAAGGTGTTCCAAAGAACGCTTTCCTAGAGGTGGAAGTAAAAAGTCCACATTATGTCACAGCCATTCTGTCTTCCAAGACCGAAGTCTCAAGATGGGAAAACTCCAGGGAAATTCCTGAGCTGCCCTTCCACCTCTATCCTCATTGCTGCTCTTCCTGCCTTGTTCCTCATCACCCAAGCGAGAAATCTGACATCAGCTTCAGTTCTTCTGGTTCAGTCATTTATGATTTAGAAACGTTTCTGAAATCCATCCCCTTTGTTCTCATAGACACTGACCTAATTTCAGGCTCTCATCACCTTTCATAACTATTACTTTAGCTTCCTAGTTAATCTCCTGTTCAAATCTCTTGTACACTGAAACCAGAGTTGCTTTCCAAAATGCAAATTAATCCAGCCTAGCCAACATGGCGAAATCCCATCTACTAAAAATACAAAAAATTAGCTGGGCATGTCGGTGCACGCCTGAATCCCAGCTATTTGGGAGGCTGAGGCACAAGAATCACTCGAACCTGAGAGGCAGAGGTTGCAGTGAGCTGAGATTGCGCCATTGCACTCCAGCCTCTGTCTCAAAAAAATAAAACAAAATAAATCATGTCACTTCTCTGTGGAATATTCTTCAGGGGCATGAATTCATTAGTCTAATTACACATGGACTTTGTAATCTGACATCAACCCACCTTTGCTACCTGCCCCTCCTCTTTCCTTGATTGGATTGATTGCCATTCCATTCCAGTGCTATGTTCTATCACACCTCTGAGTTTGTGCTCATGATGTTCCCCCTTCCTAGAATGTCTCCTCCCTACCACCCATAGGGACTGCTTTGGGATTTCAATACCATTTCCTGAGCAGCTTTCCCTCCTCCATCTGCTTTCAGCTCAGACTGCCTTCTATGCTGACCTGGACTGACCAGCACTGATACTAGATCTGCTATTTAAGTGCTAGGCTAAAATTGACAATAGCATGTCCTCTCCTCATTTTGGCATCTATAGCACTTGACACATAATAAGCACCAAGTTACTTTTTTTTTTTTTTTTGAGAGTCTCGCTCTGTCGCCCAGGCTGGAGGGCAGTGGCGCGATCTCGGCTCACTGCAGTCTTCGCCTCCCGGGTTCCAGCAATTCTCCTGCCTCAGTCTCCTGAGGAGGTGGGACTACAGGCATGCACTGCCACGCCCGGCTAATTTTTGTATTTTTAGTAGAGATGGCGTTTCACCATGTTGACCAGGCTGGTCTTGAACTCCTGACCTCAGGTGATCTACCCTCCTCGGCCTACCAAAGTGCTGGGATTACAGGCGTGAGGCACCGCGCCTGGCCAGCAAGTGACTTTTTATAATAATTGAACAACTGAATCACTTTATTCTATGGCACAAAGCACAGTTAACAGTGAAGAGATCTGATGTCATTTCCACCAAACTAAGATTTCATGGCTGTCTGCAGACAAGCCATAAGGCTTTGGAGGTGGGGCTTCCTCTGGTATTTAGTTACTGCTGGTCAGAAGCCGTTTTAGCAATACTTCTCTCATGATGAGGGGCCCAGGAGCCCTGAATATGGTCAAGGCGTTCAAAAGAAACTTTCTAAGACCCTGGCCTACAGGAACATTCTCTAAAACAGCTTCAAAGAGGAGACTATAGATAATTTATTACAACCAAAATTCTAATTACCTTCTTTTGTACAGACAGGAAAATCTACTTCCCCCTTTGGCTGATTGTGAGCCTGGTACGGGGACAATGGATCTTCTTTTCAGATTCCAGGAAGTTTTGCTCACTTCAACTTTCTCAAAATTAATGTTGCAGAAAGATAAATGAGTTTCACAGTAACTGAGGACTTTAGAAGTGGAGACATTGGGTGAGGGAACTAGCATAGTCCAGGGAGCTATAGAAATGCTGTTTCACAGTGTATAAGGAAATCAGTTTTTCAAATTAAAAAGCCATATATTAGAAAAGTGGATCAGGGCCAGGGGCCATGGCTCAGCCTGTAATCCCAGCACTTTGGAAGGCCAAGGGGGGAAGATCCCTTGAGGCCAGGAGTTCAAGACTAGCTTGGGCAACATAGCAAGACCCCATCTCTAAAAAAAGAAAAAGAAAAAAAAAAGAAGCCGGGTGCAGTGGCTCACACCTGTAATCCCAGCACTTTCGGAGGCTGAGGCGGGCGGATCACTTGAGGTCAGGAGTTTGAGACCAGCCTGACCAACATGGTAAAACCCTGTCTCTACTAAAAATACAAAAATTAGCTGGGCATGGTGGCATGCACCTGTAATCACAGCTACTCAGAAGGCTGAGGCAGGAGAATCACTTGAACCCAGGAGGCAGAGGTTGCAGTGAGCTGAGGTTGTGCCACTGCACTCCAGCCTGGTCAACAGAGCGAGACTCTGCCTCAAAAAAAATAAATACGTAAAATAAAATTTAAATTTAAATTTAAAAAATTTTAAAAAGAAAAGAAAAAGAAAAAGAATTAGCCAGTATGGTGGTATCCCAGCTACTCGGGAGGCTGAGGCAAGAGGATTGCTTGAGCCCAGGAGATCAAGGTTGCAGTGAGTTGTGATTGTGCCACTGCACTCCAACCTACATGACAGAGTGAGGCCCAGTTTCTAAAAAAAATTAAAACAGGAGGTGGAGAAAAATAAAGAAAAATGAATAAAAGGAGATGAAAAGCAAATTAATTCAACAACGCTTTTTGAGGACCTATGTCATGTCTGATTTTTTATTTATTTTATTTTATTATTTTTTTGAGACAGAGTCTCACTCTGTCACCCAGGATGGAGTGCAGTGGTGCGATCTCACCTCACTGCAAGCTCCGCCTTCCAAGTTCACGCCATTCTCCTGCCTCAGCCTCCTGAGTAGCTGGGACCACAGGCGCCCGCCACCACGCCCAGCTAATTTTTAGTATTTTTAGTAGAGACAGGGTTTCACCGTGTTAGCCAGGATGGTCTCAATCTCCTGGCCTTGTGATCCGCCTGCCTCGGCCTCCCAAAGTGCTGGGATTAGAGGTGTGACGCACCGCGCCTGGCCTTCATGTCTGATTTTTAAAAATTGCTTCATTTGGCCAGGTGCAGTAGCTCATGCCTCTAATCCCAGCACTTTAGGAGCCAAAGCAGGAGGATCACTTGAGTCCAGGAGTTTGAGACCAGCCTGAAGAACATAGTGAGACCCGCATCTGTACAAAAAAATAAAATTAATCAGGCATCGTGGCATGTGCCGATAGTCCCAGCTACTCAGGAGGCTGAGGTGGAAGGATTGCTTGAGCCTGGCAGGTTCAGGTTGCAGTAACCCAAGATCCTGTCACTGCACTCAGGCCTGGGCAACAGAGCAAGACACTTTCCTTTTTTGTTTGTTTTGTATTTTTTTTTGAGATAGAGTCTCGCGCCATCGCCCAGGCTGGAGTGCAGTGGTGTAATCTCGGCTCACTGCAAACTCTGCCTCCCGGTTTCAGGCAATTCTTCTGCCTCACCTTCCCAAGTAGCTGGGATTACAGGCACATGCCACCACTCCCAGCTAATTTTTTATATTTTTGGTAAAGACAGAGTTTCACCAGTTGGCCAGGCTGGTCTCAGACTCCTGACCTCAAGTGATCCACCTGCCTTGGCCTTCCAAAGTACTGAGATTACAGGCATGAGCCACCGCACCCAGCCACAGAGCAAGACACTTTCTCAAAAAACAATTGCTTTATTTTTCTCAGCCCACTAAGAACTAACATTGAAGTAACAATCTCAATGAAAGATTCTTAAATCCTTTATTGCCAGTCTCAGTTTATAGTCTACTCTAGATTCATTTGTGAAGAATGAAATTATTTGTATCCACTTTAATTTGGCATCTTGCATGGCACGGGTTTGGAGATTCTGTGCTTTAGCAGCCAAAATGTCACAGGCCTTGCTATTAATAGTTCCTGGTGGCATGGGATAGAGGAAAAAGACAGGTGGACTTAGAAACATTAGCTTGGCCGGGCACTGTGGCTCACGTCTGTAATCCCAGCACTTTGGGAGGCCGAGGCAGGCGGACCACTTGAGGCCAGTTGTTCAAGACCAGCCTGGGTAACATGGCAGAACCCTATCTCTACAAAAAATACAAAAAATTAGCCAGGCATGATGGCATGTGCCTGTAATACCAGCTACGCAGGAGGCTGAGGCATCAGGATCACTTGATCCCAGGAAGCAGAGGTTGCAATGAGCCAAGATCGTGCCACTGCACTCCAGCCTGGGTGACATAGTAAGACTCTGTCTTAAAAATAAATAAATAAAAAATAAACAAGTGGCCAGGCGCGGTGGCTCACACCTGTAATCCCAGCACTTTGGAAGGCCGGGGCAGGTGGATCACCAGGTCAGGAGGTGGAGACCATCCTGGCCAACATGGTGAAACCCCGTCTCTACTAAAAATACAAAAATTAGCCGGGCGTGGTGGCAGGAACCTGTAGTGCCAGCTACTCAGGAGGCTGAGACAGGAGAATCGCTTGAACCTGGGAGGCGGAGGTTGCAGTGAGCCAAGATCACACCACTGCACTCCAGTCTGGGCAACAGAACCAGACTCCGTCTCAAAAATAAATAAAGAAGTGATTTTTAAATGGATAGGATGGAAGTGAGGAAACACCCATCCTCCTGTCTAGTCTAGAGAGTAAAACATTTAAGAAAGTGGACAAATGTTTAACTCTAGGGACATTAAAGAATGCTAATGTCTCTCCTTAGGCATAATTAGAAGCCAGTGCTTGCATTGTAGTTAAGTCCTGTTGAATACTAGATAACAATGGACATTTCTTTTACAGGACTACCTGTCAGGAGATCTGAGGTTACCCTTCGATTTTTTTTTTTTTTTTTTTGAGACGGAGTCCCACTTTGTTGCCCAGCCTGGAGTGCAATGGCGCGATCCCGGCTCACTGCAACCTCTGCCTCCCGGGTTCAAGCGATTCTTCTGCCTCAGCCTCCCGAGTAACTGGGAGTATAAGTATGTGCCACCACGCCTGGCTAATTTTTGTATTTTTAGTAGAGACAGGGTTTCACCAGGTTGGCCAGGCTGGTCTCGAACTCCTGACCTCGCGATCTGCCTGCCTCGGCCTCCCAAAGCGCTGGGATTACAGATGTGAGCCACTGCATCCGGCCGTTTTTTTTGTTTTGTTTTGTTTTGTTTTCCCGAGACAAGGTCTCACTCTGTCACCCAGGCCGGAGTGCAGTGGTGTGATCTCAGCTCACCGCAGCATTGACTTGCCCAGGCCAGGTGATTCTCTCACCTCAGCCTCCCAAATAGCTGGGACTACAGGTGTGCACCACCATGCCCAGCTAATTTTTGTATTTTTAGTAGAGACAGGGTTTCACTGTGTTGCCCAGGGTGGTCTCGAATCCTGAGCTCATACAATTCGCCCACCTCAGCCTCCCAAGGTGCTGGGATTACAGGCATGAGCCACTGCTTCTCGCCTACCCTTGGATTTTATGTTGCAAAATATTACCTACATTAGCCACACACGGTGGCGCTTGCCTGTAATCTCAGCTACTCCGTGGCTGAGACACGAGAACCACTTGAGCCCGGGAGGCAGAGTTTGCAGTGAGCTGAGATCGCACCACTGCACTCCAGCCTGGGTGACAGAGCGAGACTCTTTAAAAAAATATAAAAAATTACCTACAGTTTCTTATCAGAATTACTGAATCATAATGCTACAAAAGTCCCTAGAGTCATCTGTGAGTGTTTCTCAGCTGGATGACGCAAGAATCAACTAAGGGTTTTCAAAAATATGTTACCTGGGCCTCCCTACAGGCCAATTATATCAGAGTCTCCAGGTGGGGCCTGGGCGGCTGCAGCTAGTTAAATCTCTCCAGGTGATTCTGATGTTCCATGAGAGGAGAACCCCTGACACCCAACCTCCAGTTTAAAGAAGAGGAACTAACCCAGGGCCCAGATAATGACTGTCCAGGAGCATGCACTAGTGGCTCCCAGGGGTGGGGCCCAAGTCCCCTGCCCCCAGGTCAGCATGCTTTGACTAAGACCACAGAGTCTCACCCAGATTCCAGATAGGAGAGAATGGTGACTTGGTTCCATTTCAGAGTGCTTTTTGCTTTGGTTTACTCCCAGCAGCAAATGGGCAGGGCTGGGGATGGAAGCCAAACACATAGGGTGTGTCTCCCGATACCTCTCTTAAATCTCAGGGAGACACAGTCAGGACTGCAATATCTTATCAGTGCCTGGATGGGGAGGGGACTGCCAGGTAGGGGAGGAGAGATGTGGACTCACTGCCGCCCATATCTCCAGTCTCCTCAGCACCTAGAAACAACTTACACTGCCTTATAAGGCTGAAATGCTGCTGCCAGAGAGCTGTGGGGCCCAGGCCTTGAATTCTTGGTGCACCAGTGCTTGACAGGCTCCCCTTATTTCCCACTGGCACCGCTGGGCCTAGGGGTTTTCCTATTGTTTTTCTAAAGGCATTCCAAGGCCAGGACAATGTTAATTTAAGTTCCTCCAGGCTGAATTTTTTTTTTTTTTAATTACAGAGGGGTGTCACTATGTTGCCCAGGCTAGAATGCTGTGCACTACAACAGGCTCAATTCTCTCTCTCTCTCTTTTTTTTTTTTTTGTCGGAGATGAGATCAGCTAATAACAGACTCAATTCCTGACCTTCCTAGTTTTCTGAGACTGCATCCACTTTGATAGTTTCTACTGAGTCCAAATTAGAACATCCCAGCTGGTGGGCTGTCTCCCAGGAAGCCCTCGGAGAGGAGCGGTGCATAGGGGGCACCTGGACACAGCCCACCTCCCCCGAGTAGCGTCAGGTAGGCTTGTCTATCTACATCCTTTCGCCCTTTCTCAGGAAACTATCAGATGATGTGCTCCCCCAGATGAAGAAGTAGTGCCAGGAAAAAGGAGACACGGGATACAGGGATCCTGAAGCCGGCGGAGGACAAGGGAGCTCCTGGGAGGACAGCTGTGCTCCGGCCTAGCAATAGCGAGCAGCTGGTCCAGACTGCCGCCGTGACTCAGAAGATAGACATGCGGAGGGTTATGATCACAGAGCAACGATGGTCCTTGTACATGAAGATAAAAATGCTCAGGTGTGCCCAGGTTGAAGAAGATGAAAGGCCCTGCCTCCCAGAGCGCCCGGGGACACTGGTGATCTCTTCCAGGTCTGTTTCCACCCACTGCAGCTGTGGTGAGTCTAGAGGCAGAAAATTCATAGCAGCCCATGCCCTTTGACCATGTTTCTGCTGGTCAGCCTGCACCTCACTCACACTACGCCCTGTGACACAACCCCAGACAGACTCTGGAGAACTCAAGGGGACGTGGAAGCCAGGCTCTGCCCGGAAGCTCCACTCAGGTCATCTTCAGGGAGCCGTGGGAGCATCATTGCCCTCCCCTTTCAAAGCTAGGTCTGTGCTTACTGCTCAGTTTTTTTCCAAACTAAACAATGTTTTTGAGAGATTCACAGAGAGATAAAAGCAATTAGGAATAAATGCCAGGGGGTGGTTAACACAAAGGTGGGGATATTGGTTACCTCTGGAGAGGAAAGGGGATGGAATGGCAGAGTGCTCAAGGGTCTCTGGAGGTGCTCCTGTCTCCAGTGTAGTCACGTGAGGTTCACTTTATTCTTTAATCTGTACATACACTTTTTTTTTTTTTCTGAGATGGAGTCCCACTCTGTCGCCCAGGCTGGAGTGCAATGGTGTGATCTCCGCTCACTGCAACCTCCACCTCCCAGATTCAAGCGATTCTCCTGCCTCAGCCTCCTGAGTAGCTGGGACTACAGATGTGTGCCACCACGCCTGGCTAATTTTTGTATTTTTAGTAGAGACAGGGTTTCACCATGTTGGCCAGGCTGGTCTCAAACTCCTGACCTCAAGTGATCCGCCTGCCTCGGCCTCCCAAAGTGCTGGGATTACAGGCGTGAGCCACTGTGCCTGGCCTGTACATACACATTCTCTATAAAATATTTTGAAATAAGCACTTTTAATTAATTAAGGATTGTTCTGGAAAAGAAAAAAACTTTCTACTGAAATAATTGGCTGAGATAGAAGTAATTATGTCTTAAATGATCTAGATAATTTTATGACTGGCTGAAGCCTCAGCATCAGAAGCAAGGGCTGAACATTTTGGCTTCCTGCCAACCTTGACTCACTGAGCAAATGAATTTACCTTCAACAATATGTACAGTCCAGATGTGCATTTGTGCCTGTCTCATTCTCAATATGAAATATGTTTTGAGAATTGTTTGGGGTAAAAACAACAAATGATCTCTTTTGTCCACATACTTTTCACCGTTCCTTCCTCGGCAGCCAAGTCGACTCAGCTGGCTCTTTGGGACCTGGCACATTAAAACTAAAATGTGCTCCAGTGGACTTCACTGTGTTTTTTTCTTTCTTTAACCAGCACAGGAGCTGCAGAAGGGCATTTTGAAGTCTGGAGGTAATGCCAGTTGGCCTGGGCAGGGAACAATGTGTGATTAAGCAGTGAAGGGGATAAGGGACAAATTCCGGGAGCCCTGCTTATCTCTGCTGGAATTACTGTACTGCAGGTCTCAAATCCTGAAGGATCCTGTATTTGTTTTCACCTGGAACCTGGACCACATTCAGGTGGCAGATTAAAATTAAGCCAAGTTCATTCCAGGCCATCCTAATGATTTTTTAATTAGCATCAGTGCACAGTGTAGTAATTTGCAGTTCATAGTCCACTTGTAAGTTGAAATTAGAAACTGCAAGGACAGTAATATAAGTGGGAGGAGAGATTTCATTAATCCCGTCAACAAATATTTATTGACTGCAGCTGTGCTAGTGGGTAATGATAATACAGCTAAGAGCCAAAACAAAGTTCCTCCCCTATGGGCCTTTCTTTCCAGTGGGAAGAGGGTACAGGGTACAGTCAATAAATCCAAATATATATATTTATGTATGCACACAGATATATATATAAAACAAGTGGAATGTGCTGTGAAGAAGAAGCAGGGTAAGGCTCTGGAAAGGGCCAAGGGTGTGCGTGAGTGGGGTGGTTACTGTATAGAGATTGGCCACGCCGGGTGCAGTGGCTCACGCCTGTAATCCCAGCACTTTGGGAGGCCGAGGTGGGCGGATCACCTGAGGTCTGGAGTTCGAGACCAGCCTGACCAACATGGAGAAACCCCATCTCTACTAAAAATACAAAATTAGCCAAGCGTGGTGGCGCATGCCTGTAATTCCAGCTACTCGGGAGGCTGAGGCAGGAGAATGGCTTGAACCCGGGAGGCAGAGGTTGCTGTGAGCTGAGATCGTGCCATTGCACTCCAGCCTGGGCAATAAGAGTGAAACTCCCTCTCAAAAAAAAAAAAAAAAAAAAAAAGAGAGATTGGCCAGGAAAGGCCTCTGGCAAGATGATCTCTGAAGGAAGTGAGAGTAAGTGGTGCAGCTTTTGGGAGGAAGATAGTGCTGGGCAGAGGGAAGAGCAAAGGCTACGTCTCTGCATTCCAAGATTACAAATAGAGGGTAACATTCACCCTCCACCCCTCAACGCCTCTTTCCTGTGACCTTCGGGAGCTGCAGAACTTCAGTGTCCATCAGTCAGAGGCAATGCCCCTGACCCAGACGCCTCTAGTTGAGAGATAGACAGAGCTGGATTTATAGCACCACAGACCTGACCTGGAATGAGACTTGCAAGTATGTCAGGGAGCTGCACGCTAACCTAGGAAGAGGCTGGCCAGGTACCATTTTCTGTATGGTTATGATGAAGCAGCTGGTACAAATGTTAGGGGACAGTGGCACATGGTGGGGGAAAAGCCCAGCGCTCAGCTTCTGGTCTGGCTTTTCTACCTTAGGACCTTTTACTGTGGTCTGTGGGTCTTGGGGTCTGTGGGTCTTGGGGTCTGTGATTGGATAAATGAAGGTAAGTAGACTGGGAAGGACAGAACAGGGAACACAGATCTGCTTTGGCCGGGCATGGGTGGCTCAAGCCTGTAACCCCAGCACTCATAATGACTTACAAAAGCATTCATTCATAACTTACAAAAGCATTCATAATGGTGGCCTTTGAGAGCTGGGATTATGGACAACTTATATACCTTTTTGCTACTTTTATGTGAATTTCTACAAATTACTTTTTTTTCTTTTTGAGACAGGGTCTGGCTCTGTCGCCCAGGCTGGAGTACAGGGGCATGATCTCAGTTCACTGAACCCTCCTGGGTTCAAGCAATCCTCCTGCCTTAGCCTCCCAAGTATCTGGGACGACAGGTGTGCTCCACCACGCCTGGCTAATTTTTCTATTTTTAGTAGAGATGGGGTTTCGCTATGTTGGCCAGGCTGGTCTTGAACTCCCGACTGCAAGTGATCCACCTGCCTCGGCCTCCCAAAGTGCTGGGATAACAGGCATGAGCCACTGTACCTGGCCTACAAATTACTTTAGCAACAGAAAAAGAAGGTGAGCAAAGTTATGCACAAGTGTATTAACAAACTGCTCTCCTGTACCTAAATCAGTCATTCCTTTTTTTGAGACAGAGTTTCACTCTTGTTGCCCAGGCTGGAGTGCAATGGCATGATCTCTGCTCACCACAACTTCCGCCTCCTGGGTTCAAGTGATTCTCCTGCCATGCCCGGCTAATTTTGTATTTTTAGTAGAGACGGGGTTTCTCCATGTTGGTCAGGCTGGTCTCAAACTCCCAATCTCAGGTGATGCGCCCGCCTCAGCCTCCCAAAGTGCTGGGATTACAGGCGCGAGCCACTGCACCCGGCCACTAAATCAGTCATTCTATCCAGTTCCTTGCATTTACTCCTTTCTTGTGCTAACCCACAGCCAGTACTTAAGAGTATTTAAGTCCTCTCTCCTTTCATGAGTCACTCCTTTTTGTCTTGTGACTATACTTGGAAAAATTTTATTATTCATTCATTTATTTATTTATTTATTTATTTATTTATTTATTTATTTATTTATTTTTAGATGGAATCTTGCTCTGTTGCCCAGGCTAGAATGCAGTGGCGTGATCTTGGCTCACCAAAAATTCTGCCTCCTGGGTTCAAGTGCCTCCACACCCAGCTAATTTTGTATTTTTAGTAGAGACGAGATTTCACCATGTTGGCCAGGCTAGTCTTGAACTCCTGACATTGTGATCCACCCACCTCAGCCTCCCAAAGTGCTAAGATTACAGGTGTGAGCCACCATGCCCGGCCTACCTGGAGCATTATTAAAACCTTAAACCTTTAAATTTTTCATCATTGTGCTTTGTTTCCTTAAAGATTAGGAAAGGGATTGTCAGCGGATAAGACTTGCCCTCTTCTGCTGCTCTCTAGCCGTGGGCAAGTTCCTTCCACTCACTGTGTGTCATTTTCTTCATCTGTAAACACAGGATAATAGTAACAACACCTCTCTCCTAGGGCCTGGACGGGGCATGCCAGTAAGGGGTCCTGAAGCTTAGGCCCCTGGGATTTGGATAGAGAAAGTCATGGTGAAGGTGGGTGTGACATTGGTGAGGTGGCATTGGACACCCTTCAGGGCCTCTCCTGTCCTCTGTACACTCCAGACAGTGCCCATTTGTGCAGAGGCTGTCCTGGGTCTCTGCCTGAGGGCTTTCTCTGCTCCTCTACCCCAGACCAATCCGAAGTGTCCCCACGAGCAACCTTCAACCAAAGAGGGACAGGAGTCGGTGAACATGCACCTCAGCCTCCTCACCTCTCCGAGGAACTTTAAAAAAATCTTGTATTGGCTGCATGGCAGAGATGGGGGGATTGCTTGAGCCTATGAGTTCACAACCAGGCCTAGGAACATAGTGAGACCTCCCTCTTCCCTCGGCCCAACCCGCCAACACCCCCATCTCTACAGAAAATTTTAAAATTAGCCAGGCTTCGTGGTGGGAACCGTAAAAATCTAAGAAGGGTCTCAGTTAATTTAGAAAGTTTATTTTTGGCTGGGAGCAGCAGCCCACACCTGTAATCCCAACACTTTGGGAGACCGAGGCAGGCGGATCACTTGAGACCAGTTCATGACAGCCTCAGGAGGTCCTGATGACATGTGCCCAGGTAGTGGGGGCACAGCTTGGTTTTATTTTTATTTTTTACTTTTTAAATTATTATTATTTTTTTGAGACGGAGCCTTGCTCTGTCATCCAGGCTGGAGTGTAGTAGCATGATCATGGCTCACTGTAACCTCCGCCTCCTGGATTCAAGCGATCCTCCTGCCTCAGCCTCCCAGGTAGCTGGGATTACAGGCACATGACACCACACCCGTCTCATTTTTGTATTTTTTAGTAGAGATGGGTTTTCACCATGTTGGTCAGGCTGGTCTTGAACTCCTGACCTCAGGTGATCTGCCTGCCTTGGCCTCCCAAAGTGCTGGGATTACAGGCGTAAGCCACCACGCCCGGCCACACAGCTTGGTTTTTTCTTTTTTTTTTTTTTTGAGACGGAGTTTCGCTCTTTCACCCAGGCTGGAATGAAGTGGTGTGATCTCAGCTCACTGCAGCCTCTGCCCCCCAGGCTCAAGCGATTCTCCTCCCTCAGCCTCCCGAGTAGCTGTGATAACAGGTGCCCGCCACCACGCCCGGCTAATTTTTGTATTTTTAGTACAGACGGGGTTTCACCACATTGGCCAGGCTGGTCTCAAACTCCTGACCTCAGGTGATCCATCTGCCTCGGTCTCTCAAAGTGCTAGGATTACAGGCGTGAGCCACCGCGCCAGCCAACAGCTTGGTTTTATACATTTTAGGGAGACATGAGAAGTCAATCAATGTAATATGTACATTGGTTCTGTCCGGAAAGGTGGGACAACTCAAGCAGGGAGAGGGTTTCCAGGTGACAGGTAGGTGAGAGACAAAGGGTTGCATTCTTTTGACTTTCTGATTAGCCTTTCCAAAGGAGGCAATCAGATATGCATCTATCTCAGTAAGCAGAGGAATGACTTCCTAATTTTTTTTTTTTTTTGAGACGGACTCTTGCTCTATCACCCAGGCTGGAGTGCAGTGGCATGATCTCCGCTCACTGCAAGCTCCACCTCCTGGGTTCACGCCATTCTCCTGTCTCAGCTTCCCGAGTAGCTGGGACTACAGGCACCTGCCACCATGCCCGGCTAATTTTTTGTATTTTTAGTAGAGATGGGGTTTCACCATGTTAGCCAGGATGGTCTCAATCTCCTTACCTCGTGATCTGCCTGCCTCGGCCTCCCAAAGTGCTGGGATTACAGGCATGAGCCACCTGCCCAGCTGAGCAGAGAAATGACTTTCAACAGAATGGGAGGTAGGTTTGTCCTAGCAGTTCCCATCTTGACTTTTCCCTTTAGCTTAGTGCTTTTAGGGCTCCAAGGTTTATTTTTCTTTCACAGTGGCATATGCCTGTAGTATCAGCTGAGGTAGGAGGATCATTGGAGCCTGGGAGGTCAAGGCTGCACTTAGTGATTACGCTATTGCACACCAGCCTGGGTGACAGAGTGAGACTCTCTCAAAAAACAAAAAATGGCCAGGCATGGTGGCTCTCACCTGTAATCCCAGTCCTTTGGGAGGCCAAGACAGGCGGATCACCTGGGGTTGGGAGTTTGAGACCAGCCTGGCCAACATGGTAAAACCCCATCTCTACTAAAAAAATACCAGAATTAGCCAGGCATGGTGGCAGGTGCCTGTAATCCCAGCTACTCAGGAGGCTGAGGCAGGAGAATCGCTGGAACCTGGGAGGCGGAGGTTGCAGTGAGCCGAGATCGTACCATTGCACTCCAGCCTGGGTGACGGAGCGAGACTCTGTCTCAAAAAACACAAAACACAAAACAAAAAATCTTGTATTGTAAAATCCAGATACAGAAAAATACACAGAGCAAACGTGCAGCTTAATGAATTACTCCAAGGCAAACACCTCTGTAACCATTGGTGGGACATTGCGAGAGCTCTCAGGAGTCCTGGGGAATGAGCTCCAGTTGCCTACAGTGGTTACCTGCTCCTTAAGTGACACACGCTTTACTGGCCTGCTTTTTTGGATTTCCTTTTCTCACTCATTTCAGGATCACCTTCCAAATAAGCCATATACCCAAATTCTCATCTCAGGGTCAGTTTTTGGTGAAACTAGAAATCAGGCCGTTTCTAAGGAAGTCTTCTTTAAAGAGGTGGCATTTGAGCTGAGAGCTGATTATTGAGAGGGAGGTGGCTCTGTGAGCTCTGGTCTAGTGTCTACGCAGAGGACACCAAGCAGGCCCTGGGACACAGCAATCCTGAGTGTGTTTGGAGCAGAAAGCAGCCCATGGTGGCTGGACCACAGGGAGAGATGGCCTGGGAGAGTCAGGCAGGAGCCTAATCATATGGTTTACAGCCCTGCGTGTGTGTGTTGGGGTTGGGGGGGGGGGGCTGGGTGTGTGTATGTGAGCAACGTGTGAGTCATGTGGGATGGGAGGCCCCCTTGCACTTTCCTTCTCAGCCCCTTGCCACCTGACATCCACACTCACACATCCTCACAGGCAGTTCCGTTTTGAAAACCTGATTTCATGTGGCCAGTCCAGTCTTAGGACAAATATATATTCATAGAAGGCAATTTAAAAAGCCAAGTCGGCCGGGCGCGGTGGCTCACGCCTGTAATCCCAGCACTTTGGGAGGCCGAGGCGGGCGGATCACGAGGTCAGGAGATCGAGACCATCCCGGCTAACACGGTGAAACCCCGTCTCTACTAAAAATACAAAAAATTAGCCGGGCGTGGTGGCGGGCGCCTGTAGTCCCAGCTACTCGGGAGGCTGAGGCAGGAGAATGGCGTGAACCCGGGAGGCGGAGCTTGCAGTGAGCCGAGATCCCGCCACTGCACTCCAGCCTGGGTGACGGAGCGAGACTCCGTCTCAAAAAAAAAAAAAAAAAAAAAAAAGCCAAGTCATCTCAACCCGAGCTACACTAGATGCACGGCTGTGTCAGTTACCAGAGTCCAGCTCGGTGTTGGCTAATAGTGGAAGCACAACTTCCATTGCCAAAGCTCAGAGACAGAAACTCCGGAGATGGAGCAGGCAGATAAGTGTGTGGCTGGCGCAGAGCCAGGCCCTCGGAGATGACGAGCATGTCTCTCACCAGCCCCTTCTGCAGTGAGTGGCTGTCCCACGGGTCTCTCCAGCTGCCAGGGGAGAATGAATTAGGGTGTTGAGAATTACCCAAACCCAAGGCTGGGGAGGGTGTGACTCCATCTAGGCCAGTCCTTGTCTTTGCTAATCCAGCATGACCCAGGCCTGCTGTGGAATATTTTGGAATATATTGGAATATTTGGAATATATTGACAGTGCAAGTTAAGAGTTTTGTTGATTAAAAAAAAAATACTCAAGTCAAATTTATAGAAACAGAAAGTAAAGTGCTAGTTGCCAGGGGCTGGGGGAGGGAAAATAGGGAGCTGTTTAATGAGCATGGAATTTCGGTTTTTCTTTTTTCCTTCTTCTTCTTTTTATTTTTTTTTTCTTTTTCTTTCATTTTTTTATTTTTATTTTTTGAATCTCAGATTTTCAAGATGAAAAGTTCTGGAGATAGGTTGCATAACAATGTGAATGTATGTAATACTCCTGAACTGGACACGTGAAAATGGTAACAATGGGCTGGGTGCGTTGGCTAATGCCTGTAATCCCAGCACTTTGGGAGGCCGAGGCGGGTGGATCACCTGAGGTCAGGAGTTTGAGACCAGCCTGACCATATATGGTGAAACCCCATCTCTACTAAAAATACAAAAAAAAATTAGCCAGGTGCAGTGGTGGGCGCCTGTAATCCCATCTACTTGGGAGGCTGAGGCAGGAGAATTGCTTGAACCCGGGAGGCAGAGGTTGCAGTGAGCTGAGATTGCACCATTGCACTCCAGCCTGGGCAACAGAGTGAGACTCTGTCTCAAAAAGAGAAAAAAAAAATGGTAACAATGGTGTATTTTATGTTCTTTGTATTCTATGATAATTTTTTTTTTTATTTCTTAAAAAATAAACTCAGACAATAGTTTGGGCAGCAAGCACCGACTGCCATGGTTTGGAACAAGTGTGACCTGTGCTCTGACTGCTGGCACTGTCCCAAATGACTGACTCCTGTAGCTTGGTGTTCCCAGTGGCATCAGTAACCAGCATTACCACAACCCCTGCAGTGAGTGACAGTGCTTTTCCCATCTGATTTCCAAGGCATCTCAAGGTCCCGGGAGGGAGGTAAGAAAAGATAGACAAGATAGATAAAGGAAACCAGCCCAGGGAAGGTAATTTGCTTCAGTCACACTGGCAACACAACCTGTCTTTCTTTCCTGTCCCTGGCTCTGAGATGCCTAAGGGGCTGCACTCCCAAGTCGGGGTTCTTCCTGGGCCCCCGGCCACCGGGTTTGACACCGGTGGCTTATTAAACAGCTGCTCATCATCCCCTGGTCATGAGGAGGGGGAGTCAGTGACTTGAGGCACTCACAACATCCAGATTCCTTTTGGCAAACAGGACCCCAGGCCGAGGAGTTCTGCTTGCTTGTCCTGGGATGGCCATCTGATGATCTCAGCTGGGCTTTGCAGAGTGCTGTGGTTTGGAGAACTGTTTCTGAGCCAGCTCTGAAAACTATTTGGTTAAATGTGAGCTCCAGGCCACAGACTCCTGTTCCTGCTTTCAATTCTGCATTCTCCTGACCATTGGAGTGTGGAAGTAGCTTGGGGTGTTCATGGGCTGCCCCTCCCCCAACCCACACACTCACCCTCACTGAGAGCCACTGCTTGGCCTGCTGCCTGTGTTCCTGGGAGTGGGACGGTTCATATTATCATTAGAAAACCCCATCAGTTATACTAAGTAGAAAGCGGGCTCTGAATTTGAGGAAAATTATCATTGTAAAATCCTTTTTAAGAAATACAAACTTTGGGCCGGGCATAGTGGTTCACGCCTGTAATCCCAGCACTTTGGGAGGTTGAGGTGGGCAGATCACCTGAGATCAGGAGTTCGAGGCCAACGTCATGAAACCCCATCTCTACTAAAAATACAAAAACTAGACAGGCGTGGTGGCATGCACCTGTAGTCCCAGCTACTCGGGAGGCTAAGGTGGGAGAATCGCTTGAACCCGGGAGATGGAGGCTGCAATGAGCAGAGATCGCGCCACTGTACTCCAGCCTGGGCTATTGAGTGAGACTCCATCTCAAAAAAAAAAAAAAAAACACAAATATTGGCCAGGTGTAGTGGCTCACTCCTGTAATCCCAGCACTTGGGAGGCTGAGATGGGAGGATTGCTTGAGGCCAGGAATTTAAGAGTTCAAGGCCTTTCTCTTAGCCAGGCTCAGTGGCTCACACCTGTAATCCCAGCACTTTGGGAGGCCGAGGCAGGTAGATCACTTGAGGTCAGGAGTTCGAGACCAGCCTGGTCGACATGGTGAAACCTGTCTCTACTAAAAATACAAAAATTAGCCAGCCAGGTGTGGTGGCGGGTGCCTGTAATCCCAGCTACTCGGGAGGCTGAGGGAGGAGAATTGCTTGAACCTGGGAGGCAGAGGTTGCAGTGAGCCGAGATCGTGCCATTGCACTTCAGCCTGGGCAACAAGAGCTAAAGGAAACTCTGTCTCAACAACAACAACAACAAAGAGTTCACGAGCAGTCTGGGCAACATAGTGAGCCCGGACCCAGTCTCTTTTTTTTTTTTTTTTTTTTTGAGACACAGTCTCCCTGTGTCACCCAGGCTGGAGTGCAGGGGCGCAATCTCGGCTCCCTGCAACCTCCTCCTACCAGGTTCAAGCAATTATCCTGCCTCAGCCTCCCAAGTAGCTGGGATTACAGGTGCACGCTATCATACCCAGTTAATTTTTTGTATTTTTACTAGAGATGGGGTTTCACTGTGTTGGCCAGGCTGGTCTTGAACTCCTGGCCTCAAGTGATCAACTCACCTTGGCCTCCCAAAGTCCTGGGATTACAGGCATGAGCCACCACGCCCGGCCTGGTCTCTTTTTAATTAAAAAAAGAAAAAGAAAAATGCAATGTCATGGACTTTGTAGACATTGGGTTAGAATTTTGGCTGCATGACTTTAGACAAGTTACTTATTCCTTCCTATTAGTTTATTTTCTTGGCTGCAAAATGAGGATAATACCAATGTAAGGATGAAACAGTCCATAAAGAGATGAGCACAGGCCCCGGCACTTGGCAGGAGCCCCATCAATATTGTCAGCTCCCAGTTAGGATTCTCTAGGAATAACCAGACTCGTTGTATGCATTGTCCTTTGGTTCTCAAAAACAGTTTGGCCTCTTAGTATAGAATTCTGTGAGGTAGGTTAAAGTTCTTCTTACGTCCTTGCTTATGTTATTAATTTACTCAGCAAACTTTCCCAGATCCAAGGTAACCTTTAGAGCAGTCAGGTACAAATGGGTCTGGAGCAATGTTACTCTCTTCCCTGGCAGTGCAGTCATGAGCCTGAGCTGGCTGCAGAGAAGAGCTCACTGCATCTCCCTGGAATGTGGGGAGTTGACTGGGGAGTGGATGGGGCCCAGCCCTCCCCAGAGAAGAATATCTTTCTGATCACTGCCGTCTGTGGTGGGGCATTCAGACTCCAGGATTCCCAACTGGACGGCAGCAATCCCTCATTTCATACGTGACCAGACGGAGGTTCTTTGTGGATATGTAATTGATGGGTGGTGGTGGTGTGGCAAGGGCTGGGGCTTAGAGTGAGGCTGGTTCAAATCGGGTTCTGGTTCTGCCACTACTCAGAGATCAAGCTGGCCAACTTGATGCAAGTTACCTAACATCCTTGATTCTCAGTTTCCTCCTCCCTAAAATAAGGATAAGATTATCTACTTTACATTGTGTATGTTACAAGGAGATCATATTTTGATTAAAATAGGGAGTGTCATTTTCCTAATATTTGCTTACACTTGTCTCTGATCCTTTTTTTGGGGGGCGGTGGGGGGATGGAGTCTCACTCTGTCTCCCAGGCTGGAATGTAGTTGTGGCGCAGTCTCTGCTCACTGCAACCTCTGCCTCCCGGGTTCAAGCGATTCTTGCACTTCAGGCCTCCTGAGTAGCTGGGATGACAGGTGCGTGCCACCAAGACAGGTATGCGCCACCAAGACCCTGTCTCAAAAAAAGAAAAACAAAAAAAAAACTTTTTTTTTTTTTTTTTTTTTTTGTGAGACAGAATTTTTGCTCTTGTCACCCAGGCTGTAGTGCGATGGTGCGATCTTGGCTCACTGCGACCTCTGCCTCCCAGGTTCAAGTGATTCTCCTGCCTCGGCCTCCCAAGTAGCTGGGATTACAGGTGCCTGCCATCACACCTGGCTAATTTTTGTATTTTTAGTAGAGACAGGGTTTCACCGTGTTGACCAGGCTGGTCTCAAACTCTTGGGCTCAAGTGATCCACCTGCCTCGGCCTCCCAAAGTGCTGGGATTATAGGCATGAGCCACCACCCCCGGCCTTAAAAGAACCCACTTTCTACACTCTCTAGCCTATTTAACAGCCAGCATAGAGGAGAAAAGCAGATTTCTTTTTTTTTTTTTTTTTTTTTTTTGAGACGGAGTCTCGCTCTGTCGCCCAGGCTGGAGTGCAGTGGCATCATCTCGGCTTACTGCAAGCTCTGCCTCCCGGGTTCACGCCATTCTTCTGCCTCAGCCTCCCGAGTAGCTGGGACTACAGGCGCCCGCCACTACGCCCGGCTAATTTTTTTGTATTTTTAGTAGAGACGGGGTTTCACTGTGTTATCCAGGATGGTCTCGATCTCCTGACCTAGTGATCCGCCCGTCTCGGCCTCCCAAAGTGCTGGGATTACAGGCATGAGCCACCACGCCCGGCCGAAAAGCAGATTTCTTAACCTGTGTTTATGGTGGCTAAGGAGGGGAGACTACAGTTCAAAGTAAGAAGGGAATGGGACAACCCCTTGTGCCAAAATATATATATACATCTCAGCTACCTAATGGGAGGGGAATGTAAGGCTTAAACCACCAAGTAGAGAAATGAAGGGCTATTCTGGGTGTTACTGGCCCCTCTGTGAAGACTGTGAGAGCAGCCCTTGGTAATACACTAATAGGGGAGGGAGATTATACAGGCCCTCCTTGGGTTAGCAAATTGCTGACCTGCAAGGATTTAGAACACAACATTGAGGGCAGCTCAATTCCTCCAGGCCTTTTCCACAAAGCATCTATTGTATTTCTTTCTCAGGGATTACTAATACAGGGAAGTGTACCTAGTAACCGGGAGATCCACTCTTGACTCCATAAAAAAGTGACTTATGTTTCTTTGGGTTCCACCTTTCTTCCCAGACGGTGCTGTCTGTTCAAACACTCTCATGCAGCCAGGGTTACAGAGAACTCCCCAGGACACTGTCCTCACCCTTGCTTTTTTTTTTGTTTTTGAGACAGGGTCTTGCTCTATCACCCAGGCTGGAGGGCAGTGGCATGATCTCGGCTCACTGCAGCCTCTATCTCTTGGGCTCAAAGGATCCTCCCACCTCAGCCTCCCAAGTAGCTGGAATCACAGGTGCATGCCACCACACCTGGCTAATTTTTTTTTTTTTTGAGAAGGAGTTTCGCTCTTGTTGCCCAGGCTAGGGTGCAGTGGCACAACCTTTGCTCACTGCAACCTCCAACTCCCAGGTTCAAGTGATTCTCCTGCCTCAGCCTCCCAAGTAGCTGGGATTACAGGTGCCTGCCATCACACCTACCTGATTTTTGTATTCTGAGTAGAGACGGGGTTTCGCCATGTCGGCTAGGCTGGTCTCGAACTCCTGACCTCAGGTGATCCACCCGCCTCAGCCTCCCAAAGTTCTGAGATTACAGGCTTAAGCCACCATGCCTGGCCAATTTTTGTATTTTTGTATTTTTTTTTTTTTTTTTGAAACAGAGTCTCGCTCTGTCACCCAGGCTGGAGTGCAGTGGCGCGATCTCGGCTCACTGCAAGCTCCGCCTCCTGGGTTCACACCATTCTCCTGCGTCAGCCTCCCGAGTAGCTGGGACTACAGGTGCCCACCACCACGCCCAGCTAATATTTTGTATTTTTAGTAGAGACGGGGTTTCGCCGTGTTAGCCAGGATGGTCTCCATTTCCTGACCTCATGATCCGCCCGCCTTGGCCTCCCAAAGTGTGGGCCACCATGCCTGGCCTTTGTATTTTTTATAGAGGTGGGTTTTTGCCGTTTGCCCAGGCTTGTCCCGAACCTCTGGGCTCAAGCAATCCTCCTACCTCAGTTTCCTGAATAGCTGAGACTACAGACATGAGCCTCCACACCTGGCCTGCTTTTGGACTGGTGTACCAGTTCATACATGCCTGTGATAGCAACTGCATTCTGAACTGCAGGGATGCATTTACTTGTCAGCACCTGAAACCTTCCTCCTGAGTTGAGTCCAATTATCAGCTTCATGTGCCATCTGCCAATCCAGATGAAACTTGGCAAATACAAAGCTGTTCATTTCCAGGTGACGCTCCCCACCTTATTTTTCCTCCACCGTTTCATTAACTGAAAAGCTCCTGCATGATCAGACCTGTGTATCTATCCATCATCAAATCCTACTCCTTTTTCAACACTGGGACCCTCCTGAGGCTGTCCCAGCCCTGCGTTTGCTAGCACGCCCTGCAGGCATGACCCTCGCTGGGCTCTGATCAGCCTTCAGGCCTCCACTCCAGGTGTCACTGCTCTGTCTCCCCTCTGCTCTCAGAGCCTCCTCTGCCAGGCGCCTCGGCCATGCTGGCCCTCTGTCTCAGAAGTCAATGTACTGAGCAGGTCTTAGGGATTTATTAGTGATGCTCCTGGGGCTGGAGGCAGTGGCTAACGCCTGTGATCCCAACACTTTGGGAGGCCGAGACAGGAGGACCACTGGAGTTTAGGACCAGCCTGGGGAACACAGTGAGACTCTGTCCCTATACAAAATAAAAATAGGGGCCGGGTGCAGTGGCTCACATCTGTAATCCCAGCACTTTGGGAGGCTGAGGCAGGCGGATCATAAGGTCAGGAGTTCGAGACCAGCCTGACCAACATGGTGAAACCCTACCTCTACTAAAAATATTTAAAAAAAAAATTAGCCGGGCATAGTGGCAGGTGTCTGTAATCCCAGCTACTGGGAAGGCTGAGGCAGGAGAATCGCTTGAACCCGGGAGGTGGAGGTTGCAGTGAGCTGAGATCACACCACTGCACTCCAGCGTAGGTGATAGAAGCAGACTCCATCTCAAAAAAAAAAAAAAAGCCAGGCATGGTGGTGCACGCCTGCGGTCCCAGCTACTCGAGGCTGAAATGGGAGGATTGCTTGAACCTAGGTGGTTAAGGCTGCAGTGAGACATGATCCCACCACTGCACTTCAGCCTGGGTGACAGAGCCAGACCCTGTTTCAAAATAATAATAATAATAATAATAATGTTCTTGGATTTCAAGGGCACAGTTTTTCAGAGCCTTCCTAGCCCTAGGTCATCAAACTGTTCTTGCTTCCTTCCAAATGGCTAAGGCTTCTAGAAGATTTTCCTAACAAGAAATACATGAACTTGTCCAAAGAGCTTCCAAGAGGAATAGCATAAAGCATTGGCTTTAACACACATAGCTTCAGGCCCTGGCCCATGTTGTGTGACCTCAGGCTAGTTACTTGCCTAACCCTGTTTCTTCCTGTGAAAAGTGTGGGAGACAATACCTACCTTCCCAGGCTGCCGTGGATTAGCACAATATTTGCACGTACAGCCTGGCAGAGCACTCACCCTGATCAGCGATAGCAATGTGTGCCCTCTACTCAGTCCCAGCCACATCCTAATTCTCCTGTTTTAAGTCCTTTCTTTCTTAACATGTACCTCCCAGCACTAGAGCATTAGCTCCTTAATTTGGGGCAACATTTTGTCTTTGTATCCTCACTGCCTAGTGCAAGCCTGCCAAAAGCATCTGTAGAATGAATAAATGAATACATAAATGCATTTTTTGCATGGATTTAAACATTAATGTTTCATATTTGAATTTTAGATTCAAGAGTTGGAAAAAAACAGAGACCTAGCCAAAATGCTGGCATACAGGAAATGGTTAATGAGGCAGTAGAGTATGTATGTAGTAATAGGAACATGTGTTTTTCATTCTCATTACTGTTTCAGGACGAGGCTCATAATGTAAGCCAAATGGAATATGGTTAAGGCTTTTGGGTCTGGAGTCCACAGAGTCTGCATTTCAGGTTCAGTTTCTGCAGTTTACTAAGTGTGACCTTCGGCCAGTTACTTAATCTCTCTAAGCCTTTTCTGTCATCTACAAAATGAAGATATTAATAGTACTGCTTATAGCATATAAATGTTGAGACTTAAATACAATAAATTGTGGTTCATACCTGTAATCCCAGCACTTTGGGAGGCCGAGGTGGTTGGATCACTTGAGCTCAGGAGTTTGAGACCAGCCTGGGCAACATAGCGAAACCCCATCTCTACAAAAAATACAAAAATTAGCTAGGTGTGGTGGTGTACACCTGTAGTCAGTCCCAGCTTCTTGGGAGGCTGATGTGGGAGGATTGCTTGACCCTGGGAGGCGGAGGTTGCAGTGAGCTGAGATTGCAACACTGCACTCCAGCCTGGGCCACAGAGCAAGACTCTGTCTCAAAAAAAAAAAAAAAAAAAAAGGAACAACAACAAAAAAGTACAATAGTTCATGTAAAACACTTGGTACAGGACTCAGTGAAAAGTAAGGATTCTCATTGAATGTCCATTATTTGTAGCATAAAATACTTTTACCTAAAGATTATACAAGTGCCCTGTCTTTGGCTGTGTTTTTGTTTTAGAAAAAGCTTCTCAAGTTCAAGGACTCTCCCTGCTGGTCTCTCTCCATTTATCAAGCACTTACTTTAAGTCAAACACCCTGCTAGGTTTGGGAAACAGAAATAAAAGATGTGTCCTGCTCTTAAGGAGTTACAACTTATGGAGAAACAGTGCCTATTTACACAATGGTATGATTAGGGCCATGAAGAGATAATCATTGGTTCTCAAAGTCAAAAAAATTGACACCTGACCTGCTGGGGACTGGGGGTGGGTAACAGAAGGCTGCTGTGAGCCTTGAAGGTGTGAAACTTTGAACCAGAAGAGAAACGGAGAAAGGAGTTTACAACAGAAGGGAGAACTCATGCAAAGCTACTGAGTGATTTCTTAGGACTGTCTGAGACGGGATCTCGCTCTGTCACCGAGGCTGGAGTGTAATGGCGTGCAATTTCAGTTCACTGCAACCTCCGCCTCCTGGGTTCAAGAAGCGAAACTCCAGCCGTGGGCGGTGGCTCAGGCCTGTAATCCCAGCACTTTGGGAGGCCAAGGCGGGCGGATCACGAGGTCAGGAGATTGAGACCATCCTGGCTAACACGGTGAAACCCCGTCTCTACTAAAAATACAAATTAGCCGGGCGTGGTGGTGGTCGCCTGTAGTCCCAGCTACTCGGGAGGCTGAGGCAGGAGAATGGCGTGAACGCGGGAGGCGGAGCTTGCAGTGAGCCAGATCGAGCCACTGCACTCCAGCCTGGGCGACAGAGCAGGACTCCATCTCAAAAAAAAAAGAAAAAAAGAAGCGAAACTCCTACCTCAGCCTCCTGAGTAGCTTAGGACCACAGATGCACACAACACCAGGCCCGGATAATTTTGTTTGGAGTTATTCTTTAGAGGTTATGGGGCCCAGCCTTCTTACTGCCCAGATTGGTAGCTCTCTTAAAGAATGGATCGAGTTGGCAGATGGGAGCCAGAATAATCGGGATGCCTGCTACGAAGACTGAAACTTCCATTCAGGAAAGAAGTGGTTATGTAAGTGGAGACTGGAGTTTTGGAGAGGGATGACAACCCACTCTGTGCATCCAGCAGGTAGTGAGAGGTCTGAAGTGATAGATTTGGAGGTTTTCAGCATTTACATGGCAGCTGCAGCCATTGGCTAAAGTTCTTTTGGTTGTTGTTTTTTTTTTTTGAGACGTAGTCTCACTTTGTCGCCCCGGCTGGAGTGCAGTGGCTCGATCTCGGCTGACTGCAAGCTCCGCCTCCTGGGTTCCCGCCATTCTCCTGCCTCAGCCTCCCAAGTAGCTGGGACTACAGGCGCCGGCCACTACGCCTGGCTAATTTTTTGTATTTTTTACTAGAGATGGGGTTTCACCGTATTGGCCAGGATGGTCTTGATCTCCTGACCTCGTGATCCGCCCACCTCGGCCTCCCAAAGTGCTGGGATTACAGGCGTGAGGCACCGCGCCTGGCCTTTTTTTTTTTTTTGGAGACGTTGTCTTGCTCTGTCGCCCAGACTGGAGTGCAGGGCGTGATCTCGGCTCACGCAACCTTTGCCTCCTGGGTTCAAGCGATTCTCCTGCCTCAGCTTCCCGAGTAGCCAGGACTACAGGCACATGCCACCATGCCCAGATAATTTTGTATTTTTTTTAGTAGAGACAGGGTTTCACCATATTGGTCAGGCTAGTCTTGAACTCCTAACCTCGTGATCCACCTGCCTCAGCCTCCCAAAGTACTGGTATTACAGCCACCACGCCCGGTGCCATTGGCCAGAGTTCTATAGACTTGATGGGAGTACATGATCTCTATGATCTAGCATCAAATCCAGGGGTATGTTTTGCAGATACTTTAGTGACTGAGTAAAATCTGAATTGTAAACTTGGTTCTATTGTCACTCTTTGATTGTTCTTTGAGTAACAGATTAGAAGATACTAGGAATTTTCCTAGGCAAGGGGGTCAGGAAGGGAAAGCAAAGTATTTTGGGGATGAAATGAGGTCTGTGAGACAGGCCTGGCAGTCCCACAGAGGATTCTACTCCTCACCCCGCCCTCAGCATTCTGGGTGTTGTTTTATTCTTTACGAAACTGCAATGTAGCCAACTTTTTTTTTTTTTTAGAGGGTGTTTGTCACCCAAGCTGGAGCGTAGTAGTGCGATCATGGCTCATTGTAGTCTCAATCTCAGCCTCCCAAGTAGCTGGGACTACAGGTGCACACCACCACACCACTCTTATTTTTTGAAAAGATGGGGGCCAGACACAGCGGCTCATGCCTGTAATCCCAGAACTTTGGGAGGCCAAGGCAGGCAGATCACCTGAGATCAGGAGTTTGAGACCAGCCTGGCCAACATAGTGAAAACCTGTCTCTACTAAAAATACAAAAAAAAAAAAAAAAAAAAAAAAATTAGCTGGGCATGGCTGTGCACGCCTGTGATCCCAGTTACTCAGGAAGCTGAGGCAGGAAAGTCGCTTGAACCCAGGAGGCAGAGGTTGTGGTGAGGCAAGATTGCGCCACTGCACTCCAGCCTGGACAACAGAGCAAGACTCCATTTCAAAAAATAAAAAATAAAAAAAGATGGGGTCTCACTATGTTGCCCAGGCTGGTCTCAAACTCCTGGTCTCAAGCGATCCTCCTGCCTCAGCTTTCCGAAGCATGGAATTACAGGTGTGAACCACCACACCCAGCTGCTGATGTATTTTTAAAATAATTCACCATATTACACTAAACGTATCCAAGTGACATATTTGAGGTAAGCAAGACTGCTGACATAACAACAGCCCATGCTACCAGCTACTTGAGACCAACGATCTACCATCAGACCACAGCCAGTTCCCACTGCAGTGAAATAACATGAAAGTCTTTATCAGTTGAGCAGTTTCTAATGTGAGAGTCAACACACCTGAAAAATGAATTTGAATGGTGGAAATTCAGTAAGTACTTTATTTATGAGTAAGGCTGTACAGGATTCAGCAGTGTCTAATTCGGGTCCCATATAGAAGTTAAAATTTTTAAATGAGTAATTCAGCTTACAGGGAAATATATTTTCATCTCAATCTTTTATGCTATATCATACCTCAGGCTTTTTAAAAATTATTTTTGAGATGAAATTTTAAAGTTCCCCCGGTACCCAAGTTACCATATTATATAGTATAAAGATAGTGAAATACAAAAATGTAACAAATACTAATACACTGTGATTAATAGCTGTTTATTAGCTTTTTAATAAAGCAAAACTTTATAGTGAAATAAACTAGAAATAGCTTTTTATTTTTTATATATATTTATTTATTTTTGAGATGGGGTCTTGCTCTGTTGCCCAGGGTGGAGTGCAGTGGCACAATCTTGGGTCACTGCAGCCTCTGCCTCCGCCTCCTGGGTTCAAGCAATTCTCCCACCTCAGCCTCCCATGTAGCTGGGATTACAGGCATGTGCCGCCACGCCCGGCTAATTTTTGCATTTTTAGTAGAGATGGGGTTTCACCGTGTTGGCCAGGCTGGTCTCGAACTCCTGACCTCAGGTGATCCACCCACCTTGGCCTCCCAAAGTGCTGGGATTATAGGCATGAGCCACCGTGCCTGGCGAAATAGCTTTTTAGAAGCTTTTTAAATGATATGCTTATAAAATGACAGACATGAGTGAAACATCCTCAATGACGATAATACACAAGTCACAAGTTTCCTGTGAGTGAAACTGAGCAGTACAGAGTCAGGCTGACTGTTTAAAAGCCAGATTCACTTCTTGGTATCACCGAGCTCTTACTCTGAAATTGTGCCAGGGGAGCTTCTGAGCATCACTGGTCTCAAGTTTAATAATGCAAAAATTCCATTTTATCATCTAAAGTTTTGGAGAAGAATCCCTTTGGCACTAATGATATTTACTCCAGCACCATCTCTCCTTTTTGGTGCCTCTTCATTCTTGAGTAGGGACTTATTGTATCATCCATCACAAAATCATACAGTACTTTTATCCAGGAATTGTAGTGAGGGAGGTTGTCATAGTATTCAGCTGCTATTTTCCTCACCTAGAAGGGAAAAAATACAGCAAGATGAAAAATGAGTGTTACTAGGTTCTTTCAAAGATGACTGATGAATGGTTGACACAAACACTGAGAAGGGAAACCATGAGACCTGCCTCCCTCCTCTCTCTTAAAAAAAAAAAAAAGCAGCAGCAGCAGCAGCTGTGGGAATTCTAAACAAAAAGCAGTCTACATTTCAGCAGCAGTTGAATACACTCGACCCTCTAGGTCTCTCTCCCATCACATTCCAAGGGACTAAATATCTGGCTTATTTGTAAAATTAACAACAAATACATACAATTAGATTAACTTGATATTATTAAAGAATGTACTGCATGGATGACGCCATAGAATATAAAGGCAACATCTGATCCCTGCCATCCAGGAACTTACAAATACTAATAAATTGTGGCATGCTAATTAGATAGAAATTAAGCACTTGGCTGGGTGCGGTGGCTCATACCTGTAATCCCAGGACTTTGGGAAGCCGAGGCGGGTGGATCACCTGAGGTCAGGAGTTCGAGACCAGCCTAACCAATATGGTGAAACCCCATCTCTACTAAAAATACAAAAAAATTAGCCAGACATGGTGGCGTGCGCCTGTAGTCCCAGCAACTCAGGAGGCTGAGATAGGAGAATTGCTTGAACTCGGGAGGCGGAGGTTGCAGTGAGCCGAGATTGTGCCACTGCACTCCAGCCTGGGTGAGAGAGAGACTCCATCTCAAAAAAAAAAAAAAAAAAAAAAAAGCACTTATCAAATGTGCAATTCTGCCATCTCAAGTTAAAAATGTCTTTTCATCTCAAGTTAAAAAACTATCTGGATGGGCACAGTGGTTCGTATGTATAATCCCAGCATCATTCTGGAAGGCAAGAGAATCACTTGAGCCCAGGAATTTGAGACCAGCCTGGGCAACACAGGGAAACCCATCTCTCTCTTTTTTTTTTTTTGAGACGGAGTTTCGCTCTGTCACCCAGGCTGGAGTGCAGTGGCACAATCTCGGCTCACTGCAACCTCCACTGCCCGAGTTCAAACGATTCTCCCGCCTCAGCCTCCCGAGTAGCTGGGACTATAGGTACCCGCCACCATGCCCAGCTAAGTTTTTTGTATTTTTAGTAGAGACAGGCTTTCACTATGTTGGCCAGGCTGGTCTCGAACTCCTGACCTCAGATGATCCACTCACCTAGGCCTCCCAAAGTGCTGGGATTACAGGTGTGAGCCACTGCACCCATCCAGGAAACTCCAGCTCTATAAAAATGTTAAAAATGTTAAAAATTTTAACAAACCATTTGGAGGATTAAAAGAAATTATTTAAAAAATCAGCCTGTCATAGCATGTGGCTGTAGTCCTAGCTACTTGGGAGGCTGAGGCAGGAGGATCACTTGAATCCAGGAGTTTGAGACCAGCCTGAGCAACACAGCAAGACCCTGCCTCTACAAAAAATAAAAAATTAGCCAGGCATGGTGGCACGTGCCTATAATCCTGCCTACTCAGGAGGCTGAGGTGGGAGGATCGCTTGACCCAGGAGTTGAGGCTGCAGTGAGCTATCGTACCACTGCACTCTAGACTAGGTGACAGGGCAAGACCCTGTCTCTAAAAAAACATAAAGTTAAAAAATAAAATTAAAAATAAATCCTAAGTGTAACCACTAAGCTTAAGGACCCAAGAGTGAACCCTTTGTAAAAGTAGGCTGGAAGATGCAGTATTTATATTCTTGCTCTTTTTGTTTTTTTTTTTTTTAATGAACTGCTTGGACTGACAAAATACTAGCCTGGCCAACATGGCAAAACCCCATCTCTACTAAAAATACAAAAATTAGCTGGGCGTGGTAGCATGCGCCTGTAATCCCAACTACTTGGGAGACTGAGGCATGAGAATCGTTTGAACCCGGGAGGTGGAGGTTACAGTGAGCCGAGATCGTGCCACTGCCCGCCAGCCTGGGCGACTGAGTGAGACACCGTCTCAAAAAACAAACAAATGAAAAAACAAAATTAGAATATGTATCAAATCCTTTACTTACCAGTGGAAGACTTTTTCCAGGAATGTTGGGGAAATCATGATGTTCATTATGATAACCCACATTGAAGGTAAGTAAATTCAGAGGCCCATAATATGAGTAAGTTTCATGACCCTTTAAGAACATGTAATGCTCAGCTATAAAATGTCCAGAAATTGGGTGCAAACCCAGGCCAAGTAAAGATGCTGCCAACATGTAGACTAAGGATTTAATTCCCAAAAAGTAATAAATTAAAATGTCAAAAGTGACCTGTGCCACGGTATTGATAACTTCCAGATACGTAATTGGTTTGGGGTTGATGAACAGAGGTCGAAAGGCATAAAAGAGAGGCTGAAGAATAACCCATATAAACTTTCTGAAAGCGGTACAGAAGAACCAGCCCTCAAAATCGGTAGGAATATCTACATCGACGCCATCAGCTCCAAGGTACCGATGATGATCCATGTGATACCTCTTAAAGGAAATTGAATATGGAATCCCAATAGGAAGATTAGCAAACATTCCAAACCAGCGATTCCACATTGCTTTGCAGTTGCCAAAGGCAGCATTGTGGGCAATCTCATGAATAGCCAGAGTCATTGAGTGGTTAATGCAACTGCCAAACGCATAGGCCCCAAATATGACCCATTTCCAGTCCAAGTCTTTTACTATGTAAAATGCACCCAACTGGGTGAGAACCATCATAATTATAATCCATATCAAATTGGGATCAGGTTTCATCAAGGACTTTATCTCTGGATACTTTGCTGTAAAGAAAAAACAAAAAAACAGGAACTAAGAAAAGTATGTAATAGTTCACCAATTATAATTAAATTAACACCAATTAAACTAACACATTAAATTTGTTCTGTAAATCATATTCCCTTTACTAGAGACTTTAGTGGATATTTAATAACACAGGGAAGGATTCTACTAGTAAAGTTATGAAATATCATGTCACAATAATTTGAGAATTTATGCAGGAAAAATTAGCCTCAAAGTTTAGAAGTTCCACATTCTTTATATTAAAATACATGTTATTTCTGTGTTTAGACAGAGGTACAGCATTCTTACCTTATATAAAACGATTAAATTAACACATCTGACAAAGGATAGAATATAATATACATTTTGTAGTTACCCTAAAATCATGAAACTGGTATTCACAGTTTTCTCAGACAAATCAACATGCTCCAAGTAATTCTGTACTGAATTTTCCCAAAATTGTAATAGTATATAAAAACCAATACTACAGGCTACCAATATAATCAGGGAAAGAACAGTCCTTTCAACAAATGGTGCTAGACCGACTTGTTATCAACAGGCAAAAGAATGGATTCAGACCCCTACCTTACACCATACACAAAAATGAACTCAAAACAGATCACAGACCCAAATTTATAAGAAAATTATAAAACTCTGATAAGAAAACATAGAAATAAATCTTCATGGCCTTTGTGGTTTCTTAGATACTATAACAAGTACAAGTGACAAAAGAAAACAGAGAAATCGGACAGCATCAAAAACTTTCTGTTGCACATGATACTGTCAAGAAAGTAAAAAGACAATCCACAGAAGCGGGGTTATGTTTGCAAATCATGTATCTCATAAGGGACCTATATCCAGAATATATGAAGAACTCTTACAACTAATAATCCAATTAAAAAATGGGCAAAGGATCTGAACCCACTTTTCTCCAAAAGATACGGAAACAGTCAAGAAACACATGAAAGAGGCTCAACACCGTTAGTCATTAGGAAAGTGCAAACTGAAACCATAGATACCACCTCACACTCACTAGGATGACTATAATAAAAAAAGGTAGGTAAAAACAAGGATGTGGAGAAATTAGAACCCTCATACTTTGCTAGTGGGAATATAAAATGGTGCAGCTGCTTTGGAAAACTGTACAGCAGTTCCTCAAAATGTTAAACACCTGGTATATCCATACAAAGGAATATTATTCAGCCAGAAAAAGGAATCATACACTGACATATGCTATAACATGAATGAACCTTAAAATATTATTTTATTGAAATATTATTTTATTGAAAATATATTATTTTAATGAACCTTAAAATATTTAGAGACAGGGTCTACCTCTGTCACTCAGGCTGAAGTACAGTGATGCCATCATAGCTCACTACAGCCTCAAACTCCTGGACTCAAGTGATCCTCCTGCCTCAGTCACCCTAGTAGCTGGGACTACAGGAGCATGCCACTGTGCCCAGCTAAAATATTATGCTAATGGCTGGGTGCAGTGGCTCACACCTATAATGCCAGCACTCTGAGAGGCCAAGGCAGGAGGATCACTTGAGCCCAGGAATTCAAGATCAGCCTGGGCAACATAACAGGACCCTGTCTCTACAAATTAAAAAAAAAAAAAAATTTATATTATGCTAAGTAAAAGCCAATCATAAAAGATCAGGTATTTTATGATTTCATGTATATGAAATGTCCAGAATAAGCAAATCTATAGGCCACAAAGTAGATTAGTGGTTACCTAGGTAGAAGCAGGGGATATGAGGGACTGCTAATGAGTATAGGGTTTCTTTTGGTGATGATGAAATGTTCTAAGGTTATATGGTGGTGACAGCTGCACAACTCTGTGAATATACTAAAAAATACTGAACTGTACACTTTAAATGAATAAATCATGATAGTTGAATTATAATCTCAATAAAGCTATTGGCCAGGTGCTGTGGCTCACACCATTAATCCAGCACTTTGGGAGGCTGAGGCACAAAGACTGCCTGAGGCCCAGTGTTCAAGACCAGCCTGGGCAAACAGATTCTATTTCTACCAAAAATAAAAAAAATTAGCCAGGTGAGGTGGCACAAGCCTGTAGTCCCAGCTACTTAGGATGCTGAAGCGGGAGCATCACTTGAGCCCAAGAATTTATGATCACACCACTGCACTCCAGCCTGGGCAACACAGTGAGACTCTCTCTCAAAAAATAAAACATTAAAAAGCTGTATCATGTTAAAGTATAACAGTGAAGGAACCATTTCTTGTGATTTATTCTTTTTTTTTTTTGAGACGGAGTCTCGCTCTGTTGCCCAGGCTGGAGTGCAATGGTGAGATCTCAGCTCACTGCACCCTCTGCCTCCTGGGTTCAAGCAATTCTCCTGCCTCAGCCTTCCCAGTAGCTGGGATTACAGGCGCCCACCACCACACCCAGCTAATTTTTGTATTTTTAGTAGAGACGGGGTTTCACCATGTTGGCCAGACTGGTCTTGAACTCCTGACCTCAGGTGACCTGTCCACCTCAGCCACCCAAGGGCTGGGATTACAGCCATGAGCCACCCAGCCCAGCTCATCCTCACGAATTTCAAACAGATGCCTTGTAAATGAACTTTTAATGTGAACTCTAAATGTAAACTTAAAGTGTACAATTGTTGGTTGTTCTATCAGGCCCCTTCCCTCCCCCGCCAAAAAGTCAATACTTTCAGAAAGATCTCTTATCATTTGTGTATAATTTAAACAAATCTAAAGATTCTTTCTACAGGTTATTCCATCTCCCACCCTGAAACAGAACATGAGTTAGTATTTACACCTGCATGGAAAACATTGTACACTGTATTTTCATTGAGAAATATGTAGTCCTTCTTTTTTTTTTTTTTTTTTTTTTGAGACGGAGGCTCACTCTGTCGCCCAGGCTGGAGTGCAGTGGCACCATCTCAGCTCACTGCAAGCTCTGCCTCCCGGGTTCACGCCATTCTCCTGCCTCGGCCTCCTGAGTAGTTGGGACTACAGGTGGCTGCCGCCACGCCCGGCTAATTTTTTGTATTTTTAGTAGAGATGGGGTTTCACCGTGTTAGCCAGGATGGTCTCGATCTCCTGACCTCATGATCCGCCCACCTTAGCCTCCTAAAGTGCTGGGATTACAGGCGTGAGCCACCATGCCCGGCCAAGAAATATGTGGTCCTTTTACTTTCCCAGTGAAATGGTTCAGTGATAAGTCTGTGGGGGGAAAAAAGGCTCAGTGTGAGGTAAGTATCAATCAGCACCTTCTCACTTCCTTCATCTCTTTTTCTTGAGACAGTCTCACTCTGTTGCCCAGGCTGGAACGCGGTGGGGCAATCACGGCTCACTGCAGCCTCTACCTCCCCAGCTCAAGCAATCCTCCCACCTCAGCCTTCTGTGTAGCTGGGACCACAGGCACATGCCACCATGTCCCGCTAATTAAATTTTTTTTTTTTTGGTAGAGATGGGGTTTTGCCATGTTGCCCAGGTTGGCCTCGAACTCCTGAGTTCAAGTGTTCCTCTCGCCTCAGCCTTCTGAGTAGCGGGACAGGCATGCACGCCTAGCTAATTTTTTAATTTCTCGTGCAGATGGGGCTGTTCTGAACTGGCCTCAAGCGATCTTCTTGCCTCAGCTTCTCAAAGTGCTCGGATTACAGGCAAAAAAAAGCCACCACACCCGTCCTGATTTTCAGAATATTAAGTAGCTCAGTTTCAGTATTCCAGAGTTGGTTTTTACACAGGTAGGACGCTAGATTATTCCTATGTAACATGTAGATAAGGCATTGATAAAATATATCATATGTGGCCTGGCAGGGTGGCTCACGCCTGTAATCCCAGGACTTTGGGAGGCCATGGCAGGCGCATCATCTGAGACCAGCCTGGCCAATGTGGCAAAACCCTGTCTCTACTAAAAATAAAAATAGAAAAACTTAGCCAGGTATGGTGGCGGGCGTCTGTAATCCCAGGTACTCGGGAGACTGGGGCAGGCAGAACTGCTTGAACCCAGGAGGGAGAGGTTGCAGTGAGCCGAGACTGGGCCACTGCACTCCAGCCTGGGTGACAGAGTGCGGCTCCGTCTCAAAAAAGTATCATGCTATCTCATATCAAGTATGTGTAAGTGATGTGCCAAACAAATTGCTACTGGCAGGCTGAGGTATGCGGACCACTGGAGCCCAGGCTGCAGTGATCATCATGCCTGTGAACAACCACCGCACTCCAGCTTGGGCAACAAAGCAAGACCCTTTCTCTAATGGAGTGTAGGGGAGGAGGAAGAAGAGGAGGAAGGGAATTCAAGAACCCAAAGTTACCGGGTGCAGTGGCTTACGCCTTTAAAATCCCAGCACTTTGGGAGGCCAAAGCGGACAGATTGCTTGAGCCCAGGAGTTCAAGACCAGCCTGGGCAACACGGAGAAACCCATCTCTACAAAAAATAGAAAAATCAACCAGGCATGGTGGTGTGCGCTTGTGGTCCCAGCTACTTGCTTTTTCTTTTCACTGGGCAAATGAATGTTGAGAAGAAAAACTAAGGAAATACTATATATAAGGAATAATTGCTCATGTTCAACTCACCGTTTCCTCAATTTAAAAAAAGTGTGTGTGTGTGTGTGTGTGTGTGTGTGTGTGTGTAAACGGGGGGCTCTCACTATGTTACTCAGGATGGTCTCAAACTTCTGGGCTGAAGCGATCCTCCCGCCTCAGCCTCCCGAAGTGCTAGGATTACAGGCCTGAGCTACCGTGACCGGTCCCCGTTTCCTCAACAGAGGTTAAAAAGCTCGTGCTCTGGCCGGGCACGGTGGTTCACGCCTGTAATCCCAAAACTTCGGGAGGCCAAGGCGGGCGGATCACCTGAGGTCAGGAGTTCGAGATAAGCCTGGCCAACATGGTGAAACCCCGTCTCTAACTAAAAAAGATACAAACATTAGCCAGGCGTAGTGGTGGGAACCTGTAATCCCAGCTACTCGGGAGGCTGAGACAGAAGAATCGCTTGAACCCAGGAGGCAGAGGTTGCAGCGAGTGGAGATCGCGCCACTGCACTCCAGCATGAGCAACAGAGTGAGACTCAGTCTCAAAAAACAAACAAACAAACAAACAAAAAACAAACACGTGCAGTCTCAAAAAACAAACAAACAAAAAACAAACACGTGCTCTGGAAGAGGCAACCGAATGCGCATTAGAATCCCCCTAGCATTTAGTCACGCGTTCTTATTTCATTTTTTAAAACAGCGATAATACCAACCAAGTAGAATTACCAAGAGGATGAAATTGGGTAATGTTTGTAAAGCATTCCACACAATCCCTAGCATATTAGGAGTAGCCTGGGAGAGATGAGCATTCTCTATGTAACACAGAAGGCCCGAATCCTCTGGAGAGTTAAGGCCTCTCAATTAGCTGTCAGGGGACCAGCAGGCCACGCCACATATTTTCCTTATTTGGCAAGTCTTCCATTTTCAGTCTTTTCATCCACAAAACCGAGATGGATGAAAAATGCCTACGAATCCGCCGTTCTTACGTCCCAGGCTTGTCGTGAGGATCAATGGGACAAGCGGCGTGAACCGACCAGGGCCCATCAAGTCCGAGAAGCCCCGGGGGGCATATGGAGGGACGCCGGCCCCCTTAACGGGCCCAAGGCCGGGACTGCGGCCGCCCCCGCCAGTACTGCCCGCCGGCGCCCGACACCCTGAGCAGGGCTCGCTGGTAGGCCCAAGGATGCCCAGGACCACACCCTGCCTAGCACTCAGGCAGCCCCAAGGCCGGCACCCGCTCACCTCGGCCCGCTCCGGAGGAGAGGGAGTGGTGAGAGGAAAGGGCGCCCACCTGAGGGCACAGGAATCTTCTAGCGAAAAGATCTACTCAAGGCTGGCACAGCCGGGGACACCCTTCGCCCCAACCGGCCGGCGTGGGCCTGGCGGGGACTCCCGCGCTCGGGGACGCGCCTGCGCCTCTTCGCGGAAGGGTCGGAGCTGCGCGGCTCCGAGGACCCGTCCCTCCCCCCGCTCCTCGCCCAGCCTCTCCCGCGCTGACCCGCGGGCTGGCGGCCCGAGCGGCGACGGGACGCGACGGGGAGCAGGCTGCTAACGGGCCTCCGGCGCCCACGACCGCGCAGGGCCCGCGAGGGGAGAGCGCGCCCCGGCGCCGGGAGGCCACGCACGCACATAACGGGGCGCCCGCTGGCCCTCACCCAGGATCTCCCGGCGCCGGTCGGCGTGCGGCTGGTCGGTGTAGACCCACTCGAAGTCTTCCCGCGAGACGCGGCTCCCCATGGCGACAGCGGTGGCTTGCAGACTAGCTGTCGGCTCTCGCTCCCAGCCGGCTGCTCAGAGGTGGCGGCGGCGGCGGCGGCTCCCCGGCTGGTGTGGTGTCGGCCGGCTGTGGCGGAGCGCGGAGGAGACGGAGGCGTGGGCGGAGTCCCGAGGCCCCGCCCCCCCCGGCCCGCCCGCCTGCCTCTCTGGGTGGAGGGCGCGTGGCGCTCCCAGGCCCCCGTGCGGGGCCGGCTCTCAGCGATTCTGGGACGCGGGGTTCTGAGCTTCGGTGACTCGGCCACCATCCAGGATGCCGCGTTCTTGCGAGTGCCCGCCCCTGCGGCCTGCTGCGCCGGAGCCCGGAGAAGATGAAAAAGGAAGGAATGGTCTCAAGTGAGATAAACCTGCCGCCCTAACGCCTCCGCGAGGGGAGCACCGGGCACGGCTACGGTCACACCGAGTCTGGAGGCCCCGGAGCCCTTCTTAAATGGCAGCTGGCCTAAGTTTTGTTTAATTTTTAAAAAGCAAATTAGCCATTGAGTCATATTTCGCTGCCTTCTGGAAATAATACCTCAGGGAAAAAATGCAGAGTGCGTGACAATTAAAAGCTAATCAAGTAAAAAGAAAACACCATTATTAAGAGGGGGTGATGATGTGGGATTTGTTGTTGTGCTTGAATTATTCTAGTGTGACCACTTCTGTTAAGAGATGATTGCTCAACCTTGCATCTACCTGTCGCAGAAGTAATCAACCACAACCTCTTCCTGAAAGAAAGGTTTTGAAACGAAACTAATTTTGTTTCAACATTAGTTACCACGTCTACATCAAAGAGCAACTTAAAGATTACAAAAAGAAGATAACCAAAGCAGGTGTGCCTCCTAGTCAAAGAACATGCTGTGCACGCGCACACGGCACACACACACACACAAATCTGATCGAGCCCCTAGATCTGACTGTTAATTTATAGAAAATAGAAAGGACATTTGGCCGGGTGCGGTGGCTCACGTCTGTAATCCTTGCACTCTGTGAGGCAGAGGCGGGTCCATCACCTGAGGTCGGGAGTTCGAGACCAGCCTGATCAGGATGGTGAAACCCCCGTCTCTACTAAAAATATAAAAAAATTAGCTGGGCGTAGTGGCAGGCGCCTGTAATCCCAGCTACTCAGGAGGCTGAGGCAGGGGAATCGCTCGAACTGGGAGGCAGAGGTTGCAGTGAGCTGAGACGGAGCCACTGCACTCCAGCCTGGGGGACAGACGGAGACTCCCTCTCAAGAAAAAAAAAAGAAAATAGAAAGGACAGAGGAATGTGTTAAACTAGGCCGTGGGGATGAAACTAGCAAGATCCAACTCTGGGAGACTATATGGGACAATGTCTGGGTTCTCTAATAAATGAAACTCAAGGCAAAAAAAGAGAAACCTGTAGATTAAAAGGAGTTTAAAAGACATACCAACCAATTGCAACGTGTTGACCTCATTTAGATTCTGATTGAAATAGTTTAAAAACATTGACATGAAATAATTGAACTCAGATATCAATTGGATATGTGATGATATTAAGGAATTATGAATTTCTTAAGTGTGATAATAGTATTATGGTTATAGTGGGTTTTGTTTTTTTTGAGACAGAGTCCTGCTCTGTTGCCCAGGCTGGAGTGCAGTGGTGGCCTCATGTCTCACTTCAGTCTTGACCTGAGCTTAAGCCATCCTCCCACCCCAGTCTCCCGAGGAGCTGGGATCACAGGCGTGCACCACCATGCTTGGCTACTTTTTTGAATTTTTGATAGAGATGGGGCCTCACCTTGTTGCCCAGGCTGGTCTCAAACGCTTGGGCTCAAGTGATCTCAAAGTATTGGGATCACAGGCATGAGCTACTACATCCGACCCCAGGAGCATTATTAATAAGTCCCTAAGACCCTCTCAGTACATTCACTTCTGAAATAGAGAGGGCCAGCACGGCTGAGACATCTAGCAGAGAAGGCTGTGAGAGCAGAGGGGAGACAGAACAGTGACACCTGGAGTGGAGGCCTGAAGGCTGATCAGAGCCCAGCGAGGGTCATGTCTGCAGGGCATGCTAGCAAATGCGTGGCTGGGTCAGCCTCCAGAGGGTCCCAGTCTCGAAAAAGGAGTGGGATTTGATGATGGATAGATACACAGGTCTGATCATGCAGGAGCTTTTTAGTTGTTAATGAAATGGTGGAGGAAAAAGAAGGTGGGGAGTGTCACCTGGAAAAGGACAGCTTTGTATTTGCCAAGTTTCATCTGGATTGGCAGATGGCACATGAAGCTGATAATTGGACTCAACTCAGGAGGAAGTTTTCAGGTGCTGACAAGTAAATGTATCCCTGCAGTTCAGAACGCAGTTGCTATCACAGGCATGTGTGAACTGGCACACCAGTCCAAAAGGTGTGCGGAGGCTTACGTCTGTAGTCTGAGCACTTTGGGAGGCCGAGGTAGGGGGATCGCTTGAGGGCAGGGGTTCGGGACAAGCCTGGGCAACATGGCAAAAACCCACCTCTATAAAAAATACAAAAATTATGCCGGGTATGGTGGCTCATGCCTGTAATCCCAGCACTTTGGGAGGCCAAGGCGGTCTCCAAGGTCAGGAGATCCAGACCATCCTGGCTAACACGGTGAAACCCCATCTCTACTAAAAATACAAAAAAAATTAGCCAGGCATGGTGGGGGGGGCGCCTGTAGCCCCAGCTACTTGGGGGGCTGAGGAAGGAGAATGGCATGAAACCGGGAGGCGGAGCTTGCAGTGAGCCGAGATCGCACCACTGCACTCCAGACTGGGCGACAGAGCAAGACTCCGTCTCAAAAAAAAAAAAAAAAAATTTAACTGGGCGTGGTGGCCCATGTTTGTGGTCCCACCTATTGCTGAGGCTGAGGTGGGAAGATTGCTTGAGCCCAGGAGGTCGAGGCTTCAATGAGCTGAGAAATGAGCTGAGATTGTGGCACTGCACTCTAGCCTGTGTGACAGAGTGAGGCTTTGTCTCAAAAACATTAAAAAATAAAAGAAAGAAAGAAAAATGCAGAGTTTGAAAAAAAATGTGAATCTGGATATACCATTTTTTTTTTCTGAGATGGAGTTGCGCTCTGTTGCCCAGGCTGGAGTGCAGTGTCAAGATCTTGGCTCACTGCAACCTCTGCCTCCTGGGTTCAAGCGATTCTCCTGCCTCACCCTCCCGAGTAGCTGGGATTACAGGTGTGTGCCACCACGTCCAGCAACTTTTTGTATTTTTACTAGAGACGGGGTTTCACCATGTTGGCCAGGCTGGTCTTGAACTCCTGACCTTAAGTGATCTGCCCTTCTTGGCTTCCCAAAGTGCTGGGATTACAGGCATGAGCACCACACCTGGCTTGGACATTCTTTTTTTTTAAAAAAAGTTACAATTCATTTAATAGCAACTGGTAATCATGAAATTTTCTTATTTTGTTTAAACCCTCTTTAAACAAAAGTCTGCAAATTAGCACTGATCATTTGCAAAAGTCATTACATATACTGCCATTTTTCTTAAGGTTGACCAAAGATAACCTAGAATTATAGCCGTTACATAATCACACAAAATGATTATATATTAATCAGACCTGGTTTATCACCAGCATTTATAAAAACAGACGTAGGGAAAGAACTAGGTCTAGGGACACGTACATGGTCTTAATATAGCGACTGTTTATCCTGTCCTGACTATTACAAAATCAATTTTGACATTCTAAAGTAAACTATTTGAGCTACAGGATTGTCATGGGCATTGATAGCTATTTTAATGATGTCTAGGCATGCTTCTTTAATTTGGACTTTTAAAAGTTCTTAATATATACGCGTAATAAAAAAGTAAGCTAAGAAGTATAGCCAGGCATGGTGGCTCACGCCTGTAATTCCAGCACTTTGGGAGGCCGAGGTGGGTGGATCACAAGGTCAGGAGTTCACGACCAGCCTGGCCAAGATGGTGAAACCCCGTCTCTACTAAAAATACAAAAATTAGCTGGGCATGGCGGTGGGTGCTTGTAATCCCAGCTACTTGGGAAGCTGAGGCAGAAAACAGCTTGAACCCGGGAGGCGGAGGTTGCAGTGAGCTGAGATTGCACCACTGCACACTAGCCTGGGCGACAGAGCGAGACTGTCTCAAAAAAAAAAAAAAGAAGTATAAATAAAATGCCTTGAAGTTTTAAAAAAAGATTCTTAATGGATTATCTAGCTTTCACATCTTTTCCTTAACCTTGTCAAATAATTTGTCTTGAAGCAAACATACTAGTTATTCTGGAAAAACGCTCTCCAGTCGGCTGTTGGAAGCTGTGGTGAATCGCAGCCAGCCATGATCATATTAGGAAATTTAAGATGAAGTAGTTTTCAGATGAGGGCAGCTGTACTTTTGAAATCAATATGGATTTTTCCTTTTCCATCTGCTTGATTTTTGAAAGGGCAGTTTATTTTTGAGGCCATTTCAATAGTGATAACAGTTGAGATTGAATGGTATTGACTACTGTAATTCATAGAAGAGTAATACAGAAAACATTCTTTATTCACTTCAAGCAAATAATCGTAAGAATTTTATGTTATCTATTTCTTTTCTTTTCTTTTTATTTTATTTTTGAGATGGAGTTTCGCTCTGTCGCCCAGGCTGGAGTACAATGGCCCAATCTTGGCTCACTGCAATCTCCGCCTCCTGAGTTCTGGTGATTCTCCTGCCTCAGCCTCCCGAGTAGCTGGGATTACAGATTCATGTCACCACGCCTGGCTAATTTTTGTACTTTAGTTTCACCATATTGGTCAGGCTGGTCTCGAAACTCCTGACCTCAGGTGATCCACCTGCCTCAGCCTCCCAAAGTGCTGGGATTACAGGCATGAGCTACAGCGCCTGGCCCAAATTCATGAATGTTTTAACTATAAATTTACATGTGCTAATTTTATATTTAAATAATACATTTTAAGTAAGAAAAATATATATTGACAACTAATTACTGACTAGAGTAGTTGTCTGTTATTGGTGTCAAGAAATAGATGACATAAGGCTGGATGCGGTGGCTGATGCCTGTAATCCCAGCACTTTGGGAGGCTGAGGCAGGTGGATCACCTGAGGTCAAGAGTTTGAGACCAGCCTGGCCAACATGGTGAAACCCCGTCTCTACTAAAACTACAAAATTAGCTGGGCTTGGTGGCACATGCCTGTAATCCCAGCTACTTGGGAGGCTGAGGCAGGAGAATCGCTTGAAGCTGGGAGGCAGAGGTTGCAGTGAGCTGAGATTGCACCATTGCACTCCAGCCTGGGCAACAAGAGCAAAACTCCGTCTAAAAAAAAAAAAAAATTCGCGAATTTGTTCATAACTAAAGCTGACTTAGTGTGGCAGGGGAAATAATCCCTTGCCTGTTTTGTCTTCTGCCATGCTGGCCTCACTCAGTGTAGCTAGTCCTGGCCAGTTTGGGGGCATGATGTGCTGCCATTTACTCCTGTTATCTTTAGTACCACAGTGACCTCCAGTCTCGGGATCTATACACCAGACCTGTCTTCCCTCGGACCCTGCAGGTTTCTCCCAGTCCATAGCCTTCTCTGGGCTTCTGGGTCTCACTCCTGTGGAGGGATGATCTCTCTCAGCTGATTGCCTCGTCCATGAAGGGATGTACAGGATTCTGTGTGTTTGTCCTCAGGCCCATCAGGTTAGACACTTCCCTTAAAGAGTGCTAATCTATTGCATACACATCATGTTGAAAGCAGGGGCTGGGTGCGGTGGCTCATGCCTATAATCCCAGCACTTTGGGAGGCTGAGGCAGGCGGATCACTTGAGGCTAGGAGTTCGAGACCAGCTTGGCCAACATGGTGAAACCCTGTCCCTACTAAAAATACAAAAATTAGCCAGGCATGGTGGCGAGCACCTATAGTCCCAGCTACTCAGGAGGCTGAGGCAGAGAATCTCCTGAACACGAGAGGTTGAGGTTGCAATGAGCAAAGATTATGCCAATGCACGCCAGCCTGGGCAACAGAGTGAGACTCCATCTTAAAAACAAATAAACAAAAAACCTTAATGTACAAAAATATTTTTTATTTTAATGTATATATATTTTTATTTAATTTTTTTAAATTATACTTTAAGTTTTAGGGTACATGTGCACAACGTGCAGGTTAGTTACATATGTATACATGTGCCATGTTGGTGTCCTGCACCCATTAACTCGTCATTTAACATTAGGTATATCTCCTAATGCTATCCCTCCCCCCTCCCCCCTATTTTTATTTTTATTATTGAGACGGAGTCTCACTCTATCACCCAGGCTGGGGTGCTGTGGCACAATCTCAGCTCACTGCAACCTCTGTCTCTCAGGTTCAAGGGATTCTCCCACCTCAGCCTCCCGAGTAGCTGGGCCTACAGGTATGTGCCACCACACCCAGCTAATTATTGGGCTTTTTTTTTTTTTTTTTTTTTTTTGAGACAGAGTTTCACTCTTGTTGCCCAGGCTGGAGTACAGTGGTGCATTCTTGGCTCACTGCAACTTCTGCCTCCCAGGTTCAAGCGATTCTCCTGCCTCAGCCTCCCGAGTAGCTGGGATTACAGGCGCCTAACACCACACCCAGCTAATTTTTGTGTTTGTTGTAGAGACAGGGTTTCACCATGTTGACCGGGCTGGTCTCGAACTCCTGACCTCAGGTGATCCTCCTGCCTCGGCCTCCCAAAGTGCTGGGATTACAGGTGTGAGCCACCACAACCGGCCTAATTTTGGTATTTTTAGTAGAGACAGGGTTTTGTCCTGTTGGCCAGGCTGGTCTTAAACTCCTGACCTGAAGTGATCTGCCTGTCTTGGCCTCCCAAAGTGCTAGGAATACAGACATGAGCCACCGTGCCCAGCCAATGTTTTGTATTTTTATACACCAGCAACAGCCAGTTAAGAAATGTAATAGGCCAGGCATGGTGGTTCACGCCTGTAATCCCAGCACTTTGGGGGGCTGAGGCGGGTGGATCACGAGGTCAGGACATTGAGACCATCCTGGCTAACACGGTGAAACCCCGTCTCTACTAAAAATACAAAAAATTAGCTGGGCGTGGTGGCGGGCGCCTGTAGTCCCAGCTACTCCGGAGGCTGAGGCAGGAGAATGGCGTGAACCCGGGAAGCGGAACTTGCAGTGAGCCCAGATCACACCACTGCACTCCAGCCCGGGCGACAGAGCAAGACTCCGTCTCAAAAGAGAAAGAAATGTAATCGGGGGGCATGGTGGCTTTACAAAAAATTAGCTGGGTGTAGTGTCGGGTGCCTGTAATCCCAGCTACTTGGGAGGCTGAGGCAGGAGAATCGCTTGAACTCGGGAGGCAAAGGTTGCAGTGCGCTGAGAAAGCGCCATTGCACTGCAGCCTGAGCAGCAAGAGTGAGACTCCATCTCAAAAAAAGAAAAAAAAGAAATGTAATCAAAGAGATACTTACCTAGCTGGGGAGATACCATGATCAAGAAATGTAACCAGAGGCGTAGTGGCCTCCCCTAAGGCTGAGGCGGCGGCGGGCGCGCGAGGCTGTTGTGCTCCCGGCTCTCCTGTTTCCCCTCCTGAGCGGGTGGAGGAGGCCCAAGCGATGCTGGGCGCGCTCCCCCTTCCTTTCCCTCCGGCGTCCTCTCCCGGCCCTCTCGCGCTGCACTGTCTCTCCGACGCAAGATTCTCCTGGCCCGGATATGGCTCGTGGACAGCAGAAAATTCAGTCTCAGCAGAATAATGCCAAAAAGCAAGCTGGACAAAAGAAGAAACAAGGACATGACCAAAAGGCTGCTGCCAAAGCTGCCTTAATATATACCTGCACTGTCTGTAGGACACGAATGCCAGACCCTAAGACCTTCAAGCAGCACTTTGAGAGCAAGCATCCTAAGACTTCACTTCCTCCAGAATTAGCTGATGTTCAGGCATAAGGTTGTTTACAGGTGAATTCACGACACCTTTGACTCTTCTACTGTCTCAGACCTTAGGTAACATACCTGCAGCTGCTTTTCTAACAAACTGTTGATCAGCAAAAATAAAGGGGCTACAGAAACACTCATTTTTTATGCTGTTCCCTTTTGGGCTTCATGCAAAGACAATTCTGTGTAAATGTACAGTTGACTCTGATTTGGAAATATGAAAATCAGTCCATCCTTGTTATAAAAAAATTTTTTACAATTGTAATTATATTGATGTTCATATTGTGTAAAATAACTCATTTAATAAAATAGTACTTTGATTTACGAAAAAAAAAAAAAAAGAAATGTAACCAAAGAGAAAGATAGCATTTCTGATAACATAAAAAGTATGCAGGCTGGACATGGTGGCTCCCACCTGTAGTCCCAGCACTTTGGAAGGCTGAGGCAGACAGATCACTTGAGCCCAGGAGTTCAAGCCCAGCCTGGGCAACATGGCAAAATTCTCTCTCCACATGGAAACTGACCAACATGGAGAAACCCCAGATTTACTAAAAATGACCAACATGGAGAAACCCCAGATCTACTAAAAATACAAAATTAGCCGGGCATGGTAGCACATGCCTGTAATCCCAGCTGCTCTGGAGGCTGAGGCGGGAGAATCACTTGAACGCAGGAGGCGGAGGTTGCAGTGAGCCAAGATTGTGCCATTGCACTGTAGCCTGGGCAACAAGAGTGAAACTCTGTCTCAAAAATAAATAAATAAATAAGTAAAAATATAAATATAAATATAAAAAATAAATAAAGGCTGCTACTTTCCTAAAAATACTAGGTCTCTGATCAACTGGTGATGGGAATGGGATTAGAACTGCTGCAGGACCACTGGGGAGGGAGAGACAGGAAGAAAGAAGAAAACTGAGAGATTATCAACATTATTTATTGCTCATAAAATGTGTAGAAGCCAGGTGTGGTGGCTCATGCCTGTAATCCTGACACTTTGGGAGGCCAACGTGAGCTGATCACTTGAGGGCAGGGGTTCAAAACCAGCCTGGCCAACATGGCTAAACCCCATCTCTACTAAAAATACAAAAAATTAGTCGGGTGTGGTGGCACGCATCTGTAATCCCAGCTACTTGGGAGGCTGAGGCACAAGAATCTCTTGAACCCAGGATGTGGAGGTTGCAGTGAGCCAAGCTCATGCCTCTGCACTCCAGCCTGGGCGACAGAGTGAGACTCTGTCAAAGAAAAAAAAAAAAAAAAAAAGAAAGAAAGAAAGGGAAAGGGTGGGAGAAGAGGGCCCGGTGCGGTGGCTCACACCTGTAATCCCAGCACTTTGGGAGGCGGAGACAGGTGGATCACCTGAGGTCAGGTGTTCAAGACCAGCCTGGCCAACATGGTGAAACTTCGTCTCTACTAAAAAATACAAAAATTAGTTGGTCATGGTGGCAGGCTCCTGTAATCCCAGCTACTTGGGAGGCTGAGGCCGGAGGATTGCTTGGACCCAGGAGACAGAGGTTGCGGTGAGCCGAGATCACGCTACTGTACTCCAGCCTGGGTGAAGGAGTGAGACTCTGTCAAAAAAAAAAAAGAAAAGAAAAGAAAGAGAATGTGTAGAGCCTGAACCTGAAAATAAACTATTTCTTCTTCTGGCAAATGTTTAGAGGAGCAGATACAATTTAGCTACGCTTGCTAAAAAAGATTCTCCACAGTGAATATTCAAAGGGACATGTACCAACAGTCCTGAAAGAGGCTATACATCATGCCCCTCAGGCTAGGGAGGTACAAGTGTTCTCATAAGTTTTGTTTGTTTTTGTTTTTACAAGCTCACAGCTAAAATCGTGTTCTCATAGTTTTTGAATGCACTTCAAATGCACTATAATTTTTTTCTTTTTTTTGAGACGGAATCTCACTCTACGTCCAGGCTGGAGTGCAGTAGCGTGATCTTGGCTCACTGCAACCTCTGCCTCCCTGGTTCAAGTGATTCTCCTGCCTCAGCCTCCCAAGTAGCTGGGATTACAGGCATGTGCCACCACACTCGGCTAATTTTTGTATTTTTAGTAGAGATGGGGTTTCGCCATGTTGGCCAGGCTGGTCTTGAACTCCTGGCCTCAAGTGATCCACCCACCTCTGCCTCCCAAAGTGCTAGGATTACAGGCATGAGACACTGCACCCCACCCACATTAATATTTTTGAATAGGTTGTGACTATAATAGGAGCTTCTCTCCATGGCTGGTCAGCCTATTATTTGACAAATATGTTAAATTCTGCACAATGAACTATTTTTTTTGATACAGAGTTTCTGCTCTTGTTGGCCAGGCTGGAGAGCAGTGGCTCACTGCAACCTCTGCCTCCCAGGTTCAAGCAATTCTCTGGCCTCAGCCTCCCGAGTAGCTGGGATTACAGGCACATGCCACCACGCCTGGCTAATTTTTGTATTTTTAGTAGAGACGGGTTTTCACCACGTTGGCCAGGCTGTCTCAAATTCCTGACCTCGGGTGATCCGCCCGCCTCAGCCTCCCAAAGTGCTGGGATTACAGGCATGAGCCACCGTGCCTGGCCCAGAACTCTGTTAACCATCTTTACAGCAAACTGCAGATTTAAATGGTAGTTCCTTAAAAGCCCAAACTTTGAGGTCCAAAATATTTGGGAATTCCAGTATATTCAGGCATCATTCCCTTTTCCAAACCTGCCCTTGCAATCATATTCATCTATGTGGCATGCCCAGATTAGGGAATCCACTAATTTTATGATTTTATCCTTTGCTAATTAAGCTGAGATTTGTCCTCTTGGCAAATCTGTTAAAGCCAATGAATAGTCAGAACTCTCGGGAGTTATGTCAGCGTAGAAAAATTGATGAATTATCCCCATTCCCATCCCGACCTGTGGTCAATGGCTTTCATAGCTTTCTTTTTCCCTCCCTTCTTCCCTCTCTACTTTCCTCCTTCCTTCATTCCTCCTTTTCCTTCCTTCCTTCCCTCCCTCCCTCCTTCCTTCCTTACTTCTTCCTTCCCTCCTTCCTTCCTTCCGTCCTCCTTCCCACCTTTCTTCCTTCCTTCCTTCTTTTTTTTCTTTCCTTCCTTCCTTTCTTTCTTATTCTTTCTTTTCTTTCTCTCTCTTTTCTCTCTCTCTCTCTTTCTCTCTCTCACTTTCTTTCTCTCTGTCTCTCTCTCCTAAGCAGTCATTTTCTTCAAATTATATTTTTAAGTCAAAGAATTACCCCTCCTACGCTCCATGAAAACCTGATGAAAAGGGGATTGTTATGATCAAACTATAAAAGTTAGAGACAGAAAGAATAATAGAGATTAACAGGGGTTGGGGAAAAGGGGAGTGGGGAGCCAGTCTTTAATGAGTATACAGTTTCTGTTTGGGATGATGAAAAATTTCTGTGAATGGATAGTGGTGATGATTGAACAACTTTGTGAATATACTTAATGCTGCTGAATTGTACGTGTAAAAGTGGTTAAAATGGTAAATTTTGTTATGTGTATCTACCATGATAAAAAATGAACAGAGCCTCAGAGAAATTTGGGACATCATTGAGCTCATCAAAATACAGCTGATGGGAATACCAGAGGAGAGGAGAGAAAAGGGCAAAAAAAAAAAAAACAAAGGAAAAATATATCTAAAATGATCTAAATCTGATGGAAACATTAATCTACACATCCAAGAGATGCAGTGAACCCAAGTAGAGGCCGGGTGCGGTGGCTCACGCCTGTAATCCCAGCACTTTGGGAGGCTGAGGTGGGCGGATCACGAGGTCAGGAGATCAAGACCATCCTGGCTAACACGGTGAAACCCCGTCTCTACTAAAAATATAAAAAATTAGCCAGGTGTGTTGGTGGGCGCCTGTAGTCCCAGCTACTCAGGAGGCTGAGGCAGGAGAATGACGTGAACCTGGGAGGCAGAGGTTGCAGTGAGCTGAGATTGTGCCACTGCACTCCAGCCTGGGCGACAGAGCGTGACTCCATCTCAAAAAAAAAAAAAAAAAAAAAAAAAGAACCCCAGTAGAATGAACACAAGACAGAGATCCACACCCACATGCATTATAATAAAATTCTGAAAGCCAAAGAGAAAATCTTGAAACAGCAAGAGAAGAATGACTCATCACCGAAAAGGAGACCCTGATATGATGAACAGGTGACTCCTCATGAGAAACAGTGGAGGCCAGAAGGCAGTGGGATGGCGTATTCAAAGTGCTGAAAGAAAAAACTTATCAACCAAGGATCTGTGTCTAGCAAAACTATCTGTCAAAAATGAGGGCAAGGGGTCTGAGTGTGGTGCCTCATGCCTGTAATCCCAGCACTTTGGGAGGCTGAGGAGGGCGGATCATGAGGTCAGGAGTTTGAGACCAGCCTGACCAACATGGTGAAACCCTGTCTTTAAAAAAAATACAAAAATTTGCCAGGCGCAGTGGTGCGCACCCATAGTCCCGGCTACTCAGGAGACTGAGGCAAGAGACTCACTTGAACTTGGGAGGCGGAGGTTGCAGTGAGCCAAGATTGCGCCATTGCACTCCAGCCTGGGCATCAAGAGTGAAACTCCGTCTCAAAAAAAAAAAAAAAAAAAGAGAAAAGAATTTCTTTAGAGAGAGTTGGTAGCAGGTTGTGCTGCCCATCCTTGCTGCACACCCTCTGGTGGCAGAAGGAACTGTTGCTTTGTTAATTACAGCCAAGTGAAGAGTTTCTCAGAACCATTCCTCCAACTTGACTTTTGTGTTTGGAGAGACACAGGGACTGGTACCTGACTTGGACTTGAGCATGCCTAAAGGTGAGGGGAAATCAGAAGCTGTCCGTGGTCACTGAGTATGGACAGAGGGTCTCTGCTGATAGTAGCTTTTCTGCCAGGTTGATCAGGTATAGGTGGACCAGATGTGTAACCGTTTGACAAGGGCTAGATTTGGTTGCTGTCTATGGCCTCATAGGTCATGCATCCTAATGCTTCTTTTTGAAAGAACATTTACCACCAGATACCTAGGGCTAAGGAGGGGTTCCTATGAGTCAGCTGTATGGTAACTTGGAAGAAAAATTCATGGTGAAGGTAACCCGTGAGGAGATTATTTAAAAACCAATGGAGGGCTGACAGCAGTGGCTTATGCCTGTAATTCCAGCACTTTGGGAGGCTAAGACAGGAAGATCGCTTGTGGCCAGGAGTTTGAGGCCAGCCTGGGCAATGTAGCAAGACTCTGCATCTATCAAAAATAAAAATAATTAGCCAGGCATGGTAGTCCCAGCTACTCAGTAAGCTGAGGCAGGAGGATCACTTGAGCTCAGGAGTTCAAGACTGTAGTGAGTGATAGGGCAAGACCTTATCTCTTAAAAAAAGAAAAAGAAAGCAACAACAACAGTGGAAAATGCCTTGGGGAAAACAGCCCCAAAGTGTGATCTCTGCCTCAACCAAGAGACACACATGACAGATTCCAACCATACCAGTAATGCAGATTTTTTTTCTTTATTCTGTCTCTCCTCCCCACTGAGTTAGACAGCAGAGAGTCTTGCAGGAGGGGGAGGAGGAAAAGCAAAGAGAATAAATGGAAGACATCCTCCTTCCTGCCCTTCTCCACTGAAAAGGAGAAGCCCAACTCAAAGCTTCTCCGAAGTCCAACTCAGGCCTGACTTACAGAAAGAAGAAAGAAGCGGGAGGGCACAGTGGCTCATGCCTGTAATCCCAGAATTTTGGGAGGCCAAGGCAGGCAGATCACCTGAGGTCAGCAGTTCAAGACCAGCCTGTCCAACATGGCGAAACCCCGTCTCTACTAAAAATGCAAAAATTAGCTGGGCTTGGTGGCAGGCACCTGTAATCCCAGCTACTTGGGAGGCTGAGGCAGGAAAATCGCTTGAACCCGGGAGGTGGAGGCTGCAGTGAGCCAAGATCGCACCACTGCACTCCAGCCTGTGCGACAGAGCAAGACTCCGTCTCAAAAAAAGAGAAAAAAAAGAGGAAAGAAGCTTTAATCAATTGAGACAATAAAGTCTTTCTTCGGATCGGGCTGGATTTTTTAATAACTGGATAAAGGTGATTAATTTGTTAGTGACCAGGAGAGTCTACAAGGCTCTGGGATCTGCCTGAGATTCCTTCTGGGATCAGGGCAGAACAATGCAACAGGACAGTCTAAAAGAGCAGTTACTGAGAAGAAATGAATCTGCTTCCATTTGCACCCTTCCAAGTCTAGCTCATGCAAAAGCAGTTGTACTCAGATGACTATTTTACTCACCAGCAGCCACAGCTTATGAAAAAGGAAATTGACAAAGGAAGAGGGTGAAGGGGCATAGGCAAGAAGAAAAGTCTTGAACTAGTGAGCACTGAAATCAAAACCGCAGGCTTATGGTTAGAGAAATTTCCCCCATTTCATGTATGAGGAAGCGAATACTTCCAGAATGTGAGTGACGTGTCTTAGATCACACAGCTTAGAGTGCAGCAGAGGCTAAAAAGGGACAAAGGTTGTCTGGTTCCAAATCCCAAATAGAAGATGGACTCGATCCAGAGGTGACTCATGGTGGGGAAGGCAGGGGTCCAGGATCCAGGAAAACACCATGAACTGATAGAGCAGTTCTGCAGGATGAAGTAGCTTTTTCTATCTGTGTGAAGCCAACAATATGAATGAGTGGAGAAAAGAGCGCATAGCTTTCATTCTTCCAGAGTCTGAGTTTTGCAGGGGATTGACTGGGATTGAGAATACATTTGCAAGATATTTTGTTTTTCTTCCCAGGCTTTTGGTTTTTAAGAAAACAGTCTGGCCAGGCACAGTAGCTCACGCCTATAATCCCAGCACTTTGGGAGGCCAAAGCGGATGGATCACAAGGTCAAGAGTTCGAAACCAGCCTGGCCAACATGGTGAAAACCCGTCTCTACTAAGAATACAAAAATTAGGCTGGGCGTGGTGGCTCACCCCTGTAATCCCAGCACTTTGGGAGGCTGAGGTGGGTGGATCACCTGAGGTCGGGAGTTTGAGACCAACCTGAGCAACATGGAGAAACCTCATCTCTACTAAAAATACAAAATTAGCCAGGTATGGTGGCGCATGCCTGTAATCCCAGCTACTCGGGAGGCTGAGGTGGGAGAATCGCTTGAACTCGGGAGGTAGAGGTTGCAGTGAGCCCAGATCGTGCCATTGCACTCCCGCCTGGGTGACAGAGACTCCGTCTCAAAAAAAAAAAAAAAAAATTCTGGAGCCTGGGAAGTCCAAGATCAAGGCACTGGCATATTCAGTATCTGGTGAGGGGCTGCTTCCTTGTTCGTGGATGGCCGTCTTCTGGCTATAACCTCACATGGCAGAAGAGGTGAAGGAGTTTTCTGAGGTCCCTTTTATTTAATTAATTAATTAATTAATTAATTTTTTTGAGATGGAGTCTCGCTCTGTCACCCAGGCTGGAGTGCAATGGTATGATCTCAGCTCACTGCAACCTCTGCTTCCTGGGTTCAAGAAATTCTCCTGCCTCAGCCTCCCAAGTAACTGGGACTACAGGTGCACCCCACCATGCCTGGCTAATTTTTGTATTTTTAGTAGAGATGGGGTTTCACATGTTGGCCAGGGTGGTCTCAAACTGCTGACCTCAGGTGACCCGCCTGCTTCGGCTTCCCAAAGTGCTGGGATTACAGGCGTGAGCCACCGCACCCAGCCTGGTGTCTCTTTTAAAAGAACACTAACCCCATTCATGAAGACTTCACCCTCATGAACATAATCACCTCCCCAAAGCCCAACCTCCTAGTCTCCTCCCCTTGAGGATTAGGCTTCAAGGCATACATTTTGCGGGGACACAAACTTTCAGTCTATAGCAGCTGGTTTAATTGTTGAATACACTTCCATGGTTTAAAAATAGAAAAACATGGCCGGGCGCGGTGGCTCACACCTGTAATCCCAGCACTTTGGGAGGCCGAGGCAGGCGGATCACGTGGTCAGGAGATCGCGACCATCCTGGCTAACATGGTAAAACCGTGTCTCTACTAAAAATACAAAAAATTAGCCGGGTGTAGCGGCGGGCGCCTGTAGTCCCAGCTACTCGGGAGGCTGAGGCAGGAGAATGGCGTGAACCCCGAGGGGCGGAGCTTGCAGTGAGCCGAGATCGCGCCACTGCACTCCAGCCTGGGCGACAGCGCGAGACTCCGTCTCAAAAAAAAAATAGAAAAACATACAGGTGTCTAGTGATAAGCTCCTCCCAGCTCCTGTTCCTGTTGTTATGTTGTCAAACCCCAAAATATAACCACTGTTATTGATTCCCTGTGCATTTTTCTAGAATTTTTTTTTCTTTTCTTTTCTTTCTTTTTTTTTGACATGGAATCTCACTCTTTCTCCCAGCCTGGAGTGCAGTGGTGTAATCTCAGCTCACTGCAACCTCTGACTCCCAGATTCAAGTGATCCTCCTGCCTCAGCCTCCTGAGTATCTGGGACTACAGGCACAGACCACCATGCCTGCCTAATTTTTGTATTTTTAGTAGAGGTGGGATTTCGCCATGTTGGCCAGGCTGGTCTCAAACTCCTGACCTCAAGTGATCTGCCCCCCTCAGCCTCCCAAAGTGCTGGGATTACAGGCATGATCCACCGTGCCCGGCCTAGAGTTTCTTTATGCATATGCATGCCACTACTTAGCAGTACAGTCATGAACTGCTTAAAGATGGGGATGTGCTCTCAGAAATGCATCAAGTGATTTTGTTGTATGAATATAATAGAGTTTACTTACACAAACCTAGATGGTTTAGCCTACTATATACACCTAGGCTATATGGTACAGCCTATTGATGCTAGACTACAAAACTGTATGGCATGTTACTGTTCTGAATACTGTAGGCACTTGTAGCACAGTGGTATTTGTGTATCTAAACACATAAACATAGAAAAGAAGCAGTAAAAATATGGTAGTATAATCTTATGGGACTGTCATAAAATATGCTGCTGCTTGTTGACTGAAATGTGGTTATTCAGCATGACTCTATATTATTTCCCTCTTTATTTTTCACAAAAGTTAGTATACTGTAATATTGTTCTGTATTTTGTTATTTCCCTTAGCAGTCTTGGAAATACATATATATTTTTTTCTTTTAGAGACAGAGTCTCACTCTGTCTCCCAGGCTGGGGTGCAGTGGCACAATCTCAGCTCACTGCAACCTCCACCTCCTGGGTTCAAGTGATTCTCCTGCCTCAGCCTCCTGAGTAGCTGAGATTACAGACACACGCCACCATGCCTGGCTACTTTTTGGATTTTTTAGTAGAGACAGGGTTTCACCACACTGGCCAGGCTGGCCTCAAACTCCTGACCTCAGGTGACCCACCCACCTCGGTCTCCCAGAGTGCTGGGATTACAGGCATGAGCCACCACGCTGGCCTTTTTTTTTTTTTTTTCATTTTGAGACGTAGTCTCGCTCTGTCTCCCAGGCTGGAGTGCAGTGGCATGATCTCAGCTCACTGCAACCTTTGCCTCCCGGGTTCAAGCGATTCTCCTGCCTCAGCCTCCCGAGTAGCTGGAATTACAGGTACCTACCACCATGCCCAGCTACTTTTAGTATTTTTAGTAGAGATGGGGTTTCACCATGTTGGCCAGGCTGGTCTTGAACTCCTGACCTCAAGTGATCTGCCCACCTTGGCCTCCCAAAGTGCTGGGATTACAGGCATGGGCCACCATGCCCGGCCAGAAATATTTCTTAGCATATAGATAATTTTCTTATTTTTACTGGTGCCTAGTATTCTATTGTAAGGATATATCCCAATTTATGAACCCTGTCTCCTATTGATGGATATTTTATTATTATTTTTTGAGACAGGGTCTTACTGTCACTCAGGCTGAGTGCAGTGGCAGCTCGCTGCAGCCTTGACCTCCTGGGCTCAAGCGATCCTCCTTTCTCAGCCTCCCAAGTAGTTGGGACTACAGGTGTATGCCACCAAGCCTGGCTAATTTTTTTTTTTTTAATTTTTAAATTTAAAATTTTTGTTTTTGGTAGAGACGAAGTCTTGGTATGTTGCCCAGGCTGGTCGTGAACTCCTAGATGCAAGCGATCCTCCCACCCTGGCCTCCCAAAGTGTATTTTTAAAAATAATTTCTTTATTCTCAAATGATAGTGACTGGATTGATACTGGTGGGAATTGTAATATAAATTTCCTGGCCGGGCACGGTGGCTCAAGCCTGTAATCCCAGCACTTTGGGAGGCAGAGGCGGGCGGAACACGAGGTCAGGAGATCAAGACCATCCTGGCTAACGTGGTGAAACCCCATCTCTACTAAAAATACAAAAAATTAGCCAGGCGAGGTGGTGGGCGCCTGTAGTCCCAGCTACTCGGGAGGCTGAGGCAGGAGAATGGCGTGAACCTGGGAGGCGGAGCTTGCAGTGAGCTGAAATCGCGCCACTGCACTCCAGCCTGGGCGACAGAGGGAGACTCCGTCTCAAAAAAAAAAAAAAAAAAAAAAAGACACCAAAGGCGATGAAACTGTTTTCTGTTTGGGATGGCTGATGGTCATGACCTCTACTGGTTTCAAGAACTGTCCCTGACCAATACTAACTTTTGTATTTTCTTCCTGCTTTCTCCTCCCTTTTACTCTCCTTCCTCTCTTCTCTCTCTCCATTTTCTTTGTTATTGCTAAATATAGGGAGCTAAGGGTTGTTTAGCATTTAGATTCAAAATGACAAATGTGCCTTACAGTGGCATTTCTCAAATTTTAATGTGCAAACTAATCACCAGGTGATCTTGTTAAAATGCAGATTTGATTCTGGAATGGGGCCTGAGATTCTACATTTCACAGAAGCTCCTAGGTGATTGAGGCTGTTGATCCATGGGCTACACTGTAACAGGCAGTGTCCTCTTACAGTAGAGTTACAGAAACTGTTTATCTAAAGAGCACTTTCTTGTAAGCTTGCTCCAACTCTCCAAAGAAAGAACAAGCAGTTTAGCCCTCTCTTCTTTACCCCACCCCAGCTAATTCTCTTTGGCTTGGCCTTGCGGAGGGAAGCATGTTCCCCTTGTCTTATCACAGGAAAGTATATCTTAGGTGTTGTATTCTGGAGTCAGTTTTGCTATTTACATTGCTGCATCACAGATTCCTAACAAATCAGTTAATTTGAATTTGACTTTTGTACAATCCAAAGGACAAGAGGAAAAAAAGAGTTTAAAAACACAAAAGCTGAGAAAGTTGAAAGCTATTTAGTTGCGTCTCTTTGAACAGAATTTATTGAATTAGGGGAAGTTTATCTTTGATTTGTATTTCCTTTCCAGTTATCAGTTGTACATTTTGCTCAAACACCCAACTGCTCATATTTCTTCTGTGTACGATTTACTCTAATTTTGCTTTGAGGAAATGATTAATCAGAAACCAGAGGGATGTAGGCCGGGTGTGGTGGCTCACGCCTGTAATCCCAGCACTTTGGGAGGCCGAGGCGGGCATATCACCTGAGGTCGGGAGTTCGAGACCAGCCTGGCCAACATGGTGAAACCCCATCTCTACTAAAAATACAAAAATTAGGTGGGAATGGTGGCGCACGCCTGTAATCCCAGCTACTTGGGAAGCTGAGGCAGGAGGATCACTTGAACCCAGGAGGCGGAGGTTGCAGTGAGCCAAGATCACGCCACTGCACTCCAGCCTGGGCGACAGAGACTCCATACAAACAAACAAAAAAACCAGAGGAATGTATACCAGCGAGTTGAGATACATCTTTTTGGAAAGAACATCATCTTTAATGAATTCTGTAAGAATTGGTTCAGCAATTAACATGGGAAAGTTCATACAGGTGAGATCTTTTAAAAAAAGTTTTTAAAGAAAAGCAAAAAAGCAAGAATACTGGTGAAGATCCTTGGTTTCTAATAACGTGAATCTATTACACAGCAATTGAGCCACCTGGAGAATATGAAAATTCAAATTTCCACCCTCATCTACCTTCTGAAGACTGGGATACACAGTAGCCACCTTTATCTTTCTAGGCTATCTGGATGACTAGAATGCAGTAATGGTGCTAGGACAATTGACACCACTGCTGTCACCCTCACCCACAGTATAAAGTTATCTGTGATCTCTTTTCTGAAAATCTTAAGCTGTCTACAGGCTGGGGTTAAAGAACTTAGATAAGTTTTCTCTTCTTCAGAGAATTGTTTTCAGCAATTCCCTATCAGTTACACCTTTAAGGAACAGGTTAAACTGATTTATATAATTTTATTTTGTTGAAATTCTAACCATTTAGTTTTGGAACTGGACGTAGTCTTGAAAAGAGAACTAGTACCCCACCCTCGCAGGGTGAAAGAATTGGTAGTTGCTACTTTTCTACTGACCAGCAGCATATATTATACAGGAAGGTGACTTTTTTGAAACAGTCTTTCTCTGTTGCCCAGGCTGGAGTGCAGTGGCGTGACCTCGGCTCGCTGTAAGCTCCACTTCCCCAGCTCAAGCGAATCTCATGCCTCAGCCTCCCTAGTAGCTGAGACTACAGGTGTGCGACACCATGCCTGGCTAATTTTTGTATTTTTAATAGAGAGGGGTTTTGCCACATTGGCCAGGCTGGTCTCAAACTCCTGGCCTCAAATGACCCACCCGCCTTGGCCTCCCAAAATGCTGCAGTAACAGGTGTGAGCTACCGCACCCGGCCAGAAGGTGACTTTAGACATGTCAGTAGCCTTAGCGCACATCTACTGCCAGGACTTCTCTGATTTTAAGATTACAGGTTCTGGAAGCCTTTTAAACATTCTCTTTTACTTGTACACCTAGGGTGAACCCCTTGTGTGCAAATAACCTTAAAAGTTGCCTCCTCCAAGCCCAGCTTTTTTTTTTTTTTTTTTGAGACGGAGTCTCACTCTGTCACCCAGGCTAGAGTGCAGTGGCACAATCTTGGCTCACTGCAACCTCTGCCTCCCAGGTTCAAGCAATTCTCCTGCCTCACCCTCCCGAGTAGCTGGGATTAGAGGCACCTGCCATCACGCCCGGCGAATTTTTGTATTTTTAGTAGAGATGAGGTTTCACCATGTTGGTCAGGCTGGTCTCGAACTCCTGACCTTGTGATCTGCCCCGCCTCGGCCTCCCAAAGTGCTAGGATTACAGGTGTGAGCCACCGTGCCCGGCCTAGCCCAGCCTTTTCTTGATCTCAGTTCTATATACTACTGTTAGCATTAGTGATTTGGGCATTGACTGCTTCTAGTGGATGTGTGGGATGGTCTTGCTTATATTAAGTTCAGAGTCTCATTGTTCTCAGGTTTCTAGGATGCAGTGTAGTGTAGTAGCAAGTTTATAAACTTCAGAGCTCATGGGTCAAATCCCACTTACGCCACTTACTTGCATAACACTGTGGACATGTTGCTTAGCCTGAGTTCAACTTCCCCACGTAGAGTAAAACCTACTTTATAAGGTAGCTGTGAGGACCACTGTAACATCTGTAAAACACATAGTACAGTGCTCCAAAAGACAGTAGCTATCAATATGGTATGTTAGCAATAGAGCTCCATATTCTTTTGTGCATGAAATACAAAGAAAACAAGTAGCACTGGTAACAACACATTTATTTACGTACCCTGTTGTGTGACCGGGAGGTGTTTTTCACTTTCCAATAATTGATTCGGTTATAACAATTAAAATTCCAGAAGGTAAACTAGTAATTTATTGTTGCTCATAAGCATAGGTAAACAGACATGGTACCACAATAAAGGAATCTTAAACACTTCTAACCTTTTGGAATAGGTTTGAATATGGACCAATATACTTTGCCAATGGACCTAATAGATTACCAATATACTTCTAAATGTCATGGTTCTCTTCAGACACAACAGAAGAAATCTGGATCTAATTTTTAAACTTCAGAAATTTAACCAAGATGCTTAGGAAGATGCAAAAGGACAGCAGTACTTAAGCCTGTCATATTTATCACCAATATAACTGTATTGCTATTAAAAGTAAAATCATGGTAGGGAGCAGCCAACTAATTGCTAGTCTCAGTTCATAGATTTAGTATTTTTTGAAAATAATTCACCTCAGATGGCAGGCTATACAAGTTTAAAGTAGTTTTAACTTAACCTTTTGTGTACTAGTGAAAGCAATTCAGATAGATCCCAAGTCAAAGAACCAAACAGTGTATCAAGTTGGGTTTCATATCAGAAATCAGCCATTTCCAAACAACTGCATCGTATAGGACGTTTTCTTTCAGACTGCCTTTTATTCCTGGCTTCAAATCTTACTCACAGTATATGTTTTTAGAGAGTTTGGTAAGTGTAACAAATGGGTACTCATTGCTAGAGCAGGATATAAGAATGTGCTGATCACCAAGTATGAGATTTACATTACATTAAATTAAAATTATATAATGTTGGAAATAGACAATATAGGGAGTTCCCGGATCCTAGAAAATATTATGGCTAAGGAAACAGAGAACTCAAGAAATGAATCTACCTCCAAGAAACTAATTCAGTATAGTAAAATAGAATTAAGTGCCCTGTCTCAGGAAAAAGTTTATTAAGAATAAGGAACAAGTGGGACATCATACATCGTTTCTTTGGAGATTAAAGTGCAGGCTATGAAATGGCATATAAAATAATGCATAAAATAGTGCAATCTTAAGGTGCCATTATTTTTATTACACATAGCCTAGTTTTATGTCCATTTTCTCTCAAAAATCCAGCTGTAGTGACACCTTTTAGCTTATTAATTTAGGCATTACTTATACTGTTTTACCCACCTTTGGGGCTACATAGAATATTTTAACATTTTTAACACGTAGAATAATTGCGCATATATCTTGAAACTACTAAATAGAGATTAAGGCAAGCCCCTGTAAAGTTCAGTACTCCAAAAAAAGTGTTTTGCAAAAAAATTGCTTCCCAAATCAGTGGCTTTTGACCTGATGGTACCCCAATAGTCTTTAAAACTATTTTAAAGTATAATGACTCTCAATACATTTGCGTTTGCTCCATTATTTCCAGGCTCTGTACAGGAGTTTGAAAAACAACAGGTTCTATAACCTCAGAATCTGTGAAAACCAGTTAAGCCAAGTGCATGTGGGAGATAAGCAGAGGATCCGGCTGGGGTGGGGTAAGGTCAGCCGTTTCTGTCTCTTAGGCATGCCTTTTCACATTGCTATCCATGTGTGCAGCGCTGTACCAGAATACATTTCTATGTGGGAAGGACCCATTAACATGGAGACGTCTCCTCTGAAAAACAGCCAAGGAAGATAACGGGAATACTTTAAGAAATGTTGCACTAAGACAACGCAATATTAACAACACGCAGTATTTAAATACCTGACTTAAAATGCAGGGCAGAATGGTTCTCTCAGGAGGTTAATTTACAGTTTTCTTGTAACATATGTCAGTTCTAGCTGATCATAATAATCTGCGGTTTGTTGAACCTTAAATACCATTATGCTATCCATAGGTAAGCATAATGGCTATCAAATAACTGTCCTAACAAGTGGTGAAGGCAATATCCTAACATGTTTTAGCTAAATAGCCTAAGATTTAAGATTTGAACAACCGAACTGTAGTGCTTTATTCTCCTACTGCATGGAACATTCATGCATTAACAAGTACAATGAATTAGCTTTATGAATAGATGATTATAAGTGTATGCAATAGAAATTTGGATTTTGTAATAGAAAATTTACCTTGTAACAGTGTGACTACTTATTATGAAAGCCCTATACACATGTTAACTAATGGAAGACTACATAGATGTTTAGGCTATCTAGATGTAGTTTAAAAAGAAATTCAGGAAATTTTTAATAGTTCATGAATGACCATTAAAGAAACAGTCTGGGGCTGTATCCCTTTGATGCATACGGATCACACTCTGTAAATCTGTAAACACATGCTTTGATACGTAAAAAAAAAAGTCTTCCTATGACCGGAAAAGCAGACTAGTAGAGGCCCCGGGTATTCCACCAGGCCTCCTCTAAAGATATGCTAATATGGCTAAATACTATGATTATAAAAATGAGAAGTGCTGAGAAAACGAGTTCCAGACGGGGACTTTTATGGATGACCTTGGCTGACAAATGTTTTTTGGAAATTGTTTTATTTTAAAATTACCTTCCCAACAAACCATGAAACACTTGGATGTTACTTTATGGTTTTTCATTGAAAACATACTACATTGTAAATGGAATTTCAAAGTCAGACATAGAATTGATCAAAATCTAAGGACAATATTATGTAAGGACAATATTAAAAATGGATAGAAAAAGCTTCATTTGGTGAGGTTAATCTAAAGGATGCATAACCATGTCACGGTGGACGGATAAAAAAGGTGATAACCTTGTGCTTTTATTCAACTAAGGTACTTACCAAAACCTTAGGTTTTATACAGGTGTTAAGCTCCCACCTGGAAAGGGACAGTTTTCTATATTACACCTAAATTTACTTTAAATAACTGAAGCCCAAGGAAACAGTTGTTTAAAAGAACTTAACAGTCAAATAGCTACATAATTTAGTAAATTAAAATACAACTAAGACAGTGATAATTGAATGTCTCAAAACTATACAACTGGGGAAAATAACCACTGTACACAATTTGGAGGTTGTTAAAGCGACCACTCAGGAGGTTGAACAGTGCAAGACATGCTTTTCCAGTTACAAGCTCAAAATAGGAGTGCAAACAAAATTAAAGCTTTTGTTTAAAGTTGTAGGGTAAGGAAAGCTTGAAACTAATATTAAAAAGCTTCCCTCAAGGTCATCCTCCAGAAATGAAATAATCAAAATGCTTTTTCATGGTACAATTTTCCTCAATGAACTTTGCTGCAATGGCAAAACTGCATCCCGCAAGTCGAGTCCCCTACTCACTCACCACATCTGATCAATGATCACATGGTGGTGAGCAAAGAGGAGTATTAGCTCCCAGAGGTCCAATATTGATAGAAAGAGCCTTGAAATTTGGGGTTCTGCCTTAGCCAGTGTACCTGAACCCTACAGAGAGCAGATAAAGCAATGGGCTTTAATAGTCTCTTGTTCCTATAAAACTGGAGGACAAATGGATGAACAATTCCCCCTCTAGAGGCAAGCTGTTGCGGTGGAAGATGTTAAGCGTTTAAATAAACTAAGACGCCGCTCTAAAAAGTGGAGAAGTATAGAGGTTCAAGATCAATACCAGTGCAAGAGCTTTTTAAGTGAGTTGACTAGGCAATGCATGCATCCATCCATGCAAATGTAGGACATGGCCCCCAAAGAGAACTGAAAACATGTATAACAGCTGGGTAAGTTCCTTGCCAGTAGTTTATAAAAATATATAGTCAATATTGTAGAGGCTCCTTCTACAGTCAATACTATGGAAGTCCATTTTAGTTACCCATTACTTCAATACCAAAAAGCATTAACTACTTTTCAGACATTCCAGACAAAGGTCACTTATAACAAAAAGATGACTTAAAAAAAAAAGAACCAAGATAGTGTCCATTTAAAAAGTAGGTCTTTTCTTTCAAGTGAACAGGACATTTTCTGTATTAAACTTAACTTCTAGTCTGTCAAGACTGGGTTTAAGATCCTTACGTATGTATGTGCATATATGCAGAAACAAATTAACTTACTTTCAACATTATCTGCACAGAAAAAAGTTAACTCCTCAAAACATGATAGAACAGGTCTGGTTAGTACAAATCTATTGCAAAGTAAAAAGATTCTGTGCATCAGTTCAATCAGGAGAAGCAGGAAAAGAATGTCCCAACCATAAGAGTTCAAGTTTAAGTTGTGTTCTGAAAGCCTAGAAGCTTAAGGGACACCATGTTGCTCACAGTATCCTGATATGCATAACTGCTTAAGCTACTAAGCTGTGTCTTCCTCTGGAACTAGAACCACATTCCAATTTACTTTCTATTCCGAAGACGTTTAGATTTCCTAAGAGAGTCTATGGCTTCCGTGGCCTTTTTTCGTTTCCGAGGAGACTCCTCATTCTGCCCGGACCCTGAGGAATTTCCTACAGCACTTTCCATTACTTCTCGTAGTTTGCGTTCTAGCTCTGCCAACCGTGCATTTTGTTCACCTATGATCTGGGTCTGCTCTAGCAGTTTCTGGTCCTGGTCTTGAAGCTGTTTTTGCTGTTCTTGCACTTTGGTGCGAAGCTCAGAAATTTCACGCCTGAGAACAGTCACGCCAGCACCATTTGTTTTAACCTGCTGCTGGAGTTTGGTAACCTCTTGTCTTGAAGGATTTTGCTTGGAGAAGAGCTGCATTGTTGTTAGGGCTGCAGACGGTCCTGGAACTGTGGAGGAATAATTCAAAAGGGTCAGTCACTTAAAATGTCTCTCTACCAGTAATACTTACACTTATTTAAAAATGGAATACCCTTACTATGTCACTTCTGATAATTTCTTCTTCTTTGCAATCCATTTGGTCAGTTGGGTTAATCATCATAATTTAACACCTTATTTTAACTATAAATGAGTTTAAATTCTGATTCTCCTGCTCATGTGGCAGTATGTAGACTGCCAGGAAACGGAGAAGGGCATTTAATGGCATAAACTTGAATTTAAAATACTGTACAATATTTTTAGAACCTAGTAACAAAATACAAGCAGTAAAATTAGAAAATAATAATTTTTTTTTTTTTTTGAGACAGAGTCTCACTCTATTGCCCAGGCTGGAGTGCAGTGGCGTGATCTCGGCTCACTGCAAGCTCCGCCTCCTGGGTTCACGCCATTCTCCTGCCTCAGCCTCCCAAGTAGCTGGGACTACAGGCACCCGCCACCACGCCTGGCTAATTTCTTTTCGTATTTTTAGTAGAGATGGGGTTTCACCATGTTAGCCAGGATGGTGTGGATCTCCTGACCTCATGATCTGCCTGCCTCGGCCTCCCGAAGTGCTGGGATTACAGGCGTGAGCCACTGCGCCCGGTCAGAAAATAATTATTTTCTATCTAATTCACATAACAAACATAAACTTTCAAGTTAGAAGTACACACCTACAGGTTGCACGTTTCTAATCCAGAAATCTGAAATCCAAAATCTGCAACTTCTTGAGCACCAACATGATGCTCAAGGAAATGCTCATTGGAGCATTTTGGAATGTGGGTATGCGGATAAGAGATTGTGCAGCCAGTAAGTGTAATGCAAATGTTCCAAAATCTGAAAAAAAGCCGAAATCTGAAACACTTCTGGTCCTAAGAAATTCGGATAAGGGATACTCAGCCTGTATCGTGTTCTTAAGTTCACTCTGCACTTAAGTTATATACAAAGGCTTCAACTTTAGCCAAATGATAGGGACTCCACTAAACAGTGGGTTACATCATACATTATGACCACAGAGAATTCCTGACATGGTGTAGGAAGGCCTTGGACCTATTCTTTTAGGAATAATTAGAATGTAACACAAGCATAAAAATAACTATTTTAAACAAAGAACCTACTTTCTTTTAAACTTATCTACTGAAGGTTTTCTAAAAGAACCAGATGGGTCCATTCATATCCTAAACCATAATGTTAATCTTCTCCTTGCACATCTAAATAACTGTATTTCCTTTATGGATGCATTCTTCTTTCCCTCTCTGCTTATCCGTATCCAACTTCTACTTATTCACCAAGGCTTAAATCAATCGTTACTTCCTGTGATGTTTCCATCAGACCAGCCAACACTGATCTTATCTACCTTAAAATTGTTTCTCTGCTCTCATTTGACATTTAATTGGACATTGCCTTATTTGTTTTGCCTATGATAATTTATTTAACTTCAAGTCTGGGTATATCTTACCTTTTGAAATAGTAAGATCCTTGAGAGCAGACACCACGTATTACACTTCTTTTTAGTCTCCACAGGACACAGTACAGTGCTGTGCGCATAATAGGTACTCAATAAATAACAGATACATTAATGCTGAGATGTGTAGGCTTTATTACTCAATTACAGAAAGCCACTCGGTTGCCTCACTGAGTACTACAGGGAGCTAACTAATCTGAACAAAACAAAAAGTTTTACTAAATTCTTTCCTAATTTAAAGTACTTGCCAGAGTTAGGGACATTAAATAATTTAGTCTTTCAGTAGATAAAGGCACAAATCTCTAGGAGCCAATATACTTTTGCAAAAACAGTTATTTAGCACAGATGAAGTGATACTGTTCAAAATAGCCTTATGAACCCTTTCTTTTAAAGTAGCAGCCGGGTGTGGTGGCTCATGCCTGTAATCCCAGCACTTTGGGAGGCCGAGGCAGGTGGATCACGAGGTCAGGAGTTCAAGACCAGCCTGAACAACATGGTGAAACCCTGTTTCTACTAAAAAATACAAAAATTAGCCAGGCGTGGTGGCACACGCCTGTAATCCCAGCTACTCAGGAGGCTGAGGCGGGAGAATTGCTTGAACTTGGGAGGCGGACGTTGCAGTGAGCAGAGATCACGCCATTGCACTCCAGCCTGGGCGACAGAGTGAGACTCCATCTCAAAAAAAATAAAAAATAAAAAATAAAGTAGCAGGCAGACACTTTGGGGGCTGAAATAATTCACCAAATATGTCCCTGAAGAGTTTTTGGCATTTTATCTGGTATATTTGTTTTTTAAAAAATGAATATTAATTCATCAGAAACATAAAAAAATACAGATGGTCCTCAAATTACAATGGTTTAACTTAATGATTTTTTTTTTTTTTTGAGACGGAGTCTCACTCTGTTGCCCAGGCTGGAGTGCAGTGGCGTGATCTTGGCTCACCGCAACCTCCGCCTCTTGGGTTCAAGTAACTCTCATGCCTCAGCCTCCCTAGTAGCTGGGACTACAGACATGCGTCACCACGCTTGGCTAATTTTTTTTTTTTTTTTTGAGACGGAGTCTCGCACTGTCACCCAGGCTGGAGTGCAGTGGCACGATCAATCTCGGCTCACTGCAAGCTCCGCCTCCTGGGTTCATGCCATTCTCCTGCCTCAGCCTCCTGAGTAGCTGGAACTACAGACACCCACCACCGCGCCCAGCTAATTTTTTGTATTTTTAGTAGAGACGGGGTTTCACCATGTTAGCCAGGATGGTCTCCATCTCCTGACCTCGTGATCCGCCCGCCTTGGCCTCCCAAAGTGCTGGGATTACAGGCATGAGCCACCGCGCCCGGCCAATTTTTTGGTATTTTTTAGTAGAGACACGGTTTTACCATGTTGGCCAGGCTGGTCTTGAACTCCTGACCTCAGGTGATCGGCCCGCCTCGGCCTCCCAAAGTTCTGGGATTATAGGCATGAGCCACCGCGCCCAGCCAACTTAATGATTTTTTGACTTTACAATGGTATGGAAGTGATAGACATTTAGTAGAAATTGTACTTCAGGTATCCACAGAACCATTCCGTTTTTCACTTTCAGTACAATAGAAAATGAATTCAGTAAATTACACAAGGATGCTTTATTATAAAATAGGCTTTGCTAGATAATTTTGCCCAACTGTAAGCTAAGGAAGTGTTCTGAGCATGTTTAAGGTAGGTTAGGCTAAGCTATGATGTTCGGTAGGTTCGTGTATTAAGTGCATTTTTTGACTTACAATATTTTCTACTTATGATGGGTTTATCAGGATGTAACCCCATTGTAAATTAAGGAGCATCTGTATGTAACTTTTCACCTTGAACTCCTGGGCTGAAACGATCCTCCCGCCTCAGTCTCCCAAAGTGCTGGGACCACAGGCGTGGGCCACTGCGCCTGGTCCAGCAATCCTATTTCTTTTTTTTTTTTTTGAGATGGAGTTTCGCTCTTGTTGCTCAGGCTGGAGTGCAATGGCGCGAATCTGGCTCACTGCAACCTCTGCCTCCCAGGTTCAAGCGGTTCTCCTGCCTCAGCCTCCAGAGTAGCTAGGATTACAGGTGTGCGCCACCATGCCCAGCACATTTTTGTATTTTTAGTAGATACGGGGTTTCACCATGTTGGCCAGGGTGGTCTTGAACTACCGACCTCAGGTGATCCACCCACTTTGCCCTCCCAAAGTGCTGGGATTACAGGTGTGACCCACTGCGCCTGGCCGGGCCCAGCTATTCTATTTCTAATAAGTTTATTGTAAGTCAATATGGATATGTGCAAAGATTTAGTCGCAAGACCGCTCAGATTGTTCTTCAGAGTATAAGTACTGAAAAGCTAGAAACAAGAAATGAGCCTAACTAGTGGATTAGTTGTGTAAGTTATGGTTGATAATCCAATCTCATTAAAAATGATGCTGCCAATAAACAACTACTAACACAGAAAAGTTCAAGACACTGGTTAAGTGGAAAAAAACCGGAAGCAAGTTACAAAATTATGTACAAGCATGATTATAAAGTAGAGATACCTGGAGGAGAGCCCATGAGTCTTCCAGAAACATCTGATCCTGGTAATTTCCTCTTTAAAATTGGAACAATCTTTTCATCAAAGTACTCCATTGCCATAGAGGATATATCCCTTAATTCTTGAAGTACTTCATGAGCTCGTTGAGGGGCTCTGGTAGAATTGACATATCTCAACACACGATAAATCTCATCAATCACCTAAAATAATGAATTCTCATTAGCACTTTAGATTTTTCTTTTTTAATAAAGAAAATAGCTAAACAGGCAGAGAAGTAACTGCTTGTTTTGCAATTCCAGTAAAGACCTGTAGGGTGATTTAAGTGATGTACTGGCCACTGATGAATATTGCTATTTACAACACATGGCTTTTGGACTTGTTACAGTACTTTTTTTTTTTTTTTTTTTTTTTTTTTTGAGACAGAGTTTCACTCGTTGCCCAAGCTGGGTGCAGTGGTGCGATCTCAGCTCATTGCAACCTCTGCCTCTTGGGTTCAAGCAATTCTCTGCCTCAGCCTCCTAAGTAGCTGGGATTACAGTTGCCCGCCATCACGCGTGGCTAATTTTTTGTATTTTTAGTAGAGATGGGTTTCATCATGTTGTCCAGGTTGGTCTCAAACTCTTGACCTCAGGATCCACCCACCTCGGCCTCCCAAAGTGCAAAGATTACAGGTGTGAACCACTGTGCCCGGCCTGTTACATACTTCATACTTGCATTTATTAAGCACCTTTTATGTATCAGGTACTATGTTGGGACTGAGGAATCAGGATGAATAAAATAAAGCTTCTAACCCTGAAGGAAATCACAGTGTAACTGGGGAGATATGTGTGTACATAAGTGATACAAACAGGTATACAAATTGCTATAGACACTAGAGGACTAAACTAAGAAATTAAATCCTGTATGGGAGCTGGGTAGGGTTGGAGATTGCCCAAACCCATTTTATTAATCCTCCAAACCTGAATCTGTTCCCCTAAGCTGCAGGGACTCAGCCTGATTTCTCTGCTCTTTTTAATACTGCCCCCATGTGCTCTATCCCTTTAAGTTTTGTTTCTCTGAGACTTGTTACGGATTGGAATGAAGTCTTGTCACTTCCTTGTCACCACCAAAAGGTAGCAGAAGATCCTTTTTTGTTTTAATGATAATTGTAATGGGGAGAACACCTAACTCTCTTGCTGGAACAGTAAGTGAACCTTCCTTAGGCATTTGTGATATTAGCTTTCATCTCGGTGAGGTTATCCTTAATTCTTCCCTGTGGCTTCAGAATAGACCTGAAGATAAAATTCCTTTTTTTTTTTTTAAGATGGAGTCTCACTGTGTTGTCCAGGCTGGAGTGCAGTGGCACAATCCTGGCTCACTGTCATCTCCAACCGCAGGGTTCAAGTGATTCTCCTGCCTCAGCCTCCCAAGTAGCTGGGATTACAGACATGTGCCACCACACCTGGCTAATTTTGTATTTTTAGTAGAGACAGGGTTTCACCGTGTTGGCCAGGCTGGTCTTGAACTCCTAACTTTAGGTGATCCACCCTCCTTGGCCTCCCAAAGTGCTGGGATTACAGGTGTGAGCCACCATGCCCGACCTAAAATTCCTACTTCTAAAGACCCCAATCTGGATGACATCTATGGGCCCTTAACCTCGTAAGAACTGAGGGTTAATCAACCAAACCATTCTGTCACCAAAATCTCAAACAACCTGGCATCCCACATATTCCTCCCACTGCATTTATCTAGCTTGCTCCCAACTCTGGATCAATCTTATAATCCATCTTCCCTTCTCCTTTACTTATTTAGGCTGCTGAGCACAGCCAGAGAAACAATCTTGCAGAATCGTATCAGGACAAATTCACAGCCCTTCACATTTTCTAGACTCTCAGCATAATATGATGATCATTGTTAATGGAGCATGATGTATGCTTAATAAATGTCAGCAAAATCTAACCTTAGGATGTATCCTTATCATAAGCCTGAGAAGACATCATAGGAGAGGCCAGGTTTGTGGGCTTGGAGAACTGAACAGGAAATGGCTTGGGCTGAGGTGGTGTACGTAGGCAGATGCAATGGGAGATGAGATGTGTGATTTTGAATCACATGGGACATGTAGGTGATATTTGCTAGCAGGTGGCTTGAGATACAGGATGGGAGTTCAGGAGAGGAATTTTGGATGATGGCTGATTGCCAAAGGAGAAAACATATTTATTTCTGGCAATATTACTATATTACGAGCTCACTTTAGAAGAAGATAACCCCTTTCCCCAATAAAAACTTACTGAACTACTATGTTAGGAACTATATATACAAAGAAATGAAAAATGGAGTACTTTCCCTTGGACTTACAATTTAATTACGTAAGCCTATCATAACTTGTAAGATAAACATTATTCAAGTATTGAGTTCTTACTATGTACTTGTCACTTTTCAAAGTACTGGAGTAAAAAACAGTAAATAAGGATGACAAGATTATCATTCTCATGAAGCTAAACAGGAAAATAATTTAAAGGAGTGCCACATGGAAAAAAGAGGGTAATGTGACAGTTTCTATCAGGAAAGGCAGGAATAACATGAGATGGGTGGTTGGGAAAGGATTCTTTGCCATTTGTAAGGTAAGACTGAAGGATGAGGAAGAACTGATCAATTGAAGATATGGGGAGAAAAGTCTTTCAGGTAGAAATAGTAATGATAGTGGCCCCAAGGTCAGTGTCAGCTTGGCTTGTTCAAGGAGTTCAAGGACTAGAAATAGACAAATTTTATATATACATGTATATCTCCAAAGAGTAAATATTTGTGGAAGCTAGCTACTCAAAGCTTAAAAGTTATATAATATTTATACATAATCAAGAAATAGTTAATAAAATTAAAAATATAAACCAAAGTAGAAAATCAGTATTTAAAGGGTCCTTCATACTGACTGATATTTTATGTATAGTGCTAGGATATTAATTGACCCATAGTAGTTTTGTGTTTATCAACGTTTTACATATGGGTTATATATAGGAAAAGTACCACAGTACTCCATAATTTTTTCAGACGGAGCTTCGCTCTTGTTGCCCAGGCTGGAAATGACATGGTATTGGTTCACTGTAACCTCCACCTCCTGGGTTCAAGCAATTCTCCTGCCTCAGCCTCCCAAGTAGCTGGGATTACAGGCACCCACCACCAAGCCTGGCTAATTTTTGTATTTTTAGTAGAGACAGGGTTTCACCATGTTGGCCAGGCTGGTCTCAAACTCCTGACCTCAGGTGATCTGCCTGCCTTGGCCTCCCAAAGTGCTGGGATTACAGGCATAAGCCACTGCACCTGGCCTTCCATAATTTTTAAATGTTGTCCCCAAAGGCTAATATGTTGCATCTATAGATACAAACTGGCCATCAGCCCTTTGAACTAAATCAAGTTCCCCACCTTTTTGCCCCAGGGCTTTTGCACATGCTGATCCCTTTCCTGGAATGCCATCCCTGTGTATCTCCCTCACTTCAAATTCCTTAGTTATACACGAGGTCACAGTAACACTGTACTTTCTCAGAAGTCTTTTCTGAACCCTCCTCCAATTTAAATCATGTTAACATCTTCATCCAACCCTTTATTCCCCTTCAGAACACACATTACAATTTGTAAGTACATCTTTTTGTTAATTTCTATCTTCCATATAATGTAGTAAACTCTATGACAGAAGAGATCATACCATGTTTCACTGTCAGATCCCCAGAGCCTAGCAGCATCTGGCACATGGCAGATACTCAGTAAATAAGGGGTAAAGATGGTTAAGTATATTAATTGTTTAACATTAATTGATACATCTAAACAAAACTGTTTAAGGGCAAATGAAAGGGTTAATTCAACACAAGAATTTGTTTTTTGGCTGGGCGTGGTGGCTCATACCTACGGTGCCAGCACTTTGGGAGGCCGAGGTGGGAAGACTGTCTAGGGACAGGAGTTTGAGACCAGCCTGGGCAACACTGTGAGCTCTGTCTCTACAAAAAATTAAAAAATTAGCTGTGCGCATGCCTATAGTCCCATGAGCTGTGATCAGTCCAGGTGATGGGGCAAGACTGTCTCAAAAAAAAAAAAAAAAAGATTATATGGTTTTTCAGAAGTCAGATGATTATGTTTTGAACACAAAGGTCATTGTAAACAAGATCTCTATTGAGACGGACTTGTAAAAATATAGAATACTTAAAATAGTACTTATATGTTTAATAAAATACCCACAGCCTTATTAATATACCTCTAGATATTATATGTTTATAAATACTGGTAGACAGAAGAATATTTATAGTGTATTTGGGCTAGAATAGGACTGTTGTAATGGTATAGGCATAAGACACAGATCCTATCCAGTGAAACATGACTCCATGAAAGACCCATAAACAGCAAAGCAAAACTCAGACTGTAATAAGTTCAATGTATAAGCAAAGTGCTGTGTGAAAACAGAGTAGAGATTAAGATCCAGTTGAGAGAACTGGGTAGGTCTAATGAAGGACATTAGTAAGTAAATTTCAACAGGTAAGGGAAGTTAGAGCAGGAGGAAGGTACACCTGGCTAAACAGTGTGGAGTTGAGCACAGGGATGATGTGGATGGATAGGTGATAGGATAGCAATTCAACATTTATACAGTAGTTATGCAGTACTATCATGTACCAAGCATTTATTCTAGGGTGTTTCTTTTCTTTTTTTTTTTCTTTTTTTGAGACGGAGTCTTGCTCTGTCGCCCAGGCTGGAGTGCGGTGGTGCGATCTTGGCTCACTGCAAGCTCTGCCTCCCAGGTTCACGACATTCTCCTGCCTCAGCCTCCCGAGTAGCTGGGACTACAGGCACCCGCCACCACACCTGGCGAATTTTTTTCTCTTTTTTTTGTATTTTTAGTAGAGACAGGGTTTCACCGTGTTAGGCAGGATGGTCTTGATCTCCTGACCTCATGATCCGCCTGCCTCGGCCTCCCAAAGAGCTGGGATTGCAGGCGTGAGCCACCGTGCCTGGCCGTTTCTTAACATATATTATACAATTAGTCTTTTTCCATGATACTTATTCTTCAGAATAACTTTCATTATCAAAATATCCTACAGGGATTGCTAACTGACAGTAAATTATTAGATCGGTTCCAAAGTAACTGTGGTTTTGCCATTAAAAGTAATGTGAAAATACATCTACAATTTGTGAAATATTATCTTTACTGTAGTCTTCTAAATGTAGTGTAAAAGCAAGTTCACTCTTTCCATTTGCCCCAGTCTTCCATTAAAAAAGAACATTTAAAAATCTTACTGTATAGAGATTATTTTAGTCAAATGGGATAATCTATGTTTTCAATAAAATTCAAAATAGTTTCTTTTCTTTGTCCAAAAGCTTTAAGCAGAGGATAAGGTGAAGGAAAGTATGTGTGTGAGAACCATACTGCTTCTACCATTCAGAGTTTTAAGTGGCTGCCATGGCTTTAGAGGTATATATTAAGAAAGCAAGGTATTTAACAAATTTTCAAAACAGTTCATTTTCTGAGTAGATTTAATCTTTTTTTTTTTTTTTTTTTGCAAATTACATTAACGAGAATGTAATGGTATGAGTTTTGAGGTCTAGTGGAAAGACCACAGGCCTTAGGAAGGTCACTTAAACTCTTAATGGCTGTTTCTACACCTTTCAAATGATATACCACATGTTGAACCTTACCCAGGCTGTAAGAAGTAAAATAGTCAGTCCCTCCGCATCCTCAGGGGTTTGGGTCCAGGACCACATTGTCAAAATGTGTGTGTGCTCAAGTCCTTTATATAAAATGGCATAGTATTTGCATATAACCTAGATCACCTCTAGATTACCTACACTACCTAATACCATGTCAAAGCTTTGTAAATAGTAGTTACATTGTACTATTTTAAAATTCATATTTTAAAAACAGCTGTGGTTTTAAAAATTGTTTTTCTTCTCTTTTTTTTTTTTTTGACACAGTCTCGCTCTGTTGCCCAGGCTGGAGTGCAGTGGCATGATCTCGGCTCACTGCAACCTCTGCCTCCGGGGTTCAAGTGATTCTCCTGCCTCAGCCTCCCGAGTAGCTGGGACTACAGGCGCTTGCCACCACGCCCAGCTAATTTTTGTATTTTTAGTAGAGATGCGGGTTCACCATATTGGTCAGGCTGGTCTTGAACTCTTGACCTTGTGATCCGCCTGCCTCGGCCTGCCAAAGTGCTGGGATTATAGGCGTGAGCCACCGCATCCGGCAATTGTTTTTCTTCTCTAAATATACATATATATTTTTTGACAGAGTCTCACTAAATATTTTCTATCCACGGTTGGTTGAATCCATGAATGTGGAACCCACGAATACAGAGCTGACTACAGGTTATAAAAAATATTTTTGGCCAGGCACGGTGGCTCACGCCTGTAATCCCAGCACTTTGGGAGGCCAAGGAGGGCGGATTACGAGGTCAGGAGTTCGAGACCAGCCTGGCCAATATGGTGAAACCCTGTCTCTACTAAAAATACAAAAATTAGCCATGCATGGTGGCACGTGCCTATAGTCCCAGCTACTCGGGAGGCTGAGGCAGAAGAATCGCTTGAACCTGGGAGGCAGAGGTTGCAGCAAACCCAGATCGTGCCACTGCACTCCAGCCTGGGCGACACAGCAAGACTCAGTCTCCCAAAAAAAAAAAAAAAAAAAAATTTTAGTTTTATAAAAGTACAGTACAGGCTGTGGCTGGTGGCTTATGCCTGTAATCTCAGCACTTTGAGAGGCCAAGGGAGGCAGGAGTTCAAGAGCAACATAGCTAGAAACAGTCTCTACAAAAATTAAAAAGTACACCATCACATTTCTAACACACAGTAGAAGTACCACGCTTATGTCTAAAATGGTACAGTAACAAATTATATACGATGAATATCATTTAGGCCTTTAGACTGTGGGTGAGAAATAATTTTTTAATCTACTGTTTAGCAAACAAAGCTCCTGCTAGAATACTGAACCTCATAAATGCTCATTTTTTTCTCATTTTTCATCTGTCTTTTTGTTGTACTTGAGATTTCCTTAACTTTCCCTTCTACCCCTTTTATTTTTTAAAAAAATTTCCTCCATATTTAAAAAACCTAAGTGCATCTAAAATTTTCTAAATATTATTTTTAATTTTTTTTTTTTTGAAGACAGTCTCACTCTATCGCCCAGGCTGGAGTGTGATGGTGTGATCCCGGCTCACTGCAACCTCCGCTTCCCAGGTTCAAGTGATCCTCCTACCTCAGCCTCCTGAGTAGCTGGGAATACAGGCGTGTGCCACCACGCCCGGATAATTTTTTTTTTTTTTTTTTGAGAAGGAGTTTCGCTATTGTTGCCCAGGCTGGAGGGCAATGCCACAATCTCAGCTCACCGCAACCTCCACCTCCCGGATACAAGCAGTTCTCCTGCCTCAGCCTCCTGAGTAGCTGGGATTACACGCTTGCACCACCACACCTGGACAATTTTGTATTTTTAGTAGCGATGGGTTTCTCCATGTTGGTCAGGCTGGTCTCAAACTCCCGACCTCTGGTGATCCACCTGCCTTGGCCTTCCAAGTGCTGGGATTACAGGTGTGAGTCACTGCGCCTGGCCCATGCCCGGATAATTTTTGTACTTTTAGTAGAGGTGGAGTTTCACCATGTTGGCCAGGCTGGTCTCGAACTCATGACCTCAGGTGATCTGCCCGCATCAGCCTTCCAAAGTGCTGGGATTACAGGCATGAGCTACCAGGCCTGGCCTCAATATTCTTTATATGGCATGTTTGTTTGAATACGGTTATGTGCTGCATCATGATGTTATGGTCAATGACAAACCATATATGAGGGTCATCCTGTAAGATTATAATGGAGTTGGAAAATTCCCATCGCCTAGTATTTACTATATTATACAGAAGTCCTCATTTTAATGTTGATAGGTTCTTGAAAATCCCGACTTTAAGTGAAATGACATGTAATGAAACCAATTTTATCATAGGCTAATTAATATAAACAAGTGTTAAGTTCCTAAGGCATAGTTCTGGTCATGAAAACCACCAAACCTCTAAATAAAGACCTAAAACACTTCCTTTTTTTTTTTTTTTTTTTTTGAGATGTAGTCTTGCTCTGTTGCCCAGGCTGGAGTGCAGTGGCGCGATCTCAGCTCACTGAAACCTCTGCCTCCCTGGTTCAAGCGATTCTCCTGCCTCAGCCTCCGAGTAGCTGGAACTACAGATGCCCGCCATCACGCCCGGCTAATTTTAGTATTTATTTATCTATTTTTTAGTAGAGATGGGGTTTCACCATGTTGGCCAGGCTGGTCTTGAACGCCTGACCTCAAGCGATCCACTCGACTCAGCCTCCCAAAGTGCTAGGATTATAGGTGTGAGCCACCGCGCCCGGCCCCTAAAACACTTCTAATATCAAACACTGAAATAAATGTGAACTATACACACATTTAAGAAAGATTAATAAAAACAAGATAATGTATCCAATTTTTGGTCAATCAGTGAGCTATGGCAGTCATCATGGTGGTGGGTTACTTCAGGGAATACATGTTTGTAAAGCAAAAATTTTAAGGAGCACCTCCTACCAACATGTAGTTCAGAAACAATAACAAATAGGAGGGCTTGTTTTTTGTTTTTTGAGATGGAGTCTTGCTCTGTCACCAGGCTGGAGTGCAGTGGTGGCACGATCTCGGCTCACTGCAACCCCCACCTCCCAGATCAAGTGAGTCTCCTGCCTCAGCCTCCCAAGTAGCTGGGACTACAGGCACACACACCCACGCCCAGCTAATTTTGGTATTTTTAGTAGAGATGGGGTTTCACCATGTTGGCCAGGATGGTCCCGATCTCTTGACCTCGTGATCCACACACCTCCGCCTCCCAAAGTGCTGAAATCATAGGTGTGAGTCACTGCACCTAGCCTTTTTTGTTTTTTTTTGAGACAGGGTCTTCGCCCTGTTGCCCAGGCTGGAGTGCAGTGGCATGACCACATCTCGCTGCAGCCCTGACCTCCTGGGCTAAAGCGATCCTCTCACTTCAGTCTCCTGTGTAGCTGTGACCATAGGTGTGTGCCACCATGCCTGGCAATTTTTTTTTTCTGTAGAGACGAGGTCTCCCTATGTTGCTCAGGCTGGTCTTGAATTCCTGGTCTCAAGTGATCCTCCTATCTTGGCCTCCCAAAGTGCTGGGATTACAAGCATGAACCACCACACCTGGCCCATTCATTCATTCCTTTTTTTTTTTTTTGAGACATAGTTTCATTCTGTTTCCCAGGCTGGAGTACAGTGGCGCAACCTCAGCTCACTGCAACCTCCATCTCTCTCTGGGTCCAAGTGGTTCTTGTGCTTCAACCTCCCGAGTAGCTGGGATTACAGGTGCATGCCACCATGCCTGGCTAAATTTTGTATTTTTAGTAGAGGATGGGGTTTCACTATCTCTACTGGCCAGGCTGGTCTCAAACTCCTTACCTCAAGTGATCCACCCGCCTCAGCCTCCCAAAGTGCTGGGATTACGGTGTGAGCCACCATGCCTGGCTATTCATTCATTTTTCTTTTTTTTTTTTTTGAGATGGAGTCTTGCTCTGTCGTCCAGGCTGGAGTGCAGTGGCGTGATCTCAGCCCACTGCAAGCTCCGCCTCCCGGGTTCATGCTATTCTCCTGCCTCAGCCTCCCAAGTAGCTGGGACTACAGGTGCCCGCCATCACGCCTGGCTAATTTATTTATTTATTTTTTGTATTTTTAGTAGAAATGGGGTTTTACCGTGTTAGCTAGGATGGTCTCGATCACCTGACCTCGTGATCTGCCCGCCTCGGCCTCCCAAAGTGTTGGGATTACAGGCGTGAGCCACCACACCCGTCCTATTCATTCATTTTTCAATCTGCTTATTCTAGTTCAGGGTTGCAGGTGGCTGGAGCCCATCCTAGCAGCTCAGGGCACCAGGTCGTTATCCACCCTGGCCAGGATGCCATCTCACTGCAGGGCACCCTCACACCCACACTCACTCAGACTGGGACCACTAAGACATGTCAATGAACCTAACAGGCACAGCTCTGAGATGTCGGAGGAAGTCAGAGTGCCCAGAGAAAACTCATGCAGATATATGGAGAATGCACAAACTAAACAGACAGTGGCCCTGGCCGGGAACTGATTTTTTTTTCTCCTTCTCTTTTTTTTTTTTTTTTTGAGACAGAGTCTCACTCTGTCACCCAGGCTGGAGTGCAGTGGCACGATGTTGGCTCACTGCAACCTCCATCTCCTGGGTTCCGCACCACTGCACCCGGCTAATATATGTATTTATTTAGCTGGGACTACAGGCCCGCACCACCGCACGCTTGCTTGGTTGCTTATTTATTTAAGACAGAGTCTCATTCTGTTATTTACTTACTTACTTATTTATTTATTTCAGAGTCTCTTTCTGTCCCCCAGGCTGGAGTTCAGTGGCACGATTATTTATTTATGACAGAGTGTCTTTCTGTCCCCCAGGCTGGAGTTCAGTGGCAAGATCTCGGCTCACTGCAACCTCTGCCTCCTGGGTTGAAGCGATTCTCGTGCCTCAGCCTCCCGAGTGGCTGGGATTACAGGCACGCACCACCATGCCTGGCTTTTTGTACTTTTAGTAGAGACAGGGTTTCACCATGTTGCCCAGGCCGGTTCAAACTCTTAAGCACAGGCAATCCACCTGCCTTGGCCTCCCGAAGTGCTAGGATTACAGGTGGGAGCCACTGTGCCTGGCAATTTTTTTATTTTTAGTAGAGACAGGGCTTCACCATGTTGGCCAGGCTGGTCTTGAACTCCTGACCTCAGGTGATCCACCCACCTCAGCCTCCCAAAGTGCTGGGATCACAGGCGTGAGCCACTGAGCCCAGCCTGATTTTTTTTTCTCATCAATATTATAACGAAACGACATTTAAGCTAAGTGTTATTACAAAAAAGTCAAGAAGTTAAAACTTAAAGAACTCCTGAGCTCAAATGATCCGCCTACCTTGGCCTAGGTGTTGGGATTGATTACAGGCATGAGCCACCATGCCTGTCCCCCCATTTTTTTTTTTTGAGGCAGAGTCTTGCTCTGTCGCCCAAGCTGGAATGCAATGGCATAATCTCAGCTCACTGCAACCTCTACCTCCTGGGTTCAAGCGATTCTCCTGCCTCAGCCTCCCGAGTAGCTGGGACTACAGGTGCACGCCACCACGCCTGGCTAATTTTTGCATTTTTAGCAGAGACTGGGTTTTGCCATGTTGGCTAGGCTGGTCTCTAACTCCTGACCTCAGGTGATCCGCCTGCCTCGGCCTCCCAAAGTGCTGGGATTACAGGCGTGAGCCACCATGCCTGGCCCCAAAAATTAAAAAAAAAAAAAAAATTTAATGTGCCTGTAGAGTCCCAGGTACTTGGGAGGTCGAGGTGGGAGGATTGTCTTGAGTCTAGGAGGTCACGACTACAATGAACTGTGGTCATGCCACTGCACTCTAGCCTAGGTGATTCAGCAAGACCCAGTATCAAAAAAAAAAAAAAATTAATGTAGCCTCAGTATGCAGTGTTTACAAAGTGTACAGTAATGTCCTAGGCTTTCACATTCACTCACCACTCACTCACTGACTTACCCAGAGAAACTGAGTTTCATTCATGATAAATGCCCTATACAGGTGTACCATTTTTTTATACCCTACTTTTACTGTACCTTTTCTATGTTTAGATATACAAATATGATTGTGTTATAATCACCTACAATAGTCAGTACGGTAACATGCTGTACAGGTTTGTAGTTCAGGAGCAATAGACTATACCATATAGCCTATGTGTGTAAGAACCATCTAGGTTTGTGTAAATACACTCTATGATGTATGTTCACATGACAAAGTGACCTAACAATGCATCTCTTGGGATGGATCCTCTTTGCTAAATGACGCATGATTGCATCTTTTTTTTTTTTTTTTGAGACACAGTCTTGCTCTGTCGCCCAGGCTGGAGTGCAGTGGTGCAATCTTGGCTCACTGCAAGCTCCGCCTCCCGGGTTCACACCATTCTCCTGCCTCAGCCTCCCAAGTAGCTGGGACTACAGGCACCCGCCACCATGCCTGGCTAATTTTTTGTATTTTAATTAGAGACAGGGTTTCACCTGTTAGCCAGGATGGTCTCCATCTCCTGACCTCGTGATCCGCCCACCTCGGCCTCCCAAAGTGCTGGGATTACAGGCGTGAGCCACCATGCCCGGCCGATTGTATCTTTTTTTCCCCACTATGTCTTGCCCAGGCTGGAGTGCAGTGGTTTGATCTCGGCTCACTGCAGCCTCCGCCTCCCAGGTTCAAGCGATTCTCCTATCTCAGCCTCATGAGTAGCTGGGACAACAGGTGTTTGCCACTACACTTGGCTAATTTTGCATTTTTAGTAGAGAAAGGGTTTCACCATGTTGGCCAGGCTGGCATATCTTTTCTTATTTCTCAGAATAATTTTTTTTTTTTGAGACAGAATCTCACTCTGTTGCCCAGGCTGGAGTGCAGTGGTACGATCTCGGCTCACTGCAACCTCCACCTCCCAGGTTCAAGCGATTCTCCTGCCTCAGCCTTCTGAGTAGCTGGAATTACAGGCACGTGCCACCATGCTCGGCTAATTTTTTGTATTTTTAGTAGAGATGGGGTTTCACCATGTTGGCTAGGCTGGTCTAGAACTCTTGACCTCAGGTGATCCGCCCACCTCAGCCTCCCAAAATGCTGGGATTACAGGTGTGAGCAATCCTGCCCGGCCTGCTATATTCTCTTTAATATGAAAACAGACTTTTATTTTTTTTAAAGGCTCATGGCTGTATATATTTATTTTGGGACAAGCATAGTAAAAGGAGAAATGTTCCCAACTAATCTTGATTTTTAAGAGTATCGCCACATTAAAATCAACTTTAAAAGAAACAAAAACAACATTCTGTAAGCATTAAACTTAAATGGAAGCATATCCCTCAAAATAACTGACCTACGTTCTTCAAAAATGTGATGATCAAGTGACACAAAGAGAGCCTAGGGAACTGTTCCAGATATAAGATTACAGTCCATGCATGGTTCTCGATTACATTCTGTATTAACAAAAAAAATTGCTAGGAAGAGTATTATTGGAATATGTGATGAAACTTGAATATGAACTGTCAACTACAGAACAGTATTACATCAGTGTTACAAATTTCTGATTTTGCTCTCTGTACTGTGGTTAAGTAAGAGTATCCTAGCTTTTAGGAAATACAATGAAATATTTAGGAACTAAGGAGCACAGTGTCTCCAACTTATTTTCAAGTGGTTCAGGAAAAAAAAGTATTTATATTTTATTTTCTTGAGACAAGATCTTGCTCTGTCACCCAGGCTGGAGTGCAGTGGAATGATCATAGCTCATTGCAGCCTTGACTGCCCAGGCTCAAGCAATCGTCCCACCTCAGCCGCCCAAGGAGCTGGGGCTACAGGTGCATGCCACCACACCCAGCTAATTAATTTTTTTTTTAGAGACGGGGGTCTTACTTTGCAGCCCAGGTTGGTCTCGAACTCCTGGCGGCTTCAAGCCATCTGCCCGTCTCAGCCTCCCAAAGTATTAGGATTACAGGCATGAGCCACCACGCCTGGCCAAAATGTATGTATGTATGTATGTATGTATGTATGTATGTATGCATGCATGCATGTATGTATTTATTTCAGACGAAGTCTCACTCTGTCACCAGGCTGGAATACAGTGGCGCAATCTCGGCTCACTGCAGCCTCCGCCTCCTGGGTTCAAGTGATTCTCCTGCCTCAGCCTCCCAAGTGGCTGGGACTACAGGCGTGTGCCACCAGCCCAGCTAATTTTTGTATTTTTAGTAGAGACGGGGTTTCACCATGTTGGCCAGGCTGGTCTCGATCTCTCGATCTTGTGATCTGCCCGCCTTGGCCTCCCAAAGTGCTGGGATTACAGGTGTGAGCCACTGTGCTCGGCCAAAATGTATTTATAAAGAGAAAATAAAAGCAAACAGGATGAAAGGTAAATAACTGCTAGATTTGCAAATAAGCTATATGGGAGCTCCTTGTACTAGTCTTGTAATTTTTGTGTAAACTTGAAATTACAAGAGAATAAAAATTTACACACACAAAAAAAAGAATAAAAAAATTTACCACCACCAATTTTCTTTCCCAGAAAAATAAATACAAGCCAATAATGCCTAATATATAGATTTTTACGTCTGTTCAGGGAAATATAGCTTCATGGCCTTATGTAGTCAATTATACTGTAAAAACCCTAATTTTTGGGGACCATTGTGTTTCAATAAGAACAAAAGGTTTACCAGGGCTACTAGTGACAGTTAAGAGCAGAGACTGGGCTGGGCGCAGTGGCTCACATCTGTAATCCCAGCACTTTGGGAGGCTAAGGTGGGCGCATCACAAGGTCAGGAGATTGAGGCCATCCTGGCTAACACGGTCAAACCCCGTCTCTATTAAAAATACAAAAAAACTTAGCTGGGCATGGTGGCATGTGCCTGTAGTCCCAGCTACTCAGGAGGCTGAGGCAGGAGAATCGCTTGAACCCAGGAGGCGGAGGTTGCAGTAAGCCGAGACTCCAGCTGGAGGCTGAGGTGGGTGGATTGCTTGAGTCTAGGCGTTCAAGACAGCCTGGCCAACATGGTGAGACCCCGTCTCTAAAAATATAAAAAAAAAGAAAAAACAAAAAAATAAAAAAGAAGAGCAGAGACTATCCACATGTTTTGTTTTTTCATTATCATCTCTATGAATGGCTGGTTGCTCAATGCTCACATACGGTTGTGTGTCAGTATATGTGAACTGCTGATACTAATATGAGCTTACTGTAAAAAGTGTAACTTCCATGTGTTAGATAGAAGATTTGAGAAATGTATACAGGAGTAAGCCAACATTCTATAACATCTTAGTTCTGAGAGAAGATAAAGAGAATATCAATGTGGTACTTAGGGTTGGCCAACTATACCCCTATTTAGCCTATGCCTGGTTTTGTAAATAAAGTTTTACTGGAACGCAGGCACAAGCATTCATTTACCACACATTGCACACGGCTGTTTCTCAGAATTGCATAGCTGTCACAGCGAGCACAAGGTTCACAGGGCCAAAAATATTTATAAACTGGCCTTTTACCAAAAAAAGTTTGCTGATTCCTGTCCTAGATAATAGCAAACTTGTAACCTGTCTAAATTCTTTTTTTTTGTGGCAGGGTCTCACTCTGTAGCCCAGGCTGGAGTGCACCAGTGTGATCTCGGCTCACTGCAACCTCTGCCTCCCAGGTTCAAGTGATTCTCCTGCCTCAGTCTCCTGAGTAGCTGGGACTATAGGTGCCTGCCACCACACCCACCTAATTTTTGTATTTTTAGTATAGACAGGGTTTCACCATGTTGGCCAGGCTGGTCTTGAACTCCTGATCTCAAGTGATTTGCCCGCCTCAGCCTCCCAAAGTGCTGGGATTACAGGTTGTCTGAATTCTTTACACAGCTTTTAATGCCCTATCAATATAGTCCCCCTGTCAATGGACTCCATTTTAACCCCTCTAGTGAATAAGCCTTTGGTTTTCACTGAGTAGAAGGGCAATGATCTAGCTTGCCTGCAATTGGAGAGGTAACCTGTAGGTTTGAATCATTCTTAACTACAGATTCTCAACCAACCTTCCTGTTATCAGTCCCACTCTCACAGGTGTCTGGCTGGAGCTTTTAACTCTAGAGCTTTCTTTTGTGCAAGGAGTTCCTCTTGGCTTTCCCCACTGTCAGTGTAGGATTTAACTTTCTCAGTTCTGCTAAATCAGTTACCATTTGTTTCTCTACTTTATAGCTTTCAAAATTTTATTGCTACTGTCTTCTCCCCTAATCTCACCATTCTTGTGGATTTCTGTCTTCCTTTTTCTTTTTTCTTTTTTTTTGCTGAGACAGAGTCTCGCTCTGTTGCCAGGCTGGAGTGCAGTGGCATGATCTTGGCTCACTGCAACCTCTGCCTCCCAGGTTCAAGCGATTCTCCTGCCTCAGTCTCCTGAGTAACTGGGACTACAGGTGCACACCACCACGCCCAGCTAATTTTTGTATTTTTAGTAGAGATGGGGTTTCACCATGTTGGCCAGGATGGTCTCGATCTCTTGACCTTGTGATCTACCCGTCTTGGCCTCCCAAAGTGCTGCGATTACAGGCGTGAGCCACCGTGCCCAGTCCCAACTATTACTTTAAAGGTCCAAAATTTTGGTACATATTTGGCTATCTAATTTGAACTATAATGTTGCTACTACTCAGATTCACTTAAGTGAATAAAATGCTTACTGTAGACCTTAAGTTTGACAAAATGAATGTAGTCTATATAAAACCACAAAAGTTAGTTTTCTTAACAAAGTATAAAAGCTTCTGTGGCTAGGCACAGTGGTTCACACCTGTAATCCCAGCACTTTGGGAGGCCAAGGCAGGCGGATCACTTGAGATCAGGAGTTTGAGGCCAGCCTGGCCAACATGGTGAAACCTCGTCTCTACTAAAAATACAAAAATTACCTGGCTGTGGTGGTGTGCACCTGTAGTCTCAGCTACTTGGGAGGCTGAGGCATGAGAATCGCCTAAACCTGGGTGGCAGAGGTTGCGGTGAGCCAAGATTGCACCAATGGACTCCAGCCTGGGCGACAGAACGAGACCCCATCTCAAAAACAAAAACAAAAAGACTTCTGAACTTTTTTTTTTTCTGGAGACAAAGTCTTGCTCTGTCGCCCAGGCTGGAGTGCAGTGGCACGATCTTGGCTCACTGCAAGCTCTGCCTCCCAGGTTCATGCCATTCTCCTGCCTCAGCCTCCCGAGTAGCTGGGACTATAGGCGCCCGCCACCATGCCCAGCTAGTTTTTTTTTTTGTATTTTTAGTAGAGATGGGGTTTCACCATGTTAGCAAGGATGGTCTGGACCTCCTGACCTTGTGATCCGCCCACCTTGGCCTCCTAAAGTGCTGGGATTACAGGTGTGAGCTACCGCGCCCGGCCTAAACTTTTAAGTACATCCCAGAAGCAAGATCTCAGGGAAAACAAGAACAACTTATCATAAACACCATATATTAAATGAAGATTATATGTTAGACTGAAAATTATTTTGTATAATGTTCTTACTTCAGCATGTGGAAATTAAATGCCGCATCCTTATATTTTGCAGACAGGATGTGAAAAGTTTAAGCATGAGAAGTACAAAAAAGGGAACACTCATAAAACAATCCAAATAATGCACCTGTACCGGGAGGCAGAGGTTGCTGTTAGCTGAGATTGCCCCACTGCACTCCAGCCTGGGTGACACAGCACGACACCATCTCAAAAAAAAAAAAAAAAAAAACTGAAGTCAACAAATGGTTTCCAAAAATGACAGGACTCCAGTGGATTTAACATTATTTGTTTGTTTTTGAGATAGAGTCTTGCTTTGTCGCCAGGCTGGAGTGCAGTGGCATGATCTCGGCTCACTGCAACCTCTGACTGCCTGGTTCAAGTGACTCTCCTGCCTGAGACTCCCGAGTAGCTGGGATTACAGGCACATGCCACCATGCCCAGCTAATTTTCGTATTTTTAGTAGAGACAGGGTTTCCCCATGTTCGCCAGGCTGGTCTTGATCTCCTGACCTTGTGATCTGCCCGTCTCGGCCTCCCAAAGTGTGGGGATTACAGGTGTGAGCCACGGCACCTGGCAACATTATTTGTTTAGACTGTCAACATCACCATTCCAAACACGTGAGCCTGATCAACTAGCACAGAAATTGGTGACTTCTTCTGTACAGGCCAGATACTAAATTTTTCTTTTTCTTTTTCTTTTTTTTTTTTTTTTTTTTTTTTGAGACAGAGTCTTGCTCTGTTGCCCAGGCTGGAGTGCAGTGGTGTGATCTTGGCTCAGTGCAACCTCCGCCTCCCGGGTTCAAGCGATTCTTCTGCCTCAGCCTTGCAAGTATCTGGGATTAGAGGTGCGAGCCACTACAGCCGGCCTGGATCATAAATATTTTAATCTTTGTAGGCCACATGAACTCTGTCACAAACTATTCAACTCTGTTACTTAACAACTGACTGAATCTCTTTGAAGTTATGATAACTGTGAGATGTTTCTTAGATATTCATGTTTCTAACAATGAGATATTCAATAAAAACTATGATGCTATATGAAACAAGCTAAGTTCAAAGAACTCAGGAACACTTAAAAGTTAAGGCCTTTAAGTCAGATTCAGAAAAATCTGGCATAAGAATCACTCTGAAGTTTCTAACTGGTCATCCTCTTATAGCACCCTACAAAAAGCATTAGCAGGTAATGTGTTGGTATGCAACAAGATCTTTTAAAGAAAATGTATATAATGCAAAGAAAGTGAGATATACCAAAATATTTCAAATACAATCATAAGAAATGGGATTCCCCCCAAAAATAAATGTCAAAGAAAACTAAAAATGGACAAAGTACGTATTAAATATTGCCAATGTAAATTATCTTTGGAAATAACAAAAAGCGAACATTCAGATTTTACTAGATATTAATTATTTCCAACCATGTTAAGGGAAACTTTTGCCAGCATCAACCAAGTAGCAAAATGACCTTTAATTATATCTCTACCACTTCCATATAAAAAGATACAGACATATGTCAATTTACACTTAATTCAAGGAGTAGGGTACTACTGAAGGTATAAGTAGTATGTTGAATGTTGGAGTTTTTATTAACTTAGTAATGGTAAATATGCCACAATATAGTTATTTCTGTGTTAAAAAGGACTGTTATTTAGTTCTGGGAATATTGGTAAATAGCAATTGTTTATTCTTGTCAAATCAGAAAGTTTATAAAGTTGTCGTTATGAAACATTTCTCAAACAAAACAAAAACCAGCTTGTCCCTCCTTTTCTACCTCCCCAAAATTATAATAGTCTTGAAGGCAGGGACAATATGTATGTTGTTCATTGCTGTATCTCTGGCATCATAACCACCAGTAAAACCTCAAATTTTATTCTTGAGTATGAACTCTTAAAAAACTTCTCTAAAGAATATTAGGGTTTCGACTATTTCATAATTAGAATTTTAAATATAAAGATCATACAAATGATACATATTTATAACTGTACAGAAAGCAAACAAATTCATTAGTAGAAACTCAGAGAAGTAGAAACAATTCTAACATTTCTAAAATCAGAAATTCATAACTGTATAATAAGTTTATGTAGGGCAGTCCAGCTGTTCTAGGCAAGCAATTCTATTTTACCTTTCCTGGGATGAAGCAACAGAGATTGGAATCCACATATTTCATGAAAGTCATATTTAATAGTGACAGCCTTGTTTCAACAGCAGCAAGAATGTCTGCATGACGAGCTAATGAATGGTTTCTCCTTTCTGACTCTCTCCTATAATAATAATAATAATAAAAGCAAGGCAACCATTAAAGCAGTATTGTGGACTAAAATATTAAGCAATCAAGATGGCTTAATGAAACAGTCTTTTACATGTTAATTTAGAAATCTACAGTTGGGTCATAATTTAACTGTAATGATGAATGAATCACTATGCCTAGAAATCGTTACCAAAGACTGGTACTCATTGACAAAATATTTGAAAACAAACAAAACAAATTATATATATATATATATATTTTAATTAGGTTTTTTGGGGCCGGGCTTGGAGGCTCACGCCTGTAATCCCAGCACTTTAGGAGGCTGAGGCGGGTGGATCACCTGAGGTCAGGAGTTTGAGACCAGGCTGGGCAACATGGTGAAACCCCGTCTCTACTAAAAAATTAGCCAGGCGTGATGGTGCATGCCTATAGTCCCAGCTACTAGGGAGGCTGAGGCAGGAGACTCGCTTGAACCCGGGCGTCGGAGGTTGCAGTGAACCAAGACTGCACCACTTGCACTCCAGCCTGGGTGATAGAGCAAGACTCCATCTCAAAAATAAAAATAAAAGTAAAGGTTTTTTGGCTATCAAATCTAGTGGCTATTAGAACCAAAGAAATTAGATAAATGAATGGATTACACATGGAAATATAGGCAGGAGATGATATGCTTTTGATGATAAAATTTAACTCCTTTAAACTTTTTAGCAATTTAAGAAATAACTCAGACATAATAAAATTATCTTAAAGAGGACTAAATTTAGTGGTGTTTAGTATACTCACAGGATTGTACAACTATCACCACTATCTAATTTCAGAATATTTTCATTACCACAAAATTAACTCCTGTAACCATTATCAGCCACTCCCATTCTCCCAGCCCCTGGCAATACTAATCTACTTTCTGTTTCTCTGGATCCACCTATTCTGAACATTCCAGATAAATGGAATCATACAGTAGCCTTATGTTTCTGGCTTCTTTCATTTAGCATAGTTTTCCAGGTTCATTCTTGTTGTAGCATGTACCTTTTTATTGCCCAATAATATTCCATCATGCAGATATATCATACTTTGTTTGCTCATCAGCTGATGGACATTTGGATTGTCTCCACTTTTTGGCTATTATGAATAATGCTGCTAAAAACGTTTGTGTACAAGTTTTTGTGCAAACATTATGTTTTCATTTCTTTTGGGTACTTATCTAGGAATGAAATTGGTGGCTCAGACAATAACTCTCTGTTTAACTTTTTGAGAACAGCCAAATTGTTTTTTCTTTTTTTTTTTTTTGAGACGGGCTCACTCTGTCGCCCAGGCTGCAGCACAATGGCACGATCTTGGCTCACTGCAACCTCCGTCTCCCAGGTTCAAGCAATTCTCCTGCCTCAGCCTCCTAAGAAGCTGGGATTATAGGCACCCGACATCATGCCTGGCTAATTTTCCTATTTTAGTAGAGACTGGGTTTCACCATGTTGCCTAGGCTGGTCTTGAACTCCTGACCTCAGGTGATCCACCTGCCTTGGCCTCCCAAACTGCTGGCATTACAGGCGTGAGCCATCACATCCGGCCTGAGAACAGCCAAACTGTTTTCTAAAGTGACTGCACCATTTTACATTCCCAACATTGATATATGAAGGTTCCAATTTGTCCACATCCTCCCCAACATTTTTCCATTGTAGCCATCCTAGTGGATATAAAGCGCTAGTGGATATAAATCTCGTAGTGGTTTTGATTTGCATTCCCCTGACGACTAATGATGTTGAGCACCTTTCATGTGCTTGTTGGCTATTACTTATCTTCTTTGGAGAAGTGTCTATTCAAATCCTTTGTCCTTTTTTTTGGAGACAGAGTCTTGCTCTGTCACCCAGATTGGAGTGCTGTGGCGCGATCTTGGCTCACTGAAACTTCCGCCAACGGGTTCAAGTTATTCTCCTGCCTAAGCCTCCTGAGTAGTTGGGATTACAGGCACCCGCCACCATGCCCAGGTAGTTTTTGTATTTTTAGTAGAGACAGGGTTTTACTATGCTGCCCAGGCTGGTCTTGAACTCCTGACCTCAGGTGATCCACCCACCTCAGTCCCCCAACATGCTGGGATTACAGGTGTGAGCCACTGCACCTGGCCCCTCTACCCACTTTTAAAATAGGTTTTATTGTTGAGTTGTAAGAGTTCCTCATATAATCTGGATACATGATTTACGCAGGTTTTCTCCCATTTTGTGGGGTGTCTTTTCATTTTCTTAACGGTGTCTTTTGAGCCACAAAAGTTTTACATTTTAAGTCCAATTTGCTTAATTTTTTCTTTTGCTACTTGTGCTTTTGGTGTCACTGCCTAATCCAAGTTCATGAAGACTTACTACTATGTTTTCTTCTAAGGGTTATATAGTATAGTGCTGACATTTACACTTAGGTCTATGATCCCTTTTGAGTTAACTTTTATATACAGTATGAGGAAGAGGTCCAACTTCATTCATTTTCAAGATAACTAGTTGTCCCAGCATCATTTGTTGAAAATACTATTCTTACTGCATTGAATTATCTTGACATCCTTGTTAAAATCAACTGATTAAAAATATAAGGTTTATTATCCAGACTTTTGCTTTTGCTTCTTTGATCTACAGGTCTATCCTTATGCCAGTGCCATACTGTTTTGATTACTATAGCTCTGTACTAAGTTTTGAAAGTGGGAAGTGTGAGTCTTCCAATACTGCTCTCCTTTTTCAAAATTGCTTTGGTTATTGTCAGACTCTTGTATTTCCACAGGAATTTTAGGATCAGTGTATCAAGTTTTGGGGAAAAAAAAAAAGACAGCTGAATTTTTGACAGGGGTTACAAAAAAAAAAGTCAAGAAACAAACAAAACATATTGTACCTTATTGTCAACCCCTATCACACTGAATGTGTAGATTCATCTGGGGAGTACCGTCATCTTAACAATATGAAGTCTTCAAATCCATGAACACAGAATGCCTTTCCACTTATTTAAGTCTTCTTTAATTTCTTTCAATGGTGTTTTGTAGTTTTTAGTATACAAGTCTTGTGCTTTTGTTATATGTATTACTAAGTATTCTATTCTTTTTGAAACTATGATAAAATGTTTTGAATTTCGTTTTTGGATTGTTCATTGCTAGTGTATATAAATATAATTGGTTTCTGTATATTATTCTTATATCCCATATCCTTGCTGAACTGGTTTACTAGCTTTAATAATCAATTAGTGCACTCCTTATCCACAAGATCATATCATCTGTGAACAGAGAGTTCTATTTCTTCTTTTCCCATTTGGATGCCTTGTATTTCATTTTCTTGCCTAATTTCTCTGGCTAGAACCTCCAGTAAAATGTTGATCACAAACGGTGAGAATGGACAAACCACTGCAGAAATCACATTGTGATCTTTGTGCCCTTTGCTATAAAAACTTGGGAAGCAATATGTAAACCATGAGACTGAAAAAAAGAAGTCAAGCAACAAACAAAACCAACTGTACATCATTGTCATTGCCACCCACAACATACCTTGGGAGTTGTGCTTTAACTTGTTTCTGACATAGATTATGGTACCTCTCCACTTTCAGAAATCCCTGATTCAACATTCTCTGGCAGACCAAGTCCATTCTTTTACAAACCTTCAAGGAGAAAAAAGAACAAAAATCAATAACCAAATTAATAAGAGACAACTGAGACTCATAACTGATGGCTTAAAGCTCTCTGTATCCCACTATTATTCCTCAGTTTGCTGTATATATCTTTTTTTTTGAGACGAAGTCTCACTCTGTCGCCCAGGCTGGAGTGCAGTGGTGCAATCTCAGCTCAGCACAACCTCCGCCTCCCAGGTTCAAGCGATTCTCCTGCCTCAGCCTCCCCAGTAGCTGGAAATACAGGTGTGTGCCATCATGCCTGGCTAATTTTTGTATTTTTAGTAAAGACAGAGTTTCACCATGCTGGCCAGGCTGGTCTCAAACTTCTGACCTCAAGTGATCTGCCCACCTTGGCCTCCCAGAATATTGGGATTACAGGAGTGAGCCACCACAGCTGGCCTGCTGTATGTAACTCTGATTCAGTATCTGTGGGTGAATCTCTCACACCATGTAATTTCTTTTTTTTTTTTGAGATGGAGTCTCACCCTGTCGCACAGGCTGGAGCGCAGTGGCGCGATCTTAGCTCACTGCAAGCTCCACCTCCTGGGTTCACGCCATTCTCCTGCCTCAGCCTCCTGAGTAGCTGGCACTACAGGTGCCCGCCACCACGCCCGGCTAATTTTTTTGTATTTTTAGTAGAGACGGGGTTTCACTGTGTTAGCCAGGATGGTCTCGATCTCCTGACCTTGTGATCCGCCTGCCTCGGCCTCCCAAAGTGCTGGGATTACAGGTGTGAGCCACCGTGCCCAGCCTCACACCATGTAATTTCTGAAATATCTCATTAAGAAATTAATACTATGTGCAGGCAAAAAAGTATCATTTACTTTAGGTGTTTGTTGGACATTCTGAATGTATTCCCATTATTATGGTCACAGACTATAGTCCTGAAGATCAGTAAAACAATACATTTAAAGGTTTTTTAATAGTTTGAAACAAAAAAAATTCTTTTTTAGTCAGAAATGTATCCATTTGAGTCTAACCTCTTACAAAGTTTATATGATCTATAACCAGAATGAGAATTATTACTTATTTCTTCTAGTGATCTGGCTTAACTATGGAGAGCTTATGATGGCCAAGGCCTTTATATTAGACACTGTATATCCTCCAAAATATCTTTTTGAGATGGAGTTTCACTCTTGTCACCCAGGCTATAGTGCAATGGTGTGATCTCAGCTCACTGCAACCTGTGCCTCCCAGGTTCAAGTGATTCTCCTGCCTCAGCCTCCTGAGTAGCTAGGATTACAGGCATGTGCCACCACGCCCAGCTAATTTTGTATTTTTAGTAGAGACAGGGTTTCACCATGTTGGTCAGACTGGTCTCGAACTCCTGACCTCAAGTAATCCATCCGCCTTGGCCTCCCAAAGGGTTGGGATTACAAGTGTGAGCCACTGCACTCGGCCCAAAATATCTTAGCATGTGTAGTAGAACATCAACTACTTTGAATCCTTAATATAGTTTTTTTTTTTTTTTTTTTTGACAGGGTCTTGCTCTGTTGTCTAGGCTGAAGTGCAGTGCCACGATCACAGCTCACTGCAGCATCCTATCCCTGGGCACAAGCAATCCTCCTGTCTCAGCCTCCCAAGTAGCTGAGACAACAGGTATGCACCACCCCGCGCAGCTAATTTTTAAAAAAAATTTTGTAGAGATGGGGGTCTATGTTGCCCAGGCTGGTCTTAAATTCCTGGGCTCAAGCAATCCTCTGCTTTGGCCTGCCAAAGTGCTATGGTTATAGGCATGAGCCACCATGCCCAGCCAGATATGGTGTTTTTATACAGTAAAAGCACAGGATCAGAAGTCAGAACAGCTAAATTTGAGTACAACTTATATGCATTCTTGTCCAAGTCATCTTACATTTGAAAACCTGAGTCAGCTACCTGTAAGACATGGATAATACCTAACCCATAGGATATCATTAGGATTAAACGAAACACACACTAAATCACTTGGTAAACTCTAAAGTGCTATATAAAATTGTTAAATAAACTTTGTTTATCTTAGTACTAATTTGAAAACTTTGTTTCATTTGTTATATTTCTGAGATATCCTAGCATCTTTCTTATCTTAATTAGATCTAGTATACAGAATTCCTTTGTGATTTGATCTCTAAGAATTCTGCAGCAACTGAGTCATCAACCTGAAGGTTAATTCTCACCATATGGGGTAGACGTTGCAGTACAAGACATGGACAGTTAAAAAAATAAAATAAAAAAAAATAATAATAATAATAAAAAAAGACATGGACAGTTAGGATCTGTCTTATGCTTCTTTCCATCTCTCATAGCACCCAAGCACAAACGATCAACAAATATTTGTTGAAACGAAATGCTGATGAAACTCTTGATGTAAGTTTGTTTTCTCCTGAGAACACAGGCCTGACAAAAATCCTGGCAAACTGGGTTGAAGCTCAAGAAGGCTTTAATATTCTAATATTAAAAACCAGATAACTTCCTAAAAGGGTATTAAGGAAAACTGTTCTTTTCAATTTCAAAATTAAAGCACAATAAACTTTAAGTACGAAGTAATTTCTAATAAATAATGTTTGTTTGTTTGTTTTCAGACAGAGTTTCGCTGTCACCCAGGTTGAAGTGCAGTGGCGTGATCTTGGTTCACTGCAACCTCCCTCTACCAGGTTCAAGCCATTCTCCTGCCTCAGCCTCCCGAGTAGCTGGGATTACAGTTGCGTGCCACCACGCCCAGCTAATTTTTGCATTCTAAGTAGAGATGGGGTTTCACCATGTTGGCCAGGCTGGTCTTGAACTCCTGGCCTCAGGTGATTTGCCTGTCTTGGCCCCCCAAAGTGCAGGGATTACAGGTGAGCCACCCTGCTTGGCCAATAATATGTTAAAATATGGTAGAATCTATTTCTAACTAAACTAAACCAGTTATCAGTATTTGTTCAGTGTCTACTGAAAAAAACAAAGACATAAACACAATACATATCAATATATGTAACTGCTTTTAACGAAAAGTAACTTTTTTCCAAAACAAAACATTTAGTGATTGGCCTTATTTTACATTTCTGCAAGGCTTTTTGATATGTGGTTTAACAGAACACAGGTCAATTTTCATACCTGTCTCTGCATTCAATCGACTGAGGTATTCTTACCTCAGAAAATTCTGGAAAACACAAGAACACACAAGTGCACGTTTCATTAGCTAACAGTGTGATGCCATCATGTCATCAAACGTCATGTGGCTACTGGAAAACTCCATGTATACTTGTGGAAAAAATAAGCGTGCCAAACATAAACACACACACACACACACACACACATACACACACACACACACACAAATACTTTACATCTTATGGACCCTGTGACAGGATCCTGGAAACCTCTCTGGGGTTTCTGGACCACACTTTGAGAACCAGTGCCCCAGTCCTGAATAATCACATGACCACAAACACCAGTACTGAACTTCATGTGGGGAAAAAAAAAACTTTTATGTTATTGAAGGAAAGAAAGGAATGAGGGCAACAGGGCTAACTTCTCAACTTATTAGGAAGTTAACAGATAATATCAAATAGAAGAAAATCAGCCGGAAGACTTGAAAGTGGTGCCTCTGGGGAATAAAAACTGGGGACTATAAAAACTATGTTTTGTTATTAAAACTATTTGATATTTTATTTTACTTATTTATTTATTTTTAGAGGGAGTCTTGCTCTGTTGCCCAGGCTGGGGTGCAGTGGCGTGATCTCGGCTCACTGCCACCTCCATCTCCTGGGTTCAAGCGATTCTCCTGCCTCAGCCTCCCAAGTAGCTGGGATTACAGGCGCCTGCCACCACACCTGGCTAATTTTTCGTAATAGAGATGGGGCTTCACTATGTTGGTTAGGCTGGTCTGGAACTCCTGACCTCAAGTGATCTCCTGCCTTGGTCTCCCAAAGTGCTAGGTTCACAGGCGTTGAGCACTGCACCCAGCCTATTTGATATGTTAAGTTATCAGATGAGTAGATAGTGGACTTAAAAATAAACTGAGGTACCCTCTAACACAACCTTGTAGAAAAACACTTCTTGTCTCTGTAGACTCTACAACCTTGTTGATAATTTCTGAGAAGAAATAATTTTTAGCAGCAATATATTTACAAAGACAAAAATTAAGGTCAATTACTGCTGTAACAATTTTCAAGGTTCAGTCAAAATTATTTTACTAGTTTTGCTGCACTGAATCTAGCTAACTTCTAGGGTTTAGATATCTTTCAATAATCTATAAACTCGAATATGAGTGCTGGCTAGTGTAGTATTTAAGTACTGGCTGGGTGATGAGAATAAGAATAACCAGATAGGCCCAATTAAGAAGATCTCACATGACAAAAGATTTGAATTAGGCTTTGAAGGAGGAGAGGGCAAAGATTGCTAAGTTAGATGTAATGGTGTATGCAAAGGCACAAAGTCTGGAATGAACAAACCATTAGCAAGCAAACTACTTCCGAAGACAGATGAGATGTGTGGGCCAAGCTGAGAGGAATAAAATTTCCCATGTTTTGAGTCGAGAAATCAGATAAATAACTTTAAAAAGAGAATGAATGGCCGGGAGCAGTGGCTCACGCCTGTAATCCCAGCACTTTGGGAGGCTGAGGTGGGCAGATCACTTGAGGTCAGGAGTTTGAGACCAGCCTGGCCAACGTGGTGAACCCCCAAATAAAAATTAGCTGGGTGTGGTGGCAGGCGCCTGTAATTCCAGCTACTTGGGAACCTAAAGCAGGAGAATCGCTTAAACCCGGAAGGTGGAGGTTACAGTGGTCCGAGACGGCACCAATGCACTCCAGCCTGGATGACAGAACGAGACTCCGTGTCAGAAAAAAAAAAAAAAAGAGAATGAGTATCCTTCTGCAGAAGTTGGACTTAATAAACAAAAAAGAAGAAAAGAAAAGGAAAAGACCACCCATCTTTTGAAAGATCTGGTATTGGGAGAGCTGGCTGGTCATTTTCTGCAAGCGCTATCATACCAGGACTAAAGACGTGGTTCTGGAAATTTCACTGGAGATAGTGAAATAAATGTACATGAACCCCAAATGAAGTGAAAGATAAGAGAAAAAGGCCTATAAATGGAGCCTCAACTGACATTTATAATTAAAAGCTGATAAAAAGATTAGAGAATAGGAGGTCACAAAGATGGACAAATTAGAATGACACTACACAAGCCAACATCAAAAAGATTTTAAGCATAGCCAGGTACAGAGGCATGAGCCTGTAGTTCCAGCTTCCCAGCTACTTGGGAAGCTGAGGTGGGAGGATCACTTGGGCCCAGGAGTTTGAGGCTGCAGTGTATGATGATCACACCTGCACTACTCCAGCCTGGGCAACATAGCAAGACCTCCTCTCAAAAGAAAAAAAAAAAAAGAAAAATTATTTTAAACATTAGGCAATATTGTAAGGAAAGAACAGTATTTAATGTGGTAGTTTTCCTGTATGTTCAAATGTTCAAGAAGCACTGACTAACCAACAGCACAAAAACACAAGAGATCATACATCTTTCGGCTGGGCGCATCAGCTGAGGTTAGGAGTTCAAGACCACCTGGTCAACAGGGTGAAACCCCATCTCTACTAAAAATACAAAAATTTGCCAGGCATGGTAGCCGGCGCCTGTAATCCCAGCTACTTGGGAGGCTGAGGCAGGAGGGTCGCTTGAACCTGAGGTGAAGGTTGCAGTGAGCCAAGATCACGCCACTGCACTCCATCCAGCCTGGGTGACAGAGCGAGACTCCATCTCAAAAACGAAACAATACAACAAAAGAGACCATATAACTTTTGTTTAGGATTCAGAAAGAAGTCACATCTGGAAAAAAGAAATATACTAAATTTCCCCAGGACAAGCAGTTTAATGATAGCTGCTGATAATGTATGCTAACTTGTAACTCAAATTTTCTCATTTAAAGTGTAGCTCTAAATTTAGGAGTATTTTAATAATTTCCCAAAGCTAAAGGGAAGAAATTTTATTTCCCTAGTAACTACAACCAAACAAAAATCCTAACAATTTGGCAATTTACCCAAGACAGTAAAATAAAATCCTGAAGCCTAATATATGGAGCCTAAAGATGATGACCATGTCAAAAACTATCAGGGCACTGAAAGATTAGGAAAAGTATATACTATAAAAACAAAAGGGAATGAATAGAATAAATCACTGAAGAACAAAGATATAGCTTGGGCTCCTGTTACTCACTGTTCTACTGTAAGAGAATAAATGTAGTTTTCTTAGTTGTGGTCAGTAATGAAAAATTTTCTTTGTTTTTAGATTTGTTGTGCTACCATGGTCCTTCTTAATAATGCAAGACACATAGGCTATACATTTGTGAAATGTGATTTTCCTGTTTAATCTTTAATATCAAGTCTTTTTTTGTTTGAGATGGAGTTTTGCTCTCGTTGCCCAGGCTGGAATGCAGTGGTGCAATCTCCACTCACTGCAACCTTTGCCTCCCGGGTTCAAGTGATTCTCCTGCCTCAATCTCCCAAGTAGTTGGCATTATAGGCACCTCCCACCACGCCCGGCTAATTTTTTGTGTTTTTAGTAGAGACAGGGTTTCACCATGTTGATCAGGCTGGTCTCAAACTCTTGACCTCAGGTGATCCACTCGCCTCAGTCTCCCAAAGTGCTGGGATTACAGGCATGGGCCATCATGCCTGGCCTCAAGTCTTAACTGATTGTTTTACAAAAATTTTTATTTATTTAAGTCTTAACTGATTCTAAGATGCACATTTTTAAACATTTGACAGTGGAATAGACCTACGATATATAATGTCTTAGCATTATAATTGGCGGCATTTTTTTCTTAGATGCCTTGAAATATGGTATGCTCAACTCCTTCGATTTTAAGATGCTGTAGAGACTTTGAGACATGCTACCAACTTAATAAAAACTTTTCTGGGAAAAAAAAGGCACCACCACGATAATATACATACAAATTGATCAAGATGCACTGATTTCAAAAATGTTAAATATGAGACCCTTATATCTTAGAATCATGGAAATATTGTATTGGAACCCAATTTTTTTTTTTTTTTTTTTTTTTTGAGACAGGGTCTCCCTCTGTTGCCCAGGCTGGAGTGGAGTGGCACGATCACGGCTTACTGAGGCTTCCACCTCCCTGGGGCTCAGGCAATCCTCCCACCTCAGCCTCCTGGGCTCAAGTGATCCACCCACCTCGGTCTCCCAAAGTGTTAGGATTACAGGCATGAACCACTGCGCCCAGCTGGAACCCAGTTTTAAAATGTATTCATTATTGTGTAAGATAAACAGAGAACCAAAATAAATAAATAAAATGTATTAGTTTGGCACTCTACAGTTCTTAAATGATCACAAGCTGATTAGGCTGCTTGTTAAGACTCCAGAACTGAAAGGAACTTAAAGACATCAGAACCTATCCTTTTTTTTTAAAGTGAGAAAGCTGAGGCCTTAAGAAATTATGTGATTTGTCCAAGGTCATCCAGCTATTCAGCAGCAAAAGGGAAACTAAGAATCCAGGTCTTCTAATTTGTGCCATTTTAAACTTGGTGACCCACAGCTATATAACCTGAAATAATTATCCTATTTATTTCAAATTGATTAGAGTCCCAACTGATACTCTGCTGTTATAGAACTGCTGGCACTACTCTAAAAGGTAGGACTTCTTGAGGTAATAAGGGATTTTTAAGGACATTAACAGGCATTCTCACCACACTGCTAAAGGTTAGACAGATGGAGCTAGCGCAAGACCTTCCTATAATCCTTCCAAAGTTCAAAATCCTGAAGTCAATCACAAGGAAAAAATTAGACAAATGTGAATTACAGAACCATTACAAGCCATCTGGCCTAGTCTTCAAAAAGTCAATGGCATTCATTGTGTGTGTTGGCGGGGCTTGGGGGGGGCTGTAAAAAAAAAAAAGTCAATGGCATGAAAGAATGAAAAAAGTGGGGACAATGTTCTAGATTAGAGAACAATCCTTAATTAGACTGAATAAACCCGCCTCAAAGAGCTATAAAGAACATTTTGGGGACAACTGAGAAATCTGAATACAAACTGTAATGTTAAATCCCCTGGAAATGAGGATATTGTGATCACATTATAAAAAGTACTTGGGGCAAAATATCAGTATTTTCATCTTACTTTCAAATGGTTTGGTAAAATAAGAATGTTCCTGGGATAGATGCACACATACACACATTCAGGAGAGAGAAAATGAGCACAAAAGTGAAACAGATAAAGCAAATGTGGCAAAAAGTTAATGATGGACGAAAAAATCATTTAAAAAATGAATAATGAACGAATCACAACCATTCTGGCTCTTCTCTTGTCCTGTTTGTGTTTTCAGTGAACTCATCTTAATTTCCCTCACCTAAATATGGATACAACTTCCCACCTCTTCCAAAAGAATACTTTAATCTTTAAAAAAAATTCTATTTGGGGCCAGGCAGTGGCTCACGCCTGTAATCCCAGCACTTTGCGAGGCCAAGGCAGGTGGATCACGAGGTCAGGAGTTCAAGACCAGCCTGGCCAAGATGGTGAAACCCTGTCTCTACCAAAAATACAAACATTAGCCAGGCGTGGTGGTGCAGGCCTGTAATCCCAGCTACTCGGGAGGCTGGGGCTGGAGAATCACTTGAACCCAGGAGGCAGAGGTGGCAATGGGCCGAGATCGTGCCACTGCACTCCAGCCTGGGCGACAGAGCGAGCGAGACTCAGTCTAAAAAAAAAAAATTCTATTTGGAGCTGAGGCAGGAGAATCACTTGAACCTGGGAGGTGGAGGATGCAGTGAGCCAAGATCGCACCACTGCACTCCAGCCTTGAGACTGTCTCAAAGAAAAAAAAAAAGTTCTATTTGCCCAAGTGTGGTGGCTCACGTCTGCAATCCCAACACCTAGAGAGGCCAAGGCAGGAGGACTGCTTGAGGCCAAGAGTTTGAGGCTGCAGTGAGCTGTGATCTCACGACTGCACTCCAGCATGGGTGACAGAGCAACTCTCTTCTACCTACTGCCTAAGATCACACCACTTGTATTACTATATTGTGTGTGTTGTGAATATACTACACATATATATGTATATGAAATTCTCAATTATCTGCTGGTAGAATTACAACAAATTTTAGATTCTCTGCGTATATACCCTAGATATTCACTTGGAAAGAAAATATAAATTCATTTTAATTTCAGTCTAAGTATAACAATTAGGAAGAATTTCTTCTTAGGATTCCTATAATGCATCCTAACCACCACATAAAAAAGCCTTTTGGATTGTTCTCAGTTTTTGATTATCTGTACCATTATTTTTCTCATTAATAAATCAATTAAATGTTGACTAAAACAAAGGAACCCTGATGCACTATTGCAAATGGCTATCTTGTTAATTACATACTGGCTTCAGATCAGTGTATCAATCAATTTTAATAACTCCTAAGAGTTTTCTTTAGTCACTCATTTTCTTAAAATGGTCTTGTAAAATGTTAAAGACATTCTAGGGTGAATGAAAAATGTAAAAAAAAAAAGTTCTAATCTCCTCTCTTGGAAGTAAATATTAAGCAACTGATTTTGTAACACTATTATAGTTTATACAGAAAACATTTATCTTACAATGACATACATTTTCTTTTCTTTCTTTCTTTTTTTTTTTTTTTTGAGATGGAGTTTCGCTCTTGTTGCCCAGGCTGGCGTGCAATGGCATGATCTCGGCTCACTGCAACCTTTGGCTCCCGGGTCCGAGTGATTCTCCTGCCTCAGCCTCCTGAGTAGCTGGGATTACAAGTGCCCGCCACCATGCCCAGCTAATTTTTGTATTTTCGGTATAGACGGGGTTTCACCATGTTGGTAAGGCTGGTCTCGAACTCCTGACCTCAGGTAATTCACCTGCCTCAGCCTCCCAAAGTGCTGGGATTACAGGCGTGAGCCACCACGCCCAGCCCTACAATGACATATATTTTCTATTGTTTATTCAGAGCAGTGAAATGGTTTTTAAGAGCTACTTCATTTATTCAATAATTACTGAGTACTTATATTGCATCACAGACTAAGGTAATTGGAAAACAGGCTCCTCCAAAGATAATTCCAATGTAGTAAGTGCAATAATGATGCAATGGAAACTTAGAAATATTACCTACATAAAGTTCAGAGAAGAATTATAGAATGAGGTATATGCCAAAGGTACAAATATTTTCTAGGAGAGCGAAACAGGAAAAAGCATGTGTTTGCAGAGGCCCAAGATATTTGGGAAACTGAAGAGCTTGATGTTTGTTTCAATCAATCTTAAGTACAAGATGCTAGAAGTAGGTGTTTAAGGGAAACCTCTGTTAAAGGTTATCTTTTGCTCCCAGTCTCAAAAATTATGAAATTGGATTTATATGCACAGGTCATCCTTTTAACATAGTATCTTCTTCAATTTTGTAAGAATTCATACTACTCAGTTTATCAAGGTATGCAGATATATCTGGTGTCTTTTAAGAAATGATGATGATACGAGACGGAAGTTGTTTTGTTTTTTAAAATGCCCTTATTTGCTCCACCCACCAAAAGATGTCAGCCCTGGAGGTTCTCAAAAACAGTTTCTTAAATCTGACTGGTCTGTGAAATAAAAAAGCTGGGGAGACAGGAGGACAGGTGACCACTAATCTAGAACATTAACAATTTCACATATCCAAATTCAAGTTTATCTGAATCCCTCTAAGTCATTCTTCTCCAATCACTTCAATAATTTACACATCGTTTTTTTTCTGCTGGGAATGCTCTTCTACCTTTATTAACTGGATAAAAACTTATTATCTTGAGGAGGTCTTTCCTGATTAAGTCCTAATCAACCTCAACACTCATATTTACCATCTTTGCATTTGTTATCCTGATGCTGTGTAAGTGTGCTCAAGGAAGGTATGTATATTTTCTCTTGATGACGACACAGTGGACAGAGTTACTGACTGAACCTCTTTACTTTGTGAGAACTGGAAGAACGAACTGCCCCCAAGAGATTATAATTTCTTACCTGTACTTATGCACTCATTAATAAAATCAATAGCCTGAAGAGATGGTGGGAGAAAAATACAAGAAAAAATCAGTGGGGCCGGGCACGGTGGCTCATGCCTGTAATCCCAGCACTTTGGTAGGCCGAAGCAGGCAGATCATGAGGTCGGGAGATCGAGACCATCCTGGCTAACACGGTGAAACCCCGTCTCTACTAAAAATAAAAAAAAAAAATTAGCCGGGCGTGGTGGCAGGTGCCTGTAGTCCCAGCTACTTGGGAGGCTGAGGCAGGAAAATGGCATGAACCTGGGAGGCAGAGTTTGCAGTGAGCCGAGATCGCGCCACTGCACTCCAGCCTGGGCGACAGAGCGAGATTCCGTCAAAAAAAAAAAAAAAAAAGAAAAAAAAGAAAAAATCAGCAAGAGTGTATTCTCTGGAATAGAGCAATACAGAGCAGTGGTCCTCAAAGTGTGGTCTGGGCAGTGGGAGATCCCCAGGGTCCTGGAGACCCTTTCAGGAGGTTTGCAAGGCCAAACTATTCTCAGAGTACCAAGAAGTTATTTGCCTTTTCCACTCATTCTCTCACGAGTATCCAGTGGAATTTTCCAGAAGCAATATGACATGTGCTGACATTATTGTTCTGACAGCTAATGGAATATGTTATGTGTATTCTTGTGTTTTCTAGAATTTTCCAAGGTAAGTTCTATGGGTCTTCAATAACTTTTAAAAGTGTAAAGGTGTCTTCAGACCAAAAAAACTGAGAACTCTTGTGCAGAGTGAGAGATACAAGACAGCTTGCCTACTTAAAAACAAAAACAAAAAAAGAAGTAATGGTTCTTCATTTTCCTTCATATTTCCTACCAACCAACCCACTCTATAACTAAAATTTTCTAACATATTTGAAGAAAAGATGTGAAAGGAACTATAAATAGGTAATAGATTTAATTAGCTAAAGTGCTCTAGAGAAATATCTTGAGACAAAAGCACGTATTTATGTATTTTGTTGCTGACTGGAAAATTTCATTCCAGAAAATAGGCAAGAATTCTCAACTTAACCTTTAGTCAAATTCATGTTCTGAACCACTAATATGATTCCAATTAAAATGATAAGAGCTCCAGTTGAATCGCAGAGGAAAAAAATTGATAGTATCTCTCTAAAACATCTTTTAAAAGCCTCCTGTAGGGCAGGTAAAATTATATAATGCAGTGTTTGAAACAGGATAATTTTTTTTCCCTTTTTATATTGTACTTTAAATAAATAGAAAAAAAATTTTTTACCCTTTTTATACTGTGCAGTGGCTCACGTCTGTAATCCCAGCACTTTGGAAGGCTGAGGTGGGCGGACCACTTGAGCCTAGGAGTTTAAACTTAAGACCAGCCTGGGCAACATGGAGAAATCACATCTCCACAAAAAATACAGGAAATCAAGGCTTCAGTGAGCTGTGATCACGCCGCTGCATTCCAGCCTGGGCGACAGAGGGAGACCCTGTCTCAAAAATTAAAAATAAATAAATAAATAAATAAATAAATAAATTAATTAATTAATTAAAAAGCTCCCTATACTTGTTTTTCAGTAGGTAAGAATATAATGCTCATAAGCCAAAGTTACATAGGTTCAAAGCCTCAGCCTCCCAAGTAGCTGGGATTACAGGCGTGTGCCACCACGCCTGGCTAATTTTTTATATTTTTGGTAGAGATGGGGTTTCACCATGTTGGCCAGGCTGGTATCGAACTCCTGACCTCAAGTGATCCGCCCACCCTGGCCTCCCAAAGTGCTGGGATTACAGGCGTGAGCCACCGCACTGTAAGTGAGCCAGGATCTCACTTCTTAACCTTTGCCACTTGTTTCAGAGTCTCTCACCCACCTGCCAAGGGGGCCTGGGTGACATACTAATGCTGCATCAGCACAAATTTCTCTGTTTTACTGGAAAAACAACTCAAAGTACATGTTTTGTCATTTCAAAGGTTGTGTTCAGCCAAATAATTTTACATTGGAGGAGTTAAATATTTAAGGAGTAATTTCTGTGAAACCACCAGACTCAGGATACATCTTTTGATCAATAGTCAATGGCCAAAAAATAAAATAAAATAAAATAAAATAAATAAATTCAGGCCTAGGTGGGTGGATTGCCTGAGCTCAGGAGTTCGAGACCAGCCTGGGCAACATGGTGAAACCCCGTCTCTACTAAAATACGAAAAATTAGCCGGGCATGGTGGCGTGCGCCTGTAGTTCCAGCTACTCAGGAAGCTGAGACAGGAGAATCGCTTGAACCCCAGGAGGTGGAGGCTGCAGTGAGCCAAGATGGCACCACTGCACTCCAGCCTGGGTGACAGAGCGAGACTCCGTCTCAAAAAAAAAAAAAAAAAAATCCAATTTATTTTTATTTTTATTTTTGAGACGGCGATCTCGGCTCACGTTGTGCAACCCCTGCCTCCCAGGTTCAAGCAATTCTCCCACCTCAGTCTCCCAAGTAGCTGGGATTACAGGCACCCACCATTATGCCTGGCTAATTTTTGTATTTTTATAAAGATGGGGTTTCACCATGTTGGCCAGCTGGTCTTGAACTCCTGACCTCAGGTGATCTGCCCACCTCGGCGTCCCAAAGTGGTGGCATTACAGGTGTAAGCCACTGCGCCCAGCCAAAAATCCAATTTAATAAGGCATTCACACAGTCCCTTGGAAATCAGTTATTCATGGTAAGAGGAAGCAAAGACTATTATCAACTAAACAGTACAAATAACTGAAAAATGTTATTGTAGCAATTTCAACCTAGAGCAAATCTTTTAAAGAAAATGCAGAGTAGTAAGTACATGGATTGTGTACCTATTTATTGTCTACATTAGATGCTAAGCAAAGTTGTAACTGAGGTTCCAATAAGACAAGCAAACTGAGAAGGAAGAAAAAAAGTCCCTGAACAATACATAAACTAACTCCTACCTAACAACTGACATTTAGCTTTATGAAAACTAATTCTGTTCTTAATATTACCCCCTTCAAAGCATATCCAGCCTTAATTCCACTCAAAAATATGCTTACAATGAAGAGAACTACGTAACTTATATGTCAGATAGCAGCATACACTAAAGTCCCTTGATTTTTTGCAAACGATTCTTTAGGTATAAATGGCTACTTAAGAAGGCATGTACAGCTCACCTAGGTACTCTCTTGACTGCCAATTTCAGAAAAGATCATAATTAAATTAATGCTGACACCTAGTGGCAAAAAAGAACATCTTTCTTTTCTAACGTTACTTGAATTGTACCTTCCAAGCAAAGACACTTCCAACTCCCCACAAAGGATTATCCATTTAATCTATTCAAGAATTATCCATTAGCCTTAAGTAAAAAAAATAGTTCCCCATTACTCAAAAATCATATTTGCACATGTAAAACGGGGCAGAATCTTTTCCTGGGGGTGGGCAGTTGTACTGAAGGGACTCCTTATGAAAAATCTGAGTTTGAAATTATAAATTTATAACCTTAAAAGGCCAGAAAACTGCTTAAAAATTAAGAATGCAGCTGAATATCTCACCTGACAGAGATGTCATTTATTCATAAGTTGTGGGATGTGTTTTAACTCTAGTTAGGACAGGCTGGTTCCCCCCTCCCCACTACATTTTTTTAAAATAGTAAAATGATCAACAAACAAATAAAACTCAGTTTTTCTCAACACTTACAAAACAGAACTGTGAATATTCCAAGATTTACAAAGCCATTGTCTGGTTGAATGGTTCAATTCAATCAAATGTTATATGCCCAATTTTCCAAACACTGTATATGTACAGCGCGAATTTTGATTAAACGCCACTGTTTGTAAAAATCTGAAGGAATATTTAAGATTCTACATGAAATTCTAGAATGAAAACGTTTTGGAAATTCAGAGGCAATCAATTGTGAAATATCTATTTTCAGCTGAAGAAATTTTCCATCCTGCAGACTGGCATGGTTGAACTGCTGTGTTGACTAGAAAAAAAATTGGCCATCAGTTTGAATTAATATTTATAAGTTCTCTTTTAAAAATGTTATGATTTCCTTTAAAAATGTAATTATAATCCACTTGAAAGTGGAGGTGTATGCCTACAATATAGCATATTGAGTAATAAGAAGATGTTATACACAGCACATTCAGAAATATCTTTGTCCTCTTAAAAACAATTCCCAGCACAGATTTAGCTTCTCCATGGAATCGGTTTGCAATCACTTCAAAATGTCCACCTCCTTCAATTTCTTTACCACTTAAAGATAATTTCATTGAAAGGCAGCAAAATATCTAACTGAACTAACAATCACCACATCTTCAAACCTCTGGAGTGAAGTAAAACCCCAATGGCAAATTCATTATTTTTAAAAATCATGGACTGACCTATTGTGATTTTAAGGTATAAAGAAACCTCTCCTAAAGCAGGTGGGTGGGCGTAAATCACTAGTTAAAAATAAATTGCAAAAGAGAAAAAACCCGTCAAGGGGTAAGTTGCTTCTCTACGGTGGGAAGCGTTAGGATGAGGCAAAGCAGGAATGGTCATTTCCCAAGGCTCTACTTTAGTGGTCAATTAGGGCGCTGGGGCTAACGCTAAGTAAACACGTTCGAATTCTTCGGAACCTCTACCTGGGTTTGGGGTCACTGAGCCACCTTAGTCTACTCAATCTTCTCGAACAAGAAAACTTGGGTGGTTGGGGTGGGGAACAATTCGTTATTCTTGCAAGATAAACCAAACCTGGCTGGGATCATCTGCCTACTTCTGAGTTTTCTCCCCAAACCCAGGCCGGGGGCTGGAAGCGGCATACAAAAGGCAGGCGACATGACCTCTCCGGGTCTACTCTCGGGCCAGGCGGAAGGTGGGAAGACCAACTCCGCTACCCCTCCCGTAGAGGGCCCGCTTCCGGGCGGGGGGCAAGGAGCCCCCAAGGCGAAGTCCCCTCAGGAAGTAACCCCAGCTCCGCAGCTAGGACGCAATCGGGAACCAGCCCACTCCTGCTGACTGACGCCAAGGGAGAGTTCGGGACGGGAGCGGCTCCCTCCCAGATCTGTAGCCGGCTGGGGCTCGCGGGGGGCTCCCTTCCCGGGGAACGCGCTCCCTTCTCATCTCCCAGACCTCGGCCGGGGGGAGAGGGAGGCAGGAGTTCTGCGGGGGCCTCACCAGGCGGAGCTGGCTAATTTCGTCGTAGGACATAAAGCTGAGGATGTTCTCGATGGCTACGATGGGCAGCGCCACAAGCGTGTTGTTTTGAGGCAGCTGGTCCGGAGCCAGCGCGGGGGCTGGGAGCGCCTGGGACCCCGGCTGCGGGTGCTGTGGCGCGGGCGGTGGAGGCTGTCGCTGGGTAGAGCCGGAGGCCAAAGAGGAACCGCCGTCGCCTTGGCCGCCGCCTCCTTCCTCTGCCATCCGCTCCTCCGCCGCTGCCGCCATCTTGGGGGCTTGATTCCTTACCCCCACAGCAAGGGGAACAGGGACACTTCCGGTGCGTCACTTCCTCCTCCTGCAGCCGCCGGGGAAGGGGTACCTGGAGGAGTGGGGAGGAGCCTGTGGGATAACAGGCGGAGAGAGACTCACAGGGTGCCTTTCAAGTGGAAGTCAGGGAAGATCATGTAAACCTCAAGAAAGGTGGTCATCCTAGACCCTTTTGTCTAAGATTAGTAACTACTTGAGAGCAAGGAAACCCTATTTATTAAAATGAACTTCACTGTGCAGTTTTCTTAAAGGGCTTCCTGACAATGGATGATAAAGATGTTGCCTAGTAAGTGTAGATGGAAATAATGTAGTTAGACTAGCACCATTTTTTAGGAATCATAGAAATGATTGATTTAGGCAAATAAAAAGGTATGAAATATCAATAAGAACTACAACATGAATGAACCGTGAGAACATATTAAGTGAAATAAGTTAGACACAAAGGACCACATATTGTATGATTGCATTTATATAGGATGTCTTAAATAGGCAAATCCATAGAGATAAAAAGTAGATTAGTGGTCGCCAGAGGCTGGGGGAAATGGGGAAATGAGTGCTAATGGGTGAAGGGTTTCATTTTCGGGGTGATAAAAATGCTCTGGAATTAGCGGTGATGGTTACACAACCGTATGAATATACAAAAACCACTGAATTACTATATACTTTAATGAATTTTATCATATATGAATTGTATTCTAATAACTGATTTAGGCAAGAATCATCAAAAGGTACTAAAACTAGGAGGTAAACGTGATGAGGAACATGATATTTCCATAGTCTCAAAATAACTCCCCATAAATTATGTATTATTTACAAAGATGAAAAGAAATAGTTTACAAGGCTGGGCGTGTTGACTCACGCCTGTAATCCAGCACTTTGGAAGGCTGAAGCGGGAGAATCACTTTAGCCCAGAAGTTGGAGACCAGCCTGGGCAACGTGGAGAAACCCCATCTCTACAAAAAATACAAAAAATTAGCCAAATGTGGTGGCTAGGTCCTATGGTCCTAGCTACTCGTGAGGCTGAGATGGGAGGATTGCTTGAGCCACACGAGTTCGAGGCTGCAGCGAACCGTCAGCCTGCCACTGCACTCCAGCCTGGGCAACAGAGCGAGAAAAAAAAAAAAAGTTTACAATAGAGAAATTTGGTGGACACCATCATAACCAAATGATCAAGACTAACGCCACAGTTATAGGAGGAGCCAATATCATATGCCTATTAATATAATACCCTGAAAAGGACGCAGCATAATGTAGTATTCATGCAAAAAAAGCACGAGTTGCGTTTGAGGTAGACATCGCTAGATGACGGGCCCATAAATTATTCAAAAGTGTTAACGTTACAAAAGACAAAGACTAAGGGTTTGTGGCAGATTAAAGGATACTAAAGAGACAGGGCAACTAAATCTATGGGTGATCCTGGATGGGATCCTGGATTAAGGAAGAAATAACTATGAAGAACGTTATTGTGACAACTGGCAAAATTTAAAAATGGACAGTATATTAGATTATACTGTAATCATATTAAATTTTTCGATTTGGGTAATTGTATTATGGTCATATAAGACAATGTCTTTGTCTTTAGGAAATACACATTGAAGGATAAGCATGCTTCTATTATTTTCCTTTATTTATTTATTTATTTTTTTGAGATGGAGTCTTGCTCTGTCACCCAGGCTAGAGTGCAGTGGTGCGATGTCAGCTGGTTCGAGCAATTCTCCTGCCTCAGCCTCCTGAGTAGCTGGGATTACAGGCGCCCACCATCACGTCTGGCTAATTTTTGTATTTTTAGTAGAGACGGGATTTCACCATCTTGGCCAGGCTGCTCTCGAACTCCTGACCTTGTGATCCACCCACCTCAGCCTCCCAAAGTGCTGGGATTACAGGCAGCAATGGCGCCCGGCCGCATGCTTTGTATTTTACACTTTGCTTTCTTGTGCTTCTCAGATATTGCGTTTTTAAAAATGAATTGAAGGTTTGTGGCAACCCTTGAGCAAGTCTCTTGGTGCCATTTTTCCAACAGCATGTGTTCACCTTGTTTCTTTCTGTCACATTTTGATAATTCCTCTGATATTTAAAACTTTTTATTATTGTTATATCTGTTATGGTGAGCTGTGATCAGTAATTTTTTTTGTTTATTGAGGCAGCATCTTGCTCTGTTGCCCAGACTGGAGTGCAATGACAGGATGATGGCTCACTGTAGCCTCCACCGCCTGGGTTCAAGCAATCCCCCAACCTTGGCCTCCTGAGTAGCTGGGACTACAGGTGTGTGCCACCACACCTGGATAATTTTTGATTTTTTTTTGTAGAAACAGGGTTTTGCCACGTTGCCCAGGCTGGCCTTGAACTCTTGTGCTCAAGCAGTCTGCCTGCTTTGGCCTCCCAAAGTGTTGAGATTACGAGAGTGAGCCACCATGCCTGGCAGATCAGTAATCTTTATGTTACTATTGTAATTGTTTTGAGGTGCCACCAATCATACCCATATAAGACGGCAAATTTAATCAATACATGTAGGTGTTCTGACTGGCTGCTGTTTCCCCATCTCTCTTCTTCTCCTGCAGCTATGGTGGAAATAGCAAGAGAACTGGAATTAGAAGTGAAGCCTGAAGATGTGACTAAATTGTTGCTGCAATCTCATGATAAAACTTGAATGGAGGCCGGGTGCGGTGGCTCACGCCTGTAATCCCAGCACTTTGGGAGCCCCAGGTGGGTGGATCACCTGAGGTCAGGAGTTCGAGACCGGCCTGGCCAATGTGGCAAAACCCCTTCTCTACTAAAAGTACAAAAATTAGCCAGACGTGGTGGCATGCGCCTATAATCCCAGCTACTCGGGAGGCTGAGGCAGGAGAATTGCTGGAACCTGGGAGGCAGAGGTTGCAGTGAGCTGAGATCGTGCCACTGCACTCCAGCCTAGGCAACAGAGCGAGATTCCAGCTCAAAAAAGAAAAGAAAAAAAGCCAAACTTGAATGGATTGAATGGATGAGGAGTTGCTTCTTATGAATGAGCAAAGCAAGTGATTTCTTCATATGGAATCTGTTCCTGGTGAAGATGCTGTGATCATTATTAAAAGACAACAAAGGATTTAGAATATTACATAAACTTAGTTGATAAAGCAATGGCAGAGTTTGAGAAGATTGACTCCAATTTTGAAAAAAGGTCTACTGTGGCAAGATGTTATCAAACAGCATCATATGCCATGGAAAAAATCTTTGTGAAAGAGTCAATCAGTGTATCAAACTTCATTGCTATCTTATTTTAGAAAATTGCCACAGCCACCCTAACCTTCAGTAACTACCATCCTGATCGATCAGCAGCTGTTAAATTGAGGTAAGACCCTCTACCAGCAAAAAGATTATGATTCACCAAAGGCTCAGATGATTAGCATTTTTTAGCAATAAAATATTTTAAAATTAAAGTATATCATTTTTTAGACATAATGCTATTGCACACTTAATAGACTACAGTTTTATATAAACATAACTTTTATATGCACTGGGAACCAAAACTTACTTGTGTCACTGGGTTTATTGCACTACTTGCTTTATTATGGTGGCCTGTGTGGTCTAACTCTCAATATCTCAGAGGTATTTCTGTATTTATGGGTAGAGGGAAATGATGCCTCAAATTACTTTCAAATGGTTCAAGTAAATAGATAGAGAATGAGGTTAATATAGCAAATACAGCAAATGTTATTAATTGATGAATTTGGTTGAAGGGTATACCAGAGTCTTCCTTGTACTATCTTGTAATTATTTCAGAAAAAAAATTTAAAGGTTGCCTAAACTTTCTGTATGTTTGTATACTTATAATATCCTATGACAAAGATAAAGGTATACAAGTCACTATTTTTTTTTAGACAGGGTCTCACTGTGTTGCCCAGGCTGTAGTGCAGTGGCATGATCATGGCTTACTGCAGCCTTGACCTCCTGGGCTCAAGGAATGTTCCTACCTCAGCCTACCAAGTAGGGACTACAGGTGTGCGCCACCATGCCTGGCTACTTTTTAAATTTTTTGTAGAGATGAGGTCTTACTATATTGTCCAGGCTGGTCTTGAACTCCTGTGCTCAAGCAATCTTCTCACTTCAGCTTCCCAAAGTGCTGGGATACAGACATGAGCCACCATGCCTGCCAAATCATTAAATTTTGAAGCTTTCTTCTCCCTAGTGCTTTGGTCTTATTCTTAAAGCTTCCAATATGTCCTTTCTTTTGTAGCTTTCTTTTGGAATCTAATGTTTGCACAGTAGATGTGAAAACTGCAGAAAAAACTAAGTATGACTAAAGGTTAAGGGAAGTGGGGGCAACTGAAGCAAAGAAATTAATTGGTGGTGTTGAGCTTGTTAGAATTGGCATCCTTTCCCCATTCACTTGGCATGTGAACAATTATCATTTTACCTATGATTGTTGCAAAAGTTTTGAAGTTGTTCCTTTGATTCTCCTACTTTGGGTTGTTTAGCATTCAACATATGCTTTATGATTGACTCTTTCTGACATGTTTGCATATTTATAATATGTTAGTTTTATCTCCACTAATAGATTGTAATTTTACTTTTCTTCTATGATATTGCTATCTCTTCATAGAACCCATTACAACTTAGTCTTAATTAAATTCATTTTCTACCTTTTTAATTAAAACTAGATGGCTTCTTGATAGGTTAGGTTGAAATATAATTTTTGTAAATAGAATCATGCTTTAAATTCATTATGGAAACTCATTTAAAGGAAACCCATAGAAAATCCTTTAAAATATGAATCATCACTCTCTAACTTTATTTTGTAAATCCAATCATTACTTGTTTGCTTGAAGTGGACACATGAAAAGCCTTCCCACTCCCTTAACTCTCCACTGGCAGACAGCTAGTTAACATCCAGATTAGGTGACCTAACAATAGAATACATTGAATAGAATAATACTGATCTAACAATAGAGTAAATACAATGTAGGGAACAATTTAAACCAGTTCCTGCCAGTAGCTCATTCAAATGGTTCTGTTTATGTATATTGGATTTGTGCCCTTATATCTCCTACATTTTAAAATTTATTTAAGTTCATATTTATTTATTTATTTGAGACAGGGTCTGACTCTGTCACCCAGGCTAAAGTGCAGTGGCATGATCTCAGCTCACTGCAAATTCCGCCTCCTGGGCTCAAGCCATCTTTCCACCTCAGCCTCCCAAGTAGCTGGGACTACAGGTGCATACCACCACAACTGGCTAATTTTTGTATTTTTGTAGAGATAGGGTTTCACCATGTTGCCTAGGTTGGTCTGGAACTCTTGAGCTCAAGCGATCTGCCCGCCTCAGCCTCCCAAAGTGCTGGGATTACAGGTGTGAGCCCGTACATATTTTTAATAAGAGAATTTCAAAGCAAATGGTTTCTTTGTTTCAATTATTAAAATCAATGTTTGTTTTGGATTTGTTTCAATTATTAAAATCAGTGCTTGTTTTGGATATGCTTTCCAATCACAACAATTATTTGTAACTAATACAAATATTTGAATTCAAGAGTAGTTCTAGGTTCTAAATATAGTTTTATGCCAACAGACTACAATAGGACCTTTGCAAGACAGTGGTCTCGGGTATGAGATGGACACATGCTTCTTAAGATCTGTGTGTTTCTAGTTTCATATTTGTAAAAGGGGAGAATATTACCTCTCTTATATCACACAGTTGAAATGAGGATGAACTGAGACTGCAAATGGGTGGGGTTTGGAATGCCTCTGATTAAAGGTGTTAAAATCAATTTACTACAATGAGGACTCTGTTATTCTTCTGCTTCCCTGGTTAGGGTGTGTGTTGAGGAGATGGGGGGTGTTGGGTGTGGTGGGACATGGTGAGGGGTGATCTAGCCTATTCAATGGTACCTCCATAGGAAGATGGGCTTTATATATTAAAAAAGAAGCTAAAACTAGATATTATTTTTCTATTTGCTAGCAGATTTGTAATATATTTAGAAAGAATGAAGGAAGAGCTCATATCCTAACTAAAAAGAGATTTGAAGTTTCTATGGATTGCAATTAACTGTGTTTTTAAAGATCCATCTTTTTAAATATTTATTTATTTATTTAAGACAGAGTCTTGCCCTGTCACCCAGGCTGGAGTGCAGTGGTGTGATCTTGGCTCACTGGAACGTCCACCTCTCAGATTCAAAAGATTCTTGTGCCTCAGCCTCCCAAGTAGCTGGGACTACAGGCACAAGCCACCATGCCCGGCTGGTTTTTATATTTTTAGTAGAGACGGGGTTTCACCATGTTGGCCAGGCTGGTCTAGAACTCCTGGCCTCAAGTGATCTGCTTGCCTTGGCCTCCCAAAATGCTGGGATTACAAGCGTGAGCCACTGCACCCAGCCTAAAGATCCATCTTTTGACTAGATAAGACATTTTCTATCATGACTAATATATGAAATTTTATGATTAGATAAATTTTTTAAAATTTAAAGTTTGACTCCAGAAAAAGGTAGTCCACTAGACTTTCAATTCAGCAAGTGTTTATTGATTGCTACATGGGTAATGCTAGGAAGATACTAAGATATAAACAATATTTCCCACCCTGGGGATGATATGAATCTGGCTGCAGTACCAGTCACCACATTGATGGCCTGAATTTATTCCATTGACCTGGCAGACTGGACTGGTGTTTCCTTATTTTCTCATGTGCAGTTTTCCTAAAGTTGTATATTCAGGAAGAAAAGCTTAATTTCCTGGACTATTCTGGACATGTGATTCAGCTGCCTCTGTTCTGCCATTAGAAAGGTGTGTAAACAAAACTTATGGGAACACCAGGGAAAGTTTCATGGAGAAGGTTCTTTTTCAGCTTGACTTAGAAGGATGATGATGTTGGGATACTTGCAGTGGTTTTGTTAATTAAAAGTTGAAAAAGGGTGTGAGGACATTTCAAACAAAGGTAACAGTAAAAGCAAATAGCATGAATTAGGTAAACATCCAAAAGATGAGAGAAGTGCATGTGTGCACAGGATTTTGGACTTTAATTCTGTAGACCAGTGGTGATTGTTTTTGCTTTTAATTATTTAAAAAATGTTTGTGTCAATTATCATTTAATTGCCTCTGAGCTCTATATTCACCCTTTTTTGCTTGCTTTGTGAAAATACTAACGGGCCCATTAAATGTTTTTTTCTTTATCAGCTGGCGCAGTGTGAAGCTATGTCAGTAGAGGGCTCTGGGCAGACATTGCAAGAGCAAAGAGTTTTGCTTCCTGGTTACGGTGTGCTTGCTTGGCAGCTCCTGCAGCACACGGGCAGATTCTCCAGCACCATGTCCTGCCTGGCAGGGTAGTCAGTAGCACCCATTGACCAGCAGCTTCCCTTGGCATCACCTTCTCCCTTGAATGGCTTTGTAGTAAAGTGTCTGGTGCGACACCTCTCCATGACCTGCTTTCCCTGACATCCTAGAGGACAGATTTCTGGTAAATTCCAAAGGGCAGATTTCCAGCCAGTTCTGCCAGCACAGAATCACAAGAATTTCTCTGCTGCCTAGTGAGCCATACCTGTGCCCTCCAAGATCTGGGTCCTGGGCCTGGGGAGCCTTTTCCCTGGATACTCTATCCCAGCTCAAAGAACATGGCTGCTACTTTATTTGTTATTCTTTTATTCTTTAGAGTTTTCTTTACTTCTTACTAGCCAATCCCTCATTGTTCCAATTCCCTGCTACAGTTATTAAGTCTTTTTTTTTTTTTTAAAGAGTCTCACTCACTCTGTTGCCCAGGCTGGAGTGTAGTGGGGCGATCTCAGTTACTTCAACCTCTGCCTCCTGGGTTCAAGCAATTCTCCTGCCTCAGCCTCCCGAGTAGCTAGGACTACAGGCGTCCACCGCCACGCCTGACTAATTTTTGTATTTTTAGTGGAGAGGGGGTTTCACCATGTTGAACTCCTGACCTCAGGTGATCTGCCTGCCTCAGCCTCCCAAAGTGCTGGGATTACAGGTGTGAGCCATCGCGCCCGGCCAGGTTAGAATATTGTTAAATCCAACTCTCTACTTACTCCTTCCTGCATTAGAGAGCTGAGAGTGGCTACCAAAATATATGCAACCTTGCTGACTGTTTTCACTTTAACTTTGTAATTGTGACCCTCCAGTGGGTTCTACTGCTACCCTGAAGTCACTGCATATTTTCCAAGTTCACTTCCTCTACTCTTTTTCTAAATGATTATTTTACATCTTCTCCTCTCTTCTCAAACCTTCGATCCCCCATCCAACTATTGACCTGACTTTTTATTTCAATGTCAAAATAGTAGGTAAAGAGAGAAATTTTAGTGGGAGACAAGGAAACTTTGGTGGGAGAGAAGGAATTGCTGATTTCTTGAGTAGAGGAGAGAGGACAGGATCTTTTATGCAAGTGGAAACACGGGTGTTAGCTGGGAACTGAAAAAGTTCATCTGAAGTAACAGAAGAGGAGGCAGAGCACACAGGTAGGTGCAGACTGATGGGTAAATGTAAGAGTCTGTGGATGTTTCTTCTGATTGCTTCTATTTCTCTTCCACATATACACATGCCATTAGTTCTCCCATCTTAGGAAAACATCTCTTCGCTTCATCTACTCTTCTAGCTACTACCCCATCTCTCTCCTTCTCTTCACAGCCAAACGTCTTTAAAGAGTTGGCCATTCTTGCTGCTGCCTCCGATTTCTCTTCTCGTATTCTCTCTTGATCCCACTTCAATCAGGCTTTTACTCTGACCATATCATCAAAATGGCTCTTATTAAGTTCTCTGGGGACCTCCACATTGCTAAATCCAAGGGTCAATTCTTAGTACTCATCTTACTTGACTTGTCAGGAGCATTTGACACAGTTGATGATTCTACCCTCTTTAAAACACTTCCTGCACTTGGCTTTTAGGTCAATATGCCATCCTGATTTTCCTTCTATTCCACTGGCCGTTCCTCTACCTCTCTTCATCTCCCTCATTCTTTTTGTTTTTTCTTTTTAGATCTGATTGCATTTGTTGATATGGTAACACTTCCTAGAGAGTCTTTAATCAGTGGACTAGCTCTAGCAGCTTTACACAAGACTGAAATTATTGTAACAAATGTAAGTTTTCAAGACAATCTTATACTTTATCAATCAATTGCATCTTTTAAAATTATTACTATTTAATTTCAATAGCTTTAGGGTACAAGTGGTTTTTGGTTACATGAATGAATTACATAATGGTGAAGTCAGGGCTTTTAGTGTACCCATCACCTAAATAGTGTACATTGTACCCAGCCGGTAAGTTTTCATCTCTCACCTCCCTCCCTGCTTCTGAGTCTCCAATGTCTATTACACTGCTGTGTACCCATAGCTTAGCTCCCACTTATAAGTGAGAACATGCAGTATTTGGTTTTCCATTCCTAAGTTACTTCACTTAGGATAATGGCCTTCAGTTCCATCTAAGTTGCTGCAGAATACATTATTTCATTTTTTTATGACTGAGTAGTATTCTATGGGATATAAATGTAGTATATACTTATCCACTCATTGGTTGATGGACACTTAGTTTGATTCTATATCTATGCAGTTGTAAATTGTGCTGCAATAAACATATGGGTTTAGGTGTCTTTTTGATATAATGACTTCTTGTACTTTGAGTAGATACCCAGTAGTGGGATTGCTGATTGAATGGTAGATCTACTTTTAGTTCTTTGAGAAATCTCCACACTATTTTCCACAGAGGTTGTACTAATTTACATTCCCACCAACAGTGTATAAATGTTCGCTTTTCAATGCATTCACACCAACATCTATCATTTTTGGACTTATTTATTTATTTATTTATTTATTGAGACAGGGTCTTGCTCTGTCACCCAGGCTGGAGTGCAGTGGCACGATCTCAGCTTACTGCAACCTTTGCCTCCTGGGTTCAAGTGATTCTCCTGCCTCAGCCTCCTGAGTAGCTGGGACCACAGGCACTTGCCACCGTGCCTGGCTAATTTTTGTATTTTTAATAGAGACGGGGTCTCACCATGTTGACCAGGCTGGTCTCAAACTCCTGACCTCAAGTGATATGCCCACCTCAGCCTCCCAAAGTGCTGGGATTACAGGCATAAGCCACCTTGCCTGGCCATGGATTTTTTAATGATGGCCATTCTGACTGAGGTCAGGTAGTATCTCATTGTGGTTTTAATTTGCATTTCCCTGATGAGTAGTGATGCTGTACATTTTTTCATATGTTTCTTGGCCATTTGTTTGTTTGGTTGTTTTTGAGATGGAATCTTGCTCTGTCGCCCAGGTTAGAGTGCAGTGGCACGATCTTGGCTCACTGCAACCTCTGCCTCCTGGGTTCAAGTGATCCACCCACCTCAGCCTCCCAAGTAGCTGGGATGACAAGCGTGCATCAGCACACTGGCTAATTTTTGTGTTTTAAGTAGAGATGGGGTTTCACCGTGTTGGCCAGGCTGGTCTCGAACTCTTAACCTCAAGAGATCTGCCTGCCTTGGCCTCCCAAAATGCTGGGATTACAGGTGTGAGCCACTGCGCCCAACCTCTTGGCCATTTGCGTGTCTTATTTTGAAAAATGTCTGTTCGTGTCGTTTGCCTGCTTTTTAATGGGATTTTTTCTTGATGTTTTTTGAATTCTTTGTGGATTCTTGATATTAGTCCTTTGTCAGATGTAGGTTATTTACTTTGTTAATTATTTCTTTTGTTGGGCAGACACTTTTTTAGTTTAATTAAGTCTCATGTATTTATTTTTGGTTTTCTTGCTTTTGCTTTTGTTTTCTTAGTCATAAATTATTTGCTTAGGCCAATGTCCAGAAGAATTTTTCCTATGTTTTCTTCTAGAATTTTAATGGTTTCGGGTCTTACATTTACTTCTTTAATCTATTTTGAGTTAATTTTTGTATGTGGGGAGAGATACGGATCCAGTTTCATTCTTTGGCATGCGGCTATCCATTTATCCCAGCACCATGTATTGAATAGGGTGTCCTTTCTCTAGTGTGTGTTTTTGTCTGCTTTGTTGAAGATCTGTTGGTTGTAGGCATTTGGCTTTATTTCTGGGTTCTCTGTTTTGTTCCATTGGTCTGTGTTTCTACTTTTATACCAGTACTATGTCATTTTTCACAGAATTAGAAAAAGCAACCCTAAAATTCATATGGAATCAAAAAAGAGCCTGAAAAGCCAAAGCAATCCTAAGCAAAAAGAACAAATCTGGAGGCATCACATTATCTGACTTCAAATCATACTACAAGCCTATAGCAACCAAAACATCTCCCTCCTTCTTAACATTGCTGTGCCCCAGGGCCCAGTCCTTGGTCTTCTTCTTTCTTTCTCTCTCTCTCTTTTTTTTTTTTTTTTGAGACGGAGTCTTGCTGTGTCACCCAGGCTGGGGTTCAGTCGTGTGATCTGGGCTCACTGCAACCTCCGCCTCCCAGGTTCCAGCGATTCTCCTGCCTCAGCCTCCTGAGTAGCTGGGATTACAGGCGCACGCCACCACACCCAGCTATTTTTGCATTTTTAGTAGATACAGGGTTTCACCACGTTGGTCAGGCTGGTCTGGAACTCCTGACCTTGTGATCCACCCACCTCAGGCTCCCAAAGTGCTGGGATTACAGGCGTGAACCACCATATCCAGATGGACCTCTTCCCTTTATTGCCTTCATTGACTCTCTAGGTGATCTCATCTAGTCCTTTTAATTTTTATTATAATTTTAAAAAATATTTATTTATTTATTTTTGAGACAGGGTCTTGCCCTGTCACCCAGGCTGGAGAGCAGTGGCTTGATCATAGTTCACTGCAGCCTTTATGCCCTAGGTTGAAGTGATCTTCTCGCCTCAGCCTCCCAAATAGCGGAGACTGTGAGACTACAGGCACGTGGCATGTGCCACCAAATTTGTTTTTTTTTTTAAGTAGAGATGAGGTCTTGCTATGTTGCTCAGGCTGGTCTCAAACTCCTGAGGTCAAGCAGTCTTCCCACCTTGGTCTCCCAAAGTGCTGGGATTACAAGTGGGAACCACCGTGCTTGGCTTTTAAAACAAACATATCTCCAGCCCAGACCATTCTTGTGAATTTGAGATTCAAATATCCAACTGTCTAAGGAGTTTCTCTATTTAGATATTTAATAGGCATCTCAAATTTAGCATCTCCCAACTTGCTGTATCCCCAACTGAGCTCCATTAAACTGGCTCTTTTCAAAATGTTCCTTATTTCAGTAGAGGGGTGACTTCACTCTTCCTGTTGCTCAGACCAAAAATCTTGAAGTCATTCTTTTAAAAAAAAAAAAGTTTTATTGAGATATAATATGTATCAAACAGTTTGCCCACTTGAAGTATTCAATTCACTGGCTTTTAGTATATTCACAGTGATGCAACCATATTACCACAATCCATTTTAGAACATTTTCTTTTCTTTTTTTTTTTTCCTTTTTTTTTCTTTCTTTTTTTTTTTTTTAATTGATCATTCTTGGGTGTTTCTCGCAGAGGGGGATTTGGCAGGGTCACAGGACAATAGTGGAGGGAAGGTCAGCAGATAAACAAGTGAACAAAGGTCTCTGGTTTTCCTAGGCAGAGGACCCTGCGGCCTTCCGCAGTGTTTGTGTCCCTGGGTACTTGAGATTAGGGAGTGGTGATGACTCTTAAGGAGCATGCTGCCTTCAAGCATCTGTTTAACAAAGCACATCTTGCACCGCCCTTAATCCATTTAACCCTGAGTGGACACAGCACATGTTTCAGAGAGCACAGGGTTGGGGGTAAGGTCACAGATCAACAGGATCCCAAGGCAGAAGAATTTTTCTTAGTACAGAACAAAATGAAAAGTCTCCCATGTCTACTTCTCTCTACACAGACACGGCAACCATCTGATTTCTCAATCTTTTCCCCACCTTTCCCCCCTTTCTATTCGACAAAACCGCCATTGTCATCATGGCCCGTTCTCAATGAGCTGTTGGGTACACCTACCAGACGGGGTGGTGGCCGGGCAGAGGGGCTCCTCACTTCCCAGTAGGGGCGGCCGGGCAGAGGCGCCCCTCACCTCCCGGACGGGGCGGCTGGCCAGGCGGGGGGCTGACCCCCCCACCTCCCTCCCGGACGGGGCGGCTGGCCGGGCGGGGGGCTGACCCCCCAGCTCCCTCCCGGACGAGGTGGCTGCCGGGCGGAGACGCTCCTCACTTCCCAGACGGGGTGGCTGCTGGGCGGAGGGGCTCCTCACCTCTCAGACGGGGCGGTTGCCGGGCAGAGGGTCTCCTCACTTCTCAGACGGGGCGGCTGGGCAGAGACGCTCCTCACATCCCAGACGGGGCGGCAGGGCAGAGGTGCTCCCCACATCTTAGACGATGGGCGGCCGGGCAGAGACGCTCCTCACTTCCCAGATGTGATGGCGGCCGGGAAGAGGCGCTCCTCACTTCCTAGATGGGATGGCGGCCGGGCAGAGACGCTCCTCACTTTCCAGACTGGGCAGCCAGGCAGAGGGGCTCCTCACATCCCAGACGATGGGCGGCCAGGCGGAGACGCTCCTCACTTCCCAGACGGGGTGGCGGCCGGGCAGAGGCTGCAATCTCGGCACTTTGGGAGGCCAAGGCAGGCTGCTGGGAGGTGGAGGTTGTAGCGAGCCGAGATCATGCCACTGCACTCCAGCCTGGGCACCATTGAGCACTGAGTGAACGAGACTCTGTCTGCAATCCTGGCACCTCGGGAGGCTGAGGCTGGCGGATCACTCGCGGTTAGGAGCTGGAGACGAGCCCGGCCAACACAGCGAAACCCCGTCTCCACCAAAAAAACACGAAAACCAGTCAGGCGTGGCGGCGCGCGCCTGCAATCGCAGGCACTCGGCAGGCTGAGGCAGGAGAATCAGGCAGGGAGGCTGCAGTGAGCCGAGATGGCAGCAGCACCGTCCAGCTTCAGCTCGGCATCAGAGGGAGACCGTGGAAAGAGAGGGAGAGGGAGACTGTGGGGAGAGGGAGACCGTGGAAAGAGAGGGAGAGGGAGAGGGAGAGGGAGCACTGACTTCTAAATCTCCTGTTTGAAAATCCATTTTAGAACATTTTCATTACCCCACAAGGAAACCCCATACTCCTTAGTTGAAGTCATTCTTGACTCCTCTCTTTCACATCCCACATCCAGTCCATCAGCAAATCCCATAGGCTCAACTTTCGGGAACACATTGGGAATCTTACCACTTGTTACCATCTCTGCTGCTTGACCAAGTTGCCATCATCTCTTGCCTGGGTTATTGTAACAGCCTCTTAGCTGATGTCCCTGCATCCTCCCTGACCCCCTTTCAATCTATTCTCAATCCAGCAGCTAGAATGATCTTATTGTAATATAAGTCTGATCACATCTCTTTGCTCAGTGGTTCCCATTCCACCCAATAAAAGCCCAACGTCCTCACAAAGACACGTAAGACTTGACGAGGTCTGTCTTCTGGGTTTGCTCTGACCTCATAGTTTACGCCTCATCTCTCTTTTGCTTCAGTCTCACTGTCTTTCTTTCCTTCTCACACCAAACTTTCTCCCTCCTCAGCATCATTCTTTTGGCCTGGAAAGTCCTTTACCCAAATATTTCCATGGCTCACTTTTTTGCAGAATTGGATTTTCCATAAAGCAAATGAATCTTTTTTTTTCTTTTTTCTTTTTTTTGAGATAGGGTCTGGCTCTGTTGCCCAGGCTGGAGAGCAGTGGTGCAAGCTTGGCTCACTGCAATCTCCCCCTCTCAGGCTCAAACCATCCTCCCACCTCAGCCTCCTGCATAGCTGGGACTACAGGTGCATGCCACATGCCTGACTAATTTTTGTATTTTTTTGTAGATACTGGGTTTTGCCATGTTTCCCAGGCTGGTCTCGAACTCCTGAGCTCAAGCAATCCACCTGCCTCGGCCTACCAAAGTGCTGGGATTACAGGCGTGAGCCACCATGCCCAGCTTCATAAAGCAAATGCATCTTGAGTGTCGGCATCTTTCACTTGCTACAGGACCCTTCTCTCACTTTCTGAGAACATTTTATTTTATTTTTAAAAAATTAACTATTTTTTATTTTTTTATAGATTTAGGGGGTACAAGTGCAGATTTCTTATGCATATATTGTATAGTGGTGAACTCTGGCGTTTAGTGTACCCATCACCCAAATAGAGAACATTGCACACAATAGGTAATTTTTCAACCCTTGTCCCGTCTCCACCTTGCGACCTTGTGGAGTCTCCAGTGTCCATTATTCTACTCTGTATGCCCATGTGTACCCATTGTTTAGCTGCTACTTAGAAGTAAGAACATCTAGTATTTGACTTTCTGTTTCTGATTTATTTCACTTAGGGTAATGGCCTTTAGTCAGAGAACATTTTAATGGAGGATAATAAGGGCTGAGGAGTTGGTAGACAGCAGGGCATTTGGATATTTGAATCTCAATATACCAATTTAGTCTTGAGCCAGCTAGGCATTATCTGTCCATCTCTTGTTGCTAAAGGTCAGTATTTCTCAAAATTCTGGTGAGAAACTTGGATCAGAAACACCTGGGGCATTTGTTAAAAATTAAGGTTCTAGGCTGGGTGTGGTGGCTCATGCCTGTAATCTCAGCACTTTGGGAGGCTGAAGTGGGCAATCACTTGAGGAAAGGAGTTGAAGACCAGTCTAGCCAACATGGCAAAACCACGTCTCTACAGAAAATACAAATGATAATAATAATAATAAATAAGGTTCTAACCAGGTGCAGTGACACACACCTGTGGTCCTAGCTACTCAGGAGGTTGAGGTGGGAGGATCCCTTGAGCCCAGGAGTTTGAGGTAAGCCTGAGCAACACAGTAAGATCTTGTTTAAAAAAAAAAAGTTAAGGTTTTTGCACCATACCCAAGATCTACCAAATCAGAAACTCTGAGAATCTCATGGTAAATACGCTCCACACCTGTTTCTCAGGCATACCGTAGGCTCTGTTTGTATTTATGTTTTACCCCCAAATCTGTAAAAAAGCTGTGGTAATTGCGTAATTGTGTAATCAAATTCATAGTACCATTGTAATTCAGATTTTCTGAGCAGTAAATATTTCAGAACTCTTTTTACTTTTTTTTTTTTTTTTTGCCGTTTTCCTCTTACTTTCAGACACTGGCCTCTACTTAAGTGATTTTCATAAAGCTTTGAGGGAGATAGGTCATCATTTGACTTTTTCTAATGGATAAATGTTTGATTTTTAAAATCTAGGTTTGGATTTATAATTCTTCTCAAGACAGAACTTGTTTCTCTCTTTTTTTTTTTTTTTCCCCTGCCCAGGCTGGAGTGCAGTGGCACGATCTCGGCTCACTGCAACCTCTGCCTCCCAGGTTCAAGTGATTCTCCTGCCTCTGCCTCCTGAGTAGCTGGGATTACAGGCACCCACCACACCTGGCTAATTTTTGTATTTTTAGTAGAGACGGGGTTTCACCATGTTATGTTGGCCAGGCTGGTCTCAAACTCCTGACCTCAAGTGATCCGCCTGCCTTGGCCTCCCAAAGTGCTGGGATTACAGGTGTTAGCCACCGCGCCCAGCCGAGAACTTGTCCCATTTATCTTTGTATGCCTCAAGTACCTGGCATGGTACATTGGCATAGTAGAGGCTTGCAAATATCTAATGAATTAGATAAAACTATAATGATGCACAATGGGCAGTGTTCAAAGTTAATTAGCCATTGGTCTGGAATGGGGGTGAGGTGTTTGTTCAGCTCTTTAACAATGAGGGTTCAGCATCACTGCCTGCCATCTTCAGGGGTTGGGCATTTGTGGATAGAGCAGCTGTCAGCTGTGTGAGCCAGAGCCCGTATGCACTGTGAAGGATACTTTTCCCCAAATGAAATCCTAATCTATGCAGTTTCAGGATCAAGTGTTTCTGATTTAAGACTAACTGGAGACTCCTGTCTATGGAGTCTTTGACAGCAATTATGGTCCTGGAGATGACAACTCTCATTAATAACTGCTTCATTTTTTTTCTAGGTTTCATTTAAATATGACACCATGGTTTGGAGTCCTAAGCCATAAACAATAAGCCAGAATGATTCTGCAGCTTTCAAAAGAAGAAAAGTCTGCAAACTTTGCATGGAAACACACCACACAGCATTTCTGATGTCTTTACTGTCCCCTGGTCATTGTCTTGTGCCCATTGGAGGAGGCATGTTTTAGGGTATCAGTAGTGGAAGCAGGTGCAGCAGAAGTACATCAGAGCCAGATTAGGAAGTGAGGACAGAGTCAAGGGGCAAAGCCAACTTGTCGCATGTCAGAACAGAAGATGCCAAGAACTGAGAAGGGTGGATTATAGATTTGGAGGCATGGAATGGGAGAACTAATATTATAGGATAAAACTGGATGGCAAAGGCTGAAGACTTGGGGGTGTCAGGAATATTTCTGAATTTAAATGATGGGTTCTGAACTAATAATTGTGGTTCAGACCCCATTCACCAGATTTGAATGCATCTCAGGAAGTAGGAGACTGGGGAGAAGAACTTTTAAAGAGCCACATGCCTGCCTTTCTGCTCGGGTTCTGAGATTCTTGAGGCATTATTGTCTCTGAAGGAAATAAACAATTGTTACCTTGTAAAGGTGTCTTTATCCTCAGCACTATTACAAAATTTCAGGTGCATGCATGTAGCTACAATCATTGAGCATCATTCTGATGTCCTTTGTGTATCAGTCATCTCTTATGGTGACTTAAGTATAATGTCAAGGGTTCGGGTTAAGGCACTAGGTGGAACCAGAGTGGGAGAAACTGCTCCTTAGGATGGAGGAGGCAGCAGTCCATTAACCCAGGGGTTTCACGAACTGGACCATTATTTTTTTCTTTTTCTTTCTTTTTTTTTTTGAGACAGTGTTCTTATTTTGTTGCCCAGGCTGGGGTGCAGTGGTACATGGACCATGATATTCTTATCAAAGGACATTTTGTCTGGTGGGTTGGAGCAATATTTGGCAGAACTATGGTTTAAGAAATCATCTCAGAGAGCAGGAGGTGAATGGGGAGAGGCTGATGAGAAAAAGGCATAAATGAGAATTCCTAGGTGAGCTAGTAATGTTCTGGGCTGGATTAAGTGTGAACTTGCAGAGTTAAGTGGAAAACCAGGGCAGGCAGGTTCTTAATCTTATGGGCTGGGCCAGCAAGATGCATAGTAGGGGGAGGCTCTTGTCCAGTACAGTGGAGGGCTGATATGGTTTGGCTGTGTCCCCACCCAAATCTCTTCATGAGTTGTAGTTTCCATAATCCGCATGTGTGGTGAGAGGGACCTGGTGGGAGGTAATTGAATCATGGGGGTGGTTCCCCCCTGCTATTCTTGTGATAGTAAGCTCTCACAAGATTTGATGGTTTTATAAGGGGCTTCTCTTTTTGCTTGGTTCTCATTCTTCTCTCTCCTCCTGCTGTGTGAAGAAGAACTTATTTGCTTCTCCTTCTGCCATGATTAAAGTTTCCTGAGGCCTCCCCAGCCATGTGGAACTATGAGTCAATTAAAACTCTTTCTTTTATAAATTACCCAGTCTCAGGCAGTTCTTTATAGCAGTGTGAGAACAGACTAATATAGGGGCGCTAAGTAACTTGGCTGCTCTCATCATCAGTTTGGCTGTTGCCTAAAAAAGGGGGTATGCAGTCAAGAACCAAACCACTGAGTCACTTGACCTGTTTTGTACTTTGTTCTTTCTCTTGAGTCTCCCAGTACATATCTTCACAGTTCATTTGACAGGTTCTGGAAACACCCTTCCACCTTGTCACATATTGGAAATGAATATATGGCCACCATTTCCCCCTGGGAACTTCTTCACAGCATTTAGCCTAACAAAACTTGAGCTGGGTTCCTGGACAGACTCTGACTGTGTAGCCACTCACCCTTAACTTTGGCTGAGGGTGGGAAGGAAAATGAAGGAACAGGGGCATCTTTCCCTCTGACTATAGGAAGCTTGATTTTGTGTTCCTATCTACTTCCTTCTTCTGTTATTACCCTCTTCCCAATCTATCATTGCAATCATTTTAATGCCACTAAAAAAATAGCTTCTTTTTTTCTGCCTGCAGATTGCATAAACAATATCTTGGTCTGCTCTCTACCTGTAATTCATTGAGTAACCCAAGGCAGGCTCTAATTTTTTTTTTCTGTTAGCATGTATTACTTGAGAACATTGCTATCCTTTGAGCTCATAAAAGAACAAGGTTGAGGTTCTTTAATAAGAGGGAATAAGGAGGCATGAGAAACATATACTTATGGGTGCAAGTCAATTGGTAGACACTGGCTCTTTCAAGTCACAATGATGTCATTTGCTGCCCGAAATTAGTGGTTGCCAAATCATCAGTGCTTATTAAAAACAAAGATTCTTGGGTACCTTCTCTGGAGACGTGGATTCAATGCATCTGGGGTGCATCCAGGGAACCTATATTAACAAGAACTTCAGGAAGTTCTTAGGTTCAGCAGGTTTCGAAAACCCAGTCTTCAGGCATACATTGCTGAATAGTACCCACAAGATCTGAGAGTAAACATCATTGTGTTTTGTATAAAATTTTTCTTGTAAAAATTTATTGAACCAGCATTAAAGAAAAAATTAAAAAACATAAACTACCTCTATTTTTGCTGTTCTAATACAGTAGTTTCACTTCTCTGCAATTCCTTGTATACTATACTCTCATTTTACATATTTTTAACATAAATATTTACAAATTTATTTATTTATTTATTTTTTAAGACAAAGTCTCACTCTGTCACCCAGGCTGGAGTGCAGTGGCACAATCTCGGCTCACTGTTACCTCTGCTTCCTGAGTTCAAGCAATTCTCGGCCTTAATCTCCTGAGTAGTTGGGGATACTGGTGCATGGTACCATTTTTGTATTTTTTGTAGAGACAGGGTTTCACCATGTTGGCCAGGCTGGTCATGAACTCCAGACCTCAAGTGATCCACCTGCCTCGGCCTCCCAAAATGCTGGGAATACAGACCTGAGCCCCTGGGCCCGGCCAAAAATCTATAAATTTAAACTTTGCACTTCGGGAGACTGAGGTGGGAGAATTGCTTGAGCCCAGGAGTTCAAGACCAGCCTGAGCAACATAGCAAGACCTTGTCTCTACTAAAAAAAAAAATAAAAAAATAACTAGGCATTGTGGCGAGCACCTGTGGTCCCAGTTATTTAGGAGGCTGAGGCAAGAGGATCAGTTGAGTCCAGGAGGTTGAGGCTGCAGTGAGCCATGATTGTGCCTGTGCACTTCAGCCTGGGTGACGCAGCAAGACCCTGTCTAAAAAAAAAAAAAAAAGTAAACAAATACATTTTGGTGGGTTTTTAAAAAATATATAACATATTAGAAATATTTTTTTCCTTGATGTTGTATAAGGTTGGTGACTTAGTTCATTCAAACTGCTGTAATAAAAATACCATGAACTAGGTGGCTTATAAACAATTTAAATTTCTTTCTTACAGTTCTAGAGGCTGCAAAGTCCAAGATCAAAGTGCCACCAGATTTCATGTCTAGTGAGGGCTCATTCTATTTCATAGATGATGCCTTCTTGCTGTGTCCTCACCTGATGGGAAGGATGAATAAGTTTCCTTGGACCTCTTTTATAAGGGCACTCATCTCATTCCTAAGGGCTCCACCCTTATAACCTAATCACCTCCCCAAACCCCCACCTCTTAATACTATCACATTAGGGAATAGGTTTCAACATATGAATTTTGGGGGAGCATAGACATTCAGACCACAGCAATTGGTAATTATAATGTTAAATGTCTAGGCTGGGCAGGGTGGCTCATGTCTGTAATCTCAGCACTTTGGGAGGCCGAGGCAGGCAGATCATTTGAAGTCAGGAGTATGAGACCAGCCTGGCCAACATGGAGAAACCCCGTCTCTACTAAAAATACAAAAATTAGCTGGGTGTGGTGGCATGTGCCTGTAATCCCAGCTACTCGGGAGGCTGAGGGAGGAGAATTGCTTGAACCTGGGAGGCAGAGGTTGCAGTGAGCCGAGATGGCACCACTGCACTCCAGCTTGGGTGACAGAGTGAGACTCCATCTCAAAAAAAAAAAAAATGTCTACAGTTAACCCATCCATTTACCAAATATTGGACACTTTGGTTGTTTCTAATTTTTTACTTACATTACAGATTAAAATTAAAAATTAAAACTATTTTAGAATAATTTCTCAGGAGTGATATTGTGTTAGGCTGTTCTTGCATTGCTATAAAGAAACAACTGAGGTTGGGTAATTTATAAAGAAAAGAGGAGAGATTTAACTGGCTTACAGTTCTGCAGGCTGTACAAGCATGGCTCTAGCATCTGTTTCTAGTGAAGCCTTAGGAAGCTTACAATCACAGTGGAAGGTGAAGTGGGAGCAGCCTCGTCACATGGCAAGAGTGAGAGGCAGCAAGGGGGGCAGGATGTGTCACATACTTTTAAACAGCCAGATCTTGTGAGAACTCACTCACTGTCACGAGGACAGGACCAAGACATTCATGAGGGATCTGCCCACATGACACAAACACCTCCTACCATGCCCTACCTCCAACATTGGGGATTACATTTCAACATGAATTTTGGAGGGGACAAATGTCCAAACTATATCAGACATTAATGAATTAAAGAGTTTGAATATTTTAAGGTCAGAGTGGCTAATACTGGAACATAAGATATTTCAACATTGGTAGAAATTGGTAAAGTAGTTTCATGTTTACTTGCAATAGGAATACTTGCAAACCTTCTCTAATACATCTCCTCCATCTCTTTATATTTATAAGTGCATTTTCCTTTAGTTGTAGGAGTGCAGACCATGGACATTTGAGTCACTGAGTCTTCAAAAGGCCATTTCACCCCATAGCCCTGTCAGGTTGACACATCAAATTAACCATCACGGGATTCAAGCAAGAGAATACCAGGTCAGAATGAATTTGGTGCTTCTGAAAGAAAGCCAGGGGGTTGGAGGATAATGAGAGGGAGGTAATAGGCAAGAGATAGATTACATAGGGTCTTCTAGGTCATAGGAAGATGATTACATTTTATTCTAAGGGCTCAAGGCAGCTGAACATTCAGACCAGAACAGTTGGTCTGTTGTATAATACAGAATTTTTCTGGTCTTTGGTCCTGGTTCCTGAGAGATAACCTTTAAATCCTTGGAATTTCCTGAGTTATACCAGTGTCTTTGTTCCTCTTGGTGGGCCCCTCAACCACACCTGAATTTACGCTAATGAGATGACTCATGATGGACCCCTGTATAGTTTTAGTATAGGGATTGGCCATGCTGGAATGAACGACTACGTGATTAGAGGGTTGGAACTTTCAGCTCAACTTTCAGGGAGCAAGGAGTTTGGAGGTTGAGTTTAATCACAGCACATGACCTACATCAATCATGCCTACATAATGAAATGCCAGTAAAAACTCTGGACACTGAAGTTTGTGGTCTTTTCATCAGGAAATAATATATTCTGACTTGAAAATGTCACCAGCGGCTGGGCATGGAGGCTCACACCTGTAATTCCAGCACTTTAGGAGGCCAAGGTAGGTGGATCACCTGAGGTCAGGAATTTGAGACCAGCCTGGCCAACATAGTGAAACCCTGTCTCTACTAAAAATACAAAAATTAGCCGAGTGTGGTGGCATACATGTGTAATCCCAGCTACTGGGGAAGCTGAGACAGGAGAATTGCTTGAACCTGGGAGGCGAGGGTTGCAGTGAGCCAAGATTGCGCCACTATATTCCAGCCTGGGTGACAGAGGGACACTCCGTCTCAAAAAAAAAAAAAAAAAAAAAAACAACCCACAAAAAAACAACAACCACTAAAAGAAAATGTCACCAGCTTCTGTGTGGATATTGAATTGGAAGAGGATATCGGTAGAATAGTCAGGAATCTATTTTAATAATCCAGGGCAGAGACAATGTTGGCTTGCACTAGGATGGTGGCAGTAGAGATATAAGGAAATAGTTGGATTAGGATATATTTTGGAGATAGATCTATTAATAAAAGCATCTTTGATGGATTGAATGTGGTAGATGAGGTAAGGAGAGGAATCAAGGATGATTTCCAGTCTTTTGAGCACGAAGGTGAAGGATGAGTCCTTTAAATGGGAAAAAGAGACTAAAGGAGGCACAGGTTTCAGCACAATGAGAATAATCAAAAGTTACATTTTATTTTTATTTTTTATTTTTTTGAGACAGAGTCTCACTCTGTTACCCAGGGTGGGTGCAGTGGCAGTATCTCAGCTCACTGCAACCTCCGCCACCCGGGTTCAAGTGATTCTCTTTCTCTTGCCTCAGCCTCCTGAGTAGCTGGGACTACAGGTGTCCACCACCACGCCTGGGGAATTTTTGTATTTTTAGTAGAGACAGGGTTTCACCATATTGGTCAGGCTGGTCTCTAACTCCTGACCTCAGGTGATCTGCCCTCCTTGATCTCCCAAAGTGCTGGGATTACAGGTGTGAGCCAGCACGCCCAGCCAAGAGTTACATTTTAGTCAGGCCAATTTTAAAATATTCATGGTCAGGACTTGAAAGGAAAGAAAAATGGACTCATTAATTCATTTAGCAAAAATGTGTTGATCATCTTTAATATGCCAGGTATTGCTCTAGGCTCTTGGGATACAGCAGCAAACAAAACATACAAAATACATTCTAGTTAGGGGAGAGAAAAAACACATACAATCTGTAAGACAAGTTAAATGAAGAAAGATAAAGCAGGACTGAGGGATAGAGAGAGAGAAGGAATGCTATTATATGGGCCAGTCAGTGATGGCTTCTCTGATGAGGCCTCGGGATATCTGGGAGGATGTCAATGTTATTGAAGGCAAAGGCACAAGTCAAAGGTCCTGAGGCGGAAGTGTGCTTGGTGTGTTTGAAAAACAGCATAGAGGGCAGTGAGCCTAGTGAGCATAGAGAATTGTAATGAGAAGCGTAGAGGTGTGTGCGTTGAGGGTGGGAGAGAATATGTGAATGTGAGGGAGAGGGTTGGGGACAGATCACGTAGGTTCTTTTGCAGGCCATGTAAGCACTCTGGAATTTGTACTGAATTAGAAAGGAAACTATGGGGGGTGTTGAGCACAGGAGTCATGTGAGCAAAAATATTACAAATGGACCACTCTGGTCATGGCAGGGAGAATAGTGGAGAAGCCAGGAGGCTATGAAAGCGGGAGACCAGTTCAGAGTTTCCTGCATCAGTGAGAGGACAGTGGCTTGCACCAGGATGGAAGAGGGAAAAGTACTAAGAAGAGATCAGAGTCTGGGTGTCCTTCAAATGTAAATGAAAATAAAGAAAATGTAGATTAAATAGACAGAGCAGTCAAAGATGACTCCAAGATCTAAATAAATGAAAGAATGGAGTTGACATTTCCTGAGATGGGGAAGACTTGAGGAGCAGGTTTAGGGCAAGGGTTCTCTTTTGAACATGTTGTGGTTCCTTTTAAAATCAACTTAACAGATGGGCGTGGTGTCGTGTGCCTGTAGTCCCAGCTACTCAGGAGGGTGAGGCTGGAGGATTGATTGAGCCCAGGTGTTCAAGTTCACCTTGGGCAACATAGTCTTAAAAAAACCTTAATAATGGTACAATTTGCATATAATAAAGTGTACACACTTATTGGTACAGTTTGATGAATAATAAATATATATCCTCATACAACCACCGCCATACTCAAGATATAGGACATTTTCATTACCCCGAAAGGTTTCCTTTTGCCCCTTTCCAATCAGTTTCCATTTCCCACAGCCCCTGCCCCAAGCAACCACTGATATTCACTCCATCACCATAGATTAGATTTATTTGTGCTAGAGTTTTGTTAAATGGAATTATAGGCTTGGGGGAAAGGAAGATGAGTTAGACACAGCCCACTGGCTGGTACAATGTTTCCCAACTTTTTTTTTTTTTTTTTTTTGAGATGGAGTCTCTGTCACCCAGGCTGGAGTGCGGTGGCATGATCTTGGCTCACTGCAACTTCTGCCTTCCAGGTTTAAGCGATTCTCCTGCCTCAGCCTACTGAGTAGCTGGGATTACAGGCGCCCGCCACTATGCCTGGCTAATTTTTGTATTTTTAGTAGAGACGGGCTATCACCATGTTGGTCAGGCTGGTCTTGAACTCCTGACCTCGTGATCTTCCTGCCTTGGCCTCCCAAAGTGCTGGGATTACAGGTGTGAGCCACCATGCCCGGCCAATTTTCTAAACTTTTAAGTCCATGTCTTCTTTTATACCTTCTTCATTATCCTTTTTTTTGAGACAGGGTTGCACTCTGTCACCTGTGGTGTCAGAGGCTGGAGTGCAGTGTTGTGATCATAGCTCACTGCAGCCTCAAACTCATGGGCTCAAGCAAACCTCCTGCCTCAGCCTCTGGAGTAGGTGGGACTACAGGTGCACACCACCAAGCCCAGCTAACTTAAAATTTGTTTTTGTGGAAATGAGGTCTTGTGATATTGCTCAAGCTGATCTTGAACTCCTGGGCTCGACTGATCCTCCTGCCTTGGCCTCTCAAAGTGTTTGTGAGCCACTGTGCATGGCCCCTGTTATCTTTCATAATCATAGATATCTCAGGTCCTGTCCTGAGGTGCTGAGTGTATCCACAGAGAGGCACACCCTCATTTCCCCTGCTTTCTTATGACTCTGAGAATCATTGTTTCTTTGTATTCTCAGCAGCCAAGATTGTTTTTTGCAAATGTTACTTGTAGAAATTTTTACAGGGCTAGGTATGGTGGCTCACACCTTTCCCAGCATTTTGGGAGGCCAAGATGGGCAGATTACTTGAACTCAGGAATTTGAGACCAGCCTGACCAACCTGGCAAAACCCTGTCTCTACTGAAAATACAAAAATTAGCCGGGTGTGGTGGTGCACACCTGTAATCTCAGCTACTCGGGAGACTGAGGGAGGAGAATTGCTTGAACCCGGGAGGTGGAGGTTGCAGTGACCCAAGATCGTGCCACTGCACTCCAGCCTGGTCCACAGAGGGAGACTCCCTCCATCTAAAAAAAAAAAAGAAAAAAAAAAAGGAAAAGAGGAAGAAGTTTTTACAATGAAGATATGCATTTTTCCTTTAACCAATATAAATAATAGTATAACATTATAATGTGATTTCAATTTACATAGTCCACTTCTCCAGGTTCTGAGAAGTCCCCTTCATGGTTAGTTCTTTCCTTTGAGACTCACTTGTCTTTTTTTTTTTTGAAACAGTGTCTCACTCCATTTGCCCAGGTGGGAATGCAGTGGCATGATCTCAGCTCACTGTAGCCTTGACCTCCTGGGCTCAGGTGATTCTCCCACCTCAGCCTCCTGAGTAGCTGGGACTACAGGCACATGCCACTATACCTGGCTAATTTTTTGTGTTTTTAGTAGAGATAGGGTTTCACCATGTTGCCAGGCTGGTCTTCTGAGCTCAAGGAATCTGCCCTCCTCGGCCTCCCAAAGTGCTGGAATTACAGGCATGAACCACCGCGCCCGGCCTTCACTTGTCTATTCTAATAATCACATGAAATTAGACAGCCATAAGCATTGATCTGCTAAAGGACATTCTGGGAAGTTGTGCTGTGTTTTGCCTTATCCTGCCCCACTTTAAATGCTTGGTCTTTTATGCATGCCATTTAAAGATCACAGACCAAAGCAATTACTCATGTCTCTGTTTTATAACCTTTGGCTTCCTGAATTATTTTTAATAGTTCTTCCATAATCATACAATAGGTGCATTTATAAGGCCATTTGAATCTAGGAAATAATGAGCATTCAAATAGGCGAGCCAGAGACTTCAAATAGCTACGTGTGGCAGGACATTTTCCTGCTGGGCTGTGGAGGGTGGTTTCAGAGGATTTAGATTTCACAGCAAAGAATAAGTATCATATTGCAACTTCAAAATAAGAAGCTGTAAGTGTTTGAATCTAGTGTGTCTGAATAGCATATTTACAATTTGACTAGGGCCAGATGCAATTATGCCTGTAATCCAGCACTTTGGGAGGTCAGGGAGGGAGGATCACTTGAAGCCAAGGAGTTGAGGCAGACTGGGCAACACAGTGAGAACCATACCTCTACAAAAAATAAAAACATTAGCCAGCTGTGGTGGCACACACCTGTAGTCTCATCTACTTGAGAGGATAATGCGGGAGGATCACTTGAGGCTGGGAGTTCAAGGCTGTAGTGAGCTATGATGACACCATTGCACTCCAGTCTGTGCAATAGAGTGAGACCCTGTCTGTTTTCTTTTTTTTTGAGGTGTGTTATATATAAAGTTTCGGTGCCACAAAAGGAATAACACTCGAGTATAAAATTTTCTTTTTAATTCTCAGCAAGGCAAGGTACTTCTATATAGAAGGGTGCACCCTTATAGATGGAACAATGGTGAGCACACACTTGGACAAGGGAGGGGAAGGGGTTCTTATCCCTGACACATGTGGCCCCTGCTGCTGTGTCGTTCCCCTATTGGCTAGGGTTAGACCACACAGGCTAAACTAATTCCGATTGGCTAATTTAAAGAGAATGACGGGGTGAGTGCTTTGGCAGGAGTCAGGGCAGAGCAGGTAGCAGGTAATTGGAATGAGTTAGGGTGGAGCAGGTGATTGGAATGAGTCAGGGTGGAGTAGGTAATCGGAAGGAGTCAGGGTGGAGGGTAATCGAAAAAGGTTGCTTTACGAGGAAGTTAAGTTTAAAAGTAGAAGGCAAAGAATTGAACATACTGACATATTAATTATTTGAAAAGAAATTTAGAACTCATATCTAACAAGGTGGAGTCTCGCTCTGTCGCCCAGGCTGGAGTGCAGTGGCATGATCTCTGCTCGCTGCAACCTCTGCCTCCCAGGTTCAAGCAATTCTTCTGTCTCAGCCTCCCGAGTGGCTGAGACTACAGGCATGCGGCACCACACCTGGCTAAGTTTGTATTTTTAGTAGAGACAGCGTTTCTCCATGTTGGTCAGGCTAGTCTCGAACTCCCAACCTCAGGTGATCCGCCCAGACCTTCCAAAGTGCTGGGATTACAGGCGTGAGCTTTGGAAGGTCGAGGCGGGTGGATCACTGAGGTCGGGAGTTCGAGACCAGCCTGATCAACATGAAGAAACACTGTCTCTACTAAAAATACCGACTTAACCAGGTGTGGTGAGGCTTGCCTGTAATCCCAGCCACTCGGGAGGCTGAGGCAGGAGAATCGCTTGAACCCGGGAGGCAGAGGTTGCGGTGAGCCAAGATCTCACCACTGCACTCCAGCCTGGGCAACAAGAGTGAAACTCCGTCTCAAAAAAAAATTAAAAAAAAATAATAAATTTGACTGGGGGAATAACAGAATGCAGAACATATATATATATATAGAGAGATGAGGGTTAGTTTGTCAGCATGAAGGAAGCAGTTTCTTTATTGAGGGAACCACACCCTCCTTTTATTCCCCCTCCTTTTCTGCTTCGTTGTAGCCATTTTAGTGGCTATGGTGATTTTATACCTGGTCTTCATTTTCAGCCCCAAATTTTACAGATTTTCCACTAATGTTCAAACCACAAAAGAGCAGGTATCAGAGAGTAGGAGGAATAAAAAAATTGAGAAATAAAATTTAAAAAGAAAAAAAGATAAGTTAGGCATTTCATCAATATTTCTAATGATTCTAAAATCTGTGCATGTGTTGGACCATCAGCAGGAAGCTGGATAGCATTGTTTCAGCATCCTATAGATATTTTTGAGGTGGTTGATGACTGTATTACACAGTGTCTCCTTTGTGGGAGCCTACAGGAAAAATTTTCTTCTGGTTTCAACTAGGGATAATATATTTTTTTTCCTGTGCAACTACTTTCTTTAATCTTTTGAGAGCACTGTGGACCATGTAATTGATCATATATATTTTTTCTTTGCCTGGAATCTTGAACATTCAGAGTTAACTTTGTAATTTCTATCTCTCCGGTGAATAAACCCTCATAGCTTTCATTTTGCTCTGAGCTTCATTCTATTTTTTTAATTTTTATATTCTCCTTGTTCCAATTTACTCCATTGATTTTATTTTAATTATGACGTACTGTAGAATTATTGAGATACTTTATATCCTCTTTTGTAACAATGACATATGAATAGTAGTTAAACCTTAGGGGAAGCAACTCTTTGAAAGTGGAACTTTGGGAAATTAATGTGAGGCTTTGCAGTGTGAGGTTTTTTGTTTTTTGGTTTTTCTTTTGTAGAGATGGGATATCACTCTGAGGCTGGAGTGCAGTGTCGCAATCTCTGTTTACTGCAGCCTTGACCTCCCAGGCTCAAGCGATCCTCCTGCCTCAGTGTCCTGAGTAGCTGAGACTACAGGTGCACGCCACCACACCTGACTAATTTTTGTATTTTTTGTAGAGCTGGGGTTTCATCTCCTGTAGAGTTGATCTTGAACTCCTGAGCTCAGGCAATCCACCTACTTTGGCCTCCCAAAGTGCTGGGATTACAGGTGTGAGCCACAGTGCCCAGCCTGCAGTTTTTTTTATTGGAGGCAGTGTAATGTAGTGTTTTAGTGCAATAGTTCTGAATTCTGGCCACTAGAGGTTCAAATCTTCACTTTACAGCTTACTTCCTATTTTATCTAAGGTAAGTCATTCAGTCTCTCCATGCCTCAGTTTTCCTATCTGCAATAGGAACGATAAATATAACTCCCTCATAGAATTATTTTGAGAATTAAATGAGATAATTACTATAAAGTACTTAGAACCATGCCTGGCATACAGTTTAAGATGAACATTGTTAACATTAGGATTTATTGCCAAGCTTTTCCAACTTTGTTTCTAAGATAAGAAGTTCAGAATCCTGGTAGTTTTCTGCTTAAACAAATCCATCTCATTTTATCATTCACTTAGCATTAGCATAGAAAATCTATTTCTTTAATTTCCCCATTCTCTGTGTTCAGGACATCACTGGCTTTTAGTCATAATAGAGCCAGTGTAGTAGTTATGTGTATCGTATAACAAATTATTTCAAAATTTGGCAGATTAAAACAACACATAATTATTATTTCACAGTTACCATGAATCAGGAAACTGGGAAGGGTTTAGCCGGGTCCTCTGCTTCAGGAGTTCTCACAAGACTGAAATCAAGGGTGTTGATGAAAAAGCCAAACTCTGTAAAATATTTGAAGATATTTATTCTGAGCTAAATATGAGGACCATGACCTGCGACACAGCTCCAGGAGGTCCAGAGAACATGTACCCAAGGTTGTTAGGTTACAGCTTGGTTTTATATATTTTAAGGAGACATAAATCAATACATGTAAGGTGTGTATTGGTTAATCTGAAAAGGTGGGACAACTCAAAGTGGGAGTTTACAGGTCGTAAGAGGATTCAAAGATTTTCTCATTGGCAATAAATTGAAAGAGTTAAATTAATATCTAAAGACTAGGAATTAATAGAAAGGAGTGTCTGGGTTAAGACAAGGGGCTGTGAAGACCAAGGTTCTTATTACATAGAAGAAGTCTCATAGGTGGCCACCCTTACAAGAAATAGATGGCAAACTTTTTTTTTCTTTTTTTTTTTTTGAGACAGAATCTTGCTAAGTTGCCCAGGCTGGAGTGTAATGGCATGATCTCAGCTCACTGCAACCTCTGCCTCCCAGGTTCAAGTGATTCTCCTGCTTTGGCCTCCCAAGTAGCTGAGATTACAGGCATGTGTCACCATGCCTGGCTAATCTTTATATTTTTAGTAGAGACGGGGTTTCACCATGTTGGCCAGGCTGGTCTTGAACTCCTGACCTTAAATGATCTGCCTGCCTCAGCCTTCCAAAGTGCTGGGATTATAGGCATGATCCACTGCACCCAGCCAAATATTTTCTATTCAGACTTTCAAAAGGTGCTAAACGCTCAGCTAATCTCTTCAGGATCAGAAACAGACCTGGAAAGAGAAGAGGATTCTCTACAGAATGTAGATTTCCCCTACACAAGTTAACTTTGCAGGGCCATTGAAAAAATATCAGGGTGGCCGGGCACAGTGGCTCATGCCTGTAATCCCAGCACTTTGGGAGGCTGAGGTTGGTGGATTACAAGGTCAGGAGTTCGAGACCAGCCTGGCCAACATGGTGAAACCCTGTCTCTACTAAAAATACAAAATTAGCTGGGCATGGTGACACATGCCTGTAATCCCAACTACTCTGGAGGCCTAGGTGGAAGAATTGCTTGAACCCAGGAGGCAGAGGTTAAAGTGAGCTGAGATACCATGCCACTGCACTCCAGCCTGGGTGACAGAGTGAGACTCTGTCTCAAAAAAAAAAAAAAGTCAGGGAAATATATTTTAGGGTAAAATACTTTCAGGGCCTGCTGTCACGATGCTATCCTAGAGTCAGGTTGGAATTTGGCATCTTATTGCTACAAAGAGTCTCTTTTGTCAGTCTTAAGATCTCTGCTTTAATATTAATGATGGTCAGTTGTGCCTGAATTCCAAAGAGAGGAGAGTATAATGAGGCGTATCTGACCCCCAACTTCCCATCATGGCCCAAACTAGTTTTTTAAAGGTTTCTTTGAACTCCCCTTGGCTGAGAGGAGGGGTCCATTCAGTCAGCTGGGGCGCTTAGCATTTTATTTTTCATTTACAAGGGCCTCATCTGAAGGCTCAGCTGGGGAACGATAGACTCCCGACCTCACTCACACAGTTGATGAGATTCAGTTTCTCCAGCATCACTGACTGAGGCTTCCCTCAATACCTTGCCATTTGCTTCATCAAAGCCAGTTAAAGAGTTGTTCTACTAGCAAGACAAAAGTTACATTATTTTGGGACCTAATGTTGTTTAATAAAAAGTTAGTCTCGTCTTTGCTCCTGGTTCCTGGGAGAAAACCTCTAAATCCTTGGAATTTCCTGAGTTCTCGGAATGTCTTTGTTACTCATGGTGGGCCCCTCAACCACACCTCAATTCATGCTAATGAGATAACTCATGATGGGTCCTCATATAGTTTCAGCATAGGGATTGGCCATTCTAGCACGGCCAATTATGTGATTATAGGGTTGAAACTTTCAGCATAAACCCCAGGGAGCAGAGAAGTGTGGAGATGGAGTTTAATCACATCACATGACCAGTGATTCAGTTAATCATGCCTACATAATGGAACGCCAATAAAAAACTCTGGACACTGAAGTTTGGGTATGCTTTCTGGCTGGTGAACACATTGATGTACCAGGAAGGTGATGTGTCTTGATCCCACAGACAGCAGACGCAGGAACTCTGTGTGGGACCCTTCCTGACCTTGCTTTGTGTGTCTCTTCATTTGGCTGGTTCTGATTTGTATCCTTTCTAACAAAATTGTAATTGTAAGTGTAGCACTTTCCTGAATTCTGTGAGTTGCTCTAGTAAATTATTGACCCTGGTGGTGGGGGGAGTGAAATCTCCCCATACTTGTAGCTCATTGTTCAAAAGTGACGGTGGCCTGGGGACCCCTAAACTTGTAGCTGGTGCCTGACATGCTGGCAGTCTGGGGACTGTGCTTTTACATCTGTGGAGTCTGCTCTAACCCCAGGTGGTTAGCGTCAGATTAGCATTAGTTGGCATTGCAGTATTGTACTTAATCATGAAAGTGACATCACATTATGTTTGCTGTATTCTACTGATTGGAAGTAAGTTGCCAGGTCCACCCCACACTGAAGGGCAGGGGATTACATAAGGGAATGAACATCAGGAGTCATGGAACATTGGGAGCTATGTCAGAAGTTTTCTATCATAATTAGTGTATCCCAGAGTGTGATGACTTGACTTAGGGAATCTTGATTAATTAATACATATGAGATCATGGATTGTAGAATTTTAATAGTGGAAAGGATGTTAGGTGTTGTCTAGTCTAGTTCAACCCTCTTGTTTTACAGATGAGAAAAATCAGGCTTAGTGAATGTAGGTGTATTGTTTGAGAACATGTAACGTGTGAGTATCATGGTCAGGACAGGAACCCAGTGCTCTTTTCCCAATACCATGCTGACTAAATGATTTAATCTAGCTACCAAGTAAATTGGAATTGCTACAGGTGAGTAGTTACATTCCCTGAAACACACCCATAGAGCTTCTGGACTCCCTTGCAGAGACAGAAAAACACCAAGGATTGGAAGATTCAGGTAGGGTCAAAGATTTTGGCAGCAAGTATTTTGACTGGCAGAAAATTGTGAAAGGCTCTTTGTCTTCTGTTGCATTGAATTTTTAAATTTCTTGTTTTTGTATTTTATTAATTTTTAGTAGACACAAGGTCTTGCTATGTTGCCCAGGATGGTCTCAAAGTCCTGATCTCAAATGATCCTCCCACTTCAGCATTCCAAAATGCTGAGATTACAGGCGTGAGCTACCACGTCTGGTCGATTTTTGTTAAAAATTAGAAAATCAAAAAGGAAGTATAGAATTTCAGATGCTAGAAAACAAAGTGAAGAAGCAAAACAAAAGCAAGCTTCACACCAATACTTTACAGAGAATTAGCAATGCTGTCTAGACTGGCCCATAAATGAATTTCTCTTCTTGGTTAGTGTTGTGATCAGTGGCAGTAGAGTTCTGGAACTAGTTCTCAGTGAGGGTTGCGCAGCACTCAATGTGCTAACAGAAATTGTATCATGAGCTGAAGTGATTTGACCTCAGATACAATGGGCAGAAAAAATGCTGCTAGAACATACGCAAGAAGCTAATTGTGGCTTCTCTAATTAGTTTACAAAATAACTTCAATTGTGGCCTCTAAGCAGATTGCAGGAAACAGCAGCCACTGACATTATGGAGGTTGGAGGGAGCAGGCAGCAAGCAGTGCTGTGCTTCATTTTCAGCAAAGGCAGCAGGCAGCATGCAAAATAAAGTTAAATTTCTGTGATTTCTGGAAGCTCTGGCTTCCAGAGGCATTTGTGGAAGAAAATTCTGCTTACAGCGGAGTCGTGGCCAAGTCATGTCACTGAGTAGAAATATGTCACTGACTCCCTATTATCTTCACCAACAAGAACAGGCCCTTCAATGTGTAATTCAAAACTGGAAACTCCCATCAATGGTATCTCTCTCATCACACTCAAAGTGAGTCCTTTGTTCCGTTCCAACGAGGTTACTCAGTGTTCCTTAGTCACGCTGTCACATCCTCGTCCTCATGCCATTTCCTCATCCCATCTAAATCTTACTCATTTTTCTGGACCAAGTAAAATCTACTCTTCTCCGGGAAGCCTTCTAATTCTCTCCACTTTATTATTATTATTATTATTTTGAGACAGAGTCTCACTCTGTCACCCAGGCTGGAGTGCAGTGCCGCAACGACAACGTCGGGTCGCTGCAACCTCCGCCTCCCAGGTTCAAGCAATTCTCCTGCCTCAGCCTCCTGAGTAGCTGGGATTACAAGCGCCTGTCACCATGCCTGTCTAAAAGGTTTTTCGTATTTTTATTAGAGACGGAGTTTCACCATGTTGGCCAGGCTGGTTTTGAACTCCTGACCTCAAGTGATCCGCCCACCTCGGCCTCCCAAAGTGCTAGGATTACAGGCGTGAGTCACTGCCCCTGGCCTCCACTTTATTATTTAACAAAACCCTTGCACCTGTGCTGTGTGTTTTATAAATGTTTACTCATTCAATCCTTACAATAGCCTTAGGAGGTAGGTACTGTTATAACTTAAGGGAAGACTCAGAGGCAGAAGCATTTAGAAAAGGAAAGAAAAGGCCGGTTACGGTGGCTCATGTCTGTAATCCCAGCATTTTGGAAGGCCGAGGTAGTCAGATCACCTGAGGTTAGGAGTTCAAGACCAGCCTGGCCAACATGGCAAAATCCCATCTCTACTAAAAACACAAAAATTAGTCGGGTGTGGGCGCCTGTAATCCCAGCTACTCGGGAGGCTGAGGCAGGAGAATCGCTTGAACCTGGGAGGCGGAGGTTGCAGTGAGCGAAGATCACGCCATTGCACTCCAGCCTGGGTGACAAGAGCGAGACTCCATCTCAAAAAAAAGAAAAAAAGAAAAAAGAAAAAAAGAAAGAAAAAGGGAAAAAGAAAGTTTACTTGCAAAGAATATAACAGAGTGAGACTTCAGAAGTTCGGGCTTACCAAATACAAAATACAGTCATTTAAAGGAATAAAACCTACAAAATTAACAAAGGTACAAAGTTTGCATATCTGCTTATGGTGGAAAAGGAACAACTTTCTCACATGATCATTCTGTTCACGAAAGTCATGACACGTCTTCAGATACCAACATAGCAAAAACAAGAGATTCTTTTTTTTTTAAGGAGTTTGTGGAGATATTTAAGATTTTATTTTGGGGATCAGAATGAGACAGGGTGACTTATTTTTGGTTTATCTCATATTCAAAGCATTCTGTTTTTTTTTTTCCTCACTATGGAATGTAAGACGTTTGATCTTATTGGAGACAATGCAAAGTGTCAGTTTTTGCTTCTACATTATCCCCACCCTTACCTCGGCTCTTTACAGATCAGAAACCAAGGCAGAGGTAGGTAAAGTAACTTGCTTCAGGTCATAGGGCTGGCAAATGGCTGAGCCAAGATTTGAATACAGGAAGCCGGGTTCCATTGAGTAATGATGCCTCTCTATCCTCTAATGATACCTCCCTTCTCAGAAAGTTAGTGGCTCAGCCTTGGCAACATAGGGAGATCCCTTCTCTACAAAACAAAAACACAAACAAACAAACAAACAAAAAATGCCAAGCATGTTGGTGTGCACCTGTAGTCCCAGCTACTCAGGAGGCTGAGGCAGAAGTATTGCTTGAGCATGGGAGGTTGAGGCTGCAGTGAGCCACGATAGTGGCACTGCATTTCAGCCTAGGTGTCAGAATGAGATCCTGTCTCAAAAAAAAAGAAAAAAGAAAAAAGAAAAGTGGGAGGCTGAGGTGGGTGGATCACCTGAGGTCAGGAGTTCAAGACCTGCCTAGCCAACATGGTGAAACCCCGTCTCTACTAAAAATACAAAAATTAGCCAGGCATGGTGGTGGGTGCCTGTAATTCCAACTACTCAGGAGGCTGAGGCAGGAGAATCGCTTGAACTCAGGAGGCAGAGTTTGCAGTGAGCCAAGATCATGCCATTGCCCTCCAGCCTGGGCAACAAGAGCCAGACTCCATCTCAGAAAAAAAGAAAAAAAAAAAAAAAAAAAAGAAAGAAAAAGAAAAGAATGAACCAGTTGATGGCTACTTAATGCCTGCCCCATTCATTGATCATTTAAGAATGCACAGACCTATGTTCTTATTTCGTTTTTTGTATGTGATTATCTTATTTCCCCTCTGGCCTGAAGGCTGCTTAACAGCTGGCACTTGGTTATGCTGGAATTTAGGAGGGCACTACACAACTGTTGCTCTGTAAATATTCATGGACTGGATGAACGATCTTCAGGTCCATTTCCACCTGTACAAGTTGGTGGAGACCGCTTACTCTCCACCAAACCTTACTTATACTAATGGTTAGTGAAAATATGTGCAGCATTAGTTTTGAACAAAACCAAAATGTTGAAAATTGAAACTGAGATTTCTATTAGAATCTAGAAGGACCTGCTATAGGCTTAGGAATGCCAAAATCGATTTCTCTTCCCATTTACATTTAAAAGCTTCCTAGGCTTTCTGAAATGTCATTGAAGTTTGAAATTTGAGGTGGCAGCAAAGGGCTGCCGCCATCTAAGTTCATGGTTCCTAGCCTGTCCCCTTAGCAGTGACCAAGGAAAAATGGTTTAATCCTCTACACTTTTATATCCTGTAAAGCAAGCTTAAAAATCCACCAGTGTAATAATCTCCCCAAGGAGTCAAGGTGACAAATGTCGGAAATACGCTTTTCAAGTGAGAGATTCACAATAATAAAGCTCTGCCAAAAAGCCATCAATACACTTAACAGGCTAGAAAGGGCTCACCCTTTTTTTTCTAGTGAAAAATAATGTCTTCTTGACATATCTATAGTTTGCCATTAGTGGGTTATTTTATGGCCACATTCTAAACTCTTGCAGTAAACAGCTCCTATCACAAAGCTTCACATGTCATTATACCAAAAAGGCATCTTTGACAGTATCACCTTCATCTCTGTAGCTTATAAAAATAATAATCTGACTTCCTCTAAGTATATTGCGCATAATATTCTTTCCTCTGCAAAATATTGGCTTCAAAATGCATATTTTGCATGTCATTTTTTCTCTTTTTTTTTGAAACAGAGTCTCGCTCTGTTGCCCAGGCTAGAGTGCAGTGCTACGATCTCAGCTCACTGCAACCTCTGCCTCCCAGGTACAAGAGATTCTCCTGCCTTAGCCTTCCAAGTTGCTGGGATTATAGGCATGTGCCAGCATGCCCAGCTAATTTTTGTATTTTTAGTAGAGATGGGGTTTCACCATGTTGGCCAGGCTGGTTTTGAACTCCTGACTTCAGGTGATCCTCCTGCCTTGACCTCTTAAAGTGCTGGGATTACAGGCATGAGCCACTGCGCCCAGCCAAATGGCATTGTTTCGATGCAGAGAATTTCTTAATGTTATTTTGGCATACCAGAGTATTGTACTACTTTCCTACTTAGATAATCTTTTTCTCCAGTCAGTAGAAATCTCTTTTAATGAGGGCAAAGAAAACCACATAGATTGTTCAATTTCTCTCCGAAGATATTATAGTAGCATGTTACCTTAAATCTTTTTTAGACTAAGACAGGTTCTAAATGCACACTCAAACAAATAAGTAAGCAAACTAATTACATGAAAGAATGAACTCCTCAAGGAACCCATAGAAACACGCCATCATTCTATTTCTGAGTAACCCTAGAGCTACGGTATTATAAGCCAATGAAAGATTGCTTAGGCAGTTATGAAGTTATGTTTCTCCATTTACTATTGATTTTGGGCTTTTATTTTTCTCTTTCTTTTCAGAAACCATTTCTTTTTCCCTTAACATGATCAGGAATTCCCCCAAATGTTCTTGGAATTAGAGTTTCTCAGGTTGAGTTTTGGCTGTCCCTGGTCCCAGCTTGAGGTTATGCTGTGCTAAATTTTATCACTAGCCATTTGAGTATGGCTTAAACTTCTTGGAGAAAAGGTGATATGCTAGAAACTACAGGCACACATGGTAGTGTACCTGTAGTTATCAAGTACATGTAATAGTGTACCTGATAAGCTGTCAAAGCAAAGTTCAGCAGAGTTTAGTGTGAACCAGCAGAGCACCCTAGGCATTTTAGCACTCCATCCGGCATCCGTCTCTTTGTTCCCCATTTCTAAAAGAGCTGTATTCTGAAGAAAAATCAAATGAAGACAGCAAACTCCTAACAGATTGGGTTTATTGAGGACAGTGCTACCTTAACATTGCTGTTTCACTAGGGCCTGTTTCAGTGCCTGTGCATAGTGAATAAAGTAATGGTATCTATTGGTCATAATGATAAATGGAATTTAATTGGTTTATTTTAATTCACTTTTTTTTTTTGAGACAGAGTCTCACTCTTGTCGCCAAGGCTGGAGTGCAGTGGCGTGATCTTGGCTCACTGCCACTTCCGCCTCCTGGGTTCAAGCGATTCTCCTGCCTCAGCCTCCTGAGTAGCTGGGATTACAGGCGCTTGCCACCAAAACTGGCTAATTTTTGTGTTTTTTAGTAGAGACCATATAGTAGTTTCACCATATTGGCCAGGCTGGTCTCAAACTCCTGACCTCAAGTGATCTGCTTGCCTTGGCCTCCCAAAGTGCTGGGATTACAGGAGTGAGCCACTGTGTCCGGTCCACTATTTATTCTAATCTCCCTCTCTTCATTTGTGTGTCTGTCTCCACTTTTCCTATGACCTTGGTTAGGAGAGCGGAGAGGGGTTCAGTTTGAGGAACCCTTATCTGCAGCTCCTCTGTAACTCAGAGCAAAGTGTTTGTCAAGACGGGGAAGAATAAAGGGTGCAGTAAGAATATCGTTCTCAAGGAGGTGGGGACATGGTTTCTACGAAGCAAGGCCCTGGTATGACATATGGCCATGGTTTTAGCAGTTATTACTCTCTTAGAATCTCCCCGGGACAGTGTAGCTACTAAAGAGTCCAGCAACATCTTCAGAATGAGGACAGTCAGTTCTTTGGTGGGACTTAGTTTTGGTGTCAACAGTTACTTGCTCCTTCCACCTCCACGGCTTCTAAATTACCAGTTAGTATCTGTTGTTGTTGCTAGCCTCTCCAGATGAAATGCTTTAAATACAATCCCAATTTCAACAACGTTAATAATAGTATTTACCTCATAGAGTTTTAAGATTGAGTTAATGTACATAAAGTCCTTAGTGTAGTGTCATGAAAAGTTACGTAAACGTTTGCAATTATTATCATTATTTTCTTCTAATTGGCTATAGCAATCACGTTTTTACTAAATTATTCCCAGCAATAGATATAGTATCATGCACTCAGGGCATAAGTGGCTCTCATCAACAAATAGTCATTGAACATCTGCCACGTCAGCCACTCACTGGATGCTGAGTATATGAGGTGAATGTGGCACTCTCCTATGTTACTGCAACAGTCACCCTGCTCTAGCTTTATTCTTTCAATCCACTCTCCACAGCAGCCAGATTCCCTTTCTAAAATAGAAATCTTGGGAGACTGAGGCGGGTGGATCACTTGAGGTCAGGAGTCTGAGACCAGCCTGACCAACATGGTGAAATCCTGTCTCTACTAAAAATACAAACATTAGCTGGTTGTGGTGGCAGGCGCCTGTAATCCCAGCTACTCGGGAGGCTGAGGCAAGAGAATTGCTTGAACTCGGGAGGCGGAGGTTGCAGTGAGCCAAGATTGTGCCACTGCATTCCACCCGGGACGACAGGGTGGAATTTTTTTTTTCTGAAAAGAAAGAAAGAAAGAAGGAAGGAAGGAAGGAAGGGAGGAAGGAAGGAAGGAAGGAAATAAGTCATATCATTTCCCTGATAAATTACTTGGTTTTATGCTAAGAGCAATGAAAAACCACAACAGTATTTTATCAGAGGGATCACAGGAGGGTGATGCTGGTTGCCATAATTGAGATAGCAGGAATAAAGTTGGAGGAAAGTAAATGAAATCAAGAAACATCCAGAAGATGAAATTGACAGTCCTTGGTGACTGACCCATGCTTCTTCCTCACAAATCTAATTATATGTTCAAGTGGTGGTCTTTCTTCCCTGGCTTCACTTCTGGTCCCCTTCCCACTTGGCTTTGATGTGTTGGATGAGTTCTATTTTCTTTTTTTTTTTTTTTTTTTTTTTTTTTTTTCTATTTTCTCTTTATTCATCATCAAAGGGTTTTCTTAGGGAGGGTACATGGCTTTCCTACTTGCTTTCTTCATTCATTTATTCATTCTGGTTTCAAATTAGTTTTTATTTCTACTACCATTTGTGTTAGTCCATTTGTGTTGCCATAAAGAAGTACCCGCGACTGGGTAATTTATAAAGAAAAGAGGTTCTATTGGCTTGTGGTTCTGCAGACTGTACAGGAAGCATGATGCCAGCATCTGCTTGGCTCCTGATGAGGCCTTAGGAAGCTTCCAATCACGGCAGTAGGCAAAGGGAGAGCCGAAGTATCACATGGAAAGAGAGGAGCAGGGAGGTGCCACACTCTTTTAAACAGCCAGATCTTGCTAGAACTCACTCACTATCACAAGGACAGCACCAAGACATTCAAGAGGGATCTGCCCTCATGACCCAAACATTTCCCACTAGGTCCCACTCCCAACATTGGAGATTGTATTTCAACATGAGATTTGGAGGGGACAAACATCCTAACTATATCACTGTTATTGTGCTCATAGTTTAAAGAGATGAGTAATTCTGCAAGCCTTGTTACAAAAATATTGCTTTACCCTGCATCCTTCTTTCCTCAGAGGCAACAATTTTCAAATACTTACACTGCTTTTTTGGTATTTATCTTCCTATTTCTAAATAACATGCTTATATTGTTATTTCTTGGTATTTCAGTGTTAGACATTATCTATTGACTTCCTACCATGAAAGATAAAGATTGAATTTTCTTTCACCACTGCCCCCGCCACCACACCACTACCATATCTATGTACACTTTCCATTGGCCCACTCTATTCTGGTTGGAGCACAATTCCAAGTTTTCATTATAATAACCACTATTTGCAGATGAACTGTGTAGTATATTGTGATTATTTATTCTTTCTTGCACAACTTTTTAATTTCTCTGAGGTTAATAATTGTCTTATTTCCCCCCTCCCCTTGGTTTTCTCTGTAGTTATAACTAATTCAACCACAATCTCTCCCCAACTGCCTAAATCTCTCAACAGTTTCAAGCTCGTCACATATTCTATCATTTTCATCTTTTTGGAGAAATCTTTCCCTGAGATTTCCAACTTACTCCATTTGACTTGGCTGCTCTCTGTGCCTGCTGCATAATTATCTTCCCAGGATATCTCTTCACCATTCTCCTAGGGATGCTTTATGCTTTTCTCTTGAGTTGGAGCTTCTGTTTCTTATATCTTTCTCTCCTTTCATTATCTCCTTTGTTTGGGTGGTATACATCCTTCAGTAGCTTCCTAAGAAACTGTACATAGGAGGTAATTTTTAGACAGTTCATGTCTGAAGATGTCTTCATTTTGCCCTTATGCTTAATTAATATGTGAATTTTGGGCTGGAAATAATTTTTCCTCAGAATTTTGAAAGCACTGCTCCATTTTCTTCTGGATTCTAGACATTTTGACTCTCTACTCTATATATGGCCTGTTTTCTTTTCTGAAATTTTTTATAAACCCCAGTGTTCTTAAATGTCATGTACATGTGTTTTTTTCTGTGGTTCTATTTTCACATATTGTGCTGGGATTAGATGGGCCTTTTCCATCTGAAAACTTATGCCTTTCAGTTCTGATAAATTTTCTTGAATGATGTCTTTGATAATTTCCTCCCTTTGATTTTTTTTCCCAATTCTTCTCTTAGAGCAGGGATTCCCAAACCCCTGGGCTGTGGACTGGTACTGGTTCATGGCCTGGGACCGGTCCATGGCCTGTTAGGAACTGGGCTGCACAGTAGGAGGTGAGCAGCGGGCAAGTGAGTGTTATTGCCTGAGCTCCACCTCTTGTCAAATCAGTAGGAGATTCTCATAGAGGTGTGAACCCTATTGTGAACTGCACATGTGAGGGATCTAGGTTGTGTGCTCCTTATGAGAATCTAATATCTGATGATCTGAGACAGGACAGTTTCACCCTGAAACCATGCCCCAACCCCAACCCCTATCCATGGAAAAATTGTCTTCCACAAAACCGGTCCCTGGTGCCAAGAAGCTTTGGGACTGCTGTCTTATAGAATTCTTGTTATTCAAGTGCTAGGTATTCTTGAATGATCTTTTTATTTTCTTTAAATCTCTACATTCCTATTTCCTGTCTTTTTGTCATTTTGCTCCACTTTCTGGGAAATTTCTTCAACTGTATCTTTCAAATCTTTCACTGAGATTTTCATTTCTGCTAATAATCTCTAAATATCCTTATTTCTTGAATGCAATATCTTCTTATCTTTCTAAGGTTATTAATTACAGTTTTGTGGTGTCTTATTTTCTCTGCAGTCTGTTTCCTCCAAGTTAGGTGTTTTGTTTTCTGTTTGTTGTGGTCTGTTTATCATACTGGAGGTTTGCCTCAGATGCTTGGTGAGTCTTAGATAGCTACTTATATTCAAGAGAGGCACTCTTGCAGGCTGTTTGGAAGATCTGAGCATGTGGGTGGGGCTTATTTGTGGGCTTCATTGTATGATGATCTGGGGTTGGGGGATGGTTTCAGGATGAAACTGGTTCCACCTCAGATCATCAGACATTAGATTCTCATAGGGAGCACACAACCTAGATCCCTCACATGTGCAGTTCACAACAGGGTTCACACCTTTATGTAATCTAACGCTCCTGCTGATCTGACAAGAGGTGGATCTCAGGTGATAACATTTGCTGGCCCGCTGCTCACCTCCTACTGTGCAGCCCAGTTCCTAACAGGCCATGGACCGGTACCATGGAAGGGAGGAATGTCATTGAGGAACCCTTAAAGTTGAAATTATTTGGTATTTCCTCTTGGACTGGTCGGATTCTGTAGAGAAGATGCTCTAATATTTTGTTTGTAAAAAAAAAAAAAAAAAAAAAAAAAAAAAAGGCTGAGCTGGCCAGGCATGGTGGCTCATGCCTGCAATCACAGTACTTTCCGAGACAAAGGTGGGTGGACTGCTTGAGCCCAGGAGTTTGAGACCAGCCTAGGCAACATAGCGAGACCTCATCTCAACAATAAAAATAAATACAAAAAATTTGCCAGGCATGTTGATGTGCACTTGTGGTCCCAGCCACTCAGGAGGTTGAAGTGGGAGAATGGCTTGAGCTGGGGAGGCAGAGGAGCTCAGATTGTATCACTGTACCCCAGCCTGGTTGATGGAGTGAGAACCTGTCTAAAGAGAAGAGAAGAGAAGAGAAGAAAAAAAAAAGAAAAAGACTGAGCTGAGAATACTCCCTTTAATCTCCTGGAAACAGTACGCCAACCTTCAATAGTGCCTTATTGTCCAGATAATATGCCTCCTACTGATGAGGTGGAGCAGAAGCTCCAGGGATCCTACGTGTTCTTAAAACACTCTTCATCCAATCAATCTGCTTTTAGCCCTCCTTCCCCCTCACTTTCAGTAGAACCTCATACCACCAATTCCTGAGCCTTTTAGGACTTGGGGGGTGAATATCAAATTGCTTTTTGGCTTTCCCCATTTCTAGCTTAAGAACTGCTTTCTCAGATGTGCTAGTTAGTTGCCACTTGGTCATCACCTTTTCAAATTCCAAAATTTTATTGCTGTTACGGCTTTTCCATCCTTCTTTGTGAGTTTGTGCCTTAGAAAGAATCTTGTTATGTTGATTCATTAGAGTTTTAGGAGGAAGCAAAAATAAACACAGGGTTCCATCTGCCCTCTTAATTTAGTAGTCCCTCAGCTAGGCTTCCTAGTTAACTCCTTGCATTTCTGGGACTACTTCCTATTTCTTTTTCCTTTAAGACCCATTACTGATTCCTTTTTGCTTCGGACTTTTCTTATAGGATATTTCAACATTAACAAGATGAAATCCAACAGGGATAAACTGTAAGGTTTTATACTTGGAATAAAAACCCTGATTAAACAACCCGGAATAGAAGAGGTGTTGCTTAATGTCCACACGTGGAAAAAACTGTAAGATAAACATGCAGTAATTCAATGATGTGATATGACTGTTCTTCAAATGCTAATTCATAAGTGGGCTGCATTAATGAAGAATAATGCTCAGAACAGGGGAGAGAAGGTGATACTCCCTCTCGCCTTCTTAGTATTTGCTTCTGGATGCTCTGATGTCCCCCACCCCATACTTTAAGAAGGACAATGACAGCATATAACAGAAGCAGACAAAAGTGAATGGGTGGGGTGTGGCATGGCGGTGTGCATTTGTATTCCCAGCTACTCCAGGAGGCTGAGGCAAGAGGGTCCCTTGAGTTTAGGAGTCTAGCCTGGGCAACATAATGAGACTCCATCTCTAAAAAAAAAAGTGAATGGTTGGAGATAGGGTTTAAAGCCTCAGCATATGGGCCAGGCGCGGTGGCTCATGCCTGTAATCCCAGCACTTTGGGAGGCCGAGGTGGGCGGATCATGAGGTCAGGAGTTCGAAACCAGCCTGGCCAAGATGGTGAAACCTTGTCTCTACTAAAAATACAAAAAATTAGCCGGGTGTGGTGGTGGATGCCTGTAATTCCAGCTACTTGGGAGGCTGAGACAGGAGAATCACTTGAACCCAGGAGGCGGAGGTTGCAGTGAGCTGAGATCACACCATTGCACTCCAGCCCAGGCAACAGAGTGAGACTCTGTCTCAAACAAAACAAAACAAAACAAAACAAAACAAAAAAACCTCAGCATATGAAGAATGTTTAAAGCAACTAACGGTGCTTTGCTTGAGACAGAATTTGAGAGGGGAGTGTGAAAAGCTGTCATGTGGGTTAAGGATTAAATTTGGATTGTTTTCCAGGAGGCCAGCATTTGAACTAATGCTAGAAAATACAGAGAGAAAGGTGCCAGTTCAAGATAAAAAAGACCTTTCTTCTGATAAGAGCTCTTTGGAAAGGGCATAGGCTGGCCCGGGAGATACTATTGTCTCTGTCCCTGAAGGATTAGTGGTTGAATTAAGTAACTAAGGTCCTTTCCAGTCCTGTTATTCTATGTCAAGGTCAAAGAATCATTCAGAGCTGAAAGGGCTATAAACGTGATTTAGAAATATATTCCTCATTTTTTTAACAAAGAAATTGAGAGCCAGCTGATCAGTGCCTGAGCAAGTTCTCCAACCAAGTCTTCTAATTCTCCACTGTGCATTCCTTTTGGTCTTCCACACCAGCCTTTTATAGTTCAAACTCCATTTGTTATTTTATAGCCCCTACCATATTTGAACATTTATAGTGAGAGTTTCCTCAAAGAAATGCATGTAATTTTACATACAATGCATTTGTGTTTGTAAAGGATGAAGACTTTCCCAGAATTTATGCACCTCTTACAGCCTCTCAATGCTCAGGTCTTAAATAGATACCAAACGTGTCCTCAGGGCACGGGTGACACTTTCAGCTCAGCAACAGTGACTACATATGTCTGCATATATTTGCCCTATGATCTGAGGTACGTTTTGAGGGCTATGCTTTGAGTTCCCTGACCTGGGTTTGAAAAGTCTTTCACTTGTTAGTGTCCTGACACTGGCTATAACATATGAACCTCATATATATAATATGTAAAATCTAAGGCCTTATGGCAAATCATTTGTGAACATTTGTATGGTTACTGACTCCTTGGCCTGTCTGTCCTCATTAATCATAAACTCTGGGCTTAGCTATTTCAGTCTAACAATGTTTTCATTCTCCCCAGACTGTAAGGATTAGCCTGGTCCAGAAGTCCAAAAATCAGAATTAAGAATTGGGCAGAAGGCAAGGATTTATGCATGCGGAGCAGGTGTTAACGAGTTTGCTGTTGCCAGAGGTCAAGGACAGGCTGGAATCTAGGGGGGCAAGTCACAAGTTAAGGAAAGGCAAAGTTCCAAATCCAGGCAGACAGGGTCAGGCCCAGAGGCCAGCACTCAGAACATGAATGGTAACGTCCTTCTGGGGCACATCAGAAGTCTAGGAGTATATATGGGCATAAACTTGAAAGTCACTTGTCACTGTAATTATCTGCTTAGAGAGGGGATCAGATTCTTGGTAGAGTCTGCTGGCTTAATTAAAAAATAGCTGTAAGAATGCCATACTTCCTTCTAATTAAACATTTAAGGAAAAAACTGCATGGTAATACTCATAGCATTCCTGCCCCAAACAGCAATTACTTCATTTCCTTAAACTTTTACTGGGGAAAACAATTTCACGCTTGGGAGATAGGTAAAGGGTAGTCATGATGATGCATTTTCATGTTGCAGTTTTAGGAACTGATGGGACAGCATTTGAAGCAGCTTTTCATATCTGACCATCAATGAGCCACAACCCCCTAACATTGTTTTATCTTCTTTCTTTTTCTGTGTAGGTAAAAGCAGGATAGCATCTCTCTGTTTGATTAGGCAAGGATCAGGAGGGTATGGTGGTGAACAACCATTGGTGAGCAGTGTTGCTCTGTAGTGACTACATGTCAATTTCTTCATAGGCAGGATGAATGACCACAGATGAAATGCTCTGTAAGCTGTGATGAGGCCACTGAGTCATCTAGTTTGACAGGGTACTATTAAAGTAAATCACACAGTGATGAAAGGAGACCAAAAAAGAAGTACTGACCTTCTTTAGAAACCTTTTCATTTTCTTAGCTTAGGTTCATTTTATTTTTAGGAGGTATAATTGTTCTTTTTGGTCCACTCAAATAGGAGCTTCTTTTCTTACATTTTTTGGCAGGACTTGAATATAATAACCTTATCCTAGGAGACTTCCTGATTACCTTTGAAATGAGAGAGAGGGGGAAGCATAAGACAATTAAAAATGAAAGCCATGGTTGGAAAAAAACTTTTAGAGGTTATTTAATTTAACTCTCCTATGTAGCAGTTTTACTTGAAGCCTGAACTATTTCAGGAAACTGAATTTCTTTCCTTGAAGATTCTCAGGAAAACACTCATAACTATCCTAGACATTTAGGCAAGTACTTAAGAATTGGGTCTTAGCTAAATTCACCCTGGTGTTTCTTGCTTCTAGACAGGATTAAACCCAGTGATAATCTACAGAGCCTTTTTTGTTTTAAATGATTCAATAGGGAAATTAATTCTTAAAGGGAGGCCGGGTGCAGTGGCTCACGCCTGTAATCCCAGCACTTTGGAAGTCTGAGGCGGACAGATCACTTGAGGCCAGGAGTTCGAGACCAGCCTGGCCAACATGGCAAAACCTCGTCTCTACTAAAAAAATACAAAAATAAGCCGGATGTGGTGGTGCATGCCTGTAATCCCAGCTGCTTGGGAGGCTGAGGCAGGAGAATCACTTGAACCTGGGAGGTGGAGGTTGCAGTGAGCCGAGATCACGCCACTGCACTTCAGCCTGGGCAACAGGGTGAGACTCCATCTCAAGAAAAAAAAAAAAAATTCTTAGAGGGGGAAGCTACAAGTTGTACTGCTCAGGCTCCACTCAAATTTTCCTTTGGATCTCATCTTAATGTTGGTAGTACACTTTTAAAACCAGTACTAGGTGCAAAGTTCCTGAGGCAAGAAAAAAAGTTAAAAAAAGAAACAGTACTAGGGCATGTATACAACTGCATAAGGCAATTACAGATGAGGAAACTGAGGTACAGAGAGCCCCGGTATACTATTAGACCATCTGGCTTTTGGGACAAAGATGATGCTTCTTCTCTGGGTAAAGATTTATCCAGATAGTGGTTTCTGCAGATGGAAAATGAGTTCCAGTAGAGCCCTCAGCCTGTGTATGCTCCGTATGATCACAATCTAAAATGTAAAGCTGGTGGTGATTTGTGAGGCTTGGTGTGTGTGCTATTGCTTGGACAATTTTTTTTTTTTTTTTTTTTGAGACAGAGTCTCACTCTGTGGCCCAGGCTGGAGTGCAGTGGCACAATCTTGACTCACTGCAACCTCCACCCCCTGGGTTCAAGTAATTCTTCTGCCTGAGCCTCCTGAGTAGCTGGGATTACAGGCGCCCACCACCACATCTGGCTAATTTTTAGTAGAGATGAGGTTTCACCATGCTGGCCAGGCTGGTCTCAAACTCCTGACGTCAAGCGATTCACCTGCCTTGGCTTCCCGAAGTGCTGGGATTACAGGCATGAACCACTGCACCCAGCCTTGGAATACATTTTTATATTTCAGGGAATTTTTCATGAGAAAAGTTTTTTTTTTTTTTTTGAGACAGGGTCTCGCTCTGTTGCCCAGCCTGGAGTGCAGTGGCGTGATCATGGCTCACTGCAGCCTCAACTTCCTGGGTTCAAGCAATTCTCCTGCCTTGGCATCCCAAGTAGCTGGGACTGTAGGCGTGTGCCTTGATGCTAGCTAATTATGTTATTTTTTTTTTTTGAAGAGACAGAGGTCCTACTATATTACCCAGGCTGGTCTCAAACTCCTGAGCTGACACAATCCTCCTGCCTTGGCCTCCCAAAGTACTGGGATTATAGGCATAAGCCATGGTGCCCGGCCCATAAGGAAAGTTTATAACTGATTTTGAAAAAATTTAAGTAAAAACAGTTAAGAAAATTATTCTTAAAAATGACCAAATAGCAATGGAATTTTCATATATCAACTGCCTGCCTGTGGGGATGGTTTTGTGGTTCACTGAGGTTGCAACTTCCTTGTGCACTTTCACCTTTTACTTCCCTTCACTCTTCTGCCAGAAAGGTGACAGGTGGGGCCTTTCTGGGCAGTGAGAACATACTGTTTACTTTGGCAATCTTACAGATTTCTTACAGAAGGTGATACGATTTTCTTTAGGGTTAGACTTCTGAAGCAATTATTTGACCAGTATCATTTTGTACTTTATGAATCAAGAGCTTAAAAAATAGATTTTCTGAAAAGTCTCTTCTTTCCTTTCTATCTTAGTTTGTCTACTTTCTTTTTCTTTTTCTTTTGAGATGTGGCCCAGGCTACAGTGCAGTGGCACAATCTTGGCTCACTGCAGCCTCTGCCTCCTGGCTTCAAGCGATTCTCCTGCCTCAGCCTCTTGAGTAGCTGGGATTACAGACGCCTGCCACTGCACCTGGCTAATTTTTGTATTTTTAGTAGAGATGGGAGTCTCACCATGCTGCCCAGGCTGGTCTCGAACTCCTGACCTCAGCCTCCCAAAGTTCTGGGATTACAGGCGTGAGTCACTGTGCCCAGCCTCTTAGTTTGTCTTCTACATGGCACATTATCAGAGTTCAAAAAATCTCAGGATTGTCAAAAAAGTGATAATAATAATAATAACAGTAACAACAATAATATCAGACAGACTTCCCAGTCACTGTTCTAAGATGTGTCTAGCATGCTTTTATAAATAAAAAGCCAAGGAAGCTACCCCTGTTGTCTTGGTAAATTGCTTAGCAAATGCTGTGTGCCAGTGGGTACTTTGGAATGAAGATGCCAGCCTTTGCCATTCCTCATTCAAAGTCTATGCCAAACCTCACCTTACATCTCATGTTTTCTGAGCCTCTTTCCTAGGGTTTTGTGTGTCTGAGCTTACTAGAAAACACAGTTGGTTATGAAATCCTTCAAGATTCCCTTCCCTTAGTAAAAGTGCCAAAGTTCTATTACTGTAATAATCTTACAAAAACTAAACTAAAAAACAAACCTGCCCTAAGAAAAGATTTAAATTGCTATTGCTCACAACTAAGAAATCTTTATGAGCTGTGGATAAAGTTTTGTAACAGCCAACAAATATTAGCAGCCATAAGTCCATAAATTAACTATGAAAGTCAATGAATGTGCCTCTTGAATCAGATACCTGATACATTAGATTAGATTGTTTGAAAAAGGAAGGCCTCAAATAACACAAACCAGGAGCCCAGGAAAACATCTTTTCGTCTCCTTTTGTCTAATGTGGGCATTGATAGTCGGGTTCACCCAGGGAGGTGGGAACCCTGGATCCGCTTTCTTTTCCTTCTCTGTTTTCATCCCTCCCATTGTTTCCCTAGCGGGTGCCCAGTGGGTCCTCCGCAGGACTACTCTTCAAAAAGATTTGGCTCTTCAACCAGAGACCAGGAGCTACAAAAAAAAAAAAAAAAAAAAAAAAGAGAGAGAGAGAAAGATAAAGAAAGAAAAGATTTGGCTCAGAATTTACTGTCTTAACTTGGTTTCTTTATTCTATTCTGTCCTTGGGTTGGGCATTTCTGCTCATGTAAGCTCCCTGACTCCTACGTCTAATAAGAGTTTTTCTATTTTCTTTCTCATATCTCTGGATTTAGAAGAGATATCCTCTTTGATTCTTTAGTTGCAGCTCTTGCTCCATCTTACACATTTACCACTGTCTTCCTCATATTTGACTGGCCTCATGTGCAGTGTTACTATACAGTAAGTGCTTTGTAAATATTTGTTGAGATTTGAATGAAAATGAAGTCAGAAAGCTGGAATAGCCTGAGTTTATTACCTGTGAGCTGTGGACAGCTGTAATCTGAGAGACGGCAGGAGACACCTGAGAGGAGCAGCATGAATGCATGATAGGAGTCACAGCCTTGCCCCTCTGATTTCTTATGGTTTTTGGATTTTGTTCCCCCTTGGTAACTAGATGTTACACTTATAAATGTCACATGTATTTCTCAAATCAGAAAGTAGGAACTTAGTAGTTTTAGAAAATCACATGACCCAATTAAAAACCTTCCAAAGCTCAATCACTGACAATATTCAATTAAAATGCTTTATTGGGCTGGGCGTGGTGGCTCACGCCTGTAATCCCAGCACTTTTGGAGGCTGAGACAGGCGGATCACGAGGTCAGGAGATCAAGACCATCCTGGCTAACACGGTGAAACCCCGTCTCTACTAAAAATACAACAACAACAACAACAAATTAGCCGGGCGTGGAGGTGGGCGCCTGTAGTCCCATCTACTCAGGAGGCTGAGGCAGGAGAATGGCGTGAACCCGGGAGGCAGAGCTTGCAGTGAGTTGAGATCACGCCACTGCACTCCAGACTGGGCGACAGAGTGAGACTCTTGTCTCAAAAAAAAAAAAAAGCTTTATTGGTAATCATTTCTCTTAAACTGCAGAATAAAATGGCTTTATGAAAATGTCAGGCATAGAGACGATAATAATGCAACCTTATACTGTATTTATCTGATAATTACCCTATAGGTGATTTAAATGTTTAATAAGTGCCATTTTTGTGTTCTGTGGACTTGCAAGTGTCTCTCTAGGTGAATAATTTGGAGTGGTAAAAGGATCATTTCTCGAAGATGGAAGCAAAACCTCAAGAACACTGAGTAAAAGAAAACCTTTGCAATTCCCAGCAAATCAGAATTGCTCAGAGATCCCATTGCAGCAGTCTGTTTTCTTTGCTTCTTGGAAGAACCGTTGGAGGAGCAGCATTTAACACTGACATGCACACCCTCTTCTAAGTGGGGCGAGGTAGTGGTAGAAATAATGGAATTGAAGGCTATTTCGCCTTTAGAATTGGATTCCAAGTGGGCCGCACAGTGTTCTGTGCAAATGTGCTTTTTAATGTTCATAGGGAGAAAGACACAGACTCGTTAAAAGGAAAATGTAAAAATTTCTGGAAGGGACAAAGGATTAGTAGCCACCTGTGGCCTGATGTAAATTCCTTCCCTGGTACTCTTTTTTAAATTTTTAAATTATTTTATTTTATTTTTTGAGATGGAGTCTCACTCTGTCACCCAGGCTGGAGTGAGCACAATCTTGGCTCACCTTCGCCTCCTGGGTTCAAGTGATTCTCCTGCCTCAGCCTCCTGAGTAGCTGGGATTACAGGCACGTACTACCATACCTGGCTAATTTTTGTATTTTTAGTAGAGACAGGTTTCCCCATGTTGCCCAGGCTGGTCTTGAACTCTTGTGCTCAAGCATTTCACACACCTCAGCCTCCCAAAGTGCTGGGATTACAGGAATGAGCCACCGCATCTGGCCTTTTTAAAAAAAATTAATCTGGAAATCAGCTCCACCTTCCCTGCTACTCTTTAGCCAATTCCTTCCTTCTCTACCAACACTTAGAATCTTTTTCTATATTGGCAACACCCTTTTTCTCCTGTCTATAAACATGTTCATGTTTTCTTCCATCTAAAAAAGCTTTCTCACTTCAGTGAAATTTTTAGGGAAAAATGTAAAAAAATGTAAAAAGAAAAGAAAAAGAAAAAAGAATCTCTCTTCATATTGCATTTCTCTATTTCTTCCTTTATGTCATTGCTTGAAAGAGTAACAGTCTACACAGCGTTTGACATGTAGTGGGGTACTTTATAGTTATAGAATAGCAAAGGCATGCAAGTTGTAAAAACTGTCTTTATAAAGGTTTTGTAAAAAAAAAAAAAATCTTTCCTTGAAAAGTAGACATTGATAAGGAAGAAGAGGAGTTCTGAGCTTTGGTGGTTTTAAAACATGGCCCCCAAATTCTGTGATACTCTTCTCATTGAGAAGTGGAGTCTATGTCACCTCTCCTTGAATCTGGGTTCTGTGCTTATTTGGCTAATGAAATATAGTGGAAGTGAGCAGTGCCAGTCTCCAGGACCAGGTCTTCAGAACCTGGCAGCTTCCACTTCCTGTTTCTTGGACCCAGGCACCATGTGATGAAGAAGCCCAGGCCACACAGAGAGACCATCCTTAGATGTTCCAGCTGAGGGTCAAATACAATGGTTATTGTACAACACATATGTTTTGAGGTGGTTTGGTATGCAGTCCTAGATAACTGGTGAGCTGGTCTGTTCCTTTTCTAATCTTGCTTTCCATTAATCCTGACTGGCAGATGTAACTCCTTTAACTGGCCTGCAGGCTCCCATACACTCACATCTGTAGCCCTATCTTGCCGCTAGGCAATAGTTACAAACCCAAACGGCTTCAGGGGTGTGCAGGGCAGAGAACAAAAGAACCTTGACCAGCATAGCCTAATAGAATGTTCTCATGGAAAGTTCTTAATCTACGAATCCAATACACTGTCTGGCACACAAAGTGTGGCTAGTGTGAATGAGGGACTGAACTTTTAATTTAATTTAATTTTAGTTTTTTTTTTTTTTTTTTTTTTGAGACAGAGTCTCACTCTGTCACCCTGGCTGGAGTGCGGTGGTGCAGGCTCGGCTTATTGCAACCACCACCTCCCAGGTTCGAGAGATTCTCCTGCCTCAGCCTCCTGAGTAGCTGGGTGGGACTACAGGCATATGCCACCACGCCCGGCTAATTTTTGTATTTTTAGTAGAGACAGGGTTTCACCATCTTGGCCAGGCTGGTCTTGAGCTCCAGACCTTAGGTGATCTACCCACCTCGGCCTCCCAAAATGCTGGGATTACAGGTGTGAGCCACCATGCCCGGCCAATTTTAGTTAATTTTAACATGAAATGTAAAAGCCACATAGAGCTAGTGGCTAACTATGTAGAACAGTACAGCTCTAGACAATACCTGCTTATATGAAAGAAAACACTGGTCTAATTACATTGTTTTAGCATTTCTTAAGTCAAAGTTTTAGTGCATTCTGATTCTTAAAAATTGCATCAGTAGTACCAAAACAGCAGATTCCTGCCCCATCTTTTAGTCTCACTCGGCAGAGGCAACCACTTTCACTTCTCTTGGGCATTTCTTTTGATATTTACCTCTATATGTAAAGAATATGCTTAAACTGTTATTTTAAAATTTATCCTTTTTGGCCACTATCAATTTATTTCCTGTTACAATAGATGAAGATTTAGCAAGTATTAGAGAATAGATAGTACCCAATCTTTTTAGCATCATAAAATATGCCAGCTGGCCGTGGTGGGTCATGCCTGTAATCCCAGCACTTTGGGAGGCCGAGGTGGGTGGATCACCTGAGGTCAGGATGTCAAGACCAGCCTGGCTAACATGGTGAAACCTCATCTCTACTAAATATACAACAATTAGTCAGGCGTGATGGTGCATGCCTGTAGTCCCAGCTACTTGTGAAGCTGAGGCAGGAGAATTGCTTGAACCCGGGTGTTGGAGGTTGCAGTAAGCTGAGATCATGCCTCTGCACCCCAGCTTGGGTGACAGAGTGAGAATCTGTTTGAAAAAAAAAAAGCCAGTGTATCAGTTTCTTATCACTGCTATAACAAGTAATCACGAGCAAGCCTAATGGCTTAAAACAACACACACTTATCTTACAGTTCTGGAGATCACTAGCGGGACACACACCCAGTTGGGCTAAAATCCAAGTGTTACAGGGCTGTGTCCCTTTCTGGAAGCTTTAAGGGAGAATCTGTTTCCTTGCCTTTTTTAGCTTCTAGAGGCTGCCAGAGTTCCTTGGCTCATGTCCCCTTCCTTCCTCTGTAAAGCCCACAGTGTTGCACGTGTCCAACCATTCTTCTGTAGTCACATCTCCCTCTGACTACGAACTCGGCCAAGAAAGGTTCTCTGATGAAAAGAACAGTGTGATTGGATTGGGCCCATCCAGATAATACAGGATAATCTCCCCACCTCAAGGCCCTTAATTTATTTATTTTTTTTTTTTATTTTTTTTTTTTTTTATATTTAGTTAATTTAATTGAAATGTTTTTAAATATATTGTTTCATTGCATTGATCACTAACTTTGAAGGGATTTATTTTTATTAACTTGCAGCATAGAAAGGAGTAAAAATAAACAATACTCATATTTTCCCCAGTTAATGAAAATAAACAAGTATTAGTAAAAAGCTTCTGATCTCTAAGAGTACATAATAGAATTCTTTTTGAGAATAACTGCTGTTTTGACAAATACCATATCCTTCAAGACAAATCGAACAACCAAAAGACAATCTGCCTTTATTTCTCAAAATGACTTTGACCTCAAATTCTGAAACTGACAGGGTGACTTTGCTCAGTGAATAAATATGATACAGAACCTTTTAGAGGGAATCGAATATGCCGAATACCCAAGTGATCTCTCTGTCTCTCTTTTTTTTTTTTTTTTTTTTTTAAGGCCCTTAATTTAATCACATCTGCAAAGTCGCTTTCGCTCCATCAGGTAACGTCTTCACAGATCCCGGGGATTAGAATGTGGATGTCTTTGGAGGGTTATTATTCCACCTTCTGGATGTACCTTTCCTCTTCTCTATTTTCAGTGACATTGCCTAACCTTTAGAAACACTGTGGTGGGGTGGTATATAAGATCTTCAAGCTGTTCCCCTCAGACTTGCGCATTTACTTTTATTGGATTTGTATTTCGCTGTGCAGGGCGTAACAAAATATGCCTGCAGGTCCTGTATGGAGGCTGGTCTCCAGTCCGTGACAATTGCATCAGAAGTGCTGTAAAGAATCCTGCCTCAGTGAATCCAGACTGATGGTCCAATGAGTCTTGTTTCTCGGAGCTCCTTGAGGGCAGGGACTATTCTCCATTATAGTCCAGCGCCTGCCACGTACTAAGTGCTCAGAAAATACTTACCCCATGACTGAAGGATCTCTTCCTGACACTGGAGAACCAAGATTAAAGCCACCTCCCTGGGCTGAGGGTCCTTAACATGTGTGGCCTGGAGCTTTGATCTGTAGGACCAATCCTGACCTCATAGAGAGGCATTTGACCATGTAAATCAACATTCTAGGACTGCCTCCAATTCACTCTTGCTTCTAGACTGGAGGAGCCTGTGAGCTGGTTCTGATGCCTGGTTCGATGTGATCGCTAATGTGCTTAGGTCTGTCTAGTACCCTCTCTATTCAAATCTCAAAGTTTACTTTCTTCCCACCAGTACCGTCTACTCCAAAAAGCCAGTCTATCCAAGAGCCATGGCCTGGAGATTGGTGGCCTGCATACAGCTAACTGTTACACAATGCTAACTCCCTGATTTCTGAGTATTATAGGTAGGGCTTCACCTGTCTCGCAGGACACCCCGAGACATCATGTTAGTCACTGGGTACTCACTGTGACTTTGTATATCATCTGAGTCATTGTTCTGCCTTCCTGTGAGGCAGGAAAATAGGGTCTGGAGGCAGGGAACATAAGGCTGATTCACACTTCGGCTATAACAGAAAACATCCTCTCCATAGAGCGTATGCTGTAAATGACTGTAACTTTACTTCATCCTCTCCATTTACATAGGGTGTACCCAAAGTTACCAATGGAATTTTGTAGGGAGTATTTAAACTCCCAAAAATTCTGTAACAGGGCCTTTTGAACCCTATGCTCAGGCCCACTCCCACACTGTGGAGTGTACATTCATTTTCAATAAATCCCTTCATTCCTTCCTTGCTTTGTGCGTTTTGTCCAATTCTTTGCTCAGGACGTTAAGAACCTGGACACACTCCACCTTTAACCCCTGGAGAATGTTCTCTTCAGTGCAGGTGCTGTCCTGCTACCTACTACCAGTCATTACCCAAGCACCTGCCACACCCCTGCTACCACATGAAGTTCAGATCTACCCATCTTGCTGCTGTGCTAGCACTCAAAGTGATATAGCATGGCCATAGCGTGACTCAGTGAATGGAAATGAAGATTACCAGATGGGACGGCAGTAAGTTAATGTGCCTCCATCCCCCGTTTCCCTCACTACCTTGTCTGGTTCTGTGGGCCTCCTCCCTATTCCTCCTTTTCCCGTGCAGCTCCTCTGCAGGAGGGCCAATGCTCACTTCATATCAAGGCTCTCCCTTTCACTTTGCTCCACACCAACTCAAAGTTCAACTGAAATCCAATATGGGTTCTTTATTTCCCTCACACCCACCATACACAATGCCCACAGCCGGTTACATCTTCTGCTGCCTCTGGTCTGAGTGTTTCTTTCCAGGACAGTTCTCTGGTAGTGACCTCTGTACTCAGCTATTCTGTCCCCTGCTCTGCCTGCATTGGGGCAACAGAGGAACTATTTTATATTCTGCTTCTTTGGGCAGCAAAAGTAAATTACACAAGGTGTGGGTGGAGGGGGGTCCAAGTTGATGGTGGCACATGATTAGTGGTTTCTACATCATTGCAGAACAAACAGAGCTGTCTTTCAAGGAATGATGAGCCTGCCATAAGGCGGATTTCACGTGTTTCCAACAGTTCTATTATTTTCGGATCATTACAAATTTTTCCCTCTCTGGAAAGTTAAAAGGATCTGCTCTTTCCTCCCTCCCATCCCTACACACTCCCTACATTTTGTTTACAGGTTTCTGCATCCAGAATGGGTTTTGAATGTCGTTACTCAGAGTGTCACAGGCATCCATGTTTCTGCCTGACATAGAAATCTGTTTTCAACTTGGACCCCCCTCCACCCACACCTTGTGTAATTTACTTTTGCTGCCCAAAGAAGCAGAATATAAAATAGTTCCTCTGTTGCCCCAATGAAGGCAGAGCAGGGGACAGAATAGCTGAGTACAGAGGTCACTACCAGAGAACTCTCCTAGAAAGAAACACTCAGACCACAGGCGGCAGAAGATGTAACCGGCTGTGGGCATTTTGTATGGTGGGTGTGAGGGAAATAAAGAACCCATATTGGATTTCAGTTGGTGTGGAGCAAAGTGAAAGGGAGAGCCTTGATGTGAAATGAGCATTGAACCTCCTGCAGAGGAGCTGCACGGAAAAAGGAGGAATAGGGAGGAGGCCCACAGAACCAGACAAGGTAGCGAGGGAAACGGGGGATGGAGGCACATTAACATCACAATTCATCATGGCCGAATTTGTGTCTTTCTCACTCCATGGTATGGGTTCCATCATCATCTTGGTTGTCTTTACAATCCCTGAGACTCATATACAGATGGTGGAAGGGGGAAGAAGGGGCCAGGGGAGCAGGGAAAGAGGCCCTACTTCTATTCTATTCTATTCTATCCTTTTTTTTTTTTTTTTTTTTTTTGAGATGGAGTTTCACTCTGTTGCCCAAGCTGGAGTACAGTGGTGCTATCTTGGCTCACTGCAAACTGTGCCTCCCAGGTTCAAGCCATTCTCCTGCCTCAGCCTCCTGTGTAGCTGGGATTATAGGCACCCACCAACACGCCTGGCTAATTTTTGTATTTTTAGTAGAGACGGGGTTTTGCCATGTTTTCCAAGCTGGGCTTGAACTCCTGACTTCAGGTGATCCACCCGCCTTGGCCTCCCAAAGTGCTAGAATTACAGGCATAAGCCACCGCGCCTGACCCCTACTTCTATTCTTAAAGGCTTTGTAGCCATCTCTGGCATGTGACGATTAGGTAGATATCCAGACTCAGGGCAGTATTCAATCCTAGTGCCAAGAGAAGGAATGCCAGATCAACGTTCCTCCCAACAAAATGCTGCCCCAGCAAGGGCTCTTTCTGCCTAGATGTCGTGTAGTAGCATGGTTAAGAGCATCGACGCTGGTGCCAGATTCACCTGATTTCAATTCCTGGCTCATCCACCAAGTCATTTTGTGAGGTCATGAAATGTATTGCCCTCTCTGTGCCTCAGTTTCTTCATTTGTAAAAATGGGTAAATAATAGTACATAGCTTAGAGTATTCTTGTGAGAATTAAATGCCTTAATGCTATTAAAAGGTTAGCATGGCTGGGTGTGGTAGTGCAGACCTGTAATCCCAGCACTTTGGGAGGCCAAAGTGGGAGGATCACTTGAGCACAAGAGTTCAAGACCAGCCTGGGCAACATGGGGAAACCTGTCTCTACAAAAAATAAATAAACTAGCGCCAGGCATGGTGGCGCATACCTGTGGTGCATAGCTGAGTGGTCCCAGCTACTCAGGAGGCAGAGGTGGGAGGATTGCTTAGCCCAGGAGGATGAGGCTCCAGTGAGCCATTCATGCCACTGCACTCCAGCCTGGGCGATAGAGTAAGACACTGTCTCAAAAATAAATTTTAAAAAATAAAATAAAAATTAAGAAGGTACAGTGTTTCATATATAAGCATTTAATACTTATCCACTACTATTTTGTAGTGGATATACTATGCTCTTGTTGCCCAGTCTGGAGTGCAATGGTGTGACCTCAGCTCACTGCAAACTCTGCCTCCCGGGTTCAAGCGATTCTCATGCCTCAGCCTCCCAAGTAGCTGGGATTACAGGCATGCGCCACCACACAGGGCTAATTTTGTATTTTTAGTAGAGGCGGGGTTTCACCATGTTGTCCAGGCTGGTCTCAAACTCCTGACCTCAGGTGATCCACTGGCCTCGGCCTCCCAAAGTGCTGGGATTACAAGCGTGAGCCACCGCGCCTGGCTCATCCACTACTATTATTTGTGAACATAGAAGGGCAAACTCTCCATTGGACCAGATGGGTACAGGACCTCAGGATTAATTAGGAGAACCTATGAGGCAAATCAATGCCTTCTCTCTAATGAGGGAAAAAAGCTGGTAGACCCACGGTATGGTCTGGCTCTGTGTCCCCACCCAAATCTCATCTTGAATTGTAATCCAAATTGTAATCCCCACATGTTGGGGGAGTGACCTCTTGGAAGGTAATTAGATCATGGGGGTGGTTCCACCCCATGCCATTCTCATGATAATGAGTGAGTACCATGAGATCTGATGGTTTTATAAACGTCTGGCATTCCCCCTGCTGGCACTTCTTCTCTCTCCTGCTACCATGTGAAGAAGGACTTGTTTGTTTCCCCATTCACCATGATTGTAAGTTTCCCAAGGCCTCCTCAGCCATGTGGATCTGTGAGTCAACTAAATTTCTTTCCTTTGTAAACTACCCAGTCTCGTGTATTTCTTCATAGCAGTGTGAAAATGAACTCATACAGTCCATGTAACCAAATAACCGAATCCCTTTCCCAATGATCACTATTACTACTCAACTTAAAAATGCTACTGATAGGAGAGTTGCAGGTAAACTCTCACCTTTTCTTACATGAATAATCTATCAGAAAATAGAGGTGAAGGATCTGATTTTTGAATGTTCCATTTTTGTGTTTTCTCTTTTCTCTTTCTAGAAATAATCCCAAACTTACAGCAGTGTTATGAAAAAAATTTCCACATTGCTTTACCCCAATTCTTAACATTTTGCCACATTTGCCTATCACTCCCTATGTTATTACTCTCTACGTATTCACATTACTTTTTTCCTAAATGATTGGTGCCCTTCTATGTCAAAATACTTTAGCAGAAATCTCCTAAGAACGTTCTCCTGCATAACTACATGTATTAGTCTGTTCTCAGGCTGCTATGAAGAATTACCTAAGACTGGGTAATTTATGAAGAAAAGAGGTTTCATTGACTCACAGTTCTGCAGGCTGTACAGGAAACATGACTGGGAGGCTTCAGAAACTTACAATCAGGGAGGAAGGTGAAGGGGAAGCAAGTGTGTTTTACCATGGTGAGGCAGGAGAGAGAGAGAGTGAAGGGGAAAGTGCTATGCACTTTCAAACAACCAGATCTTGTGATTACTCTATCACGAGAACAGCAAGGGGGAAGTCTGTCCCCATGATCCAATCACCTCCCACCAGGCCCCTCCTCCGACATGCAGGGATTACAATTCGACATGAGATTTGGGTGGGGACACAGAGCCAAACCCTATCACCGTGGCTCAATTAGAAAATTCAGGAAATTTAACCTAGATATAATATTGTTATCTAATATACAGTCCCTGTTCAAATTTTACCACTTGTCTTAATAATCTCCTTGAGATGACTCTTTAGTCTCCTTTAATCTGGAACAACTCCTCAGCTTTGGTTTATTTTTCATGACCTTGCTGTTAGGTGTGTAGGCCTGTAGTTTTAGAGACTGTCTCTCCGTTTGGGTTTGTTTCATGTTTTCTCATGATGAGATTCAGGCTATACATGAGAACATGGTGACAATAGCCGGAAGTGGTGGTTCATCCTTCCTGGGGCTGTACATCAGGAAACTCATAACTGTCAGTTTGTCCTGCTGTTGATGATGTTAATTATTTTCTGACGTTTTGATCGTTGACAAGCAGTATAAGAACCAGGGAAACAAAGAATAACCAATGTGTTGGAATCCAGTTAAGTGGAAGGACTTCTTAGGCGAGTGCCATGCATTACCTGAATTTTTTTGGTGTCTCTGTTTCCAAGTTTCCTTTTGGACACACCTTCTCATTTTCAATTTGTTTGGGAAAAGTAAATAATGATAGTACTGTGGCAAGATGAATTTAAGGAAGAAGGCTTTGAAACATCTCCTGACTAAGCCCAGGCTGGAGAAGATGGACTGAAGGGCTGGTGAAACCCCATCTTTGAGTAGCAGGTGTTAAGGTGGATGGGGTCATGAAGGGCATACTCTGGTCCTGGGACTTACCAAAGCCACAGGTGGACCCAAAGATGGGGAGGAGGGGCCTGATCCCCCCCTTAATGCCTTCTTTCATTCACATCCTGCATTCTAATGTACAACTGGTGCTTGCCATCCTGTTTCACACTTCTGGCCTTTACACAGGCATGCTGGTCCAAATGGATGGGAAGAGGAGGGACTCATGTTTTTTGAGCTTCTGCTGTGATCCACTCACTTTCATGACAAATAGATGAGGAATGGTCAGCTGAGTAATCAGGAAGTAGACCTCAGCGGAAAAGGGAATCAAACAAAAGCCCAGGGAGTCAGGTGTCAGTGTCCAGAAGTTCCTTTTGAAAGAGACTTTCCTTATCTTTTAAAATGCTTTTTACTTATTATTATTATTATTATTATTATTATTTTAGAGACAGGGTATACCTCTGTTGCCCAGGCTGGAGTGCGGTGGCGTGATCATAGCTGACTGCAGCCTCGACCTCCTGGGCTTAAGTGATTCTTCCATCTCAGCCTCCCGAGCAGCTGGGATTCATGCGTTTTTAATGTCATATCAGGACTTGTCACTTGGTGGGAGGGAGGGGGGAGCTGTCTTTCAGGCAGAGAGACCTCGCTGAGGGTACTAATAATAATTCTATCAAAAATAGACCTGAAATTAAATGCTGCTATTTTAATTACTCAAACTATCTCAAAGGATATTCAAGAGTTGACTGAATGATGGGAATAGTGTTCAATAATGAATGAGTCACTAAAAAAAGATAGTGAAACAAAACACATATTTGTCTTTGTGAATCAAACAGTTATCATTGTTATTGTTTAATAACAAAATATGTATATTGCCATGTTTCTGGAGAAGAATTAGAGGATGTGCTGAAGCAAAGGGATGGTTTTGACTATTTAAATGCTAAATCTTGCTCATTCACATGCAATAGTAATGAATTCTGCATGTGGCATTTTCAGAGGAAAGAAGATAGAGATATAGCTTGAGTATCCTTTATCAGAAATGCTTAGGACCAGAAGTGTTTCAGATTTTGGACTTTTTCAGATTTTGGAATATTTGCATAATGAGATATCTTGGAGCTGGGACCCAAGTCTAAGCATGAAATTAATTTGTTTCATATACATCTTATATACATAGCCTGAAGGTAATTTTATACAGTATTTTATTATTTATTTACTTATTGAGACAGGGTCTTGCTCTGTTGCCCAGGCTGGAGTGCAGTTGTGCAATCTTGGCACCTTGCAACCTCTACCTCCCTGCAACCTCTACCTCCCTGCAACCTCCACTTCCCTTCAACCTCCACCTCCCAAGCTCAAGGGATCCTCCCACCTCAGCCTCCTGAGTAGCTACAGGCGCACACCACCACGCCCAGCTAATTTTTTTATTTTTTATTTTTATTTTTTGAGACAGAGTTTTGCTCGTCGCCCAGGCTGGAGTGCAATGGCGCAATCTCGGCTCACTGTAACCTCTTCCCGGGTTCAAGCGATTCTCCTGCCTTAGCCTCCCCAGTAGCTGGGATTACAGGCACCCGCCATCACGCCGGGCTAATTTTTGTATTTTTAGTAGAGACGGGGTTTCACCATGTTGGCCAGGCTGGTCTCAAACTCCTGACCTCAAGTGATCCACCCGCCTCGGCCCCCTAAAGTGCTGGGATTACAAGCGTGGGCCACTGTGCCCGGCCAGCCTGGCTAATTTTTTTGTATTTTTGGTAGAGATGGGGTTTTGCCATGTTGCCCAGGCTGATCTCGAACTCCTGAGCTCAAGTGACCCACTTGCCTCGGCCTCCCAAAGTGCTGGAATTATAGGCTTGAGCTACTATGCCTGGTCTGTTTTATGCAATATTTTAAATAATTCTGTGCATGAAACAAAGTTTTGGCTGTTTTGACTGTGATCTGTCACTTGAAGGCAGGTGTGGAATTTTCCACTTGTGGTATCAGGTCAGCTCTCAAAAAGTTTCAGATTTAGGAGAATTTTGAATTTTGGATTTTTGGATTAGGGATGTTCAACCTGTTTTATGCTGATTGAATGTGAGAGAAGGCATGACTGAGGACCCTGGCAAAAATGAAGAGGAAGTAACAGGATTTGCAGGAAATAGTTATAATCTGTTAAGATACTTCTGTGTGTATGTGAAGCTAACCAATACATTGTGGTCAGTCTAGGTCCTATTTAGTTTTTCTTGCTGCAGCTGCCCTCCAGGAATCAACTGAGCTGTAATTTTCTGATATAGCCACCAGGTGGCCTTTAATTCCCTTGGGTGCCTGCAGGACAAGTCGAGCCGGCCAACTGGCCTGTCCCGGGTCCCAAGGTGGGTGGGGGCATTAGTAATTAATCCTGTCCTGGATATTCTTTCTTCTGCCAGTACTGACGTATTACTGTGCCCATCTGGTCCTCCTTGTTCTGTTGGACTGCCTGCCAGATGGATAGGGTCTCTTCTGTGAATTTAAACAACCATTCACACAACCTAATGAATACATTATAAACTATTTCCACTCCTCCAAATTAATTTTCTACTTTTGATCATGTCTCTACATAGACTTATATAATTGTAACAAGTGTTCATCCGTTATTTGGTATACTGCTTTTAATTCAATATTACCTAATATGCTAGAATTAGTCTATCTACATACTTACATTTTAGAAAGTAAAATCATGGCTGGATGCGGTGACTCACGCCTGTAATCCCAGTACTTTTGGAGGCCAAGGTGGGTGCATCATGAGGTCAGGAGTTCAAGACAAGCCTGGCCAACATGGTGAAACCCCGTCTCTACTAAAAATACAAAAAATAGCTGGAAAAAGTGGTGTGTGCCTGTAATCCCAGCTACTCAGGAGGCTGAGACAGGAGAATCGCTTGAACCCAGGAGGTGGAGGTTGCAGTGAGCTGAGACCTTGCCATTGCACTCCAGCCTGAGTGACAGAGGAAGACTCTGTCTCAAAAAACAAAAAGTACAATCATGTTTTATTATACTTCTAATTTTGTTCATTAACGTAAGTAGCATTGATATGAATGTGGGAACTTTGGACCCAAAGTAGAACTAGAGGATCAAAGAATGATTTTATAATTCTTATGTATTCCCAAGTTGCCTTACAGAAATAAAACATTCTATTTAATTACCATTTTTTCCTAAAGCCGCTAACCCCCAATAAACAAGTAAGTTGTTGGTGCCGGTGTCTTGAAAAGTTGTCAAATGCCTCCCTCCCCATCTCCTCTTCTTACCACTTGCCCTCTTTTCTGTGCAGCTGACATGCAAACTTGCTCCTTCCATAAGAGTTGGCAGGATGGGAACTTTCATGTATTTGAGCAGATGTGTATCAGCATTATTTGGGAAAAGGTATGCACACATCATTCAAATGAGTGGAACCATTTGGAAAGCTCCAGTTTTATTGGTTTTCATTATTGATAGTATAATGCTTCTTGATGTTGCCTAAATCTGTGTTTCTTTCATTAGTAACAAGGCTCGGCCCTCCCCAGCAATTAACCTGTCTGTATTTACTTGTCTGAAACCACTTAACAACTCTGACCACTCATCAGGGGAAATCTGAGCACTAATGTTATCCATTTTTTAATACTATGTTGGTAAGTTATGTTTTTCACGCCTATTTTTCTAATTTTTAATTTTCATTAAAACCTTTAAGTTACATTTTTCTAGTGAAGAAACTGTTTACTTGAATAATTACTTATGTTTAAATAGCTTAATAAAAATCCAAAAAGTTTAAGAGAGCATAAGTGAAAAGTTGTTTCAACATCAACCACCACACCCCCACCAAGTCTTCCAGCTTCCTTCCCTAGAAGCAACCACTGTTTTGGTTTTTGTTTTCATGTTCTTGTAGATATATTTAATGGATATAAACTATATATATATATATCCTTTTGTTTTTAAACACCGAGAGTAGCTACAAATACATCATGTTAGTGCATTGCCTTTTAAAAAATTTAACAATGTATCTTGGACATGTTTCCATGTCAAGATGTATGAATTATCTCATTGTTTTAACAGCTGGGTAGTATTTCATTGTATGGATGGATATGTTGTAATTCAGTAAACAGTTTCTTTTTTCTTTTCTTTTCTTTTTTTTTTATTTGAGACAGAGTCTCGCTCTGTTGCCCATGCTGGAGTGCAGTGGCACGATCTCTGCTCACCGCAAGCTCCGCCTCCCGGGTTCACGCCATTCTCCTGCCTCAGCCTCCCGAGTAGCCGGGACTACAGGCGCCCGCCACCACGCCCGGCTAATTTTTTTTTGTATTTTTAGTAGAGACGGGATTTCATCGTGTTAGCCAGGATGGTCTGGATCTCCCGACCTCGTGATCTGCCCGCCTCAGCCTCCCAAAGTGCTGGGATTACAGGCATGAGCCGGTATCCGTAAATTTCTGTTGCTACAAATAGTAGTGTAATCAATATCCTGGTGTACACATTTTTGCATCCATCCATGTGTGTCTGTAGGATAATTTTTTTTTTTTTTTTGATGGAGTCTTGCTTCTTCACCCAGGCTGGAGTGCAATGGTGCGATCTTGGCTCACTGCAAACTCCGCCTCCCGTGTTCAAGCAATTCTCCTGCCTCAGCCTCCCAAGTAGCTGGGATTACAGGCACATGCCAGCACACCCGGATAATTTTTGTATTTTTAGTAGAGACGGGGTTTCACCATGTTGGCCAGGCTGGTCTCAAACTCCTGACCTCAAGTGATCCGCCTACCTCAGCCTCCCAAAGTGCTGGGATTACAGGCGTGAGCCACCGCGCCCAGTTAGGATAAATGTTTAGAAGAGAAATTATGCGTCAAAAGTATCTGAATTTGAAATTTGGTAGCTATTACCATTTTCTCCCCCTTTGAGTTTTTTTCATTTGCATTTTAAACATTTAAAGTCAGCAATATTTTAAAAATTGCCTTTATTTTTTAGAGCAGTTTTAAGTTCACAGCAAAATTGAGCAGGAGGTACAGAGATTTCCAGTACGTCCTCTGCCCCACACATGCATAGCCTTCCCCATTGTCAACATTCCCCACCAGATGGGGTACACTTATTACAATCGATGAACCTACATTCACTCATCATTACCACCCAGAGTCCATAGTTTATCTTAGAGTTTACTCTCCATGTTGTACATTCTGTGGGTTTGGACAAATGTATAATGACATGTATTCACTATTATAGCATCATATGTAGTAGCTTCACTACACAAAAAATCCTCTGTGATCCACCTATTCATCCCTCTGTCCTCCTAACTCCCGGCAACTGCTGATCTTTTTACTATCTTCATAGTTTTGCCCTTCTAGAGTGTTATATAGTTGGAATCATACAGTACGTGGCCTTTTCACATTGGCTTCTTTTACTCAGTAAAATCTTGGTTGCTTCAAGTTTTGGCAATTATGAATAAAGCTGCTATAAACATTGGTGTATAGGTTTTTGTGTGGACATAAGTTTTCAATTCCTTTGGGTAAATACCAAGGAATGTAATTGCTGGATCATGTGGTAAAAGCATGTTTAGTTTTGTAAGAAATCACCAAACTGTCTAACGCTGTAATGGCCTTTTAGAAAAAAAGAAAACAAACAAAAGAAACCACCAAATTGTTTTCCACAGTAGCTGTACCATTTTGCATTTCCATCAGTAATGAACAAGAGTTCCTGTTGCTCCGTATTCTCACCAGCATTTGATGTCAGTGCTCTGCATTTTGGCCAATCAAATAGATGTGTAGAGTATCTTGTTGTTTCAAGGTTAAGCATTTTTTGATATAAGAAGCCAACTTTTTTTTTTTTTTTTTTTTTTTGAGACAGAGTCTTACTCTGTTACCTAGGCTGGAGTGCAGTGGGGTGATCTTGGCTCACAGCAACCTCCGCCTCCTGGGTTTAAGCAATTCTTGTGCCTCAGCCTCCAAGTAGCTGGGATTACAGGTGTGTGTCACCAGGCCCGGTTAATTTTTGTATTTTTAGTAAAGACGGGGTTTCGCCATGTTGGCCAGGCTGGTCTCTAATGCCTGGCCTCAAGGGATCCATCTGCCTCAGCCTCCCAAAGTGCTGGGATTACAGGCATGAGCCACTGCGCCCTGCCAAGAAGCCATCTATTTTTTCTCTCTTGAGAAATATCTGTTCATGTTCTTTGTGTTTTGCTGAGTTTTAAAAATTGATTTATAAGTGGCCCTTTATATATTAAGGAAATTAGCCTTTTGTCATATGTGTTACAAATGTTTTCTGGAATTTCCACCTATGTCTCATTTTGTTCATTATGTTTTCCTACAGAATTAAAAAATATGTAAAATTAAATATGTACAGTTAAAGCACATACAGATGTTCCTTGACTTATGATGGGATTACATCTTGATAGATCCATGGTAAATTGAAAATATTGTTAAGTCAGAAATGCATTTAATACACTTCATCTACCAAACATCACAGCTTATCTTAGCCTACCTTTGAATGTGATCAGAGCACTTATATTAGCCTACAGTTGGGCAAAATAATCTAATACATTTTATAATAAAGTGTTCATAATACAGTGTTGAATATCTCATGTAATCTATTGAATACTGTACAGAAAGTGAAAAACAGTATGGTTGTATGGGTGCTGAAAGTACAGTTTCTACTGAATGTTTATCACTTTTCCAACATCATAAAATAAAAAAGTTAAGTCAGGGACCACTTGTATTAAATGCATATGTACACGTAAATACATATCATGAGTTTATATTCCTATCCGAATATGACATCACAAGCTTCTTCCCCAACTCCTCCTATTCACTATCCTATCTCCCTTCTCCCGCAGAGAATCTTGTGGGATTTTCTGTGGGATCTCAATGACTTTGCTCATTGTTCTATCTTATAATACATAACAAATAAACAAATAGTTGCAGCGCTGCATCACCAATGCCACTACTGACAATAAAACTGCTAAGTAAAGCTCAATATTTCTTTCTGGTTATGGCCACCAAAGGGGTCTCCATTTAATAGCATTGGTCTCCTCGACCCATTCCTGGCCAGCATTGAGAAAATTAAGCCTGGATTTAGTATTGAATCTCTTCCTCAGTTCTTTCTGTCCTTACAATATGTCTCGCTAATGGTGCATTATGTTAGTAATTTATTGAAATAAATTTCCTTTGTGTAGTTATGAAATCAATTTAAAATGTAATTTATTTTATCAGTTTTTAAGAAATGGCATTTGGATTTTGTGTATACTTAGAACAGCTTCCCCTCCGAAGATTATGTAGCACTTTCCCCATGTTTCTTTAAGTACCTTAGCATTTTTATTTTTACATTCAGCTGAAGCAAGGAATACAAAATTAAATAGACGAGTAATAGAGGAAAGGAGAATTTTTAAAAAACCACCAAAAACTACAGAAAATGTACAAACAGGGCAGAGCTCTAGTCTTGGGAGAACCAGGATAGCGGTGGCATTAACAGAGCAGGGATCTGGGGACGCAGGATCAGGCAAATTCCCACTGCTGGGAGCAGGCGCACAGGGATGGGCTCTGTCCCAGGAATGGATCGGAGGCCCATGCCTTCCTTAAGGCCTTGGGACTCAACAGCTGTGTCACTTGATGCTCATCCGGGCTGTTCCACGTGCTCTGATTCCCATGTTTGAACACAGACTAGTTTTAGAGCTTGGGGAAACAGGTCCTCTGGCAGGTGATTTTCATACCAACGTAAGAGATTTAATGACCAGAAACTGGATTCAGATGCTTCAAATACTCACTCCCATTCCCCTTATCAAAGATGCTAGTGGTGTGGCTAATTTAAAAATATTTTGTAGAGACGGGGGTCGCGCTCTGTTGCCCAGGCTGTTCTTGAACTCCCAGCCTCAAGCGATCCTCCCACCTCGGCCTCCCAAAGTGCTGGGATTGCAGGCATGAGCCACTGACCCCAGCCAATGGTGTGGTTTTATTGTCTTGAGCCAGAAGTGGTCTCATAAACATTTTATTTTGTGATATGATTATTGTCAGAAAGAAGGATGGAGACTTCATATTTTAAATTATTATTTTTGTGGATATTTTGAAAAGGTAGTTGTTATGACAGCCATTTAGCAGCTTGGTTGTTACTTAGGGGTGTGTGTGTGTGTGTGTGTGTGTGTGTGTGTGTGTGTGTATGTTGTAAATTTTTTTTTTTTTTTTTGAGACGGAGTCTCACTCTGTCACCCAGGCTAGAGTGCAGTGGCGGGACCTCGGTTCACTGCAAGCTCCACCTCCTGGGTTCACGCCATTCTCCTGCCTCAGCCTCCCGAGTAGCGGGGACTACAGGCACCCGCCACCACGCCCAGCTAATTTTTTGTATTTTTAGTAGAGACGGGGTTTCACTGTGTTAGCCAGGATGGGTGTGTTGTAAATTTTTATTGAAGTGTAACACATCTACAGAAACTGTAGAAATCTTAAGTGTACCTCCGTATGGTACCTTGATCAGAGAACACATTACCACTCCCTGGAGGCTTCCCTCTTGCTCCTTCCTTGCTCCTTTCTGTCCCCACAATGACTCCTCTTGCAATTTATATCACCATGGATGAGCTTTGCCTGTTTTGAACTTAATTATAAATGAATCATGCAGCGTGTACATTCTGTGTCTTGAGGCTTTCATGCAACATTATGTTGTGGCGTGCGGCAGTAGTTGGTTATGCTCATGCCTGCATTTCCCAATGTTTCTCTCCCATTCTACTGTTGCTGAGAATTTGGGTTCTTTCCAGTGTTTGATTATAAATAGTGCTGCTATGAATATTCTTGTGCATGTCTTTTGTGAATATATGTTTGCATTTCTATTGGGTATATGCCTAGGAGTGCAAATGCTCAGTTATTGGGTACGCATGTGTTCAGATTTGGAAGAAATTGCCAAAGGTTTTCCAAAGTGGTTGTGTCCATAAATGTGAATTTTTCTCCTAATTCATAATGATAGATACTCTGAAAATTAGGTTGCTCAAAACCATACATTTTACTGGAACCCTTTTTAAAAAATATTCTAAGTGAAAACCATTTTGGCATTGTTCTCCGGTTTAGAACCTTGGAATCTTGCTCACTTTTTCATGTGTGGTGAAATTGGGTTATGGTCACCAAAGGACACTCCATTTAATAGCATTGGTCTCCTCGACTCATTCCTGGCCAGCTATTGAGAAAATGAAGCCTGGATTTAGTATTGAACCTCTTCCTCATCCCACCCCTGGAAAACACATGGTTTTTGCCTTTTCATTTTATGGATTTGATGAAGCCTATGTAGCTTCATTCTAATGGAGGAGTGGAGCTTCATCAAATGGGGGAGGGAGGAGTGCTAGTGGGGGAGGGGGAGGAGGGAACCGCTGGTGGGGAGGGGGTGCTGGTGGGGAGGGGGAAGTGCTGGTGAGGGAGAGGTGTGCTTTGGGGGGGAGGGAGTGCTGGTGGGGGAGGGGATGCTGGTGAGGAGGGGGAAGTGCTGGTGGGGGAGGGGATGCTGGTGGGGAGAGGGGTGCCGTTGGGGACAGGGAGGTGCTGGTGGGGAGGGGGGAGTACTGATGGGGAGAGGGGAGTGCTGGAAGGAAGGGGGGTGTTCTGGAGGGGAGGGGGAGTGCTGGTGAAAAGGTGAGAGTGCTTATGGGGAGGAGGGTGTGCTGAAGGGGAGGGGGGAGTGTTAGAGAGGAGGGGGTTTGCTGGAAGGGAGGAGGGAGTGCTTATGGGGAGGAGGATGTTGGAGGGGAGGTGGGAATGTTGGAGGGGAGAGGGGTGTGCTGGAGGGGAGGGGGGAGTGTTGGAGGGGAGGGGTAGTGTTGGAGGGGAGGGGGTGTGCTAGAGGGGAGGGGGGAGTGTTGGAGGGAGGGGGAGTGTTGGAGGGAAGGAGGGTGTGCTGGAGGGAAGGAGGGTGTGCTGGAGGGGAGGGGGGAGTGTTGGAGGGGAGGGGGGAGTGTTGGACGGGAGAGGGGAGTGTTGGACGGAAGGGGGGAGTGTTGGAGGGTAGAGGTAGTGTTGGAGGGGAGGGGGTAGTGTTGGAGGGGAGGGGGTGTGCTGGAGGGGAGGGAGGGGAGGGGGGAGTGTTGGAGGGAAGGGGGGAGTTTTGGAGAGGAAGGGAGAGCGCTGCGGGGGAGGGGGGTGTTCTGGAGGGAGGGGGAGTGCTGGAAGGGAGGGGGGAGTGTTGGAGGGGAGGGAGGAGTGCCGGAGGGGAGTAGCTGTGCTGGAGATTAGGGAGCAGTGCAGGACGGAAGGTGGTGTTTGGGTCTACAATTCCTCAAAGTGGGCATTTGCAAGGAAATGTAGCTCCAAACCCCACCTCCCCTCTGGCAGTCCTCCCTAACCTCCGTAACAACCTTTCTTTTGGAGATCAGTGTAGTGTGTTTTTGCTGATCTGGATGCTGGCCACTGAAAAGGACCCGTGGCCACTTCATCATTTGTCAGACCAAGCATGTGTATTACATAGGGCTCTACACTGAAGTGTGGACAAGATCTTACTTATGTGAACATTCCATTTCCTCTGGTATTTAAGTGTTTACTTATACTGACAACTGATATCTGTCAAAAAAGAGAGGTTTTAGATTGTCATTCTGTCTTTTGTAATTATGAGTTTGTAACACACCATTCTAGTGGGCTCACCTAACAGAGGCAGCCTAGAGGTTTTGGTGATTAAATTGGGTGGAAGTAACTGGATGACTGTTTATGGGCTTATTTCCTGAAAGGCTGAGATACTCTGCTCTGACCGGAAAATCTATGTAAAGACTGCAACATTGGCTCCCATGCAAGAGGATCATTCACCTATTCACCCATTCAGCAAAATATTTAAAATACATTGTGAAAAAAATATATATGGCGGCCCATGTACTGTGTTTCTAGTGTGGGAGGGAAACAAAGATAAACTAAAAGTAAAACTTAGATTTACCAAACTTGAATTTTCATATCTAGAAAGGGGTTAGGCCAAATGCATAGAAAGCTTGAAAAGAAAGTTCAAGTGTCAAGAGAAAAATAAATCAAGTGTGCCAGGGGTCCAGATGAGAGGGAGGTTCTTGTAGCCTGAAGAATTTGAAAAAAATTATAGGGGACGTGGGATTTGAGCAGGGCCTGGAAGGATGGGGAGGATGCAGACCTGTGAAATTGAGGGAAAGGAATTCTTGTCATAACTCTTAGTGCTGGGGGGCTGGGAGGACCTGATCCTGAAGCTCAGATGGGCACAGTAGAAGAGAAAAATAACAAAGGCGGAGCCCAAGCCAAGACCCAAAAAGTCTACAAAAATGGAAACTTTCCAAGAGGGGAAACAGGCACAGACTTCTTGGTAGTAGCTGGGGGATATCTGGGAGTGTCCTCTTAAAGGGTGCCTGAGAGCGTGCTCCCAGGTGTGACTGACCGCTGGGAAACAGGATTCTGGAGGCTATTTGTGGCTCTCACCTCTGCTGTCTTTTGGTGCACAGTAAGTGCCTTAAAGGGATGAGCTTCATATACAAAATGCTGTCTGACTACGCCAGGGGAAGGGAATGTATGATCAAAGATCTGAGAAGGGGCTCCCTGGGATCTGTTTAGGAAAACATCAACAGGGTAGCTCAGTTTGGTCAGCAATGGTGCGAAGGGGAACCAGGAGGCACATGATGTGGATGATAGTTTGGGTGAGACCATGCAGGATGTTGATCACCAGGCAAAGTGCTCTGGACATTTTTTTTTCTGAAGGCGATAATATTCCTTTAAGGCATAACTGATCTGTGCCAGGAAGATCATTCTGGCAGCTGTGTAATAATGAACCCAATCTCCATGCTTTGGGCTGCTTTAGAAGGTCCTTGAGGCTAAAAGTACTCATTGTAGTCACCATTTATTACCATCATCCTCTTGAAAAGGCCAAGTCCGGGTTTTGTAGTTTCTGTGTTCTCATTCCCAAGGCCAAGGTGAGAAAGAGGAGGGGTTGGGAGATTTCTTGGGAGCAGGGAAGGGGGCTTGAGCCAGGAAGGGTTTGAGCCACATCCTGGTTGAGCCAGAAGGCAATAGGATGTGTTCCTGGAGCAGGCAGCCTCATAGAAGAAGCAAAAGCACAGCCAGGGAGCTAACAGAGGCACAACAACTTCGAAGGGTGAGCTGAGGATGGAACGGGGTCCTGCTGTAGACATCAGTGTCCTGCAGAGTTGAGACTAGGGCAGACCTACATGAGGTCTCACTTGGACAGTCTGGGACTTGTCTGTAACTTTTTACTAATACCTGTACATATGAGTTGTGGTGGAGACTGTTTTTAAAGTCTCTTTTAATCTACACGTTTTTCTCTCTATCCCTTTCTTTTCCTTATCTTTTACAATGTTTAAATTTTCTTCTGTTAGCACTTGTAACTTTCTTATTTTTTTTTTTCTAATCAGATACCTAGTGGTTTGTTTTGGTTGATTATTTTCTCTTGAGAGCCAGCTTTTGGATTTACTTCTTAGTTCTATTCTTTTTCTACTTAATAATATCTGCTTTCATTTGTAATAATTCACCCCTTTCTTTTGGTTCACTTATTCTTTTTCTGGCTTTTTCAGTTATATGTTTAAATAATTTATTTTTATTATTTAAATTTGTATTGATATAGGTATTTAATGCTATAAAGTTTCCTGTGACAGTTACTTTTTTTCTGAGTCCTATAAATTCTCTATATATTTTCCCAGCCTTTTATAGCTGTATATCTTATATGTAGTATGGTGTTTGATTTTGCTTTGTGAGCCAATCCAAGACTGTTTTCCATTTAATAGGTGAGCCAAGTCCATTTTTTACATCACAGATAACAGGGAACCACCTTGTTCTATTTTATTTGCTTTTACCCTTCTGGTATTTAAGAGGGCTTTCTTCCTCCCTTTTTTTTTCCACTTTTATCCTAATGCCTTTATAGCAAACACTTAGTTTCTTTGGTTGGCTCCCCATAGTACCTGATACTGCAGGTATCTGATGGACACCCCAGTCCCAGTTGGCCCCTGCACATCTTCTGCCCGCCCCTACCACTTCTCTGGTGGTTGTTCTTTGTCTGCATTGTCCAAGCTGGTAACCATGGCATGCTGCACTTTTATCACCGTCATGTGCCAGCAGCTCCACAGATAAATACAGACCACCCGGCAGCTCACCTTTGCGTCTGCCTCTAGTCATTTTGGTTTCCGGAGCTTATTCTTTAGTGGGTCATCCCTCAGCTCCTGGTCACCGTACTTCCTGTGTTTGTGTGTACTCATAAAAAATATGTGTGACTTTTACCCTGGATAGTCACTATTTAGATGTTAAATCTTTGGCTTATATTTTTTCCCTTAAATATCTTAAATATGTTACTGAACCTATTCTATTCTGGACCTGTAATCCCTACTACAAAGCCACTCACAAGTCCAGTTTTCATCATTTCTGATTTTACAGACATGCATTCTTAAGGGGGAGGAATTTATAGAACTGGAAGCCATGTTAATATCCTAGTCATGAGGTGGCTGAGATTTAGTCTGTCCAGGTAAGATGGTGCAGGTAGGGAGTGTGGTGGTCCAAGTGGCACACGCAGGAAGTCACAGAATGTGGGAGGCATTGTTTTGTGTACCCTGTGCACAGAGTGTCTGATGCCCTTTGATAGGTTTGCGGCCTCATCTGGTGGACTTTCTGGCACAGCCCTTCTTCAAGGTTGCTGCATCTGAAGCTCTTTAAGACGGCCTTTCCCTTCTGCCAGATTGCACACTGTGCACAGTGCAGTTGCTTCTCCCTGCGGAGTGAGATGGGCCCACATTGGCTGTGGCTCCACCTGGCCTTGGTGCTCTTGTCGCCCTCTGCTCTGCTGCTCCCTTCATGTAAGAAGGATGTGTTAAGAGTCCGTAAGTGTGTCGTGTCAGATATTTAGGAAGGAAATGTTAATTCTAAAAATAGGTTTCACATCTTTTTTTTTAACTTATATAAAATTGACTGGACTTTTCTCTTCTGGATTATCTTCTTATAATTAGAGACTAATAACACACTGATACGAAGTAGCTTTATATCAGGAAAATGGATAAATGTAAACACTTGCCTACCAGGAGAAAATAATACGACCTGATTGGAAAATGTACAGATAAAAAGCTAAGTTTAGTAGGTAGCCATTGATGAACACAGTCTAACTTAAGACAACAATTGGGGATTGTTAGAGCAGAGATTGTAGCTCCCTTCTGGGGAGGAGCTGACCAAAATGTCGTCCAGCTCCTGCTTGACAGAAGAGGTGCAGCCAAATTGATCCAAAGGAAATGTCAGAGGAGGCCAGGGTGGGAATTATCAACAACTGTGTCTGAGGATTTGTTCCACTTTGTTTTGGTTTTGGTGAAATTATCACAGTTTGCATGTTATATGACCTTGGCACTTAGAGTCATGGCAACTTGTTGCATTTATGCGAGATTTTTTCTCCCTAAAGTCTCTTCTGTTTGACAGCATATATGTACCTTTCATAATCAATATCAAACTGAAGTAACTTGAAAAGATAGATAATTTTATTCATTTTCTGGGATTCCATAACCACAAACTCAGTGGCTTAAAACCACAGAAATGTATGTCCTCACAATTCTGGAGGCCAGAAATCCAAAATCAAGGGCTCGGCAGGGTTGCTTCCTACTGGCAACTCAGGGAAGTTGAGTTTATGAGTATGTATTATTTTTTATTATGTGTAGTGTAGTACTTTAATAATTATTAAAAGTTAAATCATTCACAAATGTTGGTCATTTTTCTTACTGGTAACAAAAGTTTTGTGACATATCTTACAGCAATATAGTTAAGAACTGATGCCCTTGATTAGCAATTTTAAAAACCGGAGGCTTATCCTAGCCTGTCTTATTTTCCTAGACTTGTGTGGAAATGATTTGAAGATGATGGCCCATAACAGCACATTTCTGTAAAGCCTGTGCTTCGAACCCTAGAGTGGTCTGGGAGATGAAGATTAAGACCTTGTTATCCATCTCTTAAGGAAAATACCATCAGAGGAAAATGCAAATCTTATTATAGGTCATCACTAGAATGAGGATTGTAATTTATAGAAATTGGGGTTTAATTATGAGAAATAGTTCTGTTCTTGGCTCTCGTTTACTTCTATTTGGAGTTGTTTTGTTGATTCTTCTCTATTCTCTTCTCTTCCTTTTCTTGAATGGAAAGGAACTTGGAAAACTCATGCCCTGTCCTTGGGCTTGTCAGAGGAAACTTGGAATGTCATTGCCTTTTGGGCACATTTGCAAGCAAGGGGGTGACATATGCTGTGGTGCAGCCTGGGTGTGGGGAGTTAAGGGCTGTTAGCTCCATCATTCAGACATGTTTTAAGTTTATGGAAACTCTGTGTTTTATACAAGTGCGTTTGTGCCCTGTATTTTCCGCTTGTGTTGTATAATGTTCTATTCTTTGTTTTTAACACTTCCCGCCCCCACCCCATCCCTCCGACATGCACCTCAGACAGCATGAACAAGACAAGCTGCTACTTCCTCTCCTCTCTTGCACCCTGTTTATCTTTAATTGCAGCAAAATACACATAACATAAAATTGCCATCCTAACCATTTTTAAATGTACAGTTCAGTGGTGTTAAGTACATTCACATTATTGTGCAACCATTACCACCATACATCTCTAGAACTTTTACATCTTCCCACACTGAAACTATGTCCCCATTAAACGCTAACTTTTCATTCTCCAGCACCCCCAGACCTGGTAACTGGCTTTCTATTTTCTGTCTGTATGATTTGACTTTTCTGAGTACCTCATATAAGTCAAATCAGACAGTATGTGTCCTTTTGTGACTGTCTTATCTCAGCGTAACATCCTCAAGTTTCAGCCCTATTGTAGCATGTGTCAGCATTTCCTTTTTCAGACTGAATAATATTCCATATTGTGTATAGTGTACACCACATTTTGCTTATCTATTCATCCACTGATGGACATGTGGGTTGCTTCCATGTTTATCTGTTGCAAGTAATACTGCTATGAACGTGGGTATACAAGTATCTTTCATTTTCTGCTTTCAGTTCTTTTGAATATATACCCAGAAGTGGAATTGCTGGATCATATGGTAATTCTGTGTTTAATTTTTTGAAGAACCTCCATACTGTTTGCTATAGTAGCTATACCATCCTCCATTTCCACCAACATTGCACGAAGGATCCAGTTTCCCCACATCCATGTCAACACTTGTTAAACTTTTTTTTTTTTTTAATTTGCCAGTAGCCTCATAATGAGCGTGAGGTAGTATCTCATTGTAGTGTTAATTTGCATTTACCTAACAATTCGTGATGTGGAGCATCTTTTCATGGGCTTGTTGGCTGCTGTGCCTCTTCTTTGGAGAAGTGTCTGTTGAAGTTGTTCGACATTTTTTAATCAAGTTGTTGGGCAGGTACCCTTGTTTTTAAGTCAGAGTAGGTGATGTTTGTCTTGAAGGTTATAAAAAGAGAACATGTTTGCTATGACATGTAGTTGATTGCTATGAAATGTAGTTGATACATGCAGAATAGAAAGATTTATAAATTAAATACTCCTTTATTAACATTTTAATGTGTCGAATTTAAATTTCAGAAGCATTCATCTTTCTTCTCTACTTGTACATTTTTATTTACCTGACAGTGTAAAACCCCCAACCAAAAAATAATGGCTTTTTCCCCATTTAAAATACTTTGTAAAAATAGTAGCCTAGTTGTCATTTGTGAGCCCAGGCTTGGTCCTCAAGTCTGACATAGACTCCCCAAGGCCCTAACGCTGAAGTTCTCTGAGCCCTACCACTGCCCAGGCAGACCCAGGAAGTGTCCCAGCAGTGCCCAAGAAGGTCACCTCCACCTGTGGAATCCACAGTGTGGGTAGCCCCCAGGGAGCCACAGCCATGTAGGCCCAGATTCACAGGAGGATGCGGTTACTGCAAGCATCTGAACCTGGCCCCACCACCTATGGGCAGAGTTGGTTCCAGCTCAGTGTGTCCATGGGATGTCTTTAGGTTCACCTTGCTTTTCTGTCCCACACTCACATGTTGGAGCTAAGCTGCATGGAGTGTCCTTCTCCCTGTACGTATGAGATTAGTCAGCAGTCCTGTCTCCTTCCATATTCTGTCTTTATTTCTGCGACACTATTTCTGGAGAACATTGTATTTGTGCTTTTCCTTTGATATGTTTGTAATTTTCGTTAGAAAAGCCCTTTTAGATTCTAAAGCTTCTACATTCAGTATCTCAATCAATGATAACAAACTGGTGTAAGACTAAATATAAAATACAAACATCAACACATTTCCATAAATTGCTGTTATAATGTCTGCCACAAAAAGTTCAGTTGTTTGTATGTTTTTCAAATGTGCTTTGCTTGTCTTGATGATTTACAACTGTTGGCACTGCTGTTTAAGTCTGTTCTGACAGTGAGAAAGTGACTCATTTGGCAAAGTCAGCTGTTTTTTACTAAAAGTGACTACTGGTGAGTGGAAAGGGGCTTGTATACAATTTTCTTGTCAAAGAACGATGACCGGCAAATAAGCAATTTTAGTTCCTTGGATTTGAGCACCACTCTTGCATGCCTCCACCAACCACCTTGTCTCCACAGAGCTTCCTTCCTCACTTTACACTGAAAATCTGTTATCAGTGTGTGGAAAATAAAAATTTTACACATCTTTAGTTTTGAGGATGTGGATTACTATTTACAGGTTTTTTTTTTTTTTCTGTAAGGAAGACTTTTTTAAAAAAGTAAAAGGTGTTCCCATTGTTTAGTTATTGCCTTATGATTTGATTTTCTTGTTTCACAAAGAACAGCTTTTAATTAAATGTATTTAAATAGTAAAAATATACATGTCACTTCACCTGGTTCCAGTTAAATGTGTTAACAGTGTATGTGGTTGGTGCTTAATAAAAACATGTTCAGTGCAGTAATAATTAACTTCAGTTAAACCCTTAAACATATAGGGAGTAAACAGAAATGTTGAGTGGTTACTCAGCATGGGGTAAGGGATACATCAAGTCATTGGTCAGTATTGGGTATCATCATGTTCTTACCATCTTTTTTCTGGAGTTTTAATAGTTGTTTTTTAAAAAATCTCTGTTTTAATAAGCCATTTTGATGTTTGAAACTACCTTGGATAAGCATATCAAGACCCTTCAGAGATTCTAAAACATGTTCAGCACTTTCTGGTACAATATTCTCAAAGAACCAGGATACATCTTATTTCTCAAAATGAAACAAAAATGTATTAGACATTACCCCTGTGATTTCAAGCCCACAGTCTGTCACTTTGAAGTATTTGTATCCTTTTACAAAAGAAAAGCCAAATGAAGATCTCCCTGAAAAAATATTTTAATAGAATATGTCTTTATTTCAGTATCTTAAATAGCGAAGAAGGAGAAATATTCAATAATGAAGAGCATGAATATGCATCCAAAAAAAGAAAAAGGACCATTTTAGAAATGACACAAATACTCAAAGTAAGATCATTCTCATTAATTTTACTTGTTGATTATGTTGAAATACTAAATTACTCTGACAATGCTATCTTATGAAATAAAAGGTGATACAAATGTGTAAATAACAGCCCAGTATCCAGCATTGCCTACATAGTGATCAAATTTTTGCAGCCCAACGTTTCAGTGGGTAAGATGTGCAAAAACAAAATAAGAGATAGCAAAACCCACAAAACAGCCCATGAATCTGAATGCTTGAATTATGGTCATGAATTCAGCTCAATCTTGAGCAGTGAGGCCAAACTGAGAGGTGTCCTGACTTGAGTTTCGAAGTCACTGAAGATTCAGAGCAGGAGACAGACATTCAGAGCTGGAGTTTAGGATGTTAGATGGCAGCAGGGGAAGGCTGGAGGTGGGACCTATCTGTGAGAGGGCACAGAGTTCTATCATGCAGCATATCTGTGAGTTACCAAGACACATGTTAATGTATAGCAGGCTCCCTTACCTCGGGATAGACCTCCAGTGGATGCCTGAAACTGTGGATACTACCAAACCTTATGGATACTATGTTTTTTTTTCTGTATATACACACTTATAATAAAGTTTAATTTATAAATTAGGTGCAGTAAGAGATTAACGAGAATAATAATAAAATGAAACAGTTATAGCAAGATGGCCACCATCACTGCTCTTGCATTTTGGGGCTATTATGAAGTACAATAAGGGTTCTTTAAACACAAGCACTGTGATATCTCAACAGGTGATCCAATAACCAGGACGGCTACTGAGTGACCAAGGGGCGGGTAGTGTAGGACTCGCTTGACAAAGGGAGGATTTGCATCCCAGGCAGGACAGAGCAGGACGGTGTGAGATTTCATGACACCACCCAGAATGGCACACAATTTAAAACTTATGAATGGTTTATTTCTGGAATTTTCCACTTAATGTTTTCAAACCAAAGCTGACTGTGGGTAATTGAAACTGTAGAAGATGAAACTGTGAATACGGGGGGACTACTTTATGAAGAAGATAGGGTCACATGGAGAATACAGTTAGTGTGATTCTTGAAACTTTTAAGATTTATCTGAAAAATTTGTTTCTATGGAGTACTATACACAGCAACAGAAGAATAGAACTTTTTATTAGGGTACATAGGAATGTAGTAATGTAATTGTATTTTATAATCATTTATGTCTTCACATGGCTTCAGTCATTAATAATACTACTTTTCTTCTAAGTTACTAGGACTTGGTACTGTCTGAAATCATTGTTCATATCTTAAACTGATTTAAGAAACAAAGCAATTCTGTTTGCATTCAACCAAGTAAAAGCATTTCTTGTCAATATAGTAAGTCAGATAATTTTGTTAACATGTCCAATTATTTAAATTCCTTTAAAATCTTCATTTTGAAATGATTTGCCAGATTTTAAAAACAAAGGTAATTTTTATTCTAGGTTTTTATCATGAAAAATGTATCTATGTCCATAAAGAAAGCACAAAAGAAGTAAGTATTCTATTATAAATAAGAGAGTATCTTGGATTGTTTCTGTTGAATATGGAGTCACATTAAATAAATGTATTAATAAAGTTGCATAAAACACATTTCTTTTGCAATATCAGATCTATGGTTCACATTCTGACAGATAATAGCATATGAGGAGCTTTTGAGGCAGTGATTCTCCATTGTGTGTGCTTGCATGTGCATGTGGTATGTGGCTGTGTATTTGTGCACACATTGGTGTGTGTTGTGTGTATGGTGTATGTGTGTTGTATGTATGGTGTGTATGTATGGTTGTGCATGTATTTGTGCACACATTGGTGTGTGGGATGTATGGTGTGTGGTGGCATGTGGTATATGTGTGCAGTGTGTGGTTCCTGCCTACCTGTACATATCTGAGTCAACAGCAGGGCTATTTAAACCAAGCATGGACTCCTGCAGTCATACGCATTTTCTCTGTGTTAGCATGAACCCCTGATGCTGATGGGAATGTGTCCTCCCTGTGGCGTGTTTTGGAGGGCAGGGCATCTGTGAGCCCTCTAATTCCACATAAAGAGTGGCTAACATGAAATTAGTAATTGGGTTGGGTTTGTGCAGAGCCATGTGAACTCTTTCCCTGCCTTTCTTTTGCCAAGTTGGGCTAAAGCTTTTTCATGAGCCATAAAACAAACCAGAGAGCTTCAAGCTGTTTCCTGTTTCTTTACTAGGATCCGGGAAGTTGAGTTCCTTTTATAGTCCTAGAAACTCTGCATTTGCTTTATTTTGCAACAATTGGGGAAAATAATTTAGGGAATTACTGTCTATCATATGTTATTTCAGGGTAAGTTAAATATTCCAGAAATGTTTGTAGATGCTCTGAAACTAGTCCAGCTTCCAAGAAACTGAAGGATTAGATTCTGAGAAAGAAAACTTAATCTGTTTGGTTATGGTTAGTGGGTATAGAATGAATCAGATCCTTAATATACACTCGAATACACCATTAGACGATTATTTGACAGAATCTAACCTAGTTTGTAAAAAACAAAATTTAGTGCTCATGAAAGACCATTAAATATTTCATCTGCTCTGTTGCCATACTGATTACAGAACAGAGGATCCCATCCAAGCTAGCATATACAGGAAAGGAGGATCTTATTGTGAGGCTGTGGGGATGTTCCCTGGAATCCTAGGAACCAGGACCTAACAAGGCTGAGAGGGACCAGAACTAGGACTGGGTGCTGGTGTCCCTGCACCACGTCATGTCTCCACACCCTCACCTGGTATAGATCAAGTGCCTGCTGCTTGTCCATGCTGGCTGGTGTCTCACTGCTTCCGAGGTTACATGCTGTGGTTCTAGGTCCAGACATGCTCTTTGTGGTCTGCTCTGTGAATCAGATTTAATTTCCTTTTGTGAGATGGGTGGTGACCTTGGAAAGTGTCTGCTACACCATCGTGTGGAATATCAGCTGTGATGGATTTCAGATTATAATCTATATCAAAATGAGTGTTTCCTTTCCCCAGAGTTCCCAGGAAAATGTTTTCCACATAGCAGGCACTCAGTCAACATATTTGGATGTTTTAAATGAGTATATTTTGTTGAGTTGTGCACCTGTCAGGGCGATTGGGGGTGACGCACAGAAGCACATGAGCCTCTGAGTGTATCGGCTGTTAGAGACAAAGGTGCTATGACTCCAGCTGCTTTCTCTAGGACATCTCAAGTCACCTGTTTGGAATTTGAGACCAATCATCTCATGTTTTCTATTATTGTTTTCTAGCTTACTTATCTCTACAACTTTGACCTGAAAATCTGTAGATTTTAAATATTTCAAATATGGAGGATGAAGATGGAGTTTAAAATGACTTCTGAAACCTAATGTGCTAATCTATACAAACCAATACAGGGTATATCATGGAAGAAAAACATCTAAGAGAATAGCAGCAGTGTTTACAGTACTGAAAATAAATTGTTTCATTTTCTTCCTTCAGTTCTTGGACCTGTGGTTCTAAGCACCAGTTTTTTTGGTGTTTTGGGTTCTTGGCATCCGTGCTCCCAGCCTGAAAGCTGCCCATGGTCACATCCAGCACTTGCCTTCAGCCCTCTCCATCCCAATGCTGGTTTTCAGAGGCACCTTCTTGCTACCGAAGCGCCTCTCCCAGCCCTGATCCTTGTGGTTGAGCATACTTCCAGCCTGGGCAGTGCATGGCTGCTCTGGAGAGAAATCCCATGTTATACTTCAAACTCGGGCAGTGCATGCCTCCCCTGCAGAGAAATCCTGTGTTTCAACTAGATATTTATAACACCTACATCCTTACAATGCAGTTAAGCAGATGATTTATGTATTTTTAGTTGCGTAGCCTAGAATGAATCCAGTTCTTTTATGATCTTAGCTTTAACGTCGTCCACACCCCAGTTTGTCCCCAACAAAACAAACCAGCAAGATATTTAATAAATATTTGTCTTTGTCATTACTTCAGCAGGTTGTAAAAAATGTCAGTTAACGGTGTCTCAGGTATACATAAACAGCTTAAATTATTAGCATTGCTACAATTTTACTATACTCTCATCTAAATCTAAAGTCAGTCTTCAAAATAAAAACAAATTGTCCTTTGCCAAAAATTTTTTTAATCGCACAATTAATTGACATTAACTGCCAATTCTTTTTGGCTAATTGACTAATTTTAACTTCTGTGTTGCTCTTCCAGAGGCATGGCTATTGCACCTTGGGAGAAGCCTTTAATCGGTTAGACTTCTCAAGTGCAATTCAAGATATCCGAAGGTTCAATTATGTGGTCAAAGTAAGTGTTCTATTTCAAAAACTACTTTGATGACTCTTTTGAACAACTATATTTTGAAGATTGTAAGTGTACAACGTTTAAGATGCTTTTGGCAGCTTGAAGGTGTGCCTGTTTGCTGTGAATTAATCGAAAAACAGAAGGGAACAAGTTCAGGAGAAAACAGTGAGGTTGGAGGATTTCTCCAGTATTGGTGGCAGAGGTTGCAGAGCCTCAGTGGGAGCAAACACTCATTTGCCCTGTGGCTCTGTGGTTGCTGAGGATGCCACAAGGTGGTCCCTTGGGGGTTGTACCATGTACCTACATACTGTGTCAGTGATAGAACGGTCGTGGGATCTTTACCTGATGATTTCACGAATGTTTTCTGCTTCGTGTTTTTCACAGGGAATGAGGCTTGTGTCACAGAGGAAGAAGTAGCTAATAGAAAACAGGAATTTCATACAAAATAGAATTCCACAAAAGCCTTATTGCATTAATGATACCCTTTTGGAAGAAATTTTTATCTTGGGCCACACTAAAAAAGAAAGGATCTTAGCCATATATTCCATTAATTGTTTGCTTTTGTCCAAAGATTAATTACTATGTGGTTTATGCACCTTCATTCTATTATGGATAAAATAGAAGCTATAGTTTATGAAGCTATTAATTTTGTGTTTCTAATGGTTCTGTGAGACATTGGAAAAATGTTTCTTTTAATTGCTTTTAGGCATTTGAAAGTGCTACTGGGAGGACAGAAAATTTAGGGAGTTAAATAATTGTAAGCTTTAGATAATGTTATTTGTTCAGTTTGGTTCTGAGCAGAATTTCCAGGGCTGCTGATGTAACTACTACTTACAACTCCTGTTGTGCTCCATGCTTCACTGAAGCCCAGCCACCACATGCAGGCTGGACTTCCCCGGTGTTTTCTGAGTCCTCCTTTAGATATTTACACACTGGCCAGCAGGGTGTTCTCGATAGGTACCTTTCTTATAGATGATGAAACGCAGATTTGACTCAGCCTTGTGGAAATTTTCAGGACTTAAGTAGCTGGGAAAAACATCAGCAGAGAGGTCTGTTTAGCAGTAACTATTTCTCCATGTAGCTCTCTGATAGTTCAGACCATACTGAGTTGCTTTATAGTAGCAATTCTTGACCATCTGTCTACATAAAAGGATTTAATTCCTGGTGTGAGTGAGAGAGTAGGATGGAGCACAGGAGGAAGTCATTGGCTCCTGGTGGTTTCTGTGCTGGGTGCCCTGCTCTCTCATCTTTGGTCACTGACTCTGGAGAAGGTGCGAGTACTCTGTGCTTTGTCAGAGGGGGAATCCATAGACCAGGACCAGCATTTTATCAGTTTCAGTCATTTGGACGACTGCATAATTTGTTTTTTGTCTGTGTACCACATACTACTATAATTTGCTGGGTAGCTTTTCTTCAAATTTACTTTTTTAAACAGAAATACCTACTTTAGCCTCATCCTAAACACTAATACCTGTGAAATGGTAAATTTTCTGTCGGTCGTTTGTCTAGTACATATAAAATAAATGCATAACTATAAAAATTAAAATGTGCTGTGCACTCATGTACCAACTAAACTTACCTTGCAAACCTCTTGAGAAGGGCTGTGTTTCTCCAAACCACCTCTCAGAGGTGGAGCGAGGGAACTGGTGAGCTTAGGAAGCAAAAGGGCTGCATTGTTGCATGGCTGTCCCGGCACCCTCACAGGTCTGTGCATCTCTGTTGATTGCTGCCTTCTAAGCAGGGCCTTGCTTGGCTCATCTGTGCTCCTGCTCTGTGGGAATCCCACCTTCCCTCTCCTGCAGTCGCTCTGGACCTTGCACACCATTCTTCACAAGTCCAGCAAAGTTACCTCTAAAAAGTGATTTGCTCATGCTTACCTTCTGCTAAAAACAAAAACAAGAAGCAGCCTTTGTGACTGTGGTAAAGCCTGAACCTGTGTCTTGCCTTGGATTGGGCTCCTCCATGTCCCCATCCCAATTCTTGCCCTCCCTGGCCCATGCCCAGTGCCCTCTTCTGTTGGCTTTCTTTCAGTGTGTGCTTTTTTTTTTTTACTTTATCATATGCATTTATCATACATACTGTGCAGGTATTTGGTATTTTTTTGCTGTTTTAAATGTTTATAGCAACACTTACTACAACAACTGAGAGGATTGTCTTGCAGTTCTACTAAGTAATTTGATTTTCCATAATTTAGGCTAAGTTGTCCGTAATGTCATGCAGTATTATTAGAATACCTATAAATAAGAAATGTAGAAGCATTTTTTTAAAATACTTGATAAAAGGTTTCCTTTTTTCTAATGGCATTTAGTAATATCTGCCCTTAAGAATTTGTGTGAAAAACTTAATGTGTATCTTTTTTTTTTTTTAGATGGAGTCTCACTCTGTTGCCCAGGGTGGAGTGCAGTGGCACGATCTCTGCTCACTGCACCCTCTGCTTCCTGGGTTCCAGTGATTCTCCTACCTCAGCCTCCTGAGTAGCTGGGATTGCAGGCATGCACCACGATGCCTGGCTAATTCTTTTTTGTATTTTTAGTAGAGATGGGGTTTCGCCATTTTGGCCAGGCTGGTCTTGAACTCCTGACCTCAAGTGATCCACCTGCCTCGGCCTCCCAAAATGTTGGGATTACAGGTGTGAGCCACCATGCCCAGCTTGTATCTTTCAACTAATGTTTTATGTAAAATCATTTTTTCCATCTAAACAGCAATTTTAAACTGAGACTAATCAATAATTACTACACAGTCTTAGGATAAAAGTTAGTAATAGAATTTAGTGTTCAATTACAGATTGTTCCAGTTGCCAAAATAAAGATAAGTAGTTTGGAATGGAAGTTTCGTTTTTACTCTAATCTTTGAAGTTGAGTTTGAGCCAGATGTCTTGTTGGAGGCATAAAATGGCCCCACCTTTTGTTCACTGTCCAGGGGCAGATGCTCTTCACTCAAGGCAGGAGGAGCCCATCAGTGCTGGCGTCGCTGAGCACCTCCTGTGTGCAGATCAGTGTACCTTGTCTTTTCTAACTAGTGCTTTCAGGAAACTTTGAAATCCAGTTCTAGTCACATTCCCACCATGAAATCTTGTTTGCCAGTGATCACAAGGTTGTAGCAATACCAACTCAAGCCTACCTGGCTGGGACCTTGGCCTCGCCACCCCCATCATGTCAGCAGCATTCCCTGGCCCTTAGGTACGCCAGTGGTCACGTGTTTAAGTTGTCTGCGTCCCCATCCCAGTTGAGCCCCAGGAGCAGGGGCTTGGTTTGTTCACTGCTGTTCACCTACTGCTGAAAATAACACCCCCTTTGTCAAAGTGGAGTAAGTGTGTCCCAACTGCAGTGAGGAGCTGCACTTCCATGAACTCGGAGGTGCCCAGCAAACCCAGGATGGCTGTAAACACAGAGAGGGAGACCAGTACCCAAAAGCTGTCTGGAGGAAGTAGAACTGGGTCCTGAGCCTATAGGTTAATGTGACTGTGGTTTTTACACATTTGTTATCATTCCCTTGGAGTCCTGGGCTTGCTTATAGCACTGAGAAGAACAGCCTGCCCCCTTGCCCCTCTGGCAGCCAGGAGGTGACTTCTGACAGCCAGGCATGAACAGCCCGAGGCTTGGGAGGTGCATGCAGGGCAGTGCACGGTGTGAAAGCTTCCTGAAAGCTGCACGGTGTGCAACTGAAATTTATAAAAATGTTAAATATGCTGTGTTTCCTAAAGTACACACATCTGTAGGAAAAAAGTTTTCAGAATCGTAAAGTTTATATATCTAATTTTAGTTATTTGATAAATTAACTTATCTGAAGTACTTCATTCTCTACCTGTGGCAGACCAATTAGATAGTACATCCAGTGTCACATACTTTCAGGGGTAGTGTATTTTTAGTTTAGTTTCTTGCCATCATTTATTTTTATGTTTTCATTTGCTTTAGAGGTAGGCGAAGAGTCGGTCTCTCTTGTCTTTATTCAAAAGTTTGTGTCCCTGGGCATTGCTCTGCCCCTCCAAGACTCCCCAGTCCTGTTTCCTTTAGCCCATCTGCTCCTCATGTCTGGAGATGGACTCCTGCTTCGCAGTATCCCAGGGATCTCTTAAATGTGGAAAGGTGGCCAGGTGCGGTGACTCATGCCTGCAATCCCAGCATTTTGGGAGGCCGAGGCAGGAGGATAACTTGAGCCCAGGAGTTTGAGGCCAGCCTGGGCAACATAGGGAGACCCTGTTTTTACAAATAATAATAAGCAAATAAGGAAAGACATCTCAGGCTAGAATCTCTGGCTATATGAAGATTTTTTTTCAAATTTTTTCGCAATTTCTACTAATGACTACTCCATAGTAGCAACTTAATAGCAGCAGCCTCACAGCAGCGCATGGGAAAGATGCTTAGTGAGTGACCCTGAGCCCTCCCAGGCGTGGACTCGAGGGTGAGGCAGGGAGGGAGAGAGGCTCTGCAGCCACACGGCCGCTGTTGGAATTCTGTCTCTTTCTTATTTATTTACTCAGGGATCTTAAGCATATGACTTCATCATCTCATCCATAGTATCTGGTAGATTTTAGCATCTACCTCAGAGCACTGTTATAAAGATTAGATTAGTTCCATCATAGGAAGCTCTTGGAACAGTCTGTACTCTGTGTTAGCCACTATTTTGATTTTCTTTTGAGGAGGATTTAGGCAGAGGGATGACAGCTGCACGGAGATCCATTTATGACCCAAGAGGTAAAGACAAGAAAATGGGGCCCAGAGAGATGGGCTGAAGGTCACAATGGAATCAAGGACAGAGACCAAAAATGTAGCTGTCCTGACAGCCGTGAAGAGCTTTTTCATTACGACTTTATTTCCTAAGTCTATAAACTTTGATTTTCCTCTGATGTAAATTAAGTGACTTTCTTAAATGCGTCATATGACTTTTTTTTAAATTTTTTAAATTATACTTTAAGTTCTGGTATACATGTGCTCAATGTGCAGGTTTGTTACATAGGTATACACATGCCATGGTGGTTTGCTGCACCCATCAACCCATCATCTACATTAGGTATTTCTCCTAATGCTATCTGTCCCCTAGCCCCCCACCCCCCCAACAGGCCCTGGTGTGTGATGTTCCCCTCCCTGTGCCCATGTGTTCTCATTGTTCAGCTCCCACTTATGAATAAGAACATGTGGTGTTTGGTTTTCTGTTCTCGTGTTAGTTTGCTGAGAATAATGGTTTCCAGTTTCATCCATGTCCTTGCAAAGGACATGAACTCATCCTTTTTTATGACTGCATAGTATTCCATGGTGTATATGTGCCACATTTCCTTTATCCAGTCTATCACTGATGGGCATTTGGGTTGGTTCCAAGTCTTTGCTATTGTGAACAGTGCTGCAATAAACATACGTGTGCGTGTGTCTTTATAGTAGAATGATTTATAATCTTTTCATCATACTACCTGACTTCAGACTATATTACAAGGCTACAGTAACCAAAACAGCATGATACTGGTACCAAAACAGATATATAGACCAATGGAACAGAACAGAGGCCTCAGAAATAACGCCACACATCTACAACCATCTGATCTTTCACAAACCTGAGAAAAACAAGCAATGGGGAAAGGATTCCCTATTTAATAAATGGTGTTGGGAAAACTGGCTAGCCATATGCAAAAAACTGAAACTGGACCACTTCCTTACACCTTTATACAAAAATTAACTCAAGATGGATTAAAGACTTAAACATAAGACCTAAAACCATAAAAACCCTACAAGAAAAGCTAGGCAATACCATTCAGGACATAGGCATGGGCAAAGACTTGATGTCTAAAACACCAAAAGCAATGGCAACAAAAGCCAAAATTGACAAATGGGATCTAATTAAACTAAAGAGCTTCTGCATAGCAAAAGAAACTATCATCAGAGCGAAGAGGCAACCTACAGAATGGGAGAAAATTTTTGCAATCTATCCATCTGACAAAGGGCTAACATCCAGAATCTACAAAGAACTTAAACAAATTTACAAGAAAAAAACAACCCCATCAAAAAGTGGGTAAAGGATATGAACAGACACTTCTCAAAAGAAGAAATTTATGCAGCCAACAAACATGAAAAAAAGCTCATCTCTGGTCATTAGAGAAATGCAAATAAAAACCACAATGACATACCATCTCACACCAGTTAGAATGGCTATCATTAAAAAGTCAGGAAACAACAGATGCTGGAGAGGACATGGAGAAATAGGAACGCTTTCACACTGTTGGTGGGAGTATAAGTTCAACCACTGTGGAAGACAGTGTGGTGATTCCTCAAGGATCTAGAACCAGAAATACTATTTGACCCAGCAATCCCATATGACATTATAAAATAATGACCTGGCAAATTAGATGGAACTGTTGAAAAGGGCTGTTTTTAAAATTTCAGATCATATTGCTAATCAGGCTTTTGTTTGCTCTGGTGAGTGTTGTTTTAAGCAACACAATCCAATGCTAATTTACTGTTGTATAATAATTTATTCAGTAGGCCCTGCTATATCCCAAGCACCTGGCAAGTAGTAGGCACTTGTTATTCCTAAAATGAATGAGTGACTGAGCATACAAACCAACTATTGTATACATAAATGTTTTCTAAGTTACTCCAATTATTTTTTTTTTTTACCACAGTTAAACTTCTTCATAAGTTCTACTTGAAGTAGGAACTATTAAGATACTCTAAGATAATTACATTTGTGCTGATAGTTGTACTGCACCTACAGGTTACTTTTTTTTTTTTTTTCAAGCAAACTGCATAGCTAGAAGCAGAGGAAGTTATTTCCACTTTATTTTTTTATTTTGTATTTTTCTGAGACAGAGTCACTTTGTCGCCCAGGCTGGAGTGCAGTGGTGTAATCTTGGCCCACTGCAACCTCCGCCCCCCGGGTTCAAGTGATTCTCCTGCCTCAGCTTCCTGAGTAGCTGGGATTTCAGGCACCTGCCACCACACCTGGCTAATTTTTGTATTTTTAGTAGAGAGGGGGTTTTGCCATATGGGTCAGGCTGGTCTTGAACTCCTGACCTCAGGTGATCTGGCTGCCTCGGCCTCCCAAAGTGCTGGGATTGCAGGCGTTAGCCACCATGCCCGTCCTATTTCCACTTTATAAAAAGATTCTACACAAAGATATCCTCTAATTTCCTAAGTTAGCAGGACTTTTCTTATACAGAAAAAGATATATTTACATATATATTTTTCAGTTTTCCTAATTGTTGATCCAAGAATTGGTTGTAGGCTATTTAATTCCAGGCATTTCCTATAATTACCCCCATAAAAATGCCAGATTAAAATGTATTAGCAAAGTATGTTAATGCTCCTGAGAACAGATTTGTTGAAGAAGGTCCAAGAAATGACAGTGTTGTCACCACTCAGAAACGGCCATTTCCATTGAAGGAAGTGCTCCTCAGCTCCCCTGAGAGTCTGACCTCAGTTGAATTAAATTTGACCTTGTAACTGATGTTTTTAAGAAACATTGAACATAGATTGCTGACGACGGTGGATAGGTGGTGTCAGGGCAGTTTGAGCACACTGGGAATATAAGGCTCCTCATTATATGGCATGCCAAAAAAAGTTTGTCCTCCAGGCAAATATCCAAATTATATTGGAAGTTTGAAATGCCGGTATTGATAATAGTCTGCAAATATCCACTACCATCTTCATTTTTAATTCTCACCATATTTATCCTACCAACAAGATAATTTGTAGAGTATGACTAAACACAGCAACTAAGAATGCTTTTACCAAAATAAAATTATAAGTTGTGTAACAGTTCAGTTTCAGATAAAAAAGCAGACGTTCTTTCTGCCAGTGCTAGAAGTCAGTGAACATTTGACAGAGAGTCAAAATGGTTCCCAAGAAAAGCAGAGAAAAGGGACAACCCCAAAAATAGAATCACTTCTCACAGACCACTGCTTGAGCAACTTGTGAGCTGTAGGAGGGGCGCTGGTTCCTAAGCCTGAAGTGGAGGACGTGTTTTAATCCAGCCTGCATGAGGTTGTAGTGTGGTGCTTCCTTACCTCGGGGCAGCGGTGGGCGGGCAGTCCACACATTGCTAAAGGACCTGAGGAAAGTGGCTGGAGCGTCCAGAAAATTGATGAAAACTACAAAGTCTGCTTGGTTCTGCTTTGGCTTGCTAGATTACATCCCTTTTTTGTAAAAGACAATAAACTTGAGAAGTCTTTTTAAAATTAGATAATCAAAGTTGAGATCACTGAGGGCTGTGTCCAGCACACACACTAGCTGGGAAGCAGCAGAGCAGGAAGGCAGAAGCACAGATTGTGGGATCCCCCTGCTCTCCAGGTCTGGCCCCTCCCTCCTCAGTGGTGTGGCCTTGGGGCCAGCTTCAACTCTTCCTGCCTCAGTTTTCTCATCTCTAGAGCAGGGATAATAGTAAGACCTACTTCACAGGGGCATTACAGCATTAAAAGGGCATCAGGTACTTCAAATGGTGCCTTTATAATAATCACTCAGTAAATGCTTACAGTTCATTATAAATCTAAAGGAACCCAAAGGCGAAGATTGAGCAAAGTTGATTTGGTCTGCCCAGTGAAGAATACTTTCTGTATTTTGTAGTAAGGCTGACTTTAAAAATAGAGGTAGTGGATGTTGTTGTTTCTCTTTCTCTGCCCTTCCCCATGTATGTGAGGCCCTTCAGGAGCCCAGGCACACATGCAGTGCCAATTTGCTCCCAGATCCAAGGGTGTTCAGAAGTGGACTTCGAATTTCAAATAGCTGTGATTTTATTTAACTTTACTGAATTCTAGTTTTATTATATTACCACCAGAGAGTTTGGCCTTTAAGATCTCTAATTCTTTGAAATGATTAAGTTTTCCTTTGTGGCCTTCTTTATAATTGATTTTTGTAAATATTCTATTGATGTGTGAAAAAAATACAGATTCTCTATTTGAAGGATGTACTTTCTTTCTGTTTATCTAATTCTTCCACATCTTTACTTGTTTAGAATCGTCAGATTTGAGGAGATATGCAGTCATGCACTACATAACGATGTTTTGGTCAATGACCGACCGCGTGTAGTGTAGTGGCCACATAAGATTGTTTCCTTTTTTTACTGTACCTTTCCTATGTTTAGATATATTTAGATACACAGATACTTGCCATTATGTTACAGTTGCTGTTCAGTGCATTAATATGTTGTATAGGTCTGTAGCCTAGCTGTGTAGGTGTTGTGTAATACACTCTGTGATGTTCACACAATGAGGAAATTACCTAGCAATGCATTTCTCGGATCAGATTGTATCCCCCTTGTTAAGCGACCCATGACTGTATAAAAAACTTCCTATAATATTTGTGTTTTTAACAAATGTTCATTAAATTCCCAACAGACTTTGCTTTATGGCTAATTAGGCTTATGGACGATTACAGTTTCTTTGTTAATTGTCTTTTTCCCTGTTATCTTAGTTACCAGTTTAACCTGAAATGTAATCTTGTCAACTATGAACACGGCCCTTCTCACCTCTATGCTTATGTATGCCTCGTGATGTCCATTCTGTAGTCCTCTGTGGGTAACTAGTCTAAACTGACTGTGCTAAGCTAATCCCGTGCCTTCTGCTGATGATTTCAGTCTTTTAAAAGGAATTTTAAAACATGATATTAAAGAAATGTAGAAAACTTATTTCGATGATAGGAGAGGAGGTAGTCGGGAAGGCCTTATCTCCCAGGGAACACATATTCTCTGTTCTGGTATTTCTTCCCCTAGTGGAGCAGCAGTTCCAAACCCAAATGTTGTCTCAGGGGTCCTTTTCACTTTTTAAAATTACTGAGGACCCCAAAGAGATTTTGGTCATGTGAGTTATATCTATTAACGTTTGCCACATTAGAAATTAAAACAATTTTTAAAATATTTCTCCATTTATTTAAAAGTAAGGACTGGGCTGGGTGCATTGGCTCATGCCTATAATCCCAGCACTTTGGGAGGCCGAGGTGGGCGGATCACCTGAGATCAGGAGTTTGAGACCAGCCCAGCCAACATGGTGAAACCTGTCTCTACTAAAAATACAGAACTTAGCCAGGCATACAGAAAATTAGCCGGGCATGGTGGCATGCACCTGTAATGCCAGCTGCTCGGGAAGCTGAGGCTGGAGAATCGCTTGAACCCAGGAAGCAGAGGTTGCAGTGAGCCGAGATCGGGCCATTGCACTCCAGCCTGGGGGACAAAAGTGAAACTCCGTCTCACAAAACAAAACAAAACAAAAAAAGAGTAAGGACTGTATGTCTCACACCTTGGCACACCCTCCTGGTGTCTGGTGTGATGGAGGGGATTATTCCTCATCTCTCCTGAGTTCAGTCTTCTGTAATGTAGCACGCTGGGGCCTCTGGAGCACTTCACTGCACACTAACGAATGTGAGGATGGAAAAGGAAAATCATATCTTAGTGAAACTGTGGAAATAGTTTAGACCTCGGGCTCCCCTAACAGGCCCCTAGACGATGCTTTGGGAACCGTGGTGGTAGAACTCTCTCTCCCAGACTCACTCTGCCCTGACCCCTCTTATTGGTGAGAAACAGGCATGTGTAACTCTTCTTTTTCCTTTGAGGAATAAAAGATATTTGTACATTTTGGTCTGTTTCTTTCATGTCTTCAGTGCTGTAGGGCAAGAAGCCTATCTGGGGAGGCTTTGGTTATTAAGCAATGCTTATGGCTGGCTGGCTTCATCTCAGTCTAGGATTCAGATTAGGAAATCCATTGTTGTGTGAATCTGAATCGCATCCGCCAGTCCAGCTATTATTAGCGATAATGCTGATAACCTCAGTTGGCCTGAATCCTTTGTCTCTAAATTGATTCTAAAGTGAAGCAGGGAAAAGGGGTGCTATTCAACACTAAAACAAGAAATTTAATAACAATATTCAGTTAATTTGAAAAGATAAAGGAACAGGATTGAAATTTTAACAATGGTCTTCTCAGCTTTGCTTGGCCTAACCTAATCTTATCTCTGGCCAGTGCCCTCAACTGGTGTGTTTTAGTGTAAGATATTTTTATGTAAATATGTTAGAAATCACAGAATGTTTTTCCCCCAAAGATTATCATGTAATTGTCACATTTATAATGTTATTTGTGGCTCAGTATATGACTTAGTGATTTCTCATTCTGGAAATCAAGAAAGGCTGGAAGGAGAATTGGAAGGAAGGGATGAAAAACTCCATTTTCAGAGAAATAAAAGGCAGATGCAATTCACAGACTCTAAAATGTGCATGAGGCTTACCAAAAGCAGCTAAGCCTGGGTAGTGATAGTATAGGCAGAACTGAGCAGAAGGGCTCAGGCTAACAAAAGCACTCGTCAGGGCCAGGTCTAGAAGTCGAGCCCCACATACCCTGTGCACTGAGAGGCTGAGTCGCAGATGTTCAACTCCAGCTTGCAGAGTGCAGAAGTTCCAGGGAGGACCACTGACAGCAAAGGGCTTCCTGGATCCAGTTTTACTCAGAGACATGGGCTGTGGGGTCTCCCAGGGATTCACATGCAGGTAGCGGCTTGGGGAGAGAGTGCTGGAACTGGGAAGGCTGGAAGCTGCCCTTCCCCCACCCTGAGGGCATCTGCAAAACAGGTGCCCTAGGAAGTCCCACCTCACTCTGAAATGCCTGTTAGAGAAGGTGACCATCACTGCATGGATATTCTCTAAGGAAATTGTGGGAAATGTGTCTGTGAAGCAGGATGGAATCATGACCAGACAGTTCATCATAAATGAAAAAAACAGGAAACTCATGAAGCAGTTCTGTGGCAGAAGATCCCAGTGCAGGAATGCCACAAAACAGAAAAGAGATTTTAATGAGGTTGAGTATCCCTTATCCCAAATGCTTAGAACTGGAAGTGTTTTAGATTTTGGATTTTTTCAGATTTTGGAATATTTACATATACATAATGAGATAACTTGGGATACAAGCTTAAACATGAAATTCATGTATGTTTCACATACACCTTATACATATAACCTGAAGGTAATTTTATACAGTATTTTTAATAATTTTGTTCAACCCATCACATGAGGTCAAGTATGGAATTTTCCACTTGTGGCATCATGTCCATGCTCAAAAAGTTCTGGAGTTTGGAGGATTCTGGATTTTGGAATTAGGGATGCTCAACCTGTACAACCAAGTGAGACAGCAGGAGACAAAGTCAAGTTGGCAGAAGAAAGGATGGCAGCAGCCAGGAGAACCAACACAGAGGTGAAGGTGCGATTGGAAGGGCCCAGGAGAAGACAGATGTTTTGGGAAACACAAAAAAGGTGATGGAAAAATACGAATGAGAGAATTAATAAGAATTAAACCGTAATCCTGAGTTTAAAAGGAACTAGAAAGAAAATTACAGCTGAAGAGAACAGGGAGAGAGGTTCCAGCATATTTATCATTGGAATCTTCAAACAGGAAAACAAAACAAAAGGACAGAACAAATATTTAAAGATAATGTTCAGGAAAATTCTGCTCAGGTAAAAATAGATGGAAGTGTACATTGTGAGAGGGCAAATTTTATGCTGGGGAAGGTTGACTGAGAACAGGTTATGAGTGTGCCATATCCTACAGGAATTATTAAACTCTGAAGATGAAGCAAGAACCTCCCAATGGGTAAACAAACATGTCATCTCTTACTGAGGGAAAAGATCAGGGTGGCTTCAAATTTCTCCAAATTCTTCAGATAGTGGAGTAATCCTTACTTATGGGATCCTCCAGGAAGAAAGAATGGCCCATGAATTTTATGTCCAGTCAAAACATCTTTTGTATCCAGTCTGCAAACAAACACTATTGATCATGTGAGAACTCAGGGAATACTCACTGTTCTCATGAGCAGTTTCGGCTGGAGAAACAGTGTCCATCAGACTGGATGTCAGTGAATCTCTACAGCGTCAGCTGTGTGGCTGAGGGTGATGGAGCAGAGTGTGAGTGGAGGGCAGAGGAGAAAAAAAAGGTCGGTGGTTAGAGGTTTGTTGACTGTCTCACCTATAATCACAGGGAGGCACTAAGATGTTATTCACTAAAATCAAGTTGTAGAGGAGAGGGATGGAAGGAAGAAGGAGCAAGATGAATGACAGTTTTATCACAATGTGGAACAGGAAACTAACAGGCTAAGATGTGTTGTATGAGGATTCCGAAGGAGAGGGAATTACATAGAGTTAAAATTCCAAAAGTAACCCCTAGTACAAAATAGTGCAAACATTTCTAAATTTCAGAAGAACTACAGAGAGAACGCAAACTTTTTCAAAAAGCTACAAAAACATGTCATAAAAGTAAGACCAAACGTTGTATCTATACATGTAAACACATAACTTTATACACATAACCTGAAGGCTGGTAAAAGATTTCAGATTGAATCAAAAAGTGAAACCCAACTCCAAGTTGTACATAAGAAGCCCACCTAAAACAGAGATTTACAAAAGTTGGAAATAAAAGAATGAAAAGATATACTAGGCAAAAGTAAAAAATAAAGTGGGACAAAAAGCATTAAAGGAAAGCAGCAGCCCACTTTTTCCTGCCATGATGCACATCAGAGTAAGGGCAACTGGAAAAGCAGGGCATCCCTGTAGGGGCAGGTGGAGCAGCAGCGAGGGCCTCGGTCATCATTCCCACAGGAGACCTCTACTTCGTGGGTTCTGTCACAGGGATTTGTTACTGTGGCTTCCCAGAATACAAATTCTACAATTTTGTATTTTAGTGCAATTTATTTGCTATTTAATAATGAGTTTTCAAATACAAAATGCTATTTAATAATGAGTTTTGGTGTTGTGTTTCCTTCTTAATTTCTACATGGAAGGGCTGTTTGATTTATTGATTGTCTGTTCAGCAAACAACTGCGAGTATGGGCTTAGGTTGTGAAAATATTTGTTAGTGCCCAACCATTCATTCTAGCCTCTTTCTGGTGTGCCCTTTTGATACAGAGGCTGGAAAGCTAAAAGCTCCATTTCAGACTCTTGCAGCCTGGGCTCTGGGAGGAGATATGCTTCCACTAACTAAATGAATGCCTGCAAGACTAGAAGACAGAGCTGCAGGCTGTGGATGCCTCAGCTCCCTTGTATGAAGGTCTGTTCAGGTTTGCATGGGTAGTGACTGTTTCCTATACTTGGACTCTGACTGATACAGTGACTTAATTTAGGATGGCATGTTAGAAATCTTCATGCATGTGTGTTATATCACTGTGGTTTGTAATTCCATATTAACTTCTATTCCATTTGAGTCCATTCCTTTCCTTTCCATTCCATTCGAGTCCATTCCATTCCATTCCATTCCATTCGAGTCCATTCCATTCTATTCCATTCCATTCCATTCCATTCCATTCCATTCAAGTCCATTCCATTCCATTCGAGCCAATTTCATTCCATTATATTCGAGTCCATTCTATTCCATTCTATTCCATTTGAGTCCATTCCATTCCATTCTAGATCATTCCATCCCAACCCATTCCAATCGAGTCCATTCCATGTCATTCCATTCGAATCCATTCCATGTCATTTCATTCGAATCCATTCCATGTCATTCCATTCGATTCCATTCCATTCGAGTCCATTCTTTCCATTTCATTCGAGTCCATTCCATTACATTTAATTCCATTTGGGTGCATTCCATTCCATTCCATTCGAGTCCATTCCATTCCATTCCATTCGAGTTCATTCCATTCCATTCGAGTCCATTCCATTCCATTCCATTCGAGTACATTCCATTCCATTCCATTCCATTCCATTGCTTTCGGGTCCATTCAATTCAACTGCATTCCATAGGTGTCCATTCCATTGCATTCCATTCCATTCCATTCCATCCCATCCCATCCCATCCCTTCCATTCCCATTCCCATTCCATTATATTCCATTCCATTCGAGTCCATTCTATTCCATTCCATTCCATTCCATTCTATTCGAGCACATTTCATTTCATTCCATTCCATTCCATTCAGGTTCATTCCATTCTGTTATAATTCTATTCCATTCGAGTCCATTCAATGCCATTCCATTCCATATGAGTCCATTCAACTCCATTCCATTCGAGTCCATTCCATTCCATTCAAGTCCATTCCATTCCAATGCATTTGAGTCCATTCCATTCCATGCTATTCCATTTGAGTCCATTCCATTCCATTCCATTCCATTGCATTCAAGTCCATTCCAAACTCATTACATTCCAGTCCATTCTATTCCATTCCATTCTTTTCCATTCCATTCAATTTGAGCCCAGTCCATTCCATTCCATTCCATTCGGGTCCATTCCATTCAATTCCATTCGAGTCAGTTCCATTCCATTCCATTTGAGTCCATTCCATTGCATTCCATTCCATTCGAGACCATTCCATTGTATTCCATCCCAATCCTTTCGAGTCCATTCCATTCCATTCCATCTGAGTCCATTCCATTCCATTCCATTCCATTCGAGTCCATTCCATTGCATTCCATTCCATTCGAGTCTCTTCCATTCTATTCCATTCAAGTCCATTCCATTAAGAGTCCATTCCATTAAATTCCATTGTATTCCATTCCATTCCATTCGAGTCTCTTCCATTCTATTCCATTCAAGTCCATTCCATTAGAGTCCATTCCATTAAATTCCATTGTATTCCATTCGAGTTCATTCCATTCCATTCCGTTCCATTCATGTCCATTCCATTCCATTCGAGTCCATTCCATTCCAATCCTTTTGAGTCTATTCCATTCCATTCCATTCTATTCCATCCCATCCCATCCCATCCCATCCCATCCCATCCCATCCCATCCCATCCCATCCCATCCCATCGCATCCCATTCCACTCAAGACCATTCCATTTCATTCGGGTCCATTCCTATCCATTCCATTCGAGTCCATTCCAATACATTCCATCCCATTCGATTCCATTGCATTCCATTCCATTCCATTCCAGTCGGGTCGATTCCATTCCATTCCATTCCATTCCATTCCTTTCGGTTCCATTCCATTCCATTCCATTCGAGTCCATTCCATTCCATTCCATCCCATTCGAGTCCATTCCACTCCATTCCATTCCACTCGAGTCCTTTCCATTCCATTCCATTCTATTCGAGTCCATTCCATTCCATTGGAGTTCATTCCATTCCATTCCATTCGAGTCCATTCCATTCCATTCCATTCCTTTCGAGTCCATTCAATTCCGTTCCATACAATTCGAGTACATTCCATTCCATTCGAGTCCATTTCATTCCATTCCATTCCATACCATTACATTCCATTCAATTCAAATCCACTCAATTCCATTCCATTCCATTTGAATCCATCCCACCGCATTCCATTGGAGTCCATTCTATTCCATTCCATTCCACTAGAGTCCATTCCAATCCATGCGAGTCCATTCAATTGCATATCATTCGAGTCCATTCCATTCCATTCCAGTACATTCCATTCCATTCCATTCTGGTACATTCCATTTCATTTCAGTCTATTCCATTCCATTCGAGTCCATTTCATTCCATTCCATTCCATTCTTTCAGGTCCATTCAATTCAACTGCATTCTATTCAAGTCCGTTCGATTCCATTCCATTCCATTCCATTCCATTCGAGTAATTTTCATTCTATTACATTCCATTCCATTCGAGTACATTGCATTCCATTCCATTCCATTGCATTCCATTCGAATCCATTCGACTCCACTCCGTTCGAGTCCATTCCATTCCACTCGAGTCCATTCCATTCCATTGCATTCGAGTCCATTCCATTCCATGCTATTCCATTTCAGTCCATTCCATTCCATTCCATTCGAGTAAATTCCATTCCATTCCATCCCATTCGAGTAAATTCCATTCCATTCCGTTCCATTCCGTTCCGTTCCATCCGAGTCCATTCCGTTCCATTCCATTTCATTCGCGTCCATTCCGTTCCATTCCATTCCATTCCATTCCATTCCATTCCGTTCGAGTCTATTCCATTCCATTGCATTCCATTCGAGTCCATTCCACTGCATTCCATTTCTTTCGAGTCCATTCCATTCCACTCGAGTCGATTCCATTCCATTCCATTCCATTCCATTCCATTCCATTCCATTCCATTCCATTCCATTCCATTCCATTCTAGTCCATTCCATTTCATTCGAGTCCATTCCATTTCATTCGAGTCCATTCCATTCCATTCCATTCCATTCCATTCCATTCCATTCCATTCCATTCCATTCCATTCCATTCCATTCGAGTCTTTTCCATTTCATTCCATTCCATTCCCTTCCAATCCGTTCCATTCCATTCCTTCCATTGCTTTCGGGTCCATTCAATTCAACTGTATTCCATTCGAGTCCATTCCATTACATTTTATTCCATTCCATTCCATTCCATTCCAGCACATTTCATTCCATTACATTCCTTTCGAGTCCAATCCATTCCATTCCATTCCTATCGAGTCCATTCAATTCCATTCCATACCATTCGAGTCCATTCCATTCCACTCCATTCCATTCCATCCATTCCATTCGAGTCCATTCCATTCGCATCCATTTCATTCCATTACATTCCATTCCATTCGAGTCCATTCCATACCATTACATTCCGTTTGACTCGAATCCATTCAATTCCATTCCATTCCATTCGCATACATTCCACTCCATTCCATTCGAGTCCATTCCATTCCATTCCATTCCACTCGAGTCCTTTCCATTCCATTCGAGTCCATTCCGTTCCATTCCATTCCTTTCCATTACAGTCCATTCCATTCCATTCAATTCGTGTCCATTCCATTCCATTCCACTTGAGTCCATTCCATTTGAGTCCATTCCATTCCATTCCATTCCATTTGAGTCCATTCCATTCCATTTCATTCCAGTCCTATCCATTCCATTCTATTCCATTCCAGTCCACTCCATTCCATTCCATTCCATTCCGTTCCATTGCATTCGAGTCCATTCCATTCCGTTGGAGTTCATTCCAATCCATTCCATTCCGTTCCATGCCATTCCGTTCCATTCCATTCCATTCCGTTCCATTCCATTTGGGTCCATTCCATTCCATTCGATTCTATTCCATTCCATTGCATGCCATTCGAGTTCATTCCACTTCATTCCATTTAAATTGAGTCAATTCCATTCTATTCCATTCCATTCCATTCCATTCCACTCGAGTCGATTCCATTCCGTTCCATTCCATTCGAGTCCATCCCATTTCATTCGAGTCTATTCCATTCCATTCCATTCCATTAGAGTCCACTTCATTCCATTCCATTCCATTCCATTCCGTTCCGTTCCATTCCGGGTCCGTTCCGTTCCATTCCGGGTCCGTTCCGTTCCGTTCCGTTCCGTTCCATTCCATTCCATTCCAATCCGTTCAAGTGCATTCCATTGCATTCCATTCCATTCCATTCCAGTCCATTCAATTCAATTCTTGTCCATTCCATTGCATTCCATACCATTCTAGTCTATTCTGTTCTATTCCATTCGAGTCCATTCCATTGCATTCCATACCTTTCGAGTCTATTCCGTTCTATTCCATTCTAGTCCATTCCATTCCATTAGAGTCCATTCCATTAAATTCCATTGTATTCCATTCGAGTCCATTCCATTCCATTTGGTTCCATTTGTGTCCATTCCATTCCATTTGAATCCATTCCATTCCATTTCTTTCGAGTCCATTCCATTCCATTCCATTCTATTCCATTCAAGTCCATTCCATTCCATTCAGTTCCATTCCATTCCATTCCATTAGAGTCCATCCCATTCAAGTCCATTCCATTCCATTCCATTCCATTCCATTCCATTCCATTCCATTCCAATGCATTCCATTGCATTCCTTTTGGATCCTTTCAATTCAACTGCATTCTAATTGAGTCCATTCCATTCCATTCATGTCCATTCCATTAGAGTCCATTCAATTCCATTCCATCCCATTCGAGTCTATTCCGTTCCATTCTGTTCCATTCGTGTCCATTCCATTCCATTCCATTCCATTCCATTCCATTCCATTCCATTCCATTCATGTCCGTTCCATTCCATTCCATTCCATTCCATTTCATTCCATTCGAGTGCGTTCCATTCCATTCCATTCTGTTCCATTCCATTCGGGTCCATTCCATTCCACTCCATTCCATTCCATTCCATTTCTTTCGAATCCATTCCATTCCATTATATTCACACATCACATTCTGGTTTAATGCTTATTCAATAATGAACTGTTTTGTTTCTCTACTTCCTTTGTGGAGAAAATTTTTGGGTTGAGAGATTTTGAATTTAATCACATTTAACCCACACATACTTGGGAGGGCTTGCCATAGCTTGCACTCCCATTTGGCTCTGTGACATCACTCTGCACTGTGTTTTGTCCTGGGTCTCTGGCATACCTTAGTCTCTTGCCCTAACTTACTTTCTTTCGCCCACACCTTAAGCAATAGGTCCTCCAAGGTTCCTGCTCGATTTCTAGTTTGTTCGTTCATTCATTCTTTTGTTCTTTCTCTCTCCTTCTCTCTCTCTGTCTCTCATTGTCTCCTCCTTTCTCTCTCCCTCTCTCTTTCTCTCTTTCTTCGGAGTTTTGCTTTTTTTGCCCAGACTGCAGTGCAATGGCACGATCTCAGCTCGCTGCAACCTCCACCTCCTGGGTTCAAGCAATTCTCCTACCTCAGCTTCCCAAGTAGCTAGGATTACAGGCATGTGCAACCACGCCTGGCTAATTTTTTGTATTTTTAGTAGAGATGGTGTTTCACCATGTTGGTCAGCTGGTCTCAAACTCCAGACCTCAGGTGATTCACCCACCTCAGCCTCCCAAAGTGCTGGGATTACAGGTGTGAGCCACCACACCTGGCCAAGTTCTAGTCTTTTCTTAATATGAAAAATTTCAGCCATGCTAAGGATTTCTACAGCTGACTACATGTGATGAGGGCTAATTTTAAAAAAAATCTTCAGTCCAGATCTCATTTCCAGATTCGAATTTTAATTGTCTATTGGACACCATCATAGAGCACCTTTTCCCATTAGCACCTAAAATGCACCATGATAGAATAGTGGAGTAGAAATAAATAATTTTGGTTTGGTATAAAAAAATCTTTGTTCACATACTAGAGCTGAGTTATAGTTGTGGCAATTAGCTCTGTGACCTTGGAAAAGTTATTTCTAACCTCTTCAAGCCTTACTTTTCCATCTGACGAATCAAAATAATATTGGTGTTAGTATTGTCTTGCGCATCTGTGTGAAGAGAGTCCACCAACAGGCTTTGTGTGAGCAACAAGGCTGTTTATTTCACCTGGGTGCAGGCAGGCTGAGTCTGAAAAAGGAGTCAGTGAAGGGAGACAGGGGTGGGGCTGTTTTATAGGATTTGGGTGGGTAGTGGACAATTACAGTCAAAGGGGGTTGTTCTCTGGTGGGCAGGGACGGGGGTCACAAGGTGCTCAGCGGGGGAGCTTCTGAGCCAGGAGAAGGAATTTCACAAGGTAATGTCACCAGTTAAGGCAGGAACTGGCCATTTTCACTTCTTTTGTGATTCTTCAGTTATTTCAGGCCATCTGGATGTATACATGCAGGCTTGGGCCCAGAGGCCTGACAAGTATGAGTATGATAATAAATAATTTATAGAAATCAAGAAAATAATTCAATTTACCCTAATATCAAAAAGAATGAAATTGTAGGAATAAATTTAACCAGGTAAGTGAAAGATCTGCACAATGAAAACTATAAAACATTGATGAAAGAAATTGAAGAAGACACAAGTGAATGGAAAGATATTTCATGTTCATGGATTGGGAGAATTAATAGTGTTAAAACATCCATACTATCCAAAGCAATATATAGATTCAACACAATCCCTATCAAAATGTCAATGGCATTTTTCACAGAAATAGGAAAAACAATTCTGAAATTCATATGAAACCACAAAAGACCTGAAATGGCAAAAATAAATAAATAAATAAATAAATCTTTAGAGCAAAAAACAAAGTTATAGGTATTACACATTCTGATTTCAAATTATATTACAAAGCTATAGTAATCAAAACACTGTGGCACTGGCATGAAAACAGAGATGTAAAGCAATGAAACAGAATAGAGCCCAGAAATAAACCCAAGCATATAAAAGTCAACTAATTTTTGACAAGGACATCAAGAAAACACAGTGGAGAAAGAATAATCTCTTCAATAAATGGTGTTATGAAAATTGGATATCCAACACTGGGGAGACTGGACCCTTATCTTACATCATACACAAAAATATACTCAAAATAGATGAAAAATCTGAAACCATAAAATTTCTGTAAGAAACATAGGGGGAAAGTTTCTTGATATTGATCTTGGCAATGATATTTTTGGATATCACACCAAAAGCTCAGGCAACAACAACAAGGATAAATACATGAGACTACATCAGACTACATCAAACTGAAAACCTTCTGCACGTTGACTGGGTGTGGTAGTTCACATCTGTAATCCCAGCACTTTGGGAGACCAAGGTTGGAGGATCACTTGAGGCCAGGAGATCAAGGATCACCCTGGGCAACATAATGAGATCTGTCTCTATAAAATAAATAAATAATAAAAAATTAAATGAAATAATCAACAAAATGAAAAGACAGCCTACAGATTGGGAGAATATACATGTGTAAATTGGGACTGTCCTGGGCAGACTGAGATAAATGATTGCCTTACCTTTTTCTGAAAAAATTACTACCTGCCCTTGGGGCTGTGTTTTTGTCTTACCTAAGAATTTGCCCATGGGTACAACAGCATGCTGACACAAAGCAAGAAGCTTGTATAGTTCTGATCTTAAAGTAGAAAAAATCATCTGTGATGAGGAATGGAATTGGACTTGGTGCAGCTCTATCTTGACTGGGAGCCATAAAGGCAAAAATGTTGAAGACCGAACACCCCACCCTTTGGGCATCTACAGTGGATTTTTGGGATTGAGTTGCCTGGAACTTAGGACTGCAGGTTTGGAGGTGCTTTGAATAAAATGGATGTTCCTTTCATAAAAAATTTTGAAGCAACAAAGGAGAAAGGCCTTGGTAGAAGATAGTGAAGGATGCTTCCTATCAATGGAGTGAAATGTTTGATGGTATTTGCACTCTGAGGTGCAGAGATGTTTGGAGAAATCTGTTAGTGGCAGGATGGGAGGAATTGGCCTTGAGAGCTAGAAACTCTGAGGTCAAGTTTTATTGTGATATACCTAGGTATGATTTTTTTTTTATTATACTTTAAGTTTTAGGGTACATGTGCACAATGTGCAGTTTAGTTACATATGTATACATGTGCCATGTTGGTGTGCTGCACCCATTAACTCGTTATTTAACATTAGGTATATCTCCTAATGTTATCCCTCCCCCCTCCCCCTCCCCCACAACAGGCCCTGGTGTGTGATGTTCCCCTTCCTGTGTCCATGTGTTCTCATTGTTCAATTCCCACCTATGAGTGAGAACTAATCATGCATGGAGTTTATAGCACTTTGAATCTGTGGCTTGATATATTTGTTTGTTTTTGAAAGTTCTTACTGTTTTGGAGGGGGCAATCTCAAAGAAAATTGCAATAACAATACAAGGAACTATTTTTCTCTGAAATGTTTGTTGATAAGTGGCTGATATAATGCCCTGTCACCCTCGATTAGTTTAATTCATATTACCTGTTGACTAGAACATTCTAAAAAACCAGAGTACAATGATCAAAGTGAGGAAATTAAATTGAGCTTACTACTACCAATGAATCTTCAGACCCCACTCAAATTTTATCAATAGTCTCAATACTGTTCTTTATATCAAAAAGATGAAATCCAGAATTAAGCATTTAGATTTCATGCCTCTTTAGTTCCCCTGAGTTTGGAAAAGATTGTCTGTTTTTCTTGACTTTTATAACCTTGAAATTTTTGAAGATTACAGGACCATTTATTTGTAGAATATCCCTCAGTTTGGTTTTTTTCTAATGTTTCCTCATTATTAGATTCATTTTTTATAGGGTGTCACAGAAGTGATGCTTTATTTTCTCATTGTATCTATCAAGTGGCTCATGATTTTGATTTACTCTGTTACTGATAATGCTCAACTAAACCTCTTGATTAAAGTGGTTCTGCCAAGATTCTCATGTCAAGGTGCACTTTTCCCCTTTGTAAGTAATACATAATTTGTGAGAAGATACCTTAAGACTACATAAATATCTCATTTCCTTTAACGAATTTCAATATTCAATTATTATTTATATTAATATGATGTCATGAATTCCTTTCTTCAATGGGTTATAATTCTGTGACTGTCACCATTTTATTCTGATGTTCAAATTGTCCCATATTTGGCCTGTTGGAATCTTTTCAAGTTGGCTTCTCTGCTTTTTTTGGGCATGTCTCCATCATTCTTTGAGCATTGCCTTACTTTCTTGTACAAAAAGATATTCTGGGCTCATCTTATACTTTCTGTGCTCTAGCTTTGAAATTACCATTTCTTCAAAGAGCTCTGTTTCCTTTTAGAGGAGGATGGTTTTTAGAAACCAAGTTCTAGGTAGCAGGTGTGCTCGTTGCTGTTGAGGTGTTGCAGCTCCCAGGCCCTTTCCGTGAACAGAGCTAGGAAAATTTGATTATATGTGTGTTAAACCTTTTACCATGTCTGATATGTCTCTTAAGCTCTTTTCTAAATTTGCATTCTATGCTTCTCAGTGCTTTTATTTTCTACTTCTTTCCATTTTTTGAGTATTCTTGTTTTCTTACCAACTTTATGGAATTTGCTGTTAAACCTATCTGGTAATATCTTAATTTTAGTCATTGAAATTTTCAGTTATAGAAAATCCATTTGATTCTTTCATAGAGTCTTTAGTTTTGTTTATATTATATTTATATATAAATACTATATATAAAGTATTAAAATCCAAATAACAAGATTTTATATTTAAACACAAAATACTTGCTGAATATTTATTATAGTATCCCAACTTTTAAAGAGAAAGATATTTAAAAATAAACATGACAAGGAAATTAGAGAAGTCAACTTCTTAAATATAACCAAAGTGTCAAAAAACATTTAAGTCAGTTTAAAAATTAAACTCTAGGAAAAAAGGTAAACCTTGTAAAAGTCTCATTAAATTTCAGAAGCCTACAAAACGTCAGCAACAGAAAACATTTAGTTCACATGTGTATTACATTCTGGTTGAATTTTTTCCCTCTGTCCATTTAGATTTATATTGGCTAGTCTTTTCGTCAACAAATTTAGTTTTTAAATCTTGTTTTTAAGCAATAGAAAATCCTTTATCATTTCTAGAAGATAAACCCACAGCAGAGAGAAAAGACTATTTAGCCTCAAATTCTACAGCATAATAAACAACTACAGGGAAAATAACAAATTTTTTTTGTATGTATGTATGTATGTATTTCTAAGGGAAAAAATCCTTCTATATAAAACTCACTGAATGACACCAATTTTTCTAAAAGTGGGAATCAATACTAGAAGGATAAAACACCATTTTAAAATTCATGTTCCAAGTCAGTATTTTACTTTAATAACAGTTACAAAATAGTGAACAATGCACATGAAGCGATAATAGCCAAAATCATATATCAGCCATGCATGCAGTTCATACTTGGTAGAGGGAGGTAGGAGGCACTGAAAGTGCACTGTTGGATGAATTTATAATCACTCTAAAAACAAAACCCTCTAAAAAGGGAACCTAGGGACTACCCAGACAAGATGGAAAGGCTCTGATTCATTTATTAGACTGCACAGAATTTCAGTCTGTAGTGAGCAGGGTACCTGGAACTCTATACATAAAATTCTGTGTCATATTCTTTTTTTTTTTTTTTGAGATGGAGTTTCACTCTCATTGCCCAGGCTGGAGTGCAATGGTGTGATCTCGGTTCACCGCAAACTCCATCTCCCAGGTTCAAGCAACTGTCCTGACTCAGCCTCCCTAGTCGCTGGGATTACAGGCATGCGCCACCACGGCCAGCTAATTTTGTATTTTTAGTAGACACGGGGTTGCTCCATGTTGGTCAGGCTGGTCTCGAACTCTCGACCTCAGGTGATCCACCTGCCTCAGCCTCTCAAAGTGCTGGGATTACAGGCGTGAGCCACCGCACCCAGCCTCATATTCTTTCACTTAATCCACAATATCATGTACCAATGGGCAAAACTTTGCTCCATTTCTAAAAATAGTTAAACTGAGAAATTATTCAAAGGTACATTTTTATATATAAGATATAGCAATTTTAAACATCTTACCCCTTGTGATGAATAAGAAATGGCACAAAGCCACTACATATCATTTGAATATAAAACTTTTTTTCTTTTAAAAAAGCTCTCATTTCCCATGCAATTTTAAGAAATAAAATTTTCCCCAAGGGGATGGCAGGAATGTGATTTCATGAGAATTACTGTAGTTGGAGAGAGTCCAGAAAATCTAAAATAATAAAATTGGTTATAAGCTGACAAATTTTATTGACTTAACTGCAGGTTAAGATTTCACTCTCCTGGCTTTCAGGAAAAGGCCCTGACAAGTTAAATGAGAATGATTTAAAAATATAAATTCAAGAAGCTACACAAATACTTATAAAAGGTTATAAAGTGTGTTGTATTTTTGAGATGACTTTTTTTGAGCCTTTTAAGTCAAAGAGTCAGTTTAGTGATTTAAATATATAAACTGAGAACACCATAAAATGATAGACTGGATTAAGAAAATGTGGCACATATACACTGTGGAATACTATGCAGCCATAAAAAAGGATGAGTTCATGTCCTTTGCAGGGACATGGATGAAGCTGTTAACCATCATTCTGAGCAAACTATCACAAGGACAGAAACCCAAACACCGCATAGGTATTTCTCACTCATAGGTAGGAATTGAACAATGAGAACACTTGGACACAGGGCGGGAAATATCATACACTAGGGCCTGTCGTGGCATGGAGGATGGGGGAGGGATAGTATTAGGAGAAATACCTAATGTAAATGACCAGTTAATGGGTGCAGCAAACAAACATGGCACATGTATACATATGTAACAAACCTGCACATTGTGAACATATACTGTAGAACTTAAAGTATACTACTACTACTACTAATAAAAACTGAAATTACTTCAACAAAAGGCAATGCCAGGTAGTTACAAACGTGTACTACCCAAACCTGCCTGAAGGTGGGAGTCTTCAGTTATGTAATGGTCTAGGGCACAGCAAAAAAAAAAACCAAAAAAAAAACAAGAGTATTACACATAAAAGAAGAAACATTTTTACCCCACTCCAATCTGACAGTGCAAAAATATAAGTATATAATTAAGGCTCCCTTATCCATCTAGAGTGATAATGGGCATTGACCCATCTATAAAAACAAACAAAAAAAAGAGAGCGAGAAGCCAAAAATGGAAGAGAAAGATATACCTGAAGGAATTGGTTTACTCTACTGTAATGTGAGTGTTAGATAACTTAATGCTATGTAGCTTGATGCTACTACAGTTCTTTTGGTGGAGAGATGGTGGAGTTACAGTCACCAGGTGGCTGAATTATGTATGCTGAGTTACTTACCCAAAGGAAAAGACTGAGGAAGAATAATTGGAAAAATCTGCAGTTACAAATGACACATATATGTACTCAAAATGAAAGGGGAAGTACAAAGAACAAAAAAAGGGAGTACAGGCTAACTATAACAAACAGAACAATCGCATCAGATTAATGTCTAGATTCTTAGGTCTTATGTCCTAATAAACAAAAGGTTAGTACTGACAACATGATACTTAAACATGTCTATGACAGCTAAGGTGAAACAGAAGCCAAACAGATTTTTTGCATTAAGAAATGGCACAAGAAAACATTGGCATGCAAGTGCTTTTGATAACCATCTCTTATGAGACTTATAATAAATAGCATCTCTGGATTTATTTTGAATATGTCTAACTGGTTTGGCTGCTTCTCTTTATTTGGTAGTTCAACATGAAAGCTAAATTTGCCACATTGAGACCTCAAACCATGGTGGCAACACTGTTTATTTCCATGAAGCAGGGAAAATCCTTATGAATAAGAACTAAGGAGTAAAATCACTGTTAGCTTGCACAGGACTTAAAAAGGCTTTTCAACTAAGACATTTCTACATGAAATTTGGTACTTAATAATGGGTATAGTTGTATGTACTTCACAAACTTAAAGATTACTCAAATATGCACATAAAGGTAACAGTAAGCAACAACAACAAAAAGGAATCAGAAGTATCAGGTTACTGACCCATGTCCTGAAGGAGCAATGAAGTATAAACAACACTGCACCCTGTTACCAGGCATCTGACATCTGTTCACTTGCGATTCTGCATTTAGGTAGTCCTCAAATTTACTATCAATGTAATTGATAGCAGGCTGCCAGCTATAGAATGCAAATAAACAAAACAATTAAGTTGCAATTCTACATATGAATTAACTGATGACTGTTAAAGGACAATAATCAATATTTTCAAATAGGCAAAATGAATTAACCAATGGAAGATATGTCAAGTTATTCTATATAAAGATTCAAAAATATAAATTGTGTTGAATAAATCTTTATTCATTATTTCAAAACTTTCCAAATGAAAGAAAATATTTATTGTTGAAACACAGCTAAATTATTAGCATACTATTGGCACTAGTAAGTGTATTAATAACACACTTCATAATATGAAAACGATTATATTCAGTTTCAAATTTCAAATGAGAGATTACTTAAATAATATAAAAACTTCATGATGAACTTAGGAGTTTTAAGAGTTGACAGAAAAATACCTCAAAAACAATGTGAATTCAAACAAAATTAAAGTTATTTATAAAATACTAAGATAATTACTTCAGACTAAAATTTCATAGTTGTTTTCTTCACTTAGGACTTATGGAAAAACTGAAGGTCTAAATATCAGGTTTAAATTAGGATTGTGATAGAATTTATACAAATGGATAAAATTAAAGCAAAGCATTTTAAATTTCTTCCAATAATGAGAATTCTTCTATCTAGCTACGTTATTTTGGAATATGTCTTCAAAACAATTTTATGATAGGTATTATCTCCATTTTATCAAAAAGTAAATGGGTTCAAAGAAGTTAAACTTCTTTGTTTAACTTTGAAGTTAAACTTTGTCAAATAAGTGGCAAAGTTGGTATACAAACCTGTCATGTTACTTGAAGTTTGGTGACCTTTGCTAAGAAGAGTTTTAAAATGTTAAGAAGAGAAAGTTTAACCACCCCAGTACCCCAAATACACTGGAAAGTTGTGAGGACAAATCCTTTTTACCAATTACTGTTATCCACTGCATCTCCAAATACTGGGGTATCAACTATTGTAAGCAGCAACTGAACACCACCTTCTCTGATTAAAACTTTGGATTGTTCCACCTATAAGAGTAATTGGTGCAGATGTTAATATCATACATTACACCAGTGATTTCCTACCAGGGGTGATGGTAGGGATGTTTGAGTTTATCTACCTACTCTCACATTTTCTTTAGGATCAATGATTGTGGGCATTGGGAATCCAGATTATTTGAAAGAAAAGCATATATACAAATAGTATGCCAATCTCTTGGCAAATTAATACTGGGTTTATGAGTCATACTTGGTATAAAGAAAGACAGAGGAACTGATAAAATTCTGATCACCACTAAAGACATGTAATACATAACTTAAATGTGCATCTAATAATACAATTAAGCAGTTTGAGTGATTCAGTCATTAACAGAGTTCAAATGTAATTAACCAGGCAAGAACATTTAATCTACTGTTTATAGTAAATGTCTTCCTGGACTATTCTCTATCAAGTTTGGCCCAAACCACTCACTCAAATGAACTTACTATCATTCCTAAATCTTTCTCAGCATGGATGTAATTACCCTTATATTTATGTTATGGCTAGGATCCAATCCTCTTCTCAAATGCGATACTCCACATTCCGGACAATGTAATCAGCAAAGGTCCAGACAGTTAATAAAAAAAAGTGTATTCTGGTAGGGTGAAATCTTACTGATTATTGGACTTAAATGATAACAACAGTTCCTGGAACAATTTAAGATATTCTGTAACCTCAAGCTCTGTATCAGGAGATGTATTATCATTCATCCTGGGCATATGCTGCTGTTAAATGCAAAGTATCAGTTTTCAGGAGCCGAAGATAAAGCAAACATGGATTCAAATAAAAAGGGAATAATTCCTTCATAAGATAGGCTTTCTCCTGATACACATTTATATCAAGTCCTTTTTAAGGCAAGAGGCTCCAAGTATGCTGATAAGCTAATTTACAAGACAAAAAGTTTGGGACACTTTTAGAGATAGCCTATTTCCTTTTGGCATGTTTTATAGATGCTACCTAATGCATGAAGAGACTAACATGCGGAGACTAAGATTGCTGAGCAAGAAAAGTCTGTAGCCACACTATCCAATAACACTTTCTGAGATGATGGAATTGTTGTGTATCCACACTGTCCAATATGGTAGCCACTTGCCCATGTGGCTACTTACTCCTTAAAATCTGACTAGTGCAAATAAGGAACTGATATTTAATTTTATTTAATTTGAATTAACTTAAATAGCCACATGTGGCTAGTGACTACTGAATACACAGCAGAGGTCTATAGCAATCAAGAGTTTTCTGTTAAAAGAATTTTATTATCAAGAATAAAACTTATAAAACTGAAAAAAATTGCCTGAGTGTGTACATGCATGACTTATCTTTTAGAGAAATGAGATGCCAAAGTCTTATCTTTTAGATTAATGTTCTTCAAACTGCTTTGATCCTGATACAAACTATCAGTGAAAATTTTGCAGATCCAAAAGATATTTACCCACCAAATATATACTATTGGCAATCTGAATATTAAGTATTAATATGTATTATCATTTATCTGTAGATTAAAAGTAAAGATCAATAAATAAGAGTTGTAATAGTTTCTGATCATCCTCAGTATCAGTGATGGATGCACATCATTTAGAAGATCACTGTTACATACCACATAACTCAGATAACATGTCTATTATCAGGTTACCCTAATAACATGAGAGAGGCAAAATGACTCAGAGAAAACAATCAGATTCATCAGTGTGAAATCATGAGAACCAAAGGAAAAAAAATTTTTTTTTTTAGTCAGGGTCTCACTCTGTTGCCCAGGCTGGAGTGCATGGTAGATCATAGCTTACTGCAGCTTCAAACTCCTGGGTTCAAGCAATCTTCCCATTTCAGCCTCCCAAAGTGCTGGGCCAAAAAAATTTTTTAACAATATCATCTTATCTGGTTTAGGAAGTTTACATTTTCTTTATCTGGTGATCTTCTAGTCAAAGGACAACCCAGTCAAATCTAACATCTCAATATCTTGAATTCACTTCCATCTCCTTTATAAAGACAGATCATTTATTCATGGTAACTGTGGCTGACGCAGAAATATCCAAAGTAATTATACCACTCCTTTACCTACTTACTCTTTTAAACAACATAGTACTGTATTCTAGAAAGTGATACAAAAATATAGTTAATCTACATGAATCATCTCCCAATTTTACTTAAAAATATTTCTGGTTCCTTTATTACCAAATGAAGCCCATTCTACCTTCAGTAATATGCTGTATACCAAACACACATTTTAACCTAACAGCTTAAATTTTAAGATATTTCCCTGTTTAAAAAAAAAATCAGTTCAACAACTTAATTACTTATTGACTTGCTAAGACAAATGAAGATTTGTATTTTACACACATAAGGAATGTTTATAAAGCTTCTTTTCTTCTCTGGCCTATGAAATTCTGTATGTCCATACATGGTCAAATACAAAGAAGTCAGCGACATATGGAAGAGATCCAGAAAACATAACTGCAAACTAGTGCCATTCACAGGATCCAACTGGACCCTATCATCTGCTTTTACAAGTATCCTCATGGGATCCATGGAAAACAAATTAGTTCGAGTCCAAGAATTTCAAACTTTTCTTAACAAATCTATTCCAAATGGCCACTTTCCCGTGCACTTTCCTTAAGCAGGCCACATCAACATCTTTTATGGCATCACTCAGGGTTCTCTAAGATTAGCTGCATAATTTAATACCAAAAAAATGAATCAAGAACATTGTCAAATGTTTTTCCCTGAAAAATAAATAAAACTAAAACTATCGTCTATGAATCATCTATGTATAATTCATCTATTGAGACCTCTTTTGGCATCCGAGATTCCAGAAATCAAAGGTACTCATTTTCTAATACTGAGTGTATACAGTATACAAGAGTATTAGTATACTGAGTTTTCAGTTTTACAATCTGAGGAAAAAAAGTCAAACAATGTTGATTATACAGCTTCATATACACTAACCTTTTCTAACTTAATGTTTATACGCCATTTATTAAGGTAAATTAAGAAGTTATTTAATTAAGCATATAACATTTTGAAGAGAGGGTTAAAATTTTCTGTCAAGAGCTTACCTCTACCTACACTTGCTCAAGAGGTAGCATTACAGCCAAAACTCTGAAGACATTGGAATGGCCTGAGATACTCCACTTAGCTCAAACACAAAAACTATCTATTTCCCTTATTTATTGGCTCAAAAGATGAATATCATCTTAAATGTTTCATCGTGTTCCACAAGACAATGAAAGAGGAAGTAACCAATAGTAGAACAGTTATGCCTGAAGAATACTTCCTTCTCACGAAGACCCAGGACTACTTTACTGAGAAGAAAGTTGATCCCAAAACTCTAATTTGGCTTTCTATTCTGAACCTCTCCACTCCTCATATCCCTGTCTCCTTACTGAGACCTCAAATCCCTTGCCCCTCTCATTTTCTATTAGCAACCTCCTTCCCAAAACCTTTATTTCTTTCCCTTTCCAACTCAAATCCCATTCTGGATTAACCCCTCTTTCTATTCCTATACCATAAAATTCATGACCTTCAACCTCAAAAAGAATTTCTCTGCTAATATTACTCTTATGTGCTCCTTAGTCTCATGCCTCTCCCATTTCCTAATAGGCTCTTCCCAAGCCCGTGCCTGTCACAATGCTCAGTGAAGTACCTCACATCACCACTTAAAAATGAGACCATTCCCAGTCTGTCTGAATCAGCACTGTACCTTCCATGGTACAGTGTGTGTGAAATTTATCTTTTTCCTAAAGCTAATTTCTCAATCTATTCTAGGGAACTGATTAATTTCCATTTTAGATTCATCTTGACAACCGTTTACACTATTTCCCCTATATCTTCAAGACTACTGGGCTTGGTAAAGAGCCAGCCAACTATTAAAAAGATTACATTCTCATTTTCTAACTATATTCAGGCTTCTTGAATGACTCTGACCCTGTCCATAATATGGCATGTTCTTTCCTAACTGGGCACAAGAGTTTAGATTATCTTCAGCTAGTTTTCAGTATATAAAGGAATACACCTCTATGGTTCAATCAGGAAAGAGGACTTCTACAGGATTCTACTAAGGATCAATCTGGTTCTCAAATGTTACAGGTCTTCTTTTTGGTACAGAAAAGATATTTAACAGTGGTGCACAGGCCTGTCTTAAAAATCCTACTAGAGATATTCTCTAGTACCTCCATTACCCCTTTGTTTTCAAGATAAAGAGAGTTTCCGGGAAGATATTCACAACAGAAGAGGATATTTTTGAAGTGTTACTTTAAAGGAAGGTAAAATGGGTTTAGGCAATTTATTTTGAAGCTAAGCCAATGTAAGAATTCTAAAATAAATTGAGGGCATGTCACATCTTTAACAGATGCTCACCTGGGGAGAAAATGTCTGCAATATCTAAAATGTAGGGGATTATTAGATTTTTCAAACTCCTATAAATCAGCAAGAAAATGACAGAAAATATTAAGATTACCAAAAGACTTTAATGAAATCTGAACAGTTATTGAGTACAAGACATGTTCAACCTCACTAGAAATCAAATAAAATAAACTCAAATACCTTTATATCTTTATGCACACACAACAGCAATGAGTGCCTAAGTCTACTAAGACATGCACAAGAATGTTCCCGTTAGTAAAAAACTGAAAACCCAAAGGCTTATCTACAATAAATAATAAAGGATATACTTTATACATTCACACAATGGAGTATTATACGACGATGAAAAAAACAACTACACCCAACATGAGTAAATAATACAGACATAATCTTCACTGAAAGAAAACAGATACAAAAAAGTATACGTATATAACGTTCAAGAACAGGCAAATTTATGGAGAAGGCAGTCAGTAAGGTGTTTATCTTTGGGGGTTGTAATACTGAATGCGAGTGAGCACATGGAAGAAACTAGGGTTCTGGAAATGAACTGTATATTAATTTGGATAGTGGTTAGTTTTACCTTTCATATCTAAATTCATAAATACTTAAGTGAAGGTATTCATAATAGATACCCAAATTAAGAAAGTTCAAAGTTCATTTTCTTGCTTAGGTTTAAAATTTCCAATATTTATCACAAAATAAATAAGCATGTAGGATCAAGTTTTTAGAGTAGAATTTTGCAGGTAATTTTAAATCTCAAGCCCTATGAAGGTTACTAAAAAAAAAAAAATTCCCAAAATAGAAACATTAAAAAGGAGAAATAAGATATTTACTTCAAAAAATTACTCCTTTGGGGTCTTGCAGTATGATATATATGAGTTACTGCTCAGAATATATAGACTGTCCTCCTATCCTGTGCACTGGGATGCTCACTACCACTTCTTCAAATCCAGCTAAAAGCATCACGGCCTCAATGAAGCCTACTTCAGCCAGAACTGTTCACGTGCCTCCTCTCTGCTCGTGTCCTACATATTACCTAAGCAGAGCTCACCAACAATATTTTTCATCAACAGCTTAGAGCAGCGCTGCCAAATAAAAATACCATGTCGGTCATGTAAGTAATTTAAAATTTTCTTAGTAGCCACTTTTAAAATAGGAAAAAGGTGAAATCAGTCAATTTTATTTAACCCGATACATCCAAAATATTATCACTGCAGTATACAATCAATATAAAAAATTACGGAGATTTTCTTTTCCATGCTCAGTCTTAGAAATCTGTGGCATATTTTATATTTGCAGAACATCACAATTCAGACTACCCACATTTCAAAGATTAATAGCCACATGTGGCTACAGGCTGCTGTACTATTTAATAAAAAGTGCATATCTAGAGTCTAGCCCCTTGCTTTATAAAGTGTGATCTACCATCCAGCGGCATCAGCATCACCTGGGATCTTGTTAGAAATGTAGAAAGGCAGCCCATCTCAGAACTACTAGAAGAAATAAATTTAACAGGATACCCAGGATTGGAATGCGTAGCAAAGACTGAGAAGCAGTAAATTAGATCACATATAGCATGGGAGTTTTACAGAATTGCTATTGCCATTCAACTATGATATGGTATTATCCCACTGACTAATATAGAACACTATTTAAATAACAATAGTTTTTCTATGAATCATGTTTTCTCTACACTGTCCAATGCAATTTTCTACAATGATGAAAATCTTCATATATGTGCTGCACAAAATGGCAGCCACTTGCCACATGTGGCTGTTGAGCACTTGAAATGTATCTGGAGCAAATGAGAAATTGCATTTTAATTTAATTAATTTTAATTGATTTAAACATGTGGCAAATGACTATCATACTACATAGCACAACTCCAGGGGAATTGGTTACTATGTCACAGTGTCATCTCTAGGAGAATCCTTAGGACAAATTTGGAAAGTTCTAGTCAAGATAATTCTTTCGATTAACTGTACTTCCTCTGTTTTTTTGATTTTATGAAGTCATATTTACCATCTTACACTGGCTAAGGGCAAATTTGCATCTTACCTCTAGGGAAGCATAATGAAAGTTACAACACGTGCTTTGTGTGTATTAATATTATTCCAGCTTATCATCAATTAAAAATACCAATATGTAGACCTGTACAGGCTTTTTAATTCTCTGAGAAGGACCTGGATACTCTGGAGAATACAAATCTGTGAGGAATAATGAGTTGATTAATATCAACTTTCCCAATCCAGATTCGCCTAAAAGAAATAAGGGAAAATATCTGTTAAACTCACCCACTTTACTCAACCTTAAATATTCAACAGATGCTGTAATTGAACTTGCTTTATGCAAGTATTTCTTGGTGAGACAATGAAATGACATTAGAAAATATGCTACAAAGAATAAGTAACTTGTCCTCAGTTTCTTAGCTATCAAATTAAACTCACATTTCCAAGGATTCTTTTCAGCCTTCTAATTATACCACTTATATTCATTAAAAGTAATGTATCTAATAATTACATTTTTAACAGTAATGTATTCCCAAAGAAAAAAAGTCAGTCATTATTTAAAAATCCAAGTTGGATTATATATCACTGCTTCAGTGAAATAAAGTTTTTCTTTATTAATAGACAATAATGAATGAATAATAAACAAGAAATCATGCAGCTATAAAAAGCAAAAATCTGCTAATACAAAGAATAATTAATCACAATGAACATCTCCGTATAAAATTCTAAATCACAAAAAATACTTTCTAATTTTGCCGCCCATCAGCCTAAATATAAGGGTGCTTCTCCACAAACCAGAATCCAAAAAATCTTAGGTAATTACTTTTTCTACCACTTCTACTCAAGGTAGGAGGTAGACACGAAGGAAGCTAGGGCATGATTTCTACTCTGACCACATACTCTTTTTTGACTCTCCGTGTTTAGTCCAATATACATAGTCCGGTGTATAGTAATTATTACAAGTATACCAAAATATAAATGGCTTCAAGGTATATATAACCTAAGGTTAAAACAAATTATAAATCAGATTATGATAATTAACATGGCACAGAGTTAAAGTATTTATTGTTAATAACTCACTTAGCATAATAGGCATGTTTAGCCTAAGTAACTGGTGTCACAATATTTTTATGCCTAGGAGGAATTCTTTTTATATTAGCTCTCAAAAGAGATAAGATTCTCTCCGCGTGGTTTGGGCTTACCCCTTTGACTGAGAGCATGCCACTTTTTACTAGAGGTTGATGTATGACTCAACTTAGAGTTGAGGATGAAAAGTGGGGATCATAGCACCTGCCTATACCCTGGTACAGATCATATGATGTTGATTTATTTATTTGTGGAGTCAGGGTCTCGCTGTGTTGCCCAGGCTGGAGTGCAGTGGTACGATCATGGCTCACTGCAGCCTTGAACTCCTGGGTGTGGTGGTGCGCACCTGTAGTCCCAGCAACTCTGGCAGGCTGAGGCAGGAGAATCGCTTGAACTCAGGAGGCGGAGGTTGCAGTGAGCCGAGATTACGCCACTACACTCCAGCCTGGAGACAAAGTAAGACTCCATCTCAGGAAAAAAAAAATTTAAATTAAAAAGTTCTAGTATCTAAAATGAGCAAAATCGCCAGGCGCGGTGGGTCACACTTGTAATCCCAGCACTTTGGGATGCAGAAGTGGGTGGACCAGCCGAAGTCAGAGGTTGAGACCAGCCTGCAGTGAGCCGAGATTGCACCACTGCACTCCAGCCTGGGAGACAGAGTGAGACTCCATTTCAAAAAAAGAATTAGCCAAGCGTGGTAGCATGCACCTGTAGTCCTAGCTACCGGGGAGGCTGACAGGGAAGGATTCCTTGAGCCCGAAGGTCAAGGCTGCAGTGAGCCTTGTTTGCACCAACTCACTCCAACCTGGGCAAGACCCCATCTCAAAAAAGAAAAAAAACCCACAAAAACAAAAAACAAAACAGAACAGAACAGCATCACTTCCTTATCATTAGTTTGAAGGAAGTGAATTGCCTGTAAAAGTTTCCATTTTCAAAAAAAGTATTAAAATATAGTGTAAAGCCAGGCACGATGGCTCATTCCTGTAATCTCAGCACTTTGGGAGGCTGAAATGGATTGCCCCTGGAGGTCGAGGCTGCAGCTGAGCGATTCTCCCGCCTAAGCCCGGCAAGTAGCGGAGACTACAAGTGCGTGCCACCATGCCCAGCTAATTTTTTGTATTTTTGTAGAGACAGGCTTCCACCATGTTGCCCAAACTAGTCTGGAATTCCTGAGCTCAAGTGATCCACCCGCTTCCGCCTCCGCCTCCCAAAATGCTGGGATTACGGGCGTGAGCCACCGGGCCTGGCCCAATTACTTTCTTCAGTCTGAGCATGAGCGCTGGAAGAAAAGCTCTCACTTGCATATAATTTTTTAGAGACAGAGTCTCCCTCTGTTACACAGGCTGGAGTGCAATGGCGCAATCTCAGCTCACTGTAACATCAACCTCCAGTGCTCGATCGCTTATATAATCTCAGCTCACTGTAATCTCAACCTCCCGGGCTCGATCGCATATATATACACACATATATTTGTTTGTTTAGACGGAGTCTTGGTCTGTTGCCCAGGCTGGAGTGCAGTGGCGCGATCTCCGCTCACTGCAACCTCCGCATCCCGGGTTCAAACAATTCTCTGCCTCAGCCTCCCGGGTAGCTGGGATTACAGGCACCAGCCACCACGCCCGACTAATTTTTGTGTTTTTAGTAGAGACGGGGTTTCAGTGAAACCATGCTGGCCAGGCTGGTTTTGAACTCCTGTCCTCGTGATCCACCTGCCTCGACCTCCCAAAGTGCTGGGATTACAGGCGTGGGCCACCTCGCCCAGCCGACTGCTTATATTTTTAAAAAGATGTTTTCTTCATTTCCTAGCCCCTTCTACCCCGCTACAAAGTTTCAAAGACTTAATGCTATTACAAAGGGCCGTCAGAGGTCAAGCTCAGGGGTGCAGCTCCCTCATGCCAGGCAGCCTCAGAGGGGGCCGACCCTACCCAGGATGAGCGGCGCCAGGTAGCCGGGGACGCTCCCGGGGATCCCCGGGCCCTGGCTGGGGGAGGCGTTGTGGGGCGCACGTACCCAGGCTCAGATGAGGCGAGTGGGCGGCCGGGGCTGCAGCTGGCGCTGGCCATTGAGGAGCTTCTGCGCGACAGTGCGATCGGTTGCACCTTCTGCGACAGGTGCCGGCCGGTTGGCGCGCAGCGCCTGCTAGCGCAGAGTCTGGCCCTTGCTGCGCCCGGCCCCGAAGACCGGGAAGTCGTAAAGCTCCTCCTCGCAGCTTATGTGCGGCGGCGGCCGGGCAGAAGCCTAGCGACACAGAACTGCCAGCTCAGCAGCCGGTTACATCCCGCCCGGCCACCCGTAGGCAGCGTCCGCTCATGCGCGCTCCTGGAAGAACCAGCAGCCCCACCGCGAGTTCCGATTGGCTCTGCGTGAGTGGTAGTTCCCTGCGACGTCACAAGAGCGCGCCTTCCGTGACGTCACAAGGGCGGGTCTTCGCCGACACCATAGAGGTGGGCCTTTGGCGACGTCAGAGGCGCGGGTGTTCGGCTGCGTCACTGGGGCGCTATGGTGCCTGGAGCTGGGCAGTTTTCTCGTCAGAGTGGGGACTGGTAAGAGCGACCTCCCCGCCAGGTCCTGTGTGTTGCCGGCTGAAGAAGGGTAGCTGAAAAATTCAGACCCAGCACAGTGTTTATGTTGGTCAAAAATAGAAAACTATGTCTGGCGCGGCCGAGGCGGGAGGACCCTTCAGGCCAAGAGCAGCGTAGCAACATGGCGCAACCCCATCTCTGTAGTCCTACCTCAGCCCCCCAGCTACTTGAACCCAAAGGTTCAAGGCTCCAGTGAGCTATGATCCCACCACAGCATTCCAGCCTGCGAGATTGAGGTAAACCCTGTCTAAAAAAATTAAAAAAACTATCCAGGTGTGCAACAGGGAGGGACTGCTAAATAAAACATGAGGCTGGCTGGGCCCTACTGTAATCCCAGCACTTTGGGAGGCCGAGGCGGGAGGATGGATGGCTTGGGCTCAGGAGTCGAGACCAGCCTGGGCAACATGACGAAACCCCGTCTCTACAAAAGATACAAAAATTAGCCGGGCGCGGTGGGCACCTGGCCTAATTTTTGTATTTTTTTCTAGAGATGGGGTCGGGGGGGGGGCCTCGCTATGTTGCCCGGGCCAGTTTCAAACTCCTGAGTTGAAGCGATCTTCTCACCTTGGCCATCAGAGTTGTCGGGATTACAGGCGTGAGGGACAGCGCCCCACCTGGGTTAGGCTACTTAATAACATAAGAAAGTGCTCCGCCAGGCTCAGTGGCTGACACCTGTAATCCCAACACTTTGGGAGGCCAAGGCGGGTGTATCACCTGAGGTCAGGAGTTGGAGACCAGCCTGGCCATGGTGAAACCCAGTCTCTACAAAAAATACAAAAATCAGCCGGCCATGGTGGCGCATGCCTGTAGTCCCAGCTACTTGGGAGGCTGATAAAGGAGAATTACTTGAACCCGGGAGGCGGAGGTTGCATTGGGCCAAGATCGCACCACTGCACCCCAGCCTGGGCGACACAGCGAGACTCCAAAGTTTGACACCAGCCTGGCAATGTAGTGACACCCTGTCTCTACAAAACAAACAAACAAAAACCCAGGCATAATGTGTCCACCTGTGGCTCTAGCTAGTTAGGAGGCTGAGGCAGGAGGATCACTTGAGGCCAGGAGCTCAAGGCTGCAGTGAGCTATGATAATCCCACTGCTTCCCATCCTGAGCAATAGAATGAAAGCAGGTCTCTAGATAGCTAGCTAGCTAGATAATTGATACGTAGTTTTGTATCAAATTTTTTCCCTGGATTTGAGCATGTTTTTCTAAAGTAGCATTCAACACATCAGCATTTTACAGTGTTATTATTTGTTAATATGATTATGTTTTTCTGAAATACAGTGTCCTTTACAAAAGCAGTTTTGTCTTTCAAAGCACATAGATAAGGCCCTCAAGTGAATTTGTCTGATGTTGGCGACCTTGGTACCATTTTGTCCACTTGATTGGAAAAGCCAGTCAATAATTTCAGGTCACTGTTGGCCTTAGAAGAAGAGCCTAAAGGCAACAAGCAAAGGCGCTCGTGTCCAGTCGCCTTCTAGGAGCATTTTCACTTTCCCTTAAGGTTTCCCTTGATGAACATAGAAGTACTGTATGTAGAATTGACCCAGTGCTGCCCTGGCAACTTTGTATATTAGGCCAAATTTACATTTCTTACCTTTATGAGAGGCACCCTGGTAGGCTAGTGGAGTTACACACAAAGTGTGATCTCAGCTGCACTGTCCAGAAATGCAACACAGTCCAATCAAATAACATTCTCTGAGCCCGTTTCTTTAGCTGTGAAAGAAGAATAACATACCCATCTAAAAAGGCAGCTTATTGTATTTGATTGGTCTTTTATTTTCTATGAAACTGTGTTTAACACAGTAATTATTTTCATTTGTGTACTACATTTGTGTTGTGTTTTTGGTTTTAGTTTTGTTTTTGAAATGGAGTCTTTTTTAGTGGTTTTTTGTTTTGTTTTGTTTTTGAGATGGAGTCTTTCTATTGTCACCCAGGCTAGAGTGCAGTGGCGTGATCTCCGCTCACTGCAACCTCCACTTCCCAGGTTCAAGTGGTTCTCCTGCCTCAGCCTCCTGAGAAGCTGGAATTACAGGTGCCCACCACCATGCCCAGCTAATTTTTTAAATATATTTTTAGTAGAGATGGGGTTACAACATGATGCCCAGGCTGGTCTCAAACTACTGACGTCAAGTGATCCACCCGCCTTGGCTTCCCAAAGTGCTGGGATTATAGGCATGAGCCACCGCGCCTGGCTTGTTTTAAAATAAGGGTTTCTTGGCTAGGCATGGTGGCTCATACCTGTAATCCCAGCACTTTGGGAGGCCAAGGTCAGTGGATCACCTGAGGTCAGGAGTTCGAGACCAGCCTGACCAATATGGAGAAACCCTGTCTCAACTGAAAATACAAAATTAGCCAGGCGTGGTGGTGCATGCCTGTAATCCCAGCTACTCAGGAGGCTGAGGAAGGAGAATTGCTTGAACCCAGGGGGCAGAGGTTGCAGTGAGCTGAGATCGCACCATTGCACTCCAGCCTGGGCAATGAGCAAAACTCTGTCTCAACATAAAAAAAAGATTTCTTAAAATGATATTTTCAGTATTTTATAGATGATGTGTAAGCAGCAATCTTAATAGGATGTTACCCGACACTTTGCGAGACTGGCAGCTGATTTGATCCGGATGTCTCTAATTCTTTTTTCTTTTTCTTTTTCTGTTTTTTTTTTTTTTTTTTTTTTTTTTGACAGAGCCTTGCTCCGTCCCCCATGCTGGAGTGCAGTGGCACGATCTCGGCTCACTGCAACCTCCACCTCCCGGGTTCAAGTGATTCTCCTGCCTCAGGCTCCCGAGTAGCTGGGATTACAGGCGCGCGCCACCATGCCCAGCTAATTTTTTGTATTTTTGGTAGAGACAGCGTTTCACCATGTTGGCCAGGCTGGTCTCGAACTCCTGACCTTAGGTGATCTGCCTGCCTCGGCTTCCCAAAGTGTTAGGATTACAGGCGTCAGCCACTGTGCCTGGCCCAGATGTCTCTAATTCTAACATGAGATGTTTTGCAGGATCATAGCAGAGTGAGTTGCTGATGTATCCAGAAGGAAACGAGCATGGAACTCTCACGACAGCTGTCCTAATAAGTGTGTGTGTGCTGTGCTTGAATATCTCACTGCTCATTTATACACAGGCTTTCTGGTGACTGAGTTAACAGTATCTGTTTCATAAATAATGTAGCCCTCTTTCTTTCTCTCTCTCTCTCTTTTTTTTTTTTTTTTTTTTTTTTTTTGAGACAGGGTCTTGCTCTACTACCCAGGCTGGAGTGCAATGGTGCAGTCTCAGCTCACCGCAACTTCAGCCTCCTGGGTTCAAGCGATTCTCCTGCCTCAGCCTCCCAAGTAGCTGGGATTACAGGCATGCGCCACCACGCCTGGCTAATTTTTTCTTTTTTTTTTTTTTGAGACGGAGTTTCGCTGTTTTTGCCCAGGCTGGAGTGCAGTGGCACAATCTCGGCTCACCACAATCTTTGCCTTTCGGGTTCAAGGGATTCTCCTGCCTCAGCCTCCCGAGTAGCTGGGATTACAGGCATGTGCCACCACACCCGGCTAATGTTGTAGTTTTAGTAGAGACGGGGTTTCTCTATGTTGGTTAGGCTGGTCTCAAACTCCTGACCTCAGGTGATCTACCCGCCTCGGCCTCTCAAAGTGCTGGGATCACAGGCATGAGCCATCACTCCTGGCCTAATTTTTGTATTTTTAGTAGAGAGAGGGTTTCACTCTGTTGGCCAGGCTGGTCTCGAATTCCTGACCTCAAGTTATCTGCCTGCCTCGGCCTCCCAAACTGTTGGAATTACAGGCGTGAACCACCATGCCTGGCCAGCTCTATTTCTTTAAGCCTACATGTTTTGCACTTGTTAAAAGTATTTGAACATACAATTACTCAGCTTCCCTTGTTTACGCGTGAATTTTGTATAATCTTAAATATTTTTTCCAATCTAAGCTTTATTTTATCCCGTTTCTTCTATATTTGTATAACTTTAGGAGGCTATCTTCATTGAAAGTTTTTTCTCAAAAGCCTTAAGATAGAACATAGTTCTTGGCAGCAATTTGAAAGTTATTTGAGGAGAAGGGGAGACTTACAATGATGATTCAAATGAAGGAAACTAAAAAGTAATGAAGCAAGGCAGAGGAAAAAGCAGTATTCACTTGAGCACATCCCAAAAGAATAACATTTCAAATGTAACTAGAAAAAAGTATGCTGAAGTTCGCAATACAGAAATAATTATTAATAAGATAGCTTTAAAGCCCTGCTCAGCTTTTGAATGTTGGGAATTGACCCAGAGGTGGCTGTAACCTAAGATGGTTCCTTCAGTAATGACCATTTTTTCTTTTTCAAGATGATGATTATTCCCCACCTTCTAAGAGACAAAGACCAACGAGCCACCACAGCCACCAGTCCCAGAACCCGCCAATGCTGGGGAACGGAAAATGAGGGAGTTCAACTCTGGTAAGTTCTCAGCGAAATCCATGACCTTTTCCTTTATCTTCTGGACTCTCAATGTGACTGATGAAAGTTACCACATGCTCTGCAGGGGGAAATGGTTTAGCATGTGTTACTACATCTTAATCACATCTTTGTAAAGCCAGGAGCATTTTACAAGTCACGTTACAGACATTGTTTAAACATAGTCTGTATTTACCAAAGTATAGGACATTGTATCATCTCATATTAATTAGTCAGTTGGCTCAAAATTAGTGCTAATGACTTAGTAATTCAGTGATTTCTGTTAGCTTTAAAACCTTTATTTCAGAACTATTTCACCTTTTGGTTTTCATTTTTGCTGTGTGTCACTGCCTGCCGGCTGCTAATTTATTAACTCCCAGTGAATCATGTGTCCTGTGAAGGGACTGAATATTAGTGGCAATTTATGTTGATGATTTGTATTTTGAATAAATAGTTTGAATACATAGAACATTAAGCTTGTATACGTTTTGAAAATAGTATTTTAATATTCTACTGTGTCATAGTTACAACGATTGGATATATATTGAATTTATATGTACTTTAAGTTGTTCTATGTTTATGGTCTTTAGCATTCTAACGTGCAATTGTATATCTGTTAAGTCTTTTTTTTTTTTCAAGATTAGACTGATTTATTGAGGCATCTGTTTGATGCCACATTAAGTGGCCCAGGCTTTGTGTAGGGGTTGAGGTTAAACAGGAAGAAGGGTGGTGAGAGGCGGGGCACCAGGATTAGGTTGGAATACCTGGGGGTGCTCTGAGGTTTGTGTTTTTGTTTTTGTTTTTTTGAGGTGGAGTCTTGCTCTGTCATCCAGGCTGGCAGTGGCGTGATCTTGGCTCACTGCAATGTCTGCCTCCTGGGTTCAGGTGATTCTCCTGCCTCAGCCTCCTGAGTAGCTGGGACTACAGGCGCCCGCCACCATGCCCTGCTGTTTTGTATTTTTGGTAGGGAGGGGGTGGGGGTGGGGCTAGGGAGGGGGGTTTTGGCTATGTTGCCCTGAGCTCAAAGCGATCCGCCTGCCTCTGCTGCCAAAGTGCTGGGATTACAGGCCTGCACCACTGCACCCGGCTGCTGTAAAGTCTTATTTCACACAGCTGAGACATGTTTCAGGAAGTTTGCTAAAAGACCCCTGGAGACCGCCTCATTGTGACCTCCCTTTTATTGTGTTTAATTTGATTGAACTTTTCTGCCCTCCTGCTTTTCAGCTTCTCTAATAGTCTCCCATTAAACCAATTCTAAGAACCACCAAAAAGGGGAAATTTTTTCTTGAAAGCAGTAAAATGATATGGACTGTTAGAATGTAAAATATATGAAATCAGTCATTATACGTTAGTGCTGCTCTGACATAGGGACGTATTATTGAGAAGCAACTTTTGCTTGATTTTCAGAGAAATGGAATCATCGTATCGCTGATCTACGTAAACAAACTGAAGAATTGTCTGAAAGAAAATATGGTATGTCTAAACTGGAAAAGTCCTGTAATCTTATGTTCATGGGCGTTTACACAATGGAGTTACTGTTCATCATGGGGGTACCGTGGACAAGCCCAGGGCTGCCGGTGAGTCATGCCATCCTTACACGTTTCTCCTTGTAAGGTGCTTTGTAGTGTCTACACACTTTGTTTCTAGATTGCTGCAAAGCTGAGGAAAAGTTGTATTTCTTTAGTTAGCATTTCTTCTAAACTTTCAGTATGGAGATTGGAAATTTATTTACGTATTTATTGCAAAGCCCTGGATCTTAGGAATTTCACTGAATTATTTATTTATTTTTTTTGAGACGGAGCCTCACTCTGTTGCCCAGGCTGGAGTGCAGTGGCACGATCTCGGCTCACTGCAACCTCCGCCTCCCGGGTTCAAGCAGTTCTCTGCCTCAGCCTCCCGAGCAGCTAGGATTACAGGCACCAGCCCTTGTATTTTTAGTAGAGACGGGGTTTCATGATCTTGGCTAGGCTGGTCTTGAACTGCTGACCTCCTGATCCACTCACCTCAGCCTCCCAAAGTGCTGGGATTACAGGTGTGAGCTGCCATGCCTGGCCAAATATTATTTTTTTAAATGAATTGTTTCTCTTAGTCTGCTTTGTTAAATTTGGAATCCATCTGGGCGCGGTGGCTCACACCTGTAATCCCAGCACTTTGGGAGGCCAAGGCAGGCAGATATCTAGGTCGGGAGTTCGAGACCAGCCTGACCAACATGGAGAAACCCTGTCTCTACTAAAAATACAAAATTAGACGGGTGTGGTGGCGCATGTCTGTAATCGCAGCTATTCGGGAGGCCAAGGCAGGAGAATCGCTTGAACCCAGGAGGCAGAGGTTGCAGTGAGGCGAGGTTGGCACCATTGCACTCTAGCCTGGGCAAAAAGAGCAAAACTCCATCTCAAAATAAATAAATAAGTAAAATGTTCAGTACACACCAAGGTGCCCCTGTTGTCTCTACTTTTATCTTGATGCATCACTGAATTGATGTTAGATTTCAAATTCATCATTGCCCTGATACTATTCTATCCTGAAGCCACCTTTATATAGTGATGAAAGAAATTAGCGATTTGTTATTATCCTCTCTCTGTTGGTATACATCAAATACTCACCTAAAAAAGAGCAACAACCAGTGGAAAACATGATGTTTTTATTTGGGTGACTGTTTACTTGTAACCTACTAGCAAACTATAAAATTGTATGATATGCAGAATTTTAACTGAATTGCTTTAAGTGAACATTTAGACATGATAAACAATATTGATGGTATTTATGTTAATATACTTAAAATGAACATTTTTCTTCATCATGAGTAATATAACCTACTCCTCAATGAAAACCTAGCACTAAATTTGCTAATGAATTCAATAACATTTCCATAATATTTTTAGTTACATGCTTAAGGTTCTCTTAGTGTTTCTCCCACTTTTTAATAGCTTATGCCTTTTTCACCTTTTGTTTTTTTTTTGGTTCATTTTAAAGCAAAAATCTCACAACATGTGATATCTGGAAACACTGTAACCTAGTGGTAAGACCATAGGCCCTGGGGACACAGGCTGGCCACGTCTCTTCTCCTGTCTGAGCTTTATTGTCCTCTTTTGTGGTCATGAGAACTGAAGATCTGTCCCGAAGATTTGATAAGATAGTAAAGTGCTTCACATAATACCAGACGTATAAATACACAGTAAATGCTTCCTCCTTATATTTTTATTGATTGATTGATTGAGACAGAATCTTGCTCTCTTGCCCAGGCTGGAATGCAGTGGCGTGATAATGGTTTCTGCAACCTCCACCTCCTGGGTTCAGGCAATTCTCCTGCCTCAGCCTCCCGAGTAGCTGGGATTACAGGTGCCTGCCACCATGCCCAGCTAATTATTGTACTTTTAGTACAGACGGGGTTTTACCATGTTGGCCAGGCTGGTCTTGAACTCCTGACCTCATGATCTGCCTGCCTCGGCCTCCCAAACTGCTGGGATTACAGGTATGAGCCACTGTGCCCAGCCTGTCTTTTCTCTTCACACCCACAGTTCATGATGAAATATTAAATATGTACTAGTGGATATTACTTTGCTGAATATTGCCTAGTGAATATTAAGTATTTATTCTCACCTTTCAGACATGAACTTATGAATTCAACAGGTGAAGATTTACAACTTGATAAATCAACTTTGTGAGGTACGTCTTCAGTCTTAAGTCAGATTAGAAGATTATGTGAGGTAATTAACACTTAACATTGATTTAATGGTAGCTTCCACATGAAATAGTATGCCTCTAAGTATTAATTATGTCCTAGGACAGGAGAATTCATGTTGTCAAAATTCTCATACTCTCTAGAACAATAAACTCATTTTCTTTTTATTAGTAAATATTGCATTTATGGGTAGACAAAACTGAAAGAACAATATTTGTTCTACTTTTGAGATGCAAGATTCATCTGGCATAATGCATTTGAACAGGTTATTATTGAAGTCTACACCAGTCAACTGAATAAGCATTCATCAAATGTCCATGATATGCAGGACATAAGTTTTCTTTTAGAGTATGGAACCATGCATATTATCTTTTAATTAGATGATTTAGTTAGATATGTTTTTAAAGAACTAGAAATATAATTGATTTTCTTGTTTTGGCTCTGGAGTGGAGTTGGGACGAAACAGAATGGATTCACACTGTTTAGATTTACTAAAATGGAAGGATTGCAGCAAGATCATATCCCTAGTCTCCCCATAGCAAATGTCACCTGCTAGCTGTTTTTTTTTTTTTTTTTTTTTTTTTGGAGGTTGAAATTTTGTTCTGTCACCCACGCTGGAGTGCAGTGGTATGATCTCAGCTCATGGCAAGCTCACCTCCTGGGTTCAAGCAATTCTCCCTGCCTCAGCCTCCTAAGTAGCTGGGATTACAGGCCTCTGCCACCACGCCTGCCTAATTTTTGTATTTGTAGTAGAGTTGGGGTTTCACCATGTTGGCCAGGCTGGCCTTGAACTCCTGACTTCAGGAGATTCACCCGCCTCAGCCTCCCAAAGTGCTTGGGATTATGGGTGTGTCACTGCACTTGGATTTAATGGGATATTTCACTACAGACTTTGGTAAACAGAATATTAGCATTTTTGGTGTTCTTTTTATTTTACTCATACTATTTTTCTTTGGACTCAATCACAATAACAGAATTAAAGATCAAAATGTAAAAGTTAAAGACCAGTACAGATTCAATAATTATTCTTTTCTATATACTGCGTTTAAATGATATCCCTTTTTCTTTTTGTTCTTATAGCTCGAGCTGTAAAAGCCAAAGGTCTGGTGATGATCCCATACCCTTTTTTCCAGTCTCATGTTGAAGATTTTTATGTAGAAGGCCTTCCCAAAGGAATTTTTTTTTTTTTTTTTTTTTGAGATGGAGTTTTCACTCTTATCGCCCAGGCTGGGGTGCAATGGCGCAACCTTGCTGGTCACTGCAACCTCTGCCTCCTGGGTTCAAGAAATTCTCCTGCCTTAGCCTCCCAAGTCGCTGGGATTATAGGTGCCCACCACCACACCAGGCTAATTTTTGTATTTTTAGTGGAGATGGGGTTTCACCATGTTGGCCGGGCCAGTCTCGAACTCCTGATGTCAAGTGATCTTCCCGCCTCGACTCCTGACATCAAGTGATCTTCCCGCCTCGGCCTCCCAGAGTGCTGAGATTACAGACGTGAACCCATGCCTGGCCAGGAATTTTGTTTTTTAGGAAGGCTTTCTACTAATGGAATTCCTGGCCTTGAGAGGATGTTACTTTCGAAGGAAAGGATTTTTTTGTTATTAAAAGGTAAGATTCCTGGATTCTTATTGGACTGTTATCTCTGTTATGAGTAATCCATCTTTAGTCATTCACCACTAGGGTTGTATTTAATTAAGTCTGAGTTATTTTATGGTGGTTTTGTTTTGTTTTGTTTTGTTTTTACCGAATTTTGTTCTCATTGCTGTGGCTTGAGGGCAATGGCATGATCTCAGGTCACCACATTCTCTGCCTTCCAGGTTCAAGCAATTCTCCTGCCTCAGCCTCCTGAGTAGCTAGATTTACAGGCATGCGCCACCATGCCTGGCTAATTTTTTGTATTTTTAGTAGAGATGGTGTTTCACCATGTTGACCAGGCTGGTCTAGAACTCCTGACCTTGGGTGATCCACCCGCCTCGGCCTCCCAAAGTGCTGGGATTACAGGCATGAGCCACTGCGCCCAGCCTGGGCCTGCTTCTTTCTCTTTTTTTTTTTTTTTCATTAGCAGCTTAAAATTGGTGCCTTATTCAGACACAAGCAAAAGGACATTAGCCCAGCTTTGGAAATAGGTGAGAGCCCATCTATGATTTTCCTAGTTTCTCCTCCCCCTTTGCTTTTTGCTCTCTTGTTAGTATATTAATTGTTTTCACTCTCTGAATCTTTTTTCCCCATTTCTTTGGAAGACATTTTTACTTGTCTTGGAAGAGTAGGTGAAGAGCTGTTTTTAGGACTCTTTGAAAGGGTACAGTATGGGTGACAGTCTTGGCTAATGGTAACATCCAGGGAGCTGGGGTCAGCGTGAGCTGGAATCAGTTCAAATTAGCAAAGCACTGGCACTCAGTGGCAGGAATACAAGTGACTGCAAAGTGTTAAACACATCTGGAAAGGGATACTGACATCATCCTCAGAATCTGTGGGGAGTTCACATAGCCAGTTAAGACCCATTCCTCTTTGACCCTATAAAGATTCTTTAAAGAATAATACCCTTAGTGGTTTTCTAGCCAGCTTGCCTGCTCATTTATCTTTGAGGACGACATGCCTTGTGGAGCTCCACAGGCCCCAGAGGGGTATGGATTCTGCATTTAAAAGTGCTGAAGCTGAGAGACTGGGTCTTGGTGGACCCCGAGAGGTCTGTTTCTCCTCTACTCATTGTTCCTTTTTTTCCCAACAGCTGGCATTGCTGTTTAAATGGGTTGTTCTTTGCTGTTTTAAGTTGTTTCATAGTGGTGTGTCAGGATTTGGGTTTTCTTAATACTTTCCAAGCTGGTGACTTGAGTGGTGGTTAGGGCGGAAATGTTTTAGGGCTGTTCTGGAGCTATTGAGGTCAGGTGTCTAGATACTCCCAGCTTGTCTGTTGAGGAGAATGCTGTTCTCATTGTGCTGCCTTTGGTGGTGCTGTGTGTGGCTCTTTAGATGTGGGTGGAGGTGAGCTGGGGGAGTTAATGAGATCTTTTTTAGGTGCTTTTGATAAAGTAGCCTGCACTACAGGATTCACTGTGACTTTTTTCCTTAACCTATGCATTTCTCTCTGCTAGCTTTTGCTGTCTTTCTCATGCCTTTGATTTTCCCAGCTCCTCTTAGTTGAATTAACCTAAGTGCTCTGCTATGGTTTAAATGTGTCCCCCAAAGTTTATGTGCTGGAAACTCAATCCTCAATGCAACAGTTGGGATGTGGGGCCTAATAAAATAGCCTTCATGAATGAGTTAATGTTGTTATTGTGGTAATAGATTAGTAATCACAGAGTGGGCTTATTATAAAACAGAGTTCAGCCCCTTTTGCCCTCTTGCCTTCTTGCACTCTCTTTTCCTTCTGCCTTCTGTAGTGGGATGATGCGGCAAGAAGACCCTTACCAGATGCAGGCCCCTCAACCTTGGACTTCCTAACATCCAGAACTGTTAAGAAATAAAATTTATTCCTTTCCTTTCCTTTTCTTCCTCCTTTCCCTTCTCCTCCCTTTTCTTCCCTTCCCCTCCCTCCCTCTCTCTCTCCCTCCCTCCCTCCTTCCCTCCCTCCCTCCTTCCCTCCCTCCCTCCTTCCCTCCCTTCCTCCTTCCCTCCCTTCCTCCTTCCCTCTTTCTCTCTTTCCCTTCCTTCCTTTCCTTCTTTCCCATCCTTTCCTTCCCTCCTTCCCTTTTTCCCTCCTTCCCTCCTTCCTTCCTTTTTTCTTTCCTTCCTTTTTTCCTTTTTATAAATTATGCAGTCTGTGGTATTCTTTTATTGAAGCATGAAATGGACAAAGACTCCATTTTCAAGAGCAAGCACTTTTGTAGTTTCTGAGCGAATTATGACTGCAAAGGAAGTTCTATAGGTAGCCTCAGATCCACTACCTAGGAAGCATGCTACCAAGCAGACCTAGGATCTAGGATTTGATCAAGTGCTGGGCAACATGATACCTCTGCAATTTAGCACTTCCCTATATACCTCCAGTTGGCTCAGCCCATTAGGGCTAAAACTACCCCTCATATCCTAGTGTCTCTTGTAGACAGAAGCCTTGCCTAAACCCTAAGCTGCTTGGCTCGCATTCTGTCTTGTGCTTTTTTTGTAGGGGGTTCAAATATACACAAAAGAAATATGTTGAACCTCCATGCACCCAACCTGCAGATTAAGCAGTTACCTCCATTTTTCCAGATTTGTTTCGTCTGCTTCAATCTCCCTAAAAATTTATGTTTGTACAGGAAAGACTGAATAAATAGCTAGTTCTCCACCCTACCTCTCATCTTAAGTCACTTTTCAGAGTAGTAAGTTAGTGACCTAGTAACCTTCCCTCTAATGACCAGTAGTTTTTTCTTCTGAATACCATTATGAACTCATAGATTATTGTTTGCATTTGATGTATTTCAGGCCATTGCAGTCTTTATTGTTTTGGATGCTTACATTGTCTCATCTAGGTTAATAATTATCTCTTCAAGTTGACTTTCATGTCTTTTTGACGTGATCCTGTTGGACTTTGATGGCTTCCTTGCTTTCTGGCAAAAAAGATGTTCCAGGATCAATATACTGCACCATACATGGAGTCAGCCATTTCTCTAGGGAACCTTGATTCCTTTTAGTAGAGAACACAGTTTGAGGTCTTGGACTGAATGACTTTTGTGAACCTCCTCTCCTGAGACTACAGCCTGCATCCCTGCATATAGCCCGTTTGGAGCTTTTGCTGGGCACCAACAGATCTCCTAAAACTGCTATATAGTTCTGCCTCACTCTTAAAAAGATTCATCTCTTGAGAGTTCTGTGCTCTACCCCCAGATGTGGTCTTTCTGGTTCTGAAGCTTTTGCTTCAGTCACCCTGAATTTTGCCAGCCCTATGCATGCTATACCTTGGATTGCCAACTTGCCCTCACTGAAGCCAGTTTCTCTGGTTAGAATAGTTGCCCAAACCCATGCCTAATACTCTAGTAAACAAGGTTCTACCTGGGCTTAGGTTAACTTTTGCTCCTTTGGGCCCTGTGTTCTACCAGCATTCCATTTATCTGAAATTCTCCCTCACCTTAAGAACTTATCTGTTCTTTAATGATTTACTGCTGCTTCCTGGGCTCGAAAGAACCCAGTTCAGGAGTTTCTGTTTTAGTTTGAGATCTTATAGGCCTGTCTCATCAGGTTGGTGTCAGCCCAGCTAGGATTAGGCAGAATTGGGTGGGGGCTGTAGTGCATTTTTGGCACAGCATGTACCTGTCTGACTAATTCTCTGTCTTTTCTTTCCTGTTGCAATTCATGGGTCTTAGCATCTTCTGAATGGTGTTTAGTAGGTCATCCTGTTGATTTCCTGCTGGGGGTAGCATACTCTGGCTCTGTACCATTGGCCAAGGGACTTAAGGATAGATGAAGGGCTGCAGTTTTGTTAAATGGAACAATATGAAGAGATGGCATTGTAAAAAAAAAAAAAAGGCTTGGCAGCAGGGCCCATTTGAATGGTTGGTCCTTGGCTCCTTTGTTGATATAGGGAGATCCTTGATGGGAATTTGGAATGATCCCAAATATTGTAGATCACTGGTACATCAAGTCATCCTCAAGGTTGTCTGTGTAACAGTCTTGAATGATATTTTGTCAGTCTTTGGAGATTCTCTGTATAGGGTTTAATCATTTAGTTAGTTGAGCCTGTTTAGTTTCTTTGCAAGGAGATAAGAAATGTGAAAGAGATGCAGACATTAGGGAAAAAAAGTCAGGAGCCTTGTTCCCCCATCCTCTACTTGGGTTCTGGAACTAGACTCATAGGTGAGTAGTGAGGAGCTGGTCCCAAGCACATTAATCCTAGATCTAGCTCTGCTTTGCGCTCGCTCCAGTTCTTGTATCAAATTCACTTCAAGCCACCCAGAGTAGTATGTAGAGGAGTCATTCAGGACCGTGCTCATACTTCATTGTATCAAATTGGAGATCCAGTAATTTATAGCCTATTGTTTCTGGAGCCTGGAGATGGCTCTGCATAAGATTTGCCGAAGCAAATTTTATTACATTAGAAGAGAACCTAGCTGGCTGCATCCTACACTGGAAGCTTTTAGATGCTAATAAGGAGGTCATGTAAAGGTCACAGAATGATTCTGGAATCCATTCCCCGCCAAGAAAGAATAATGACATTCTATGTTGGCCTCTTTTCATTTCCCTTTGATTTTGAGTAATAAATTCTCTCCTCACTTCCCAGTTGAACTGTTTGGGAGTCTCTATTCCCTAGAAAGACTCTGGTCACATACCCATCAGATTAAATTAGGTGAAAACTCTTTGGCCTTCATGAATGTTGAAGGATTTCAAAGGGCTAATGGAAATTCTTCTAGAAGTAACTGCAACCTCCGCCTTCCGGGTTCAAGCGATTTTCCTGCCTCAGCCTCCCAAGTAGCTGGGATTACAGGTGTCCACCACCATGCCCAACTAATTTTGGTATTTTTAGTAGAGACGGGGTTTCACCATGTTGGCCAGGCTGATCTAGAACTTTTGACCTCAGGTGATCCGCCCGCCTCAGCCTCCCAAAGTGCTGGGATTACAGGCGTGATCCACCGTGCCCAGTTAAACTTCAGTTTTTCATGTTCCATGCATTGGTCAGGGTCTTAGGGAGTGATTCATTCTAGCAGAACTCCCTGGATTTTAAGACAGATGTTCCATTTATTAATTGACAAAGGAGGCATATTTCTCCCCTGGTAACCCAAAGATTTAGGTCATTTTCCCAGAGACTCCATTTCCACTGTGAGGGTTCTTGGAAAACTAAGCAGAGGATGAGGAAAAGTCTGTGAACAAGCTTGCTGGTCTCTCCCTGTCCTACAAAAGAGCATACCTCTTCTGTAACCAGAAGGCCCTTTTGATTAGTCAAGGCTGGACAGACTGAGATTGGGGGTGGGTGTGTGTGTGTGTGTGTGTGTGTGTGTGTGTGTGTGTGTGTTTGTGTGTGTCTTGAGACAGGGTCTCACTGTCACCCAGGCTGGAGTGCAGTGGTGAGATCAGAGCTCACTGCAGCTTCCACTTCCTGGGCTCAAGCGATCCTCCTATTTCAGCCTCCAGAGTAGCTGGGACTATACGAATGTTTTACCGCACCCAGTTCATTTTCTAATTTTTTGTAGAGATGAGGTTTCACTGTGTTGCTCAGGCTGGTCTTGAACTCCTGGCCTCACGGAATCCTCCTGCCTTAGTCTCCCAGTGGGCTGGGATTATAGGTATGAGCCACCTCACCTGACCTGCGACGATTTTTCAACAATGTAATTTCTCTTTTACAGAGCCACCTAAGCTGAAGATTCCCTTGAGAACAAGTACTGTCCTGCGGTTTCATGGCCTTTCTTCCATTTGTGGTTCTTGTGAAGTGGAATTTAAATGACATCTTATCAAGATGGATAAACCCTAGTTTCCCAGTGCTGGAATATAGAAAATGGATGGACAAGTAAATCCCACTCAGCACCCATAGTCCAGGCATGGGGACCTCAACACACCTGAGCACCAGACATCACCTTTCATTGTGAGTAGCTCTGAGATGACACTTCTGCTGTTCCCAATTCCAGCATTAATTGGATTAGATAGTTATTTTATGAAGAATTTTCATATGCCACAATCCTGACCATATCTTCAAGTGAACAGAAAAATTCTATTAAAAAGTCAACCTTCTGTCTCACTCTGTTGCCCAGACTGGAGTGCAGTGGTGCAATTATGGCTCACTGCAGCCTCAACCTCCTGGGCTCAAGCAATCCTCCTGCCTCAGCCTCACAAGTAGCTGGGACTACAGGTGCTTGTCACCACACCTCACTAATTTTCCCATTTGTGTTATATGTGGATTCCACAGGACTGACTTCGAAAACTTGAGTATGCGTGGATTTTGGTATACACAGAAATGGGAGAGTTGGAACTAATCCCCCCATATACCAAGGGACAAATTGTATCTGTTTTTACAATTATACAGTAGGAGACATTATGTTCCATGACAATGGTAATTTTTAATGACAGTTTTTAATTGAGTGAAATTACCATAAAAATAATAATAGTAGCAGCTAATATTTACTGAGCTGTTACTAGGTGCCTATAAATAGCATAGATTTTTAAATTCTCCATAATTCTTCCTTATTTCACTTAACCACTCTATCTTACATTACTCATGCTTGCCTCAGTAGCACACATACTTAAGTTGGAACAATAGAGAGATTGGCATGGCCTCTGTGAAAGAATGACATGCAAATTTGTGAAGCATTCCATATTTTTTTAAAAAAAGAGAAAAAAATTACTCCCAGATTTTCACTGTGTTTGTGCATATGACCTTTTGTTTAGGTTGAATTATATCGAAAGGTGAAATTTCCAGAAGTGAGATTACTGTGAGTCACACAGCATGAGCATTCTTATTACCCTTGATGTAAATTACAAAGCTTTCAGGCATGGTGGCTGTCAGCCTGTAATTCCAGCACTTTGGGAGGCTGAGGTGGGAGGATTGCTTGAGGCCAGGAGTTGGAGGAGGCAGTATAATGAGTCACTGTCTGTATGATTTAAAAAAAATTTCCAAGCTTTATGCTGGAAGGCTTATATACATTTTAAACACCACTAATACTACAAGAAAATGGCCATTTCACTGCACCTTCGCCCACACAGGTATTATAATTTAACAAGTTATTTTCTGTGTGATAAATGAAAGACCTCATATTATTACTTTGTCACCCATTCTTTTTTCTTTTTTGAGACGCAGTCTCACTCTGTCGACCAGGCTGGAGTGCAGTGGTGTGATCTCGGCTCACTGCAACCTGTGCCTCCCAGGTTCAAGCGATTCTCCTGCCTCAGCCTCCTGAGTAGCTGGGATTACAGGCACATGCCACCATGCCTGGCTAATTTTTGTATTTTTAGTAGAAACGTGGTTTCACCATGTTGATCAGGCTGGTCTCGAACTCCTGATCTCGTGATCTACCTGCCTTGGCCTCCCAAAGTGCTTGATTACAGCTGTGAGCCATGTGCCCAGCCTATTTGTCACATATTTTATCTTTCCTTATGTTAGCTTATTAGCTTTATTTCTTTATTGTCCTTTTTTTTTTTTTTTTTTGAGATGAAGTCTCGCTCTGTCTCCTAGGCTTCAGTGTAGTGGCACAGTCTCAACTCACTGCAGCCTTGACCTCCTAGGCTCAGGTGATCCTTCCACCTCAGTAGTTGGGACTATAGGCACATGCCACTATGCCTGGCCAATTATTTTTATTTTTTTATTTTTACTAGAGAGGAGGTCTTGCTTTGTTTCTTAGGCTGGTCTGGAACTCCTGGCCTCAAGCAATCCCCCCGCCACCCCCTCCCAAAGTACTGGTATTATAAGCATGAGCCACCATGCCTGGGGTATCTGTGTCTTTTCCATTTATTTATAGAGTTACTTTGTCTTTTACTAATTCAATGATCTGTTTAATCTTTTATTAAATTATAAAAATAATAAATACTTTTAAATAAGTGAAAAATGTCCTTCACTCTTTAGACCCATAATCTTATCTCAGGAAATAATTGCAGTTGAGAAAATGGGCCATATCCTTCAAGATACGTACATGGTGATTGAACATCACTTCATATTTTCATATTTCGTGGACATTTGTGCCAATACCTATTGATCTATCTTAATACTTTTCATGGTTGCATAATATGTTATTATATGGGTGTATCACAATTTACCAGTACCAGTCAACTGCTGGAGGCATTTAGGCTCCTTCTAATATTTGCTTTGAGCTCTTTATATAATTAAAAATTAACCCCCTCAGCCAGGTGTGGCACTTCACACCTGTAATCCCAGCATTTTGCAAGGCTGAGGTGAGAGAACTGCCTGAGTGTAGGAGATCACCACCAACCTGGTCAACATAGTGACACTTTGTCTCTACTAAAAATTAAAAAAAAAAAATGAGCTACACGTTGCAGTGCACACCTGTAGTCCGAGCTACTGGGGAGGCTAAGACTGGAGGATCACTTGAGTCTAGAAGGTTGAGGCTGCAGTAAGCTATGATCACACCATTGCACTTTAGCTTTGCTAAGAGCAAGACTGCATTTCTTAAACAAAATAAAAATTAGATGGTAATATTGCTCAAGCCCTGGAGGTTGAGGCTGCAGTTAACTGTGATTGCACCACTGCAGTCCAGCCTAGGCGATAGAGCAAGACCCTTTCTCTAAAAATAAAATAAAAATTAACCTTCTATCATATTTCCCAGTAACACCTTCCCTCCTACATTTCTCCTAGAAGCCCTTAAATTTTGTTTTTCACATATCGTTTAAAACTTTTAAGTGCTGATGTCTGTCTGTGTCATCCCTCTTTTTTTTTTTTTTTTTTTTAAATGTCTTTTTGTCACTTCTAGCTGGACCTACCATGAAAGACTTCTGAATCCAGGAAGAGAAACTGACTGGGCAACATGTTATTCAGGTACAAAAAGACTTGGACTGTAACTCAAAAATGATCAAATAATAGTGCATGCATCAAGTGCAATCGGAAGCTCTTCTGGAGAGGGAGAGAAGCTTCCAGTTAAGGTGACATTGAAGCCAAGTCCTGTAAGATAAGGAAGAGTTGTATGAGAGTGGGGAGGGAAGGGGGAGGTGGAGGGATGGGGATTGGGCTGGGATAGGATGGAGTGAGCTGCCCAGGCAGGGAAACCAGCACTATACAGTCCTGAACAATGAAGATGGCACATTTTGTTCAGGGAATGGTGAATTAAGTGTGGCAGAAATGCTTTGTAGAGAGTAATTTGCTTGTATGGAATTTTGCCCAAGAGACCTCATTACAGTTTCTAATTTTTTGATGTTATCATGCATCACTACCCTTGTCAGATAGTATCATGATCACAATAACATCAAGCATAATATTTCATTGATTCTCACAAAAACAGTTGGGTGCCACAGTTATCCCCATTATATGCACAAAATGATGAAGACTTGGGGTTAATGAGCGATTTGCCCAAGCTCACCTGAATATTAGGACTGAGTCAAATGTTAGTCTGGTCTGACTTTAATGCTTGCCTTGTTCATGAGCACCATGCATTGCCTCTCCTATTAAGTTAAGCAGGTAGACAGGTGAGAGAAGAGCCTGTGTGATATCGGGGGAAATTCACCCCTGATATTTCATGTAGGTTCTTTTCTATTTTCCCTGAGTGTCAGCCGGTCTGAGAAATAAAGGGAAAGAGTACAAAAGAGAGAAATTTTAAAGCTGGGTGTCCAGGGGAGACATCACACGTCAGCAGGTTCCGTGATGCCCCCCCAAGCTGCAAAACCAACAAGTTTTTATTAGTGATTTTCAAAAGGGGAGGGAGTGTACGAATAGGGTGTGGGTCACAGAGATCACATGCTTCACAAGGTAATAAAATATCACAAGGCAAATGGAGGCAGGGCAAGACCACAGGACCGGGGCGAAATTAAAATTGCTAATGAAGTTTCGGGCACGCATTTTCATTGATAACATCTTATCAGGAGAAAGGGTTTGAGAGCAGACAACCCATCTGACCAAAATTTATTAGGCGGGAATTTCCTTGTCCTGATAAGCCTGGGAGCGCCACGCGAACCCAGGGCTTATTTCGTCCCTTATCTACGACTGTAAAAGACAGCTGTCCCCAAAGCGGCCATTTCAGAGGCCTCCCCTTAGGGATGCATTCTCTTTCTCAGGGATGTTCTTTGCTGAGAAAAAGAATTCAGCAATATTTCTCCTATTTGCTTTTGAAAGAAGAGAAATATGGCTCTGTTCCACCCGGCCCACAGGCAGCCAGAGTTTAAGGTTATCTCCCTTGTTCCCTGAAATTGCTGTTATCCTGTTCTTTTTTCAAGGTGCCCAGGTTTCATATTGTTTAAACAACTTGTGCAGTTAACGCAATTATCACAGGGTCCTGCGGGGACATCATCCTCAGCTTACGAAGGTGACCGGATTAAGAGATTAAAGTAAAGACAGGCATAGGAAATCACAAGGGTATTGATTGGGGAAGTGATAAGTGTCCATGAAATCTTCACAATTTATGTTCAGAGATTGCAGTAAAGACAGGCCTAAGAAATTATAGAAGTATTAATTTGGGGAACTAACAAATGTCTATGAAATCTTCACAATTTATGTTCTTCTGCCATGGCTTCAGCCAGTCCCTCCGTTTGGGGTCCCTGACTTCCCGCAACACGTTTCTCTCTACTCACAGACTTCTGACCAAATGTGTGTGCAGAGTTTCTACACCAGTTCTCCAACTCTCTGGATACCAACCGCGTATCCCACAATTCCATTCTGACACTACCTAGAGTTAGCACAGAACCCACAGGTTAGGGGCTCAGTCCCACAAGACCACCCTCACTTCAGATGCCAGTTGCAAGTCCTAGGTTGTCACCTGTATTTTGACCAACCAGTTAGAAATCGGGGTTTCCCATGACCCTCTTCTTGAGTTTAATTATTTACTAGAACAACTCACAGAACTTAGAAAAACAGGTTTTTTTTCTTTTCTATTTAAGAGACAGGGCCTCGCTCTGTTGTCCAAGCTGGTGTGCAGTGGTGCAATCATAGCTCATTGAAGCCTCAACCTCCAGGGCTCAAGTGATTCTCCTGCTTCAGCCTCTCAAGTAGCTGGAATTACAGGGTTCCCACCACCACATTTGGCTCATTTCTTTTATTTTTTGTATAGATGGGGTCTTCTTATGTTGCCCAGGTTGGTCTCAAATTGCTAGGCTCAAGTGATTCCACCCACCTCTGCCTCCCACAGTGCTGGGATTACGGGCATGAGCCAGCGCATCTGGCCACCTTATTTTCAATTACTGGCTCAATGTAATGGCTCCATCTCAGGAACAGCCAATGAAAGAGATGCACAGGACAAGGTAAGTGGGGAGGGGCACAGAGCTTCCATGCCCTCTGTTGGGCACACTACCCTCCCAGGACCTCCTTGTGTTTAGCAACACAGAAGCTCTCCAAACCCTGCAGTTTGGGTTTTTATGGAGGCATGATTGATAAAATCATTGGCCATTGGTAGTTAAGTCAATCTCCAGTTCCTTTTGCCTCCTGGAGTTCAGCAGGTGAGGCTGAAAGTTCCAAGCCTCAAAAAATGTGGTTGGGGCCAGGTGCGGTGGCTCACTCCTGTAATCCTAGCAGTTTGGAAGGCTGAGGCACATGGACCACTTGAGGTCAAGAGTTTGAGACAAGCCTGACCAACATGGTGAAACCTCGTTTCTACTAAAAATAACAACAGTTAGCTAGGCATTGTGGCACATCCCTATAATTCCAGCTACTCGGGAGGCCGAGGCAGGAGAATTGCTTGAACCCGGGAAGTGGAGGTTGTAGTGAGCTGAGATTGTGCCATTGCACTCCAGCCTGGGCTACAAGAGCCAAACTCCGTTTTAAAAAAAAAATGTGGTTGCTTTCTCTGGCAGCTAGCCCTCCTCCTGAAGCAGTCTAGGAGCTTGCAGCCACCCTGTTAGCTCAACAGCATCCCACATGCATTCTTACCATGCTGCAGATCTGAAAGACCTTAGAGGCCCTTGTGTCAGGAACCTGGGACTAAGACTAAATATCAAAACAGAAAATGCTCCTATTACCTCTGTCACGAAGGGCTTTATAAGAGCTTTGGAAGCTCTATGCCTGGAACCAGGGGCAGAGACCAAATGTATATTTCTTTTCTTATATTGGAGACAGAGTCTCACTCTGCCACTGAGGCTGGAGTGCAGTGATGTGATCATAGCTCACTGCAGCCTTGACGTCCTAGGCTAAAGCAATCCTCCCACCTTAGCCTCTCCAGTAGCTGGAACTACAGGCATGCATCACCATGTCCAGCTGATTTTAATTTTAATTTTGTAAAGGCAGGGTCTTCCTATTTTCCCCAGGCTGATCTCTAACTCTTGGCCTCAAGCAATCCTTCCTCTTTGGCCTCCCAAAATGTTGAGATTACAGATGGGAGCCCCCATACCCACCAATCACAAGGATCTTTATAAGAGAAAGAGGTAGGAGAGTCAGAATTAGAGAAAGTGATGTGGTAATGGAAGAAGAGGTCAGAGAGGGAGATTTGAAGATGCTGCACTTCTGGCCTTGAATATGGAGTCACGAGGTAAGTCAAGGAATGGGGGTGGCTTCTAGAAGCTGGAAAAGGCAAAGGAGCACATTCTGTCTAGAGCCTCCCCCAGAAGGAATGCAGCCCCTCTGACACCTTGACTTTAGCCTTAATAGACCTAGTTGGGTTTCTGGCCCCCAGAACTGTAAGATGGTAGATTTGTGGTGTTTGATGCTACTAAATGTAGGGTACTTTGTTGTAGCAACAACAAAAAATGAACATGAAGCTGGGACCTCATGTTACAGTTGCTCACGCCTGTAATCCCAGAACTTTAGGAGGCTGAGGTGGGAGGATCGCTTAAGCCCAGGAGCTTAAGACCAGCCTGGGCAACATAATGAGACCTCATGTCTAAAAAAAAATTTTTTAAAAGGCCAGACGCAGTGGCTCATGCCTGTAATCCCAGCACTTTGGGAGGCCGAGGAGGGTGGATCACGAGGTCAGAAGTTCAAGACCAGCCTAGCCAAGATGGTGAAACCCCATTTCTACTAAAAATACAAACATTAGCCAGGTGTGGTGGTGGGTGCCTGTAATCCCAGCTACTCGGGAGGCAGAGAATCACTTGAACCCAAAAGGCAGACATTGCAGTGAGCCAAGATTGCACCCTTACACTTCAGCCTGGGCGACCGAGACTCCGTCTCAAAAAAAAAAAAAAAAAAAAGCCATGTGTTGTGGCATGCAGCTGTAGTCTCAGTTCCTAGGGTGGCTGAGGCGGGAGGATTGTTTAAGCCTGGGAGGTTGAAGTTGCTGTGAGCTGTGATTGCACCAGTGTACTCCAGCCTGGGCAATAAAGCAAGACCTTGTTTCAAAAAGAAAGAAAGAAATGAGCATGGTGGGAATGGGGACAGATGGCAGTATTAAGTAGAGTGGTCAGGGTTGGCCTCATAAGTGAATATTGAGCAAAAGTTTGAAGCAGGTGATGGAGCTGGCCAAGGTGCTGAGGGAAGAGCATTGTAGGCTGAGTCAACAGGATAAAGGCATTAGGAGGAAACTCTCTGGTGTGTCTGAGGCTCTGGAAGGAGGCCAGTGGAGCAAAGAGATAGAGGGAGCGAAGTCAGCGAGGAGGCCAGGGAGTTGCTGGGCTGGGATCGGTACAGATCGTGTAAGCCCTGGGACGCTATTGCTGGGGCTTTGGCTTTTACTCTGACTAAAATGGGAACCACCGAGGGCTTCTGAGCAGAGAGGCGACATGATCTGTCTCCTGATTTAAAAGCACGACCTGGCTGCCAAGTTGAGAAAGACTATGGGAAGATTTGGGTAGAAGCATGGGGGCCAAGCTGTGGCAACATCCCGGTGGGAGATGATAGTGATCCTGATCGGGTTCAAGGTGGTGGTGAGAGATGGTTAGAGCCTGGATACATGTTGAAGTCAGTCAGTAGGATTTCCTGACAGACTGGATGTGAGCTGTGAGAGAAGGCAGTGGTCAAGGTTGAGTTTGATTCTGATTGAATTATTAAGTAATTTTAAAAAACACTACTGCCTTTCCCAATCCTACCAAGTAAAGGATGCTAGATAAAAGAAATCTCAAGTCAGGCCAGGTACAGTGGCTCACACCTATAGTTCCAACAGTTTGAGAGGCAGAGATGGGAGTATGTTTTAAGGCCATGAGTTTGAGAGCAGCCTGGGCAACACAGCAAGACCTCCTCTCTACAAAAATAAAAAAAATAAATTTAATAAAATAAAATAAATATAGCCAGGCATGATGGTATGTACCTATGGCCCCAGTTACTCATGTGGCTGAGATGGGCAGATCTCTTGATTCTAGGAGTTTGAGGCCAGCTTGGGCAACATAGCAAGTCTTCTCTCTCTACAAAAATGAAAAAAATGCCTGACATGGTGGTACTTGCCTGTATTCCCAGGTATGGGGGCAGCTGAGGCAGGAGCATCTCTTGAGCCCAGTTGGTCAAGGTTGCAGTGAGCTATGATTATACCACTGCACTCCATCCTGGGTGACAGAGTGGGACCCTGTCTCAAAATACAAATACAAATGAAATCTCAAGTCAGACCAGTCCCTTCTAGGCTATGTAGGCCTTGTAACCATATAGCTGCATGATCGGGTTTGTGTGGCTGTGGATGAGGAAACCCCTGTCCAATTGTTGGCTATGTAATCAGTTTATTTTTCAATATAGTAATCAAATATATTTCATCATACTTGATGGTCTCAGATATGTGTGGATTTTGGAATTCCCCTTGGAACAGGTTGTAACATCTTATTGGCTCCATAATTCCATAATTTTTTTAATCTGATCAGTTTTTAATAAGATCAGAATTTATATTAGACTACTTAATCGGTTTTGTTAATGAGAAAATGAAATTGTGTTGTTTGCATTTTATCCAAGATGGGTGTCATATTGGGTAAATCTCATCAATACTTGAACAAATGCAAAATTAGAGCTTCTTTATCATGAAACACGATGTAATTCTTGAAGAAGATGCCATTTCTTTTTTTCTTTTTTTTTTTTTAAGATAAGAGTCTTTCTCTTGTCACCCAGGCTGGAGTGCAATGGTGCGATTTTGGCTCACTGCAACCTTCACCTTCTGGGTTCAAGCAATTCTCCTGCCTCAGCCTCCCGAGTAGCTGGGATTACAGGTGCCCGCCACCATACCCAGCTAATTTTTGTATTTTTAGTAGAGATGGGATTTCACCATGTTGGCCAGGCTCCTCTGGAGCTCCTGACCTCAGGCAATCTGCCTGCCTCAGCCTCCCAAAATTCAAGGAGTACAGATGTGAGCAGCCACGCCCGGCCTCCATTTCTTTTTTGTAGTCTTTAATAAACAGCTGCTATCATTGCAGACTTGCTGTTTAGGCACTTAGGAATTTTTCACTAGAAGGCGTGTAAATAAAGACCATGGGCAATTGTAATGAATTTAGCGTTCATTCTTTGACTACATGACTGTCCCCAGAGCTGTAACTTTATTGAATTTTTTAGAAGCCATTTAGCTAGCAACTGAGCCTAACCAGCCACTCACCGTCATTATTCAGTGCTCTTTTATTATTGTCTATTTCTCCTCCAACTTGGCTACACTCACAAAGTGATAAAAACTTGCATTTGTTTTCTTTCCTTTTCAGAGACAGCGTCTTGCTCTGTTGGTCAGGCTACAGTACAGTGACATGATCATGGTTCACTGTAGCCTCAAACTCCTGGGCTCAAGCGGTTCTCTCACTTCAGTCTCCCAAGTAGCTGGGACTACAGACATGTGCCACCATGTCCAGCTAATTTTTTATCATAGAAACGGGATCTTGCCACGTTGCTCTGACTGGGCTCAAAACTCCTGACCTCAAGTGATCCTCCTGCCTCAGCCTCCCAAAGTGCTGGGATTACAGGCAGGCATGACCACCTGTGCCCAGCCCCCTATTATTATTATTTTAAATAATAGCTTTATTAAAATATTCACATACCATTCACTTTATTTATTGAAATCTGCAATTCAGTAGGTTTTAGAATATTCACAGAGCTGTGCATCGATCACCACAGTCACTTTTAGAACCTTTCATTACCCTATAGAGAAATCCATACCCCTTAGCCACTACCTCCTACTCTCCCCACCTACCTTCGCCCCCAGCCTTAGGCAACCATTGATTAATTTTTTTGTCACTATAGATTTGCCTAATCTGGACAAATAGAATTGTACAATATGTGATCTTTTGTGGCTTTTTTTCCCTCTTAGCACAGTGTTTTCAAAGTTCCTTTATGTCATAGTGTGTATCAATATTTCATTCCTTCTATGGCAGTATTCCATGGTGGAGACACACTGCATTTTGTTTATCTGTTCATCAGTTGGTGGATATTTGGGTTGTTTCCATGTATTCCATGTATTGGTCATTATGAATAATGCTGCTATGAAGATTGTTGTACAAGTTTTTGTGTGGACATATATTTTTATTTTTCTGGGATATATGCCTAGGAATGAAATGGTTGCATTATAGGATGACTGTACATTTAGCCTTTTGAGAAACTGCCAGACTGTTTTCTAACGTGGCTATACCAGTTGGGTGCAATGGCTCACACCTGTAATCCCAGCTACTCAGGAGGCTCAGCTAGGAGGATGGCTTGAGCCCATGAATTCAAGACCAGCCTGGGCAAGATAGTGAAACCCTGTCTTGATTTTTTAAAAATCCAATTAAAATGACAAGAAAAGAAATACCCAAACAAAATGGTTACACAATTTTATGTTCCCACCAGTAATGTATGTGGGTTCCAATTCCTCCACATCTTCACTGACATTTTTTTTTTTTCTAGATAGGGGCTTGCTCTGTCTCTCAGGCCGCAGTGCAATGATGCCATCACAGTTCACTGCAGCCTTGACCTCCCAGGCACAAGTGATTCTCTCATCTCAGCCTCCTGAGTAGCTGAAAATTACAGGTGTACGCCACCATGCCTGGGTAATTTTTATATTTTTCTGTAGTGATGGGATTTTACCATGTTGCCCAGGCTGGTCTCATACTCCTGGCCTCAAGTGATCTGCGCACCTCAGCCTCCATAAATTCTGGAATTACAGGCTGCCACCATGCCCGGCCTTCACCAACATTTGCCATTATCTGTTTTTTTTTCTTCCTTTATACCTTAAAGCAGTATAAGAACAAGTGTCTTCAATTATAGGAAACAGTATAATCCCAGGGCATTGGGAGGCTAAGACAGGAAGATGTCTTGATGCCAGGAGTTTTTTTTGTTGTTGTTGTTTTTGTTTTTGTTATTGTTGTTGTTGTTTTTGACAGAGTCTCGCTCTGTCACCCAGGGTGGAGTGCAGTGATGGGGTCCACTGCAACCTCCACCTCCCAGGTTCAAGTGATTCTCCTGCCTCAGCCTCCCGAGTAGGTGAGACTACAGGTACACGCCACTACTACCCAGCTAATTTTTGTATTTTTGATAGAGTCAGAGTTTCACCATGTTGGCCAGGCTGGTCTCGAACTCCAGACTTCAGGTGATTTGCCTGCCTTAGCTTCCCAAAGTGCTGGGATTACAAGCATGAGCCACCATGCCCAGCCTGATGCCAGGAGTTTTAGACTAGCCCGGGCAACCTAGCAAGACCTTGTCTCTACAGAATATTTAAAAATTAGCCAAATGTGGTGGTGCCTGTGTATAGTCTCTCTCCCTTTCTCTTTTTTTTTTTCTTTCTAACTTTTTGTGACATAGTCTGGCTCTGTCACCCAGGCTGAAGTGCAGTGGTATGATCATGGCTCACTGCAGCCTGAAACTCCTGGGATCAAGTGATCAATCCTCCCACCTCATCCTACTAAGTAGTAGGGACCACAGGTGTATGCCACCCAGGTCTTGCTATGTTGTCCAGGCTGGTCTTGACCTCCTGGCCTCAAGCAATCCTCTCACCTTGGCCCCCCACAGTGCAAGGATTACAGGTATGAGCCACCATGCCTGGCCCCTACCCTGCCTACTGAGAACCAAAAGAAGGATCTAAATTCTCCTTAGCTCAACTCGAGCCATTTCCTGATTGCTTCATCAGCAAGGAGCTGGTTATTGGGCTGTCCAGGCTTCCCAAGCAGCACAGAAATGAGGTGAAGGAGTTTTCCTGTTGCTCCACTCTGTAAGGAGTTGGAGGGTGATGTTTACTCATTTGCAGAGAGAGATGCCTTGTAGGCACCTCAGGATGGAGAGGACCCTGATTCCAATGTCCTTTTTTTCTTCAGAAACAGGACCTTGCCCTGTCACTCAGGATGGAGTTCAGTGGTCCTATCATGGCTCATTATAGCCTCAAACTCCCAGGCTCAAGCAATCCTACCATGTCAGCCTTCCCAGTAGCTGGGACTACAGGTAAGCATCGTGACACTCAGTGAATTTTGTTTTTGTTTTGTTGTAGAGATGGGACCTCAGTATGTTGCCACGGCTGACCTTGAACTCCTGCACTCAAGGGATTTTCCTACCCTGGCCTCCCAAAGTATTGGTATTACAGGCATGAGCCATTGTGCCCACCGTCTCTGGTTCTTAACCTTCTGCCTCCCTCTTCCAGTTTTAAAGAATGCTTGTAATTACATGGGCTCTCCTAGATACTCCAGGATAATCTTGTTTTAAGGTCAGCTGATGAGCAACATTAATTTTATCTGCACTATTAATTCCCCCTTCCTATGTAATTGTGCTGTGTAACATAGGACATGAGCAATTGGTGGCGGTGGGGGTTATTACTTTGGCCACCACAGTAACTATTTTATGCCAGGTACTCAGCTAAGCACTGGTGAATTAAGCATGAATAACACACACTCCCTAATCTCCATCCATTCATGGGAGGAGCACTTCACCTGCCATGCTCCTGAGAATCTCGGGAGTCAGAGAAGTCTTCTATGAGGAGGTGATGCCAAAGCGGACAAGTGACAGAGGAGTCAAAGCTAGCTAGGAAGGGAGTAGAGGTTTAAGGGGAAGCATATTATAAGCAGAGGATATTACCCACTTCAGAGACTCCCAGAGGAGAAAGAGTGTGCGTTCAAGAGGCAGATGAGGCTCAGTTGGACTCCATAGCAGATGAAATGGAGAGGGGCAAGCAGTGAGGCTGCCTTGCAAGGCAGGGCAGAGCAGGGGCTGTTAAGGAGTTTGGACTTAATCCCTGAGGCAAGGAGAAGTGATGTAAATGGAGGAGTAACATGATGAGATTCATGGATTAGAGACATGGCTCAGGCTGCTGTAGAGAAGGCACCAGGGAGAGCAGATGGCTCAATGGGTGTGCAGGAGACCTCTCCCTGAGTTTAGGGAGAGGTTTTTAAAACAGAAGAAGTTTGAGTAATTTAAATGATGATGGGAAGGAGCTAAAAGTGGGGGATAGGTTAAAGATACAGGAAAGCAGGAGGAAGAACTGACAAGTGAGGTTCCAGAGAGGGCAGGAGAAGAGGAGATTCCCATAGGGGGATTAACACTTTCTTTTCTTTTTTCTTTCTAAGACAGGGTCTCACTCTGTCGCCCAGGCTGGAGTGCAGTGGCACAATCTTGGCTCACTGTAGTGTAGACTTCCCAGGCTCAAGGGATTTCTCCCACCCCAGACTCCCAAGTAGCTGGAACTATGGGTGTGCACCACCACCACACCTGGCTAATGTCTCTTTTTTTTGGTAGACACAGAGTCTCACTATTTAGCACTGATTGGTCTCCAACTCCTGGCCTCAAGCGATCCTCCTGCCTAGGCTTCCCAAATTGCTGGGATTACAGGCATGAGCCACAATGCCTGGCCTCTGCTAGTTCCGTATTCTCTAGAGTTGTCTTTACTTTGTGCTAGTGTGTCCCTCATTGTGCTGATCCTCTGTAAAAATTAATACCTTTTTTTTTTTTTTTTTTTTTGAGATGGAGTTTCACTCTTGTTGCCCAGGCTGGAGTGCAATGGCACTATCTCGGCTCAGCGCAACCTCCACCTGCCGGGTTCAAGCGATTCTCCTGCCTCAGCCTCCCGAGTAGTTGGGATTACAGGCATGTGCCACCATGCCCAGCTGATTTTGTATATTTAGTAGAGATGGGGTTTCTCTATGCTGGTCAGGCTGGTCTCGAACTCCTGACCTCAGGTGATCTGTCTGCCTTGGCCTCCCAAAGTGCTGGGATTACAGGCATGAGCCATTTTGCCTGGCCAAAATTAATACTTTTTATATTAAATTTACATATATATATATATATATATGTTTTTTCTTTTTGATACCGGGTCTCACACTGTCACCCAGGCTGGAGTACAGTGGCACAACCTCTGCTCACTGCAGCCTCCACCTGCCAGGCTCAAGCAATGCTCCTGCCTCAGCCTCCCGAGTAGCTGGGATTACAGGTAAGTGCCACCACACCCAGCTGATTTTTGTGTTTTTTGTAGAGACGAGGTTTCGCCATGTTTCCCAGACTGTTCTCAAACTCCTGAGCTCAAAGCAGTCCACCCACCTTGGCCTCCCAGAGTGCTGGGATTACAGGTGTGAGCCATCTTGCTCATTCTAGTTTAAACTTTTGAGTAGTTTGTGTCTCCTGATTGGACTCCTACAAATACAGAATTGATGCTAGGAAGGGTACCAGGAGATAGACGCACACAGATGGGATTTGGGAATAGGTTTGGTTATCCAAGGAGCAGTGCTGAGCTCCTTGCTAATGGGATATGGGATGCTGGTGATTTCCAGGAAGTGAGCTCACAATGACTCAAGCTGCCACATAGTGTTGATTGTGAAATGCCAGTTGAAGCATATGTCCTGCGAGCTTGGGGGTGCTACAAGTTGACCACTGCAGCAGTAAAGATGACTCTGAAGAATGGCGTGGGATGGATCCTTTCAAATGCACTTGAGCAGCAGTCTCCAACCACAGGGCCACAGAGCTGGAGGTGAGCAGCAGGCGAGTGAAGGGAAACTTCATCTGTATTTCTAGCCCCTCCCATGGCTTGCATGACCACCTGAGCTCCATGTCCTGTCAGATCAGCAGCAGCATTAGATTCTCATAGGAGCACAAACTCTGTTGTGAAGTGTGCATGCGAGGGATCTAGGTTGTGTACTCCTTATGAGAATCTAATGCCTGATATTCTGTTACTGTCTCCCATCACCCCAGATGGACAGTCTAGTTGCAGGAAAACAAGCTCAGAGATCCCACTGAGTCTACGTTATAGTGAGTTGTAGAATCATTTCATTATATATTACTATGTAGTAATAATAGAAATAAAGTGTACAATATATGTAATGCACTTGAATCATCCTAAAATTATTCCCTCACTCCCAGTCTGTGGAAAAATTGTCTTCCACACATTCACTCTGTTTTTTGGTAGAGGCAGGGTCTTAATATATTGCCCAGGCTGATCTCAAACTCCTGGCCTCAAGTAATATACCTCTCTCAGCCTCCCAAAGTGCTGAGATTACAGGCATAAGCCACCACCCTCAACCAAGACTTTCTTAAACCAAATAAAAATTAAGTGAGATTACTTGAGCCCAGGTGGTCAAGGCTGCAGTGAGCCTGATTGCACCACTGCACTCCAGCCTAGGTGACAGAATGAGACTGTCTCAAAAAATAAAATAAAATACAAATTAACCCTTTATGACATTCCCAGTAACTTCCTAAGTGCTCCCCACAAGTCTTTGAATTCTGTTTAATTTTCACATAACATTTGAGACATTTAAGAACTTATGTCTGTCTGTGTCATCCCTTTATGTCAAAAGATGTCTTTTTGTCACTTCCAGCTGGATCTACCATGAAAGACTTCTGAATCCAGGAAGAGAGACTGACTGGGCAACATGTTATTCAGGTACAAAAAGATTTGGACTGTAACTTAAAAATGATCAAATAATAGTGCATGCATCAAGTGCAATGGGAAGCTCCACTGGAGAGTGAGAGAAGCTTCCAGTTAAGGTGACATTGAAGCCAAGTCCTGAAAGATGAGGAAGAGTTGTATGAGAGTGGGGAGGGAAGGGGGAGGTGGAGGGATGGGGAATGGGTCGGGATGGGATAGCATAAACTGCCCGGGAAGGGAAACCAGCACTGTACAGAACTGAACAACGAAGATGGCATATTTTGTTCAGGGAATGGTGAATTAAGTGTGGCAGGAATGCTTTGTAGACACAGTAATTGGCTTGTATGGAATTTTGCCTGAGAGACCTCATTGCAGTTTCTGATTTTTTGATGTCTTCATCCATCACTGTCCTTGTCAAATAGTTTGGAACAGGTATAATGATCACAATAACCCCAAGCATAATATTTCGTTAATTCTCACAGAATCACATGTAGGTGCCACAGTTATCCCCATTTTATGAATGGAGTGATGAAAACCTTAGGAATAATGAATGATTTGCGCAGGCTCACCTGGCTATTAAGACTGAGTCAAATGTTGGGTCTGGTCTGACTTTAATGTTTGCTTTGTTCATGAGCACCACATATTGCCTCTCCTACGCAGTTAAGCAGGTAGGTGACAGAAAAACCCATGTTTGTCTCTACTCACACACTTCCGACTGAATGTATGTATGGAGTTTCTACACCAAATTCTTCAGTGCTCTGGATATTAACTGGGTATCCCATGACTTTATTCTGACACTACCTGGAGTTAGCACAGACCCCACAAGTTAGGGGCTCAGTCCCACGAGGCCATCCTCACTTCAGATGCCAATGGCAAGTCCTAAGTTGTCACCATACTTTTGACCAACCTGTTACCAATCGGGGGTTCCCATAACTGTCTTCTTGGGTTTAATAATTTGCTAGAACAGTTTACGGAACTCAGAAAAACAGTTTATTTTCTTTTTTTTCTGAGAGAGAGGGTCTTATTTTGTTGCCCAGGCTGGTGTGCAATGGTGCAGTCATAGCTCATTGCAGCCTTGATTGTCTGGGTTCCAGTGGTTCTCCCACCTCAGCCTCCCTAGTAGCTGAGACTACATGCCTGCACCACCACATCTGGCTAGTTTCTTTTATTTTTTGTATAGATGGGGTCTTGTTGTATTGGCCAGGGTGGCCACAAATTCCTGGTCTCAAGTGATCCTCCCACCTCAGCCTCTGAAAGTGCTGGGATTACAGATGTGAACCACCACATCTGGCCAGTTCATTTCCTATTACTGGTTCATTGTGAAGGATACATCTCAGAAACAGTCAATGAAAGAGATGTGCATGCTGGATGCAGTGGCTCATGCCTGTAATCTCAGCACTTTGGGAGGATCGCTTAAACTCAGGAGTTTGAGACCAGCCTGGGCAACATGGTGAAAACCTGTCTCTATAAAAAATTAAAAAATAATAATAATAACTGGTGTGGTGTTGTGCACCTAGAGTTCCAACTACTAGGGAAGCTGAGATGAGAGGATACCTTAAGCTGGGGACTGGGGAGGCTTAGGTTACAGTAAGCTGAGGTTGTGCCACTGCACTCCAGCTTGGACAAAAGAGCCTGATCCTGTCTCAAAAAAAAGAAAGATACCCAGGGCAAGTTAAGTTCGGAGGGGCACAGAGCTCCCATGCCCTCTGTTGAACATGCGGCCCTCCCAGCATCTCCTGTGTCCAGCAACCCTGAAAGCTCTGCAAACCCCTTTCAGGGTGTTTATGGAGGCTTTATTATGCAAGCATGATTGATAAAATCTTTGGCTGTTGGTGATTAAGTCAGTCTCCAGCCCCTCCTCCTCCTGGAGTTCAGTGCATGAGGCTGAAAGTTCCAAGCCTCTTACCATGTGGTTGCATGGTAATCAGCCCTCCTCTGGAAGAAATTTAGGAGCTTGCAGTCACGCAGTCATCTCAACAACATCCCCAAATGCATTCTTACCATGCTGGAGATCCCAAAGTTCTTAGAGGCTCTTGTGTTAGAAACCTGGGACCAAGACCAAATATTAAAACAAAAGATGTTCCTGTCACATCTATCACTGAGGTCTTTGTAAGAGCTTTAGAAGCTCTGTGCCAGGAACCAGGGACAGAGATTAAATATATATTTCTTTTCTTTTTTTTCAGACAGAATCTCCCTGTGTCATCCAGGCTGGAGTGCAGTGATGTGATCATAGCTCACTATAGCTTTGGCCTTCTGAGATCAAGCAATCCTCCCATCTCAACCTCCCAAGTAGCTAGGACTACACATGCATGTCACCCATGCCCAGCTCATTTTTGTAGAGTCAGAGTTTCACCATGGTGGCCAGGTTGGCCATGTCGGCCAGATGGGGTCTTCTTTTGTTGCCCAGGCTGGCCACAAATTCCTGGGCTCAAGTGATCCTCCCACTTCGTCCTTGTAGAGATGAGATTTAGTTATGTCGTCCAGGCTGATCTCAAACTCCTGGGCTAAATCGATTGTCTCACCTCAGCCTCTCAAGTAGCTGGGACTACAGGCGCATACCACCATGTCGGGCTAATATTTATTTTTATTTTTTTCTAGAGGTGGGGGTCTCACTGTGTTTTTCATGCTAGTTTCAAACTTCGGGCCTCAAGTGTTCCTCCTGCCTTGACCTCCCAAAGTGTTGGGATTCTGGGTGGGAGCCACCATGCCCAGCAATCACAAGGGTCTTTATAAAAGAAAGAGAGTAGGAGATTCAGAATTGGAGCAGGAGATGTGGTGATGAAAGCAGAGGTAAGAGAGGGAGATTTGAAGATGCTTCACCTCTGGCTTTGAAGATGGAGTCAGGGGCTATGATCCAAGGAATGGGGGTGGCTTCTAGAAGCTGGAAAAGCCAAGGGAACATATTAGAGTCTCCAGAAGGAATGCAGCCCTGCTGACACCTTGACTTTAGCCTTAATAGACCTAGTTTGGGTTTCTGGCCCCTAGAACTGTAAGATGGTAGATTTGTGGTGTTTTAAGCCACTAAATGTAGGAAACTGCAAACTATGTTGCAGCAGCAAGAAGAAATGAACATGAAGCCAGGCATCATGGCTCATGCCGGTAATCCCAGCACTTTAGGAATTTAGGCAGGAGGATCACTTGAGGCCAGGAGTTCAAGACCAGTCTGGGCAACATAGTAAGACCTTGTCTCTACAAAAAATGAAAAAATTGGCCAGGCGTGGTGGCTCACACCTGTAATTCCAGCACTTTGGGAGGCCGAAGCGGGCAGATTACCTGAGGTCAGGAGTTCGAGACCAGCCTGGCCAACATTGTGAAACCCCGGCTCTACTAAAAATACAAAAATTAGCTGGGCATGGTGGCATGCACCTGTAATCCCAGCTACTTGGAAGGCTGAGGCAGGAGAATCACTTGAATCTGGGAGGTGGAGGTTGCAGTGAGCCGGGATCACACCGTTACACTACAGCCTGGGCAAGAAGAGTGAAACTCTGTCTCAAAATAAAATAAAATAAAATACTAAAAAATTTAGCCAGCCATGGTGGCATGAACCTGGAGTCCCAACTACTCGGGAGGCTGAGGTGGGAGGATCGCTTGAGCCTGGAAATTTGAGGTTGCAGTGAGCTGTGATTTCGCCACTGCACTCCAGCCTTGGTGACGGTGAGATCTTGAAAAAAAGAAAGAAGAAAGTAAAGAAAGAAGAAATGAGCATGGTGGGCATGGGGACAGATGGCAATGTTAAGTAGAATGGTCAGGGGTGGCCTCCTAAGTGAAAGTTGAGTAAAGACTTGAAGGAGGGGAAGGAGGTGGCCAAGGTGCTGAGGGAAGAGGATTGTAGGCAGAAACAATAGAATAAAGTGTCTGAGGTGTGTCTGAGGCTCTGGAAGGAGGCCCATGGAGCAGATGGAGAGAGGGAGAGAATTAGGGGAGGGAGCCAGGGAGTTGCTGGGTGGGGATCAGTACAGATCACATAAGCCCTGGGAGGTTATTGGTGGGGCTTTGGCTTTTACTCTGACTCAGATGGAAACTGCGGGAGGGTTCTGAGCAGAGAGGCGACATGATCTGTCTCCCGATTTAAAAGCATTCTCTGGCTGCTGAGTTGAGAAAGACTGTGGGAAGATGTGATAGAAGCATGGGGGCCAAGCTTTGGCAACATCCAGGCGGGAGATGATGGTGGTCCTGACCAGGGTCGTGGTGGTGTTGAGAGATGGTCAGAGGGGAGAAGTAGGGGAGGAGGCCAGGGAGTTGCTGGGTGGGGATCTTTAGTACATGTCGAAGACAGTCAACAGGATTTCCTGACAGACTGGATATGGGGTGTGAGAGAAGGCAGGGGTCAAGGTTGAGTTTGATTGTTACTGAAATTATTAAGTAATTTTAAAAAACACTACTGCCTTTCCCAATCCTACCAAGTATGGGATGCTAGATTAAGGAAATCTCTTCAGGCTCATTGCAGTGGCTCATGCCTGTAGTCCCAGCTGTCTGGTAAGCAGAGGTGCAAGTATCTTTTAAGGGCAGGTGTTCAAGACCAGCCTAGACAACACAGCAAGATCTGCTCTTTACAAAAATATTTTTCAAAATTAAATAAATGTAGCTAGGCATGGTGATGTGTACTTGTAGTTTCAGCTACTCAGGAGGCTGAAGTGGGCAGATCTCTTGAGGTCAGGAGTTTGAGGCCAGCTTGGGCAACATAGCAAGACCCCTCACTCTACAAAAAAATTAAAAAAATAACCAGGCACGGTGACACTCAACTGTACTACCAGCTACTGGGGAGCTGAGGCAGGAAGATGGCTTGAGCCCAGGAGGTCGAGGCTGCAGTGAGCTGTAAGTGCACAGCTGCACTCCAGTCTGGGTGACAGAGCAGGACCTGTCTCACAATACAAATAAAAATACAAGTAAAATAATATCTCAAGTCAGAGCCTTTTGGCTCTGCAGCCCTTGCAACCCCTCAGCCATGCAGTGGGGTTTGCGTCCCTGGGAATGAGGAGACCCCTGCCCGGTGTTGTTGCCTGATTAATCAGTGTTTTAAAACATATATTAATCAGGGTGGGTGCAGTGGCTCACACCTGTAATCCCAGCAATTAGGGAGACCCAGGCGGGTGGATCACCTGAGGTCAAGAGTTCAAGACCAGCCTTGCCAACGTGGCGAAACTCCTTCTCTACTAAGAAAATACAATAATTGGCTGGACATGGTAGTGGGCGCCTGTAATCCCAGCTACTTGGGAGGCTGAGGTAGGAGAATCGCTTGAACCTGCGGGGTGGAGGTTGCAATGAGCTGAGATTGCGCCACTTCACTCCAGCCTGGGCAAAAGAACAAGACTTTGTCTCAAAGAAAAAAAAAAGTGTTATATCAACGTGTAATGGTTTTATTATTAATATGTAATGAATATTAAATATTTTTAAAATCTTGTATTATATCAACATGTAATGGCTTTAATATGTAATGAATAATATTTTAAAAATTGTGTCTTATTTTCTAGTTTTAATATAATTATCTGCAGAAAGAAATAGTCTTAGAGATCTTCAATAAAGTTAAAAAATGTAAAGGGATGTTAGACCCCAAAAGATTGAGAATTTCTAGTTTAGAAATATTCAGAGTAAGCCACATACAACTTGCTACTTGAACTATTTTTTTTCTTTGCTTTTTATTTTAGGAGATGGGGTATCACCCTGTCACCCAGGCTTGAGTACAGTAGTGCTATCACAGCTCACTGCAGCCTTGAACTCCTGGGCTAAGGATCCTCCTACCTGAGCCTCCTGAGTAGCTAGGACTGTAGGTATACATGACGATACTTGGCTAATTTTTAAATTGTTTTGTAGACATGGGGTCTCACTTTGTTGGCCAGGCTGGTGTCAAACGAATGGCCTCAAGTGACCCTTCCACCCCTGCCTCCCATCCTAGAGGTATGTGCCACCACAAGGAGCACTTGTTCAATTTTCTAAAGGAAAAATTTCTAAAGTAAGGCTGTGGGATGATGGCAGGAAGATAAAAGAAAAACAGAAGAATAAGTTAAAATGACTTATTCACACATATTCTTTTGACAGCAAGAAGAACTTTTAGTATATACATTCCTTACAAACAAACAAAAGGCAGATAAACAATGTTGTATAGGAACTTCAACACACACTGTACAATATTCCCACTTTGCTGACATAAGTTATGGAAATTTCATGGTTTACTTGAGTGTCGCTACCAGTATTTTGCTTCTCTGATGATTTTTATCAACTTCCTCATCTGTTAACTTCTCTCCAAGGTATGTCATGTCACAACATACTGCCGCTGCACGAACATGGCCAGTGTCTTCCTATTAAACATGTAGAATGCTTTCCTAATTTCTCTTTTTACTCTCTGTCTTTGTGTTCTGCATTTTCCTTACTTTTATTGTCAGAAACTCCAGAAAGTCAATCGTACTAATTTATCACGATTTGCTTTATTAATTTATACTTTGCTTATATGGAATTTTGCCCAGCAGACCTCATTACAATTTCTAACCTGTTTTATTTTGTTTTTTTTTCTGAGACAGGGTCTCCCTCTGTTGTCCAAGGCTGGAGTGTAGTAGTGCTATCACAGCTGACTGCAGCCTCAACCTTCTAGGCTGAAGCGATCCTCCCATCTCAACCTCCCACGTGGCTGAGACTACAGGTGCTTGCCACTATGCCCAACTAATATTTGGAATTTTCGTATACGTGGATTCCAGAGGGGTGACAGCGAAATGTGAGTAAGCATGGATTTTGGTATATGCAGAGATGGGGGGCTGGAACTAATTCTGTATACTGAGGAACGACTGTATATGTTTTTACAATTACGCTGTAGGATACATACTGTTGCATAGCCTTGAAAATAATAATTTTTAATTGAGTGGAATAATAATAATATTGATAAAAGTAGCAGCTGGCCAGGTGTGGTGGCTCACACTGGTAATCGCAACACTTTGGGAGGCTGAGGCAGGAGGATGGCTTGAGGTCAAGAGTTTGCGATAGGCCTTGGAAACAAAGGGAGTCACCATCCCTACAGAAAAATACATGAATTAGCCTAGTGTGGTGGCATGTTCCTGTAGTCCCAGCTACTTGGGAGGCTGAGGTGGGAGGATCACTTGAGCCCAGGGAGGCTGAGACTGCAGTGAGTCATGATCAGGCCTCTGCACTCCAGCCTGGGTGACAGAGTGAGACCCTGTCTCAAAACAACAAAAAAGTAGCAGCTAACATCAACTGACCTTTTACCAGGTGCCTATTGATACCATAGTTTAATTTCTTATAACTGTTTCTTATTTCACTTACCAACTCTGTCTTCAGTTACTCCCAGATTTTTACTGTGTGTGTACAGATGACCTTTTGTTTAGATTGAATTGTCTCCCCAGAAGTAAGATTACTGTGAGTCATGGTGAATGGACATTCTCATTACCCTTGATGTAAATTGACAGGGTTTTGGGTGCCTCCTAGCTATAATCTTAGCACTTTGGGAGGCTAAGAGAGGAGGATTGCTTGAGGCCAAGAGTTGGAGGAGGCAGTATGGCAGTATGGTGAGACCCTGTCTCTATTATTTTAAAAAATTGACAGGCTTTACCCTGGAAGGCTTATACACAATTTAAACACCCCTCATAGTATAAAAAAGTGCCCATTTCACTGCACCTTTGCCAGCACAGGGTATTATAATTTAGTAAGTCATTTTTTGTTTGATTATTTTACATAGACAAAAGAACTCATATTACTTTACTTGTCACATTTCAACATCTTTCCTCAGCTTATTAGCTCTATTTCTTTTCTGTCTGTAAATGGTTATTGTTGTTTTGTTCTTTGAGACAGGGTCTTGCTCTGTCACCAGGCTGGACTGTAGTGGCATAATCATGCCTCACTGCAGCCTTGACCTCCCAGGCTCAAACTTCCGCATTCCGAATAGCTGGGACTACAAGTGTGCACCACCACCCCCAGCTAACTTTTTTCTTCTTTTGGATAGAGACAGGGTCTCACTGTGTTGTCCAGACCGGTCTCTAGCTCCTGGCCTTAAGCAATCCTCCTGCATTAGCTTCTCAAATTGCTGGAATTTCAGGCATGAGCCACCGTGCCTGGCCTGGGCTAGTCCTATATTCTCTAGAGTTCTCTTTACTTTGTGCTAGTCAATCTCTCATTATGCTGTTCACCTGTTATAATGAATAATTCTCTGTATTAAATTTTACCACTTTAAACTTTTGAGTGGTTTATGCTTCCTGATTGGACTCTGACTAATATGTTAGGAAGGGTCCCAGGAGATAAACCCACACAGATGGGATTTGGGCAGTGCTGAGCTCTTTGCCAGTGGGAAATGGGATGCTGGTGATTTCCAGTAGGTGACCTCACAGTGACTCAAGCTACCACTTACTGTTGATTGTGACGAAATGCCAGCTGAGGCACATGCCTTGGGAGCTAAGTGGTTGCTGCACTTGACCACTGTGAAGACTGGTGTGGGAAGAAGGGTCGTTTCTGATGCACTTGAGCAGGGGTCCCCAACCCCTGAGCCATGGAGCCGCAAGGAGCCACACAGCAGGAGGTGAGTGGTGTCGAGTGAGGGAGTGAGGAAAGCTTCGTCTGTATTTACAGCCACTCCCCTTTGCTCACATTCCCGCCTGAGCTCCACCTTCTCAGATCAGCAGCAGCATTAGATTCTCATAGAACGCACCCTGTTGTGAACCGTGCATGTGAGGGATCTAGGTTGCGCTGTCCTTAATGAGAGTCTAATACCTATTGATCTGTCACTTCCTCCCATCACGCTCAGGTGGGACCATCCAGTTGCAGGAAAACAAGCTTAACACGCCCACTGATTCTACATTATGGTGAATTCTATAATTATTTTATTATATATTACAGTGTAATAATGGAAATGAAGTGCCTAATAAATGTGAATGTGCTTAAATCTTTTGGCCCAGCTCCTACCTCCCGGCAGCCTCTCCAGGCCCAGAACTTTCTCCAGTCAGCCTCTACAGACCAAGCTCATGACTCACAATGGCCTATTTAGGCCCATACCCTACCTCACGGCAGTCTCCGCAGATGAGCCTACTGCCTCACAACAGCCTCCACAGGCACAGCTCCATCGTTACAATGGCCTCTTTAGACCCAGCTCCTGCCTCCCAGCCTTCTCTCCAGGCCCTGAACTTTCTCAAGTCGACCTCACCAGGCCCAGCTCATGCTTCTTTGCAGCCTCTCCAGGCCCAACTCCTGCATCTTGGTGGCCCCTCCAGGCCCAGCCTGTGCCTCCCGTCGGCCTCTACAATCCCAACATCTGCCTCACAGCAGATTCTTCACGCCCAGCCTCTGCCTCACAGTGGACCCTCCAGACCCAGATGGTGTCTCACTGTGGCATCCTCAGGCGAAGCTCCTGCCTTTCAGCAGCCTCTCCAGGCCCAGCTCCTCCTGCCTCCCAGTGGCCTCTTTCGGCCCAGCCCAGCTCATGCCTCCCGGCGGCCTTCCCAAGCCCCGCTTTTGACTTTTGGTGGCCTCTGCAGGCCTCGACAAGGCCCAGCCTCCTGCCTCCCGAAGGCCTGCACAGGCCCAGCCTCTGCCTCACAGCGGACTCTCCACGCCCAGCTAGCTCTCGCCTCACTGCGGCCTCCCCAGTCCAAAGCTCCTGCCTTTCGGCCACTTCGGCAGGTCCAGCTACTGCCTGCCAGTGGCCTCTTTAGGCCCAGCTCATTCCTCACAACGGCCTTTCCAGGCCCCGTTTTTCCCTTCCGGCAGCCTCTTGGCTTCTAATTTGTTTATCTTTTGTGTATAAATCCCAAAATATGGAATTTTGGAATATTTCCACCATTATATATTTTGGTCGGTAATTTATTTGGAGTGAGTTTCTGCACCATGCCCGAATTTTTTATTTTATTTTCCTTATTATTTGGTGTTAAACAGGTTTAATGACAGTCATGGCAACTTTTTGGCACAATGAAAAATATCGCCCATGATCAACGTGTTCTGTTCTGGGGAAGGGGGCAAAGGCAGGGTGAATCACTTTCTTAAAAAGTATAGCTCAAGTTGGGAGTGCAGAGGGAATGGGGAGAAAACCCTCCCGCTGCCTGTGTCGAAGTGCAGGAGCCCCCACCCCCATACTCACCTGAGTCCAGCCCCTCTGGGGAAAGAAGGGGTGCATGAACTCCCCCTAGTCCACAGGCGCCTCCCTGTGGCCCAAGGCCCTCTTCACACTCCATCTTGTAGCCCCAGCAGGAGCTATTTTCTGAAAAGTGAAAAGCTCTGAAGGTCCCACAATTCATGGTATGTACAGGGGCTCGGAGGAGGGAAACTGCCCAGCTTTCCCCCGGCACAGCTGCAGGGGTAGGGGGTATAGATAAGAGGAGCAGGCCTTGGCCAGGCGTGGTGGCTCACGCCTGTAATCCCAGCACTTTGGGAGGGGGAGGCAGGCAGATCACGATGTCAGGAGATCGAAATCAGCCTGGCCAAGATGATGAAGCCCCGTCTGTACTAAAAATACAAAAATTAGCCGGACGTGGTAGTGTGCACCTGTAATCCTAGCTACCCGGAAGGCTGAGGCAGGAGAATGGCGTGAACCCAGCGGGAAGAGGTTGCAGTGAGCCAAGATTGCACCACTGCACTCCAGCCTGGGCAACAGAGCAAGACTCGGTCTCAAAAAAAAAAAAAAAAAAAAAAAAAGAGGCAGGCCTTACTCCGTCCCAAACTGAAAGGATTAAATGGCTTTACCTGGGAGAAGATAACCATCCTGCCCTCCGTTGCTACCCTCACATACTGTCCATGTTCTCAAGGGGTACTGTGAGTCCTGGGATCTTTGGGGTTGCCCACCTGCCTGTGGTAGTTATGGAGACCCCCAGGTGTTGAGGCAGGGCTGGGGTGTCCCCTTCCAACCAGGCTGTCAAGGCCCCAACTCTGGGGCAGAGGCAGTGGCAGGGCAGCCAGGGTTGCGCCAGAGCCTGAGCAGATTGAGGTGGGGTCAGGCAGGGCTGGGAGTCAGGGCAGGGGCAGCAGCAGTGGACCCGCTATGCACACATCTTCTCCAAGGTTTGTGTGCAGAACATCCTGCCCATGCTGCCCCAGCAGCTTCAGTTGGCACCTGCCCCAGTCCAGCCTCTGGGAACCACGCAGCAGCTCCCAGCGGCCCTGCACCCACCACCAGCATCCGTTTCACCTGCAGTTGAAGATCCGTGAGGTGCCCAGAAGATCATGCAGTCATCAGTCCCACGGAGCAGCCCGTGAGGCTGAGGCTCCTCCCACTGGACCGCCCCCCGACTGGCACCACTGCTGCCCCTGCCCCTACTCTCAGCCTCACGTGACTCTCGGGCAGAGGCAGTGGTGGGGCAGCCAGGGCAGCGTCAAGAGTCTGAGCCAGGTGAGGTGCGGTCAGGACCCCCACAGGGCTGGGAGTCAGGGCAGGGGCAGAACAAACCTTGGAGGGGAAGATGTGTGCATAGTGGGCCTGGAGGGTGGCTGTGGCCTAGTGGACAGGAAGAAGCAGTGGGCCTGGAAGAGCTGCATGATCAGGGCCGGCACTGGTCCAGGGCACGTGCAGTGAAGAGGACAGCGCCTTCTCGGTCTCCGGTTCCCTGAGCCTGTCCTCGGCTTCTCCACCTGTACAGGCAAAGGGGAAGCTGTCCCCATCACACATGGAACACTTGGGGGTGTTGGGCTTTGGACTGCAGCTGGAGCATCTTCTCATCTTGCATTTGGGCGTGGTGGGGTCCTCCAGTGTGGGGGATCCATGTCCGTGGGGTTCCCTCTGCCCTGACCCCGAAAGCCCAGTCAGTTTCTCTTCAGGCTCTGCCCCCCGGGTGGCTCAGCCCAGCTCCTGCCTAGGAAAGCCTTAGTGTTGGGAGGGACCCTGATGACTGAGGAGCCTGGTAGCTCCAGGTCGCCCACACTTTCTGGTCTCTTGCACCAGAAGGTGGCAGGATCCATTGGGAGGAAACAGGTCACCTTGGAAGGCGTCCCTGGGCCCCCATCCCCAGGGGTAGGGGTCATAGGGGGCCCGCTCTGCTGTCTTGACCAGACTCCTGGGCTTTGAAGGCTCCTGGGCCCAGTAAGAAGGAGGTGGGTGCCAAGGTTGAGGGGGAAGCATCCGAGTATGTGTAGGAGGAGGACAGGGTGGGACCATAGACTTTGCCAAAAGCTGCTGGTGGATCGGGGGACCCTGGGGGCTCAGGATCTAGCAAGGGGGCGGCAGGAGTAAAGGAGGAAGGAATGACAGGTGCAAATACCTTCCCACCAAAGCCCTTGTTGCCCTCTGGCTCCTCCCCAGAGTTGTCCCCACTCTCAGTCGGTCACCCACTCCTTGAACTTGAGATCGGTGTCAGTGGTGCTAAAGCCATCATCAGCAATGACATCATCACCCCCTCCTCCTCATGGATGACCGTGTGCTCCTCGTCACTCGCTATGTCCTCACTGGCCATGTGCTGGGAATGAGCAGCTCAGGTGGGCAGCAGCAGGGCTGCCCACTGGTCACCTCCCTCACCAGGGGCTGCAAAGTGGCCTGGAGCTCCATACTGAGTAGAAGGCTTTGGGCCAGAGTATGATGCAGTGCCAGACACTACCTGTGTCAGTTCCCGTAGTGCCTGACGGTCTATTTCCCTGCCTTCCAGGCTGTGTACCCCGCTGTGGGAGAAGGCTTGGGCCAGGCTGAGCCAGGTTTCCTGACTGTGTGCAGCCGTTCTGCCCCACAGAAGCTGCTCCTTGGTATCTGAGCTCTGGAGTGTTTGGGCTGCAACTGACAGGAGTTCAGAGGACACCCCAGGGGCAGTGGCAGTGCCTGTCTCTGATATGCTCCGCTCCCACGAGCCCTTGTTACACTCCTGCTAGCCCCTGGCTTGTGGGCTTGGCCTCTGAGCTGGACTTCTTTCGGTCCTTGTTGCAAGTGGGCCACCTTCACCTGGAAGGCCAGGTCATGGTATTTCTGTGTCTCATTGGGCCCCAGGATGTACCACCGCTCGCTCAGCATCTGGCTGATGGTCCGGTTATCCTGGTTGGGGTGACCCTGGTGCGCCCTGCCAGGGCCTGGTGCCGCTTGCTCAAGATCATGACCGCCACTCATGGGCCACCAGATGTGGTCCTTGTCCCATTTGTTGGGGCTGCGTCCATCCTTCTCAGAAGATGAGTCCTGTTCCTTGCGCGGGGCAATGAGGGACTGGGCCTGACATCATCTGAGCGGTAGAGGCAACTGGGTGTCAGGAGACATGATGGAGAGGAAAGCATCATCATGGTCATTCTCTGTGTCACTGTCCAGCAGGGACTCCCCTGAGGGGCCCAGGGCTCCTCCTCCATGGTGGGAGGTGAGCTTTTACCAGGTTCCACCACCCCCAAAGTGTGTGGGGTTGCGGGCCCTGGGCTTTCAGGGCAGGTGGCTCCAGGGGGCCGCCCAGGGTCAACGCTCCCTGTCCCACCTGGTGGACACTCATGAGCAACAGCTGCCAACTTGGCAGGTTGTTTTCTCTGGTTGGAGGCCACTGAGTGACTGGCAGGTTGCTGGGCCTCGTGTGGCTGCAGGGAGGGGTCAGGAAGGGGATGGAGTACCAGGGGAACATGGCCACAGAGTGAACTTCCACATTCCTCCACACGAACATGCTGACGCCACGGGAGGCCTCACTGAACGCAGGCCTGGGGGCCGAGTACTTGGTCCGGGCAGGGGGTTCCTGGCAGGGGCTCACACCTCCTCGCCCCCTCCTCAGCCAAGGTGGCTTGGGCCCAGAGAAGGGGAGGTTGGAGAGGAGCAGAAGGCCAGGCCTCAAGTTTTGTTTTTTTTGTTTGTTTTGTTTTTTGTTTTTGAAATGTAGTTTGACTCTTGTCACCCAGGCTGGAGTGCAGTGGCACGATCTCAGTGGCCTTCATACCTGGCTAATTTTTTGTATTTTTACTGGAGGTGGGGTTTTGCCATGTTGGCCAGGCTGGTCTTGACCTCCTGACCTCAGGTGATCCACCCACCTCGGCCTCCCAAAATGGGATTACAGGCATGAGCCACCGCTCCCAACTTCATTCATTTTTACTTGAAAAACTCCCTTAAGCATTTTTTTAAGGTAGACCTACTGGTCCTGAATGCCCTGAGCTTTGTTTGTCGAGGAAACATGTTATTTCTTCTTTCTTTCTGAAGGACAGCTTTGTCAGACATAGTATTAGTTGCTGGCAGTTTTTTTCTTTCAGCACTTTGAATGTATTATTCGATTCTGTCCTGACCTGCAAAGTTTCTTTAACTTTTGACTATTTGATTATATTGTGACTTGGTGAGTATCTATTTGGTTTGAACCTCTTTAGGAATCTTTAAGCTTCATGGATTTAGATGTCTAAATCTTTCCCATGATTTAGGCAGTTTTCAGCCATTCTTTAAATAAGCTTTCTTCTCCTTTCTCTACTTTCCTTGTCAAACTCCCATAACCTGACAATGGTTTGCCTAATGGTGTCTTGTTGGCTTTCTTTTCTCTGTCTCTTTTTTTTTCTTTTTTTTTTTTTTTTGAGACAGAGTCGTGCTCTGTCACCCAGGCTGGAGTGCAATGTGTGGTCTTGGCTCACATTGCACTCCAACCTCCGCCTCCTGGGTTCAAGCGATTCTCCTGCCTCAGCCTCCCAAGTAGCTGGGACTACAGGTGTGTGCCACCACACCCGGCTAATTTTTGTATTTTTAGTAGAGATGGGGTTTTGTCATGTTGGCCAGGCTGGTCTTGAACTCCTGACCTCTTAATCTGCCTGCCTCGGCCTCCCAAAGTGTTGGGATTACAGGCTTGAGCCACCACGCCCAGCCTTCTTTCCTCTTTTTTATTCTTTTTTTCTTTGTCCTCTGACTGGATAATTTCAGAAGATCTATATTCAAGTTTACAGATTCTCTCTCCTGTTGAAGTTTACTATTGTGTTATATCACCCAGTCTGGTCTTGAACTCCTGGGCTCAAGCGATCCTCCCACCTTGGCCTCCCAAAGTGCTGAGTTTACAAGCATGAGCCACTGCATCCAGTCAGTCCCAGCACTTTGGGAAGCTGACGTGGGAGGATCACTTGAGCTCAGGAGTTTGAGACCAGCCTGGGCAACATACTGAGAACTTGTCTCTATATTTAAAAAAAAAAAAGTCTTTGGGAGGCCAAAGCGGAAGGATCACCTGAGGTCAGGAGTTCGAGACCAGCCTGGCCAACATGGCAAAACCCCATCTCTACTAAAAATACAAAAATTAGCCAGGTGTGGTGGCACATGCCTGTAGTGGTGGTGCATGCCTGTAGTCCCAGCTACTCAAGAGGCTGAGGCAGGAGAATCACTTGAACTGGGAGATGGAGGTTGCAGTGAGCTGAGATCGCACCAGTGCACTCCAGCCTGGGCAACAGAGTGAGACTCCATCTTATAAAAGGAAAAAAGAAAGAAAAGACAAATTCCATATCTGAGTGTTTACTCCTGAGTTTTTGAGATTGTTATTAAGATCGTGCTCTACTGTGATGATTTGGGTTTGCTTGATAATCAGAAAAAAGCATATTCTTTTGGGTGTTCAGCCCCACTGCTTTGGTGTCACAACTGCACATTGGTTTCACAGCTGCAGGACAAATTCGAGCATCTTAAAATGATTCAACAGGAGGAGATAAGGAAGCTCGAGGAAGAGAAAAAACAACTGGAAGGAGAAATCATAGATTTTTATAAAATGAAAGCTGCCTCTGAAGCACTGCAGACTCAGCTGAGCACTGATACAAAGAAAGACAAACATCGTAAGAAGCAAGTTTCTCTTACTATTCTGAGAGCCTTATCATTCTACATCCCATCTTCCTGTGAGATTGTCTTTGTAGCATTTAACTCTAATTGCAGTTCTCTTTTTAAAAATTGGCTTGCTTATTGTATATTTTCCCCCAACTAAAGCGTGAACTCCTAGCAGGGCGTGGTGGCTCATACCTGTAATCTCAGCACTGTGGGAGGCCGAGGTGGGTCGACTACCTGAGGTTAGGAGTTCGAGACCAGCCTGACCAACATGATGAAATGCTGTCTCTACTAAACATACAAAAATTAGCTAGGCGTGGTGGCTGGGACCTGTAATCCCAGCTACTTGGGAGGCTGAGGCAGGAGAATCACTTGAACCCTGGAGGTGGAGGTTGCAGTGAGCCGAGATCTCACCATTACACTCCAGCCTGGGCGACAAGAACAAAACTCCATCTCAAAAAAAAAAAAAAAAAAAAAGGGTGAACTTGAAGGCAGGTCCTGTGTCCATCTTTTCAGATTCTGTATCCCAGCACTTAGGACATAGACAAACACGAAGATGACGAAGATGACAATCAATATTTGCCAAAATGAAAAAACAAAAGAAACATGTAACATCATGTAAAAGAAGCTGGTTAGGTGGAGAAATTTCTTTACCATAGTCTTGCTTGTGGATCCAGTAGTGACTTTTACATTTTATATCTAAATAGAAGCTGGAGGCTTTGCTGGGGTACTCATAGGCATAAAATATGTTATTTATTATAGAGTTAAATGCTACAAAGACAAATCTAATTAATAGGCCTATTTTCCTTTTTAAGTTCTACTCATAATTTCTTCATAGTTTTTATGATAAAAAGGTTGGATTTTGATTAGAACTCCCATGCTTTTGTGTCAGAATTAAAACTGGTATTAGAATAAATAATTCAAAAGCTAGAGAAAGAGTACAATGAGAAGCCATGAGTTGCATTTGAATTATAATATTATGTCTTACAGATTTGGGGTATATGCTAAAGTTACCAAAGTTGTAGAAAATAAGGCCGGGCATTGTGGCTCACATCTGTAATTCCAGCACTTTGGGAGGCCGAGGTAGACGGATCATTTGAGGTCAGGAGTTCGAGACCAGCCTGGCCAACATGGTGAAACTCCGTCTGTACTAATAGTACAAAAATTAGCCAGGCGTGATGGTGTGCACCTGTAGTCCTTGCTACTCAGAAAGCTGAGGCAGGAGAATCGCTTGTACCCAGGAGGCAGAGGTTGCAGTGAGCAGAGATTGTGCCACTGCACTCCAGCCTGGGTGACAGAGTGCTATGAGTCACCACACCTGGTATGAGCCACCGTGCCTGGCCCACAATGACTTTTACACATGTTGTTAAATCATCTTACAGATTTTATAATTTGGGGGAAGAAAAGTTTTACTAAATGGTCTTTTAATGGAAACTCTACAAGAACCAGAATCTTTGCTTTGTTCACTTATGTATCCATTCCTAGGCCTAGAAAAATGTCTGACACATAGCGGCAATTATTCATTGAATAAATGGACCCAGCGATAGTACATTAGCTATGCTATATGCATACATTAAAGATGTAGATTATTGACTTTCAAAAGATAATTAATGTAAGTTCTTACTGCTTCTGAACATGTTTGTGAGTTATATTGCTGAGGGACCTTTATCTTCTCATTCTTTCATCTTAACCCAGTGTTATAAAATTGAAATCACCAATATTATTCCATATCTAAAATTAATATCTACCTTGTAAAAAATATCACTCTGCTGCATTTGACAATAGACTTTTTAGGTAATAATGATGCAATCCATAGGGTTTTTTGGGGGCACAGAGGGATTCATGCTAACAGAACATTTTATTTTCTATTTTCCCAGAGCTGTAAAACATGAAATTGGGGTAGTATAAGGCATATTTTTACTCTTTTTATAATTTTTTCTAAAAAAAATTAGTGTTTGTTCCCTATATAACTTTTAACTTTATAGGTAAATATTTGTCTCTTTCAGCTCCAGTTTTATGTGAAATAGAGTTTTCAGATTTATGTAGCATGGAAAGTTTTAATACGTCAGAGTTACTGATTTTTGCCATTTTCTCAATTATTTCTTTTTTATCTTTAGTTGATTTTTTTGTAGTGACACATTTTGTTTCTAGTCTCATTTCCTTTTGTTTATATTCTATGTATATTTCGTTTTTGGTTACTATGAGAATTACATATAACATCCTAGAGTTATAACATTTTAATTTGAATTTATTTCAACTTAAGTTCAATCACATACCAAAATTCTACTGCTATACATATAGCTCTACTCTTTTTATGTTATTGATGTAACAAATTATATCTTTATTCATTGTATACCAGCTAACAGATTTACAATTACATTTTATGCATTTGCCTTTTAAATTATGTAGAAAATAAAAAGCAGAGTTAGAAACCAAAATTACAATAGGACTGTTTTTACGTTTGTTTATGTATTTACCTTTACCAGAGAGCTTTGTATATTCATACAGCTTGCTTATTTACTTATATAGTTATTACCTAGAGTTCATTTATTTCAACCTGAAGGACTTAACACTTCTTGAATGGCAAATTCAGGGATAAATGGATTTTTTTTCAGTTTTAAAAAAAAATCTGGAAATGTCTTAATTTCTCCCTCATTTTTGAAGGATAAGTTTTCCAGCTATAGATTTCTCAATTGACAGGTTTCTTCATTATTTTAAATATACAATCCACTGCCTACTGGCCTTCAAGGTTTCTGCCAAGAAATCAGCTGCTAATATTATCTGGATCCCTATCTGTGAGAGTTGCTCTTCTCTCTGAGCTTTCAACATTCTCCCATTATCTTTTGTTTGTTTGTTTTTGAGACAAATAATTGTACATATTCATGGGATACAGAGTGATATTTTGATACATGTATACAATGTCCAATGATCAAATAAGGATAATTAGCATATCCATCACCTCAAATATTTGTCATTTATTTGTATTGTGAACAGTCAACATTCTTTCTTCTAGTTTTTTAAATTTATAAACATTTAAATTTTATTACAGAAATTTAAATTTTTTGATTCTGAAAAAGTCATATATGTATGCAACATCGTTTTATCATTTATTTATATATTTATGCATCTTTCCTTTTAGTTTTGACAGAGATTTTCTATTTTATCATTATTTCAAAAGAACTCTTACCTGTATTTATTTATCAATTATATTTCCCTTGTTTTTTCCTAGTATATTAATTTATTTATCTTCTAAAAATCCTCCATATAATCTGTTTATTTTGTTTCCTTTCTATAATTTCTTCAATGATTAGTTCTGTTCTATTTTCCATTAAAATATTTAAATCTCGTATGAATTTTTGTCAGATTAGAAATTTAGGGCATTTCTTAATTTCTCTATATTCTAGCTTTTGACTTTTTTTTTTCTGACCTAAGAGGTATTTAGAGCACATTTTAGATTTTTTATTTTGACTAATCATTTAAAATGTATACTAATCTTCAATTTAAATAAAAAACTGGTCTATAGTGACAAAAATTACAAATGAGCCTAACTAATAAATTATCAGCTGTGTTTATATGTATAAGCATGCACAGATTTTGGTAAATATGTACATAGTATATTGGTGAGCTTATTTTTATCATTCTTAACTCGTTGTGTAGTCTAAACGTTGGGGAAAAAATAAAATACAATAATCAGATGGTGTGAATAGGAAAATTGTTCTACTGTTTGTAAACCAAGCAACTGTTTTAACTGCTCCCCTCTTCCTGATTGACTTCTAAAAGGGATTAATCCATATTGGGTCCTATCATATATGTCACGGTATAACATCTCCAGCTATAAAATGGAAATTTGAGAATAACTTTGCTGCTACTCGGATACATTTTATTTCAAAAACATACACTAAGGTGTTGCTGTTGGATCTTTCCAAAAACATATTCACACAGAACTTTCAATCACACTGAGCCATATTTGAACAATCTTTCAAGGTCAGCTCTGGCATAAGCTAACATTATACCATTTAACTCAGAAATTTCTTTAGTATTTGATTAATGGGTTTATGTTTGATATGTAATGTAATTTTCTAATGCTAAATCAAGTGGTAATTTTGTTAGTCAAGTTGATTTAGTGGCTTGGGAAGAAAGCTTTTAATGTTCCCCTAATTTTTCTTACCTTTGACATGATCCTTCACATGTCTTATTTTGCTTAGTGATTTTTCTTTTTCTTTTTTTTTTTGAGACAGGGTCTTACTCTACCACCCAGGCTTGAGTGCAGTGGTGCGATCACAGCTCATTGCAGCCTTGACCTCCCAGACTCAAGCTATTCTTCCACCTCAGCCTCCCAAGTAGCTGGTACTACAGGCACATGCCACCAAACTTGGCTAATTTTTGTATTTTTTGTAGAGACAGAGTTTTGCCAAATTCTCAGGCTGGTCTGGAATTTCTGGGCTCAAGTAATCCTGCCTTGGCCTCCCAACATGCTATATTACAGACATAAGCCACAGTACCTGGCCAGTTTTCTTTTTTAAAAAATCTATTGGTTATTAATTTGAAGCCTTCCTTTTCATAGCTGTGCTCCTTAATTTGGAGCAAACATGAATGGACCACAACTTAGCCAATTTTCTATATACGATCTTTGCCATCCTAATTTAAAGGAATATTAATTCTTTCTTTTCCTCTTTCATTCCACAAACCTGTATTGACTACATCTAAGTTCTAAATGGTGCACTGGATGTTGAAAAAGTTGATGATGAGCAAGAACAAAATTCCTCCTTTCAGGAGACTTACAGTTCAATGTGGGAAATATAATTTGTTAAAATATAAAAGTGCAATTGTGTTACATGCTGTACGAAGTACATGTTGACATGTGAGTATATAATAAATGGGCTGGAGGCCAGAGGATTGCCAAAGAGAATGGGCCTCCTGCTGAGATGAAAAGTTGAGCAGGGATTAGTTGGCGAAAGTGGAGGGACGATCCTTTCTAGGCAGGAGGAAGAACATGTACAGAATCTCTGAGGTGTGATGCAACAAAGTCTATATAAAAAACTGAAGAAAGGTCTAATGTGGCTTAAATACAGAAGCCAGTAGGAGAGGAGTTGAAAAGAGGCTGGAGAAGTAGAAAGTGTCTGCATTCTGCAGGAACTTATATTGTATAAAAAGAATTTCTCTTTATTCTAAGTGCAATGTGAAGCCAATGAAGTGCTTTAAACAGGTGATGTGATTTGATTGAATTTATTACTTCACTTAACAAATATGCATTACATGCCCACTGTTTGTCAGATATTGCTGTAGCCCCTGGTGATACAGTAGGGAATAAAACAGGCAAAAATCCCTGTCCTCTTGCAGCTTATAATGGACTGCAATGTTTAATATGTCAGAGGAGGTCCACGGAGGAGTGACTTCTAAGCAAGAATCTGAAAAAAATGAGGATATCTAAGGAGGGAACAAATGGTTCAAAAGCCCTATAATTGCAAGCAGGCATGATGAAGCAATTGTAGTTGTCCTGACTCTCAACACCGTGGAACTCAAAGGAGATGGAAAGATTCTTTCTCTCCCTCATATATTTTCTCTCTTTCTGTCTATATATATAGAATATGAGACATTTCCCTAATCATTATGTGTAATTACAATTACATATATATATGTTTATATATTACATACATATATATGTAATTGTAATTACACATAATGATTAGGGAAATGTCTCATATTCTACTCAGAAATAAGCAATATAGCAATTACTGTTTTTTACATTTTACAGTTACAGTTTCAGAGAAAGTTTGATATTTATCTAAAATTTTTCAATGTATGAACTTTTTCATTTGGCAAACCATAATTGTACATATTCTTGGGATACAGAGTGATATTTCTTTACATGTATAGAATGTGTAGTGATCAAATCAGGGTAATTTCCACTAATTTAAAATGCCACCTTTATGTTATTGTAATTTATATATATACTATATATATATACACACACACATATATATACATGTCCACATACAGTGTGTGTGTGCACATGTACACACATGCATATGTGTATATAATGCCCAGTATAAGCAATGTGCACAAATAAAATTAGCTAACAGAGATAGTATAGAGTGAGAGGAGAGGCAGATTAATCTTTGAGGAAAAGCACAATTTTATGGCTGAATGGAGAAAGCTGAGGTGGTTTCTAAGATGGAGAATAAGACGAAAAATGTAAGTACGTTGTTTGACTGAATTCAAGAAAGAAGGGTAAAAGAGAAGAAAGTAGTGGTCTTATCATTAAATGCCACAGAGAGGTAAAGATAAAAACAACATATTGTTTTGGGTTTAGTAATTTAAGGGTTACCAAATTCCGTTTTGGAGGAGGAACAGATTCCATGTCCACTAGAATGGAATGAACAAGAAATGGAGGAGGAAAATAGGTAGTTTTTCAAAAGTTTTCAAAAATATGAAAAGAAGAAATGAAATGGTACTTGGAAGAGATTGTTGAAATGGGAGAGACTATGGTGGCTTGTTTAGAAGCAGTTGAGATCCAATTGAGATAGAGATATTGACTATATAAACAAAAGAATGACAAATTAATAGTGTAATGGATAACTTGACTTTGGCAAATATTGTGAATTTTTGTGAAAGTACAACTAAAAGGCAATGTCACTCCAATAATCACCAGAGTAATCAATTTGCTTATTGCTGTCCCTTTAAATATAGTTCTCTGGTATCAACTAACATGTTTTTAACTAATGATGCTTCTTAAAGAAAAGGGAAAAGACCTTTTTCTTTCTTTCAGTCTTCAATGATTCACTGCTTCATCTCGCTCCACCAAAGATAAATGAAATCTGCATCTCTTATACATTAACAATGCATGACAATTTATAAATAGCTAAATTTTTGGAGCTGACTTTAAGTACCTGAATGGAATTTAATCAACCCACTAATCTCCTTCTCACTTCTCAGTTATTTATCAAGTTTATGTTAAGGGACAAGGAAAAATTATCCAAACATTGTTTAAAACAATCATCATTAATTAGTAACACTTATCCAGGGGGGTTTTTAAGCTTTCCCCCACTCAAGGATTATTCTAATGTCAGAGTAGAATAAAAAATAAGTGCAGCGATGCTGACTCTTCCAAGCTTAACATTTCTCACAAGTCAATTAGCTTTGTACTGGGAGGAGGGCGTGAAGGGCTGCTTGCGGTAGTTATGTAGCAGCAGCACAATGGCCGCAGACAAGGAAAACAGTTTCTAGGAATTCCTCGTATATAATTTTATATTTTTGACAAGATTAATGACCCATGCTCCCTTCCTCTCCATTTCTTTTTTTGGAATTCTGTTGGTATGTAGTTACTATATTTTATTAAAGGAAATTAGCCTTATCTCTTATTATATTTTATTAAAGAAAATTATTATATTCCTTTATATTTTTATTAAAGGATTTTATTATTATTATTATTATTAAAGGAAATTAGCCTTATCTCATTATATTTTTTATGACCTTCAAAGTAGTGTCTCTGCTTAAAAGTGTACCCTGGTCGGGCGTGGTGGCTCACACCTGTAATTCCAGCACTTTGGGAGGCCGAGGCGGGTGGATCACGAGGTCAGGAGATCGAGACCATCCTGGCTAACACGGTGAAACCCCGTCTGTACTAAAAATGCAAAAAATTAGCAGGGCATAGTGGCGGGCGCCTGTAGTCCCAGCTACTCAGGAGGCTCAGGCAGGAGAATGGCGTGAACCCGGGAGACGGAGCTTGCGGTGAGCTGAGATGGCACCGCTGCACTCCAGCCTGGGCGACAGAGCAAGACTCCGTCTCAAAAAAAAAAAAAAAAGTGTACCCTGAAGCACACATCAAGTGACATGTAGAGTTCATAAATTCTGGCCAAATGGTCATACCTCAAACTTCATCAGCACTAAGGCTCTTTACTTGCACTGACAAATATGAACGCTGGGGAATTTGGAAATGATATATAATATATAATGTTATATATATAATAGATATATTATATATGTAATAGATATACAATATATAATATATATATAATATATATTATATATAATAGATATATAATATATATAATAGATATATATTATATATAATAGATATATAATATATATAATAGATATATAATATATATAATAGATATATATTATATATAATAGATATATAATATATATAATATATATTATATATAATATATATATAATAGATATATATTATATATAATAGATACATAATATATATAATAGATACATATATATAATAGATATATAATATATAATAGATATATATTATATATAATAGATATATAATATCTATTATATATATAATAGATATATAATATATATAATAGATATATATTATATATAATAGATATATAATATATAATAGATATATATTATATATAATAGATATATAATATCTATTATATATATAATAGATATATAATATCTATTATATATATAATAGATATATAATATCTATTATATATATAATAGATATATAATAGATATATAATATCTATTATATATATAATAGATATATAATAGATATAATAGATATATAATATTATATCTATAATAGATATATAATATATAACTTTCCATGTGATTTTCCTCTTAATTTTTTTCTAGCTGATCCATATGAATTCCTCTTATTAAGAAAAATAAAGCATCCAGGATTCAGTGAAGAACTGACTATCACCTTGTTAATCATTCAGAAACATGTTGCAGACTTAAGCCATTTTTGATATAGATACTGAAACAATTACTTGCTAAGAGCAAACTTGAAGGTATGGATAAGGCCCTGAGTCATCTTGCTGAGCTGAATGATAGTTAAGCTGAATGTACGTATAAAATATGATTTTCTAACCACTTGCTCGCCAACAAGGAAAACTTTTAAGTAGAGCAGAACCTGAATAGACAAGACATTTCTTTCTTTTGGTAGAAAATGATTTACCATCACTGTCTAGTTAATTGTAGACTAGGTAATTTTAACTTTGTGATTTATTGCCGGAGACATTTTCTTCTGTACTATAAAGTGTGTGTCAAAAAAAAAATAGCGATTTTGGAGGATTAGGGGAGTTTGATAAATTGCCTGCAATTCTGGCAGTATGAACTGCATATTAATTTCTCTCTTTCAAGAACATTTTTATTTATTAATTCCTTACAAAAACTCCCTAAACTTTGGAACAGCTCTCAATTGCCTGTATTCTTTTTTTTCTTATTATGGTACTCTTCTAGAGATTTGGCTTGCATCTATGAATAAGCCAGGACATCTTCAGAAATTGTCTGATTAAAAACACCACCAATGGAGTTTCATTAAATTTGTATTGCTCTGACTAGTGAAACACACACATCTATGCTGCTGAGGATATTTTTCTGCAGTTTGAGTTGTAATAATAGCTCTGTTTAAGATCTGTCAGTCACTTGAATCTTCTCTAAGGCTTTGTATGTTAGAAGTTAATTTGCTTTCTTACAAGGCCACATTCTATCTTGTAACTAAACAACTGAATTTTATGTCTTAGCGTAGATGGTTTATTACTTTCTGTTTTTTCTTTAGTAAGAATCCTATAAAAACACTAGTATTTTTCTCTGAGTTTAAAATTCAACACATGCCTACTGATATGGTTAGGCTTTGTATCCCCACCTGAATCTCATCTTGAATTGTAATCCCCATAGCCCCCATAATCCCCACAGGTCAAGGGAGAGACCAGGTGGAGGTAATTGAATCATAGGGGCAGTTTCCCCTGTGCTGTTCTTGTGATAGTGAGTTCTCACGAGATTTGATGGTTTTATAAGGGATTCTTTCCCCTTTGCTCTGCACTTCTTCATGCTGCCTTGCGAAGAAGCTGGCTTGCTTCCTCTTTGTCTTCCGCCATGATTGTAGATTTCCTGAGGCCTCCCAAGCTGTGCTGAACTGTGAGCCAATTAAACTTCTTTCCTTTATAAATTACCCAGTCTTGGGCAGTTCTTTATAGCAGTATGAAAACAGACAAATACACCTACTATGTAAAACTTAAAATACAAAAAAACAAAACATTATCTCACTAACGTAGGAGCTAATATTTTGGTGTACTTTGTTTAGTATTTTATATTAAAAATATGTACATATATTTATATATAATTAAGAACATGTATGTACAGTCGTGCATACATCATGTACATACATCTACTTAAGAAAATAGCTATGTAATATACCATTACTCAACTAGATTATAATTTTTTCTCCATTTCTTTATTGTAATTTATCATTTTCTACTTTTTTGTTTTCTCATTTTTATTGCATAATATTTAATTATGCAAAAAATACATTAAATACATTGAAAATATATAGTGTAGCTACAAGAATAAAGAACGATGGTAAAACAAATGCTAATACCCACTACCTGACTTAAAGAATATGATACTATTTTTTTCCAATTGAAATCCCCTCAACTACTCAGAATTACTGCTATCCCTTTTATCCTTTCATTAATTTTCTTCTAGTTTTCTCACATGTGAATCTATTTCTAAATACATTTCTTCATTTTGCAAGTTTTTGGACTTCATATAAATGTAACCATATTGTATATATTCTTCTTCAGCTTCTTACTTTTTCACTAAACAATATGTTTTGCTGATACTTACATTCATATGTACAGTAATAGTTGATTTATTTTAATGTCTATATATTATTCCATTGTTAGAATACACCAGGATTTATTTTTACTTATTTTTTTTGCTGGAAAATTGGGTGTCTTTTTTATTTTTTGATATAACAAACAATGTTGTAATCATTTTGTATTTACTTCCTAGTCCACTCCTGTAAGTTTCTCTTGAGTACATACTAGCAATGAAGATGCTGAGTCACTGCATATACATACTCACAACTTTATTCTATAATGTAATATTCTATAAAGTAGCTGTATCAGTTTATACTTTAACCAGTAATGGACAAGATTTTCTGTTACTTCCCATCTTTGTTAATTATTACTTTTAGACTCTAACTTTTATCAGGCTCATGGATGTAAAAAGCATCTCAGGGTGGTTTTAATTTGCATTTATCTGCTCATCTATGAAGATGAGCTTCTTTTCATATAATTATGAGTCATTATTTTTGTTTTGCCTTCTTTTGTTTATGCATTTTGCTTGTTCTATGTCTTATTTTTCCTGTTGATTTTTGGGAGTTCATATATATTCTAAATGTATATTTATTCACTCATATATATGTTGCAAATATTACAGTTTATGATTTGTCACCTTATGATATCATCCAAATAGAGAAGCTTTATATTTTGATGTAGTCATATGTTCATTTTTCCTCCTTAATGTTTGTTTTTCTTGGTTCTATGACCTACCAAAAGTAACAAAAATTCTCATTTATTTTTAATCTAAATGTTTTAAGTATTTTCCTGGAATTCACCTTGAATTGATTTCTATTGGAGATAGGTATCCAATCTAATTTGCCTCATATGGATAACCACTTGTTCTATTACTGCTGTAACAAATTTCTACAAACTAAGTGACCTAAAATAACACAAACTTGTCATCTTACAGTGTACACAAGTCAGAAATCAGGCATGAATTTTAGTGAACTAAAATCAAGTTGTCGACAGGCATGTTTCTTTATGGCGGCTAGGGTAGAATCCATATCCTGGCCTTTTCTATCTTCTAGAGAACATCAGCATTCCTTTTCTCATTGCCTCTCCTCTCTCTTTTTAAAGCTGGCAATGTCACATTTCTCTGACCATTCTTTCATTGTCACATCTCTCTCTGGACTCAGCTAAGAAAGGTTCTCCATTTTTAAGAACTCATGTGATTAGACTGGGCCCATCTGGATAACCCAGGAAGATCTCTCCATCTCGGTTTGCATCCTTAATCACATCTGATAAGCCTTTATTGCATTCAGTGTAACATATTCACAGGTTCCAGGGTTAGGCATGGGCATCTTTGAGGGCCATTATTCTCCCTACCACATTATTTGCCTAGCATCTTTCATTACATTGTCCATCTATTTACTTACTGATTTCTAATGACATCCAAATCAGTTACAACATTTTATGTAAGCATTGTTTTTATTTTTATGTTATTCCACTAGTCTATTTTTCTACTCATGAATTATGGTACATGAGTTTATTTTTGCAACTTTAAGCTCAATAACATGTTTTAAGATTTCCTCAACTTTCTTTTTCCACTTCTTCAGAAGTTGACTCTTTTGGCCCTTTGGTCTTCTATACACATTTTAGAAATGCTTTGTTGAGGACTAAGAGGAATGCTAAGATTTTGATAGGAATTTCATTGAATTTTGAGTATATTGGCATGCTACAATGGTTAGTGTTTTATACATGAAAATAATATATCCCTTCCTCTTTTCCTAGTATCATGAGATGTTTGTTAGGCAGACATGAATATTGAGTTGTATCAAATGTGTTTTTCTGCATTATTGTGGTGGTGATGTGATTTAGCTCCTTTAATTAGTTAATGTAATGAATTACATTTGTAGATTGCTCTAACTATTGAAACAAGCTTGAATTTCTGGAATAAGCCCAATGTGATATTTATTCAACAAATATTCATTGAGTATACCTAGTATGTAACATGCTTTAAGAATACACCAGTGAACCAAACAGAAATATCTGACATTACAGAACTTAACATTCCAGTATTTGGAGACAGACGATAAAAAAGTGAACATGTATATTTACAGTTTGTCAAGGAATGATAAATGAAGACTCTTAAAGTAGATGGGGAATTGGGAGTGAAGTCTGTAATTTAAATAGGGTGGGCAGGAAAGCTTCACAGAGAATGGGACATTTAAGAATAGACTTGAAGGACAGGCAAGAGCAATCTCTATGTTTATATGGGAGAAAAGGTTCCAGGCAGATGCAGTAACAATGGCAAATATCCTGAAGTAGGATCATGCTGGAGTTTTTGTGGAGCAGCAAGGAGGCTAGTGTGACTGCCACAGAATCACCCAAGGGAAGATGAGAAGATCAGACCAGACCAGCACTTGGGCATCTAATGGGAAAAGTTTCTCAAGCCATCATAAAAATCTCACTTTTACTATAAATACTACAAGAAACCATGGGATGTTTTACAGTAAGAAAGGTGGCATAATATGTTACATGTTTTAAACAAACTCTATAGCTTCTGAGTTGAAATAGATTGTAGGGGCTCATGGCAGAAGCAGAGGGAACATTTAGGAGACTACTGTAAAGAATATCATGAAAAGAACAAACAACGCTATGTAACATGCTTAAATGGACTGAAGAAGATGTATAAAATCAAAATGATGTAACCTTCACGCCTTGAGTCAGTATGATAAACCCCCCTCCCCAATCACAAAAGAAAAACTAAACACAAAAACCAGGCTTTGGTTGCTCAGACAATTTTACAGGTGAGTTCTAGCAAACATGCAAAGAACGTTTAATTGCACTGTTACAGAAATTCTTCTGGAGACAAGAAAATAAGACACATCACCCAACCAATTTCATGATAACAATGTCAATGTATAATAACAGAAAAAGTGGATCTCCAAAGAAATAAATTTATTTGGAAATAAACAAGGATTATAATCTGAGATATTTGTGCTATGATCAATCATAGGTGCATCCCAAGAGGTTGAGTTAAGGAAAATATTTAAAGACAAAAAGAAGTCTATGCAAGCTGTTTTGAAACAAACATCATTGGTCACAGGGCCTGATGCAGGAGCTGGTGTTAACTTACTGGCAGAAACAGCCATTGCTAGGCAAGTGTTCTTGTGAGGGTGGCTTATCTGAAATGCTGCAGTCTTGAGAAATTTTTTATGATAGGTCCTATTATAGAGACACCTACAGGATGAGCTGGACAAACAGAGTGTGCTGGGTGGGCAGAAATTTCTTGTGAGTTTATAGAAAGTCCTTGTGATAGTGCTTATCATGGACACACACACAAGATCCCCTTTTTCATGACCTGGCTCCACTTTGCTTTGGGTCTGATGTAAGTGACTTTGCCTTGTCATTGGCAACTTTCGCTGTAGTATAATCTGCACATTAAAGTTACCTAACAATAGTACAAAGAAAGAAAATTAAAGGTATATCTCTTTCAAAAATATAAACCCCAAAATTGTTAGGAAATTGTAGTGAGTATAAAAGATAATTCATTATAATAGACATCTCAAGCTTCACAGAATTCTGACCTTTGCTACACTCTCATCCACAATCTTTTCTCCTAGTAAATGGCAGCTCCTTCTGTTAAGTTGCTGAGGCTTCTTATTGCTTTTTTCTTCAAATAACAGTCAGAACTGAACAACTGTAATCATCCTAGTCCATACAATTTTTATATTTTCATTTAAAGAAGATCAATGTGTGATTCTTTTTTTATATATTTCTGGACAATTCTTTATATTTTAATAGTAGTCAGAATTTGATCAGGAAAACAGAAGACATCCTATGTATTATAATGATAAAAGTTTAATATTAATTAGGGCCTTATGCTATTATTGGAAGAGCTTGGTGAATAGATATTAGAAAAGCAGCTAGACAAAATCAGAAGAGGTCTGTTTTATATCAGAGATCTTAGCCTGACAGTCTAGAGTGTGGGCACAGAACCCAAGCTTATAGGAATTTCTGAAAGGTCTGTAAATCTTATCCAGATGGACAGTGGGAGCTCATAAAGAATTCTGCAAGCCATCACATCTGTCAAACCTGCTATGTCTAATCCTTAAGCCTGCTTTATGTGAAGACCTCCTCTTCACTCCTCACTTCCAGCTCTCATGAGTTTCTTTCATAGGCAAACCCAAACCTGGAACAATGTGCCTGAAGACTTCGGGTGACACAGTACCCAGACTTAAATAGGAGGGGAGCCATGGTGGAAGTGGCCATCCAGCACAATTTTCTTGGTCTTTACTCATAGTTTTGATTCCTTAAAAAAATTAACCACATTAAAATATGTGTTTCATAATCTACATCTAATAATACAAATATTTAAAGTCTTTTCAAGTTTGAATACGCTACCCATGTTGCTGCTACCCGCATTTTGTGTGTGTGATTTTTGTGTGTGTGTTAGAAGCTCATGACCTTTGAAACCTGCTCTTATGAGCTTGCTTTGATGATTTATTTGTCCAGAGAGGATTTTTTTTCCTACCTAGCATTTTGGACTGCTATCAACCTGAGACCACTTTGAATTAAATTCTCAGCTTGCAAATTTGGAAGCCACACAGATTGTGTGAGTTCAGGCTGAAACCTGTTTGAGAGCTGGATTCTGGCTATAAACTCCACAGGGAACATTTTCTCTCTCCACTCAGAGCTGAGACCATAGGGAAATTTATTTGCTAGCTCTCTTTGAAGGTTTATTTTATTTATTTTTTTAATTTATAGTACACGTGCTCACTGAAGGTGTAATACTTATGTGAGAATCTCAAAATCAGTTGTGTTCTTTGTATGACCCTGGTTTTGTTTCCTCCTGCTCTCTTACTTTCAGTGTGTCTCAGTATGTCTGCTCAATATGTCATCTTAAATTTCAACTGAGGGTGGATCTTCTTCCCAGCTCACTCACATGGTTCTTAGCTAGATTCAGTTTCTCTCCATTTGTAGGACTGAGGACCTCAGTTCTTCACTTAGGGTTGGCTACAGGTAATCATCAATTTCTTGTAACAGGACTTACACTGGGCCACTGACAGCATGCCAGTTGGCTTCATTCAAATGAGAGGGCAAGAGAAAGAGAGAGAGGGAGAGGGCACAAGATGAAATTCACAGTATCTTATAATCTAATCTCAGAAGTGGCATCTCATTACTTTTGTTCTATTCTATTCAATAGAAACAAGTACCTGGGACCAGCTTATACTATAGGAAAGAGATTATATAAGGGTATAAATACCAAGAGGTAGAGATCATCAAGAGCCATTCTGGTAGCAGCCACAATATCTTATCCAGAATATTTCTTATTCAGGCCTTCAAATGTGCTGTCTTTTCTGGTCTAATGGAAATGAACCTTCCTTCCATACAATTTCTTCTCCTAAATTGTACTCTGGCTCTCTTATCACATACAAACGTCTATGTTAGGTATTTGTGTCTGTCTTGATTCTTGGTAGGCTTTTAAACTCTGTGAATGTTGGACTGTGATGTAGACATCATTTCACCGCACACTCTGTAACCACCAAACCTTAGCAGCTTATTCAGTAAGCACATACTTGGCTCTTAATGAGTATTGCTTAAATTGATGAATTGAATTAGTATTTTACCTTCTCTGTTCCTTAGCTAAGCAGAAGAATTTGTCATTTTTTTAATTTAGTGACTGGTTCTATTAAAAGTTACCTTTGTCTATATCATTTTGTTATACTAAAGCACAAATGTATAAGGTCAAAAAACATTCTCAAGATTTTGTTTAAACCACAGCCCTCAGTTGTGTATATTTATCTCTTGTTTTCATATGCAAGATTTCTCCTGAAATGGGCAACAATTACAAGAGTTTTTTTCCTCTTCTGAACTAAGAAAATAAATATTTAATTCACAAGTTTAGAAAAGTGAACCTGAAAAATCACAGGGCTAGGTGGGTTATGAGGCCCACTGGTACATGATAGTGTTGAATGTGGATTAGAATGAACTCCGTGGATTAGAATCTCAGACCATAGGCAAACATTTACTTGTTTTAGAATAAGCACATTTGAGTCTGCAATAAGTATTACTATTTTTAAGTTGAAAATGTAATTGGTTTCTAATAATAACCATATTGGCTAGCATTATTTCAATCGTGTTTAATGTTTTCCAGTGTCATTTCATGTCAGATATCTCTCTTGATTCTTAGTAACAATTTGGACAAGACAGCAAATGCTATTGTCCAAGTTTTCTAAAGAAGAATCTGAAGTGAAATGACATCAAGAGACCTATCAAGACCTGTATCCAGGAAAAGGTAAATCTGAGCTGAAATTGTAGCCCTTGTAAATTACCTACGTGACATACCAGATAGTGTTCATGATCCATTTAGTATTCTGTTCTAAAAATGAGACAATATCCATTTATTCACTTGTTCATTTATTTAGTGTTTGTTCAGCCCTTACTGCATATTCCAGGCACTATTCTGACTGTGGCAGGAGTGAACAAACAGGCATGGTTCTTACTTGCATGTAATTACAGTCTTATAGTGAAAACAAGTGTTAAACAACAAAATCTCCCAATTGTTTTAAAATTATGAACTTGATTCGATACTATGTGGCCATATAATTGTTCCTAATTTGGTTGGAGAAGGGAGGCAGTTAGGGAAGCCTTCCCTGAGTTAGTGCCATTTAACCTGATTTATGATAGATGATAAGTAATTTGTCAGGGGAAAAATACTCCAGGAATAAAGAACAGGTACAAAGGTCAGGTTCTGGGAAGAGCTTGTCTTGGTCCAGGAACTAAAAAATGTTAGAGTGGCTGGATCTGGGAAAGAGACAAAGAGTTATTAAATGAGGCAGCAGGCTTCAGCAGGTGCCACATTGCTCAGGGCCTTGTAGGCCATGCTAAGGATTTGGGATGTTAATGTCAGTACAAACAATTGAGTCATAAGCAGAAAGTAAAAGCATGATTCCATCAAATGTTATTCTCTAAACAGTAATTTTATAAATACAGGTTAAATGTGTGTGGTCCCAGCTACTCAGGAGGTCCCAGCTACTCAGTATTCCTTTTCAACAAATATTAGGTGCCTACTATTAGCCAGGTACAGCCCTTAGCTACTTTGAATGAAGCATATATTACAAACTGGCAGAATTTCTTAAACAAAGAATCTAAAGTTGTTTATACACCATAATCTCGGTATTTTATAAATTTCTTGAAATTATTTTTATTTACACTGCTTTGCAGAATTTTAACTGGCTTTGAAATAAACAATGACAATAGTCCTCCATGTTACTAGTTTCAAATTTTCCCAATACCTACTAAGACATTACTTAATCCACAGATTTACTGTCAATAGTTTGTCTCAAATTGTGATAACATATTTGAAATTAATATTTCAAATTAAAGCAAAATCACAAATTTGTACTTTAGATTATGAATGAGATTCACAAAAGGAGCGTGATAATATTTTCTGTTGTCATCGCATACAAAATAATAACATATAGAGTATGAATCAATAATTTTTCAAATACAAAGCTATTACAATTAGGAATACAAAGAAATCATAATTAGGAATACTTCTACAATATTAACACACAATAGTGGTAACACTTGCAAAATGATGGTGGTGTTTTTTTGTTTTGTTTTGTTTTGTTTTCCCGACAGAGTCTTGCTCTTGTTGCCCAGGCTGGAGTGCAATGGCGTGATTTTGGCTCACTGTAAACTCCACCTCCTGGGTTCAAGCGATTCTCCTGCCTCAGCCTCCCTAGTAGCTGGTATTACAGGTGCCTGCCACCACACCCAGCTAATTTTTGTATTTTTAGTAGAGATGGGGGTTTCACCATGTTGGCCAGCCTGGTCCCGAACTCCTGACCTTAGGTGATCCACCAGCATCGGCCTCCCAAAGTGCTGGGATTACAGGTGTGAGCCACTGCGTCCAGCCAGTGGTGGGTCTCATATCTCAATGTGGACTTTTACTAACTCCCGATGCCTCAGTTTCCTCATCAGTTGAAAGGAATGAATGAAAGATATGTGTTTTTCATATTATCAGGTAGATGATAAGGAGATTTTAATTTTCTTTTTTTTTTTAACTTTTATTTTAAGTTTAGGGGCATTTGTTACATAGGTAAACTGGTGTCACAGGGGGTTATTGTACAGATTATTTCATCACCCAGGTATTAAACCTAGTACCCAATAGTTATCTTTTCTGCTTCTCTTCCTTTTCTCACCCTCCACCCTCAAGTAGACCCCAGTGTCTGTTTTATTCTTTGTGTTCATTAGTTCTCATCATTTAGCTACCACTTATAACTGAGAGTATGCTGTATTTGGTTTTCTGTTCCTGCATTAGTTTGCTAAGGATAATAGAAGGTCCATCCATATTCCAGCAAAAGACATGATATCATTTTTTAATGGCGGCATAGTATTCCATGGTGTATATGTACCACATTTTCTTTATCCAATCTGTCATTGATGGGCATTTAGGTTGATCCTATACTTTTGCTATTGTGAACAGTGCTGCAATGAACATTTGTATGCATGTGTCTTTATGGTAGAATGGTTTATATTCATCTGGGTATATACCCAGTAGTGGGATTACTGGGTCGAATGGTAGCTCTGCTTTTAGCTCTTTGAGGAATCACTATTCTTTGCACAATGATTGAACTGATTTGCACACCCACCAACAGTGTATAAGCATTCCCTTTTCTCCATAGCCTCACTAGTATCTGTTATTTTTTGACTTTTTAATGATAGCTATTCTGACTGGTGTGAGATGGTATCTCATTATGGTTTTGATTTGCATTTCTCTAATGATCAGTGATGTTGAACTTTTTTTTTGTATGTTTGTTGGCTGCATGCATGTATTCTTTTGAAAAGTGTCTGTTCATTCCCTTTGCCCAATTTTAATGGGGTTGATTGTTTTTCTTTTGTAAATTTCTTTACATTCGAAATGTTTTTATTATTAAGTTGAGCTGCCTCATTCTTAGTATGGTTTTTCACTTTAAAAAGCATAAAGGTGGACATGGTGGCGTATGCTAGTAATCCCAACTACTGGGGAGACTAATACAGGAGGGTTGCTTGAGCCCAGGAGTTCAAGGCTATAATGTGCTATGATCATGACTGTGAACAACCACTGTACTGCAGCCTGGGCAGAGTGACATAGTGAAACCATATCTCTAAAAAAAGAGAAAATGTAATTTAAATCTTTAAATACATATGTATATGTGTGTATATATGTATATATATTGCATATATCAAAAATGGTTTGTAGTTTCCATTCACAGCACATAGTAAAATGTCTTAACCTCCTCCCTCCTCCCTATGTGTGTTTTTCTAAGTGTGTGTCTTTTTTACCTTAATTTTTCTCTTAGTGTCTCATAGTCTTCTTAGATCTCCCTCTTTCTTCTGTCTTTCACACACACACACACACATGCACGCATACACACATGTACCTTGAAAAATAGCTTTTCTTTTTCTTAAAACTTCCCAAAGCTTTCATAAAATTAGCCCTCAGGCAGTCTTACGTATCTCATCCACTCTTCTTCCTCTCTCCCCTTCCTGAAGCCATTTGTAACTTACTCTATTACACTAGGAAGGGGAAGCAAATATTCATATTATTTTCTTGTTATATCCTTAGCATTACTAGACCTTTGTGGTTTCTATGGATGAGGGACATAATATTTATTAATTTATTCTAAACTTCAGTCACTCATAATATACCCTTTTATTCCTCCTTCTTCTGTGATATTGGGAGTGTATAGTTGTCATTGTGACAAACCCTTTGCTGTCAGTATCTATAGTGGATGGGGAGAAAAGGAGGGCTTTGCCAATCATCGTCTCCAGTGCATTTCCCACTGTCAGTGTCATTGTCTAATGCTGTTTGCATCCACACAGCCTAAGGGAACCGTTTAAGTGAGTGACTCCCTCCCTTCACTTCAGCCCATCACTTAAGCATTTCTCTCCCTTGAAAAAAGACAAGTGGTGCTTCTAAGACTTGAGTAATTCTGAATATAATTGAGGACTAGATGTTCCTGTTTTATATCCTACAGGGCTGGCATCTCTAATGCTGAAAGTACAACAAAGTGCAGTGGTAGTCACTGAGCGTTCAGCCATGCTGGGTCATCAAAATAAAAGGAGATCGTCTTCCCATTCCTATCAATGGCATCATCTCTACCAGATATATAACTGGAAAAACAATGCATTTGCTTAAACATCCACAGTGAGCCACACTTGTTGGGTGTTGTGGGGAAATGATGCAGAAGCATCCTTGTTTATTAAGGATCCAATTTTGATAGGCTGATGCATATTTTTCCTCCCAAGTCTGCACATGGTCATGCATTAAATATTAATGAGCATCTTCTCTCTATCAGGCTTTGGGGGATATGTTCACCTCTTGGGAGGTGAACATGATAAATAAGATCCTTTCTCTCATGTAGCATTCTCTCCATTCTTTTTTTTTTTTTTTTTTTTTTTTTTGATAGGAACTAGCTCTGTCACCTAGGCTAGAGTGCAGTGGTGCAAACATGACTCACTGCAGCCTTGACCTCATGGACTCAAGTGATCCTCAAGTGATCCTCTTGCCTCCACAACATCCAGCTAACTTTTAAAAAAATTTTTGAAGAGAAGGTTTTGCCATGTTGCCTCAGCCTCCTGAAGTGGTGGGATTACAGGTGTGAGCCACTGCACCTGGCCACGTTTTCTTTCCATTCTTATGGAAGGCAGTAGTCAGCAAAACAGTTAATCAATTGAGAATATATTAGGTTGTTATAGGAACCATGAAAAAATAAAATAGAGTGTGTAAAGAAGGCTTGATGGCCAGGAAGCTTTTACAGGGAAGTGACATTTGAACTGAGACCAAATACTTAAAGAAGCCAGTTCTTTGAAGAGTTGATGGGAAAGTATTCCAAGAAGTGGGAATGGCAAGGGGAAAGGACTTAAGATGTAACCTCAGAATGATTAAGGAGGAGCATGGTACAAGAGGATGTCAGAAACATAGCCAGGAAAGAGAGCTATGCTTAAGTATTAGGATTTTATTCTTTGCAAAGGAAAAGCCCATTGAAGCTTTAAAGCAAGGACCTAAGAGTTAACATAATTTTTTTAAGGTACCTTAAAAATTTTGCTGAATGAAGAATTCATTGAAGTGAGTCAGGAATGTATGATTTTGGACAACTGACACAATGCCTGAGGCAAAATTTCTTCATATGGAAATTGGAGACAATGATCATATCTACCTTAGCAGATTATATAATGAATTATTTTCCTAGGGCTCCTGTAATAAAGTACCACAAACTGGGTAACTTAAGCAACAGAGATTTATTGCCTCACAATTCTAGAGGTGAGAAGTCCAGATCAAGAAGCTGGCAGGGCTAGGCTGCCTGAAAAGGTGCTAAGGAAGGAACTGTTCCAGTCCTCTTTCTCTCCTTCCAGTAGTTCCTTGGCTTGTGACAGCACAGTGTCAATTCTCATATGGCATCCTCCCCGTATGCCTCTCTCTATGTCCAAATCTCCCTTTTATTTAAGGACAGAGTCACAGTGGATTAGAACACCCCCATAACATGAAGATTGCATGAAATTATATACATATTAATTCAACAACATAGCTTCCAAATAGAAAACACTCAGCCTTTGTCATCTCATCATTATTTGTTTACACCTTTGTATTATTGGTATAGCTCTAGTCTTTTGAAAGGTGCAGTTACTCATCTTTGTGTTTTCCACTCCTTTATAGCTAAGTGTAAGGTGCTTTTGCAAAATCCAGTACTGCATATTTGAGAAATGCTTTTTATTCCTACACATACTGCATATACTGTTACACAATTCGATTTTGTAGGTCTAATGAAGTTGGTCTTTCTATGAGTTCCTATGGCTAAAAATAGTCACAATTGTGTACTCCAGTAAATTGTTAGAATGAAGGAAAATAGTTTGAGTGAAATTATCAATCTGGTTTTTCTGACTTCAGCTGTGTGTCATGTTTGGTTAGTCAAGAGAAACATCTAATGTGAGGCCCCTGGAGGACAGCTGATAAGTAAGCATACCAAGTAGAATGGCTACTGGAAAAAGTGTGCCAGCTAGAGAGAGAGAGAAAAGAGAGAGTTAATTTACCATTTGCTCAAGTAAGGAATGATCCACAAATTCAACAAAATCTAAGTAGTCTTAAAGGACATGTCATTGACAGATATATCTTCTAGTCTCCCACTTTGTCTAATACTGCTTCAAAACAAAGCAATTTACTGAACCCAGTGGTCTCATTATTCTGGAGGTTTATAAGGTTAAAAATACCTGGAGTTTTGGGAGCAGCAATAGCACTGAAGTGGGATATTAGTAGTGATGCGTGTGTTTACAGCACCTGTGAACACACAGAGACTGAAGCTTGAAGGCTGGTGACCCTGAGTTAGGGGAAAAGATAAAACTTTTTATTAGATTTTTTTAATGTCGAGAAGAAAATTATTTATCTCCACATTTCTTGAATATTATCCTCTTACAATTATGTCAATGATTCTCACCCCAGTTATATATTAAAATTACCTGGAGATGTATAAAAACTATCAATGTTCTACTCTTCTACAGATTAAATCATCATCACTGAGGGTAGCCCTCCAGCAACCAGGTTTGAGAACCACTTTAGACCAGAATTTTTCTCTGTGCCGTTCAGTAATGGCAATGATAACTGTAGGATATGCAAATTGCAGAAAGACAACGGCAAATGATTTAACTTATCCCCAAACAGCTGAACTATCTTAAGCCTCATGGCTACTTTAGAGTGACCAAATCCATGTAGACGCCAGAAGCTGTGTCATACACCTATTTCAAGGGGGACATAGAATTTACCTATATATACCTACCTCAAGGGTCATGTCGGTTTACCATTCCCCTAAACAACAGCTTAATAGTATAAACTGCTGAACTGCTGTCTGCCTAATATTTATTGTGGCTATACTTCTTCTTTTCTGTATTAAAGGCCACTGCTTTTCCCAGCTTGCTCTTTGTTCTCCATCATCTATTGTGGGTCACTTGTGCTTTCTGTTTTTAACACCCGTGTTGCTGAAGTCATTTCTCCAATTCATGATCCATGAAACTACTTCAGCAGTGAAAATGGCACCCCTCAGGTTCAAGTCAACATTTTTATATTTCCCTCTAGGTCAAGATCCAAGCTATGGAAGAAATCAGGATATGTCAATTTTCTAGAGCAGCCAAGTTTTCTAAAAGTCTACCTAGCCATGTAGTTATGTAGCCTCACTCTCACTTAAACAAAGAAAATTAAAAAGCACACCAGAAAAGACTTTTCTTGTTAAAAACACATGTTTATTGTAGAAAATATAGTAAGGAAAAAGAAGAAAATATAAGGCAACTAGAATTTCTCTAGTTAGAGATAACTATTATTTATTTGAGTGTGTGTATATATCTATATATATTGACATTCAGCTCTTATGTACTAGATACACACATCTACTGTTTCATAAGCTTTTTTCATAGAATAGATTATAATCAGTTATGTTTGTTATCACCACAACATTTTCTTCTTGAAGACCTTCTGGAATGAGGCATTTGCTTTTCTATCTAGAGACCCTATCCTTTCAAAAGGTCCTTTATCTGTGGAAAGAGCTATTCTGGCCACAGTTACTGCCAAGAAACAAGGTGTTAGAAAAGGCCTAAAGTTAAGTGCAGAACTGCTGTGTTTTGATGAATATTCCGTTGTTTTGAGAGGAGGTAGAAGCATTCTCAGCTTCAGGATATTTGCTCACTACTCATTAGTCTCTCTGAGAAGTAGCAAACTTCAAAGGTTAAATATGAAGGATGAATTGTGTAATGCCTAGATGTCAGTAGCGGAGAAGGTATCTGAGCAAATTCAGGATTTTATCCCTGTCTCCATGGGCCTAGTGTGAAGAACAGTCATTTGTGTAAGTGGGTCTTTGTGTATATGGTACTGAATCAGGTCACTGAGTCAGAAACTTAGAGCTGTAAGGAAAGTGAGGTGCTCTCCAGTCCAGTGTTCTGGAATTTCTTCTGCAGTGGCCCCCAACAGCAGGTGGCAGCCTCATCCATGATTGTATTCTTAAGTGACATGGTATTACTCTTTCTATTTGCAATCCATTTCACTGATGGATAGTTCTAGAGATCTGAAATATTGAGATTTAGCTCAGTGTTGTTTATATGAAGATAAATTCCGCTTTCCAACAACTCTCTTGTATGTGTCTAACGTCTGCCGCATGGAATGTCACAGATTATGCTTCATACTTGTCTTCCTGAGTCTTCTTTATCCCGAACACCCTGAGTTTTTGAATGGTTGACATGCCAGCTGGCTTTCTGCAGATGTACTTCTCGTGTGTAAATTTCCTTCTCTGTGAGGTATTCATATTGAACATGACCTCCAAGTGTGTTTGGGTCTGTGCAGAAGACAATAGGACTGTGATTTCTGATGATTAAAACCTGGATTGTATGTTACTGTGATCAGACCCTGAGACTGCGTTAGCAAGTTTTATAGCATCTGAGTCGCTCTGTTGGAGGAAAGTGCATGTGATGGGCATTTGCTTGCTTCCCCACCAGATTCTCTACCTTCACCCTTCCTGCAAGATTCCCTAGGAAGCTGACTTCTGCTGAATGCAACACTCAGGTTCTCTGCTTCCTAGATTCTAGTTGAGTTTGGTCCATGGGAGGCCTTGGCAGAAATTTTGAGAGTAAGAGCAAATAATTACTTAACCATTAGAAAAAAATAACGTGAATGTGTCCTTCTATCCATGGCCTCAGTTCCTGTTGGGGAGCGTCGGTGCCAATCCCTCGGTGCATCACCATTTCTAATTAGTTCCTGTTTTAGTCTGCTTTTGCGTGTGTGTGTGTGTGTGTGTGTGTGTGTGTGTGTGTGTTGTTATAAAGGAATACCAGAGGCTGAATAATTTTAAAGAAGAGAGGTTTATTTGGTTCACAGTTCTGAAGGTGTGCAAGAAGCATGGTGCCACCATTTGCTTCTGGTGAGGGCTTTAGGCTGTTTCCACTCATGGCAGAAGGGGAAGGGAAGCTGGCATGTGCAGAGATCACGTGGCGAGAGAGAGGGGTTTGTGCCAGGCTCTTGTTAACAACCAGCTCTTGTGGGAATTAAGAGAGCTAGAACTAGGTGGGCACGGTGGCTCACGCCTGTAATCCCAGCACTTTGGGAGGCCGAGGCAGGTGGATCACCTGAGGTCAGGAGTTTGAGACCAGCCTGGCCAACATGGTGAAACCCCGTCTCTACTAAAAATACCAAAAATTAGCTGGGCATAGTGGTGGGCACCTGTAATCCTAGCTACTCTGGAGGCTGACACAGGAGAATGGGTTGAACCCGTGAGGTGGATGTTGCAGTGAGCCAAGATCGCACCACTACATTCCAACCTGGGCAGCAAGAGTGAAACTACATCTCAAAAAGAAAAAAAAGAGCGAGCAAGAACTCACTTGGATGGCACCAAGACATTCGTGAGAGGTCCACACTCAGGACCAAAACACCTCCCATTAGGCCCCACCTCCAACAATGGGGATCACATTTCAACATGAGTTTTGAGTGGTCAAATATCCAAACCCTAGCAGTTCCCTTAACCCTGGAAAGAGACCCTTCATTAAACTCTTTCTGCTTAATCCTTTGAGAGTGCAACAATTTCCTGCTAGGACCCTGACAGATAGAGGGACCATACAGATCACTAAAATGCTGAGGAATTTTTCAAATGAACTGCACCCAACAGACCTCCCTGATTCTGAATATATCAAACTTTTATTTTTTATTTTATTTTATTTTATTTTTTGAGACGGAATCTCGCTCTGTCGCCCAGGCTGGAGTGCAGTGGTGCGATCTCGGCTCCCTGCAACCTCCACCTCCTGGGTTCAAGCGATTCTCCTGCCTTAGCCTCCCGAGTAGCTGGGACTACAGGCATCCACCAGCAGGCCCGGCTAATTTTTTATTTTTAGTAGAGATGGGGTTTCACCATGTTGACCGGGCTGGTCTTCAACTCCTGACTTCATGATCCGCCCACCTTGGCTTCCCTAAGTGCTTGGATTACAGGCGTGAGCCGCTGCACCCAGCCAAACTTTAAAAAAAAACCCCAAATAGTACTTTGAACTTCACCCGCAGGGAGTTATTCAAATTGGTTGTCAGCCAGTTATTTCAGGTTGTTGAGATCATCTGGCTCTTGATTTTATTAATCATCTTAGCCTTCCCTTTCAACAATTTGCCGACTTTGTGCAAATTTTATTAATATGTGATCTCTGTCTTTATCCATGGAGAAGCAGTATAGTATCATGAGGAAAAATAGACTTTGGAGTAGGCAGAAATTAGGTTTGAATTACTAGCCACGAGGCTTTGGGAACATTACTTAAACTCTATAAGCTTCAATTTCTTTATCTATAAGGTAGGTATAAAACCTGAAAGTTTTGGCATGAGTTTAGTAAAACTGTCTGTGAAGCCCTTGTGGACTGCTTGGTCCATGTAGGCATTTGATAAACGGTGGCTTTATATAGAGGAGGGAAATGCAAGCTATCTCAAAAAGAAATCAGGCAAATAAGAATGCCATCTGAAATCTGTCATATGAGAATGAAAGGAGCATAGACAGGTTTTGAGTGTGGGGTGAGGAGTAGGGGAGGGGAGGAGATAAGTGAACTGCCCCTCAGACTTCCAGGGAGGAGAAAAATGATGTCACTGGGAACTGCAGTCATTTGAAAAGATAGCAATCAAGCATTTCTTTCAGAGCCCTGTTCATCTTTCAGTGGCTTTGCTTCTCCAGATGCTTTTGCTCCTTCAGTTATCTCTGCCTTCTCCCACCTCCTCTCCAACCATCTCTTCCCTTCCTTAATTCACAATTTTTCTCCCTCTTTTCAAGGCATAGTGCTTTGATTTATAAATTAGTTCTATGTTTCTGTTTTCTAATTTATTAGTTTCTGCTTTCTTATTTATTTATTTTGAGATGGAGTGTCACTCTGTTGCCCCAGTTGGAGTGCAGTGGCATGATCTTGGCTCACTGCAACCTCTGCCTCTCAGGTTCAAGAGATCCTCCTGCCTCAGCCTCCCAAGTAGCTGGAATTACAGGAGTGCGCAACCAAGCCTGGCTAATTTTTGTATTTGTAGGAGAGACAAGATTTCACCATGTTGGCCAGGCTGGTCTGGAACTCCTGACCTCAGGTGATCTGCCTGCCTCAGCCTCCCAAAGTGCTGGGATTACAGATGTGAGTCACCGTGCCTAGCCTGCTTTCATATTTATTAATACATTATTTCCACTTTCCTAAGGATAGTTGTTGTTCAACCTTTACTAGCTTTTTTGTTGTTCATACTTAATACATTTATTTTTATTGTGCTATAGCTATTTCCCACATGTGATTTTTTTTTTTTTTTTTTTTTTTTGAGATAGGATCTTGCTCTGTTGCTGAGGCTGGAGTGCAGTGATATGATCATGGCTTGCTGAAGCCCTGAACTCCTGAGGTTGGGTGATTCTCCCACCTTAGCCTCCCAAGTAGATGGGATTACAAGAAGTACCACTATACCTGGCTATTTAAAATTTTTTTTTGGCGTGTGTGGAGATGGAGTCTCCCTATGTTGTCCAGGCTGGTTGCGAACTCCTGGTCTCAAGTGATCCTGCCACCTTGGCATCTCAAAATGCTGGGATTACACATGTGTAATATTTTTATTGTCACTATTTTCCACATATTCTGGAAATTTTATTTGGATTTCTTTTTTCTTTTTTTTTTTTTTTGACAGAGTCTTGCTGTGTCACCTAGGCTGGAGTGCAGTGGTGCAATCTCAGCTCACTGCAACCTCCACCTTCTGGGTTCAAGGAATTCTCCTGCCTCAGCCTCCTAAGTAGCTGGGATTACAGGCATGCGCCATCAGGCCCAGCTAATTTTTGTATTTTTAGTAGAGACAGGGTGTCGCCATGTTGACGAGGCTGGTCTTGAACTCCTGACCTCAAGTGACCTGCCCACCTTGGCCTCCCAAAGTACTGGAATTACAGGCATGAGCCACTGTACCCGGCCTGGATTTCTTTTTGACATAGAATTATTTAAGAGAAAGCTTTTAAATTTCCATGCTGTAATTTCTAGTTTTGTTGGGTCATAATCAGAGAATATAATCTGTAGCATTTCTACATTCTCTACTTTGCTTAGATGTTTTTAGGGTGGGGTGTGTAATATGTACTGAATTTTGTAAACATTTTATGGACATACAAATTTCAATGTTTACTTTTTCAGGCTATAGGCTTTGCTACATAATTTTTGTGTATTTTGTGGTCCTCATATAGATTTTTTAATTATCTTTTTGCTGTGATAGAGATTAGAAGGGTAAATTAATGTCTCACTTACCATCATTTTTCTTTCTGTATCTCTTTTCATTTCCTGATGCTTTGGCTTTATGAAATCTTTATGTATAAAAATTGTGCACACATATCTTTATGCACAGTGTTTTGGATTTTACCCTTCATAATGAGCTTTTTTCTCTCCTTTGAATTTGACCTGGCCTGGTGTTAACAGCCCAGGTGTAAAATTCCAGTGAGAAAGAAGTCTGATGAGGAGTCAGTAGGATCTTTGTGTTGCTGAGAACTGCTCAGTAACACGGACAGCTCCCTGCACTCCAGGAAACATCCTGATTCAGTGTCTTGAGTATTGTGAAGCACAGTTAGAGCAGAAACATGGAGAATCACCTTAAAATGGCAAATTGGCTTCTGGTCTTGCATAAGACTTCATTGAGGCCTAAGGGGCTGTGCAGGTCTACTGTCCAAAGTACAGAGGTTATTCCTAGTGTCTTTAATATTACTGTCCCTTTAGGCAAGATTATCCTTATGATAAGGGAGACTGAATTAAGCTATTTTGGCTGAGGCATATTTTTATAAATTCATCCAATTAGCTTCCCTTGTTGTAGTTTTGGCTCACCAAACATTGTTCTGATTATAATTTAGCATCCCATATAATTTCATCTGCAGGGAGAGTCTGTACTAGGCATGGCGATGCTTACATGTCAGCCTGTGTGACTGCAAGAGTCTCAGTATAATTTGATAACATGGCACTCAGATTCTAGACATTATTCTCTGTGTGCTTAGTGAGTGTGATGACATAACCTTCAGAAAGATTCATCCTTTCTCACATATTGATAAATCAACTTTTACATCTACAAAGTTGAGAGCCAGAAATTAAAACCTTATTAATTCACTAAGGCATCCCTATGACGGCAGTCTTCCAACTAGCTCCATTCTGGGGCACTCTGACATCATTGTACACTTTCCAATGAAAGCAGGGAGTGTATATGATTAAAGGGAGAGCCCTGTGGCACTCCTGAAAAATCTCCCCTCCCAGTTCACATTGACTTATTAACCAACACTCATGATCATGTGAAACTCTAGAACTGGATCTGGGTGCCTGGCAGGATGACATGGAGTGAGGCTCAAGCAGCACTGTGGGAATTCAAGCATCTGTTTATTTCTGAGAGAAAAAGTGTAAAGCAAAATAATATCTTTTAACAAACGTTTGTATTTGACTAAAAAGGAAGCAAGCACTTAATTTATGAATTTGCTAATTGCTCTTCTGAGCTGAGAATATCTGTGTTGAATATTAGTCATTATCCAGATTTGGCACAGAATAATCCCGAGGGTTAAATGACATTGTTCCTACAGTGGGCACCCGAAGACTGGCTATAAAAGCAATCCTGGCCAGGGGCGGTGGCTCACGCCTGTAATCCCAGCACTTTGGGAGGCCAAGGTGGGTGAATCACGAGGTCAGGAGTTTGAGACCAGCCTGGCCAACATAGTGAAACCTCATCTCTACTAAAAATACAAAAAAATTAGCTAGGCATGGTGGCAGACACCTGTAATCCCAGCTACTTGGGCGGCTGAGGCAGGAGAGTCACTTGAACCTGGGAGGCAGAGGTTGCAGTGAGTCGAGATTGCGCCAATGCACTCCAGCCCAGGCAACAGTGTGAGACTCTGTCCAAAAAAAAAAAAAAAAAAAAAAAAAGGAAAGAAAAAAAAAGAAGAAAAAAAGAAAAAAAAAGGAAAAATAAATAAGTAAATAAATAAATAAATAAAAGCAACCCTAACACTACTGAGGCTATTGACAGTGGCACTTTGCTCTTCTGTTAGGACCTTGGGAAAATGTTTTCCCCCTGAATACAGTATAATAAACTTGGTTCTTATTTCTCTTTCTCTCCCCCTCCTTTTTTCTTCCCTCCCCACCACCACATGCACACACACAAACAGACAGATTTGTTTATATTTGACTTTCTAAAAACCTGTTACTAGAAAGGCACATTAATACATTTCTCCTGTGCTGATAGTAATCAGGCAACTCTGGTTTCCATCGGAGGCAATTTCTTACGTATTAAATGCCAGAAAAAGGGCATCCCTCCGTTTTTGTAGAGAGCCTTTCTTTATGAAGACTAATGACCACATTAGTTAGTCAGTCAGTCAATAATACTTACCAAATGTCAGTAGAGCAGAAGTGAACACCAACAGAAAATCACATTTTACAAATGCAATTTACTTGGTATCCTAACATGCCATGTCATAATAATTATTGAGGCTTTTCTTCTCTGCTGCATTGGTCTAATGAATGTGGCTAGAAAAATATGGGTGCCCATGTAGCCTCCTGGAAGCACCTGTATGACTTTTCTAGAAGCGAGGTTCCTGGATAAAGATGAATTTTTAAAAGCTGGAATGAATGAGCAGCAATAGCAGAAGGAGAAAAGTGAGTGAGGGCTCTCCAAGAAGCCATCTGGCAGGCTAAGGGTTCTGAGGGAAGCTCTGGTTTCAGAAGCAACTCAGGAATTACTTCTGTCATATTAGGATGGGATGGTAGGAGATTGGGAACTCTAGGGACTAGAAGTCATTTAATTTCCTGTCTACAATCCTTGGAAGAGGTTTTGAGACTTGCAACCTAGGACCTTAACTAATCATCTTCCCTCAGCATTGATAGAATTCTTTATTATACATGTTAATATCAGATTAGTCAGGATGGGCTGGATTATGCTGTGTTAACAGCCATTCTCTAAATCTCTGTGGCTCAACTGGGAGCTCTGCCTGTCATGGTCACTTGGGACCCAGGCTTTGGGTATAAGGCTACAGCACATGGAAAACGTATGAATGTCTCTCAGATTCTTAAAGCTTCTGCTGGAAGTGACATGTCATTCTGCTCACCATTCATTGGCTAAATGAGTCACGTGGCTCTCTCTAACTTCAAGGATGGTATGAAATTGCAATCCTACCATGTCTCTAGAAGGAGAACCAGCCCTAATCACAATGCTACATGTTTATAGCTTGCCTCATAGAGTTTACTGTATTCTCCTGGTGTAATTTTCTTACATGCTCAACTGGAGAGGAAGCTCTTAAATAGAAAAAAATCATAATAAATTTCCTTTAAAAGATCTATTTTACAACTCTGGCATGATGGAGCACAATGGAGTCCTTAGTAATGGACTCCATCTCTTCCATCAGATAAAATCTTGAGAACTGAAGTTAAAATTTGAATAATGAAACCAAAGGAAAAAAAATTAAATGAATTTTAAGACAATTGAGATAAGAACAACTGTGGCGTCAGCATAATTCAATTTAATAATGTATTAAATATTTTGCAGAAAAGTGAAAAGAAATTGATAGCCAAATCAATGCAGCATTAAGCCACCATTTGGTCTAATTTCTTGCTGAATTGACAAAACAAAACACTAGTTTAGTTATATAAACATGGCTGATGTTTATACAAACAACAGAATTTGCTGGTAGCATTATCACTGGAAAATAAGATGTGTACTTAATTCTTGTATGTTCTGAGCCCATCTAGGAAGAACATAAAAGACGAAGAACAAAGCAATCACAGGATGTTATCATGAAAATATCACCTTTGGCTGGAGTAAAGTTTTGGCTAAATGTGGCACTAATATTTATTACAGCTCACCTTTTTATAATGAAGGGCTATGGACTGAACATTCTTATTATTTCCCATTTTCTTACCACTCTATCCCAACACACATGCACATGCATGCACACACGCACACACACTGGCACCCACACCCATGCATGTGGGACACACAGAGCAGCCCAGGCAATTTCAATTGTTGGCAACTTTGCTTTTATTAGGTATTAGTCTACCGACTTGCTTTCTCTTTAGAGAGACTAAGTGAAACCAAACTCATTTCCACCCAGTTAGCCTGCTGGAACCTGTAACAGTTACTGTAATGTTAAAAGCAGTAAAACAAAATAAAAACCAGTCAGTTCACTTACTCCCGAAGTCCGCAGTTTGGTGTTCAGCTTTAAAACATATGCTCTGGGCGTCCTGTGGTGGCTACCAGAGGCTTTGGTGAGTCATTGTCAACCCAGTGGCTAGAGAAGTGCTGGAATGCCCCTCTTAAATACAGAGCCAGTTTGTCCTTCAGAATGGCTGCTTGAACGAATTTATTGCTCAACTCGAAAGGCCGTTTTTTATAACCCACTGCAGTTGTGCTTCATGTGTTTCTCCACCTATCCTGTAAAGTGTATTGTGAAATTAATTTTGTAGATTTCCTCACACTGCAGTGACTAGGGAAATCACCCATTCATTATTATCTAATGAGGAGAAAGTGGAAACATCTAGAAGCACTGCTCCCATCCTCCTCCCCAGCCCACACAGACACCTACCTCAGGCCCTCCCTGTCCCAGATAAGCAGAGGGCCCCACCTTCGGAGGTTGCCTCCCTTCCACCTTCACCAATCCTATGACCAGATTATCCCCAAGGAAATGTCAATTTCCAGGCAGCAAGGGAATCATATAAAGATAAGATCATTGAGAGATTTTTTTCCTCCGTGATTGGCAGTTTATATTTTCTTGGGTCTACAAATCTGACAGCATTTATTAAATTTTCTAGTTTGATACTGACCTCTGTCTGATGCTGGGCTGTCACCATGCCCAAGACTGAGGGGACCCACAGTCTAGCTAGAAGGCATGGATCAATTCCAACTGTCCTACCCCTAGCCTGTGGGCAGGAGAAAGCTCTCAGGCTCTGGCAGAGGAGTCCCAGGGGCAGGATGCATGATCTTCCACTGTGCCTCCCAGCCATGCTGAGCAGCAAAGCAGACCATGAGCACGTCTCCCTTAAATTCATTTGCTTGATTTGTCCTTGAGTGTCCTCGGATGGCTTTGTTCCCTCCTTGTGCAGTATGTCTTGGTCATCCTGATTCCTGGGCTTGGCTCCCAGGTTGATTCTTTCCCTGACACAAAACAGGCACTATGGGCAAAGACACCTGCAGCCTTGGAGAGACCAGTGATGCTGGATGTTTCCTGTTGGCACTCAGGAAAGCTCAGAGCCTTTGATGAGCATCTTTTGATCCATTAGTTAAAACCACGCTGGGTTCTTTATAGTGGTTAGTTAGCTCTGGGCTATGGGATTGTGGAAGACATTTATTACTTCTTTGGATTTACCTGGATTTTCTGCAACGGACATGTATCGATAAAATACATGGTGCTTTTCAGAAATTGCCCCATCATCATGTTGCTGTTGTTGTTATTGATATTGTTGTTTCTGATGGATAGAGATCTAGGCCTGACACTCCAAGCAGTGTGAACAGCATTTACCTTGATAAGCATTCTTACATCTTAACCCTCAGGAATTTTAAATAGAAGTGTTCCGTGTGATTACATTAACAGGTTTAGAGATGGGTGTCCTGGTTATTTCCTTTGTTCTCCTCCTGGTAGCTGCCTGCACTCACAGCATGTTGGGAATGGTGATTATAAATGTAACCATGCTCTCTTCTTGTAAGTGGAGAGCCCAGGTACCTCTTATCCAGCATGTGACCCTCTTTCTACCTCAGGATAGTCATACTCTTAGGCTTCCTAGATTTATTCAGGGCCAAAGGAGTGGTCAAGGTCCTTTTTGTTTTGCCTTACTCCCTTTGGAAAACATTTAGTTTATGCCCATTGTTACAGATTGCAAAATACAGACACATATTCTCACTAATGTGGTCTGCATGTCCCTTTGCAAGGACATGCAATGTGACTTCACTACTCCTTTCATCAAGAAAAGGAGCCTCTTGGCCGGGCATGGTGGCTCACGCCTGTAATCCCAGCACTTTGAGAGGCCAAGGCAGGCGGATCACGAGGTCAGGAGATGGAGACCATCCTGGCTAACACAGTGAAACACAGTCTCTACTAAAAAATCCAAAAAAAAAAAAAAAAAAAAAAAAAAAATTAGCCGGGCGTGGTGGCAGGTTCCTGTAGTCTCAGCTACTTGGGAGCCTGAGGCAGGAGAATGGCGTGAACCCAGGAGGCAGAGCTTGCAGTGAGCCTAGATCGCGCCACTGCACTCCAGCCTGGGCAACAGAGCGAGATTCTGACTCAAACAAAAAAAAAAAAAAAAAAGAAAAAAAGAAAAGGAGCCTCTTTACCCTAATCTGGGCAAGCCTTGCAACCTGATTTGCCAAAAAAATATGAAGGAAGCAATGTGATGTGATTTTCCAGGCTAGAATGTAAGAAGCCTTGGAGCTTCTGCTTTTACTGTCTTCAGATGCTGCCTGAAACCACTGTAAGAAGCTCTAACCTACTGGAGGATAAGGGGTGAGCCCAAGAGCATCAAGGCTCCCATCAACAGCCAGTCCTGTGAGTGAGGCCATCTTGGACCTGCCAGCTCAGTAAACCCTTTTGCTGAACACAGCCCAAGGAAGGAACCCTTGCAAAATGAAATCATGTGGTCAGTTTGCGGGGTGGTTATTACACAGCAGTAGATGATTGAAAAGGCCCAGTGTCTTCCTGGGGAATGAAACACCCACCTCCTGTTCATGTTGATACACGGTGAGCAGAATATGGATGTGGGAGTGGTGTTGGTTGCAGGTGAGGTAGAGAAGCAGTGAACAGATCACGAAGACCTGATGTTCCAGGGTCGGGAGTTTAGACTTGATCCTAACAGCGGCCATAGGCGGATTTAGGCAAGAGAGTAATGTGGTCAGATTTTCATTTTAGAAAGTTACTCTGACATCCATGTGGAGAATGAACTTGAAGGTCACAAGGCTGATGGAGCCAGGAAGACCATTTGGGAGGTGATTGTAGTAATCTACTTAAGAGTTCATTACGAGCTGGGGAATGGGGAGGTGTTAGAGAAGAGAAAATGGATTTGAAGAGCTGAGGGATGTTAAAAAGGCAAAACTGGGCCAGGGATGGTGGCTCACGCCTTTAATCCCAGCACTTTGGGAGGCCAAGGTGGGCAGATCATGAGGTCAAGAGATTGAGATCATCTGGGCCAATATGGTGAAATCCCCTCTTTACTAAAACTACAAAAATTATCTGGATGTAGTGGCACACACCTATAATCCCAGCTACTTGGGAAGCTGAGGCAGGAGAATCACTTGAACCCAGGCAGCGGAGGTCGCAGTGAGCTGAGATTGCACCACCGCACACCAGCCTGGTGACAGAGCAAGACTCCGTCTAAAAAAAAAAAAAAAAAAAAGGAAAATTGTTGGGACTTGTAATTAATTGGGTGAGGGGAAACTGAGTGGCAAATGGTCTCAGCTCTACACATGGAGAGCCCTGGGGACATAGGGAGAGCACATTTGGAAGGAAAGATGATGATTTTAGTTCTTAAAATTTTGTTTGTGGAGGAGGCATTCAGACAGAGAATTCTGTTGGGCAGTTTTATGTAGAGAAAGAGGTCAGAAGTGAACTTCAATAAAATTGAGGTGACCAATGATCATCAGTTTTAAAGAGGACATATTTTCTTTTTCTCTTAAAGGGAACACACCTATGAGTCAGAAAGCCAGACTTTTATTTTTTCTCGCCAAAGGTTATTGTACAACCTACAGAAGAGAGTGTAAACACTGGTCTTTAAGATGAATTGTAAAGCTCTAAAAAGAATAAGAAAAATTGTGTTTCATAATTTATGATGGATAACATTTTAGAGTTGATTTCATAAGAGAATTCATTAAGCCAATAGACAACCATGGCATTTTAACTGTAGTGTTTAAGTATCTTTAGCTCTGATTTTTTAATTAGCAGAAGCAAATAAAGAGAGCTTCATTTTAACCATGAGAAATCTCTCTTCTGTACTTCATGTGACTAAATTTGTCCAGATGCTGCCGTTCAAATAATCACAGCGATTGCCAACATAATGGTTAATTTCCTGAGAAGTAAGTTCATGCTTTGCCTCAGTTTGCTCGCCTGTAAGATCAGACAGAAAAATAAGAATAAAACCGACTAATAGGTATTGATTGCCTCTGGAACAGCTATCAATATAAAGAGCCAGACAAAACACATAATAAAGAATTGTGTTAGTGCCAGAGAGACTTTAGAGATCATTTGCCCATCTCTTTACCTTCTCCCACTTCTTTCTGTCCCTCCACCCCCCCAGCTCTGATACAGACACACGGGATATTAGTAAAGGATAGTATTTGTTGAGAGTCTTTTGCGTGTCAGGCACTGCTTCTAAACGTTGTATAATACCAGCTCATTCAATCTTCAAATCAATGCTATACAGTAGGTACTCTTCTTCTTCTTTTTTTTTTTTTAAATTTTACAGCTGAGGGACTGAGGTATGGAGAGGTTAGGTAACTTGTTCAAGGACACCAAGCCAGTCAGGGTGCCACTGGACCTAAGACAAGGTAACCTGGCTCTGAGACCAACCCCACAGAGAAGTATGTGGATGCTGACAACACTGTAGGAAGTTACAAGGAGCAAAAGAATAGCAGCCTCAGCCCTGAATTCCACCGTAAGCTTCCCTCTAATCTTCCCTGCCTCACTCTCAATCAAATAAAGAGCTGATCAGGAAGCAACTATGCACGGTCTTCCCCTCCACACCTCCAGCCCCAGCTCCCTTCCCCAGACTCAGTGCCAGCCTGTGCCAGCCCCCAAGATGGCAGTGTGGAGCCATGCACTAGGTCTGCTGCGCACCCAGCAGTCGGCTGTGGGTTCTTTGTATCTGTCAGAGTCCTGGCAGGAAATGGTTTCATTCTCAAAGGGTTAACTAGGTAGAATTTAGTGAAGGGTCTGTTTACAAGGTTCAGGAACTAACTGAAAATGGTGAAGCACCCAGGGACTGGCACTGGAGCTTCCCCACAGGAGCTGAGGCCAGAGAAGTATACATCCATTGTTGTTTTAAAGAGTGGTTAACTATCTATTTGCTCTTACTTTCAACATTTCTGCTGGGGCCTTGCATTGAGCAAACTCAACTGTAATCTAGAGAGCAGGGACTCCTGAGTGGCACATTCAGTGGGAGTCAGCTTCCTAGAGAATCATTTATTTATTTATTATTTATTTATGAGACAGAGTCTCACTCTGTAGCCCAGGCTGGAGTGCAGTGGTGCGATCTTGGCTCACTGCAACCTCTGCCTCCCAGGTCCCTGTTCAAGCAATTCTCCTGCCTCAGCCTCCTGAGTAGCTGGGATTACAGGCATGTGCCACCATGCCCAGCTAATTTTTGTATTTTTAGTAGAGACGGGGTTTCACCATGTTGGCCAAGCTAGTCTTGAACTCCTGACCTTGTGATCTGACTGCCTCGGACTCCCAAATTGCTGGGATTACAGGCGTGAGCCACTGAGCCCTGCCTTCCTAGGGAATCTTGTAGGAAGGACAAAGGTAGAGAATCTGTCTGATGGCAGAAGCAAATGAATGCCCATCACATGCACTTTCCTCCAACAGGGCAACTCGGATGCTATGAAACAATGCTAAGTGAGTCTCAGTGTCTGTTGCAGTAATATTGTACATACTGTAGGTCTTAATCATAGGACATTACATGCCCATTGCCCTGTGCGCGGACCGGAGCGCACTTATGGGGGGCCCGTAGTCCTCCTTTCAGACATCTTTTGTTTCTCTGCCCAAACAAGTGGCCTTCCCATAGAAGACTGCCCAGAGAACCCTATGGCAACCCTACCCTCTTATTCCACTTTATTTTTCTTCAAAGTGTTTATTACTCCCTGTTGTTATGTTAGACTCTATATTTCTGTATTTGCTGTCCTCCAACTTGAAAAGAACCTCTGAGAGGGGAGGGACTTTCCTGGTCACATTCACTTGTCCCAGCACCTACGATGGTGCCTGACATATCTCAGGGGCTCCTTAAATATGTATTGCTTGACAATGGGTATCATGGCTCAGCCTCCTCTGGGGTTAGGAGGCTGGAGAAAAGAAACTTTAGCATGAGTGCAGTGAGAGTAAAAGAATTCAGCAGCTCTAATCAGGGAATGAATCTGGTGTGTAATAGGATCTCAAGGCTTGACTCCTAGTCTAAGACCATTTCTGGAGTTTGCTGACTTGATCCCCATCCTTCATCATTAGCACTTTGCAGGGAAGGAGCTGAGCATGGATCTTGACTCCGAATTGGCTGGGGCATGCAAAATCGGGGGAACGCTTGGTGTTGCCCAGGCTCCGCTCTGCCTAGACACACGTGAGGGCCAAGATCTGGTTTGTGTTTCATGAGCTCTCCCAGGATGAAGACCCAGCCAGGCTGTCTGAAGAAGGGGTGTTCTTGAGTAGGAGGGAAGGTCTGCTCCAATACGAAAAATCTAACAATAGCATAGTCCTTAAGAGCTTGAGCTTTGAAGAGGGAGAACAGACCCATTTAAGGCACGAAAAATAAAGGAAACTCTTGAGTCCCTCCAAGGAAAATTCCAGCCACCTGGCTAGCCTCAAGAAGTAGATGAGCACCCTGATAAGTAAGAAGGTAATAATAGCTTAAAACAATAGTCAAGAAAATTAGAGCCACAAACTAATCTTAAATGACGAGTTAATGGGTGCAGCACACCAACATGGTACATGTATACATACGTAACAGACCTGCACGTTGTGCACATGTACCCTAAAACTTAAAGTATAATTAAAAAAAAAGAAAATTAGAGCCACAAAATGTTTGTTTCCCTATAGAAACTAGAGATAACATCTTAACATATGTCCCTGAGTTGTTCTGTAGAAACCCAGACCCCGCTAAATGGAAAATACCACCTGTTGGCTCGTAGATCTCAGATAAGGAGGAACTGAGGACTGAACTCTCACAACTGTTCTTTGTTGTAAATTTCTTCCTGAGGGACCTGGAGGAAGTCACACCCACAGGCCAGAGCAGAACATTCCTTTCTGCTGACCCCAAGTTTGTAGCCAAAACTTAACCAATCACAAATCAGAAAATCTTTGGGTTTTTGTTTGTTTGTTTGAGACAGAGTCTCACTCTGCTGCCCAGGCTGGAGTGCAGTGGCACGATCTCAGCTCACTGAACCCTCTGCCTCCCAGGTTCAAACGATTCTCATGCTTCAGCCTCCTGAGTAGCTGGGATTACAGGTGCACACCACCACGCCCAGATAATTTTTGTATTTTTAGTAGAGATGGTGTTTTGCCATGTTGGTCTGGCTAGTCTCAAACTCCTGGCCTCAAGTTATCCACCCACCTTGGCCTCCCAAAGTGCTGAGATTACAGGTGTGAACCACTGCGCCTGGTCTCAAATCAGAAAATCTTTGAATTCATCTAATGGTCACCTATCCTGTGGGCCCTCACTTTGAGATATTTTGCCTTTTTTGGCCAAACCAATATGTAGCCTCCATGTATTGTATGACCTTGCCTGCAACCTCTGCCTTCCCACCTTTAAAAACCCTTACACATAAGCCATCAGGGAGATTAGGCCTTAAGGATTAGCTGCCTGATACTCCTTGCTTGCTGCCTGCAATAAATTCCTCAACTTCTGTCTCAGCAATGCCGATATCAGTGCTTGACTTTGATAGGCTGGGTGGGTGGACCCAAATTTGGTTTGGTGACCCTTTGAGCTTCGATTCAAAATTCTAGTTTTGTCACTCTGCAGTTTTGTGATCTTGAGCAAGTTACTTAACCTCTCTGAGCCTTGTTTGTCTTGTGTAATGAAAAGAGCTATACTTACCTTGTGAGGTAGTCCTCAGGATTCAATGAGATAATAAGTACTCACTAAACAAAACTCGTTATTACAAAAGAATCACTTTGTCTCTGAAGTGGGCAATTCAACCCATTTCTAGGAGATTTTAAACATGATTTTAGATATTTGGTGTGATTTTGTGAATGGGTTTATCGTTAATAGCTTTCATGCTCCAGAATTTTCTTGAATAATAGGTTTTTGCAAAGTGCATTCTGTGGAATACTCATTTGGGTGACGTTAATAGACATCACTCAAAAGCTGGGTGAATATTACAATGTTTACTTCATCTGTAACAAGCTGAGTAGCTACAGTACATATCTAAGAGGGGGCTCTAATTCTCAATATTTTCCAAATTTATTAGATCACAGACTTTTAGTGAAGTGCTTAATGAAACTTAAGTTCTGTGAAAAGTACTTTGAGAAATATTGCTTTAAAAAGAAAAAGATTGAGCCTTGTATCAGGGGAAAAATCTAATATTATATTAAACAAAAAAGTCCCACTGAAGAAAATAATCTTATTGTTCATAGACCTTAGTTTAGGTATTGGGGCCAAAGGATGGATGACCATTTCAAATGATCCAGGCTAAGCCAGCCTGGAGGAGAGCTCAAAGTCTGATCTGGTGAGTAAGTTGTGAAGGGAATATGATGAAAAAGTGCACTTCTATTGCAAAGAAATCATGAGCTAGGTTTATATGCTATGCTGTGAATGGCCAATAGATTATAAATTCAACAGTCTCCCTGTCACAGCTATGGTAATGACAACTGTTTAGGCCTTAGGGGAGCTTTAGGGAGAGGCAATTTCATACTTAAGTCACACTGACTTAAAAAGTGAAATATTTGAAATCATTGTTGAAATCACGTGGAGGTTGTCAGCAAGCAGGTGAGGTTGGAATGCCTATCATTTTCCTCAAGCTCACGTCCTCTCATTTTCTTATTTGAAAATCTATTTGGCTCAGAAAGTACACCTAGGGTTAGTTAAAAATCACCTCCTTATGTTCCTTTTAAAGGAAGCTTCCAAGTTATTTGAATAGCTTCCAAGTTATTCATCGAGAAACAAAGCAAATTCAAAGATTATGTCCGTAGGCACAGACTGGATTTTAAGAAATCCTGGCTGCATAAACAATTGTCTTATAGAAAAGAATTTCTGTTCCTCTTTTCCCTCCCCTTGTCAATCCTATTTGTTTCAGACCTGGGTTCAAACACTAGCTGTAGAGGCTATAAGCTATTGGAAGCACATTTGAGCCTGAAATAAACTGAACCTCTTTTGCCTTGGTTTTCTCACTTATAAATGGGGATTTTTATGCCTACCTCAAAGGTACATTGCAAGGATCGAGGGACAGAAAGTGCAGCAAGTGGCCAATGAATAGAAGTCTGGTTTTCTGAGCATCCTTGCAGCTGCAGGCTTCAGTCTACCAGAGAATGTGAGGTGTTATTCTTCTAGGGCAGTGGTTAGAAAAGAAAATGAAAGTAGCAGTACTCTTTTCCTAATGCAACCATAGATGGATGACCAGAATTTGTAATCCATAAGGTAGAAGCTGCTGTGCCTGAGGAAATAGAAAGTGGGCAGAGGTGGAGGGGCAAGGTAGGGAGTGGAGTGGAAGGTAGGGAGAGTTTGATCCTAGCCTGCACTGCTCCTCAGAGGTACTTTAGCCCCTTTGGAACAGTATTAGAAAATCATGGCTCTATCAACTCATGTCTGAAAATCAATTGCTATTTCAGAGCAGGAGGTGACCAATCTTGGAAATAAGGAAGGGAGAGAGGCAGCCAAGCCAGCAGCTCCTAGGATTAGTTACTGCCTGGAGCCAGCTCTTGGAAGTTCCCCAGGAGCTGTCCAGTCTTATGTCATGTCTAGTCAGCAGAGTCCCAAAGAAGCTTGTCATTCTCTAGGCATTTGTGCTTACATTCTGATGGGCCTAATAGCAGGGAGATGACATGGAGCCCAGGCAGAACAGCTGAGATTTCTACTGGTCGTGACCTCCATCTTCTCCTTCATACCTTTCCTACCTTTCTTTTTCCATGCATTCAACAGACATTTATTACCCAATAAGTGCCAGATAGTAAGCCAGGACCTGGGGAGAGCAGATGAGTAAGACACCGTCTCTGTCCCTCAGGAACTCTCAGATTCTTAGGGACACATGTACATCCTAATAAACACAGTGCATCTCATGAATGTGTAAGTTTAAATTATTGATATAGGCACACACAGACAGAGGGACTTCATTCCTTGCAGGTTCTGTAGTATTTCATGCCCACTCTCCTGTCTTCCCTTGCTGCTCACATCATCCTTCCTTCAAGGAATTTGGGGGGATGGTAGACTGAAAGTGGCCCTTTCTGCATAATTCTTCTTGAAAATAAACATTTGCTCTCTTCTTAGAGGCTGACTATACTGAGAGCTACCACTCCTTGGTTGCTTATTAGCCATTGGGTTATTTCTAAGCCCTTTACATATGTTATATCATTTAATTGTATTGAATCTTCACCATAACACTTCAATGGAAATATTTTTCCAAATAAGGAAAGGTGAGACTCAAAGTAGTTGTATTAGTCTGCATTGCTATGAAGAACTACCTGAAACCGGGTAACTTATAAAGAAAAGAGGTGGGCCGGGCATGGTGGCTCATGCCTATAATCCTAGCACTTTGGGATGCTGAGGTGGGCAGACCACGAGGTCGGGAGTTAGAGACCAGCCTGACCAACATGGTGAAACCCTGTGTCTACTAAACACACACACACACACACACACACACAAATTAGTTGGGTGTGGTGGTGCACACCTGTAATCCTAGCTACTCAGGAGGCTGAGGCAGGAGGATTGCTTGAACCCTGGAGGTGGAGGTTGCAGTGAGCCAAGATCACACCACTGCACTCCAGCCTGAGTGACAGTGAGACTCCATCTCAAAAAAAAAAAAAAAAAAAAAAGAAAGATGTTTAATTGACTCTCAGTTCCACAGGCCATACAGGAAGCATGGCTTGGGAGGCCTCAGGAAACTGACAGTCATGGCAGAAGGTGAAGGGGAAGGAGGCACGTCTTACTTGGCTGGAGAAGGAGGAAGAGAGCTAAAGCGGGAGTGCTGTACACTTTTAAACAACCAGATCTCATGAGCACTCTATGATGAGACAGCACTGGGGGATAGTGCTAAACCATTAGAAACCACCCCCATGATCCAATCACCTCCCATCAGGCTCCACCTCCAACACTGGGGATTACAATTCAACATGAGATTTGGGTGGGGACACAGAGCCAAACCATGTCAGTAGCAAAGAGATTTTCCCACACAGCTAAAAAAAAAAAAAAAAAAAAATGGCAGAATCTGGATGTGTGCTTAGGTTTGTCTGATTCCCGGTACACTCCCCTATGCCATTTCTGATCTGCAAAGAACCTGATCCCAATATGATCCTAGAGCCAAGAGATGAGGCGTGAAGTAGCCACCTACTTTGTGTGCTTTCAAATCAGATATGGCAAGATTCTTTGAAAAATCAGTCAACTGGATTAAGCAATGCCTAAGTATGAAAGGATCCTTAGAGGAACTAAACCATTTCTTCATTTTGTTCCATGTTCTTTCTGTGGCTCTACCAAGTTTGTAGGTTAAGAGCAAGGCATCAAAGCTTACTGAGTTTTTCTTCGACACTGAATTGACTCGTTGTCTCAAGAACAGGGAGTCATTGCCCTAGTCTCATCTCATAACATTTACATTTCTTTCTTTCGACTAATGGAGATGGTGCTCCCTGCTCTCTCTAGGAGACCACAGGACCTAGATGATAACCTGCATCCCTAATCCTAAAGGGAGCCTAAGAGCAGTAATGATGGCCCTCTATTTGCAATAGATTACACTTTTCCCATATAAAGCTCTTAGAACTGTCACTGTGAATGATGTGCTGATTGGAGATAATGGTGACAATGATAATTTTATAATTGCACTTTGTACTTCTCATCTCCTCCTGGAATCACAAAAGAATTTGTACATATCCCTTACTCAAAATAGATCCATTAAACTATTATAAGATAAAAAGGCTACAGATAAAATGCTGCCCATTGAGGCCCAGAGGGGAGAGATCCAAGTGGACTTAGAAATCCCCAGCCCAGTGCGGTGGCTCATGCTTGTAATCCCAGCACTTTGGGAGGCCAAGGCGGGCGGAATACCCTGAGGTCAGGAGTTTGAGACCAGCCTGGCCAACACGGTGAAACCCTGTCTCTACTAAAAATACAAAAATTAGCTGGGTGTGGTGGTGGGCGCCTGTAATCCCAGCTACTCGGGAGGCTGAGGCAGGAGAATCACTTGAACCCAGGAGGCAGAGGTTGCAGTGAGCAGAGATCATGCCACTGCACTCCAGCCTAGGCGACAGAGTGAGACTCTGTCTCAAAAAAAAAAAAAAAAAAAAAAAAATCCCCATATCCCCATTCACTGTCCTTTTCTTCAGAAAATACCCCATTTCATATAACTGTCTAAACAATGGTTTAAGGTCTACACAAGATTGTGAAGTGAACCTGCAGGATTAGGAGGGTAAGGATTCCCACCTAGGTGGGCTCACTTGCTCTGCCATACCTGGGTAGGATCCCAGCCCGCTTCTGTGATTGTCAGGAGGCACCAAAAAGGCTATCCTAGGTTTTCTGTCATTCGGCCCAATCATTTCCTCTGCTGGGCAAATGTGGAAGAGGCATTAAGCTGGTGCTCCCACAACTGAAAGGAAAGCAATTCTCTTTCTGTTGTGGTTCCTTCCTCTTTGGACTCTTTTCTTCCATTCCAGCCTATCCCCTTCTTGGAAAAGCTATTCTACCAATAGGAGGGAAGAAACAGCCCTGTGTACCTGATGTGCTACCCTGGGCACAGGCGATCGGACCAGGGATAGACACCTGAACTGATCTGGGCAGATGCCCTCTTCTGGCCATTGAGAATTGACAGCATCAGACATCTAGAACATAATAGTATTTTAAAATTCTGCAGGGACATCCACCAGGCTGAGGGGGACCAATTTTGTTTTAAACATGTATCCTGAACTTGGCCAGGCATGGTGGCTCATGCCTGTAATCGCAGCACTTTGAGAGGCCAAGGTGGGCAGATCACTTGAGGTCAGGAGTTTGAGACCAGCCTGGCCAACGTGGTGAAATCCTGTGTCTACTAAAAAATACAAAAATTAGCCAGGCGTGGTGGTGTGTACCTGTAATCCCAGCTGCTGGGAAGGCTGAGGCAGGAGAATTGCTTGGACCGGGGAGGTGGAGGTTGCAGTGAGGTGAGATCACGCCACTGCATTCCAGCCTGGCCAACAAGAGCAAAATTCCATCTCAAAAAAAAAACAGTATCCCAAACTCGGAAGTAAAAATAGGATGACTGCACGTCTTTCTAATGCCATACTGGAAGGTTGCCTAACAAACCACCAAAGCTTTTTTTAACTCTCTAAGGGAATGTACTTTTGTTTGACTTACTATTTACTATTGATTAGGGCCCAGACTCTGCCAAGTTACATGTTAATTTTTGTCTGGTAGAGATACAAATGATTTTTGTCCTGTAAAAAGATTTTATTGCTCTACAGGACATTAACGAGTGAGGTTTCCAAATTAGCAAACTTATGTCAGCATGCTGTTTCTGATGGTCTATCCAAATCTTTCTCCTTCCAATTCTCTTTTCAAACAGCTTTACCATCTTCTGGTTCTTTCTTTTGTGAAGTATATAGATCTTTATACACACTCCCTATAGACTTATATAAGAATCATATTTTCACTTTTTGAAAATGATGCTTTGACAATTCCACTGAACAGGCTGGGGAAAATTTTATGAGAATTGTTGGATCCTGCTCACAAGCAAAAAGATAAAACCAGGCTATCCTCTATCATGGCTGATCTGGGGTTCATTCCCAGAAATGAGGGTCTTGGATCAGGGTCAAATATGTGGGTGGGGTGGGCTCAATTGCTGAGATACCCATCTCATGAGGAAGGATGGGACCCATATTATGGGAAACAAAACAGGAAGAATGAGAGTGAAAAGATTAATCCTTTCACTAAATTGGGAAAACAGGAGAAAGTGTTGTTGGATAAAGAAGGAACTTTAGCACAATGTGCAGAGACAAGACGGTAAATGTTCCTTATCCAGTAATCTCTGATGAAAGGCCAGTGCTCACATCATTAGTAATGTCCAGAACTAATAATATCAGTAGTAGCAATACTCACAATGTAAATAAGTAGCTCTCATGTTTTGATTGCCAATAGTGCTAGCAACCTTACATGTATCACTCTCTACCCCAGCCCTGTTAATTGGTACTATGATGAAGAAAGAGACTCGAAGAAAATAAATGACTCACTCGCGTATTTTTACACAGCTAGAATTGCTACAGAAAGGATTAAAGCCAAGTCTATCCAACTCCACAGTCTATGTCCCTCCCTCCCTCCCTCCCTCCCTTCCTTCCTTCCTTCCTTGCTCCTTCCTTCCCTCCCTTTCTGCCTCCCTCCCTTTCTGCCTCCCTCCCTCTCTCCCTCCCTCCCTCCCTATCTCAAACATCTATTGAGTGTCTACCATGTGCCAGGCACTGTGTCAGGCTCTTGGGATACAGAAATAAGCCAAGTCCTTGCTTTCAGGGAGTTTACATTCCAGTGAGAGGGACACAGAAACAAATGTATCTCTACGGCAGCAAGTGCTATGAAGAAAATCAGCTTCATTTTTATTGTTTCACGCCCATCATGCAGGTTTCCCAAAGTCCATCATCCCCACTCTACCCCCCACCCAATGTAGTGCTATCCTCTGTCCTGGAGAATCAGAAGGACTTCACAGCAACATCTGCAGTCCCTTTGTTTCAGTGACTTTGGCACAGAGAAGCGGACACAGTGGCAGACAAAGCTGCTGGAAGCTGTCAGGCTACTGGCAGCCAAAATCTTAATCACACGTTCCAAAGGCAGTGTGTGTGTGATGTTGCATCTCTGGCCCTGGAAGGGAGACAGAGGTCACCTTCTTGGGAGTCAGAGTTGGCCCCTCAGCTCCCAGGGGTGCAGCTGAGCAGCTTCAGAGGACTGACTGCAGAGACCAGGAAGGGGCCATTCACTCTGATGGGAATTGGGAATCATTGATGCTCGAGCAGGAGCTGAGTTAAAATTCATGCTAAGAAATCAGCATTCACATGTGTACATATTTAAGTCAGGATCTCAGTGAAGAGGACATGACAGCAGTGAAAACAGGTGCCAGACCTGAAGTAGGCTACCTTATGGTTGCTGCTTCACCTGTTGCTCTACACACACACGCGTGCACACACACACGCGCGCACACACACACACACACACACACAATTCCAGAAGATAGTGGGACAGTAGCAATTTGAAGGCTCTGCCTGAAAAGCATTTGCTTAAAGTGTTGGGAATTTTTTGTTGGATTGTTGTTTCATTCATAGGGCTTCTAAATTTCACTTTTGCATTTTAACCATTTCAAGGAATTCCCCCTGATTTTGAGTGTGAATGGGTATAGAAGACCAGGGGTTGTTAACCAAAAGCCTGGAACATTCAGGTGAACGGCTGTTCTGCAGGGAAGGAGGGAAACAGCAGGGTGAGATGGATGGCCGACCTTCAAAGTCCTTACACAGTCCCGGCCAGGATAATCTTTGCCTTTCCCTTCTACTGGGGAAAAGTCTGGATTGCTAAGACCAGGGTCTCTATAGTGGCATCTCCAACACTCAGGCCCAGCTTCACGGCTGGGTTCCTGTTTTTTCATTTGCTCATGCCCCTCAGTGGTATCATCTGACTCAGCTCCTTTCCCTCCTGTTGGGCCAGTACTTGCAGTGGGTCTCCTGATGAAGCTGAGGTCATGGGTTCATGAGCCCAATTATCACCATGCTGACCGCACCACTAACCTGGCTCCGTGTAGTTGCAAACTTGGCTGCACATTGGAATTCCCAGGGAGAGTTTTAAACATCCTAATGACCAGGCTGCAATGAAATCAGACCGATGAAACCAGAATCTCAGGGGTGGAATGGGACTGGTAATTTACAGAATCTCTCCAGCTGATTCCATATTCAGACAAGTTAGAGCACCAATGCCCTCAGCCCTGAGAGTGAGGGCTGGTCTCATGAATCCATTCACACAGATGGAAGTGCATCCTCACAGGGGTCAGGCCTCACACAACATCGGGCATGTTGGTAGGCATATGCCTAAGTTTCTGTGCAATGAATGCATGCCTTACTGGTGATGCATCAATAGCAAGGCATTCAGGGGAGAGAGTACCCTGCCTCAGTGCCTAGCATGAGACATGTATCCAGGACCATGTTTTTATTCCCATCTTATGGATGAGAAAACTGAGGTTCAGAAAGGGTAGGCAAAATACCCTAGCTCACCTGGCTGGAAGGGGGCAGAACTTCCCTGTACGTGCTGAGAACACCACTGTTCGAGCAGAGGGGAAACCTCTGCAAATTTCACTCTGTGTTCAGTGGGTGACTTGCCAAAATGACTTGCCAAAGCCCTTTAGGGCCAATAAATTAGAGTGTTTGCATCAAATTTCCATGCACAAGAGCCAACTCAAAACCTTAGATCCAATTCCATTGGTTCTCATAGCTCTGAAGTGGACAGATGCTAGTAATAAATCCTACAGGCTGATGGCAGGACTTTGATATATAATATTAACTCTGATCTGCCCTTGGTGGTGGTCTGACTCAAGACAGAGGGAACATTAAAAGCAGTAGTAATCCTTCTAAAAGTTCCATGCGCTTCTGCCCAGATATCCAGGGTTTCTGGCTGAGTTAGCCTGCAGAAGCAATTGTGCCGATTAAGTGATGTTGAACCACGAGAAAGTGTCTTCCCACTTAGCAAATCAAGGGTCCATGGGATGGAGAGAAAGGAGGGAATAGAGTTTGTCACTTGGGCTGTACTGACCCCAGTGGTGATGTCTTCCCTTTGATGGGTGGTGTTGGGACAGCAAGGCAGTCATCATTTAGCCCACTAGTGCTAAGGCGGAAGGCATCCGCAGTGTGTGGTCTGGCATCCCCAGGCAAAGACGAGAGGATGGGCCCTGCAGAGTGTTTTGGATTAGAAACAAGCTGAGTGAACTGAGTGTTTCTTCAGGGAGCGCACTGCAGATGAGCCGACAAATCCACGACAGTGGGGAGTGAGGTGAGGCAGGGACACAAATCCACAGCTGACTCACCCAGGACATTCCCACCTCCTCAGCATAGAAAACCACAGGCACAAACTGACCAGAAGGCTATTCATCCATGGGTCTATCCCGTGCCTTGATCAGTCTTCCTAAATCCCACCTTTGCCAAAGTCACTCCAGTCTGTGAATTTTCCATGACTTCCTGATGCATATGGAAAGATGTTCAGACTCCCAATCTGAGGTCCAATGCTCTCCAGAATTCCATCTTTCCCTACCTTCCTGGAATCATTTCCCATTGACTTGCCATCTACCTGGGCAAGCTGGAATGGCTGCTTTGGCTGTCTTCTGAAAATGCCCTGAGGTGTCTCTGCCCCAGGCCTGTCTCCTCTGCCCCCAGAGCTGCCCAGGCCCCTGCTTCCTACAGAGACCAGCTCAGTCTTCTTGTCAGTGGTCATCTAACAGTGGTCTTGTAAAAGCAGAGCAAGTTCCAATCTTATTTATAGCATTCAGCAGTTTTTTTTTTTTTTTTTTTTTTTTAGAGCTGGTGTCTTGCTCTGTTGCCCAGGTTTGAGTGCAATGGCTCAATCACAGCTTCACTGCAGCCTTGAACTCCTGGGCCCTAGTGATCCTCCTCTTTCAGCCTCCTGAGTAGCTGGGACCACAGGCATGCACCACCATGCCCACCTAAACACAGTCTACCTTGACGTGTGTGTGTCTATCCATCACCAGATGCTCACGGAAGGTAGGGCAGAAACATTTTGAAAAATAATTTTTACCTTTGAAGAGTAATCTTAATGATAACCTAGCAGGTGCTCAGATACATCAGGTCAATTCACTTCCTATGACTGTGTAACAAATTACCACAAACTTGGTGATTTAGAGCAATGCCCATTTATTATCTCAGGGTTTCTATAGGTCAGAAGTTTGGGTGTTGCATGGCTGGATTGTCTGTTTAGGATCTCACAGGGTTGAGATCGGGGTAGCCAGGGTTGCTTCTCATCTGGGGCTCCAAGTCCTCTTTGCAAGCTCACTGGTTGTCAGTAGAATTCAGTTCCTGTGGTTGTAGGACTGAGGTCCCCATATTCTTCTTGCTGTTTGTCAGTCTGGGGTGCTCCCAGCAACTCAAGGCCACTCTCAGGTTGTTGACACAGGCTGCCAACATCTATCTTCAAAACCAGTAGGAGGATTTCTCTTGCACTGAATCTCTTTTGCATCTCTGACATTCTCAGTCTCTGACCTCTAGATCCAGATTTAAAGGGTTCACTTGATTCTGTCAGACCCACTCAGGACAATTATTTTGTTGTGCGTCCCTTTTTCTGGGAAGTGGGTCCACCACTTCTATCAGGTTCTTAAAAGGGTCTGGGAATGTTCACCCATCACAGACATCCACACCAGGCCAGTTAAGTCAGAACTGCTGGAGATTCCACATTCTCCTGGGCAGCCTGGGTGGAGAACCACCTATGTGGAAGGAACACTGGGCTCCAAAGATAAGGGGCGTTGCATTTTATTTCATTACCAGTGTCTATTGGCTCTGAGACCTTACAGAAATCACTCAACTTCTCAGGGCCTCATTTGCAAACACGGATGATAATAGTAAGCTCCATCTCTCACGGATGTTAGGAGGATTAAAAGTGTATAAAGATGCTCTGCAAGCTCTGAAGTATTAGCCAACCGTCTTGTCAGTGTGAAGAGACACTGAAAAGTGAGGTGGGACACAGCATTTTAAGTGAAAAAGAAGGGAGAAGCTTATCTTTATCAAAGTTAAATATTAGATACTGAGTACTTTGTAAAGTCTGTTGCTGCTGGGGATCAGGCAAATTGTTATAACCTTCCTGGAAGGCAATTTCCCATAATTATCAGCAGTTTACAGAATATCCAAGCCATTTGACCCTAAGATAATGTTTCTAGGGATTTCTCTTAAGGATTTAATCAAGGACACATACACAGATTATAGCAGTTCAAAATTGGAACCCATCTATTTAACAATAAGGGATTGTTTAATTACACATGAAATATTATTTAAACTTGAACATTATATTGCCTTTAAATATTTGACATGGAAAGAAGCTTAAAACTCAGTCCTATTTCCTTATCAATGTTCTATCAACAAGGGGCAGGAGGTGTCACCTCCTTGGGAATCAGAGTTGGCCCCTCAGGTAGGTGTTTGGAGCTTCCAGGTAGGGGCTGGGGACAAAGTGTGGATGGGGCACCTGCTGGACCTGTGGCGAGATCATCAGGGATTGCTATTGGTCTCAGCAAGGGAGTGAGGCTTGACCAGTTCTCAGCTGCATTTCAGAGAAGGATGAAATGCCCTAATCAGAAGTCAGCTCCCCTCATGACCCTGGAGGGAATTCTGCCCACTCACAGACTCTTTCTTATTCTGGGCCTCTGCTGTTATCTGGGTATTGCTCCCTGTCACAGTCAGTTTGGGGACTGATCCTCCAGGAAAGTCCTGGGACCTCTCGGCAGGCTGAATGCTTCTCCTTTGTGACTCCCCTGCCATGGCGGTTGTGCCCCTTCTTACCTTCTACAGACACGACTTTTCATGGGCTTCTTCCTTTCTCCCCACCAGTAAATCACCACCCTTCAAAGGCAGGAACTGTCTCTATTTCATGTTAGTATCCTGCGGGCCTGGCCCAGAGTAGATACTCCAAAAAACTTGTCCTGAACTGAATGGGCGTGAAGCCGGGGCCTGTTGCACTGTGTTGTTGTGGGGCGGGGTGACTTCCAACCACACTGGGAGCCATCTCCCTCTCTCATTCCGAGGGAAGAGTCCACAGCACAGATGGGCGCAACCCAATGTCAGGAGCTGACACTGTGATCAAAGAAAATCATTTCCATTGCTCCTGTAAACGAAAAGAGTCAAACTCAGTAAAATATTTGAAGAGATGTATTCTGAGCCAAATATGAGTGACCATGGCCCTTGCCATAGCCCTCAGGAGGTCCTGAGAACATGTGTCCAAGGTGGTCGGGGTACAGCTTGGTTTTATGCATTTTAGAAAGGCATGAGACATCGATCAAGTACATTTAAGAAATACACTGGTTTGGTCCAGAAAGGTGGGACCAAAGCGGGAGGAGAGGGGCGCTTCCAGGCTATAGGTAGATTTCAGTGAGTTTGTCTAAAGACCTGGGATCCATAGAAAGGAAATTTTCAAGTTAAGATAAAAGATGGTGGAGACCAAGGTTCTTTTGAAGTCTTATAGAGGCTGTCCTCAGAGACAATAGATGGCAAATGTTTCCTATTCAGATCTTTAAAAGGTGCTAGACTTGGCCAGGCACGGTGGCTCACGCCTGTAATCCCAGCACTTTGGGAGGCCCAGGCAGGTGTGGATCACAAGGGCAGGAGTTTGAGACCATCCTGGCCAATGTGGTGAAACCTCATCTCTACTAAAAATATAAAAATTAGCTGTGTGTGGTGGCAGGCATCTGTAGTCCCAGCTACTCAGGAGGCTGAAGCAGGGGAATCGCTTGAACCCGGGAGGCAGAGGTTGCAGTGAGCCGAGATCATGTCACTGCACTCCAGCCTGGGCGACAGAGTGAGACTCCGTCTCAAACAAAAAAAACAAAGTGCTAGACTTTCAGTTAATCTCTTTAGGATTGGGAGGGTCTGGAAGAAAAATATCTAGCTATGTTAATAGAGATTCTTTACAGGTACAAATTTACCCCCACAAAGGACAGCTTTGCAGGGCCATTTCAAGATATGGACAAAAAAGCCTATGTTTTGGGGTAAAATATTTTGATTTTCTTCCTTGTCTCATAATGTTATGACAGAGTCGGGTTGGAAAGTAAGTCACAATATATAGGGTTAAATAAAATCCATCTGATGAGAATTTATGGTTTGTAGGGCATCACTCCCCAGACCCTTTAGATAGGGAATTTGGGTAAGATAAAAAAAAAAAAATCAGAGCTTAGTCTTCACTTGCAGGGGTGCCCCTCTCTTCCTCCACTCTCCATCCCCAAGCTGGGCTGGGATTTCTTGAGCCAGATGAGTTGAAGATGCTGCAAAGTTAAAATGGCCTTGCCTTCCTGCGCAGTCAGGTGGAGCATCCCCTTCCCTCATCTGGGCCTGCTGAGCAGGGTCTCACTGATCCCCGCACTGTGTGTCCCTTAGACCTTTCCTGAGACCCAGCCCTTCCCCCAGTGGAAGGGAGAATTATTTGAAAAGTGTGAGGTTTGGTGTCAGACAGAGTGGGACCCAGGTCTAGGCTACTGAACCAGTGAGCTGTGTGGCTTTGTGCATGCTATTTAGACACTCTGAGTTTTAATTTCCTAATTTCTAATTGCCAGACAGGTTGGTTGGGAGGAACAGCTTAGGTTGACCTATGAAAGCATTTGTAGACTCGGAAGTGTTCACATGGCACTTTGGATCAAATCGTTCCTGCTGCTTCAAACTACTGTGTGATGAGTTTCCAAAAATCATTGCCTGTGATCTGCAGGCTCATTGTATGTCACAGATCACCAGATGTGCTTCCATTCCATGCTTGCTTCTGCAGTCCTGTTCTAAGCTCTGGCCTAATATTCTTCCCGCCCACGGAGCTCTTGCCACTGCCTCACCGCAGAGACTGGAACCCTGTCCTTTAACTCCCAGCTCAGAGTGTAGGGAAGTGTTTCTCAAAGTATTATCTGTGTTATCTGCTTCCAAATTGCCTGGATATTGGTTAGAAACCAAACCTCTCGTTCCCCTTCCAGACTTAAGGATGAGAATTGGCTGTGGGAATGAGTGGGAATCTACACTGTTGTGAAGTTCCCTACAGGGATCTCCTGCATCTTAAGGCTCAAAGACCATGGACCTAGCACTTGGATACTGGGGATAGGCATCTCAGATGCTGTCTGTTTCTTCACTTCCCTGACTAGCCTGGGCTCTGGGGTTGGGCCCTTCCCATTTCTGGATTTGTGATACTTGTCTTGTATCCCCTTTTATCATAGTGTGCTTTTGCTTACAAGTGAACAAAAACCCAATCCAAAATGATTTAAACAAAAAGAGCACTTATTGTAAAAGTTCAGAATAAACTGCCTTCAGGCATGGCTTGATCCAGGGGCGCACACTGTGTTACCAGGAGGCAGTTTCTCTCTGCCTCCTCACTTGGCTACATTTTTCTCTCACTTGTGCATCCTGAGCCATTCACAGAGCTCAGGAGGATGAGTGTTCTGATGGAGCAGGGTATGCTGGTGGTTAGTGCCATCAAAAACAGAATGAGATAATGATATGGCTCAGATGACTGGAGGAACACCAGGGTTCTTGGTCTAGCACACGTTTGGATAAAATGACACGGACACACCTGGAGTGGTTTTAAGGAGCAAAAAGTTTAATATACAAGAAAGAAGGAAGGAAGAAGAAAACAGCTCCCCAGTACAGAGACAGAGGGAGAGGGGATTTGAATAGAGAGAAAACCCCGGTGGGGAGAAGGGATGTGGGGGGAGGGCGTGTGTGTGTGTGGTGTAATCAGCTAGTTATATGAGGAGGCTGGAGGAGGCGGTGCTGGCTTGCATAGGGCTCAGAGGATTGGTTTGACCAGGCATGTCATTCACATAGCCTGCGAAAAAGCTGGCCCTCACACTCTAGCCTTTTAAGATGCAAATGCAGGGCGCCATGATGTTCTACACACGTGGGGATATGTGGGGGTGGCCATGTTGCCAGCCACCTGTTGGGGCAAGGAAGAAACCTGGAATCTCCATGTTTGGGTGGACTCAGTTTCCAGTGGCCTGCATTTGCATATCAAAGCTTGCCAGTGGCTCTTAGAGCTGGCGCTCTCCTGTTAGACAAGAAAGGTTTCTGGATCTGCTTTAAAAGAAACAAAAACTTCCCAAGGACCTCTTTTCCTCTCTATCTGCCTAAAATAATTTCTTAATAACTCCTATAACAATAAGGGGGTGGTCCATTCCCACATGTAAATTGAGGCTTTTCCCAGAAATAGGGTGAATAGATGCTGAGTTACCCCAGTCAGCAAATGTCCATTTATCTCATTTGTGAACTCTGGACTCTGCACAGAGACTGTGGTGACACAGGCTGTCCTGTGACCCTGTGGCTGGGTCAGCTCCTGTGTCTGCGACAGGATGCCCTGAGTCCCCATGGATTCCTCAACCCCACACCCTGTCCTACTCTTAGCCAAGTCAGCCATGCCCCTCTGAGGGCTACGCTGCTTCAATAGGCCTGGCTTCCTAAGTACCTTTCATTATCACCCAGGCTCATACCCAGAAGCAAAGCAGAAATTTCTTTTGAGATCCAGGGTGGGAAATGGTCAGTTGAATTGAGTTGCAACCGAAGGTGAGGAAACGTCTTTTATGAAAACCCATTTCCCTCTGTCAGAGGTGATTTCAGTCACATTTTCCAAGCTCAGGATAATTTACCCCCTACCAGGGTGCACTGCAGAAGGCCTGGCTGGAAGGCCCCGAGCACAGGAGTTGATTGCTAGCTGCTAAGAGGCTGCGCTTTGTTCCCGAAGGAGAAAGCTGCAGGTTAAGAGAACATTCCCCACCTTGCCAGGGGTGACCAAGCAGGGGACTGCTTGAGGGCTGACACTGGAGTTAGAGATAATGAAAGGAGAGGAGCAAGAAGAAGCCAGGGCCTGGCTCGGCATCTCACCGCATTGGTGGGGAGAGGAGCTGTTCACCTTCTTGCACCTGTTGCTGGGCTGAGACAGATTTTCAGAGAGCAATGCCTCCTGGACAGAGGCTCTTCCCCACAAGGCAAATGTAATTAGTTGAGAGAAAAACAAAGCTCTGAAACCCTAATTAGGTGCAAAGCCCTCAGGCTTTATACATGTAAACAGCTAAGGAACAGAGGATAAGATTCTCCAGTCGGCACTCCCTTGCCAGTCCTGGGTGAGCTAATGGTGAAGTGAGAGCTGTGCCACAGATCCCATGGTTGGCTTTTTGTTGTTGTTATTTCAGACGGAGTCTCACTCGCCACCCAGGCTGGAGTGCAGTGGTGCAATCTTGGCTCACCACAATCTCCGCCTCCTGGGTTCAAGTGATTCTCCTGCCTCAGCCTCCCGAGTAGCTGGGACTACCAGCGCCCGCCACCATGCCTGGCTAATATTTTGTGTTTTTAATAGAGACGGGGTTTCACCATGTTGACCAGGCTGGTCTTGAACTCCTGACCTCAGGTGACCTGCTCACCTCAGCCGCCCAAAGTGCTGGGATTACAGGTGTGAGCCACTGCACCTGGCCCCGTGGTTGGCTTTTACTCCTTCCATTCTGCCACCCTGAAGCTGATCCTCTGGAATTTGCTTGTTTTTGGTGTGTCCAGAAATGAAGGTCTATCAGTTCTTGAAATTGGGTTGTTTTAAGTAACTGATGTGCCGGGATGACAGTGAAGAAGAGATCTCAACTGTGGTTGAGATCCTGAGTGCTCAAGTTTGGGTCCTGATGCAGAGATGTGTAAAACTGGTAAAGCAGGAGGAAGAGTGAAAATGTGTGTGTGTATTTGTATGTGTTATGGACTACATTCATTGTGGGTGGAAGGAAAAAAAATCAGATATTTTCATGGGCAACCAAATACTGAAAAATTACTTCCAAGCAAGGTCTTTGCAAATGGTATCATTACGACACAGGTGTGACTTCTAAGCATTCTGATGTGGAAAGGGGTTCTTTGGAGGGGTGGGCTTGTTACTAATGGCAATCTAATGGGTCACACACAGGGCCCCAAATACCTCTGAAGGGCTTGGCTCAACCCTTGGATTTTTTTAGGTTCTGAGCCTGGATTTCATGAAGGAAACTTCATCCACCCTGCTGTGTGCTGAGCTGACTGTAGACATGTTCATCAGAATTCCAGCAGAATGATTTGCAACAGGGATTTCCCCTTACAGTGACAGATTGCCTGGGTCACCAATCTGTGCCCTTAGGAGGAACATTGCCATCATTTCTAGTGGACGGGCTCTCGGGTGACGCATCATTAATCAGAGGGCTCTTTGCTAAGCATGAAACCGGAAAGGAAAGCACCATGGCTGTAGGGTATACGTCACCTGCGTTCCCGTAAAGCCTGATGGAAAATCTCTTCTCAGCAGAGAATACTTCTCCAGTGACGGGGCTGTGTGTTCAGTGACCCCAGATGCAGAGTCTCGGACGGGGCTAGATGCTTTCGACAACTTTTGTCTCCTTGTATCTATTTTTTCTTCCTAGCTCAGTTCCTCTCAGACACATTCTTTTTTTAGATGGCTTTAGTGCCGTTGATTAATGCTACAGTCAAGGGCTATTTCTGTTGGCCTGGCAGATGATACAGAGTCAAATGTTGCAGAATTTGAGGGGTGGATTACTGTCTCAGCTAATACTGTTGATTAAATCAGGAGCTTGGGAAGGATTTCAGCTTCCCTGAATTTTTTTCCAAGTTGACTAGTCTGTTATTTATGTTGGGAAAGCAACATGATCCCCTTTTCTAGAAGCCCTGATTACTGTCTTTTCTGCAGCCACAGTGAAGAAGGGCAAGTCATTCTACAGAAACATTCTAGAGAATACACAAACTCCTGCAACACACCTTGTATTCCCCTCATTTAAATTCCTGAGCTCAAATGATTCTCCCGCCTGGGCCTCCCAAAGTGCTGGGATTACAGGTGTGAGCCATCATGCCCGGCGTTGTCTGATTTCCAGTTGCTTCATTCACAAAAGTAGTAGGTAGCTTTGCTACAAAGAGTGGGCCAGGTCATTACCCTTGACCATTGCTTCCATTATGAATCTTTAGCTCACATTTCTCTGGTCTCACTCAGGGACTCTTCACTAATGCCTAATCTCTGACGCTACTTCCAGCATTATATACACCACGTTGCAGGAGTGTGTGTGTGTGTGTGTGTGTGTGTGTGTGTGAATATGTTTCCCTAAGAACATCTTAGAAAATCACATGGTAGGCCGGGCACGGTGGCTCACACTTGTAATCCCAGTACTTTGGGAGGCCAAGGTGGGAGGATAATTTGAGCTCAGGAGTTTGAGACCAGCCTTGGCAACATGGTGAAACCGTCTCTACTAAAAATACAAAAATTACCTGGGCATGGTGGTGCGCACCTGTAGTCCCAGCTACTCAGAAGGCTGAGGCCGGAGAATTGCTTGAACCAGGGCAGGGGGAGGTTACAGAGAGCCGAAATGGTGCCACTGCCCTCCAGCCCAGATGAGAGAGCGAGGCTCCGCCTCAAAAAAAAAAAAAGACAATCACATGGTGGAGATCCCCTTTTAGTCCCACTGCAACCCCCTCACAGAGTGAGCCTGCAATGTGTGGACACTGAGGCAGAAGGTCTTTCAAGTGGAAATCCCAGAGGATGGAAGTAGGTACAACTGAGGGTGAATGAATGCCCTCAGGGTTGCTGGCAGGCTGATACATGGATGAGGACCAGCTAGGATGAGTCATCTCAGGAAACAGAGTAAACAGGTGGAGATGGGAGGTAATGTCACACTGTGTGCACTTGTTTTAGAGTTAACGTGTTTATTGATCTGCAATGATTTAAGCAAACCATTTGACTCTGTTCTAGAAAACAAACATGGAAAACCCCATGTAATCACGAGGCTGAGGTAAGAGATTAAGGGCCGTTGACCCAAAGGAAACAGTGCTGACCTGTCTCCTCGGTGGCATATCACTCTTCAGCCACCAAGCCCCCAGGTAGGTCAGGCTTATGTAGTAAAAAGGGTGGGATTTGGAATGAAACTGACCTGGGTTTTAATTACAGCCTCCTCCACTAACTTGGCTCAGGTTACTTTACCTTTTTGACTGTTGTTTATTTCTCTGTAAAGTGGAGATATAATAAATATTTCACAGAGTTGTGAGAAGTTAGTAAAATGATATCATAGATATGCTCTATAAATTGCAAGCACTCAATAAATGAAGGCTTCATTATCTAGGAGACTGAAAAATGCCCAATTGGAGCTCTGTCTAAAGAGCTTCTTCCTCTTCTTCTCTATACTTTGAAATGCAATCCATCCCTCAAGGGACAGTTCAAATGTAACCTGTACTCATTTCTATTGCTGTGTAACAAATTACCATAAATGTAGCAGCTGCGGTGGTTTGAATCTTTGTCCCCTCCAAAATGCCTGTTGAAATTTAACGGCCATTGTAATGGTATTGGGAGGTAAGGCCTTAAAAGGTGATTAGGCCACGAGGGTTTCACACATATGGGTGGGTTTAATGTCTTAATAAAAGGGTTTTCAGGAGTGGGCTCGCTCTCCTGGCCTTTCCACTTTCCGCCATGTGATCCAGCCTTCCTCCCCTCCAGAGAACACAGCAGGAAAAACACCATCTTGGAAGAAGAGAATGGCCTCACCAGATGCCAAGCCTGCTGGCGCCTTGACCTTAGGCTCCCCAGCCTCCAGGACTGTAAGCCAAAAAGCTTCTGTTCATTATAAAATGCCCAGTATCAGGTATTCTGTTTATTGCAGCACAAGTGGACTAGGACAGTGGCTTAAACCAACAGCCATTTATTACCTTTTAGTTCCAGAGGTCAGAAGTCATAGTAGGCTCAACTGGGTTCTCTGCTCAGGGTCTCACGAGGTAGAAATCAAGGTGTCAGTTGGGTTGTGCTATTACCTGGAGACTCTGGGCAAGAATCTGCTTCCAAGCTCCTCCAGGTTGTTGGCCAGATTCAGTAGAAATGAGGTCCCTGTCTCCTTGCCCGCTGTTGGGCAGGAGTTGCTCCAGGTCTTTCCAGGGACCTTTTCCATCTCAGCAACAGAGGACCTTCCTCAAGTCAAATCCCCCCTCACACTGAATTTCCTTGACTTCTTCTACCACCAGCTGAAGAAAACTCTGCTTTTAAAATGAGTCATGTGATTAGATTGGGCCCACCTGGACAAGCCCTCACTTTGCCATGTAAGACATTATCCTGGGAGTGATATCTCTTCATATCCACAGAGTCTGTCCGTACTCAAACGGGAAGAGATTATACGAGGGTGAGGGGACATTGGCGGGGCGGAGGGAGCGGGGAGGTCATTCTTAGAATTCTGCCTACCATACCACTTCTTCCAGAAAGCCCTTTTCTGACCCCTTCTTTTCTTTTTGAGACAGTCTCGCTCTGTCGCCCAGGCTAGAGTGCAGTGGCACCATCTCCACTCAGTGCAAGCTCTGTCTCCCGGGTTCACGCCATTCTCCTGCCTCAGCCTTCGGAGTAGCTGGGACTACAGGCGCCCGAAACCACGCCCAGCTAATTTTTTTTTTTTTTTTTTTTTTTTTTTTTTTTTGAGACGGAGTCTGGCTCTGTCGCCCAGGCTGGAGTGCAGTGGCGCCATCTCGGCTCACTGCAAGCTCCGCCTCCTGGGTTCACGCCATTCTCCTGCCTCAGCCTCCCGAGTAGCTGGGACTACAGGCGCCCGCCATCACGTCTGGCTAATTTTTTTGTACTTTTAGTAGAGACGGGGTTTCACCGTGTTAGCCAGGATGGTCTCGATCTCCTGACCTAGTGATCCACCCGCCTCGGCCTCCCAAAGTGCTGGGATTACAGGCTTGAGCCACCGCGCCCGGCCACGCCCAGCTAATTTTTTCTATTTTTAGTAGAGACGGGGTTTCACTGTTTAGACAGGATGGTCTGGATCTCCTGACCTCGTGATCCACCCAACTCGGCCTCCCAAAGTGCTGGGATTACAGGCGTGAGCCACCGCGCCCAACCTTCTGAACCCTTCTAATGAGAGCTAGCTCCTTCCCCTGCACCCTGTAGCACTATATGCTAATGAACGCATTGTGCATGCATGGGAGTTGCTGTGATCTAGCCTCCTCTCTCTACAGGGAGTAAGAGGCCCCTGGCTTTGCTTATCTTTCATTGTCTTTCTTAGTATTGATTCCTCAAAGTTCCTGAATCATTTTTAAGCCAAAATATATTTTAGTACTATACTATATTTAAATATAGAGAGACATATGAAGGACAAAAATCTCAAACTGTTCAAAGAAATGTACAGAGCAATGAAATAAGCAAAGTTCTAGGGAAGAGAAAGTTCTTGAATCTAATTTTTATAAATGTTTTCCATGATATTTTTTGTTGTGTCTTCTTGGTGGGTTAAATATGAAATATCCTTCTTTATTTCTTTTATTGCTATTTCTTTAAATTATGTGATTTTTAAAATTGTGGTATTAATTCTCTTTTTATAAGTGGTAAGGTGTATGTCTTACAAAGATCATTTAGGCTGGGCGCAGTGGCTCATGCCTGTAATCCCAGCACTTTGGGAGGCCGAGGTGGGCGGATCATGAAGTCAAGAGATCAAGACCATCCTGGCCAACATGGTGAAACCCCATCTCTACTAAAAATACAAAAATTAGCTGGGCGTGATGGTGCACGCCTGTAGTCCAGCTACCCGGCTGAGGCAGGAGAATCGCTTGAACCCGGGAGGCAGAGCTGAGATTGCACCACTGCACTCCAGCCTGGTGACAGAGCGAGACTCCGTCTCAAAAAACAAACAAACAAAAAGATCATTTAACTGGAACTTTAAAATCCAATCTAAGAGTCTGTCTTTTAATTAGTATGTTTACCATTGACATTTATAGTGATTACTAATGTATTTAGACTTGTCACTACTAATTTTGTGTTTTCTTTTTCTCATGCTTTTTTCTCTTTTTTTCTGTCTTTTATTGAATAGAAATTGTTTTCTTATTATAATTCTATGTGCAATATTTTGGTGGTTTCCTTAAATTTTTAACATCCATACCCTTTTTTTCCTAACAAAGTTTAAAGTTAATCAGTATTTATATCCTCTTCCCGAGTGAGGCAAGAATTTAGTGCATTTTAACTTCCTTCCAAACTGCACTCCCATACTTAGTCTGATATTGGTATTTGGTTCAGTTTGTTTTTAAACCTACAAAGTCCATTATTATTATTACTATTTTTTTTTTTTTTTTGAGACAGAGTCTCACTGTGTCACCCAGGCTGGAGTGCAGTGGTATGATCTCGGCTCACTGCAACCTCTGCCTCCCAGGTTCAGGTGATTCCCATATCTCAGCCTCTCAAGCAGCTGAGACTACAGGTGTGTGCCACCTCGCCCAGCTAATTTTTTTTTTTGTATTTTTAGTAGAGACAGGGTTTCACCCTGTTGCCCATGCTGGTCTCAAACTCCTGACCTCAAGTGATCCACCCGCCTTGACCTCCCAAAGTGTTGGGATTACAGGCGTGAGCCACCGCACCCAGCCCCATTATTATTATTGTTAATTGACTACTAGTGGTCAATACATTTTTATATTAAGCTATACGGTCATGCATCACTTAATGACAGGGATATGTTCTGAGAAATTCGTTGTTAGGTGATTTCGTCATTGGGCGAATATCAAAGAGAGTACTTACAAAACCTAGATGGTATTTTTAAATTCATTTGTAGTTTTAAATATGGAAAATCAAATGTCCCAGCACTATTACTGAATACTGATCATTTCCCCCACTTGACCTGCAATGCCAATATCAAATGCCACATGTCAGATTTCTATATATGCTTCATTACAATTTTATGGGACCACTGTTGTATTGCAGTCCATTGTTGATTGAAATGTCATTATGTGTCACATTACTGTGTTATCATCTATTACCAATATTTCTGTTCATTCTTATTTTTCATATTCTCTTCCTTCCTTCTTTCTTTTTTTTTTTTTTTTTTTTTTTTTTGAGACTGAGTCTTACTCTGTCACCCAGGCTGGAGTGCAGTGGTGTGATCATGGCTCATTGCAGCCTTGACCTCCTGGGCTCAAGCAATGCTCCCACCTCAGCTTCCCGAGTAGCTGGGATTACAGGCGTGAGCCACCACATCTGGCTAATTTTTGTATTTTTTGTAGAGACGAGCTTTTGCCATATTGGCCAGGCTGGTCTCGAACACCTGGGCCTCCAGTAATCCGCCGGTCTTGGGCTCCCAAAGTGCTGGGGTTACAGACGTTGAGCCACCATGCCCAGCTTCCTTATTCATTTCTATCCTTTGGTAATTTTTCAGTGAGAGTATTTGGGCAGTAAACGTTCTAAGTCATTATGTATTTTAAAATAATTTACTTTTTTCCCCCTACCTATTCATCCCTCCTCCCTAACCCCTGGCAACCTCTGATTTTTTTACCATCTCCACAGTTTTGCCTTTTCCAGAATGTCATATAGTTGGCATCATACAGTATGTAGGCTTTTCATATTGGCTTTTTTCACTTAGTAATATGCATTTTAAAGTTGTACTTCTTTTAAAATATTGTTTTGGCTATTTGTGTCACTTCGTATTTCCAGATACATTTTAGAACCAATTTGTCAGTTCACACACACACTTGTGCCTGCACATACACGTGCACAAATACTTGTTAGGATTTTGGTTGAGATAATATTGAATATACAGATCAATTTTGGGGAAATTACTATATTTTAAATATTCAGTCTTACAATTTTATCCTTTCATTTATTACATCATTCTTAATTTTTCTCAATAATGGCTTATACTTTTCTTAGTAGGGGTGTTGTACATCTTAGAATCCTATTGGTTTTCTAATTATTCATCAATTAGCTTGGTAAATTGTACTGTACTAGGAATTAGCCAAGTTCACCTAAATTGGAAAATTCATTGGCGTAAACTTGTTTAAAGCATCCTTTTAAAAGATTTTTCATGTCTTCAGTTTCTATTAAGATGTTTCCCTCTTCATTTACAATGTTGATTATTTGAACATTCTTTTTTTATTCTTGATCATTATCATCAGAGGTTCATCATTTGATTGGGGTTTCCAAAGGGGCCAAGTTTGACTCTATTGTTCTTCTGTCTTGTGTATTTGTTTACAATTTGTATTTTTTTTATTATTTCCTTCCTTCTGCTTTCTTTTAGTTTATTTTGCTATTTTTATATGACTTTCTTAGGTGGATTCTCATTGGCTCATTGATTTTCAGCTTGTCTATGCTAGTCTGCTGGAGTGAAATGAAATAATTACTTTTTTTGATTTGTTTAAAAAATTTTTAATAACATAAAATTCAAATATATTCAAAAGTAAATGCATCATGATCTTTCACGTATCCATCATAGCTTCAACTACTAGCTCATGGACATCATTTCATCTATATCCTTACTTCTACTCGCTCCCGCTGGCTATTGATTATTTTGAAGAAATTTCACATTATCCTTGCAGTGACAAAAAACAATAATTCCTTACTATCATCAAATATCCAGTCAGTGTTTACATTTCCCCAATTCAATTCTCTTCTCTCTCCCTCTCCCCATAGTTTAATATTTAAATCAGGATTCAAATAAAGTGTAGACACAGTCTCTTGATCTGTGTGCTCTTCCTATGTCCTTCTCTCACTCCCTCTTTCCTTTGCAAGGTGCTTTTGAAGAAATGGGACCATGTGACCTATAGAGTTTCTCATCTTTTGGATTTTTCTAATTGTGTCTCCTGGGTGTCATCTAACCCACGGGTCCGTGGCCCATTAGGAATGTGACCGCACAGCAAGAGGTGAATGGCGGGCAAGTGAGCATGACCGCCTGAGCTCTGCCTCCTGTCAGATCAGTGGCAGCATTAGATTCTTATAGGAGCATGAACCCTATTGTGAACTGCACATGTGAGGGATCAGATTGCATGCTCTGTATGAGAATCTAATGCTTGATGATCTGAGGTGGAATAGTTTCATCCTGAAACCATCCCTCCTCCCCGCCTGCATCTGTGGAAAAATTGTCTTCCATAAAACTGGTCCCTCATGCTGCAAAGTTTGGGGACCACTGATCTAACCTGTTGTTTGGTCCCCTATATTTCCTATAAGCCAGTAGTTAGATCAGAAGCTTAATCCTTCAGGTTTGATTGCTTTTGGCAAGGGTTTATATCCAGAATGTATAAATAACTCTCAAAAGTCAATAATACAGAAACAAACAACCCAACTTTAAAAATGCATAAAAGATATGAACAGATATATTTCACCAAAGGAGATATATAGGTGGCGAGTAAATACCTGAAAAGATCCTCATCATTAGTCATTAGTAAATGATCTGATTTTAATTATTTAAACTAATTAATAAAATCAACTAATATGATTATTACAGTAGTAAAAAATTATGAAATTAATCATGAAAATTACTTGCATTAATGTATTTAAATTTTTATGTTAAAAACAAATTAACAGCACAATGAAACATCACTGTCTAATTAGTAATCTAATTAGAATGGCTGTAATGAAAAAAGATTGACCATACCAAGTGTTGGCAAGAATTTGGAGTAACTGGAATTCTCATACACTGCTGGTGGAACATAAGATGGTGCAAATACTTTGGAAAATAGTTTGAAAGCTTTTAAAAAAGTTAAATGTATAGCTACTATATGACCACTCCTAGTTATCTACCCAAAAGAAATGAGAACATGATGTGTCTAGGCAGACCTATACACGAATGTGTTCATAACAGCTTTATTCATTTTTTTGTTTTTGTTTTTGTTTTTTTTTTGAGACAGAGTTTCACTCGTTACCCAGGCTAGAGTGCAATGGTGCGATCTTGGCTCACTGGAACCTCCGCCTCCTGGGTTCAAGCGATCCTCCCACCTCAGCCTCCCAAGTAGCTGGGATTACAGGTGTGTGCTATCACACCTGGCTGATTTTTGTATTTTTAGTAGAGACGGGGTTTCACCATGTTGGGCAGGCTGGTCTTGAACTCCTTACCTCAAGTGATCTGCTTGCCTCAGACTCCCAAAGTGCTGAGATTATGGGTGTGAGCCACTGCGCCTGGCCTAACAGCTTTATTTGAAATAGCTCAAACCTGAGAACAACTCAAAGGTTCATCAAGAGATTAATGGACAAACAAATTGTGGTACATCCAGACAATGAAATACTACTTAACAATCATGATAACAACAAAGAAGAAATGAAATATTGAGATACATAAAAATATAGATAAATCTCAAAATAATTGTTAAGTGAAAAAAGTCATCTCCCCTAAGTATATACTGTATGATTCCACTTACATAAAATTCTAGAATATGCAAGGTAATCTGTAATGAGAGAAATCAGATGGTGGCTGGCTACCTGGGGGATGGAGTTGGGGAGGAAGGAAAAAGAGGTAGAGATTTCAAAGGGTGCTGAATGTTAGGTTGAAACCTAATCCCCAAAGCAATAATGTGAAGAGGTGTGGTCTTTGGGAGGGGATTAGGTAATGAAGGCTCTGTCCTCATGAAGGGATTAATGCCCTTATAAAAGAGGCCCAAGGGAGCTTGTTCACTCCTTCTGCCATGTAAGGACACAGCAAAAAGGTGCCATCTATGAAGCAGAGAGTCCCCACCAGACACCAAATCTGCTGGTGTCTTGATTTTGGACTTCCCAGCCTCCGGAACTGTAAGTAATAAATTTCTATTGTTTATAAATCATCCCATCTAAGGTATTTTATTATAGCAGCCTGAATAAATTAAGACAAATGGACACCAGGAAACTTTGGGGTGTGATGGACATGTTCATTATCTTGATTGTTGTGACATCTTTTCACAGGCTTGTACATGTGTCAAAGTTGTCACTTTAAATATTGCAATTTTTTATATGTCAATCATACCTCAATGTGGTTGGCAGAATAATGGCCCTAAAAGATGTTCAAGTCTTAATCCCCAGAACCTGTGAATGAATATGTTCCCTCTATGGCAAAAAAGGAATTAAGGTTACAGATAGAATTAAGTTTGTTAATCAGCTAACCTTAAAATAGAGAGATTATCCTGGATTATCTGGGTGGGCCCAGTGTAATCACAAGTGCCCTTAAAAGTGGAAGAGGAGGCAGAAAAGTTGACAGTAAGGATGCCACTGGAGAGGGATTTGAGTTGACTTTGAAGGTAGAGGCTGTGAGTGAAGGAAAAAAACAGCTTCTAGAAGGTGGGAACAGCCCTCATGTTACAATCAGCAAGAAAATGGGGATGTTGGCTCTGCATCTACAAGGAATTGAATTCTGCCAGCAGCAAAGAAATGGATTCTCCCTTAGAACTTCCAGAAAAGGGTATAGCGTGCTGACACCTTAATTTTAGTCCAGTGAAACCCATACTGGGCTTCTGATCCACAAAACTGCAAAATAATAGATTTGTGTTGTCTGAAGCCATTAAGTTTATGGACATTTGCTACAGCAGCAAACTAATATACTCAATAAAGTCATTTTTTTTTTACAATGAATCTATTTTTAAAATAGCACTTCATAGACCATGTTGCATACTTCTGTCAGGAGGCATATAAAGTCTGGTTACCTGTCTGTGATGTTAGCTGCCATCAATTGCCTAGATTATTGCCTAGAACCATTAAGTCGTCATCACTTCCTAGTGACGACCTCTCAAGGCATGACATTTCCTTCTTGGTTAACTCAACCAAACTTCCTCCTGCGATTTCTACTCATTGAATCTAAGCCCTTTTCTATGCTGTGGCTCCTTAAATATTTGAAGACATGTCCTTACTTTTAAAAATCATTTTATTTTGAAAAAATGGAAACTCTATACAAAAACAGAATAATATAATGAACCCCTTTATGCCATTTCTCATCTTCGACAATTATCAACTCCAGACCAATCTTATTTCATTTACACCCTCATCTACTTCTTCCATCCTTTTTTATTTTGAAGCAAATCCCAGATCTCATATAATTTTACCCATATATAGTTCTGTATGTATAACTAGAAGAGAACTTAAAGAATAACCACAATATTATTATTACTCTTACATTTACAGTAATCTCATAATATCATTAACTATTCAATGACTTACTCCTATTGGTTAAGCATATCGTCTTTATTTATTTATTTATTTTTAAGACAGAGTCTCAAGTGGGAGTTTAGTGGTGCCATCTTAGCCCACTGCAGCCTTGACCTCCCAGGCTCAAGTGATCCTCCCAATTCAGCCTCCTGAGTACCTGGGACTATAGGCACCCACCACCATGCCTGGCTAATTTTTGTATTTTTTGTAGAGACGAGGTTTTACCATGTTACCCAGGCTGGTCTCAAACTCGTGGGCTCAAGCGATACACACACCGTGGCCTCCCAAAGTGCTGGGATTACAGGCTTGAGCTACTACACCCAGCTTCATATGATCTTTTTTTTTTGAAACAATTCTCATGAAGAGATCTTTCTGACTTAAAAAAAAAAATTCAAACACTCAGAAGAGGGGTACATAATTTCACCTCCAAGTTACACATGGTGACAATTTTTGTGCACATGATAATGATAGAAACAGGCTCACTGGGAAAGTTGAGTAACCATGTATACTTTGTCATTGGCAAAAACGTTATTCAGATTTACAAAACAATGATGTTAAAATGTAAAAAGTAATGCCTTTATAGAATTCATAATTATATAAAAACGTCATTTTTTAATCCACTGGAAGTTTATTTTTGCAAATGTTTTAACTTGTTAATTCAATTTTTCATAACCTTATTGCAACTATATGTATAAATGTATACATTTTGCCACGTTGGCATATTTGCATGTGCAAAACATATCTGCATACGTAGCACATGCAAAACATATCTGCATACGTAGCACATGCAAAACATATCTGCATAAGTAGCATATGCAAAACGTCTGCATACGTAGCATATGCAAAACATATCTGCATATGTAGCATATGCAAAACATATCTGCATATTTGCATGTGCAAAACACATCTGCATATTTGCATGTGCAAAACATATCTGCATATTTGCATGTGCAAAACATATCTGCATATTTGCATGTGCAAAACATATCTGCATATTTGCATATGCAAAAACATATCTGCATATGTAGCATATGCAAAAACATATACATATTTCACATATGTAATACCTGAGACGAAATAATAAGCCTGCTATTCCCTGGGGCTGTCTTACAAACCTCCAGTTTGTACACATCCTGACATGCTTCTTAGCAGCCACTCCATGGGTGCCCTAGTTGCCCCTAGATTATTTCAGTACATCGTGCTGCTACTGCTCCTTGAGGCATCTGGGTGGCATTTTGTTTGCAGTTAGAACACCTACACCCAGAGATTCTACCTGCCCTCTTTGCAGCCCTTCAGTTGTGGAAAGCACCTCTCCTCTGAAGCACACTGAGTGAACAGCTGGATGATCTCATTTTCCAGCCTTGTAGTTAACTGCTTGGGTTCTAGATACAGAGTTGACCACATGCTATGCACCCTATCTTGGTCTTGGACCATTTTGGTAGTTGGTAGCTAGGTTGTCTTTTCTTTTCCTCTTCCAGTGCTGTGGTGGGTGGCCTGAATTGTGCTCACTTGCTTGCTCTTTCCTGAAAGACATGCTTTTATTATTTTCTAAAATGGTTGACTCAACTCAAGAACCAGCATCTCCCCAGATTCAAAAGGGGTAAAGATTCTTAGTTTGTTTGTGCTGCTATAACAAAATAGCCAAGACTGAGACTGAATAGTTTACAAACAAGAGAAATTTATTTCTCATAGTTCTAGAGGCTGGGAAGTCCAAGGTCAAGGCACCGGCATCTCTTCAGATGTTGCTTCTTGAGTTGAGTCAATCATTTTGACTTAAGTCTCCCATTTCTCTGTGAGGTTTCACTTCACCTATATAATAATATCTGATCCCCATAGCAATCCTGTGAAGTAGGAAAAACAGGCATTATTATCCCCACTTAAAGACAAAACTGAGGATTAGAAAGAGTCATGTAGGGTTTTGAGAAGGCATAGACCTGTGAGGGAATGACTTGAATTAAAAATTCTAGCCGGGCACTGTGGCTCATGCTTGTAATCCCAGCACTTTGGGAGGCTGAGGCAGGTGGATCACCTGAGGTCAGGGGTTTGAAACCAGCCTGGCCAGCATGATGAAACCCCATCTCTACTAAAAATACAAAAATTAGCTGGGCATGGTGGTGCGTGCCTGTAATCCCAGCTACTTGGAAGGCTGAGGCACAAGAATCACTTGAACCTGGGAGGCAGAGGTTGTAGTAAGTTGAGATCACACCTCTGCACTCCAGCCTGGGCGACAGAGCAAGACTCCATCTTGTAAAGAAAAAAAAAACGATTCTTAGTCTGTGCTGCTATAACAAAATACCTGAGACTGAGACTGAGACTGAGTAGCTTATAAACAACAGAAATTTATTTCTCATAGTTCTAGAGGCTGGGAAGTCCAAGATGAAGGCACTGGCAGATTCACTGTCTGGTGAGGACCCAGTCTCTCTGCTTCCAAGATGCCGTGTTGCTGCCGCATCCTCTGGAGAGGAGAAGCACTGTGTCCTCACATGGTAGAAAGCAGAAGGGCAAAAGGGGCAAACGCTAGTTCCCACTATCCCTTACATGAGGTTGCTGATCCCATTCATGACTTAGTCACCTCTTAAAGGCCTCACTTCTTTTCTTTCTTTTTTTTTTTTTTTTTGAGATGGAGTTTTGCTCTTGTCACTGAGGCTGGAGTGCAATGGCGCCATCTCGGCTCACTGCAACCTCCGCCTCCTGGGTTCAGGCAATTCTCCGGCTTCAGCCTCCTGTGTAGCTGGGATTACAGGCACCCACCTCATGCCCAGATAATTTTTGTATTTTTGTAGAGATGGGGTTTCACCATGTTGGCCAGACTGGTCTTGAACTCCTGACCTCAGGTGATCCGCCTGCCTCAGCCTCCCAAAGTGCTGGGATTACAGGTGTGAGCCACCACACCCAGCCAGGGCCTCACTTAATAGTATCACATTGGCAATTAAGTTTCAACATATAAATTTTTGGGGAAGATTCACACCATAGCAGACTGTTTGGGGTAAGACTGGACAGCTACTTTGCTTGGGGAATGAAGAATCTAAAGAATACCGTGGAGACCTGGGCTTCAGAGCCAAGGGAGACGAGGACTCTGGACAGAGAGATTCAGACTTTCCCAAAGACTTTGCTTTACTAATCAATACCAACAGCAAGTAGTCCTGAGTGGGGAGGTGTCTGACTCTAATACTGTGTAAAAATAGTTGCAGCTACCCCTTATGGAATGCTTACTATGGGCCAGGGTCTTGGCCAAATATTTTACATATACCATCTCCTTTAGTTCTCACAGTAAATGTTTTCCTCATTTTACAGATGAGGAAATAGAGGCTTCCAGAGATTAAATACATTGTCCAATACCACCTGGCTATTAAGTGGCAGAGGTGGCTTCCAGTAGGGTTCTGTTTGACATTGCACCCATAATTTTAGCCACTCTAATTCTTTTCAGGGACTGATGTTCTTGAACACCAAGTGGGCTTTATTTCAGGGGCACAGCGAGGTGGACTTACGTTGTCCCTAAAGGAGCTAATTTTCTCCTGCTTGTGTCTAAGAAACATTTGTTAACAGAGACCCAGTAGGTCTTTGATATCTCTCTCTCTCTCTTTTTTTTTGTTTGAGACAGGGTCTTTCTCTGTCACCCAGGCTGGAGTGCAGTGGAATGATTATAGCTTACTGCAGCCTTGAACTCCTGGACTTGAGCGATCCTCTTGACTCAGCCTCTTAAGCAGCTGAGACAATAGGCATGCACCACCATGCCTGGCTAAGTTTTAAAATTTTTTTGTAGATTTGGAGTCTTGCTATATCGCTTGGGCTGGTCTTGAACTCCTGGCCTCACGCGATACTCCTGCCTTGGCCCCCCAAAGTATTGGGATTATAGGCATGAACCACCATGCCCTCTTGATGGACCAATCTGTTGCTGTCCTAAAGGTCTTGCTGCCCAAGAACTAACATACTTGGTAGAGGTTTTATTCTAGTCTGTTGAAAAATCCTTTTGTTTATTGCCCTGTACTTTCTTTGTTTTTGGAAACTTATTCTTAAGGTTAAATTAAAAAAAAAAATGATTTAGGCTGCTGGATTATCTGAAAGGGACCACTTACCTTACCATTGTCCACCAAGATCTGCAAAAACCGCTCACCATTTTTAGGTTCAATCAGTTTTGGGTTCATAGGCTTTACTTACCCCTTGATTTAATGTGCAGCTTCAGCACATCTTTAACTCTATAGTCAACATTGTCTTATCTAAACCTACATGTATACTCACCGGAAATGACTGTACCAATTTGTAGCTATGAGGCCTCAGTTCATCTCAATCTTGCCTTCTGGGAGTAGCCAGCCTATTATCCGGTTCAACGAGTTCTGTCAGTTAACCTGAAGCCCAAGAAGATACTATGTATGGTTCCATGTATGTCCTTGCTAGGATGTTTAGACCTGTGTCATGCATTTGCGCCCTACCTCAAAATCACAAGGGCTGTGATTTACAGCCCTTTTTATGGTTACCTAGAACTTTTGGTAGCCTTGAATTTGGGGAAGAAATCGGATAGTTAGTAAACACCTACGCATTTGTGTTCATATAAAGAAGCAGATAAGCTGACCAAAAGAAACCTCTCCCAGTCCTCATGGAATTCTAAGAGATGATTAAATCCTTCTTGAGAATTTTTAATGCATACCCTATCCCACTTCAATTTTTGCAGCCTTGAGCATACTAACAAAAGTGACACGCTTCAGCCTCTGCCGGGGAACTCACAAGCTGTAGCTGCTGCTCTTACTGCTGCTGCTGCTGCTGCTGCTGCTCAGAGTTCCTGCAAGGTTTCATTCAGCTTTAGGAGGCACTACAACTTATGGTTAGGAGCCAAAGCTGTAACTTCTAATTCTGGTCAAGATGCAATAACTGGCACTGGACTAGGCTTCCTGCCATAAACAAACATAAAACTAGATGAAACATATGAGGCAACTGTTTTCAGGCATGAAACAAGACAGTCCAGGATTGTGATCCTTGAGGAAAAGAAAATGCCTGGGGTAAGCCCCATTTGCCCTGGCTCTCTATCTGGGAGCAATTGCTAGACTATGACATCACTAGGTAGAGAGAAAAAAGAGCATGAGGGGACTCCTCTGACCTAAGGAGGCAGAGATTAGAGATTAGGGCTGCTGATAAGGTTTAAACCTGTGGGACAGGGTACTGAAGAGGAGAGAACGCTTTGTAGGGGAAAGGTGGCATGGATATCGTGAGACATATAAATCAGTGGGACTGGGTGGAGAGCCAAGGAACAAACCTGCGTATATATAGTCGATTGGTTTTTGACAAAAGGGCCAAGATAATTAAACAGGGAAAGGATCGCCTATGCCACAAATTGTCCTGGGAAAACTGATATCCACATAGAAAAAAAAAAAAGAACTTTGGCTCTTACTTCACAACATTGTATTAGTCTGTTCTCACACTGCTAATAAAGACGTACCCAAGACTGGGTAATTTACAAAGGAAAGAAGTTTAATTGACTCACAGTTCCACATGACTGGGGAGGCCTCACAATCATGGCTGAAGGCGAATGAGGAGCAAAGTCATGGCGACAGGCACGAGAGCATGTGCAGGGGAATTGCCCTTTATAAAACCATCAAATCTCGTGAGACATATTCACTATTATGAGAACAGCATTGGAAAAACCTGCCCCATGATTCAGTTATCCCCACCTGGTCCCTTCCATGACACATGGGGATTACGGGAACTATAATTCAAGATGAGATTTGGGTGGGGACACAGTCAACCATACCAGACATACACAAAATAATTAAAAATGGATCATGGACCTAAAATTGTAATATAAAAGTGCTAGAAGCAAACATGGGAGAAAATGAAACCTTGGGTTAAGCAAGATTTCTTAGGATGCAAAAAGCACAACACATAAAAGAAAAAAATGATAAATTTAACTTCATCAAAATTAGAATGTTTCCTCTTTGAATGACACTCTTAAGAAAATGAAGGGGAGGGGCCAAGAAGGCCAAACAGAAACAACTCCAGTCTGCAGCTCCCAGTGAGACCAATGCAGAAGGGGGTGATTTCTGCATTTCCAACTGAGGTACCCAGTTCATCTCACTGGGACTGGTTAGGCAGTGGGTGCAACCCATGGAGAACGAGCAGAAGCAGAAGCAGGCATTGCTTTACCCAGGAAGTGCAAGAAGCCAGGGGACCTCCCTCCCGCAGCCAGGGGAAGCCATGAGGGACTGTGCTACCCGCCCGGGTACTACACTTTTCTCATGGATTTTGCAATCAGCAGATCAGGAGATTTCCTGGTGAGCCTACACCACCAGGGCCCTGAGTTTCAAGCACAAAACTAAGTGGCTGTTTGGGCAGACACCCAGCTAGCTGCAGGAGTTTTTTCGTACCCTAGTAGCACCTGGAACCCCAGCGAGACAGAACCGTTCATTCCCTTGGAAAGCGAGCTGAAGCCAGGGAGCCAAGTGGTTTCACTCAGCAGGTCCCACTCCCACAGAGCCCAGCAAGCTAAGAACCACTGGCTTGAAATTCTTGCTGCCAGCACAGCAGTCTGATCGATCTAGGACGATTGAGCTTGGGGGGAGGAGGGGCATCTGCCATTACTGAGGCTTTCGTAGGCGGTTCTCCCCTGACAGTGCTAAGGAGACTGAGAGGTATGGACTGGGCGGAATTCACCACAGTGTGGCAAAGCGGCTGTGGCCAGAGTGCTTATCTAGATTTCTCCTCACTGGGCAGGGCATCTCTGAAGGAAATGCAGCAGCCCTAGTCAGGGGCTTACAGATAAAATGCTCATCTCCCTGGGACAGAGCACCTGGGGGGAGGGGCTGCTGTGGGCATAGCTTCAGCAGACTTAATCTTTCCTGCCTGCTGGCTCTGAAGACAGCAGCTGATCCTGACAAGGGGGATTGTCCCAGCATAGCACACCAGCTCTGCTAAGGGACAGACTGACTCCTCAAGTGGGCCCCTGACCCCAATGCTGACTAGAGAGTTAAAGATATGCTGAAGCTACACATTAAACCTCCCAAAAGGGGTCAACAGACGCCTCATACAGGAGAGCTCTGGCTGGCATCAGGCCGGTGCCCCTCTGGGACAAAGCTTCCAGAGGAAGGAGCAGGCAGCAATCTTTGCTGTTCTGCAGCCTTCACTGGTGATATCCAGGCAAACAGGGTCTGGAGTGGACCTCCAGCAAACTGCAGCAGACCTGCAGAAGAGAGGCCTGACTATTAGAAGAAAAGCTAACACACAGAAAGCAACAACAACATCAACAAAAAGGACACCCACCCAAAAGCCCCATCCAAAGGTCATCAGCCTCAAAGATCGAAGGTAGGTAAATCCATGAAGATGAGGAAAAATCAGCGCAAAAATGCTGAAAATTCCAAAAACCAGAATGCCTCTCCAGCAAGGACACAAAACTGGATGGAGAATAAGATTGACAAACTGACAGAGGCAGGCTTCAGAAGGTGGGTGATAACAAACTCCTCTGAGCTAAAGGAGCATGTTCTAACCCAATGCAAGGAAGCTAAGAACCCTAATAAAAGGTTACAGGGACTGCTAACTAGAATAACCAGTTTAGACAGGAACATAAATGACCTGATGGAGCCGAAAAAAAAGAAAAACACAGCACAATAACTTCAGGAAGCATACAGAAGTATCAATAGCTGAATCAATCAAGCGGAAGAAAGGATATCAGAGATTGAAGATCACCATGCTGAAAAAAAGTGTTAAGACAAGATTAGAGAAAAAAGAATGAAAAGGAATGAACAAAGCCTTCAAGAAATATGGTACTATGTGAAAAGACCAAACCTATGATTGATTGGTGTACCTGAAAGCGACAGGGAGAATGGAATCAATTGTGATATTATCCAGGAGAACTTCCCCAACCTAGTGAGATGTGCCAACATTCAAATTCAGGAAATACAGAGAACACCACTAAAGATACTCCTCGAGAAGATCAACCCCAAGGCACATAATCATCAGATTCTCCAAGGTTGAAATGAAGGAAAAAGTGTTAAGGGCAGCCAGAGAGAAAGGTCGGGTCACCTACAAAGGGAAGCCCATCAGACTAACAGCGGATCTCTCTGCAGAAACCCTACAAGCCAGAAGAGAGTAGGGGCCAAAATTCAACATTCTTAAAGAAAAGAATTTTTCAACCCAGAATTTCATATCCAGCCAAACTAAGCTTCAAAAGCAAAGGAGAAATAAAACCCTTTCCAGACAAGCAAATGCTGAGGGATTTTGTCACCACCAGGCCTGCCTTACAAGAGGTCCTGAAGGAAGCACTAAATATGGAAAGGAAAAACTGGTAACAGCCACTGCAAAAACACACCGAAATACAAGATTATTGACACTATGAAGGAACTGCATCTACTAATGTGCAAAATAATCAGCTAGCATCATGATGACAGCATCAAATTCACACATAACAATATTGACCTTAAATGTAAATGGGCTAAATGCCCCAATTAAAAGACACAGACTGGCAAATTGGATAAAAAGTCAAGACCCACCAGTGTGCTATATTCAAGAGACCCATCTTATGTTCAAAGACACACATAGGCTCAAAAAAAAGGGATGAAGGAATATTTACCAAGCAAATGGAAAGCAAAAAAAAGCATTTTTTTTTTTTGCTTGCAAGTAGGTTGCAATCCTAGTCTCTAATAAAACAGACGTTAAACCAACAAAGATCAAAAAAGACAAAGAAGGGCATCACATAATGTTAAAGGAATCAATGCAACAAGAAGAGCTAACCATCCTAAATATATATGCATCCAATACAGGAGCACCCAGATTTGTAAAACAAGTTCTTAGAGACCTACAAAGAGACTTAGGCTCCCACACAATAATAGTGGGGGATTTTAACACCTCGCTGTCAATATTAGACAGATCAATGAGACAGAAAATTACAAGGATATTCAGGACTTGAACTCAGCTGTGGACCTAATAGATGTCTACAGAACTCTCCACCCCAAATCAACAGAATAAACATTCTTCTCAGTGCCACATGGCACTTATTCTTAAACTGGCCACATACTTGGAAGTAAAAGACTCCTCAGCAAATGCAAAAGAATGGAAATCATAGCAGTCTGTCAGACCATAGTGCAATCAAATTCGAATTTAGGATTAAGAAACTCACTCAAAACCTCACAACTACATGGAAATTGAACAACCTGCTCCTGAATGGCTTCTGGGTAAATAACGAAATGAAGGAAGAAATAAAGAAGTTCTTTGAGACCAATGAGAACAAAGAGACAATGTACCAGAATCTCTGGGACACAGCTAAAGCAGAATTTAGAGGGAAATTTACAGCACTAAATGCCCACATTGGGAAGCTGGAAAGATCTGAAATTGACACCCTAACATCACAATTAAAAGAACTAGAGAAGCGGCCAGGCGCGGTGGCTCACACCTGTAATCCCAGCACTTTGGGAGGCTGAGGCGGGTGGATCACGAGGTCAGGAGTTCAAGGCCAGCCTGGCCAACATGGTGAAATCCCGTCTCTACTAAAAATACAAAAATTAGTTGGGCGTGATGGCGGGTGACTGCAGTCCCAGCTATTTGGGAGGCTGAGGCAGGAGAATAGCTTGAACCTGGGAGGCGGAGGCTGCAGTGAGCCGAGATCCCACCATTGCACTCCAGCCTGGGACAGAGTGATACTTTGTCTAAAAAAAAAAAAAAAAAGAACTAGAGAAGCAAGAGCAAACAAATTCAAAAGCTAGCAGGAGACAAGAAATAACTAAGATCAGAGCAGAACTGAAGGAGATAGAGACATGAAAAACCCTTCAAAAAATCAATGAATCCAGGAGCTGGTTTTTTGAAAAAATTAACAAAATAGACCGCTAGCTACACTAATAAAGAAGAAAAGAGAGAAGAATCAAATAGACACAATAAAAAATGATAAAGGGCATATCACCACTGATCCCACAGAAATACAAACCACCGTCAGAGAATACTATAAACACCTCTATGCAAATAAACTAGAAAATCTAGAAGAAATAGATAAATTGCTGAACACATACACCCTCCCAAGACTAAACCAGGAAGAAGTTGAATCCCTGAATAGACCAATAACAAGTTCTGAAATTGAGAAAGAAATTAATAGCCTACCAACCAAAAAAAGCCCAGGACCAGAAGGATTCATAGCCGAATTCTACCAGAGGTACAAAGAGGAGCTGGTACCATTCCTTCTGAAACTATTCCCAACAATAGAAAAAGAAAGACTCCTCCCTAATTCACTTTATGAGGCCAGCATCATCCTGATACCAAAACCTGGCACAGACACACCAAAAAAACTCCACAAAATTTCAGGCCAATATCCCTGATGAACATCAATGCAAAAATCCTCAATAAAATACTGGCAAACCAAATCCAGCAGCACATCCAAAGCTTATCCACCATGATCAAGTCGGCTTCATCCCTGGGATGCAAGGCTGGTTCAACATATGCAAATCAATGAATGTAATCCATCACTTAAACAGAACCAATGACAAAAACCACATGATTATCTCAATAGATGCAGAAAAGGCCTTCAATAAAATTCAACATGCCTTCATGCAAAAAACTCTCAATAAACTAGGTATCGATGGAACATATCTCAAAATAATAAGAGCTATTTATAACAAACCCATAGCCAATATCATACTGAGTGGGCAAAAGCTGGAAGCTTTCCCTTTGAAAACCGGCACAAGACAAGGATGCCCTCTCTCACCACACCTATTCAGCATAGTATTAGAAGTTCTGGCCAGGGCCATCAGGCAAGATAAATAAATAAGGGGTATTCAAATAGGAAGAAAGGAAGTCAAATAGTCTCTGTTTGCAGATGGCATAATTGTATATTTAGAAATCCCATTGTCTGAGCCCAAAAACTTAAGCTGATAAGCAACTTCTGCAAAGTCTTAGGATACAAAATGAATGTGCAAAAATCACAAGCATTCCTATACACTAATAATAGACAAGCAGAGAGCCAAATCATGAGTGAATTCCCATTCACAATTGCTACAAAGGAATAAAATACCTAGGAATACAACTTACAAGGGATGTGAAGGACCTCTTCAAGGAGAACTACAAACCACTGCTCAAGGAAATAAGAGATGACAAAAACAAATGGAAAAAAAATTCCATGCTCATGGATAGGAAGAATCAATATTGTGAAAATGGCCATACTACCCAAAGTAATTTATAGATTCAATGCTGTTCCCATCAAGCCACCATTGACTTTCTTCACAGAATTAGAAAAGAAACTACTTTAAATTTCATATGGAACAAAAAAAGAGCCCGTATAGCCAAGACAATCCTAAGCAAAAAGAACAAAGCTGGAGGCATCATGCTACCTGACTTCAAACTATACTACAAGGCTACAGTAACCAAAACAGTACGGTACTAGTACCAAAACAGATATATGGACTAACGGAACAGAACCAAGACCCCAGAAATAACACCACACATCTATAACCATCTGCTGTTTGATAAACCTAACAAAAACAAGCAATGGGGAAAAGATTCGCTATTTCATAAATGGTGCTGGGAAAACTGGCTAGCCATATGCAGAAAACAGAAACTGGACCCCTTCCTTACACCTTATACAAAAATTAACTCAAGATGGATTAAAGACTTAAATGTAAAACCTGAAACCATAAAAAACTCTAGAAGAAAACCTAGGCAATACCATTCAGGACATAGGCACGGGCAAAGACTTCATGACTAAAACACCAAAAGCAATCGCAACAAAAGCCAAAATTGACAAATGGGATCTAATTGAACTAAAGAGCCTCTGGACAGCAAAAGAAACTATCATCAGAGTGAACAGGCAACCTACAGAATGGGAGAAAATTTTTGCAATCTACCCATCTGACAAAGGTCTAATATCCAGAATCTACAAGGAACTTAAACAAATTTACAAGAAAAAAACAAAAACTGCATTGAAAAGTGGGTGAAGAATATGAACAGACACTTCTCAAAAGAAGACATTTATGCAGCCAACAAACATATGAAAAAAAGCTCATCATCACTGATCATTAGAGAAATGCCAGTCAAAACCACAATGAGATACCATCTCATGCCAGTTAGAATGGCGATTCTACGTCAGGAAACAACAGATGTTGGCAAGGCTGTGGAGAAATAGGAACGCTTTTACACTGTTGGTGGGAGTGTAAATTAGTTCAACCATTGTGGAAGACAGTGTGGCAATTCCTCAAGGATCTAGAACCAGAAATACCATTTGACCCAGCAATCCCATTACTGGGTATGTACCCAAAGCGTTATAACATTCTACTGTAAAGTCACATGCACACGTATGTTTATTGCAGCACTATTTACTAAAGCAAAGACTTGGAACCAACCCAAATGCCCAGCAATGACAGACTGGAGAAAGAAAATGTGGCACATATACACCATGGAATACTATGCAGCCTTAAAAAAGAATGAGTTCATGTCCTTTGCAGGGACATGGATGAAGCTGGAAACCATCATTCTCAGCAAACTAACACAGGAACAGAAAACTAAACACTGTGTGTTCTCACTCATAAGTGGGAGTTGAATAATGAGAACACACGGACACAGAGAGGGGAACATCACACACTGAGGCCTTTCCAGGGTGGGGGTGAAGGAGAGGGAGAGCATTAGGACAAATACCTAATGCATGCGGGGCTTAAAACCTAGATGATGGACTGCCAAGACCATGTCTGCCAGGTGAGCACAGAGCCTTGCCCTCGCTGCTCTGCAGCCTGTCCACACCCGCCGCCAGCTCACCATGGATGATGATATCGCGGCGCTCGTCATTGACAACAGCTCCGGCATGTGCAAGGCTGGCTTCACAGGGGATGATGACCCCTGGGCCATCTTCCCTTCCATGGTGGGGCGCCCCAGGCACCAGGGCGTGATGGTGAGCATGGGTCAGAAGGATTCCTATGTGGGTGACGAGGCCCAGAGCAAGAGAGGCATCCTGACCCTGAAGTACCCCATCGAGCACGGCATCGTCACCAACTGGGACGACATGGAGAAGATCTGGCACCACATCTTCCACAATGAGCTGCGTGTGGCTCCCAAGCAGCACCCCGTGCTGCTGACCAAGGCCCCCTGAACCCCAAGGCCAACCGTGAGAAGATGACCCACATCATGTTTGAGACCTTTAACACGGCAGCCATGTACGTGGCCATCCAGGCTCTGCTGTCCCTGTACGCCTCTGGCCGTACCACTGGCATCATGATGGACTCTGGTGACGAGGTCACCCACACTGTGCCCTTCTACGGGGGGTATGCCCTCCCCCACGCCATCCTGTGTCTGGACCTGGCTGGCCGGGACCTAACTGACTACCTCATGAAGATCCTCACGGAGCGCGGCTACAGCTTCACCACTACGGCTGAGCAGGAAATCGTGCATGACATCAAGGAGAAGCCGTGTTACATCGCCCTGGACTTCGAGCAGGAGATGGCCACGGGGGCCTCCAGCTCCTCCCTGGAGAAGAGCTACAAGCTGCCTGATAGCCAGGTCATCATCAAAGCAGTTCTGCTGCTCTGAGGCACTCTTCCAGCCTTCCTTCCTGGGCATGTAATCATGTGGCATCCATGAAACTACCTTCAACTCCATCACGAAGTGTGACGTGGACATCTGCAAAGACCTGTACTCCAACACAGTGCTGTCTGGCAGCACCACCGTGTACTCTGGCCTGCATAGCGGACAGGATGCAGAAGGAGATCACCGCCCTGGCCCCCAGCACGATGAAGATCAAGATCATTGCTCCTCCCGAGCGCAAGTACTCCGTGTGGATCGGCACCTCTATCCTGGCCTCTCTGTCCACCTTCCAGCAGATATGGATCAGCAAGCAGGAGGAGTATGACAAGTCTGGCCCCTCCACTGTCCACTGCGAATGCTTCTAGGCGGACTGTGACTTAGTTACATTACACCCTTTCTTGTCAAAACCTAACTTGAGCAGAAAACAATATGAGATTCGCATGGCTTTATTTGTTTTTGTTTTTTTTTTTTTTGGCTTGACTCAGGATTTAAAAACTGGAATGGTGAAGGTGACAGCAGTCTGTTGGAGCGAGCATCCCCCAGAGTTCTACAATGTGGCCGAGGACATTGATTGTACGTTGTTCTTTTTTTAAAAAATAGTCATTCCAAATATCATGAGATGCATTGTTACAGGAAGTTCCTTGCCCTCCTAAAAGCCGCCCCACTTCTCTCTAAGGAGAATGGCCCAGTCCTCTCCCACATCCACACAGAGGAGGTGATAGCATTGCTCTCATGTAAATTATGTAATGCCAATTTTTAAAAATCTTCACCTTAACACTTTTTTATTTTGTTTTATTTTGAATGATCAGACTTTGTGGCCCCCTTTTTTGTCCCTCAACTTGAGATGTATGAAGGCTTTCGGTCTCCCTGGGAGTGGGTGGAGGCAGCCAGGGCTTACCTGTACACTGACTTGAGACCAGTTGAATAAAAGTGCGCACCTTAAAAAAAAAAACCTAGATGACGGGTTGATTGGTGCAGGAAACCACCATGGCAAATGTATACCTATGTAACAAACCTGCATGTTCTGCACATGTATCCAAAAACTTAGAGTAAAATTTAAAAAATTGAAAAATAAATAATTAAAAAAAAGAAAATGAAAGCAATGCACCTTTGGGAGAAAATGTTCTCAATACACATGTCTGTTAAAGGACATTTTCCCAGAATCTATAAAAAAATTCTTACAACTCAATAATAAATAATTCAATTAAAGATGGGCTTACACTTGAACAGATACTTCACAAAAAAATACAGATGGCCAATAAACATATGAAAAGATGCTTATCACAAGTTATCAGACAATATCAAGTATTCTCAAATATGTGGAGCACCGGAACTCTTTTGTACATTGCTGGTGGGAATGTGAAACAGTACAACCGTCTTGGAAAAGTCTGCCAATTTTTAAAATAAAGGTAAACATACACCCACCAATTCTGTTACTAGATATGTATCAAAGAAAAGTGAAAACAGGTTGGGTGCAGTGGCTCCCAGCACTTTGGGAGGCCAAGGTGGGTGGATCAAACACCTGAGGTCAGGAGTTTGAAACCAGCCTGGCCAACATGGTGAAACCCCTGACTCTACCAAAAAATACAAAATTAGCTGGGCCCACACTGGTGGGTGCCTGTAGTCCCAGCTACTGGGGAGGCTGAGGTGGGAGAATAGCTTGAACCCGGGAGGCGGAGGTTGCAGTGAGCTGAGATCATGCCACTGCACTCTAGCCTGGGCAACAGACTGAGACCCTGTCTCAAAAAAAAAAAAAAGTGAAAACGTGTTCACAGAAAGGCTTGTACATAAATGTTCATAGCAGGTTTATTTATTCACAATAGCCAGAGAAATAGGAAATAACCCAAATATCTCTCTGTAGGTGAATGGGTACAAAAATCGTGGTACATATAAATAGTGGAAAGTTATTTAGCAATAATAGAAATGAATTACTGATATATGCAATAACATGAATGAATCTCAAAAGGTTATGCTGACTAGTGAAATTTGCTAAGAGAGTAAGTCTTAAATGTTCTCACCACACATACACAAATGGTAATTATGTGAGGTAATGGGTGTGTTAACTAACTTGATCATGGTAATCAGTTCACCATTTATATGTATATCAAAGCATCATGTTGTATACCTAAAATATATATAATTGTATTTGTCAGCTATTCCTCAATAAAGCTTGGGAAAACCCTTACACACTTAAAAAATATAACACCGTAAGAGGTAAACAGATGGCAATTCTGCTTTGTACAATACAAGCAAGGTTTGATCTTATTCATATGACTTTTTAAATGTATATAAAAATGAGACTGAAGTCAGGTGTGGTGGCTCATGCCTGTAATCCCAGCACTTTGGGAGGCTGAGGTGGGTGGATCACCTGAGGTCAGTAGTTCGAGACCAGCCTGGCCAACATGGAAAAACCCCATCTCTACTGAAAACACAAAATTAGCCGGGCGTTGTGTTGCATGCCTGTAATTCCAGCTACTCGGGAGGCTGAGGCAGGAGAACGGCTTGAACCCAGGAGGCGGAGGTTGTGGTGAGCTGAGATTGTGCCATTGCACTCCAGCCTGGGCAACAAGAGCGAAACTCCATCTCAAAAAAAAAAAAAAAAATGGGGAGAGAGACTGAAAATTGAAATCTCTCTTTGAGAAACAGATACTTATCTGTGTAGGGTACAGGAATTTCAAATTATAATTCCCCCCAAAATACAACAACAACAACAAAAACGTTATGGTGAACAAAAGAAGAGCAACACGAAAGAGTACATACTATTTTATTTTATTCATATGACATTCTGGAACATGGAAAACTACTCTCTGGCATCAGAAAGCAGATCTGTGGTTGCCAGTGTAGAGAAGACTAATACAAAGGGGTATGAGGATGAAGGAAATGTTATATAGCTTGATCTGTTTGTATTTGCAAGGGTGTATACATTGGCAAAACTCAAATAACTATACATTTAAGATACGTGCATTACTTTGTATGTAAATTATACCTCAATAAAGTTGACTTAAAAAATGAAGAACACAGGCTTTTGCATTACAGTGACCTGTTACTATTTCTCACTTGTACCCCTTGTAAAAGTTACTTATCTAAGTTCGAATTTCTTTATCTGTAAACTGGGAATATTAATAGTATCAATTTCATAGGGTTGTTATGAGATTTAATAAGATATTATATGTTGTATACTTCCAAGATCTGTCATGGAACTTAAAAATCAAAGGTAGTTCCTATTACTACTACACATGGTTTTTTTCTAATCACATCATGAAAGAATGCAGTTGATAATTCAGCCCATTTTTCAGAAGAGCTGCCTTTATAGATCTCAGAGTAGATGTGCACCTTTGCCTACCACCCACAGATCAGGCAGGCAGAAAATACAGACCATACTCTGGAAAAGCACCTTCTTTAATGCCAACTATCAGCAGGGAAATTGGGCTAAACTTCCTCTCCCAGCTGAGCTAGAGTATGACAATCTGTGTGCCTGGATACAGGGAGGGGCCCAATCTTTTATTACGAATTGAGATTTCTTTGGAGCAGAGCTACCCAGTTAGCCTGGAGCTACTCCAGGCTGACTCGAGTAAAAATGGGCTCATCTGACCCAGCTCGGTGTCAGAACAATGGGTCTATCTTAGATTCATCTGTGGTGTTATGTTTCGCTAAGGTTTTCTGCCCTCCTTGTCTATGACAGCTTGCTTAGCAACTTGAACCTGCTCTGCCCACAGTTTGGTTCTCTGCCACTTACCTTATGATTAGTATCTCAGTAACAGCTCCTGTCTGAACTTACCACTCACACACCAGTTTAATCACAGCCTGACTAGCCAGCTCTGCACCACCTCCTGCAGAACTTCTTGCCCAGATGGCTGCTGCCTTCTTGCCCAGATGGCTCTTCTCTTGGAGCCACCAGAAGAGTGAACCCTTCAGACTGAATAGCTCTCGGCTGGCACCTGGGAGAAGCAGGAAGAAATTTTTAGATTACACTTATCTGAATTTCTAATCTGAAGTATCAAAGCTGCATTCCATCACCCCTGCAAGGGATTTCAGTCTAAGATAAGAACTGAGGATGCATAATGGGTGGAGATTAATACCAGAGTTTAATGAAGCGGGGTTTGATACAGCTGGTGCATACAATGCCTTATTTGTCTTTGTATCTCCTGTTTTAGAGGAAGCCTTTCTGTTTGCAAGAGTTTCCTCTCTTTCGACTTTTCGTTCCATATGTTCCCTTGCCTTTGGATATTGCTCAGGTTAACCTAAAAACACACCCAGTGATGACAATGTGTAGAACATTCTATTTGTTTTTTTAGGCAATATTACATAGTGGTTTTCACCTTAGGCAGGCATAGATTTGAATCATCTCTGCTATTTATGAGTTGTGTGATTTGGGGTGAGGCCCTCTGCTCTAGCCATTCTGGCCTTTCTTCTGCCTCTCCAGCATGCCAACCTCACTCTTCCAAGGTTTTTGCATTTGCTCGTCTCTCTGCCTGAGACCCTTTTCATCCAGGACTTCTGAGGATAGTTTCTTCTTGTCTCTCGGATCTCTGTTCAAATGTCATCTCTTTGGATAGAACTTTCCTCACCATTATTTCTAAAATGCCCCACCTCGGTCACTATTGCACCATCTTATTTTAGTGTCTTCATAGCATTTATCTTATTTACTTGTTTATCATCTCTCTTCCCCAATTAGAATAAAAACTTCTAAGCTGGGCACAGTGGCTCACGCTTGTAATCCTAGCACTTGGGGAGGCTGAGGTAGGCGGATAGCTTGAGCTCTGGAGTTTGAGACCCGCCTGGGCAACGTTGCCATATCTTATCTCTACAAAAAAATACCAAAATATTAGCTGGGCACGGTGCCATGCACTTGTAGTCCCAGCTACTCCGGAGGTTGAGGTGGGAGGATCACATAAACCAGGGGAGGTCGAGGCTGCAGTGAACTGTGATCATGCCACTGCACTCCAGCCTGGGTGATGGAGTGAGAGCCCGTCTACAAAAAACAAAACAAAACAAAACAAAACAAAACAAAAAGAATAAAAACATCTAGAGAGCAGGGCAGGGCAGGAGGAACTTATCTGTCTTTTTCACCACAGTATCCCTAAAGTTTAGAATTGTACCCAGCACATACATAGCAGGTTTTTAGAAAGTTATCTATTCAATCAGTCAGTAAGTTAACATCTCTAAGCTTTAGTTTATCTGTAAAATAGAGATAATAGTACTTTCCTATAGGGTTAATGAAGATAATATGAGGAAATATTCGTAAAGGGCTGAGCATGATGCCTGACATATAGTAATTGTGCTATAAATGGTAGACATAGTTATTATTCTTTCTGCCTCCATTTCCCCTCTCCTGAGTATATAAGCTCCTCTAGAGCATCGACAATGCCTTATTCATATATTTCATATTGCTATGGATATAGTAGACAATAAAACTTAGTTTCAATGAAATAAAAATTTTTCCTAGTAAATCAAGGCTTCGAATAAGTGAAATAGAAAATACACTAACCGAACCAACCAAAGATGGTGAGCTCATCTTTTGGACTCAGTTAATCAGCCCTCCTCCCAGTGAGGGCTTTCATGACTGTCTCATCCTGGGAGGGTCAGGGGATAAGGTGACTATCCCTTGTGTGAACTTCAGCCAGAGCACCAGTGCATTTGATTTCACTCATGTGCTCGTAGGTACGTTTTCCTCTGCTAGATTGCGTGTGCTTTGAATTACTTACCTTTGTATCCCCACTGGCTGGCCCCTTGCCTTCTCTCGTACTCAGTATAGAAGTATTGAAGAATAGAACAGTGGTAAAGGGACAATAGTACAGGGATTAAGAATGTAGACTCTGGGCTCAAAGCATCTAGGTTCAAATCCTAGCTTCTAGCTTCTGCCACTTACCAACTGGGAGGCTTCAGACAAGTTACTTAACTTCTCTGTGTGCCTCAAGTTCCTCATTCATAAAATGAGGAGAACAAAAGTACCAATTTCATGAATATGGCAATGAAAATATTTCCTACCTATAGGGTTCTTAAAATAATGCTTTTTTTTTTCTTTTTTGAGACAGAGTCTTGCCCTGTCGCCCAGGCGATCTCGGCTCACTGCAACCTCCACCTCCCAGGTTCAAGCAATTCTCCTGCCTCAGCCTCCCAAGTAGCTGACACTACAGGTTTGCACCACCACACATGGCTAATTTTTGTATTTTTAGTAAGATGGGGTTTCACTATGTTGGCCAGGCTGGTCTTGAACTCCTGACCTCAGGTGATCCACCCACTGTGGCTTCACAAAGTACTGCGATTACAGGCATGAGCCACCACGCCTGGCCAAATGCCTTCGATTTTATGTGTACTTCATTTCACATAAATGTGCCCCAGACAGTGACTGGATCATAATAGACATTCAGTCGTGTTTATTGAATTAAATTGAAAACTTGAATGTAAATTGATATTCAGGGGTAAAGAAAAGCATGTTTATTTATTTATTTTTGTAGCTGGGACTATAGGCGCATGCTACCATGCTGGGCTAAATGTGTATTTAAATGGACAGGGAGAATTTGCCATAGTCGGTTCTTTTGTATAAGCATACTTTGATTACTTTTTTCAAGTTCATATTTATTCTATTAGATGTAGTAAATGTGATGTATGTTTGAAAATAGATTTCAGGGTATGTGTGGTTGGGGAATTCATGTGGAGGTCAGAGTAGAAGCAGATGTGAGAGGGTCAAGCAGAAGAAAACATGGCTGCCAAAGTGTTTGCGTCCATCGGCAAGTTTGGCCTGGCCTTAGCTGTTGCAGGAGGCGTGGTGAACTCTGCTTTATATAATGTGGATGCTGGGCACAGAGCTGTCATCTTTGACCGATTCCATGGAGTACAGGACATTGTGGTAGGGGAAGGGACTCACTGTCTCATCCCCTGGGTACAGAAACCAATTATCTTTGACTGCCGTTCTCGACCACGTAAAGTGCCAGTCATCGCCGGCAGCAAAGACTTACAGAATGTCAACATCACACTGCGCATCCTCTTCTGGGCCGTTGCTAGCCAGTTTCTCGCATCTTCACCAGCATCGGAGAGGACTATGATGAGCGTGTGCTGCTGTCCATCACGACCGGCATCCTCAAGTCAGCGATGACTCGCTTTGATGCTGGAGAGCTAATCACCCAGAGAGAGCTGGTCTCCAGGTAGGTAAGCAATGACCTTACGGAGCGAGCAGCCACCTTTGGGCTCATCCTGGACGACGTGTCCTTGACACATCTGACCTTCGGGAAGGAGTTCACAGAAGCGATGGAAGCCAAACAGGTGGCTCAGCAGGAAGTAGAGAGGGCGAGATTTGTGGTGGAAAAGGCTGAGCAGCAGAAAAAGGTGGCCATCATCTCTGCTGAGGGCGACTCCAAGGCAGCTGAGCTGATTGTCAACTCACTGGTCACCGCGGGGGACGGTCTAATCGAGCAGGAAGCTGTGGAAGACATCGCGTACCTGCTCTCACGCTCTTGGAACATCACCTATCTGCTGGCGGGGCAGTCCGTGCTCCTCCAGCTGCCCCAGTGAGGGCCCACACGGCCTCCACTTCCGCGGGCTGACCGGGCCACAGCCCCGGTGATTCTTAACGCCGCCTCCCTTCTGCTCCCACTCCAGAAATCACTGTGAAATTTCATGATTGACTTAAAGTGAAGGAAATAAAGGTAAAACCACTTCAGATCTCAAAAAATAAAAAAAGAAAGAAAATAGATTTCAGAAAACAATTACTTTAGGAGAAAAAAATCTTCAGTGGTTACAGTTTGAGGACTCATCAGTTCGAAGTGAAAATTCTCTCTAAGCAGATACTACTCTCCTTTTTCAGTTTTGTAGTCTCCTAAATTTACCTTCTCTGCTGACCTTTTAAAAGCTCCCTCTGGGCCTTAACTAGAGCAATAAAAATTGAGTTTGGCCAAGACTTTTACAAATTTTACTCTTGGGAGTCTCTCTGAACCTGTTCTGGGGTTCAGGGGCTGCCTGACAAAATACAAAAAAAGTTACTCTGTCTCAATTAATGTACATTGGGCGACAATAAGAGGTGGGGTGAAATATTCTCAACTGTCAATAAGAAACTTGAATGTCATACATAACAGTTATTAGAAGTGAGTTATGAATTCCTCATAAGTGGGATTTAAATGATGATATAAAATCATCGAGTTAGTTTCTCCTTGTCTCTCCTTTTTTTTTTTTTTGAGTTGAGTCTCACTCTGTCGCCCAGGCTGGATACAGTGGCGTGATCTCGGCTCACTGCCACCTCCACCTCCCTGATTCAAGCAATTACCCTGCCTCAGCCTCCCGAATAGTTGGGATTACAGGCGCACACCACCATGCCTGGCTAATTTTTTTTTTTTTTTTTTTTTTTTAGTAGAGACGGGGTTTCACCATGTTGGCCAGACTGGTCTTGAACTCCTGACCTCAGGCAATCTGCCCACCTCAGCCTCCCAAAGTGCTTGGATTACAGGCGTGAGCCACCATGCCCGGCCTAGTTTTTCCTTTTCTAATTATTTATCTTTAGCTATTCAGAGAAAAACTTTTGTGGCAGCAACACAATTACATTCATTTAGTAATTGAGAGTCAAACATTGTGTGCTAGGCTAAAGGGAATGCCCAGAACTTTAAGAACTGGTCCTTTCCTCAAAGGAACTTAGGCCACGTAGCTGTAAAATCAGTGTGCTTTTCATAGGTATTCTTGAAAAATACTTGAATAAATCCCAAGTTTAAAAATGATTTAAAAATGGTTAGGATGCAGTTCATTCAGTTCATTCTCATCTAACACTGTGTGTTTAAGAGGTGACCAAGAAGAAATACATGTACATTCCTTACAGTAGAATAAAGCCCCTTTGCAAGGGGGAGAATGGAAGCTGCGACATACTTCGTTGGTGGCCAATGGGCCTTTGTGAGTTCTTGGCACTTGGAAGCCTGTTTTCAGTATTTCAGGCTAAAATTCTCTTGCTTGTCAATAGAGAAGCCTTAATTTTTCTTTCTAAAGTCTCATCACATAGATTTTCTTTTTTTTTTTTTTCAAATGCTCATGGTAACACGGTAGTTATAAATATAGTTTTTTTTTTTTTTTTCTGAGACAGAGTCTCACTCTGTTGCCCAGGCTGGAGTATAGTGGCACCATCTCGGCTCACTGCAGTCTCCACCTTCTGGGTTTAAGCGATTTTCCTGTCTCAGCCACCCAAGTAGCTGAGTTAACAGGTGCTCACCACCATGCCCAGCTAATTTTTGTATTTGTATTTGTATTTTATTTATTTATTTTAAGACAGAGTCTCACTCTGTTGCCCAGACTGGAGTGCAATGGTGCGATCTCCACTCACTGCAACCTCTGCCTCCCGGGTTCAAGCAATTCTCCTTCCTCAGCCTCCTGAGTAGCTAGGATTATAGGCGGCCACTACCGCACCCGGCTAATTTTTGTATTTTTAGTAGAGACAAGGTTTTGCCACGTTGGCCACGCTTGTCTTGAACTCTTGATCTCAGGTGATCCACCCGCCTTGGTCTCCCAAAGTGCTGGGATTACAGGAGTGAGCCACCGCGCCCGGCCAGTGTATTTTTAGTAGATACGGGGTTTCACCATGTTGGCCAGGCTGGTCTCGAACTCCTAACCTCAAGTAATCCATCTGCCTCAGCCTCCCAAAGTACTGGTATTACAGGTGCGAGCCACCGCCCGGCCTCATAAATATAGTTGTTTATGAAAGACACCACCATTGGCCAATCATCAGAAGGGGAGCACTTTAGGTCTGTATTTCAGCAAGAGATTTACATTCCATAGATCCTTTCACTCTCATTCAATCAGAACTTTTTGTAGGCATTTATGAGATGGCTATTTGGGGTGACAGATATAATCTATGGCCATAGAACTGGGAAACACTGACTTGAATCATGTAAGCTACAGACAAATGAATAATTCATTGATTTAGTCACTCTTTAATTAATTTATTTATTCATTCTACTATTATGGACTGAGCACTGTTTTAAGTACTGAAGAATCCATGCTAAACAAGGATGAGTAGAGTCCCTACCTGTGGGTTACAGTATTGTGGGAGAGACTGACATTAATTGAATAACACAAACCAGTGTAATGAATACAGTGAATACAGTGGTGACACATGGTGTGAAGGTGAGGTCCTTGGAGCTATGCTACAGCATGTGCTAGAGGAAGCATGAAGGGCAAAAGGGAAACTGAAAAAGGTGGTGTGGCTGAGTCTCACAGAAGGAGAGGACTGTGGTACCTAGTACCACTGAAGGATGGGCAGAGACAGGCATTCAAGGGCTTGGAGGCAGAGTTAAGGAAGGACATCAAGCAGTGCTATCTTGTGATCAGATTTACGAGAAATGATGGTAGCTTGAATAGCATGGCTGTAGTCACGGAAGAAAGGGAGCTTGATGAGATATTTAGGAGACGGAATGAATAGACCTTGATGATTGAATAGATCTTAGAGATGAGGGAGAAATAAGGTCAAACATGATTCTCAGGTCTGTGGCTTGAGAAAATGGGAGAACACTTGTGGCATACACTGAGACAGGAAGTACTAGATGAGAACCAGAATTGGGAATAAAAACTACCCCTTGGTTTTAGACATGCTGAGTTGAGACATGTTGATATGGAAATCCAGCACTATTCAATAGAGCTTTCTGTGATGATGGAAGTGTTCTGTATCTACACTGCTGAGTATTTTAGCCATTACTCACATGTGGCTATTTACATTTAAGCTAAAATAAAAGATTTAGTTTCTCAGTTGCACTAGCCACATTTCAAGTGCCCAACAGCTATATGTGGCTAGTGATTTTTGCATTTGACAATGCAGTTCTAGAACCTAGAGAAGCAGCCTAGGTTGAAAATATAAAAAATTAGCCAGGCATGGTGGCTTATGCCTGTAATCTCAGCACTTTGAGAGGTCAATCCAGAAGAATTGCTTGAGGCCAGGAATTTGAGACCAGCTTAGACAACAAAGTGAGATCCTGCAGCTATAAAAAAAAATATGAAAATAGTCTGGGCACAGTGGCTCACGCCTGTAATCCCAGCACTTTGGGAGGCCGAGGAGGGCAGATCACCTGAGGTCGGGAGTTTGAGACCAGCCTGACAAGCATGGAGAAACCCCATCTCTACTAAAAATACAAAATTAGCCTGGCATAGTGGCGCATGCCTGTAATCCCAGTTACTTGGGAGGCTGAGGCAGGAGAATTGCTTGAACCGAGGAGGCAGAGGTTGCAGTGAGCCGAGATCTTGCCATTGTACTCCAGCCTGGGCAACAAGAGCAAAATTCCACCTAAAAAAAATAAATAAATACATAACAATTAAAAAGTTGAAAAAAATTAAATTTAGTCATACATGATGGTGTGCACCTGTAGTTCCAGCTACTCAGGAGGCTGAGGTAGAAGTCTTGCTTGATTCCAGGAGTTTGGGGCTGCAGTGAACTATGATAGCACCACTGCACTCCAGCCTGGGAACAAAGCAAGAGTCCACCTCTTAAAAAAAAAAAAAAAAAGAGAGAGATGTGTGTCGATGAGGTTTAAGACTGTGAAGACAACTTTCTAAGGAAGAAGTGAAGGTAGTCAGTGAAAAGAGGAAATGGCTAGGACTGAGACTACAGGACCTTCAACTTGTAAAGTCTGGTGAACAAAAATGAGCCTTCAAAGGATACCAAGAAGTAATCAGGGAGGTAGGAGAAAAACTGTAAGAGCCTTGTCATATAAGTCAAGTGAAAAGGGTGTTTTGAAAGGAATGAGCAACAGCTAAGTTGTTCTAGAAGGTTGAGGAAGATGAGACTGAAGATGTTTATTGGATCAGTGAAACACAGGCCATTGGTGACTTTGGCAAGAGCTGTTTCAGAGGAGGGATGAGGCTGAAAGGCAGACTAAATGAGTGAGGAGGGGGTGAGGTAATGGAGAGAGAACTGACAATAGAAGAAAATAAATCATGGGCTCCTTTTTCCACGGGCTACCAATAAAACAGGGAATTACTTTAGCCAAATCAAGCTAGAGTCATATATCATAGATATATGTCTTCAAACACTGAGTTTATCCTACAAAGTTACCAATTTTGAATCTTTTGTCATGATTATGAGGAGATATATGTGTGCTGGGTTTTCTTCCTACTCCAACTACCTTGGAGGGTGGGTATGAAATAGACCATGTGAAGGCTTAGAGGCCATGTTGAAGTATTCTTTATCCTAACAGCAATAAAAAGCAACTGAAGGCTTTTCTTTTTTAAGTCATTTTATTATCTAAAATTTAGAGCATACAGAAGAAGAGAGAAAAATGTAACTCATCACTCCCGGGTATTATTCATCACCTGACCCTAACACCCTTCAGCCTTTAGTCCTGGCCCATCCATACCCCATCTACTTAGATGAGAAGTTTTAACCACAGGAGTGATATAATTACACTTGTGTTAAAAAGACCATTCTTGCTGCTGGGTAGAGCAAAAGTCAGCACATTTCCAGGTAGTAAATATTTTAGGCTTTGCTGGCTGTACAGGCTCTGTTGCAACTATTTAACTCTTGTTGTAGCTTGAAAGCCGCACTAGACAATACATAAATAAATAAGTGTGTCTGTGTTCCAATAAAACCTTATTTATGGACACTGAAATTTGAATTTCATATAGTTTTTGCATGTCACAAAATATTCTTCATCTTGTTTTGATTTTCCCCCTCACAATTTAAAAATGTAAAAATGATTTTTGCTCATAGGCAATACAAAAACAGGCAGAAGGCCAAATTTGGGCTGTAGTTTGCTAAGCTCTAGGGTAGAGAATGAATTGCAGCAGGCAAGAGAAGTTGTGGGAAGACTTGCCCAAGGCTATTGCAAGAATCAGAACAAAAATCTCGCTATTCCTGTACCTAGTAAAGAGAAAAGACAGCATGGTAAGCATTTATTAGGTACTATACCATTGAGTATCTATTATTCCCTAGGCACAATGTTAGGGCTAAAGATATACAAATAAATGAGTAAGAAATCGTTTTTGCCTTGCAGCTAGTTAGGGAGACAGATGTGGTTTTTTTCTGTCATGTTGTAAATACCACAACATGGTACTATGGAATATACATGAAATATTGATTAATTCTGTGTAAGAAACATCAAACATGGCCTTAAGAGTGACATTTAGCCAATGTAGTGGCTCATGCCTGTAAGCCGAACACTTTGGGAGGCTGAGGCAGGAGGATTGCTTTAGGCCAGGAGTTCTAGACCAGCCTGGGCAACACAGTGAGACACCATCTCTACAAAACATTTAAAAATTAGCCAGGCATGGTGATGCATGCTTGTAATCACAGCTACTTGGGAGGCTGAGGTGGGAGGATGGCTTGATCTCAGCAGTTTGAGGTTACAGTGAGCTATAATCATGCCACTGCACTCCAACCTCAGTAACAGTGTAAGACCTTGTTTCTTAAAAAAAAAAAAAGACATTTAGGCATTTAGGTAGGAACTTGAAAGGCGAATAAAAGTTTACCATATAGGGTAAGGTGGAGGGAGGGGAAGGTTTTTAAAGCAGAGGGAAAAGTATAAATGGATGCAAAGAGGCTTGATACACAAGCTTCTGCCCCATTTTTCTTTCAGATTACTGCTAACTTGAGGGGAATGTAGGAGATAACTGAATAAATCCGTAGGTTAAGGAAACTGTAAAAATGGAGTATCTCTGGTTTCAAGAGGGAGGATAATTGGTGGAATATTAAATGATTCTACATGACCTGGGCACTGGCTACATCTTCCACCTCTCTTACCACTCCCCTCCTTGTTCACTCTGCCCTGGGCACACTGATCTTTTTGCCATGTCTTTGAGATGCCAAGCACAAGGCTGCCTCAAGCTCTTTGTCCTTGCTGTTCCCACTGCCCAGAGTCTGATTCCCTCCCTCCCCTCATTCCTCAGAGGCTTTCTCTGGCCAGCCTATCTAAAACAGGTGCTATTCTCTTAGATTTACCTAGTTGCTATTTTTTTCGTAGCATTTATTATTACCTTATTCATGTGTTTGTTATCTAGCTCCTCCCAACTAGAATATAAGCTCCATGAAGGCAAGTCTCTTCTCTGTTACCTCTAAAGTCTAGAACAGGGCCTGGCAAAATACAGCCACACGAGTATTAGTAAAAGAGATAAACAAAAGGAGTGGGGAGAGGGTAGAGAAGAACCCAGATGAGTTGGAGGTGAAGGGAATAGGTATTGCAGGAGTGCAATCTCAATAGTCTCTGTTTCATTGGCTGAGTAAGATGGGAATTCATCTTCTGAGAGGAGAGAGGGACTCAAAGTTTGGGACATCTGTGGAAGATGAGAACGAGTAACACAGGGAGAAAGTTGGGAACTTAAACATTTGAATTCAAACCAAATAGATAATTAATTGTACTGTGCCAAGGGGTGGGGTGAGAGCCAAAAGAGAAGATAGCTCCTCCCCGCTCAGAATGTGGCATTTTGACTTATCTTTCTTGGAGTTGAGTAGAGAATTATAGGGTGGGGAGAACCAAACAGAGGCTCTTGAAAGAATAAGCAGGTGAGGGTGGGAGCGGAGAGAAATTGAAACTTGGTAGAAAACAACCCTTCTGAGAGCCATGTTTGAGTGGTACAGAATCTGAGAGAATGAAACCAAAGCACAGACAAGGGTTCTTTGGTTTCACGCTTCTATGATTAAAAAAAAAAAAGTCCTCAACATACCTGCTATTTGGCAGCTGGGAATTCTCAATTGGCTAGAAGTGAGTTTCAGGACATATTGCCAATTGCTGTCCCTTTTCTCCTCCCTTCCCTTGGGCAGGGCATTTGTGTAAACAGACAGTAACGAAATAGAACTGGACTGTCTTATTCCAATTCTTCTCTCCTTGCTTCCATTTCTATTGTAATTATTTTATTAATAAGCTAGGGCTGCCAGCACTCATACTAAGTATAATTTACTATTGTGTACAACCAGTTTTAGGGTGGTAATGAGACACGGTTTTTTGGTGAGAACTGGAAGGTTAGTGACCAATATCCAGAATTCTTTTCCTGGATGACTGTGGATCATAATATCTTCAGCTGTTTTGGGGACTTCTTTGTCTGCAAAAAAATAAAAAAAAACCCCAGTGGAATATGAAGTAGGTTTTTTGGTGTAAAATAGTCCCTTTATGAACTGCAGTTTACCAAAAAGAATTGTTGCTTCCCAGAACTACCATTCAACCCAGGAATCCCGTTATTGAGTGCATACCCAGAGGAATATAAATCATTCTACCATAAAGACACATGCATGTGAATGTTCATTGTAGCACTATTCACAATAGCAAAGACATTGAGTCAACCTAAATATCCATCAATAACAGACTGGATAAAGAAAATGTGCTACATATACACCATGGAATACTATGCAGCCATAAAAAATATCAAGATCATGTCTTTTGTGGGAACATGAATGGAAGTGGAGGCTATTATCCTTAGCAAGCTAACGTAGGAACAGAAAACCCAATACTGCATGTTCTCACTTAGAAGAGGGAGCTAAATGATGAGAACTCATGAATGCAAAGAAGGGAACAACAGACAGTAGGGCCTACTTGAGGGTGGAGGGTGAGCGGAAGGAGTGGAGCAGAAAAGATAACTATTGGGTACTGGGCTTCATACCTGGGTGATGAAATAATCTGTACAACAAACCCCTGTGACACGAGTTTGCCTATGTAACAAACCTGCATATGTAGCCCCAAACCTAAAAGTTAAAAGAAAAAAGAATTATTGCTTCCCACAAACGTGCTAAATTTCAGTATTAGGGTTTCTTTTATTATTAAGATTCTGAAAGTTAACATGTTCCCAATTGATCTCCTCTTTTCTGTAACTTGGTCCACTCATGGTCTTCTCCATTTTGGTTTGTGGCAACTTCCATCTTTTGGGACAAAAATTTGGGCTTCTTTCTCTCATATTCCACATCTAATCTGTCAGGAAATTCTGTGGGTTTGGACTTGAAAATATATCCAAAACCTGACCACTATTTGCCATAGACGCTGTTATCGCCTTTGAGCAAGCCACTTCCATCTTTTGCTTGGCTTATCACAAGAGTTTCTTACTGTTCTCTGTTGACTTTCAGTTTTCCACAGCAGCTCTTAAAATATGTCAGCTGACATCACTCTTCTGTTCAAAACCTTTCCATAACTCCCCATTTCACTCAGAGCAAAGGTAAAGTCCTTAGAATAGCCTACAAGGCCCTCCTTGTCTGGCCCTTCATATCACTCCATCTCATCTCCTACTACTCTCCCCTCATCGTCTGCTCCAGCTATCTTAGCCTCCTTGATGGTCCCAGAATTTGCCAGGCAGGCTCCCATATCAGGCCTTAGCGTTGGCTGTTCCCTCTGCCTGGAAATCTTCCTTCATATTTGTGGAGTTCACACCCTCATTTCCTTCAAGACTGTGCTCACACACCGCCTTTTCAGTGAGGCTTACCTTGACCACCATATTTAAAGTTGCACCTGTACACCTTATCCCCTTCTCTTACCTTATTCTATTTTTTTCACAATAACTACACTTGTCTTTTGAACTTTTTGTTCATTGATGTATCCCTAGGACTTAGAAGAATATCTACCAAGTGGCAGGTATTTAATAAATATTTACTGAATGAGGGATGAATTTATTTTGCTTAACTCAGTATAACCCTCTTAAGAAAACAAGACTATAAACCAGATTTTTTGAGAACGTTAAATTCTTTTTTTTTTTTTCAGATGGAGTTTCACTCTCGTTGCCCAGGCTGAAGTGCAGTGGGGTGATCTCTGCTCATTGCAACCTCCGCTTCCCAGGTTCAAGAGATTCTCCTGCCTCAGCCTCCCGAGTAGCTGGCATTACAGGCATGCGCCACCATGCCCGGCTAATTTTTATATTTTTAGTAGAGACAAGGGTTTCACCACGTGGCCAGGCTGGTCTCGAACTCCTGACCTCAGGTGATCTGCCCGCCTCGGCCTCCCAAAGTGCTGGGATTACAGGCGTGAGCCACTGCGCCCGGGCGAGAACGTTAAATTCTAGTTGAATTAACCGTAATTTAGTATTTCCAGATACAGTATCTGGGATGGTGCAATAGGGAGTTCGATGGAGATTCTGGTAAGGGATATGGTGGGCTAAGAAAGAATTGTCTGTTCTTGATACTAGATAAACCCAGGGGATTTACCCCACTTCAGGTTCTAGAATCATGTATAAAGGCAGAGAAAAGTGATTCTGAGTGAACTTGCACTGACAACTTACTAGAACAAAGCTTCCTGGAGTTAGGGTTCCCGCAGTATGTGTCTCTCTGGAAGGTGGAATAAAAGCCTGAACCCGCTCTGCTACTCTTTGGAAGGCAGCCCTGCCATTTCCCTAGGCCTTGGCCTCCCTCCCTGGAAAAGGATGGTATCCACCGGCTCCCCGTATCGGAGGCTGTTTGCAGGGTGTTCCCAGCACCCCCCAGGGAAGCTCCTCAGAATGCTGCCTGACACATTTTTACAAAATTTATTTTTATTGTGGTAAAACATACACAACATAAAAGTTATCCCTTTATCCAGTTTGCGGTGTACGTTTGTTAACCTTACAGCAAGTAACACATGAGTTTTAAATTAGAATTTGGACAACGGCAAATGAGATGAAAGGCGAACAATCCGAAAGCCGGATCACTGAGGAGCTCTGGGAACGCGCCGCGAGCTGAAGCCACACGGGGAACTCCATTTTGTCGGGACAGGGTCGGTCCTGGCCGCCTCCAGGGAGTCGGGTAGTTTCCGCGGCGTGGCCCGGGCCTCCCCTGAAGTCCGTCCGCCTCTCTCCGCCTGGCCCAGCGGCGCGGCCGCCGGAGGACTCTGTCCACGCGCCCAACGTCGGGCGCCCTGTTCTGAAGGCAAAGGGTCCCCTGCCTCGCACGACTCGGAGCCGCCGAGGAGGTGACGGCGGCAGCCCTGGGGCGGCTCGGTGCCATTCACTACCATCCTGTTTTCCTGAGGCGCGGCCTTCCAATTGCCCCGGCTCCGCTAGGAGGCGCGCGCTCCAGCCGCTCCGCCGCGCGGCCCCGACCGCACTTCAGTCCGGGGCGAAGAAAGAAAAGGCGGCCGGCTCCCGCCGCTCCCCGTCTACCCAGCCGGGCCCGCGCAGGCGCGCGCAGCTCCCGTTCCCGCGGCCGCCCCTCCCCCAGGCCGCCGGGCGCGCCGCGGGCGGGGTCGGCGCGGGGGGCGGAGCCGGCACGGGCTCGGCTGGGGCCCGACCCGGGATTAGTTGGTTTCGGAGCGGAGGAGGGAGCCCCGACCGTCACGAGCGTCGAAGAGACAAAGCCGCGTCAGGGGGCCCGGCCGGGGCGGGGGAGCCCGGGGCTTGTTGGTGCCCCAGCCCGCGCGGAGGGCCCTTCGGACCCGCGCGCCGCCGCTGCCGCCGCCGCCGCCTCGCAACAGGTCCGGGCGGCCTCGCTCTCCGCTCCCCTCCCCCGCATCCGCGACCCTCCGGGGCACCTCAGCTCGGCCGGGGCCGCAGTCTGGCCACCCGCTTCCATGCGGTTCGGGTCCAAGATGATGCCGGTAAGTGGGCGAGCGGCCAGGGCGTCGGGCCCGGAAGTGTGCGGGGTCGCGTGCCGGGGGCTGGTCCGCGCCCTCGGGCGCGTCGGGGAAGGAGCCTGGGGGCCGCAGCCCGCGCGGAGGGGCCGGGGCTTTCCGAGCTTCGAGCGGGTTTCAGGAAGGGGAGGCTCCATCCTCTGGGCTCTGCGCCCACAGCCGTCGTGGGGGCGCGGCGAGACCCTAACCTCGAGGCGGGTTCCTCCAGCTGCTCCGGAGTCAGGCGAGCCGCCCGCGAGCCCAGCAGCCACTCAAACTTTTCGTCTTTCACTGGGTCTTGACTTTTTTGCAGTTCTTGAAGGTCAAGAATACGGGAACCGGGGACCTTGTTCTTTGCTGTGTCTTTTTACTTTTTACTGGAGTGAAACATACGTTACTGGAACGGGTACCTTTGCTTTGTTTTTAATTGAATTTCGATCTTGATATCCACAGTAGCAGCTAAGTCACCCTTACCTCTTTGTGGAAAGGGGTTTTGGTAAATGCAATCTCGGAAGTTTTAGATTGCAGGAAAGCGTACGTGCCTGGCTCCCTTCGTTTCCCACAGCTTTTAGCAAGACCTCCGGAGAGGATTAGTGCCTTCTTTAGGAGCTCCGCAGGCTTTTGACACGGCCACCAGGCCACAGATGAACAGCAGGTTTGAGACATTTCAGAAATGTCTCTGTCATTCAGCGATCGCGGAATGGAGGTTTGCGGTGTGTTGCGGTGGCTTCTGCAGACTTCAGTAGCGAGTTTCTTCGTGGAAGTTGTATTTGCACCTCTCCCACTGAAGTGGGGACATCTTGCAGGCATCCTATGCTTGTGGCTCCATTTGTTCAGACAAAGAAACAAAAAGCTTTTACTTTTATGAAGTCTGTGGAATGGAGTGATGACAAAGTTTGCAGTCATACATACAGAGTATAATATGCTGTTCCCTGGCCCCCTGCTTGTGTCATGGAGGGCGTCCCAAACTCTCACTGGGTCGACTTAACAATTCACTAGAATTAGTAATTGGGTTTAGAGGGTTTGGGATATTTTGTCCTGCCAGGATTCAAGGAATTTGAAAGTATTAATAGCATTATGCATCTTATTTTAGTTTAATGCCTGGTTATGAAATCAGGTTTGTAGTGTGAATACCCAATATTGAAATAATGGACCATAGATAAGGGTGATGGATTTTGCTGTTAAGATTTTTATTTCCTGGATTTACATTTCTTTGTGTTGAAGTAACTTGTACGGATTGTCTGTGAATTTTTCCTAACAGTAGGAGCAAGAGAAACACGTATCAGTTGTTGCTATATGGTTTCTTCCTTGTTTTTTGTCAAGGTATCCTTTGGAGATACCCTACCAAGGTATCCGTTGTGTAGCCGAATTCATAAAACGTTATGTGGCTCTTGAGACTATATTCAATTTAGCAGTATGGTTCTTCTGATTGCCTTTCTGATGTCAGAATACAATCCTAACACAGACTCAGTGTGGTATGATGGCACTTACACCAGCTTTGAAGTCAGACTAACACTTCAGTATTGCTCAGCTACTACCTTTAGTGACGTAGCCACTTAAAAAAAACTTGTCCCTCAGTTTCATCATCTGTAAAATGGGGATAATAGTACTCAGCTCTTAGGGTGGTTTGAGGATTAGAGTTATGTTTATGAAGGAAGTGTGATTAGTACAGTGTCTAGCTTGCAATAGGCGGTAGATAAACGCCTCTGAATTTCCAATGTTGGTTAAAGTGGAGATTCTCAGATTTGTGATATATAAAAATATGAAATAATTTTTCATTTAGTAGACTCATGTTATATGTGTCTTTATACTGTAATATTTTGGATATTTGAAAATAAAACTTTTATTAAGTATATTTCTCATCTTTGGCTTTTCATATGCTTGGATTTTTATTCCAACATAAATGTAATTTTGTTACATTGCTTTGGAAAATTCTAACCAATTTATCAGGAAAAGCCATTTAGTGTAAAAAAATGGATAGTCTCAGAATGTAGACAATTGCCTTGATGTACTTTTATTGTGGTAAAATATACATAAAATAAAATATGCCATTTTAACTATATTTAAGTGTACAGTTCTGTGGCATTAGGTACAACCCTTGATTTGCTTTTAAAGGCATTCTGAAGATAATGGTTTACTATTTAGACTGCATTATATTAAAAATGTGCAAATAGGCCAGGAGCGGTGGCTCATGCCTGTAATCTCAGCACTTTGGGAGGTCGAGGCGGGCGGATCACGAGGTCAAGAGATTGAGACCCTCCTGGCCAACATGGTGAAACCTCGTCTCTACTAAAAATACAAAAATTAGCTGGGTGTGGTGGCGTGCGCCTGTAGTCCCAGCTACTCGGGAGGCTGAGGCAAAATTGCTTGAACCCTGGAGGTGGAGGTTGCAGTGAGCCGAGATGGCACCACTGTACTCCAGCCTGGTAACTAAGAGTGACTCCATAAAAAAAAAAAAAAGTGCAAATAAATTGTGTTCATGTGTTTTCTCACCAAATGGTACAGGATCAAGTGGTTTTCTTTTATGTGGGACATGAAGTGATAATTGGATCCAAAACCAAAAGTGGAAGATGTATTTTAGAAGGCTAACTAAAAATAAGTAGCAAGCTCTGCAAATCACAGTAGAGATAATGATAGGGTACTGCAGAAATGGGATTGATAATTACTCTCACTTTCAGATACCTGCCATTGTTAGTATCTCTAGTTCTATGATATTTCCACAACTTGCCGAGGAGAAACTGGTTTTACTTTCATACTTGACATCTTTTTCCTGATGAAAGAAGAGATTATTTGCACTTTGAGAGTTTGGCTTTTTAGTGATCCGCATGTTGTATTTGATTTTCATGTAAAGGGAGGCAGTTACCAAAAGCAAAAATTCTTAGTCGTTTGAAAATTACATTAGATATCTTTTATTCACTACTTTGATTTTGTGAAGTGTTATGCTCAAAACAAAAATGTGTTCTTAAGAAAGAGCTTGGCTAACTCTAAAAGCTACTCTCTGCTCTTTTCAGCTGATAGTTTCATAAAAATTTTTGTTTGTACCTGCTGTTGAAATAATAAATTTTAAAAAATTATTTACAAAACTACACAGTATTTGGTAGTGCCACCTGGAAGACCAGAAGGCTTGAATTTGCCTGTCACTTGGTCATTGGAGATGCTGTATATTTGGCATGAATGTCCAGCTGTAATGGAAATGCTCTGTATCTTTGCTGTCCAGCATGGCAGTCACCAGCCACATGTGGCTACTGCACTTCAAATGTGGCCAAGGGAACTGAAGAACTGAACCTGAGTTAATTTTAATTATATTTAAATAGCCACATGCCTGGTGGCTACTGTATGACAATGCAGTCAAACCGATGTCATCATATAGCCCTTATATAGATGGTTTTAAGAAAATAATAGCTGGGCCGGGCACGGTGGCTACGCCTGTAATCCCAGCACTTTGGGAGGCCGAGGTGGGTGGATCACGAGGTCAGGAGTTTGAGACCAGCCTGACCAACATGGTGAAACCCCATCTCTACCAAAAATACAAAAATTAGCTGGGCGTGGTGGCGTGTGCCTGTAATCCCAGCTACTCAGGAGGCTGAGGCAGGAGAATCTTGAACCCTAGAGGCGGAGGTTGCAGTGAGCCGAGATCGCGAATCTTGAACCCTTGAGGCGGAGGTTGCAGTGAGCCATTGCATTCTAGCCTGGGGGACAGAGCGAGACTGTCTCAAAAAAAAAAAAAAAGAAAGAGAAAGTAATGGCTTATTTTAAAAAGCTCAGTTGAAGTGATCATAGTTTAATTCCTAAGTTTATGGCATTTTATCTTTCAGTGCTGCAGAGGCATAATTATTTCTAGTTATTTCATGATGCTGCAGAATAAAATTTGAGCTTCTAATTTTGAGGGTCTAGGAAAAAAATGGGATATTACAGTATCTCCTTTAGCAGTTTGACCACCTGATCAGTAGGATTTGTATATTTCTGAGCATAACTGCAAAGTGTGCAGCTCTACAGACCAGTAGCTTAACTTTTGCTTAAATACTTGTATTATTATTTACAAAGGTCTGGTTTTATTTGCACAGATTTGCACAAAACACAACCAAAATTGTGTTTTGAAACTAAAAATCTTTCAAGTTGTGTATTTGAAACATTATATTTGTATGACTTCAAGTTATGTATTTGGAACATTTTATTTGTATGATTATATCATGGTCTGAAAGAATTCTTTTTGCTTGAGTAATAGTGTAGCAAATTAGCTTAGATCAGGCTTTATTCCAGAATAAAGTTTAGATTAGGTCCCTAAAGAGAGGTTCCTATCTTTATAGAATTACAGTTATCAAAGGCTGTTAAACAAATAATCTATTTTTAGAAATGTGCAAAATATTTCTTTTATTTATTTATTTATTTATTTCTTGAGACGGAGTCTCACCACTCTGTAGTCCAGGCTGGAGTGCAGTGGCGCGATCTCGGCTCACTGCAGCCTCCGCCTCCTGGGGTTAAAGCAGTTCTGTGCCTCAGCCTCCCGAGTAGCTGGGATTACAGGCCACGCTCTGCTAATTTTTGTATTTTTTAGTAGAGACAGGGTTTCCCTGTATTGGCCAGGCTGATCTTGAACTCCTGACCCCGTGATCCACTAGCCTCGGCCTCCCAAAGTGCTGGGATTACAGGCATGAGCCACCGCACCCAGGAGCATCTCACATTTCATGTGCGTTAGTTTTGTTGCCTTGTGACTTCAGCTCTTAAAAGCTGAAAGACGTTTGAAAATTTCTGTATTTTTACCTGTTTCAGAGAAACCAGATTTAGACTTTTTAAAAGAAATTTACACAAGCATACACCTGCTTATATTTAACAATTAAGGAGAATGTATTTATCTGGAAGACACATGGAGGGTCATTTATTCGCATACACTGCTTCTAGGAAGAGCTGTGTTCCCTCCGTCTTTATCCCCACCGCCTCAGCAGACAATAAAACAAAACTTTCTTTTCTGGAGCTTTTAAAGAATACTGTAGACCTTTGTCTCTTTTGGTGATCTACCATAGTGTATGGCACTCTTTAAAAAGTCTTTCTGAAGTTAACACTGAGTATTCTTGAAGCTCATGTTATCTAGCCTCTCCTTAGCTTAAATGGGATAACTGCATACCATACCTCTCACCAGCTTTCTCCACAAGGATCTCACAGAATAAGAAGAACAGGAATTAAGAGTTTAGGAATCCAGAGTGTTCTTTTCAGCTCATGCCACTTAAGCCACACATTATTTAAATACTTGTTTTTGATGGTGTGCTAGGTACTGAACAGAACATTCTGTTTAATCAGATGTAATTGAAAAAAGAAAACACAGATGATGTGACTATGTATGAAATGTATAGTTATATTGCAGTGGTAGGTGAGACATTAAAATTCTATGTCTTATTGGGGCAAGCCAAGAAGTTTGGTCATTCGGGGATCCTTTATGAGCATCAAGTTTTAAGTAGTCAGTGATTTCTTAAAACACTTTGCATACCGTCTTACTAAAATAAATGTGTCTTATTAAAGAAATGCAAATTTTAAACATCAGTAGATAATGGGCAGGAAAAGTAGTTTTACAGATTTAGAAACTTTTTTTCTACATAAAATATACTCGAAAACAAATTATTTATTTGGATGATAATCGAACCAGATTTTCAATGAATATGTTCATTGGACCAGTAAGTACTGAACTTTCACTTGTTGTTGTTTTTTTTTAGACAGAGTCTTGCTCTATCACCCAGGCTGGAGTGCAGTGGCGTGGCGCCATCTCAGCTCACTGCAACCTCTGCCTCCTGGGCTCAAGTGATTCTCTAGCAGCAGCCTCCCGAGTAGTTGGGATTACAGGAGTGCGCCACCACACTCAGCTAAATTTTTTTTTCTATTTTTAGTAGAGACAGAGTTTCACCATGTTGGCCAGGCTGGTCTCGAGCTCCTGACCTCAAGTGATCTGCCTCCCAAAGTGCTGGGATTACAGGCGTGAGCCACCGCAGTTGGCCGAACTTTCACTTCAGTTGTTTTTCTGGATACAGATTTATAACTTAATACTACTTTATTTAAATTTCAAACATATCAACCCAAAATTCCTTAAGGCACAAGCATAGAAAAGTGGTAGAAAACCATAATGAATAAACTATTATAGATTACCAGTTTAAACTACTTGTGGTAATAAAAAATGATTAAGGCAATTTACTGTTCTTCCACAGGGGAGTGAACAATTTATATGTAAAAGCAGGGGGAGTGGAAGCTTCACTCTAACTTCCCTCCCAGGGATGAAGAGGAGCCCCCTTTCTGTGCCTCACACTGTGCCTGGTGATTTAGGTTGGTCATCCCGTCTAATCCCCTTATTACACTCTGAAGTTGATCTTCCCACTCTCATTCAACAGATAAGGAATTTGAAGCTCAAAGGGCTTAAGTAATTTGTTTCTGGTCACTAGTAGAAATGAGATTCGAACTGTCTGCCTGCAAACACATACTCTGTTCAAGATGGCAAATGCTTGGGTTAGAATATTTTTATATGTTTGACAGGACAAACAATGGTAATGATGTTCTTTTGGCTAATGGTAACTTCAAAAATTGCTTTTCAAAGCATAACCTTACTGTAGTTTTAAAGTAGAAAAGGAAAAATGGAAAAAAAAAAAAAAGAAAAAAATGGAGACATCGTCCCTTATTTAAATCCATACTGATGAGAAGATTGGCAGATAGTTCTCTTATCAACTTTCAAATGATGTGGAGGTGGTTACCTCCCCCTGGGCAAAGGAAACATCTCAATAGCTATTTCTTCCCACCTCTATCTAATATTACCATAGAGATCTCAGATCTTCCACATCTGCAGGGAAAGAGAAGGGGTGTGATAATTAGCTTTTGTATGAGGGGTGTTGAGTAGTCTTTCCTGAGATGATATCTGTAAATACGGCTTGAAGTTGATGATGTATTAGGTTGGTGCAAAAGTAATTGCGGTTCTTACCATCACCTTTGATGGCAAAACCACAATTACTTTTGGATCACCCTAATAGGAAAGGAGCAGAGTAGGATAGGCATGTTGGGAGAAGTGGAGGACAGGGACGCATAGAATGTCTGCTGTGAGATGACCAGTGACATTCAGCCATTTCCAGTTGCTCGAATGGTGCAGCAGTGACTTTGAAGTGTCCAGATGGGAGTGGAGTGAGTGTCTCCACTTGCAGCTTCAGGGCTGCCCGTGTAGTAGGGAGCAGTAATTCAATGTAGTCAGATACCTTTGTTGGAAATAGATTAGGGGCTGATTTTGAATGAAATCACATTAAATCATTGCTTTTCATTCTCCCTCATTAACCATTTAATTGTTTTTGGATGGCCTTTTGGGGATAACATCTGCTCAACAAATATTTAGTTAACATCTTCTGTATTCCAGGCACTGTTGTAAATGCCATGGAGACAGGAAAGGAAGTTTTCAGGGAGCTTAGCTTTCTTTCATAGTGCTTAATGGGAGATTTGGGTGGGAGAGAGAGAAAATAAACAAAAAAGAAAAACATGAGAGTTAAATGGGATTTAAGAAGGGTAATGTGACTGCGATGGCTACTTTAGATTGGATGGTCAGGAAGTGACATTTCAGCTGAGACCTGAATGACAAGAAGGAGCTGGTCCTGTGAAGATTTGCAGGTGGAGCATTTCAAGTGGGCACGATTCCTAGGGACTGGTGCAGAGGCCGGGAGGAAGCACTGGAGGCTGGGGCAAGGGGAGAGGGGCGGCGGGGGCGGGGCAGGGCTTCGTGGGCAGAGGGCAGAGTGACAAGAGCCGAAGCAAAAGACCTGTCAGCATATAGGTTTTCGCGGGCCAGAGGGAAGGGTGGAGGTGGCATGGGAAGGGACGTGGGAGCCACAGAAGAGGTTTAGTTAGCAAAAGTGACAACCTGATTGATTAGGAAAGCTCACTCTGTTGCTGTGTGGACAGTGGACCTTAGAGGTGCCAGAGTGTAAGACTTGGGCAAGGTGGGAAGAGTAGGAAAGTCTACAGAAAGCTGCCAAAAATAAATTAAAGGGTTTTAATTTTATTTATTTTTTATTTTTTACCACACCTAAGGCCCAGCTGACAGAATTGGTTGTGAAGGCACTCAAGAGTTTGTCACTTGCTCTAATAAATTGTTTTAGTGACCCTCAGAAGCCCCAGGGGTGAGAGGAGAAACAGTAGCACTTACCCGGGGTTGGAAGTAAGACCAGACAGGAATGGTGGAAGATCACTCCTGTATCCACAAGCTCCTTCCTATGGGGCTAAAGAGAAACCATACTTTTTATATCACCACAGAGCTCTGACAGCTACACAGAGCAGTTTAAATTTAGGCTTGAGAAAAAGCCTTCTGTCACCATGTTTCTTTTCAACTGAGTAGGGTGTATCAGGTTTCTCAAGGAAGCCATAGTCTGTCTTAAAATGCTTTAGGACAGCTTTACTTTTGACCACATGACCAGAGTGCTCTGGAAGCTTCTGATGCTTCAACCTAAAAGTTCCTTGACCCCCCGCCCCCCCCCTTTTTTTTTTAATTTTAAAACAATAGTATCTTCATTTTCCTGACACAAAGTAGCGAGTGACCTAGGAAAATCAAGTCTGAGTTAACTTTAATTCTAGAACGGTCTCTTTGTGGCAGTGTTTTCTGCATCACAACAAAATCTAGATAATAACTGCTTAGTTTGTGATATGTAGGTAATTTTCAAAAATTTTGTTAATTTCCTGAAAAGTTTGGGGGGTATCTATTTTGGATAATGCATTTATTTTAAAGGTAGATAGGATCTTTCTCTGGTAGGTTTTGCTTGTTGCTTTTAGTAGCCACGGACCTGGGCTTTCATCCTGCTGCTTTTCCTCTCTTCTGTCTTCTCCTGGAGCTGTTGAGTCACCAGGGCACACAGATCCCTCTTCTCCATTTCCTGGGGCACCTGTTTGGCCTCACCCCTCTCCTGCCTGGACTGTTGTAATGCTCTCCTTATCTATTTTCTTACCTTTTCTGTTCTCTGCCCCATCAGGCCATTTAACACACTGCTTCCCTGGTGGTCTTTCTGAAACAGCAATGTGTCTCTTCCCTCTCCAGAATTCTTCAAGTCTGACCTCTGTTCCTTACAGCATAAAATATATAAACTCTTTAGTGAGATAGAAAGTTTCTTTATTGTGTAGCCCAGTGGATTTCAGCCTTTTTGTGTCATTGATACATTTCCATTTCAGAATTTTTAGCTGCATAATGGAAATGATTGAAAAACTCAAAACACCAAGTCAGTTATTAAAACATAGCACCAGCTATGGCACAGTAGTGGGAATGCCTTGTGCTGTGCAGAAGAGCATCCGGTCACCTCGTGGTTCATTCGGCCTTCCTTCGGAATTGTGTTTCCTCTTGCTCACAGCAAGTTGTACTCTGTTGCATATTGCTCTCCACTCTTGCATATTGCCCTCCATGACGTGCTCCGCTCCATCGGACTTTGCCATAACAGCATGTGTATAAAACAAATTTTGTGCATTGAAAGTTTTTGCAGCACATTCGTGGCTTGTGGGTTGGGAATTGACCCATCTCTTCTTTGTCCTGCCTTGCGTCCCACCTCTGTGCTTCAACAGTTCCAGGACTATAGTTGTGAGGGCATGCCACAGTTTCCTGTGTCTTTATACACAGTGTTTCTCTCCCTAGATGGTCCTCTTCCTGCTTGTCTTATTCATCCTACAGTTTTAGCTTAATAGTACTTCTTTTATGTTAAGCCTTCTTCCACTGCTTGGAGGGGATTTTTTTTTCTGTTCTCACTGGACTTCAAATGCTTTAAATGTACTTTCACCAGGAAGTTCTCATTTCTCAACATTGCACCCTTTTCGTGGTTTGCAGTGCTTCTTCATTGTTCCATAAGCTCTGTGAGGACATGGAGCATGCCTTTTCATCTTTGTGTTTCTAGCACTTAGCACAGTGTTTGGCACACTGTAGGGATTTAATAAATATTGTTTGAGTTAATGGATGAATGAATATTCTTATTTTGGATTTTCTTTGGTGAGTGTAGTTCTTGCCTCTACTTCCATAGCAAAGTGGGAGGTAGGAAGGAAATAACTAGAAGCAATGGATCGGTTGTAGTTAGATCATCACGGATAGATCTTAAAAATGTAGTGCTTAGTGAGTAAAAGTAAAAAACAGAATGAAATCTGTAACAGTACCTTTACATAAAATAAGACGAATGCCTGGCAAACAAGACTCAGTTTAGAAGGAAGCACACCAACACTAAACTTATCAATAGTTGGAGCCGGGGAGGAATTAACTAAATGTATTTGTTCTTTTGCTTTATACATTGATTGTTTATGACAGATATTGAAGCAGAGTAACCTAAGATGAGTTGCTTTAGAGGATACGTTCAGAATTTGAAACTTATCTAAATTCAGCTTCAGGCATAGTTGAAAGAAGAGAAAAGGTTTCTTAATTTTACTTAAAGCAGAATTCTTTGAGACATTGTCTGGCTTTGAAAACATTCACTGTGAAGTAATACCATTTATAGATAAACATTTCTTGATGCTTCAGGATGTGAACATCCTCTTTGTCATGTTCTTGTTGCCTGTTAACTTTCTCCTCTTCGTGGAACTTTGAATCCCTGCGTCACAGTTTCAGTTCAGTCCAACAAACATGTATTGCATATTTGCTTTGTGTGAGATCTGACAGAGTTTTTTGGGGAGTGAGTTATAATGTAGGAGGAGGAAAACCAGGGAGGAGGCATTTAAGAACCAAAACATGTGTACTAAAGAATGTATAGACCAGTAGGACAGATAAGACAGGGATACAGACAACTACAGTGTGAATGGTTGTCAGAGAAGCAAAGAGAACATTTACTTCTGGCTGGAGGTGAGTGTGTGGGTAGGGATGGATGGATTGGAGGAAGTTTTATGGTCTTTGAGTTATTCTGGAAGGATGGGGATGAATTGACACTACAGGACAGAGTAGGAATCAGGTGAGCTACTCTGGGGAGAGAAGTGAGGAAAAGTGGCTATTTTAGATTCCTCATTTGGTGACTCGAGGCTATAACTGTGGAGTAGATAATTTAAAATAAATTTTAGGTCTTAATATTTCTTGTAATTGAAATGGAATTCCCTGAAATTCAAAATATGCAAATATAAATACCAGTGTATATGTGTCATAATGTATTGCTATTGTTGTTGGGTTAACTACTGGTATTATAATTAATATATACTACATAGATTAATACACACTGTTGTTATCTGCTAGTGAAATTAATACTCTACATTATTTGCAGCAAATTACTCAGAAACCTAGTTTCATGTTACTTCCCTGCTCAAAACCCTCTAATGCAGTGGTTCTTAAACTTAAGTGTGAGTACTGGGCCTCTCCTCTGGGGTTTCTGAATCAGGAGATGTGGAGCAGGGCCTGGAACTTTATATTTCTGACAAGTTCCCAGGTGATGCTTATGCTGTTTGTCTGAGAATTGCATGTTGTAAATCACTACTCTAGTGACTTTTCCCTTGCAATAAAGTCCGTACTCCTTATTCTTGACCTACAAGGCCCTGCCTGAGCTACCCCCTGTTCTCCCTGCCCTCATTGGCATAAGTCTGTATTCCTGATGTGGCGTTTTTTTCTGGTCATGGAATAGTCCAAGTTCATTACCACCTCTGGGCCTTTGATGAAATGTCTTCCTTCAGATGTTTCAAGTGGCTGTGGCTTCTTCAGTCTCAGCTCAAAAGTCCCCTTCACCCTGAGGTGTCTTTCCTAATCATGATCAGCCATCCTCCCCTCATCACTTCCATAATTCTTTATCATATCGCTTTATATACCATGCTCATTTGTGTGCTACCAGCCTCTCTTCTCTGCCCTAAAGAAGGCAAGCTTTTTCATCACTGTGTTCCTTTTGCTTTAACTGTCCTTTCTTAATAGGTATTTAGTAAGTACTAACGGGTGAATGAACGAAACTTCTTGTTGAAGTCAGCAAGAAGTTAGGATTGAGGGGAAGGCATAGAACCAGGAGCTTCTTTGGCATGGCTGGCTTTGATAGGATATGACTCCTATAGGTTTCTATGTAGAGGTCCCTGTTACCTATTCATGTATATGAAGTGGTTCTTTTACCAGACATCTATGACCAGCAGGCTACTTTATGATTTTTTCCTTAATTAAAGTAACTACTTCATATTTGCTCTATCATTTTTTTCCAGAATGTTGACTATTTCAGAATATGATTGTGTGCTCCAGATGATATTGAATGGATGGTCAGGATAGTCCATGCCTGATTAACATTTTTAACAGAATATTGTTCAAATTGATATTGAGACTTCACGTTATTGATTTCTGAATTCTACTAACTTGCTGTAAGTGAGCAAAGGAATAGTTTATGAAGTAAAAAAAATCCTTTGAATATGACTTTATGATTTTGCTTTAAATAAACTCAGATGTAACTGATAGGAACTGATGGGTTAATGTTAAAAATATGCCATCATATAAAGTGGTACACTTAGTGTAGAAGTAGGTTTAATATCATTGAGCCTTAATAGAACATCGGTATACATAACTTATGGTAATTGGTGAATATTTTTAAAAGCAGTTTAATGGCTCCAAGAGTAAACTCTAGAGAAACAGCTAAGAAATCATGATAGGCCTTTGTAAGCAGTGATTCTCTGATAACTTTAATAAGGTTGGGACCCATCGTCAGGGAGGTAGAGAGTGTCTCTTTGAGGGAAAGGACTCAAATATGTAGTGTCCCTGTGGCTCCTGAGGAAGGTTCCACAGAGACCCCTGTGGGTTGCCTACTCAGATATTGGGGAGACGAGGAAGGACAGCTCAAGCTCAAGCTGGGGTAGTGGAGCAGCACACTTCTTGCAGAAGACTGGCAGCCTAGCTCACAGCTAGGGTGCAGCATGTCTGAATTAGGGAGCCAAGCTCATGAGTGCCCTTGGTGTGCAGACTCAGCTGGCAGAGTGAGCATTGGAGCAGAGCTCCAGGTCTGTGCAGAGACAGGCAGAGTACTCTTGAGGACTGGAAGGGTCGGCATCTCCTTCCTAAACCCCGCCCAGTGTTAGAAGTCATAGTTGGGCTAAATGGCTGTGTATGAGTTTGAAAGAAACTTTGGTTATATCTTAATTTAATCCCCACTCTGTATCACAGTGTTGGGAGAGGTGTTTTTGCTTGACTGGGTTATAGGAAGCCTAGTGGCATTCTCCTCTTACAAGAAATATTTTCGGGCCTGCCTCCATAAGGGGTACAACAAAATATAGAAACTGAAGTAATAGTTTTACATTTATCTTTCTGCAGAGGAATTGTGAAACACAGAAACCATTCAGATTTTCCCCTAATCTCTCTACAAGCATAATCGCCTGGCTATTCCTGTGGTATTTCTTGTGAGTTGCAAAATTTGGGGAGGATTTGTGTCACTCTTTTTATAGATTGTTCATTTCATAATTTTCTGTTTCTTCCTCTTAGGTAAACTTGAAGGATTTGAGTTTTTGTAAATGAAAACTCTGAAGGTGCTGTTGTAGAGCGTAATTTCCCTTTGGTGACAGGGAACATCTTATACTCTTGGTTCCTTTCTTCTTTCTGTAGAACTTCACATGATTTTCTGAATCAAATGAATAAATGTTAGCCTCTGACTCATCTTGTAAATGCCCTAATCAGTTTTTTTTTTGTATTTCCTCTTAGAAAAGTCTTTCAGATTTTGATCTGAAATAATTCCTCTTTAAAATGAGTCATTCTTATGTTGATAGCATAACATCATAGTTACAGTACATACATGCTCTATAAACACAGGACTCTTAAAATAAATCTATGACCCATTGTTTTTAAATGAAAATTATCTGTGACTTTGAATTTTTGGAAGGGCACATCTTCATCTAGATATGACTGACATGAATTACTATGCAGTGTGCCTGTAGGTGGCCTGGCACAACTTAACACAGTGTTTTTTTTTTTTTTTTATCTTTCCTTCGACTTTCCTTCTCTTGAGATAGATGACTATAGGAGGTAGAAACAAGTTGTAATCACATTTACCATTTTTAATGAAATATTTTCATGTTCTTTTATCCCAGTTTGTATTAACTATACTTTTAAATTATACATTATTATAAAAATATTTTACTGTTGAGATTTTAAAAATTTAAAAGTGATAGCTATACTTGCCTCTGGTGTCGCTGATTTTCTGTGTATTTCATACAGGTCAGTATATATATATATATATATATATATATATATATATATTTTTTTTTTTTTTTAGATGGTACATATGTGTGTGCATGTGTACACACAGACACACATATTTTTACTTTTTTTTTTTTTTTTGGGAGACAGCGTCTTGCTCTGTCGCCCAAGCTGGAGTGTAGTGGCATGATCATAGCTCACTATAACCTTGAATTCCTGGGGTCAAGTGATCCTCCCACCTCGGCCTCTTCAGTAGCTAGGACGGACTACAGGTACATGCTACCACACCGAGCTATTTTTTTTTTTTTTTTTAATATAAATGGGGAAATGGGGTCTTACTGTGTTGCCCAGGCTGGCCTCTAGCTCCTGGCCTGAAGTGATCCTCCCGCCTCAGCCTCCCAAAATACTGAGATTACAGGCAGGAGCCACCCTGCCTGCTTTTTGAGAAAGAGTCTCACTCTCTCTCCCAGGCTGGAGTGCAGTGGCGCGATCTCGGCTCACTGCAAGCTCCGCCTCCCAGGTTCATGCCATTCTCCTGCCCCAGCCTCCTGAGTAGCTGGGACTACAGGCGCCCGCCACCATGCCCGGCTAATTTTTTTGTATTTTTAGTAGAGACGGGTTTCACCGTGTTAGCCAAGATGGTCTTGATCTCCTGACCTCGTGATCCTCCTGCCTCGGCCTCCCAAAGTTCTGGGATTACAGGCGTGAGCCACTGTGCCCGGCCGATGGTACATATATTTTTAAAGTTAAAAACACTTAGTATTGTTCTGTTTTATAACTTTTTCTTAACATTTTCCTAACACTCTATTTATACTTACAGGAGTTGGTGGCTGGACATAGTCCTTCTGGCAAATGATTTTAATTTACTTAACTTTTTCCCTGTTTAAAGACTTTTCCATGTTTTTGTATATTTAGTTTTCCATCTTACTATATATAGACCTCACACTATAGTGAAAATCTTCAGGCATTTAGAGTTTTTCTTCATTTCAGTTTTTTTTTTTTTAGGATAAATTCCCAGGAGTAAGGTCATGAGATATACATAATTCTGTGGCTTTTGATACATGATTTATTTTACTTTCTAAGTAGGATTTTTAATAATTTATAGTACTACCATCGTATCTTTGAGTAAATAACTTTTGTACAACCTCATCTATGTTGGATCTTGTCTTTTAATTGAAGACAATTTACTACAGGTTGAGCATCCTTAATCCAAAAATCTGAAATCTGAAATGCTCCAGAATTGAAAACTTTCTGAGTGCCTACATGATGCTCAAAGGAAATGCACATTGGTGCATTTTGGATTTTGGATATTTGGATTGGGGTGCTCAACTGCTTATCCATATATTCTAAAATCCGAAAAAATTCTGAAATACGAGACACTTCTGGTCCCAAGCGTTTCAGATAGGGGATACTCAACCTGTAGCTGTTAAGTGGTACCTCATTGTTTTAATTAATATTTATTTCCCTGCATGTCTTCATATTTGTATTGTCTTGTGGGATCTGTCATTTATATCTTCTGCTCTTAAGTATGCTTTAGAGTTTATTGTTTATTGATGAATGTCTTCTCTTTGTGTTCCTGCTATAAAAAATGATGTTCCTGATTTCTAAGTTCAAAGGAAGTTAACATTTTAATGTGTATGTGGTCACCAAGAAGGGCTGATCTAATATGCACTTTTTCTACCTGGGGAAGAAAAACTGTACTCTGTTACCAAGTAAGCAAGATGTCACGAGCCTTTTCAGATGTCCCAGCAATTTGCTGTCCTTGTAGTATGGGTAAATCTGTAACAGCTGTTTTTTTTTTTTTTTGACCTGATTATTGCTGCACTCTTTATGATGAAAACAATTTACCTCAAAAGTTGGCAGGAACACATTTATAATTTGATTCAATGAGAATAGTAGGATTTCTCACAACAGCTTCCCAGAGGCTTTAACTCTAGGGAACCCCATTTTGCTTGGTTCCTTATGGGAAAGGAGCTAATGAAGTCATCTTACATTCTTGAGAATATGGTATTTAAAGAACATATAGTGTCAGGAGAAGGCATTTTGGAAGTAAAGTTATGACAGATAATTTAAAAACATTATTTCCTTATGCTTACTATTAATTTGTGCCTGTTTGTTGAAACCTCGTCTACCTCAGTTCATAATCATCTTTTTCATTTCTGAATTTCCATTTTACCCACATTCTCATTCATGTAATAGAGTACTAAACATATAAAAATATATATATAGCTTTTGAGACAGGGTCTCACTCTGATACCCAGACTAGCATGCAGTGATCTCCTGGACTCAGGTGACCCTCCCACCTCAGCTTCCTGGGTAGCTTGGACTATAGGTATACGCTACCATGCTTGGCTAATTTTTTGTGTTTTTTTGTAGAGACAGGGTTTTGCCATGTTGCCCCGGATGGTCTGCTCTCAAATTCCTGGGCTCAAGTGATTCCCCTGCCTCTGCCTGCCAAAGTGCTGGGATTATAGGTGTGAGCCACCATGCCCGGCCTGAGATTTTTGTATCTCTCACATACTAAGCATACGGTGGGCTCTTTTTTTTTTAAAGTGATATATTCACATACCATAAAATTCACCCATATAAAATGTACAATTCAGTGGTTTTTAGTATATTCACAAGGTTGTGCTGCTATCACCACTAATTACAGAACATTTTCATCACCCGAGAAAGAAACCCCATACCTTTATCAGTCACTCCCTATTCCCCCTTCCTCAGTTCTTGGCAGTTATCAACTTTTTGTCTGTATGCATTTGCATATTCTAGACATTTCATATAAATGGAATTATATGCTATGTGGTCTTTCATGTCTGGCTTCTATCACTTAGCGTAATATTTTCAAGGTTTATCTGTGCGGTAGCGTGTATCAGTACCTCATTCCTTTTGATGGCTGAATAATATTCCATTCTAATATAGTGGACTTTTAAGATGTGCTTCTTAATTGCTTGTTTTTAATCATTCCTGACTAAATTTGAGGCAAGATAGTGACCCAAGAAAAACAGTCTCAACAGATATTTGTCTTCCATATCTCACGGTAAGGATCCAGGGAAGGCACAATGTATATGAATAAGAATGGTATGTGGTTATTTTCATCATTGATTGCTTAAAAAATCAATTTTATTGTGCACGTGGTACATTCTAGAAAATTTAAACGTAGATAAGTTCCTAAAAATTCACTTAGTCATCCCACCACCAGGGCATAACTACTGTTAATTTGGTGAATATAGTTTCAGGCTTTTTTCTGTGCCTGTAGATGTGTATGCATAATAGGATACAGTGAGCACTGTTTTATAACAAAACATGTGTAACTGAAATATTTTTAATAAAAATGTTTCATTTTTTATTCATTGCCTTCAAAAATATTTTGGTATCAGATGCAGGAAACTTCTTAGATTTAACAGTTTTATTTTTTATCTTTAAAAATGGTGGATTCTAGGCCAGAATTGTTTTCTGAAGGACTTAGTTGATAGAGTAGCCTAAAATTTCTTTTCTAAGTAAAATTTTCAACATGCTGATAAAAACTGCTTCACCAAAATGAAACAGAAGTGAATTCATTTTTTTATTAGACAGAAAATTCAATTACTTTTTGAATAATTCTTTTTGTAATACAGTAAATTTGTAAAACAAAGATAAAAGGATGGTAGCAATAAAAAGAACATGTGTGCCTGCCTGCATTTTCTCATGTTAACATGATAGGTTAGTGAAACCAGCCTCTCTTTTGATTATTTTTCTTATTTTTTTTTTCCTCTTCCAAGTAAAGGAAGGAAAAGGGAATTGATACATATTGGAAAAAAATAACCTTTATAACTTGAGGATATACTTATATCTATAGTTAGTTTCCTGTCAACACCATTTTCCCTCTCAACTAGGTCATTCCCATCAATTAAAATGGTCTGTAAAAACTCTCACCTTGAGATAAAAACAAAACACTCCTTTTACCCTGTGTCTCCCTTCCCTAGATGGCTCCATTTGCTCTGCCTTGGGTTAGGGCAGAACACACTGGAAGAACTAGTTGTCTGTACTGTGCCTCTGCTTCCTTCCCTCAGGTTCTCTAGCCTGTTCCAGCCAGGCCCTTATTCCCATGACTCAGTGCTGGTCAAGGCAGTCAGCAGCCTCCATCTTGCCAAATCTGATTGTACACTTTTGCATCTTCCTCCCTCACACGCTTTCTTTGCTTGGTTCCTGGTGTCCCGCACTCTTCTGGACTTCTTCCTTTTTTTGGTGGCTCTTTCTCAGGCTTCTCTGCTGAATCCTTGTCCTCCGTGGGACCTCTGGAGGTTGCTTGGTTAGCTTAGGACACAGTCCTCAGCATTCTTTCCTGTCTCTAGCTGGCCCTAGCTGCTCTCATCCAGGCTTAGGCTTTAAATGCCTCTGCATGCTCATCTCTTGCTTTCTCATCTCAGTCAAACTTGCATATTAGACGGCCTCTTCATGTCTCCGTTTGAATGTTCCATAGGTGTCTCATATTTAACATAGAGGCCTCATTCTGTGGGCCCTTCCCAACCTGTTCCTCCTTCCTCACTTTGTACCTAGTGCTTAGGTAGCAGATCCAGAGTCACTCTTAATTTCTCTCTACTTTCAAATCCCACATTCTGTCCACCAAGCGAGTCTTACTGGCTCTATCTTCAAATAATAATCCAAATCCAGCCATTTTCACCACCTTTGCTATTAATTTGCAGTCTGTGCTACCATCGTATCTCATTCCGTGTGTAGCATTTACCTCTTAATTGGACTTTCATGCCAGTCCTCCTGTAGTTTGTTCATATAGTGATTTTTTTTAAGGGCATAAATAGCTACCCCGTTCAAAATCCTCCAGTAACCTCTTACTTTTGAAAATTGAGATATAATTCACATACCATAAAACTAATCATTTTGAAATACGTAATTCAGTGGTATTTAATGTATTCACAATGTTGTGTAACTATCACCACTAATTCCAGAATATTTTCATCACCCCAAAAAGTAGCCCTGTACCTATTAGCAGTCACTTCCCATTTCCCCTTCCCGCAGCTCCTGACACCCAGTGATCTACTTTCTGACTTTAATGATTTGCCTCCAGTGGGCTTTTAGATTAAAATCCACAGTCCTTGCCCTAGCCTTAGACGATGGTTCTCAGGACGTGGTTTCTAGACCGGCAGTATCAACATCACCTGAGGGCTTGTTAGAAATGCAGAATTTTCAGTCTCCAACCCAGATCTATTGATTTTGGAATTCTTGGGGTGGAGCCCTGCAATCTGTGTTTAATAACGACCCTCTGTCCACACCAAAGTTTGGGAACCTCCAGCCTATAAAGACATGCATGATCTGGCTTTTGCTTGCCTCCTTGAATTAACCCTTTCCTCTTGCTTCGTCTGCAGTGACCTTCCTCTTGTGCAAATGTGACAAACTTGTTTCCTTCTCAAGGGCTTTAAATGTGTTGCCTCTGGTTGGCACATTCTTCTCCCAGACCTTAGCTGGGCTGTGTCCTCACTTCCTTTAGATGGTTGCTCGGTTGCTCAAGAGTCCTCTGACTGCATAGTACGGAGAGGAGGGCTCCTGTGCTGAGTGTCTTTTTTTTGCCTCTCTGCATTCACTTTTCACCTTCCTCCACCCTGCTTTGTGCCTTAGGAGGTTGACTTCTCTAAACTGCATCAACCGCTTCCCTTGCCATCTGGTAGGTAGTTGGGTTTGTCCAGTGGGGAGTAGTGGGTGGACATGAGAGGGAAGGAGCCAGGTTGTGGTGTTTATTTTTTTGACTTCCTTCCTGTGGGCTGGCTGTGTCCTTCTAACAGCTTTCTTTCTCTCTCTTTGAATTTTGTACTGTCTGTAGTATTACCTGTTTAGTAAAGATTATTTTTACATTAGAACAGAGACATATAGCAGATGATCTGTAAATACTGAATGAATGAAAATAATGTTGAAACAGAGGTAGAATGATGGTAGCAGGATGTAAGCTGAAGATATGAGTGGACAACACACTCTCTCATTTGAGAGTATATAGCTGTGCTACACGCTACATGCCATACCGTTTAGCAGTACCTGAAACAAAACTGACCGTGAAAATAAATCAGGTGAGATGATGGATTGTGGGCAAAATGTTGCTCTAAAAGACAGAACTAGAGGCAGTGACACACTTGGCACCGTGTGGTCCAGATTCAGGAGAGTCTTTACCTGTATGCTCTCAAGGAAGGGGCTCAATCTTGGTTTTGCCACTTAATAGCTGTGTGACCTGGGTGAGTTACTTAAATCCCTCTGTGCTTCAGTGTTTTCATCTGTAAAATGCAATCACATTTGCAGGATTTAATACTTAGTGTGTACTTGTTACACACCAAGCACAGTTCTAGGCGCTGAGTCTACAACACTGAACAAAGACAAAACCTTTGACTGTATGGAGCTTACTTTCTAGTAGGAAAGGCAGATAATAAAAATGAGTTAAATAAATATAACATATGACATGTTAGTGACTGTGCTAAGGAGGGAAATAAAGCAGAAGAATGGGCTAGGGTGTGTGTGTGTGTGTGTGTGTGTGTGTTTGGTGTTGGAATTCTAGGTAGGGTTCCTAGGTAAGGCTTCACTGAGAGGGTGACATCTGAGTAAAGGCGTGACGGAGATGAGGAAGGGAGAGTTACACTGGCATACAAAGAAGCGCATTCCAAATAGAGGAACAGCAAGTACAGAGGCTCCCACCTGGGAACATGCCTGGTGTGTTTGATGAACAGCAAAGAGGACGCTGATAGAGCACAGAGTGAGGGGGGATTAGAAGGAAATGGGGGCCAGATCATGACTACAGCAGACCTTGTAGGCTGCTGTAAAAATGTTGACTTTTACTCTGGTACCTAGTAAACATTTACTAAATAGTAGCTCTTAGGGAACTTTTTTTTTTAAAAATTAATTTTAAGTTCTGGGATACAGGTGCAGGATGTGCAGGTTTGTTACGTAGGTAAACGTGTAGCTATTGGGGAACTTAAAGACTCATTTTGAAGATGAGGATGCTGAGTTTCAGAGAGGTGACATTACTTGCCTAAGGTAGTCTAACTAATTATGAAGAAATCTGGAGTTTGAACTAGATCTCCTGCCTGGGAATCGACAAAAATAGCGTGTTGCTGGCCCAGCATCGCGGACTGCAGTACAATTACTAAAATCACCGCAGAGCTAATCTCCATACATTACAGGTAGAAGCGGGGTCAACTCGTACACTTACTGTTCATACCAGTGTTAAACCTGTGGGAAAAGTAACCATAAATAGAACACATCTGTCATCATTCTTATTTTTAATTGTACTTTTAAATAAATGAAGCTGTTGGTTTTCCAGAAAGTAAAAGATCAGATCTCTGTTAAAGTGTGGGTAACTGTGGTTAAATGGAGCATTTCCTAGTATTTTCTTTCTATAAAGGACAGCTTAAAGAATAGAGGATAGATCAGAAAAACAGAATTGTACCTTTCTCATTTCAGTAGGCAAATAGATCACTTATCTGAGTCTTTTTCTTCATTTATAAAGAGAAAATAACACCTGCTGTTTATCTGAGAGTTGATGTAAGTTTCTGAGATAATGTGTCTGAAAGATGAAGTTTACAGAGGTAAGGTGCTATCTTACATAATAGGCTTTTATTTGTTGATAAGGTGTGTGTTTAGCATATACTCTGTATTTCCAGTATTTCTGTAACTTAACACCTCTAAGCTTCATATTTACAATGAAAAGTTACTATTTTCAAAGTGATAAACTTCAAAGCAAGTTTTTGCATCGGTAGGGAGTATGGAGAGGGAGTATTTAATGCTAAAGTGTACATTATTTGTCTCCATCACTGAATATGCTGTATACTTTGGGAGCAGCAGACGAGTGTACTTCTGTGCTTTGTTAATCGTTTTATTTTTTCAATGATTTAGTCAAGGCTTTATGATTTTTGTGTAATAATTTTGAGTGCTGCCTTGTTGGCTAAGTTGAACTCTAGAACTGTGTACCTTTATGTAGTCAAAATGTGAAAAGCCTGAGATAATTAGCTTGAGAGCTTTTGAGCTCATACTGGGAAAGTCTACAGTGTTTTTTTATTTTTCCATTAAAAAATTGTTTCAACAGTGTTCACTATTTTAATTTTTCTGGATTACCCTCTGTTATACCTGTTCATGTGAGTTAACAGCTTTGGTTGCAGAATGTGGAGGCTTGGACTGGCTTGAGTGCAAGGGTCCGCTCTTTCTCTCATGTATATCTCCTCTTTCTCTGACCAATTCTTGAGGCACCGAGTCTGATGTCTTAGCCAGTTTCCATCATCATCCCTAATCCGGTGCTGCCTTTTCCCAAGCAACATCTTAATGCAGCTTTCTCCACTTGGGGGTAATGGGCAGAGACATTTAAGTTGGAAGGGGAGTTGTGTGACTGTTGGTAGGCCCTCCAATTGCTGTGTGATGTCCTCCTGTCATTGTGGTCATAGGGTATATCCTACTTATTCTGCTTTTTTGCAGTCTTAAAACCCAAACTTTTCCCAGTGCTTAGCATAGTTTCATTAATGATTTTAAAAGACTAAACTTGTCCCTCAAGTTTATGTTCCATAGGTTATGCATTCTCTTTCTTTGATTGGAATTATTTTCACAGGATGTATTCTCACTGTGAGGTAACGCTTTCAAATTATTATTTTTTAATCCTGATACATACTGACTTGCATGGAGTTACTCATTGAATTGAATAAACATAGAGCCTTACTAATTTGCATCACTGTCGAAAACTTGTTTCCTGTTTCACTTCGTTTCTTCAGCATTGGAAATTAACAAGATTTTTTTTTTTGTAATTTAATAGGTGTGAAAAATTTAATTCTTTAGTAGCAGTGTTTCTAAGATACAGTGTCTTTTTTTACTAGGAGAAAGATTGTCAAGATTGTTAGGTTTTTTTGTTGTTTTTTTTTTTTTGAGTCAGGGTCTCACCCAGGCTGGAGTGCAGTGGTGCAGTCACTTCTCACTACAGCTGCGACCTCCTGGACTCAAGCAGTCTTCCCCACTCAGCCTTCCAAGTAGCAGGGACCACAGGCATGTGCCACCATGTCTGGCTGATTTTCTTTTAATTTTTGGTAGAAACGGAGTGTTGCTTCGTTGCCCAGACTGGTCTTAAACTCCTGGACTCACATGATCTTCCCGCCTTGGCCTCCCAAAGTGTTGGGATTACAGGTGTAGGCCACTACACCCAGCCTATTAGTGAGTTTTAAATGTAAACCTTCTGTTGGTCTCAGTGTTTATATACAAGGTCAGGTAGGTGTTAACATAACAGCTACTCATTTCTACTTATACTTTGTTAATGAAATCTTGTACTTCAAAGTAGGTATTTAATTTGCTTAAAACATTTTAGAAGTACAATTTTTTGGCCGGGCGCAGTGGCTCACGCCTGTAATCCCAGCACTTTGGGAGGCCGAGGTGGGTGGATCACCTGAAGTCAGGAGTTTGAAACCAGCCTGGCCAACATAATGAAACCCCGTCTCTACTAAAAATACAAAAATTAGCCAGATGTGGCATGGCGTGGTGTGGTGTGATATGGCATGCGCCTGTAATCCCAGCTACTCGGGAGGCTGAGACAGGAGAATCACTTGAACTCGGGAGGCGGATGTTGCAGTGAGCCGAGATCATGCCACTGTGCTCCAGCCTGGGAGATGGAGTGAGACTCTGTCTCCAAAAAAAAAAAAAGTACAATTTTTTGAATAGGTAATATATGTACATTATATAAAGATTAGGTTTATACAGAGCTGCCCCACAAGCTCTGTTCCCTCCTGCTTCCACTTCAGAAGCAGCGTGTTACATTCTTACGTGTCCTTCCAAAAAAGAGACTGTGCATAAATAAGTATATATGGATGAGGTTGTCGCATCAACCTTTACAGGATTGACAGGAAGATATATTTGTAGTATGGGTCCAGCATATATAAGTATTTGGCAAACAACATGAATAAAACTGGCAAAAACAGATTTAATTTGAACTGATGTGACTGTATTCTAGGGTCACCAAGGGTTCTAGAGCTACTGCCCCATGGTAGGGGCTGGGCTCCAGGTCTCCCTCAACCCCCAGTCCACACCTCACCTTTGGCCGGGTGACAGCCAGACTGTTCTGTTGTACGTTTGCACTTCCAACTGAGATTTTGTTTGGAGAAAGGAATTTAAGGTGAATACCACATTAGGCAGACAGTACCAGTAACCATGTGTTTCTCTCTTAATTTTTAGATGTTTCTTACCGTGTATCTCAGTAACAATGAGCAGCACTTCACAGAAGTTCCAGTTACTCCAGAAACAATATGCAGAGACGTGGTGGATCTGTGCAAAGAACCCGGCGAGAGTGATTGCCATTTGGCTGAAGTGTGGTGTGGCTCTGGTGAGAGACGCTGACAGCCTCGTGCTTTAGTTCTTCTGTCTTCTATTAATGTTGGTTTGTAGACGTGGCACTGTGTGAATGCTCATGTTTCTCCGGGGAGAAACTGGAGAATAGCACGTCCGGCAGAAATAGTGTTCCTGATCCAGCTTTGGTATGATACATGAAGTCTTTTTCGGTTTTCTTTTTCTCCAATAAAATGGAGACACCACAATATAAAATACAAAAGGTCATCTGGGCTGTTGTGGTCCAGTGGATGGTGCTCAACAGTGTCTTTGTATGTGTAAGCTTTACTTAATTAGAAATTTGAGGCATCCTAACTGGTTTGCCTTCTCTCAATTTCTGTAGGTTTTTAGAGGAAGCTACTCAGTGTCGAGGAACTGTAGTGGCAGACAGCAGTGGTGAACTCGTGGGCATTATTGTAAGCCTTGAAATCAATCCTTCTGTATGGTTCTTTGGAGCTCTAAAATGGGATAGCCTGGTTTCTTTTTGGCTCCATAGGAGGTGGTAGATGTGGGAGTAATTTTTCATCATTTCTGCCTTGTTCCTACACAGGCTGGATGAACTCCTGCTGGTTTCCTTTTTCACCTCTGGGGATGCCAGATATCCCCAGAGCAAGTCACACACTGTGTTAATTGAGTTCATGCCATTCATGATAGCTAACTTCAGCTGAGCCCCCACTTCTTTTCAGGCAAGTCCTTTTATTCATCTTTGGTTAACTTTTCTACAGTTGGATGTTCTAGAAGGTCTTCTGCAGTCTCCGAATTACTTTCTTTTCTGTTTACATAGGAACCAGATTAGAACAATCACATGAAGAAGCCCAAGGGATCTTTTGAAAATGAAAATTAGATAATTTCACTTTCCTGCTTAAAACTAGCGACTTCTCCTCCACTTAGAATAAAATCCAAACTTTTAATATTAGGTTGTGAAGTTCTGTAGATTCTTTGTCTTTGCTCTTATCTGGTACCATTTTCTTCTCTGCTTCTTCCTGCAGCTTTTAAAATATTTCTCGAATATGCTAAGCTCATTCCCACCTTAGAGTCATTGGTGATAGCCATTCCCACTGTTTGTATTGCTCTGTCTCCAGATACTGTCATTGCTGGTTCCTTCTGGATTGCAGCTAAAATGTTAATCTCCTTCTGGAGAGGCTTTTCCTGAGCACCCTGCCAAAAGTAGCCATGAAGTTAGTTCTCAGTTACATCATCCTGATGTAATCCTCTGCAGAAGGCCCGTCACTCTTTGTGTGTGTTTATTAGTTTATTGCTCCTTTTATCCTGATAGCCCCAAACATATGCACTAGAATGTAAACTATTTAAGGGTAGAGACCTTGTTTATCTTGTTCACTGCTGTATCCCCAGCTCAAGGGGAGTGCCTTGTACCTAGTAGATGCTGTAGAAATATTTGCAGAATGAGGAAATGAACTTCTAGCTGCTCCTGGTAACCTCCTTGCATTTAGCAAATTACCTTGCTTTATTCTTTACTGAGATAATTGAAACCATCCATTGTGTGCTTCCTCAGTTTTCTTTTTTCTTTTTTTGAGATGGAGTCTCACTCTGTCGCCCAGGCTGGAGTGCAGTGGCGCGATCTTGGCTCACTGAAAGCTCTGCCTCCCAGGTTCACGCCATTCTCCTGCCTCAGCCTCCCGAGTAGCTGGGACTACAGGCACCCGCCCCCATGCCCGCCTAATTTTTTGTATTTTTAGTAGAGACAGGGTTTCACCGTGTTAGCCAGGATGGTCTCGATCTCCTGACCTCGTGATCCACCCGTCTCGGCCTCCCAAAGCGCTGGGATTACAGGTGTGAGCCACCGCGCCTGGCCCCTCAGTTTTCTTACTCTTTACCTCAGATTCTCTCTGTGTGTCTCCATTTTCTTCTCATTTTCATAGAGGAAGAAGTGTTCTATCTTTGCCAGGGCTGTACTCTGTTCCTTGATACTTTTGATCCCACTTATTCCTCTTGCTCACTTGAATTTAATAACCTTTACTATGTGATGATGACATGTAAAGGATTTTCTTTCTTACAACTTTTTTTTTTTTTTTGAGACAGAGTTTCGCTCTTGTTGCCCAGACTGGAGTGCAATGGCGCGATCTCGGCTCACTGCAACCTCCGCCTCCTGGGTTCAAGCAATTCTCCTGCCTCAGCCTCCCGAGTAGCTGGGGATTACAGGCATACGCCACCACGCCCAACTAATTTTGTATTTTTAGTAGAGACGGGCTTTCTCCATGTTGGTCAGGCTGGTCTCGAACTCCCTATCTCAGGTGATCCGCCACCTCGGCCTCCCAAAGTGCTGGGATTACAGGTGTGAGCCACTGCATCTGGCACAACTTTTTAATTAAAAAATTTTTGGCCGGACACGGTGGCTGACGCCTATAATCCCAGCACTTTGGGAGGCCAAGGAGGGTTGATCACCTGAGTTTAGGAGTTTGAGACCAGCCTGGCCAACATGGTGAAACCCCGCCTCTACTAAAGTAAAATACAAAAATTAGCCAGGCATGATGGTGGACACCTGTAATCCCAGCTACTGGGGAGGCTGAGGCAGGAGAATCCCTTGAACTCAGGAGGCAGAGGTTGCAATGAGCTGAGATCGCACAACTCCACTCCACTCCAGCCTGGGTGACAGCAAGATTCTGTCTCAAAAAAAAAAAATTTTTTTTTAATGATAACACCGATATGTGTTCTAGATTTTTTTCTTTTTCTTTTCTTTTCTTTTTTTTTTTTTTTGAGATGGAGTCTTGCTCTGTCACCAGGCTGAAGTGCAGTGGTGCGATCTTGGCCCACTGCAACTTCCGCCTCCTGGGTTCAAGTGATTCTCGTGCCTCAGCCTTCCGAGTAGTTGGGATTACAGGCACGCGCCACCACACCAGCTAATTTTTTTTGTATTTTTAGTAGAGATAGAGTTTCATCATGTTGGCCAGGATGGTCTCGATCTCCTGACCTTGTGATCCGCCTGCCTCGGCCTCCCAAAGTGCTGGATTACAGGTGTGAGCCACCACGATCAGCCTCTAGTGTTTAAAAAAGGTAATAATATAAACAGAATGGATGTCTCTGTCCTAAGCGATTCCCCTGATCTCTTGATGTAATCACTTATGATTTTAGCCAGATAATTCTCAGACCTTTTCTCTGCATTTATAAGTAACTGTAGAAATATTTTTGTGTTGTTTCTCCATTTTTCCTTTATGTAAACAGTAGCATACATATCAGTGTTCTCCAGTTTACTATTTTACCTTACAACATAGCTTGTAGATCTTTTCTTTTCAGATTAGTATGTGTAAATCTGTATCTTTTTTTTTTTTTTTTTGAGACTGAGTCTCACTCTGTTGCCCAGGCTGGAGTGCAGTGGCACCATCTCGGCTCACTGCCATCTCTGCCTCCTATGTTCAGGTGATTCTGCTGCCTCAGCCCCCTGAGTAGCTGGAACTACAGGCGCCCACCACCACGCCCAGCTAATTTTTATATTTTTAGTAGAGATGGAGTTTCACCATGTTGGCCAGGCTGGTTTTGAACTCCTGACCTCAAGTGATCCGCCTGCCTCAGCCTCTCAAAGTGCTGGGATTACAGACATGAGCCACCACATTATTTTTAAATTATCACATAATTTCCCCCAGTATGCATAAACTATAGTTGAGCTAACAATTGCTTTATTTACAAATATTTAAATAAATTATCTTGTTTTAATAAGTGCTGCAGTAAAAATCCTTTTAGGAACCTCTTCTGATCCTATGCAAGCATTTCTCTAGGGGGTGGATGCCAAAAATGGAATTCTTTGGTTAAAAGTTCATACATTTTTTAAATTTTCAAAAAAAATTTTGTTTTTCTTCTTCTTTCTTTCCCTCCCCCTCCTCCTTTCCCTCCCCCTCCTCCTTTCCCTCCCCCTCCTCCTTTCCCTCCCCCTCCTCCTTTCCCTCCCCCTCCTCCTTTCCCTCCCCCTCCTCCTTTCCCTCCCCCTCCTCCTTTCCCTCCCCCTCCTCCTTTCCCTCCCCCTCATCCTTTCTCTCCCCCTCCTCCTTTCCCTCCCCCTCCTCCACATGCAGTAATTGATGTGAAATATTTTATTTTTTTATTGAGACAAGGTCTTGCTGTGTCGCCCAGGCTGGAGTGCAGTGTGATTCAGTCTTGGCTTGCTGCAGCCTTGACCTTCTAGGCTCAAGTGATCCTCCCACCTCAGCCTCCTGAGTAGTTGGGACTATAGGAATGTGCCACCACACCCAGCTAATTTTTGTATTTTTTGTAAAGATGGGGTTTTGCTATGTTGCCTAGGCTGGTCTTGAACTCCTGGGCTTAAGTGATCCTCCAGCCTCAGCCTTCCAAAGTGTTGGGATTACAGGTGTGAGCCACTGTGCCTGGCCAGGCCACACATTTTTTTTTTTTTTTAATGTGTATATTTAAGGTATACAACATGATGTTATGGGATACCCATAGGTAGTAAAAAGGTTACTATCATGAACCACATTAACATAAAGGTTCACACATTTGAAAATGTAATATATATTGTCAGATTTCCTTCTGCAAAGGTTATATCAGTTCATACCCTTTCCAGTTATTTCTAGATGTATTCCTCATCAAGTTATAATATTTTAACTTTTACTAAACTGATAGCTGAAAACCTGACTTTTGTTTAAATTTGCATATTTCTGATTTCAAATGTGGTTGCCTGTTTTTTCATTTGTTCATTGGCCATTTGGCTTTTTGGTTTTTGAAATTGTTTCTTTATATTCTTTGCTCATGTTTACTCTGGCTTTTTCCCTTCCCTCTTGATTTGTAGGCATTTAAAAACCATTCAGGATCTTAGGCCTATTAGTGTGTTATTAAAAAAAAAATTCTTATTCCAGAGGTGTAAATGTGTTCCCCTATTATTTAATTCTCTAAGTGTTTAGCCTTTCTTCTCCTCTCCTGTCTTGTTTCCTTTTGCATTTCCTCACTACCCACTCGTGTATTTGCTTAGTGAATATTTCTCGGATGCCTGTTATGTGCTAGGGACTGCACTTGATTGAGAGGGATACAGAGATGAAAGTTGCCTTCAGGTATCTTACAGGGCACAAAGAGAAACAAGTATCCACAGACATTTATAATACAATGTGATAGTTGCAGTAATAGATGTATTTCATCTGCAGGAGAAAAGGGTGCTGGGGGAGATGATGAATGATAGGAATGGCATGTTCAGAGTCACATAGGCAGGAATGCCCTGTCAAGGAGATACAGTCATGTGTCAATAATGGTGATACGTGCCGAGAAATTTGTCATTAGGTGATTTTGTTGTGTGAACATCATAGAGCGTACTTACACAAATCTAGATGGTATAGCCTACTACACACCTAGGCTATATGGTATACAGCCTTTTGCTCCTAGGCTACAAACCTGTACAGCATGTTACTGTATTGAATACTGTAGGCAGTTGTAACACAGTGGTACATATTTGTGTATCTAAACATAGGAAAAGGTACAGTAAAAATATGGCCTTAAAATCTTATGGGACCACTGTCAACATGCAGTGCATGACCGTAGGTGTGGCTGGCACATGAGTGTTAGTAGGGAGCTTTGAGAGCCTTTAAGTGTCTGTTTCAGCTTATGCAGGCCTATGCCTGATCTTTTGCCATCACAGGGCCATCGGGATGTTAGCCTAGAGCTTGTGAGAAGTCCATATCTTTCTGGGGCAGTCCAGCGTGGACAGCAAGCTACTTTACTTCCTTTGAGTTCTCTCTTTGCTCCTGGAACCTGGAGATTTTACTTGTTTTGAGTACAGCATGTGTGTGTGTATTTTGTAGGGGTGGGTGGAAGGGCTACTCAGAATTTCTTTTGGAGGTGTTTCTCTCTAACTGTGGTGTATCCTTTTTGGGGGAGGTCTTAGAATATGTGTGGTTTATAAAAGGGGATTATCTATGTCAACTCAGTATGTTATGTTACTGGAAGTAGAACCAGAACTGCATTTTGTTGCAGCCAAGCAGATTAAGTTCAGGGTTGGTTCACCAAATTGGCTGGTGAATGCTTGCCTGCTCTGTTCTCTGCCCATGTTTATTTAAGGTGTTAAGATAGTGTCCTTGATTACTGATAAATGTGTTGAGTTTTCTTAGGGTATTTCAACATTCTTATATTTAAAAATCATGTTGACATTACTGGAGTTTCATTGATTTTAAGCAATTGCCTCCTCAAACAGTGTGTCTCGTTTTTATATCCAGATCCCTTGAGATTGGAAGATTTTTTTAGGACAGCTTGAGATATATTGTTTCTCCTGAAGCTTCTATTTTTACTAGGTATTTAGGTGTGCCCTTCTTTTTGTTTCCAGAAAAATTCTGACACTGGTATTCTCACTGGAAGAGGGGCAAATATAGATACATTTTACAGCAGTAAATAGACTTTTATTTGGAAATGGATGGGTCTGATTTTTTTAAATATTGTTTGTAAAATTATAATTTAAAAATAGCCTGTATTGAAAACTACAATTAAAAAAAAAAGACTAGGCTATTTAGAAAGTTGCTTTTTAATATTTTCTTTGTATATTCGGAGAATCATGAATATTAGTGTTAGAAGGGACTATGTGATCTAATATAGATTTTACAGAAACTTTTGGAACCACAGAAGTTAAATGGTGCACCTGTGGCCAGCGTGGAGCCCACTGGATTTAGACTGCTGAGCTCCTGACAGCTGGCTGAGATGCATTGCCTTTTGTAGTATTCCACCCTGGCTTGACTCTGTGTGTGTGGAAAATCTGTGTGACTTCAGTTTCTAAGACGTGTTTTAATGAAAAAAATTTACCTGAGATACTAAGCATTTGTTGTATCCATAATGTATAATTTGCATGAAGGATAGATGGTGAATGATATATTTATCTTTCTTTTACCTGAAAATAATGTGGTTTCTACTCATTTGCTTTAGAACGTCCAGTTGCGGATAATGAGCGAATGTTTGATGTTCTTCAACGATTTGGAAGTCAGAGGAACGAAGTTCGCTTCTTCCTTCGTCATGAACGCCCCCCTGGCAGGGACATTGGTAGGTAGTGCTCTGTGAATCGTGACAGATATTTAAGCTTTTATTTTGTGCTGGGAGTAGTAGGTGGCACATGATGAGAAGCCAGGTAATTTGAGAGGTGAAGGAGAGGTTAGGAAGTGGAAACAGTGGAGATAGGCTGTCGAGGGGAGAAGTTTGACTATAGTTGTTTAATGCAGGTGGGAAGGAGTCATTAGAGCAGGGGGTTGAAACTATAAGAAAGGAAATACTTGTTAGGCAGGGTCCCTGATTAGGTCCTTCCACAGCCCTGAGGCAGAAAGTCCTCTTAGACAAGAGGAAGGATCCCTCTTCCATAATAACAGGACAGAAATAAAACTGTGGCAGATGTGGCTAAATTTGTGCATTTTGTGGGAGTAAGTTGAGGGATTTCTCATCTAAAAACATTTGTTTTCTCTGAGGTAGGAGTGATGATGGAGGTGGGTGGGAAGCTGGAGCTGTTTTGGAGATTAGGAGAGAGGGCTTACTAGGGAAGCCAGACTGCTGGGAACCATTGAGGCCAGTTGAGATTAGAGACCATGAGACCATACATGATTTTTCTCCAGTGGTGGTCTACAGCCCAGGTGGGTTGTAAGAAGAGAAGAAAACAAAGGTGTCTAGACAAATTTTTCTAGGCAATTGTCTAGAAAACCCAAGGTTTCTAGACAAATTCAATGGGAGTTCAGTGGGACAGGGGAGAAGAGGGTATTGGCAAGGTGATACCTTAGCTGGGTGGGGAAGAAGTGAAGACAGGAGGGGCTGTGGGGAAAGAGTAGACAGAGTTAAGAGGCTGTGAGTCTCAGTTAGATGAAAGAACAGGTGTGAGAGGAAATGAGTGAGACGCCTGAGATTGAAAGGAAATAGTGGTCAAAAAACAGAAGGTTTGAATTGAAAATTTCGGAGGTAGAGGGCTTCTAGTGTTGTGGTCCCAGGTGGGGCCCTGAAATGAGGCTGAATTAGAGTGGAGACGAGAAAGCTAGAACTGAGAGGCTAGCATTTGGGCGGTAATGTCATCCAGAATGAAGGCAGGACTTGGAGGTGGAGAGAACAAGGGAGTCAGTTGGTCACATCGTTAGTGACCAGGGATTGTGACCAGAGTTTATAGATGACTGTAGGGGGAGGGTGGAGAGAGAGTGTGGGTGGGAAGCAGCAGTAGACACTGGGGACACAGCCATCCCTGTGACCCAGCAGTCTTGTAGGATGTGGGAGAACGAGCAGGGTTATTGGACATTACAAAAGCTCAGTTTTGGCTGAGCGCGGTGGCTCATGCCTGTAATCCCAGCACTTTGGGAGGCTGAGGTGGGTAGATCACCTTAGATCAGGAGTTTGAGACCAGCCTGGCCAACATGACGAAACTCTGTCTCTACTAAAAATACAAAAATTAGGCCGGGTATGGTGGCTCACGCCTGTAATCCCAGCACTTTGGGAGGACGAGGCGGGAGGATCACGAAGTCAGGAGATCGAGACAGACCATCCTGGCCAACATGGTGAAACCCTGTCTCTACTAAAAATACAAAAATTAGCTGGGCATGGTGGCATGTGCCTGTGATCCCAGCTACTCGGGAGGCTGAGGCGGGAGAATCGCTTGAATCAGGGAGTTGGCGGTTGCAGTGAGCCGAGATGGCACCACGCACTGCAGCCTGGCGACACAGCAAGACTCATCTGAAAAAACGAAAACAACAACAACAACAACAACAAAAAACAAAAATTAGCTGGGCGTCTGTAATCCCAGCTACTTGGGAGGCTGAAGTGGAAGAATCGCTTGAACCCGGGAGGCGGATGTTGCAGTGAGCCGAGATCACACCATTTGCACTCCAGCCTGGGCGACAGAGCGAGACTCCGTCTCCAAAAAAAAAGTTCAGTTTTATTAACTAACTGTTGCATTAACGCAAGTGTCTATATGGTACCTGACCATTAGGAATGATTAAATTTATAGTACGGGTTAGCTGAGGGGCAGAATTGACTTAGTTTGGCCCCTTCTACCCTACAGATGAGAAATGCTGATACTTAGGGGTTAAGTGACTTGTCAGAGGCCACACACCTAGAGGCAGAGCCAGGAGTGGAACCTGAATCACCTCAGCCAAGCTACCTGGTTGCCTTTCAGTATCACTGGTGTCTGTAATTTTATTTTAAGTAAACATGTATTTTTTTCCGTAGGCTTTTTTCTTTTTTTTTTTGTAGTTTTATATTGGCATTTGCATCTTATTTTTTTTTTTGTTCTCTATTTACATCACATGCACTCATCTAATTAGTTGAATTTTACCCATTCATCTACCTGTTCAAATATCTTGCTGTATAGTACTGGATAAATTATTAAATAGTCTCTCAATAGTGCAATATGCAGTTTCAGTGTCAGTAATGTGAGAAATATAATCTGAAGATAAAGGAGCTGTTTTCACGTTGTCACAAAACACCAGTGCCACATAGTGTTGAAATTGGGATAAAACAAGGATTGTTTTTCAGTCTCCTTTATTAAGGTGTTAACTTACTGTTTTTGGTCTAGACCTCTCGATTAAGGATTAGGAGACTGTCACCATATTCTTTTTCCAATTCAATTAGGACCTGTGACCCTGAATGTATATGAAATTATGTTTAAGGCTCTTATTGCTTACTTTAATTAGGTAACTGATGATACAAAGGAGAAACTAGTTAAGTGCTCTCTCTTTAAGACAGCAAAGAAAGCAATTATTCTGAAATTATAGAAGTTTTTTTTTCTTACAGAAATATTGTGGCAGATTACCTGAGCTATTTTGCCAGATAATTGAGCTGCATTTTAAAAATAAAAGCTGATCATATTAGAATTAGGTGCAAGTGTGATACTTGGCTCTGAGTAGACATGTTTATTTATTTGTTTATTAGCAATGGGAATTTGTGCTAAGATTCCTGACAGTTATAATAGACATTTTACTTAAGTTTCTTGGGAGGTAATTTGATAATTTTTTTAATTTCTGGGAAGTACAGGTATGAGCTTAATATATTTTTAAAATTCTCTGTTGGTATTATTTGCTTCTTATAATGTATTAGTTTAAATTAAGACGTTTCCTTTTATGATACATTAAGTGGTACTGAAAGACCCATGTATTTTGGCTTTAAAAATTCTTTTTAGCCAAAAAAGCAGAATATATAGTGTTTCTGGATAGTACCTTCACAAACTTAAACAAATATTTTGCTTAAATAAATGTGGAAGTACCTCATAGTACTTACAAATTACCACAAAATGTTTGCAATAAACCAAATAATTAAGATACTACTTGTTCCTTTTTTTAAGTGCTTTCTTCTCATAATAAGTTAAAAATATTGTTAGCGAGTACAAGGATGCATTGATGTAATTTTCAACTATTTCAGTGAAGTTTTTCTTGGTTTAACTACTGAGTAGCTAAATAGATGACTAGGAAGAGCAACTATAAGCAAATGGTATGAATTACTCATAGTCAGAAGTACATTACGTTTGTTAATTTTTCCTCCTTTGGTATGTGAATCAGACAGCTTTCCTAATGAATAGGTGGCATGTGATATTTAGTAGTGCTGAGTATTCACTGTTCCATGAAATTAATTTTGCAAAACACACTGAGTTATGAGACCTTAAGTCCATTGCTATTAGAAAATATTTTGTTTTAAGAATACATTCAACTTAAAATATCAAACAGTAATGACAGAACTCAGAAATGAACTGGTTCTTAAAATATCTGTCAACTCTAGTGTTAATGCATAGTTTTTGAATTTTGTCCTTAGTGAGTGGACCAAGATCTCAGGATCCAAGTTTAAAAAGAAATGGTGTAAAAGTTCCTGGTGAATATCGAAGAAAGGAGAACGGTGTAAGTTGTTGTTTTTATCCATACTGTATATACCACAGTGATACATATTTTTTAACTTTAAATCTTATTCATTATTACTTTGTTATTCAATGGGCTAAGGATGGCCGCTTTTTAAAGGTTATTTTAAATTTGTTTCATAGAAACTATTAATTTTAATGATCTGTATATGGCTGACTATTGGAAGAAGTTGTATGTTTAATGTGACACAAATTCAGACAAAATAAATGCTGAGCAAGTTTGAGGAAGTATTTCTTATTTGGTGATTTTATTTGTTGCAATCATCACTTTATTAAAAATGCAAAATTGGCCGGGTGCAGTGGCTCACGCCTGTTATCCCAGCACTTTGGGAGGCTGAGGTGGGTGACTCACCTGAGGTCAGGAGTTCAAAACCAGTCTGACCAACATGGAGAAACCCCATCTCCACTAAAAATACAGAATTAGCCGGGTGTAGTAGTACATGTCTGTAATCCCAGCTACTCAGGAGGCTGAGGCAGGAGAATCTCTTGAACCCGGGAGGCAGAGATTGCAGTGAGCCTAGGTCGCGCCATGGCACTCCAGCCTGGGCAACAAGAGTGACACTCTGTCTCAAAAAAAAAAGGAAAATTATATATTTATACTCTCGCTATTGCATGTGAATTTGAGCATGCATCTTTGGTATATTTTGAAGACATTTCTTTTCAGCGGTCACTATTTTTAGTGCCATTAGGGATTAGCTAAACTACCTTTCTCCAATCATCAGTACATTTATAGTAGAATTCAGATGATCTTAAGTACCATTTTCTCCTACTGTGTCTTTCTTCAGATTCTTCTTTTTCTTTTCTTTGATTTACTTATTTTTATTTTTATTTTATTTTATTGTTTTCTGGGATGAAGTCACATTCTGTTGCCCAGGCTGGAGTGCAGTGGTGTGATCTCGGCTCACTGCAACCTCCACCTCCTGGGTTCAAGCGATTCTCCTGCCTCAGCCTCCCGAGTAGCTGGGATTACAGGTGCCTGTGACCACACCCAGCTAATTTTTGTATTTTTAGTAGAGTCGGGGTTTCACCATGTTGGCCAGGCTGGTTTCGAACTCCTGACCTCAAGTGATCCACCCACCTCTGCCTCCCAAAGTGCTGGGATTACGGACGTTAGCCATGGTGCCTGAGCTTTTCTTTGATTTAATAATTATCTTACAATGATGAAAAGATGAAATGCAGATGATAAAAATGATCTTAGCCGTTGTTTTAGTGCATATGGACACAATGTATCTTCTCCTCCACCAACTAGAGGCTGAGGCATGAGGATGACTTGAAGCCAGAAGTTTGAGGCTAGCCTGGGCAACAAAGTGAGACTGTGTTTCTATTAAAGAGATATATTATATCTTTATATATATATTTTTAAAAAGCTGCAAAGTGTTTCCAAAGCGATCATATTATTTTACATGCCCACCAGAGTTTTACTGTTTCCACATCCTTGCCAAAGTTTGGTATGGTCAGTCTTTTTAATTTTAGCCATTAAAATATATGTGTAGTGGTATCGCATTGTGGTTTTAATTTGTATTTCTCTAATGACTAATGATTTTGGACATCTTTTCATGTGCTTATTTGCTCTCTGTGTCTCTTCTTTGGTGAAATTATTTGTTCAAATCTTTTGCCCAATTTTTTGCTCTCTCACTGAGTTTGAAAGTTCTAATAGTCTGGATCCAATTTTTTTTTTTTTTTTTAATGGAGCATACTTTTAGTGTTGTATCTAAGAACTCTTTGCCCAACCCAGGGTCATAGAGATTTTTTTTTCCTTTGTTTTCTTTTGGAAGTTTTGTAGTTTGCAGTTTTACCTCTAAATCTATGATCCCTATTGAGTTAATGTTTGCATATGGTGTGAGAATCAAAGTTCATTTTTTTTTTTTTTTTTGATACAGAGTCTCACTCTGTCGCCTAGGCTGGAGTGCAGTGGCGCGATCTCGGCTCACTGCAACCTCCACCTCCTAGGTTCAAGTGATTCTCCTGCCTCAGCTTCCCGAGTAGCTGGGATTATAGGCACCTGCCACCATGCCCAGCTAGTTTTTATATTTTTAGTAGAGATGGGGTTTCACCATATTGGTCAGGCTGGTCTCGAACTCCTGACCTCAGGTGATCCACTGACCTCAGGTGATCCACCCACCTCGGCCTCCCAAAGTGCTGGGATTACAGGCGTGAGCCACCGTGCCCGGCCCTGAGGTTTATCTTTGTAATATGAATATCTAATTGTATAAGCAGTATTTATTGGAAAGATTATTCTTTTTTCCACTCAGTTGCTTTTGCACCTTTGTCTAAAATCAGTTGCCTCATGTATGTGGGGCTATTTTTGTACTCTCTATTCTGTTTGATTGATCTACTTGTCTATTTTGACGTCAATACCACATGCATTGGTCACTGGAACTTTTATAAGTCTTGAAGTCAGGTAGTGTAAGTTTTCCAGCTTGATTCTTTTCAGAGTTATTTTGGCTATTCTAGATGCTTTGTACTTCCATATGAATTTTAGAATCAACATCAATTTTTACAAAAATGCCTGTTTGGGTTTCAGTTGAGATTTTGTTGAATCAATTTGAGAATAATTGCTGTCTTGACAGTATTGAGCTTCCAATTCATGAACATGGTGTAACTCTCCATTTATTTGCATTTTCTTTCAGCAGTTTTTGAGATTTTAGTATATACATCTTACCTATTTATTAAATTTATCCCTAAGTATTTCATATTTTTGATACTATAAATGGTATTTAAATTTAAAAATTTTAAATTTCTAATTGTTTCTAATATATTGAAATGCACTTGACTTTTGCATATTGATTTTTTTTTTTTTAATCCTGCAGTCTTGCTATGTAACCTATTTATCTGGTAGCTTTTTTGTAGATTCCATAGCATTTTCTTCATAGATGATTATATTGTCTGTGAAGGCAGTTGAACTTCTTTTTTACCAATCTGGATGCTGTTTATTTCTCTTTCTTGTTTTATTGCATTGGCTAGAACCTCTAGGACAATGTTGAATAGATGTTGTGAGAGTGGATGTCCTTGCTTTGTTTCTGATGACTCAATGTGTCTTGAATTTTTTAGTGCTAAAGTATTTTTAAATGATATTCCAATGACTAAATTCTAGGTTTGCTGCCAGTGCCTCAATACCATGTTTAATATGATCAAACACTTCTGTTGTAATATAAATTACAGAACAAGGTAATTCTGAATTGTTCCATTTATGTCCCTGACTGTTGAAACTATTTAATTTTAAACTTGCAACTTAAAATAAAAGATTATTGTATATTAGTGTGTTTTACATTACATCTTAAAAAGTCAATGTGGTGAGTATTAATATAAGAATTAATGGTCTGCTTGATATTATGAAAGAAAAATCGCTAAATAATTTTGTCATAGTTGGTTCATATGAAGCTTTTACATAGACCTTTGAGGGCGGAATCTCTGTGGTAGTTTTATAGTAAGCTGGGATTGTGTTTATTTGTGTTTTTACTTGTAGGTTAATAGTCCTAGGATGGATCTGACTCTTGCTGAACTTCAGGAAATGGCATCTCGCCAGCAGCAACAGATTGAAGCCCAGCAACAATTGCTGGCAACTAAGGTAGTATCGTCCTTTTTTTTTGGAGATGAATGCTCACTCTGTCGCCTAGGCTGGAGTGCAGTGGCACGATCTTGGCTCACTGCAACCTCCGCCTCCTGAGTTCAAGTGATTCTCCTGTCTCAGCCTCTCAAGTAGCTGGGATTACAGGCAGACGCCACCACACCTGGCTAAATTTTGTATGTTTTGTAGAGATGGGGTTTCACCATGTTGGCCAGGCTGGTCTCAAACTCCTGACCTCAGGTGATCCGCCCACTTCGGCCTCCCAAAGTGTTGGGATTACAGGCGTGAACCCCCGTGCCCGGCTGGTAGTATCTTCTTTTAAAAGAGCTAACAGGCCACTATTGTTAATATATGTGTAAGGCTATTTACATTCTACCCCCATTAAGCCAATTACCTCACAGATATGAGGTAACATTATCAACCCAAAAGCCACCTGCTGTTTGGTGCTCTCTTTGTGCTCTCTTTGAGTCCTTACTATAGCATTTTGTAGAAATCCTTGTATCATCCTAATTGTTCAAGATCTTTCTGACTCCTGATTCTGATCAAGATTAACCATGCTATGATGGGTATCAGCCAGACAGGAAAGGTGGAAAGAGCCCTTCATCTTTGCTTCTAGGAACTACTCTGGGCCACAGCAAGAGGAATATTAAAGTTCTAACATGGTATAACCATACCATAGATTAATCTTGGATCAGATTAATCTAATACTGTCCCCTTCTGGAGCTTGGCACCAATAACGGGCTGCTTGCCTTTATTTGGGGAACATTCTTTATCCACAAACTAACCCTAGTCCTGGCCTTGAACAAGGAAAATATAAGAAGCCACTCCATTACCATCAGAACTGCTGCTTCTCCTGCCAGCCATAGGCTTCCAATCTGACCCAAAAGCCAACAGACCTTTCTCTGTAAAGGGCTACATAGTAAATATTTTGGGCTTTGCAAACTTTGCTGCCTCTGTTGCAACTACTCAGGTCTGCTGTTATAAGCAGTCATGGATAATAGGTAAACAGATGGTGTGGTTGTGTCCCAATAAAACTTTACTTACAAAAACAAGATAGCAAGCTGGATTTGGCCTGCAGACTATAGTTTGTCAACCCCTGGTCTAAACACCCAGGATCCACAACTAACAGTCCTTTAGTGATTATCAGGTCACTGAAGCTGGGGTAGACAATTGTTGGTTTGTCATGGGCAAAGTTACCCAATAGGGCTTTGAAATAATGGCCAGGAATTCTTCAAGGCAGTTCTCAAGGCAGTGTGGACTTCATGTCATACTTCCTAGGGTTCCTGTGCATCCATTTCTGTTTGTAATACCAGACCCCAGTTTTTCCAAAATCATGCATATCATTGCTTCTCAAACCTTAAGATACATATGAATCACCTGGGGATCGTGTTGAAAATGCATATTCTGATTCAGTAGGTGAGTTGAGGTTTGAGCTTCTGCATTTCTCACAAGCTTCCAGGTGATGCTGATGCACATTACATTGAGTAGCAAGGATATATAGTCAAAAAGATTGGTTGTTGAAGAACAAATTTCTAAGCTTTTTAGTCTTCAAGGACTTAAAAACAAGTCCTTGTGGGTTTTTTTTTCTTTTGAGATGGGTTCTCACTGTGTTGCCCAGGCTGGACTTGAATTCCTGGGTTCAAGTGATCCTTCTGCCTTAGCCAGGGTTTTTGTTTTGATTCTTTCCATGTTACTTATATGTTCTAGGCATACTAATCTAAGAAATAGTTTACCTGTGATTATAAATTGTGTGGCTCTGTTACTCAGTTTTAGTTAAAAATTTTAATGTAATAAAAACAAAATTTCTGCTATAACAAAAGTACCTTGGGGCAGGGGAAAGAAACAATTTCAGATTCCATGATTGCAGCTTTCTAAAGGTGTTAAATATTTCTTTAGCTCTTTTCAGTGACCATTTATTGAGTATATACTATGTAAAATATCATTCAAAGACATTTACATTTCACACTTCATTTAATCTTCACTATAGTAACATTGGTAGTTACTATTGATCATCCCTGTTTTATAGATGAAGAAACATAGACTTGCATGCTTGGTGAGGTTATGCAATTTGTTCAGGGTCTCATAGCTAATAAGTGGTAGAGCTGGGTTTGAATCTAAATGTACTCCAAATCTTGTGCATTTAAATAGTTTCTTATGATGCTTCCCATTTCTACATGAGCTGCTTTTTAAAATTGTTGCAACAGTTTATGAAAACTAGTTCAAGAATTGCTGCATCCTTGCTGCATAAGAACCACTTGGGTTAAAAATACTGATTCCTGGATCTTATCCCCAGAAGATTCTAGGGTGGGCTCAGGAGTATCTGTTTTGAACAGACTTCCAGTGTGATTCTGATGGCAGTGTTTAGGAAGAAGGTGAGACCAGACCAGGGTTACAAGTGTACCTCAATCTCAACATCTAAGTGTTGCAGTTAGGCTATTTTGAGCTTAGTGGTGTACTTACCTAAAATGACATACCTAATGATTACTTTTATTTTTAGGAACAGCGCTTAAAGTTTTTGAAACAACAAGATCAGCGACAACAGCAACAAGTTGCTGAGCAGGAGAAACTTAAAAGGCTAAAAGAAATAGCTGAGAATCAGGAAGCTAAGCTAAAAAAAGTGAGAGCACTTAAAGGCCACGTGGAACAGAAGAGACTAAGCAATGGGAAACTTGGTGAGTTGTTCCTCATAGATTTACTTTTTTATACATTTATTTGTCTGGTTTTTTTGAGACAGGGTCTTACTGTGTTGCCCAGGCTGGTCTTTTGAACCGTGGCCTCAAGTGATCCTCCCACCTCAGCCTCCTGAGTAGCTGGGGTTACAGGTGCAAGCCACCATGGTTGATCTGTAGATAACTTTAAAGGGTATCTTTTGAAAAAATATAATTTACTGCAGTTTTGATGCTGCAGGTTCCTCTGAATTGAATTCAGCTGTTGAATGTTTTATACAGGATTTCTAAGATACCTTTGGAAAATGTAGCATTTTTTCCCCTTAATATTTTTTGACTGAGAATTTGATGAAGGCAAGGATTTTTATTCATATAATAGCTCCATCTATTACGATACCATTTTATTCAGAATGTTTGTGGTTTAATAGATCCACCTAATGTTATAAAATTGAAAGTTCTAAAGAAATTTTTATTGTTTCTAAAATTTGGAGTTTAATAATATTTTTAATGCAAATTCTGATAAATATACATTGATATTGAAGCACAGAGATTTAGAGATGTCTCTGTTGATTTCACTTGCTTCTAAAAGAAGTCGGTTGCTTCCAGGACATTCTGAAAAATTTTTCTACTGTTTATTAGAAAGTTCATTGTAAAGCCCGGTTGCCTGGGAAGTAGTCCATTCTTATTTTTCTTTTCAACTGTTGTTGCTGTTCTCTGTCTCATCTAGTGGAGGAAATTGAACAGATGAATAATTTGTTCCAGCAAAAACAGAGGGAGCTCGTCCTGGCTGTGTCAAAAGTAGAAGAACTGACCAGGCAGCTAGAGATGCTCAAGAACGGCAGGATCGACAGCCACCATGACAATCAGTCTGCAGTGGCTGAGCTTGATCGCCTCTATAAGGAGCTGCAGGTAGACCGTAGCTGTTTGCCAAAAGCTGTACAACCTCCTTTCCAGAAACAGAGTTGCTCATATAAGTAGCAAGAGGTGCTAGATTTCAGTTGCCTTTCCTTAAAGAGAAGGCAGGTTGTGGGGGGAACCCAAACTCCAGAGAATCCAGAGTAAACTTTATAGTACCCTAGACAGGAAATTTGAGACATTCCTCATAACCACAGCTGGTGGTCTTGCACAGGTGTCACTTAATTTTAAACCATGAGATGAGAAGTGTGGAGGGGTGGAGGGACCTCATATTTTTAGAAATTATATAATAGTTAACCATGTGATTAACTGTTTGAGACATTTTCTTCCTACTCCTTGGCTACCTTTTTTCCCCTCTCTTTTATTCAGCTAAGAAACAAATTGAATCAAGAGCAGAATGCCAAGCTACAACAACAGAGGGAGTGTTTGAATAAGCGTAATTCAGAAGTGGCAGTCATGGATAAGCGTGTTAATGAGCTGAGGGACCGGCTGTGGAAGAAGAAGGCAGCTCTACAGCAAAAAGAAAATCTACCAGTAAGTGGGCCGTTTTGTAATGGTTTTGGGGAGGAGGGAAAAAGATGACCAGCCCAGTGAGGTTACTCATAGGCATCTTCTTCAGAATCATTACTCAGTGTGCCCTCAGAAAACAGATGCTGTTTATGGATCCTTAAAAGACAATCCGCTGCTTTTTTACTTTTTAATGTTATTACCTGTGTAGCTCTGTTTGTCTCTAATACTTGTAATAAAGTGTGGGTGAGAGTTCATTGGGGAGTGTTTATTTTGGAATGTTTTTTGTAGACTCTATGGCTAGATTCTGAAACTGCTCATTTTAAAAAGTAAGAAAATGTCACATCTTAGTTTCTAAGTCTGATCACCTGAGATGATTTTTAATACTAAAGGACCTGTGCTTCTTTCCTAAGGTTTCATCTGATGGAAATCTTCCCCAGCAAGCCGCGTCAGCCCCAAGCCGTGTGGCTGCAGTAGGTCCCTATATCCAGTCGTCTACTATGCCTCGGATGCCCTCAAGGCCTGAATTGCTGGTGAAGCCAGCCCTGCCGGATGGTTCCTTGGTCATTCAGGCTTCAGAGGGGCCGATGAAAATACAGACACTGCCCAACATGAGATCTGGGGCTGCTTCACAAACTAAAGGTAAAAAGTCCTGCACAGCCTAGTTCTTCCTGTCCCCACTATTCTTTCTCCCAAGTTTGAGTTTAAAAAAAATCTCTCTTTGTATTCATTATTCATGTTTGAATTCTAAAAATCCTTTTATATTCTTTGCTGGTGTAATGAGACGTTTAAAAAATTAAAATTGATACCCTGGTTGTACAAGGATGATTTTTCTTAACCCTAAATAATACAATTCTATTCAGGAAATGAAATAAAATATAATATCTTTATAAACCTGAAAATTGTTTTAAAAAGTTCCTTATTGTTACTAAGGAAATTTTGATATTAATAACTTGAGAACTTTTCTTTTTGGGTAAAAACATATGTGTTTGTGGTGTCATCTGTATAGGATGTGAGGTTCTGAATCTATTATGTTGATGAGTGGTGTTAAATATTCATATCTGCTTACATGTGAGAATTTGCTGATAATTTTTAGAATAACATTAAACATATTGGGAGATTAAAAGTGAAAATAGCAGAGGCTCCTTGTGTTAGTGATCTTTGCATTCTGTGTACTTCTCAGATACATGGAGAGGTACAAGCCATAGTTTTGTAATGGGAGGAAAAAGTGTGGGGAGAATTGTAGAAAAATTGGGGTAAAGCATCCTTTAATGACCTTATCATTCAGACCCCTGGACAGAAGAAGTAATAGCCAGTATTGTCTCTGTTCTCTTACAATTATCATATGCAAAAAAATAGCTGATTTTCAAATTATTTGTTATTTTACCATAACTACTACTGTGAAGCAATAGTACCATGCAGTCTGGATTTTATTGTGGAAAGAGTTATATTTGCTTTGTTTCTGTAAGGAAAAATGAAAGCAGTGGCTTTTGAAATTTAAGTATCAGTGTAGAAAAAAACCTGAATATACTGATTTGTGAAAGAGTGCAGTTGAAGTCCTGGATTAAGGATCCACATATTTACTTTTGTGTTGTGCATGTATCACTTAAAATATCATTTATAAAATACACCTTAGACCCTTAGGTCTCTTGAATTGGAAAGTATTTTCTGGATGTGATGGTGATGTTTTCTAACACAGTGAAGAATAATGTGTCTTTGCTGGTTCAAGCAGACTTGCTGTGACTAATTTTAAATTGCCTGAGTAAAGTGGAAGAATCTTAAATTAGAAATATAAAATATAATACAGTATTTTCTAAGTAAATTTATTGGGGTGTTGTGAGTCTGGAATTTAAAGCTGTTTTTAGAGATTAAAAGTCTTAGCAGTAAAAATCATTAAAAATCTCTTTAGAATGCTGAGTTATTTGTAGCTGCTTTTCTGTATTTTAGGCTCTAAAATCCATCCAGTTGGCCCTGATTGGAGTCCTTCAAATGCAGATCTTTTCCCAAGCCAAGGCTCTGCTTCTGTACCTCAAAGCACTGGGAATGCTCTGGATCAAGGTGAGATTTATTTGTGCTACTCTTGAACATTAAATTTTGGTCATCTGAAAGGTGCTGTGTATTCTTTTAGAGAGTCCATTTTCTCTTTTCTTTCTTCCTTTTTTTGTTTTTTTTAAAGACAGGATCTCACTCTTGTCATCCAGGCTGGAGTGCAGTGGTGCGCTCATGGCTCACTGGTGCAGCCTCCACCTCCTGGGCTCAAGTGATTCTCCTACCTCAGCCTCCCTAGTAGCTGGTACTACAGGTGCATGCCACCATGCCTGACTAATTTCTGTATTTTTTGTAGAGATGGGGTTTCACCATGTTGCCCAGACTGGACTCCTGGGCTCAAGTGATCTACCCGCTTCCACTTCCCAAAGTGCTTGGATTACAGGCGTGAGCCACTGCACCCGCCTGATAAATCATTTTCTAGTGTGTTAACAATAGGGACAATATTTAACAATATTTATTTCCAGAACACCTTAATTTAGCTGGAGAACTCAGGTACGATCATTATAGTGCTTGGGTTATCCTTTTATTAGTTTAATTAAAAAATAGGAACGTGCTTTGTGGACACAGATTTTCAGGGAGATTTAGGGGAGAGAAACTTACGAGTGAATGAGATACTTTATTCTAAACAGTTTGAATGTCATTGTGATTTTTTTGTCTTTAGTTGATGATGGAGAGGTTCCGCTGAGGGAGAAAGAGAAGAAAGTGCGTCCGTTCTCAATGTTTGATGCAGTAGACCAGTCCAATGCCCCACCTTCCTTTGGTACTCTGAGGAAGAACCAGAGCAGTGAAGATATCTTGCGGGATGCTCAGGTACCTACAAATATCCTGGTTTTTAAAATTTAATAGTAATTCTATAATGCAGTTTTTAGAAGGGATAAAGTATTGTGTGAGGGAGAGCAGAAGAAACAGGATGTACCTAGGAGATTAGAAAATACATTAGCATTCTGTTATTTTAATTTCTCTTGCGTGAGTCTGTTTGTGCTCTCACACCCGGTGGGAGAATGGCTGACATGCTTGTTTTGGGTCATATTTCATGTGATTCTCTAAAAAGTATAAGTGCATCGAAGAACACTGTATTTGTATTGTTCAAGTATCTTATTTCTTCAAAGTTACAAAATGCTTGTGTGGTGAATTTTCTGTAACTGTTACAGTCTTAATCCTTGATAACCAGGTTATGTGTGAGTGCTCCAAGTTAGGTGTGTTTTATTACAGTTGTCTAGATTGCATGAAATTCCAGTGAACAAGAATGGTTTCCCATTATTGATGCCATCTGAATATGAAAGATGACAGTAAAAGTTTTCAAGTGGGCACTTAAATGTATTAAAATTGCCCAGATAGGAAGTGGAAACAAGGAGGAAGTCATAAAGGGAAGAGATTGTATTGCATTAATGAAAACCATTATTAAATGTGAGTAAATACAGAAATTTAAAACTAGTTAACAGCCAGGTGTGGTGGCTCACACCTGTAATCCCAGCACTTTGGGAAGCTGAGGTGGGAGGATCACTTGAGACTAGGAGTTCGAGACCAGCCTGGGCAACAAAACGAGACCCTGTCTATATAAAAATAAATAAGTACATAAAACAAAACAAAAGCTAATTAACAATTAAAAAATATGAGCTTATATAGATATATTTTCCGAGATGGAGTCTTGTTCTGTTGCCCAGGCTGGAACGCAGTGGTGCAATCTTAGCTCACTACAACCTCCACCTCCTGGATTCAAGAGATTCTTCTGCCTCAGCCTCCTGAGTAGTTGGGACTACAGGCGCCCGCCACCATGCCTGGCTGATTTTTGTATTTTTTTAGTAGAGACGGGGTTTCACCATATTGGCCAGGCTGGTCTCGAACTCTTGACCTCGTGATCCGCCTGCTTTGGCCTCCCAAAGTGCTGGGATTACAGGTGTGAGCCCCTGCACCCGGCCAGAGCTAATATTTTTATAGTGTATATTTACATTTGTGAAATTAGGTTATCTAGAACATCCTGTGTACCCAGTTATATAGTATTTTAACTGGCTTTTTATGTGTGTGTTATAGGTTGCAAATAAAAATGTGGCTAAAGTACCACCTCCTGTTCCTACAAAACCAAAACAGATTAATTTGCCTTATTTTGGACAAACTAATCAGCCACCTTCAGACATTAAGCCAGACGGAAGTTCTCAGCAGTTGTCAACAGTTGTTCCGTCCATGGGAACTAAACCAAAACCAGCAGGGCAGCAGCCGAGAGTGCTGCTATCTCCCAGCATACCTTCGGTTGGCCAAGACCAGACCCTTTCTCCAGGTTCTAAGCAAGAAAGTCCACCTGCTGCTGCCGTCCGGCCCTTTACTCCCCAGCCTTCCAAAGACACCTTACTTCCACCCTTCAGAAAACCCCAGACCGTGGCAGCAAGTTCAATATATTCCATGTATACGCAACAGCAGGCGCCAGGAAAAAACTTCCAGCAGGCTGTGCAGAGCGCGTTGACCAAGACTCATACCAGAGGGCCACACTTTTCAAGTGGTAAGGTTCTTAACGTTCATAGGTGACGTGCTTAAGTTCTATACCAGAACTTAAGCCATCCCTCAGCAGACAGCAAAATAACTAATCCCTATTTTGACTGACGCTAAGGGTTTTTAACTGTGGCTTCTGTTCTTTACTGGGAGTTTAAAAGAGTGCTTGCTAAATGTCTGCTCCTACAGTAGTAGGCACTAAAGATAATAGATGAATAAAGTGTGGTCTCAAGTCTGGAGGGGCTTATCGGTGAGGGAGAACCAAATATAATGGGTCATTACAGTGCAGAAGGAAGGTGTGTGTCTTCACTGTAGGTTGACCAGATGTTCTTGTCATATAGAGGACTGGACCACTGCCCCTGTCTGTGTGTGTGTGTGTATATACATATAGAGAGACATATATACGTAGACATGTATATATAGATATATATACACACACACACATCACACACATATATATATGTGTGTCTCTGTATGTGTGTGTCTGTGTCTATATGTCTTTATATATAACTGTGGCTGGGCGCAGTGGCTCACGCCTGTAATCCCAGCACTTTGGGAGGCCAAGGTGGGCGGGTCACCTGAGGTTGGGAGTTCGAGACCAGCCTGACCAACATGGAGAAGCCCCACCTCTACCAAAATACAAAATTAGCTGGACGTGGTGGTACATGCCTGTAATCCCAGCTACTCAGGAGACTGAGGCAGGAGAATTGCTTGAACCTGGGAGGCGGAGGTTGCAGTGAGCCGAGATGGTGCACTCCAGCCTGGGCAACAAGAGTGAAACTCCATCTAAAAAAAAAAACATACATACGTACATATATATATATATTCTCTACTGTATTTTAAGTCATTGTAATGGGGACATAGCCGCTAGCTAAATGTAAAAACAGAAGGTTAGCTTGTATTAAACATACACAGTTTGGAAATTTGTTGGGTTCTTTCTAAATTATTACTTCATAGGACTAGAATAAAACTTACCATGTTTTAATTGAATGAAAATAGCTTTGTAGTCATGAAATAACCATGTAATTGTGACCTAAGATGCCATAATTAAAATTAGCAAAGAATCAGTATATATGCTACCTCTTACTCTTCTTTTCATGGGTCTTTAGTGAAAATGGAATAATTTGGGAATTAGATAATTTTAATATAATCAGAATGTTAACAGGGAATATCTTTGGTAACTATAAGTGGTTCTTAATAATTTTATAAGCCAAATAGAAGTTCTCACGTTGATTCACTTTTGAAAAGTGAAAGATGGGATAGTACATGTTTAGTTTTAATCTGGACACATGAGGATTATCTGTTTTCATTGCATCTAAATGTTTTTCACATTTTGTTATTTTAAATTTGGATGCTACAGTGATTTCTTAAAACGGCAACATTTTCTTATTGTTTCATGAGATATGGTGCATGTTACAATCAGTGGGGGTTTTGATTCTGTAATAAGTTTATTATGCAAAGATGGATTCCCTGCTTTGTCATTTATTTTTAAAAATTAATTATATTTGAAGGGGATTATGTAGTAACAACTATGAAATTAAAAGAGGCTTTAGTTATTGTTAGCTGTTTCTGTTTCTTGCCAGTTTTGTTTAATTAATGCTAATGAGGGCTTTTTTTTTTCCTTTTCCAATTAGTATATGGTAAGCCTGTAATTGCTGCTGCCCAGAATCAACAGCAGCACCCAGAGAACATTTATTCCAATAGCCAGGGCAAGCCTGGCAGTCCAGAACCTGAAACAGAGCCTGTTTCTTCAGTTCAGGAGAACCATGAAAACGAAAGAATTCCTCGGCCACTCAGCCCAACTAAATTACTGCCTTTCTTATCTAATCCTTACCGAAACCAGAGTGATGCTGACCTAGAAGCCTTACGAAAGAAACTGTCTAACGCACCAAGGCCTCTAAAGAAACGTAGTTCTATTACAGAGCCAGAGGGTCCTAATGGGCCAAATATTCAGAAGCTTTTATATCAGAGGACCACCATAGCGGCCATGGAGACCATCTCTGTCCCATCATACCCATCCAAGTCAGCTTCTGTGACTGCCAGCTCAGAAAGCCCAGTAGAAATCCAGAATCCATATTTACATGTGGAGCCCGAAAAGGAGGTGGTCTCTCTGGTTCCTGAATCATTGTCCCCAGAGGATGTGGGGAATGCCAGTACAGAGAACAGTGACATGCCAGCTCCTTCTCCAGGCCTTGATTATGAGCCTGAGGGAGTCCCAGACAACAGCCCAAATCTCCAGAATAACCCAGAAGAACCAAATCCAGAGGCTCCACATGTGCTTGATGTGTACCTGGAGGAGTACCCTCCATACCCACCCCCACCATACCCATCTGGGGAGCCTGAAGGGCCCGGAGAAGACTCGGTGAGCATGCGCCCGCCTGAAATCACCGGGCAGGTCTCTCTGCCTCCTGTAAGTAATGTACTATCTCATAGCCTTTTCCGGAGTCCTTTACTTTGTTACGATTTTCTTGGTGGTCACATTCATCTTCTCCAGTTTGCATTTTTATTTTACGATTCCCTTGGCACAGAGTGGATCTTATAAATGTTTTCATAATGCAGTTTATTCAATATAAAGAACATTTTTCTGTTTTAGAGAGAACCCATTTATTTGTGAAAGAAACAGAGTTTTGTTCTTATCCCTATAAACACTGCATTTGCTGTTTCTTCTCTAGCTGATGTGACATATTAGGGAAGCAGCACCCGACTGGGACTCAAAAGACCTGGGTTTGAAACTTTTGATTACTAGCTTAGCTGTGTGAAATCAGGCAGATGGTATAACTTCTCTCATTGATGATGTCAATCTTTTTAAAAATTTTCTAGCAGTGAAATTTTAAAAAATGAAATGTTAGGTGAAACCTCAAACTTACAACAGTGGTAAAATTGGAAGGGTTCTGGATGGAGTGAGGGCAGGGAGGGGTAACTGGGCTGAGGGGCCCCTCTTCAGCCTCTTCCTCCCCTTCAACGAAGTCTGAAAATCTCTGGCTAATATGGTGATCCCTAAGATTTCTTTGTACTTTAACATACGAAAGTTATTCTAAGATTTTGTATGTTTTGGCTTGAGTGCACCTTCTACACTCCTTCCAGATAGTAAGCTTTTGTTTGAAATTTAAGCTTCCATCCTCTCACTTTGACATAGGTGAGAGAAAATAAAAATCCCAGAATGTCTGAATGAAGTCTGCTTTTTCATAGTTTAATTTGAAGCCACTTTGCTTCAGTAAGCACGGAAGGAAGTAGGATGCTGAACTATGAATTTAAAACCTGGTGAAAAGCAAAATAGCATTAAAAGAATTTTTTTAAATGTACTTTGCATGTTTGATTCCTTATTATCTTTTAGATATGATAGTATTCAAAGATAATAATTGTCCACAGTTATTTTTAACAATTGGTTACAGTAAATGTTTGCTTAAAAGTTTTATGTACTAAACATTTGAAGCTAGAAAAAAAAGTTTTAAAATAGAGGTTAACAGTTTTTAAACAACCCTGTGCCTCGTAAGTTCTGAGGCTTGATTCTCTTTGAGTTTTAAACATAAGAAAAGAAGGACGTTTTATTCCACATTGGCCAAAACCAATCCACGTTACAGCCACTTGTTATTTTCTGGCCTTTTTGTTGCTGTGTCAAAATAATCCACATTTTCAAGGAGAAAAAAGGAAAACTAGAATTGGTAAAAGTATTATACTTTCTTTTTAAGATTCTGCTGTTCTCTTCCTAGGAAGGTGTCTTACCTTTTCCTTCTCGATTTAAGTAAAATAGAAGCAACTATCTCGTACATTCTTTAACAGTGGGATCGGCAAGTGTCATTACACTGTACTGCTTATGACTTGTATTAACCACAGTCAGATAACATTCAGAGAGCAACATTTTAGTCATTGCACATTGTGAAATGTATTGTCGCTTAATGTTTTTTAAAACTTGGCAATTTTCCACATCTGAGATAAAATGAAAGAATTATGTGGAGTACATATATCACACCTCACAACAGTAAACGTCTCTACTTTGTTGGGTGTGTTTAAGAAACCTGTTTTACAGGATACTGGATCTAGTCTTTAAAATTTTGCCTTTTTTTTTTTAAGTCCGATTCATTAAAAGTTTAAGCTGGTAGGATTTATCCTTGTTATACCTAAGACAGACTAATAATCTGTATTATTTACCTTAATTATATGCTTTCCCCCGAGGAGGCATTCTGGTGTGAAATGGTTAAGATGGCAGACTTTAAAGAAGCCAGCTTACCTGGATTTGCGTCCCAGCTCTGCCATTTGCCGGCTGTGTGCCTTGGTTTCCTTATCTGTAAACTAGGGATCATAGGGTTTTTGTGAGGGTTAATGAATAATCATTCAATATAGGTTAGCTGTTGTAGTTGTGGGCTGTGCTGTTGCTCACTTTAAGAGAGTGGAGTTTGCTGTACTGTATTAGATAGGCAGTCTAAAGACCAGTCTTGGCTAATTCTGATACTTGACAGAACGCTAGCCTATTTGCCACTTCTGATTATACTCTTAGTTTAATTCATACTATAACATATAACCCAAACGTAATTATGTTAGATTTTATAAAGTTATGTTCCTCCAACTTTGCTCCATGGTATTTGTTCACTTTGTGAAAGTTCATTACGCTGCATGTCAGATTCGTATACTTTTCTGAATAATGTTATACTTCAATAAAATGTGCCAAATCTATATTGTTAAAGTGCCTCTCACTAATTTAGGTGAGAAGTCATTCCTTCCCATTTGCTGCTGTTGTTCTCTTGCATAGACGAGGATCCTAAATTTTCCACCCATTTTCTTTGCAGGGTAAAAGGACAAACTTGCGTAAAACTGGCTCAGAGCGTATCGCTCATGGAATGAGGGTGAAATTCAACCCCCTTGCTTTACTGCTAGATTCGTCTTTGGAGGGAGAATTTGACCTTGTACAGAGAATTATTTATGAGGTATGATTATAATTAGTAAATTTTTTTTTTTGAGTCAGAGTCTCGCTCTGTCATCCAGGCTAGAGTATAATTAGTAAATTTTTAAAATATGACCTTGTATTTTGTTTTAAAGCTCTAATTAGAAAGCGACTGTAGAGAAATTGTATTTTAAAATTGTTTTCCTTTTAGGCATTGTGGGGTTGTGTTCAGGAACTCTTGGGCACGCTTTAGAATAGGCTATGCTGTTTTAAAGGTATGACTATGGAATTGTCATCATTTGGAAGTTCGGTTTTCACTTGGAGTCCTCTAGAGTACTTTTCTTTCTTAAGAGAGATCATTACTCCCCTTTAGAAATTGTTCATGTATGGATTTGTACTATACTGTATTAGGTTAGAGATGCGGTCTCTACTTTTAGAAGCCTACTATTTAAAATATTTTTAGTTGACCTTTTTTTTTTTTTGCTTTCCATAGCAAATGCAACTTCTACTTAGAAACTAATTTGTGGTGAGAAGCTGGGAGGATAAATAAACAAAAATGACTATAAGGATATAGTTTCTGGTACTTCCTTTTTTTAAAAAAAACCTTTTTATAGTGACTGCCTACTTAATGTGGTTTTTCTGTCTGTCTTATTTCTAGAATTGTTCTTGGTATAGTTTTCTTGGCTCCTATAGGTTTTAATTATGATTTTTAAAAGTGTCACAAGAGTCCATTTCTGTCCTCTTGACCCTAAAGGAGCCAGTTAGTAGTGACAGTTCAGGTGACAAGAAACTAGAGTGATGCTCACCCTTCTTCTTGATATAGGTTGATGACCCAAGCCTCCCCAATGATGAAGGCATCACGGCTCTTCACAATGCTGTGTGTGCAGGCCACACAGAAATCGTTAAGTTCCTGGTACAGTTTGGTGTAAATGTAAATGCTGCTGATAGTGATGGATGGTAAGATTTTCTTTTAAACTCCAGTCAAACTTCAGTTGTGGGAATCGGTTTATAAGCAGTTGTCATAGTGCTGTTGGAAGACAAAGAAGTATGTCAGTTATGTCCTTGAGCTGCTTGTAATCTAGCTGGAGAAATGTGGTATCTATTTTTGAGGAATTAACATGTGTTCATGTAACAGTCATCTCATTCCCATCCTGGAAGTAGGTGGAGTTTTAAAAAGTTTAGTAGTTAATGATAAAAATAAGTGTAACAAAGTAGTACACAGTTAATTAGCATCCTTAAGCAAAGCTTAAGAGAGAAGTGCTGATTTAGGCAAGGTATCCCTAAGCCCCTGAAATGGTTCAGTCTTCAATATATTAATGTCCATTCTATATCTCCAAGAGGGGATTATAACTTGCAACATATCCTAAATATATTTGACCATGGAATCCATTTTTCGTGGAACCAGGGTGTACGTAAAACGCAAGCGGTACTGCAAGTGATGAGTATTGTTTGCAGGATAGGGGAAATGTTAGTCAATATTAAATAATAATAATAAAGGTCCTAATAAGGTCCTGTCATCCCCAAAACTAACAGAATAGACAGCAAATTTTGTATGTTATTTTTAAAAAAGAAAGTTTTAAGTTACATTGTGTTACTTTTGTGGAAGAATACAAACAATTGACTTTTTTCTTTATAGGATTTTAAAAAGTTGTAATCACACTATATTTACTCCAGTATTTTAGTTTCACAACTTGTTTTTCTCATAATATGGAAAATAGTTACCATATAAAATTCTCATGTATGCATATATAAATTGCATACACACATACATACATTTCAGTTAGCCTCGTATTACTCTACCGCGTGACTGTGTACTCATTTATTGTGACGGTCTCCCTTTTATTAGACATTGAGATTGTTTTCCAACTTTTGTTTTAATGCTTGGAGAAGCACTTTGGTTACAATTTTTAAACACTTATATTTTAATGTGTGTCTACTGTGGGAAACATGCAAAATAGAAATAAGGGGAAAACAAGCCATCTGTATCCCCACAGTGTACAGGTAAACACCATTCATATTTTAATATATTTTCTTCAGGCTCTTTTTAAAAAAAAATTATTTTTTATTTTTATTTTTATTTTTGTAGAGACAGGGTCTCACTGTGTTGCCCAGGTTGGTCTCGAACTCCTGGACTCAAGTGATCCTCCTGCCCGAGCCTTTCAAAGTGGTGGGTTTATAGGTATGAGCCACCGTACTTGGCCCAAGCTCTTTTTCATATGCTTTTCACAAATATAGTTAAGCTCCTAATACATATGTAATGTTTTAAGCCTATATTTTTAGTTTCACATTATAGCATAAAGAAAACAAATTCTTACTGTGTCATAATGCCCTTGTTTTCCTAATGTTGGGAGTTTATGTTGTATATAATTTTTCATTATTAAAAAGCATGCAGTGAAAAAATCTATAGTAATATTTGCCAAACTATTTAATAATAGTGTTCTGGCCAGGCATGGTGGCTAATACCTGTAATCCTAGCACTTTGGGATGTTGAAGCAGAAGATCACTTGAGCCCAGGAGTTTGAGATCAGCCTGGGCAACAGAGAGAGACCCTGTCTCTATAAAAAATTTTTAAAAATTAGCTAGGTGCGCTGGTGTGTGCCTGTAGTCCCAGCTACCGGGGAGGCTGAGGTGGGAGGATTGCTGGAGCCTGGAGGTCAAGACTGCAGTGAGCTGAGATTGCATTGCTGTACTCCAGTCTGGGTGACAGAGCAAGATCCTCAAAAAAAAAAAAAAAAAGTGATCTGGAATGGGGAATTTAAAAAAATTTTTTTTCTTTTTTTGTTTTTTTTGAGTCAGGGTCTTATTCTGTCACCCAGGCCGGAGTGCAGTGGCACAATCTTGGCTCACTGTAACTTCTGCCCTCTGGGCTGAAGCAGCCTCCCGTCTCAGCCTCCCAAGTAGCTAGGACCACAGATGTGTGCCACCACACCTGGCTATTTTTTTGTATTTTTAGTAGAGATGGGGTTTTGCTGTGTTGCCCAGGCTGGTCTTGAACCCTTGAACTCAAGTGATCTGCCCTCCTTGGCCTCTCAGAGTGCCAGGATTACAGGTGTGAGTCACTGCGCCTGGCCAAAAAAAAAATAAAAATTTTTTTGAGACAGAGTCTTGCTGTGTCACCCTGGAGTGCACTGGTGTGATCTTGGCTCACTGCAACCTCCACCTCCTGTTCAGGTGATTCTCATGCCTCAGCCTCCCCAGTAGCTGGGATTACACACCCGGCTAATTTTTGTATTTTTAGTAGAGTTGGGGTTTTACCATGTTGGCCAGGCTGGTCTCAAACTCCTGACCTCAGGTGATCTGCCCGCCTCGGCCTCCCAAAGTGCTGGGAGCCACTGCGCCTGGTCTAAATTTTTTTTTCAAGTCTGTATACCCAAGGAGAATAAAGGGGAGAGGAAAGAGTAAAGAAACTAAATCTTATGTACTTTAGAGCCTGATTAACATTTTCACACTCAACTTCTGAGTTTGGACAGTGGTACTGGCTCTTGTACCTTTACCATTACTCTAGGGTCATTTATAATCTATTATAAAACATTTGAGATGCTGGAGTTCTCTTTAATGGTATTAATAAATTCCTGCTGACCAGTTACCTATAGTTGAAATATGTGTATTTTACAGTCACTTTTCTGGTCTCAATTGATTTGACAAATTTTTTCAATTAAAATTTGTTTTAACTTGGGATTTAAAAAATATAAAAGTAGTTCATCTATGCAACTTAATTCCTTCAAAATTGATGACGATAAATAGATATTTAAAGGCCAGTGTTTTGAGTGAAGGTGTATAACTTAAATAACTTAAGGACTGTTAGGGCTTCTACTCTGAAAGAATTAGGCTGGATGCTCCAGGACATAGAACTAAATCCATGTTAATATTGTTTTTCTTAAATGTTTATACACATTTCATTTCTGTTTATTCACGTCCTTGATTCTTCTCACCCTTTGCTAAGCTCCCAGCCCCATTGTGGTCCATGACTCTCTGAAATTTTCATTTGTGGCTGTAATTCTTTGATGGGTTCAATCATCTGTGTTGAACTGGTTTTTAAAAAACTGTTTAAGAGGTTTTCAGAAGAAAACTTGGTAGATGAGAGACTCAAGAACTTTCTTTCCAGATATCTTATCAGCAGGTGTCATTCAGTTTAGGAAAACAGTTCTAGCCCTCGTATCTTGCTTCACAGGACTCCATTACATTGTGCTGCCTCATGTAACAACGTCCAAGTGTGTAAGTTTTTGGTGGAGTCAGGAGCCGCTGTGTTTGCCATGACCTACAGTGACATGCAGACTGCTGCAGATAAGTGCGAGGAAATGGAGGAAGGCTACACTCAGTGCTCCCAATTTCTTTATGGTATGTGACAAGTAGAACTAAATGTATTGATTACTGCATTCATTTATTCTGTATCTCCAGGGTATAATTCAATAAGTATTTTTGTTTGGAAAAAATCTTGTGTTATCCATAGTCTTGGGCCTTGAAAATACAACAGCCTTGGTCACAGATAATACAGCTTCTGTTTGTATGCTTAGAAACAGCTATTGTCAGGGACTTCTTCAATTACAAAAGACAGTGTTGCAGCATCTGACCTAGTGGTGTTAATGACTTTGACCATCAAAAGACCCTCTATTAAGGCTTTAGTACTTATAGATTGATGGTGTATCCTTGCAAATAAGTAAACAGACCCCCCTCTCCTAACAACATGATCAAGAGAAGTGAAGGATCAGTTTAAGAACCCAAATGGTCCAAGTTTTCCTAAAAATCAAACTTGTCATAAAGTGAAATAAAGGCAACATATATTTTGGAGCTGTCTTTTATTTTTTTCTCTTTTGTTTTCTTGATTTTGAGTTTATGATTCTGATTGCTAACATCAGATCTGTACCTAGAGGAAAATGGACTTGAAGTTTTAGATAGATATATGTTGATTGGCATTTGTATATACAAGGAAAATTTTTTTTGTTTACAAGGCTTAGAAGTTGAGGTAAATTTTCCTCTTTAGTTGGGCTTGAGAGGAATTAAAGAAGGAGGGAAGACAGAGACAAATGAGGAGGTCCCAGAACTCCATACTGCTCAAGTTTTCAGTAACTCCTTTCCCAGTTGATTGGAAGACCCCTAAGGGTAAAACAGACGCCTCTGCCCTCTCTGCTGAACTTTTCCCTCTGTCTCTAGGCCTTTTTTCAGGCCCTAGGTATGAAGAGAGAGGGGTCAGAGAACCACAAACCTGGAGTTCCCTTCTTCATCTCTCTCAGCTGGTAGTTTTTAATTGCTGATATTTGTGATTATTTTATTTTTTTAGAGGCGAGGTCTCACTCTGTCACCCAGGCTGGAGTGCAGTGGCATGGTCATTGCCCACTGTAGCCCCAAACTCCCAGGCTCAGGTGACCCTTCTGCCTCAGTCTTTCAAATAGCTGGGACCACAGGCACCTGCCACCACACCTGGCTAATTTTTAATTATTATCTATTTATTTATTTATTTATTTATTTTTGAGGTAGGGTCTTGCTCTGTCACTCAGGTTGGAGTGCAGTGGCACAATCACAGCTCACTGCAGCCTTGACTGCCAGGGCTCAGGTGATCCTTCCACCTCAGCCTCCAGAGTAACTGGGACTACAGGCATGTACTACCACACCCAGCTAGTTTTTGTATTTTTAGTAGAGATGGAATTTTGCCATGTTGTCCAGGCTGGTTCTCAAACTCGTGAGCTTAGGCAATCTGCCTGTCTTGGCCTCCCAAAGTGCTGGCATTACAGGTGTGAGCCACCATGCCTGACCTTTTAAATTTCGTTTGGAGTTGGGGCCTCAGTCTGTTGCCCAGGCTAGTCTCAAACTCCTGGCCTCAGAGAATCCTCTTGTCTCAGCCTCCCAGAGCTGAGATTACAGGTGTGAGCCACCATGCCCAGCCTTTGTTTATGTTTTAAACTCTGGACCATAGAATATTTTGATATAGTAACATATTTAAAAATTTATATATATAAATATAAATTTTATATATTTATGTATGTATTTTGTTTTTGAGACAATCTTGCTCTGTTACTTAGGTTGGAATGCAGTGGTGTGATCATAGCTCACTACAACCCTGAACTCCTAGGCTCAAGCAATCCTCCCACCTTGGCCTTCCAAAGTGCTGAAGTTATGGGCGTTAATATAATGTGTTAACCGGTATAATGTGTTGGCCGGGTGTGGTGGCTCATGCCTGTAATCCCAACACTTTGGGAGGCCGAGGCAGGTGGATCTCTTGAGGTCAGAAGTTCGAGACCAGCCTGGCCAACATGGTGAAACTCCATCTGTACTAAAAATACAAAAATTAGCCAGCTGTGGTGGCGGGCACCTGTAATCCCAGCTACTTGGGAGGCCGAGGCAGGAGAACTGTTTGAACCCGGAGGCGGAGGTTGCAGTGAGCTGAGACCATGCCATTGCACTCCAGCCTGGGCAACAAGAGTGAAACTTTGTCTCACAAAAAAAGCCGGGCGCGGTGGCTCACGCCTATAATCCCAGCACTTTGGGAGGCCGACGTGGGCAGATCACGAGGTCAGGAGATCGAGACCATTCTGGCTAACATGGTGAAACTCCGTCTCTACTAAAAATACAAAAAATTAGACAGGCGTGGTGGTGGGCGCCTGTAGTCCCAGCTATTCGGGAGGCCGAGGCAGGAGAATGGCGTGAACCCCGGAGGAGGAACTTGCAGTGAGCTGAGATCACGCCACTGCACTCCAGCCTGGGCAACAGAGCGAGACTCCATCTCGGGGGAAAAAAAAATATACACACACACACACACACACACACACGCACACACGCACACACACACATATATATAATGTGTTAATATGTGTTTTGCTGTATTAATTTTATTGACCATCTGACCTATATTTAGATATGGAATATGATTTTTTTAAACATTAGGGATATTTGGTCAGATTCTTAAAATTTATGAAGTATATCATAGATACCAGGATGTGCTGTTTAAGTAATAATGATAGTAGATTACACACAGTGAGTAATTGTGTACCCACCTTAGGAGACAGAACATAACCACTGTCCCTGACATTGTTTGGATGCCCCTCCCTGATGTGGCCCCTTCTCACGTCTGTAGTGACCGCCGCTTTTACGTTTAGCATTCCTTGTTTTGTAAAATAATTACATCATTTGTATATGAGTCCTATAACTAATATCTGCAGTTTTGCTTGTTTTTGCCCTTTATATAAAATCATACTGGTGATTCTGTGGCCTGCTTTTCTCATTCAACATGGTTTTTGAGATTCACTCGTGTTGCCTGTAGCTGTAGTTTATTTTCACTGCACAGTTTATCTTTTTATTCTGCTTTCGAAGGACATGTGTGCTGTTTCCCTCCTTCCCTCCTTCCCTCCCTCCTTCCTTTCCTTCCACTGTAAACATCCCTGTGAACATTTTGGTACTTGTCTTCTGGTGTTTATCTACAAGTGGACTTGCCAGGTCACAGTGATACACATCTAGCAGAGGGTTCCTTTTACTCCACGTTCTCTTTGACTCTTGGTGGATTTGGAATGATACCTCGTAGCTTTCGTTTGCATTTCCCAAGTTACCGGTAAGATTGAGCATGTTTTTAGTCCCCTCAAAAAATTTTTTAAAAAGTAATCTACAACTCTTAATCTGATAAATAGCAAAGTAATGAGAATTTTTCTCCATTCCTAATGATTTATTGGAGGCTGGGTGCAGTGGCTCATGCCTGTAATCCCAGCACTTTGGAGGCTGAAGTGGGAGGATCTCCTGAGCCCAGGAATTCTATACCAGCCTGGGCAAGACCCTGGTCCCTAATTTATTGCAAACTGGGACTTGAGCTGTTATTTTGAGTATACTAAAATATCCAGAATCTCCTACGTCTTTCTTCATTCCCATCTCAGACACTGTGGCCATTTTAAAAACTTTGTGAAATTACAGTTATATAAAGTTTGATCACCATGTGAGTCTGTCATGCTTTGCATGTCATCTTTAAACAAGAAAAGTTGGAAATTGTCTCTTTAGATTGGCAGAGCCTTCTTCTAGAAAAGAAGAATTTCTTGTTTCAGTTTTTCCCAGAGTGAGAGAAATATACTGTGTGCTATATCATTAGTTGATACAGGAATAATTTCATAATCAATAGTGTAGTGCTCACATAAGTTGAAAAAGCTAACTATTCAAAAGCTAGCAAGTATTTTCCTGGTTTTTAAAAAATTATAAAAGTGAAAATAATAATTCTGAATTGCTGAGAACTTTATTACCTTATTTTCCTTCTCCTCTGCTTTTTTCCTATTGCCTGCCAGTTGATGATTGTTATTTCTTACTAGCATTGCCCTTTAGGATAGGAAGGTATAAGTGAAGAAGGGCAAAACTTAAATGTGTAGTTAATTTGCAAATCTGTTACTAACTCTGGTGAAAGGTGGACTTCTGAGGATTTTTCCCTTCCTAGTTTGAGGATTTCGACATCTTTTAAGATTCGGATTCTTACTATATTAGAGTTGATTATATGAAGACTTTGATCATGTCTAAAATGCCATATTTTTGCATTCTAACATATTCTATATATATTTTTTCCTCTGTCTTTCCCCATTCGGAAATTCATAGAGACCATTGTGCCTCCATCTTTTTTTCTCTGTCTGCTCTGAATTTTGGGTAAAGAATGAAGTAATGTTTCTAGAGTTCCTTAGTCATTACATTTGGGAGTAGGCTGAAATTGGACAGGCATATCGTTCACTTTTTTAATATCCTAGACTTGAACAGTTCTTTTTTTAGTTCCTAAGCTTGCAAAAGTTTTGTACTCTGAGTAGCTCCTTTAAGAGATGCTTATAAAGTGCTAGGTTTTAGAGGTGTTTTAGAGATGATAGCATATAGTAATGTGTCCTTTGTATGTTCCCAATACACTGTTGCCTTCCACTGCATGCTACCCCCCACCTCAGGACATTTTATTGTATATTTAATGTAGTACTAACATTCCAGCCTGTACCTGTTTCTTCCCATTTTGTTTCATATAGCTAAAAGTTGTAGAGTGGTATACTCCAAGTTGTATATTCTGTGCTTTATCTTACTGTCATGATTTTAGGAGTTCAGGAGAAGATGGGCATAATGAATAAAGGAGTCATTTATGCGCTTTGGGATTATGAACCTCAGAATGATGATGAGCTGCCCATGAAAGAAGGAGACTGCATGACAATCATCCACAGGGAAGACGAAGATGAAATCGAATGGTGGTGGGCGCGCCTTAATGATAAGGAGGGATATGTTCCACGTAACTTGCTGGGAGTAAGTTATTCTGACGCTTACGGTGTTTTCATATGTGCCAGAGAGGGGCTTTGTAAAAACTGCTGTATGTTATGTGTACAGTGCACCAAACTGCCCTTTGTTAATAAGACATGGAATTTAAACATTTTGATAGTCTTAGACTTAAAGCCTCATTTTCAGTGATTCTTATTATGACCAATAACATCTGTTTGCCAGCCCTGGAGGTCAGGGGTCCTCCCTACATTTATAAACAGACTAAAGATAACTGGATAATATGATTGGAATTGAGCCTGTGACATCTGAAATCAATTTTTAATCTGTCTAAATCAGGATTTGCAAATCTGGTAGAGAGCTTCAGCAGGGCATTAAGGACAAGATTCTTTGTTTTTCTGTACTATTTGATTTATATTTCATAAAAAGCAAGAAAATAATATCATGCCAGCACGTATGTACCACTTCTATAGTGTAGTACAATGGGACTGCTGTCATCATGTAAAGATTCTCCTGGAGTATTTTCAGGGGAAGGCTGGCGTATGGTCAGACAGAGGAGAGAAAGCGAGAATAACAGATTCCAGGGCTTTGCAGTAAGCTCTTTATAGATTCAGCTGTTCTCTTATAGCAGTTGTGTGTGTGCAAGGGGCATGGAGGGTGTATGAAAGAGTGAGAGAAATGATCAGGGTAATCGAGAGATTGAGATAAAAGTTTAAAGTGCTTGCAGAATCTGCTGTTGGTGAGGAAGTAAGGAAAGGGTTGAGGAAGGGAAGAGCCAGTTGTGATACACAGAAGATGGTGTGTAGGTTGTGAGCACTGGCCTCTACGTTGCTTCAGCTCCATCTGCAGCACCTGTTATCTGGATATCCAGGCTGCAGAAGGAACGTGGGGAGGGCTGGAGAATCCTGCCTCCCAAGATTAGTGTGGGGATAACTCAGAGGTCTAATAGAGAGCAAATGGTAGATGTATTCTTGGTCTTTTCATCAAGTGTCGGATGGACATGGCCTCCACCCACATGGAGCTTCTACTCTGGCATCTAGGTGATGAACAGGATTCTGTCTGTGAGTGATCCACTGCCTAGGCATTACTTTCAATGGGATTACTTGAAATGACTTCAGTGTTGGGACCTGACTGCCTGGATTCTGACCAGCATCTCTCCCTGACTCTCCCTTCCACACTGTTGTTTGTCTAACGTGCAGTGTAAATGACTTATACACCTTGACTGCTGCTGTCCTGACAGCAAAATTTATTATGAAATAACCATTTCATAATAAGTTTTGAATAGATGATTAGACAGTATTCATTTGGGTGATCATAACGTAACTTTAAAGAATACTGAAAGTGAAAAACAAATACAATTAGACTATGCAGCCCTTAAAAAAAACTTTCAGGGGCCCGGCATAGTGGCTCACGCCTGTAATCCCAGCACTTTGGGAGGCCGAGGCAGGAGGATCACTTGAGGTCAGGAGTTTGAGACCAGCCTGGCCAACATGGTGAAACCCTGTCTCTACTAAAAATACTATAATCCCAGCTACTCGGGAGGTTGAGGCAGGAGAGTCGGTTGAGCCTGGGAGGCAGAGGTTGTGGTGAGCCGAGATCGTGCCACTGCACTCCAGCCTCGGTGACCCTGTCTTAAAAAAAAGCTTTCAGATGACCAGAGGAAAGTAGAAATATAAAGGCTGTTCTCTTTCAAGCACCCTCAGTTGCTTCTCCAGAGTCTCTAGCACTAGAGAAGTACAGTCTCTTGCCTACAGCCACTTTCCTTCTCTGATAAACATAAACATCAATGGTAAATAAGCCCTTTTGTATAGTTTCTTATCTGGGAAAGACTTTACCTCCTTAGAACTAGTTGCTTACTTGAGTCTTGTATTTTCTTTTTTTAAATTGGCAAAAATTGTGTATATTTATGGTGTATAACATGATTTGAAATATGTATACTTGTAAAATGGCTAAATTGAGCTAAATAATACATGCATCATCTCACATGGTCATCATTTTTTTGGTGAGAACATCTATTAGTGATTTTCAAGTATATAATACATTATTAATTATAGTCACCAAGTTGTACAGTAGATCTTTTGAATTATTTAAATTTTCTAACACAGGTCCTGTGGTTAATGACACGGGGAACATTGCATGTTTCCAAGTGCGGGAGCAGTGGGTCAGAGAGTGTTTTCTCTCGTGTGTGTGGCGCTTAGAAGATTCTGAAATTAACAGACTGGACTGAATATTTTCATTTTAGTCCTAAATTTAGATTTTCTTAGTACTTTGAAAATCTTTTCTTGTTAGAAGTATCCTCTACACCACTTTTTTGGTTTGTTTTCCTGATCTTTTTTTTTAAAGGAAAGTGCATATATGTAGTTAGGGCTCAGATAGCAGTCTAGAAAATTGTATTAGCTAAATGTCTTTTTTTCAGATAGAAAAGTAATATTTTCTGTAACATGGATCCACCAGTTTTTCAGTTTTAACTGGAAGTCTGACTCTTTTTAAAATTATTTATTATTTTTAAATTTTTTAATTGGGATGTAATTAAAGCCTATGCTTCTACTTTCTTTGAGTAATCCTTTTTCTTCCTCTTCTTTTGTCAAGAGGGGCTGCTTTTGTTTGGTGTGTCAGTTGAATTTATCAGTTTGACTTGGTCCTGGCTCAGGCCTAGAGGCCTTGCAACCTTCACTAGGACTCACCTTTACAGCTCTTGTGGAAACACAAAACCACAGAATTGTAAAGCAAAAAACTCCACCTAATCTTCCTTAAATTTATAGACTTTTAATCTGTGGCATTTCATTTCTGACAGTCTGAAGTCCCATGACACAATGTCATGTCCATTGTGAATAAAGGTAAAAGAATTCAGTCTCTTTCTTCCTTCCTAATAGAAGCTCCAAATGCTGGAGCATAGAGCATACAGCAGTTTGCCTTCCTTGTTAGAGCCGATTTACATAGAGCCGATTTACAGCTCAACAAGCTGTGCAGATTGAGTTAATACCTAGAACTGTCATGGGTTTTTATATTGCTGCTTTGTAGAGTTGTCACAGTTGACGGGCCCTTGTGATCTTTGAACGTCCTGCTGAGTCTAGCTATGACCACGTTGCTAAACGTAAAGCTCTAGGTGCCACACACACCACAAAGAGTGCTTTTCTCACTTTGATTTCCTTCCCATGACATCTGTCCCCTAACCTCATTATTTCTTGAAATTTTGTTATATTCCCACACATCTATTATAGTATGTAAAATTTTTTAAACTCTCTTGCAGCTGTACCCAAGAATTAAACCAAGACAAAGGAGCTTGGCCTGAAACTTCCACACAGAATTTTAGTCAATGAAGAATTAATCTCTGTTAAGAAGAAGTAATACGATTATTTTTGGCAAAAATTTCACAAGACTTATTTTAATGACAATGTAGCTTGAAAGCGATGAAGAATGTCTCTAGAAGAGAATGAAGGATTGAAGAATTCACCATTAGAGGACATTTAGCGTGATGAAATAAAGCATCTACGTCAGCAGGCCATACTGTGTTGGGGCAAAGGTGTCCCGTGTAGCACTCAGATAAGTATACAGCGACAATCCTGTTTTCTACAAGAATCCTGTCTAGTAAATAGGATCATTTATTGGGCAGTTGGGAAATCAGCTCTCTGTCCTGTTGAGTGTTTTCAGCAGCTGCTCCTAAACCAGTCCTCCTGCCAGAAAGGACCAGTGCCGTCACATCGCTGTCTCTGATTGTCCCCGGCACCAGCAGGCCCTTGGGGGGCTCACCTGAAGGCTCGAAGGCACTGCACACTTGTATATTGTCAGTGAAGAACTGTTAGTTGGTTGTCAGTGAACAATAACTTTATTATATGAGTTTTTGTAGCATCTTAAGAATTATACATATGTTTGAAATATTGAAACTAAGCTACGGTACCAGTAATTAGATGTAGAATCTTGTTTGTAGGCTGAATTTTAATCTGTATTTATTGTCTTTTGTATCTCAGAAATTAGAAACTTGCTACAGACTTACCCGTAATATTTGTCAAGATCATAGCTGACTTTAAAAACAGTTGTAATAAACTTTTTGATGCTAGCTGTTTACTGGTTTTTGTTTTTGATGTCATAAATAGACCTTGTTTAATAGTCACAAGCCGTTGGGATATCATACCCAGCTGAAAAAGAACAAACTGCTTAACATAAGTATATGTATCGTAATAAGAGTTTTTTACCAGCTAAGTGATTCAATGTAAGTGGTTTTTAAAATAAAATACTGTAGAGATCATGGTGATAGAAGCCTACTTTACATTTTACCTAGAGCCTCTAATAGACTGTTTTAGTGTCCTCATTGATTTATGGGGTGAAAACTTATATAGGCAAAATCTCCACATCATTTTATTAATATGTTAATAGGTTTGTGAATTGTTTCCAAACCCATTTGCTTAGTGGAACTACTTTAGTAGAAGATACAAATGAAAAACCATGGTCACTCTTCCTTACACATTTTTATGAGTAGCTAAATTCTAGCAAGGAAGGTAGATGAAAGAACATAATTTTGAGAATAACACTTTTGAGAGTAACGGAGAAGGAGTGACAACATAAACTAAACATCCGAAGACGTGTGGTAGGCAGAATTCTAAAGATGCCCTGCACCCCCATCCCTGTCTCCTGGTTATTCCTTGTATCACTAATGTAGGTACAATAAGTCCTTACTTAACATCATCATTAGGTTCTTGGAAACTGTGACTTTATTTTTCTTTTCTTTCCTTCCTTTTCTTTTTTTTTTGGGAGACAGGGTCTTGTCATGCTGCCCGGGCTGGTCTCTGATGCCTGGCCTCCAGTGGTCCTCCTACCTAGGCCTCCCAAAGCGTTGGGATTACAGGTGTGAGCCACTGCACCTGGCCAAAACTCAAAGTGAAAAGGTGTGTAACAAAACCATTTCTTTTTCTCATCAGTGTTCTAATGGTACAACATGAAGTGATGTTATTCGAGGACCTGCTGTTTCTGGTTGGTTGGTTTTACATCATTTTGCTCTAATTTGCAGTTACCAAGAACCTATCCGTGATGCTAGGTTTTGACGACTTACTGTACTGCTTTGAAGGACTTTTAAGATTTAAGTAAGTTTACGAATCAGTTGACCTTAAAATAGGGTGTTTAGCCTAGATTGTCCTGGTGGGCCACCGTAATCACAAGATCCCTTCACGGCAGGAGAGGAAGGCAGGAGGGCTGAGGCAGGAGGGTGGGCGGGGCAGGTGGGTGGGCAGTAAGACTTGGAGTGTGAAGACTTGACCTGCTGTCATTGGCTTTAAAGATGAAGAGGATCATGGAATGTGGGGGTCAGGGAACATGGAAGCTGAGAAAGACCCCCGGCTGGCCCATCCAGGAGATGGGGACTTCAGTCCTGATGGCCACATGGAACTGAACTCTGCTAACCTGAGTGGGCCTGGCTGGAAATGAATCCTCCCCAGGTCTCCAGAAGGAATGCATTAGTCCAATGAGACCAGCGTTGGACTTCTCATCTACAGAATTGTGAGATAATGGCTATTTTTTTAGGCCACTAAATTTGTCTTAATTTGTTACAACTACAGGAAACAACATGGATTCTAGTCCTGGGCTGTCGTACTTACCCATCAGGTGACCTTGCCAAGGACACCCGACCTCCCTGAGCCTTGTTCCCTCATCTGCGGAGTTTAATGCCATTGCCTTGGCATGCTTCCGAGTTGTTGAGGAAAACCTAAGTTCTGTGCATGAAGGTACTTGGCAAACTAAAGAATTACACAGATGTATGAACAGAGAAGATGTGAAAATTAGGGAACTGTGATCCCAGTTTTATATTCCTTAATTCTAAACTGAGAACATCATTGTTGTTAGTCTTTCTGTTCTTTAGTTTGTTTTATTATTAAAGTAAGTATCCTTATATCAAAGCTCCTTATAGAAATAGTACAGAAAAAGATTATGAAAGAGGGAGGGAAAAAGACCACTCTGGAGGTACCATTCACACTTGGGCCTATTTCTTTGTAGTCTTATCTATGATTTTTTTCTCTTTATATAGTTGAGAGCTTATTGTTTAAGCAATTCTGCATTCTCCTATATTATACTTGATATTGTATCATAAATATTAACATGAAAAAAATTTTTTTTTTGAGCCAGGGTCTCATTCTGTCACCTAGGCTGGAGTGTAGTGGCGCGATGTCAGCTCATGGCAACCTCCACCTCCTGGGTTCAAATGATTCTCATCTCAGCCTCCTGAGTAGCTGGGATTACAGGCCTGCGCCACCACACCCGGCTAATTTTTGTATTTTTATTAGAGACGGGGTTTTGCCATGTTGGCCAGGCTGGCCTTGAACTCCTGACCTCAAGTGATTCACTTGCCTCAGCCTCCCAAAGTGCTGGGATTACAGGTGTGAGCCACCATGCCTGGCCTATTAACATGAATTTTAATGGCTTCCTAATATTCCATCATGTCATTGAATCATTTGTCTAATGTTGAACAATTCTTGTGTATTGATGCTATAGTCATGTTTTTATGGTAGCACAGTTTTTAGGTCTTTACAGAATAAAAGGGAAGAAAGCAGGTGGGGAACAGACCATGCTAAAGGGGAGAGTATGCAAACCAGCTGTGCGCCTTCTAACGGCAGTGGAGCCACTGGGGATGTGGAGATTGTCACATGAATGGAGACGGAGTTAGCCAGAGAAGCAGACCTGAAGGAAACCAAAGGAATGTGGGTTCTCAGGAGAATCGTAAATGGTGTTAAAGGCAGCAGAAAGGTCCAGGGAGATAATGGCTGGTAGATGTTTATAGGATTTGGCATTAGGAGGTAACTGGTGATCATAAAAAGCAGCAGCAAAGAGAGGTAGGTGACTAGCCAGACTGTAGTGGGTGGAAAATGAATTGAGATCCAGTGTGGACAGCTTCTCCGGAAGCAGAAGCTTGGCTCTGGAGGAAGGAGAGGCCGCAGCAGGGGAGGTAAGAGTATTGAGTATACTTTAGGATGTGGTAGGTATTTATATATGTTTACATGCTGTGAGGGAAGAGCTGTGGAAAGAAAAACAGGAGAGGGGAAGAGAGAGAGAGAGAGGAGTTAATTGATAGAGGGCTGACTGACTGATGGGCCTGAGACTGCAATTCAGAGCAGAGACCCAGGAGGGAAGAAGTAGTGAGGGTTGGTGGCGGCGGGGGGGCGGGGGGTGGTGAGTTCGTACAGGCTCAGAAAGTTGAGCTTTACTTTGCTTATCATCTATTTGCGTATCTATCTATTTTTGCCCGCTGTAAAACAGGCATTAGCAAACGTTACACTAGATGGGAAAACTCAGGATGCTTGGTAATCTCTATTCCCTTTTCTTGTTCAGTCTTTTCTAAATTTGCTCTGATAAGCATATACCTTATTTATTTAATGTTATCTCAGAGACTAGGTCAGTCCCACAGATGAAAGTGCACCAGGAGATGCAGGGCCGTCAGCACAGTAGTCCAGGTTTGGAATGGCCTCTGCGGATGGGAGGGGCCTCCTTCCTGCTCCACTGTGTACCTCGTCTCTGGAGACCACTCTCTTCCTCAGAATCGAAAGCTGATCCCTCCTGCCTTTCACTCCCACCCCCTCCCAGCCTGGACCCTGGGGTCCTGTGTTGCAACCACTTCAGTCCCCACTGTCCATTCCCTTGTCCCCTGATCCTTCAGCTACCCTTCCCTTGCCCACCTCCAATCTTGAGTCAGTCCAAACATCTCCCACATCTTTCCTGCCACCTGTGCAGCTGGACAGAGAAATCACCGATGCGAGGAGGTTGGGACTCCTGCACTCTCATGGCCACCAGCCTCCCCTTTGCCCTCAAAATCCACTCAGCAAGCAAGAGAACTTCAACTCATTTGAGCCGAGTTTGGGAAATCCATTGTCTCACCTTGTTCAGGAAATATTAGGATGGCATTTGCCTATCATCTCAAGTCATCTTGAGGAAATGATTCATCAAGAACCACAAGCACCAGACCAGTGACTTCATCTGCATGTTTTCTCAGCTCCCTTGCTTGTACCTACCCCAGGAGGAGCTGGCCAAGGTCGAGCAGGGAACTTCCTGAGAGGCACATACGTCTCTGTGCTGCCTAACAGCAGATCAGCAAGCAGTAGAAATTAGAGCTTCCCTTATGTTATGGTCAGATTATCAAAGTTTCTGAATTGGATTTTAAAAAATTTTATAGTTCCACATTTTAATTATAGGCAAGGTGTCTTTTCCTTTGAATACATGAATTTACAGAGGCAGCATACCTTGTTAAAGTAGAAACAAGCTATAATTGTGTGCTCATAAACCGTCCTGTGGGGCTGCCCTCCAGGAAGGAAAACATGGCATGGTGTGATTGCATGGGGTAACCCTTTATTTTTATTTAACAGTACATTTGGAAGAAGATAAGGCAACAAGGCAAAATTTCTATAATGTTGCTAGCATTTTCCCAAGGTAAAGCCAGGAAACAAACTTGTGTCCTTTCTATAAGAACTTCTAAGTGATGTCCCCTCTAACTCCATGGACAGACACTAGTGGTGGTGAAGTTCATAAAGTTTTGAGGTGGCAAACAGCTTATTTTGTCCTTTATCATAATTGGTTTACAAATTGGATGCCTGGTTTTGGCATACTGGTTCAGTTGATCAAGCGCAGGATCCCTTTGGTCTTTGTAAGACCAGATGTATAAGGCCGAATAGGGTCAAGAACTTGATTGTAAGGAGAACGATTTACTATTACCAATCAATATTCTACAAAACCTGTCTCTTGTTTAACCCAAGCGACAGAGGTGAGTCTTCTCTCCTGGACTCTCCAGATGCCTTGACAAGATTACTTCATGATATACCATGTTTCCCAGTTGGCTCATGGGAAATGGTAATCTTGGACTGTTGTTTGGTAGAATCAACAGCTGCATTTTAAACTTGAAGTTGCTTTAAATATTCCCTGCCAAGGGCCTCGTGTCCTTTGAGAGCGACTCAATGTTTTTGCTCAGCTGTTAAATACCTCCCTGCATTTTTTTTTCCTGATTTAATATTGCTATGAACAGGAAAGTGTGTAAAAGTAAAAAGTGTATACTATTTACAGATTTAAAGCTTTCTTTGACCTTGTCAAGGGTTAAGCGACTCATTTGCATTTAGTATAATGATATGCAAATCTTTTACTTTGATGTGTGAAACTTCTGCTATCTCAAATTGACAGTATCATTATTTTCAGCTATGATCATCCGTTTAAGTAAATGTTCCCATAATTTTGAGGTCCAGATACAAAGTGTATTTCTATGGAAGCTTAGTCCTTGGCTGATTTTCCATCATGAGAAGTCTTCAGGCAGATTAGTTATAACTTCAAAGTACTGAGAAACAGAGCCACTGTGAGGAAGGAAAAAAAAAAGTCAGCTCAGTGACCACTTTTAAAATTAAAGGCTATTTAAGTACCTGTAGATTGTTCCAAAAAACTTGTACTGGAAAAGCTGATTGAGGGCTACAATATCAGTGCACTAACTCATATTTTTCTTACCTGATTTCTAGAGTCTAGCTTTTAACAGGTCAGTAGTCTGTGTGATTTGCATTAAGTGGCCATGAATCATATTACAGGGTTGATTGCACACATGAAAAGTGAAATTCACACAACAGAAATTAGCATTTTCACATCTCTGCCTCAGAGTATCACATCAGAAGTTAGTTTGGGATGTGGATATCCCTGCAACCAATGGTGTTCAGCATTGGTTCTAAGTTGTAGTGATACGGAAACTTTAAATCAGATTGATTCAACTGGTCTGGGATACAGACAGGACACCAGCACTTTGGCAAAGCTCCCCATGTGATGGAATCTGCAGCCAAGGTTGAAATCCCTGCAGACTGAACGGAGAGCTTCTGAACATGGCTCATCCTTGCAAAGACTACGAGAAGCGAGGATCTCCAGGAACCTGCAAAAGGTAAGGCTTAGGAGTGGCAGGAAAAGCCAGTGGGTAAGAAGATGCTTCTCGGAGGAGATGCGGAGGGAGTGGACTGAGCAGGCAGGCCAGGTGGACCCTGGAGTGGGGGTGGGTGGCTGGGGTAGAATAGGATATCCAGCAAGAATGACAGGCTAGGATTTCCAGAACTTAACATGTGGCATGTTTCGTGTCACAGTTGTGTTGACTCTACTATTTATTTCATTTTAAATTTTTTGAGACAGGGCCTTGCTCTGTCACCCAAGATGGAATGTAGTGGGGAGATCATGGCTCACTGCGGCCTTGACTTCTGGGCTCAGGTGTTCCTCCCACCTTAGCCTCCTGGGTAGCTGGGTCTACAGGCACGCACCACCATGCCTGGCTCATTTTTTTATTTTTTATTTATTTTTTTCTGAGACAGGGTTTTGCTCTTGTTGCCTAGGCTGGAGTGCAGTGGCACCATCTCAGTTCACTGCAACCTCTACCTCCTAGGTTCATGTGATTCTCCTGCCTCAGCCTCCAGAGTAACGTATTTACAGGCACCTGCCACCACGCCCAGCTAATTTTTTTTTTAGATGCAGTTTTGCTCTTGTTGCCCAGGCTGGATGGAGTACAATGGTGCAATCTCAGCTCGCCGCAACCTCCGCCTCCCGGGTTCAAGCAATCCTTTCGCTTCAGCCTCCCGAGTAGCTGGGATTAACAGGCATGTGTCACCACGCCTGGCTAATTTTGTATTTTTAGTAGAGATGGGGTTTCTCCATGTTACTCAGGCTGGTCTCGAACTCCCAACCTCAGGTGATTCGCCCGCCTTGGCCTCCCAAAGTGCTAGGATTATAGATGTGAGCCACCGCGCCCAGCCCTAATTTTTGTATTTTCAGTAGAGACGCGGTTTCACCATGTTGGCCAGGCTGGTCTTGAGCTCCTGACCTCAGGTGATCCACCTGCCTTGGCCTCCCAAAGTGATGGGATTACAGGCATGAACCACTGCGGCCAGCCTAATTTTTTATTTTTTTAGAGATGGGGTTGACTCTACATTGCAATCTAGGGGTAGAGATATTTCCTAGGATATGTAAAGTTTTAAGCAAGTTAGTGTTATTTGTAACCAGATAGACTATATTTTCACTTTGCTAATACAATGCATAATAGCAGAATGAGACAGTTATTTAGTTGCTGCCTTCCTCCAGAGTTCAAAATCCATGGAAAAGAGCTGCCAGTGCCTTAGACCTGCCCTCCTCACCACTTCACTCCTCTGTTACACGGACAGGACTGACAACTGCCATTCTCACCCAGTGTCAGCCACTTCGCCCGGCCCTCTGTGGCCTTCCCTGAGTATAGAGGAAATGCTGACTGGAGCCAGGTGATAATGGAAGTATACCCCACCTGGCTTCTTTCTTTCAGTGAGAGAACTTCCTGTCATTGGGATGACACGAGAACATTTTACGCTTTGCTTTTTGTGAAATTAGCATACCCACTTAATTCAGATTGATGATCATTTCAGAGATGTGTATTGCTAGGGTTCCAGACACATGAGTGCAATAACAATAATAAATGGCAAACGTATTTACTAGTATTGGTTTTATCTTAAACGGGGAGGGAGTAGAGAAAACTAATTTGCTTAAAGTATTTTAAGTAGATCCACTCTAAGAATGATGGATCTTCCCAAAACCCAACTTGAATTTCAGCTGAAGGATTTCTTTATATAAACATGTTCTCCCTTGCATGCTAATCAGGAGTTCATTTTTCTAAGCATGATCCTGCAGCCACTCCTTAGTTTAACCTTGAGCTACACTCAAGTCAAAGCTCATGAGAAGAGGGAGCCAGGCGTGCATTTTGGACTTGAGAATAGGTGGTTGGAAAACAACTGCAAGTAAAAGTGCATTGTGGGATCTTACAACCGGTTACAGGCCTGGCCCCGACAGACCAAGAGCTCTTTAAAGCAAAACTTGAAAAAGCAGATCACTCAAGTAACAGCCCTTTCCGCCCCATGCCTCCCCCATCCCCTTAGAAGCAAGGCGGGGCCTGCTGACTCACAGAGATAAGGTCGAGCTCTATTGTTCCAGTATTCTCGGGATCCAGCTGCTTAAATATCTCTGTGGAGGGAGAAAAAGAGGGTGTCACAAGTGAGTGAGCTGAAACAGATCACATTATCCTCTTTTCAGTTCAGCAACTGACTTCACTGACCACCATACATGCTTTCTTCCTCACCCTCAAATTAGTAAAGAGGGAATTTCATTCTCAACTCCTGGAAGACATGTCTCTAGTTTAGATGATTTCACCGAGGTGAAAGGCAGGCCACTTTAATACCAAGAGAACTGAAATGAGTCATTCCCCAAATATCCACTTACTGAATAGCGTTTCCAGCCGAACCAAACACCGAACAAAATTATCAAAATCGATGATGAGCTGGTCATCTGCAAACCGAGCAACGATGACTTGGTGGAGTTGACAGGGCATCTTGAAACCTGAAGTTACATGAACAAACAAACTCATTGCTAAGCATTAGATTGTTCCATTTAGCTGCGCTCACAGGCTATGAAACTAATGTGGTGATTTAAATGAGGTATAATTGCTTTTGTCCCTTGGCTGCTCTTCTGTGAGACTGGTTTGATTTTGCAAAGCCAGTACCTTCTGCTGTTTCTTTTGTTTTTGAACTGTCCACCTTCACCCTGCCTGTGTCCTTTGCTGACACATAAGTGTTTTCTTGCCTGTTTCTGTTCTCATGGTCACAGTTGCTTCATGTTGTTAACCATGCTGCTGCTGTTTGATTTTTTGTTTAGCTCTCAATCGTCTTGAAGATCAGATTCTTCCTGGATATATGTGAGCAGAAGCTTTCCTGGTAAACTCATAGTAGTTCTCTCTCCTTCCAGAGTAAAATAATTTTTATTGAGCCTATGGCCACCTAGCATCAAGACTGCATGTCCCAGCTTCCTTGCAGTCAACAGAGGCCTTGTGATCAGAGTCTGGCTGGTGGGATGTGTGACCGGAAATGGCCTGTGTGCCCTTAAAGGCAAGGGGCCCTTCTTCTGTCAACCTGTTGGTGGCATGTGTTTGTGGTGGCAGGCTGTCCCAGGTCCCTTGGATGAGGGTGACCCTTGAAGGTCCGGTGGGCATCATGGATGGGGGGAGGCTGGGGGAAGCGTGATCAGATAGTGACATGGTAGGATAGTAGGAGGCACCGTCCTAGCCGTGGACTGCTGGAGCTGGGATTGCTATACGACAGAAAGACATACCTCGTATAAACCAATGTTGTGTGGGGTCTCTGCAGCAGCATTATATTCCAGCAAATAGAATGAACAGCCTCATGCTGACACATTTGTTCCCAAAGCCCAGCAGTCTCCTGCTTTGCTGGTCTACCACTCGCTTGTGTCCTTTTATTGATATCCAATTCTGCTAGGGTCTTACCCTAAGGGCTGAGCTGAGACATTTGATTTCTGCCTAACCAACCCTGCACCAGAAAGGAAGCACCTGGAGGAGGCTGTTGAGACCTGGCTTTGCCTGCTTACTGTGCCAGGCGGCTCCAAAGGAAACTTGGATTCAAGAAGGCACAGAGGGCAGAGCATCCTACTGCATTTAATTTTACCAATTAGTCTTTGAAAGGGGAATGAAAAGGAGGTGTCTGTATTAAACCAGCACCTACTTTATTTTATAGCTTTACCAAATCTTGTGTTATATGGTATAAGATGAGTGTTCACATATTCTACAGACAGATTAAACTAGGAACGAAAATGCAGTTATAAAGGGTTACCTGCTTCTTCTAATGCCTTCCGCATTTCATAGGAATTCATGGTACCAGACCTGTCAACGTCGATTTCTCGGTAAATTTTCTGGAACACATAAGTTAGCTGTAAGAACTATGACCCAAAGCAAAGCTGGCAAGTTACCTCCCTAGTATGTGCTGAGTGGGGATGAAGTTTTTCCAGCTCTGTGCCTCTAGTTTGGCCGTGGAAGAATCACTTATGTTTCTGCCTTAAATAACTAATAGTATTTTGCTTCTGTCTGTGAGCTGGTTTGTAAATATGCCCATCAAATCAGCCAGCCAACGCCCATAGGTCCATGTTCTTGTCTTATATAATTTTTGTACTTTAGCTGTCAAAAACCCTTTTCAGGAAACCCTTGATGGTGGCCTTTAGATGATCCCAATAATCAGGAGGAAGGGAATAGGCCATTTCACCTGCGAAGTCCTGGTTGGTTTTTTGTTTGCATTTCCTCAGCCCCATCTTTACTCACTCTGAGCTTCATTATGGGTAAAATCCCAATCCCCTTGGAAATGTTTCTCCACTCTGTGCAGGAGTTGCTGCATCTTAAAGCATATGAACAGAATGTTTCCCAACACAGATCCACCCGCATCTCTGGGATCTTACTTGGTATTTTTGAATCTTCGTCCAGAGAATGTAGAACTCCTTCAGCCCCAGCTTGCCACTCCCGTCCGACTGCCTTCAGTCAAGGAAAGCCCTTGAGTGTGGGTCCATTTGCACATAGTGTCACCTAGTTTGTCTTCTCAACTGGATCTTTTGAATATCATAGCATATACACAAGGAGGGTTTGCAGAAGGATCCTTTTCCTGCTTTTCCCACTGGCTAAACCTCCATTTAAAGGATTGGAGGAAGGGCGAGAAAGACCTGCTGGCTCCCTGCCGAATCTGGTTGCTGTTTTGATCTAGGGGTGCTGTGGAGGCCCCAGATACTACTAAAAATGAGGTATTGGATGACATGCAGAGGGCTTTGGATGGCTTCTAGTGGCTAGGCCCTTGCTGTTTTTTTTAAAGTATGTGGAGTATATCTAAGAGGCCTTTGGTGAAGGGAGCTAGCAGGTGTACACCATGAATCCACTAGATAAAACTTCACAGAAGTGGCCAGGCATGGTGGCTCACACCTCTAATCCCAGCACTTTGGGAGGCCAAGGTGGGCAGATCACCTGTGGTCAGGAATTCGACACCAGCCTGGCCAACACGGTGAAACCCTGTCTCTACTAAAAATAGAAAAATCAGCTGGGCATGGTGGCGCGCACCTGTAGTCCTAGCTACTAGGGAGGCTGGAGGGGGGAGAATCACCTGAACCTGGGAGGCGGAGGTTCGAGTGAGCTGAGATCATGCCACTGCCCTCCAGCCTGGGTGACACAGTGAGACCCCGTCTCAAAAAACCAACCAACCAACTAAACAAACAAACAGAAAAAACTTCACAGAAGCTTAGGCTGCCCCTTACCACCACTTCTCACTAAGCATTGGAAACAAGGGGGAAATGGATGACTAGTTTGCCTTGGGGAAAGGTGGGTGGCCTGGGAAGGAGCTAGAGCAAAAGGGAAGTAGGATCCTCATGAAAGTAGCCCTTATCTAAATCAAGAAGACGATCTTATCCAACTTACAAGGGATGTGAAGGACCTCTTCAAGGAGAACTACAAACCACTGCTCAAGGAAATAAAAGAGGATACAAACAAATGGAAGAACATTCCATGCTCATGGGTAGGAAGAATCAATATTGTGAAAATGGCCATACTGCCCAAGGTAATTTACAGATTCAATGCCATCCCCATCAAGCTACCAATGACTTTCTTCACAGAATTGGAAAAAACTACTTTAAAGTTCATATGGAACCAAAAAAGAGCCCGCATCGCCAAGTCAATCCTGAGCCAAAAGAACAAAGCTGGAGGCATCACACTACCTGACTTCAAACTATACTACAAGGCTACAGTAACCAAAACAGCATGGTACTGGTACCAAAACAGATATAGATCAATGGAACAGAACAGAGCCCTCAGAAATAACGCCGTATCTACAACTATCTGATCTTTGATAAACCTGAGAAAAACAAGCAATGGGGAAAGGATTCCCTATTTAATAAATGGTGCTGGGAAAACTGGCTAGCCATATGTAGAAAGCTGAAACTGGATCCCTTCCTTACACCTTATACAAAAATCAATTCAAGATGGATTAAAGACTTAAACGTTAGACCTAAAACCATCAAAACCCTAGAAGAAAACCTAGGCATTACCATTCAGGACATAGGCATGGGCAAGGACTTCATGTCTAAAACACCAAAAGCAATGGCAACAAAAGCCAAAATTGACAAATGGGATCTAATTAAACTAAAGAGCTTCTGCACAGCAAAAGAAACTACCATCAGAGTGAACAGGCAACCTACAAAATGGGAGAAAATTTTCGCAACCTGCTTATCTGACAAAGGGCTAATATCCAGAATCTACAATGAACTCCAACAAATTTACAAGAAAAAAACAAACAACCCCATCAAAAAGTGGGCAAAGGACATGAACAGACACTTCTCAAAAGAAGACATTTATGCAGCCAAAAAACACATGAAAAAATGCTCACCATCACTGGCCATCAGAGAAATGCAAATCAAAACCATAATGAGATACCATCTCACACCAGTTAGAATGGCAATCATTAAAAAGTCAGGAAACAACAGGTGCTGGAGAGGATGTGGAGAAATAGGAACACTTTTACACTGTTGGTGGGACTGTAAACTAGTTCAACCATTGTGGAAGTCAGTGTGGCGATTCCTCAGGGATCTAGAACTAGAAATATCATTTGACCCAGCCATCCCATTACTGGGTATATACCCAAAGGACTATAAATCATGCTGCTATAAAGACACATGCACACGTATGTTTATTGCGGCATTATTCACAATAGCAAAGACTTGGAACCAACCCAAATGTCCAACAACGATAGACTGGATTAAGAAAATGTGGCTCATATACACCATGGAATACTATGCAGCCATAAAAAATGATGAGTTCATGTCCTTTGTAGGGACATGGATGAAATTGGAAATCATCATTCTCAGTAAACTATCGCAAGAACAAAAAACCAAACACCGCATATTCTCACTCATAGGTGGGAATTGAACAATGAGAACACATGGACACAGGAAGGGGAACATCACACTCTGGGGACTGTTGTGGGGTGGGGGGAGGGGGGAGGGATGGCATTGGGAGATATACCTAATGCTAGATGACGAGTTAGTGGGTGCAAAGCACCAGCATGGCACATGTATACATATGTAACTAACCTGCACATTGTGCACATGTACCCTAAAACTTAAAGTATAATAATAAAAAATAAATAAATAAATAAATAAAGAAGACGACGATCTTGATCAGACAAAACAGATTCACATCAGAAATACTGTGGTTAGGGAATATTTTCCTAGAGGAAGTAATGGAAACACATCACTGAGGAAACAAATTCGAGCTGCTTTGTGCAAAGAAGTGATGGGCATATTGTCAGGAATTTCCCGCACCAGCCCCAGGAATGGACTGGTGGGCCTACATTCTTTTTCTTTTTTTTTTTTTGGCGATGAGTCACGCTCTGTCACCCAGGCTGGAGTGCAGTGGCGCGATCTCAGCTCACTGCAACCTCCGCCTCCCAGGTTCAAGTGATTCTCCTGCCTCAGCCTCCTGAGTAGCTGGGATTACAGGTGCCCGCCACCACACCCAGCTAATTTTTGTATTTTTAGTAGAGACAAGGTTTCACCATGTTGGTCAGGCTGGTCTCGAACTCCTGACCTCGTGAGTCAGGAGGCCCACCTTGGCCTTCCAAAGTGCTGGGATTACAGGCATGAGCCACCGCCCGCCATGGGCCTGCATTCTAAGCCTTTCAGGGTAGGTGGGAGGGGGGGTGTAGCATTTGCTTTCCCTCATCAGAGGGTTCTCGCATTTCCCTAGTAAGGGAGGTCAGCGCTGCTGACTGTCCGACAGCAACTCAGCAAGTTGGGAACAACTGGCTATTTTGAAAAGGGAGAAGGCCATGTGTTTGAATCTTTCTGGAGTGAGATTTTAAACTCCCCCAGTCTCTATTCCCTGGAGCACATTAAAGGATACATCTAGCATGTCAACCATAATTTTGCATGTCTCGATGCTGAAGCCATCTGACTTGATATCTTGGCCTAAAAGACAAAATCAGTGTGACAGGAAAAATCTCTGAGCGGTGATGTCCAACTGAACTTTCCACAATCATGGAGATATTCTTTATCTGTGCCCTTCACATACAGAAGCCACTTCCATTATATTAAATAGCCACATGTGGCTAGTGACTACCAGACTGGGACAGTGCAGATGATGTCCACATTGTCCTGATGTCTCTGTATATTTGCCGTGGGCAAACAGGGCTTTAAAAAGTGCTTTTTGAACAAATAAATAACAGAATGATCAATGGTTGGGCCTTAGGTGCCCACAGGATATAAAGTCACCTGTAGTTGTTGGGCAGGGAAAAAGAAAACAGAGAGCAGGTGTGTTAATTCTAGGCTATGACCCGTGAGAGAAAGAGGTTTACTTGAACTGTCCATCTGCAGACATTTATGGACTGTGTCCCCAGCTGACTGAGAAACCTGAGGAACTGGGATCGATCCACGAGCTATTTGTGCTGCACTAAGTGAGTCCTGTCCACTTGGTGTTTGGCAGGTGGCATGAGACCCTCCCTAGTCACCAATGTGAACCTGGCTCCCCACAGACTTCACGAAAAGCCCAGCCTTTTTGTTATGTCCCCGAAAGAGGTTAGAGCCTGACCTGCCTCAAAGCTGCCACTCTGGGCACCAACCCCTTAGATGGTCATAAGGCTCTGGCCCAGCAGCTGTGCATGCAGACTCTGGTGTGGAGCCCTCCAGAAGGCTGGAGTCAGCAGGCAGCTAGGGGTAGGGTAGTAAGCTCAGAGGCACGCGCGGAGCGAATGCTGCTCCCCCAGCAAGGAGCGGGCTGAATCCAGGCAAGGCCCGCTTCTTCCCCACCTCCCAGCCCCACCCTCCATCTGTGCAGAAACAATGAGGCTTTAGTCTCCTCAGCTCATGAGGACTGCATATCTGAAGAGCTCTGTGACCTCACTTGTGCCTGGTGGCCTCCAGGGTAAACACAATCTTCTTGCCTTCCCTGAAAATTAGAGGAGGGCGGGTGCAGACTGGGTCTCCTCTGGGGAGGCCCTGCACTGGACTGACCGTAACCTGACTGGCCCAGCCCTCTTGGTTCACACTGGGAGGGAAGACCCAGCTGGCCCTGGACTCTTCTTTGGCTCTGAAAGGCAGATTTATTTTATCTCATGGAGTTAGGCTAGAGGCCATCTTGTCAGAGGGAATGATGTCCCTTGAAGTCCATGAGGCTTCTCGAGATGATCCCTAGGGCTGGTATGCAGCAAACAACCATGACTGCATTTGTCTCTGATGCAGATTCCTAACTTCTGATATGTTCAAAACTCTGCTTCCTGGATTGCCAGTTGCTCTCTTAACAAATGCAGCGTGATTCTTTTGATAATTTGAGGGGAAAAAATGTCTCTGTGTTGTGTTTCCCGCTCCTCCCTGCTGGTGATCCACAGTAAGGGGTTGAACAATCAATCCTCTGACATTTTTTTGCTTAAGAAATAGTTAGTTACAAGATGTGGCCGGGCACGGTGGCTCACACCTGTAATCCCAGCACTTTGGGAGGCCGAGGTGGGCAGATCACTTGAGGCCAGGGGTTCAAGACCAGCCTGGCCAACATGGAGAAACCCCATCTCTAGGAAAATACAAAAATTAGCTGGATGTGGTAGTGCATGCCTGTAATCCCAGCATTTTGGGAGGCCAAGGCAGGTGGATCACTTGAGGTCAGGAGTTCAAGACCAGCCTGGCCAATATGGTGAAACCCTGTCTTTACTAAAAATACAAAAGTCAGCTGGCTGTGGTGGCACTTGCCTGTGATTCCAGCTACTTGGGAGGCTGAGGCAGGAGAATCGCTTGAATTTGGGAGGTAGAGATTGCAGTGAGCTGAGATTGTGCCACTTTACTCCAGCCTGGGCGACAGAGTGAGACTCTGTCTCAAAAATAAAATAAAATAAATTAAAAAAATAGATCACACAAAGCTAGTATGTAGTGGAAACCTGGATTTGATCTTTGATCTGTGGATGCTACAAACACTTGTTCTTTTTCATCACATCATACAAATCCTTCATCCACTTCTTGGAGGGGATGGAGGGTGGTGGTTTAGTCACAGCAGCCAGACATGGAGGGGGAAAGATTTCCATGTTCCCTCCCATCCACAGGGGAAAGAGCAGGATGAGGTTTTGCAATGAGGGGATACTCACGCTTTGCTAGAACCCTTCTCAGGATGGTCTGCAGCTCAAAGGCAGAGATCTCCGCATCCTGTGGACACATAACCAGAGCATAGTTATTGGCCCCCCGTGGGAGCTGGATGAGCACAGGGCAGGACACCAGTGCATTAGGTAGGCCTGCGGTGGGGCCTATGAATGTGCATTTCTAACAAGCCCCCGAGCCATGTTGGGGCTGCTGTCCCCAGACCACACTTTGAGTAGTACTGCCCCATTCTGGATTTTAGATACAGTGTTTTTGGTTTGGTTCTTTTTAGAACACCCAGGCTGGGCTGGACTGCAGTGGAATGATCCTAGCTCACTGAAACCTCAAACTCCTAGGCTCAAACGATCCTCCAGCCTCAGCCTCCCAAAGTGCTGGGATTACAGGTGTGAGCCACTGTGCCCAGCCTAGATACGGTGTTTTAATGTACGGATGCAGTAGGGAGAGTTCACTCACCATTTCTTTGCTGTAGAGAATATAAATAATAAATACTCCCCTCTACCCATGTTTGTGGTCTTTCTTAATTCTCTTATACCATTCCTCTTATCTGGCATGTTTTCTTCATTCTTTAAAACTCAAAGCTCAGACTTCCTGTAAAACTGGTGAAAACCAGCTGTCTCCAAGACCTAGCCGGCCCTCCTCTATGCCCATCATGCCAGGGCCCCTCATGGGCTCAGATGTCTCTATCCACTTACACATATTTGTGTAACTCATGGATAAACTCCTTTGTTTAAAACCAAGATTGATTGCAGTCATGTTTGCCTTTTGGGGTGTGTATGTGTGGGATTCAATCAGAGGGGAAAGAAGACTCTCATGGCCCCTTTCCTTGGGAATCTGGGAGGGAGCAGAGGGTGAGAGGCCGGTGGAGGCGCAGAGCAGACGATGCCTGGCTTAGTACTTTGATGGGTCTTTAGGTCAGCGAAGGGAGTACCAGATGAGCTCAATGATTGGAAAGTTCCTCCACATAGTGAAGAAAGAGGACTTTTTTTTTTTTTTTGGAGTTGTTGGGAAGAAAGAGGGCTAAATAACTTTGTGATGGGACTAAATGGCTGAGGGATTTTTTTAAGAACAGGGAAGTGGCCAGGTATGGTGGCTCACACCCGTAATTCCAGCACTTTGGGAGGCTGAGGTGGGAGGACTGCTTGAGCTCAGGGGTTTAAGACCAGCCTGGACAACAAAGTGAGACCCTGTCTCTAAAAAAAATTTAAAAATTAGCTGGGCATGGTGGTATGCATCTGTAATCCCAACACTTTGGCAGACCAAGGTTGGAGGATTGTTGAGCCCAGGAGTTCCAGAGCAGCCTGGGCAACATGGCAAAACTCCATCTCTACAAAAATAAAAATAAAATAAAAATTAGCTAGACATGGTGGTGTGCACCTATAGTCCCAGCTACTTGGGAGACTAAGGTGGCAAGATCTCTTGAGCCCAGGAAGTGGAGGCTGCAGTGAGCTATGATCATGCCACTGCACTCCAGCCTGGGTGACAGAGAGAGACCCTGTCTCTAAAAAGAAAAAAAGAAAAAAGAAAAGAGAACAGAAAAGCCTAATTCAAACACTCTGTTGCAGGTGGCCTGCATTCTTGAGACTTGAAACCCTTCCATCTCTCCAAATCCTTTGTGGAAATCAAGGATAAGGGGCCAAGTTTCATGCCTCAATTGGTGTAGAACAGAGAAAATAAAACAGTCACAAGGTGAGCCCAGGAATCCTAAGGAAGGAGGAACACAGAGTCAGGGCTGACCATGCAAATGGAAGCCCCCGGCAGCATGCGGAGGTCTTAGGGAGGACACACGCAAGAGGGCTGAGCTGGAACCCAAGTGCCATTTGCAATTTCTCTTTGCTTTTGTTCAGTTTGTTTCCTCTCCCCTTTAAACTAAAGTCCCCTTGGGGACACACACTGTCTCTTCCTTTGCATCAACCAGAGTGCATAACATCGTTTTTGGGAACATTTACCTCTCCTGCCAACTGGGCAAACAGTCTCCTGAATCCATCATCAATGTCATCCTCGCTGATGTCGAACTGGAAGGTGAGGCAGAGACATGAGAATGCATCAGAGCGAGGCATGACACCAAGTGTCTGCCCGCCCTTCCATGGCAGCCACCTCCCACTCCCCTTCTCTACCCCTCCCTGGGGCCCAAATTCTACGGTGATTTGGGTTAAGATCAGGTATAGTGTGAAGAATTAATATAAGGTTTTTTTTTTCTAATTAAAACACAAGAAGGAATGTAAATTATGTGGGAAGGAGTAATATTCTAATTTCTCACAGAGGTATCTTCTCTAGCATCCAATTAAAATGGCCTTTTAGGATCTATTCTAGTGGGGACTCAGAAGAATAAAGACTAGCTGGAATGTTGTGGATGGATTTTGACAGTGGCTAGCACAGCCCAATAGGCAAGGGACTGGCCCATGCCCCCAGCACAGAGGCCAGAGCTGATGCAGGTAGTCGACTCTTGGATTCCCAGTACCCGGCTTTATCCTTAGTTTCAGGCTTTGTTCGTGAAGTCCAAAAACTCTTGGAGTTTTTTTGCTCCTCTGCTCTCTGGATTGTCCAGGACAGAGTGGGTGAAATTCAAAGAGTTACAAATACCTCTTCAAGATTGGCCTCGATTTCATCATCGACAGCTCTGGAAATAGAAGGAAATTATGTGTTACTGGAAGGCAGGCGAGGGCAAAAAGGAAGGAAATCACTGCTAAAATGGAAGTGCAGTGCTAAATCCAGCAGGGGGTAGGTGGGGTGGGGCAGGGCTGCGGTGGGGGGAGGTCTTTGTATTCCAAGTTTCTGTGATAACACCTCCCCTAAAAAGCAAAAATTTTTCTGCATTCCAAGTTTCTGTGATAACATTTCTCTGCATTCCAAGTTTCTGTGATAACACATCCCCTAAACAGCAAAAATAAAGGCAGAAGTGATCTGAAGGAAGGGTCATGACCAAAGCAACGTGGGCAGCTGGAGATTTTTGTTTGCTAGTTTTTGATCTTTATCAAATAGGATAGCCTTCGCGTGTAGCGTGGTGTTCGTCCTAGCCTTAAGGAATAGCTTCTAAGTTCCACTTGAAATATCCTTTGCCAACATAGACTTTCACACTGAGAATCATGCAGTGCAAATCATCGCCTACTTGTTCTGCCTCAGGTTGGAGAGGTGGGCAGTGCAGAGGCCTGTGTGTCATTTCAGCCAAAGCTCAGGTCAGGCAGTGGTTAGTTTATACTGTGCACCGCCCCTGTGTCCAGGGCCAGGTCCTTCTGCTCCATAGTGAGGGTAATCAAGCTCAGGAGGTTCTTCCTTGGGCCACTGTGATTTTAACTAAGTGACCAAGAGTCCTATCAGCAGGGCCAATGCCTGGCAGAAGGAAAAGGGGACCTCTTGGTGCTGATCATTGGAATCTGGAGCAGAAGGATTAATATTTTGGGACAAGGAAGTCAGAAACCTTTGAGAGGTGGGGTGTCCTCTTGGGGTAGGGAGCTCACCCTAGAGAGAGTTGAGGGGTTGAGGCTTCCCTGGGAGAGTGACTTGTGGCTGGCAGGGAGAGTAATGAGTTTGACAAAGGACACTGTTATTCTAATGCCACCAGGTCATGCTCCTATTTTCTTGTCAGTGAGGACTAAACTGAACACACCAGTCTTCCTCTAAGCATCCTCAGAGCTGAGAGGAAAGGTCCCTTCCCCCATGGTAGGCTTTAGCAAATGAAGACAGCCTGTCAGTGGCAGGGGGGCTACAGCCGTGCTATGGTGGCATTCATTGGTATGCAGCTGCCTGGCATTGCTTTGTCTCCCTTCGCCATGGGAAATTATTTCTGCATCATGCATTATCTTGGGGCAAGGGCAGTTCCCTGCCTCTACCTCCCATTGGCTCTTCCTCTACAGGAACCAGCAGGCCAGGTGGCTGACCCAAGCCCAGCACCTCAGACACACTCCACAAGATCTTTAGACCTCAGCACATGACCCAGAGTCCAAGGGGTCATCTCACACCCTGGTCCTCCAACACATCCTTGGCTCCTGTTCTTCCTAGCCTGACCCCCTACCTCCCATCAGTTCTGGAGTCTCCAATGGCCTTTCGATGAATTCCCTTTAGCTTAAATCACCCAGGGTAGATTCTGCCTTTGCCAATCAAGTGCCCAGCTGAACATACATGGTTGAGGCAGAAGTCAAAGTGGCAGAAGCCATTGTGAATTGAGGCCACCTGGACAGTGGCAGGAAATGGTGATGTCAGCCACAAAGGGTTCCCAAACGTGGGATCCCATGAGGAAGGGGAGAGAGAGCTGGTGACATGACAACTATAATAGGGAGAGGTTCTGGAGGTGGGAACCGTTGAGATGGTTCCCACCTTACACCCTTGGTGGCTCTGCTAGGCCAGGTGGCCTGGAAAATCAAGGATTACACCAGCACTGCTCAGCTTTCTTCAAATGACGAGACTGGATTCGTAGTTTAACATTAAAGTACCAACTTGAGAATTCAGAGACACGCTTATGAAATTAGACCCTGCAATTCACTGTACAGCCACCCCTTTCCAACCAAAAATATCCACAGTGGCTTTTTCCATTGTTTACCTTACTATAACACTAGAACTTCCTCAATCCATCAAATCCCCACACTAGTCCTTCGAGGTGGGCAGGTGTTACAGAAAAAGTAACTGACATTCAGAGGATGAAAGAGCCCTCTAGGGGCCGAGGAACAGACCAGTGGGGAGGGACAGGGAAGGGTGGGGAGAGGAAGGGACCAAACCGCCTACTGGTAGTCAGCTTTCTTTTCAGAAAAGACCCGGATGCAGAAATCCCCATCCTTGTTGGGTTCGAAGGTGGAAGGCACGAGAATGTACTCTCCTGGCGGCAGCTTGAAGCGGTTGAGCACCTCCCGGAGGTTGATGAAGGTGTCTGAGCGCTCCCTGGCGCGATTCGTCAGGAAGAAGTTTTTGCTGAGGTGGATGTTGGTCTGCCCACTTAACTGAGGAATAAATAGAGAAACATGGGGGTAGATGAGGGGAAGCCTCCAGGCAAGTATCATTTTCATTCACTGAGATAAAAGCAGTTGGGTAGTGTGGTGGCTCAGTCCTGCTGTCCTGGTGTATAAGGAGGCGAGGCCAGGCGTCAGAAACCAGCCTGGGCAACACAGGAAGCCCTCATCTATATAACGACGACAACAACAACAAAACAACAAAATTTTTTTAAAAAAATAGCAGTACAGTGACAATGCCTGGGTCATTTTAGATAAAAAGCAAACTTTTGTTAGGTGTGGTGGCTCACGCCTGTAATACCAGCACTTTGGGAGGCTGTGAGAGGATTGCTCGAGGCCAGGAGTTTGAGACCAGCCTGGGCAATGTAGTGAGACCCCTGTCTCTGCAAAAAATAAAAATATTAGCCAGGGGTGGCGGCAAGCGCCTGTAGTCTCAGCTACTCAGGAGGCTGAGGTAGGAGGCTCACGTGAGTCTGAGAGTTCAAGGACGGCAGTGAGCTATGATCACACCACTGTACTCTAGCCTGGGTGACAGAATGAGACCTTGTCTTAAAAAAAAAAAAAACAAAAAGCAAACTTTCTACCAAAAAACACAAATGCCTGCTGAGGAACTCGGAAGCACATGCCCACAGGGGTTTCACATCCATTCAGCTCCGCCTGCAGAGATGCCCAGTCTTTCCACAGTGTTCCCAGCCTTCCTCTAAGAGACTCTCAGGCAGGAACAGCGTCCACATGGCAGGAACCTGGCTCGGTTCTACGTGGTGTATGATGCACTATAAAAGCAAAGACAGGACTGGGGGCAGGAGAAAGACAACCCAGCTTCTAAACCAAGCATGATCCACCGGACCAAGGCTGGAGCAGCATCTAAAAGAGCCCGATGTGCTACCGGTTGCACTGCCTTGCTGTGAAAGAAATGTACTACAGGTGGGTCAAAGTGCCCCGTGTGTCTACTTTAATAATCGTGACCTTGGACCAGGCATCCCATCTGCTTCAGCAAGCGGTGACTGTGGGCCCAAATGCTCTCGCAAAATTTAAGTCATTCCACGGTAGTGCAGTGAGGTGGATGGTTGACCAGTTTTACTGAAAAATAAACTGAAATGCAGCCAGGCACGGTGGCTACACCTGTAATCCTAGCACTTTGGGAGGCTGAAGGGGGTGGATCACCTGAGGTCAGGAGTTCAAGACCAGCCTGGCCACCATGGTGAAACCCCGTCTCTACTAAAAATACAAAAATTGGCCTGGCATCCTGGTGCGTGCCTGTAGTCCCAGCTACTGGGGAGGCTGAAGCAGGAGAATCACTTGAACCCAGGAGGTAGAGGTTGCAGTGAGTCGAGATCATGCCACTGCACTTCATCCTGGGTGAAAGAGCGAGACAAAAAACAAACAAACAAACCAAAAATCAAAAAAAAAAAAAACAAAACCCTGAAATGCAGAGAGGAGCTGTAACGTGTCCAAGGTCACACAGCCTGGGAATTGGGTCCTGGTCTCCTCTGTGCTCCCGCGTTGTCTTCTAGTACAGTCTGCAGGGTTCACCTTTTCCCTGACTCAGTCTTCTCCTAAGAGTGACAAAGAACTTTGTGAAAAGCCTCCTGCAGTCTCAGGATCATGGATTTTCTGCCCAGAACCAAACCCTGTATGGGCTCTGCCAGGTCACAGGGAGGCAGCGGGTCCCACAAGGACTTTCCAGAAACCTTGCCCAGAGCTTAGACCAGTGGGATCTAGAGCCTGGGCAACTTCAGCAGGGCCCCAGGGGTGGCCAGGACTCATCCTTCATGACCACCAGCCCCTGCCCGGGCTTCACGACGCTCCCTGAGCTCCAGCAGTCTAAGCCTCTCGCTTTTTTGGTGACCTGAGCACCCCGGGACATGGGCCAGACGTACCTCCTCTGGAACCTGCAAAATAAAGGAGATGCAATTCAGATGCCGGAAAAGCAGTGTAAGAAAATGCATCACTGTGCTCTTCTCTTCCGCTGCCCCCGTTTTCTCTGTAGCATTAGCAATATCAACTAATTCAACCGAGTAACTGTTTTCCAAGGAACTCAAAGCCTCTCCAACACTGAAGAAAATCCTCTTATGTTGATAAGCCCTCACCTCCCTTCCTAACTTAGAGTATAAATCTCAGGCATGGAGATGTGAAGAGACTTGTCTAAGGTGGCAAAGCCCATATCGGCCTCCCACGCAGGGAAAGAGGGCCAGGCGGGCCCTGTTGGAGGAGGCAGCAGGCGAGGTGAAATACACCTGGGGCTAGGAGCCAGCAGTGCCGGCCTCTGTCAGCCAGGTCCAGTGGTCCGGTCTGCATTTCCTTGAGCAAGTCCCCTCTCCTCTCTGGCCTCAGTTTTCTTGTCTCAAAAATAGGACCCAGTGATCCCCAAGGTCCGTCCCAACTCTGAAAGCCCGTGGCTGCATTTCCAAGCCCATAAGCCGGTGGGAGGGAAGCTGTGTATCACAATTCCATTTGCATTGTCCTTGGATCGATTCTGTCCCAGATCCGAAGTCCTCAGCTCCTGTTTCAGAGACGGAGGGGTTTAGGCCTATGTGCATTTTTACAACTGATGGTATTTGCCCAGCTGCCTTTCTCAGGTGGGTGAGCAGGTAGAAGTCAGTGTTCCATGGGTGGCAACGTTGCCAGTGGTGAGCACAGAGCCTCCTCTCCTGACACCTCGTCTGGATTCTCCCAGGGGTGTGCTGGGAAACTGGCTCTTGGGAGAGGGTGGAAGCTCTGATTTGTACTATTTGCCACTTTCCATGGTGTAAACAGGTCCCTGCCAGGGCCATTTTTCAGGCTGCTGAAGGACCTCAGCAGACATGGGTCAGAGAAAAGAGATGGGCTTTGGGAGCCGGGAGGAGCCAGCTCCAGCCCATCAAACCGAAATGCATCCCCAGTCAGTGCCCTAAAGCCTTCCTTTCATCCCTCTCCTCGCATGGCTACCTGCAGCCCACGAAAGCTCTTTCTTGTTTTGCAGAAGGGAGTGGGGAGAGCCCAGGGGCCCAGCGTGTTGGGTGAGTTCTCAGTGCCCCAGCCCCAGCCTGAGGGCGGAGAGGAGACTGCAATGCGGCTGCCCTCTGGCTGTGGCTCAGAGTGAAAGGAAAACACGCATACAGCAGGAGTCTGTGTAGGGATCTGGGCTCCAGCCATCAGAGCCCTGGGGGGAGCATCATGACCAATGTTCCCCTGTCCCCAAGCTCTCCACCATCCAGGCCAATGACTTTGCCGAGCTCTGAGCAGCTGCACCCATGGACTCAGTCCTGCCCTCACAGTATTGCCTGATGTGGCCCAGTATATTCTGTTCTTTGAAGATGGGTAGGCTGACCAGAATGCCAGGCCTGGAGGATGTGAGAAGGGATGTGGAGGCCATTTGAGAGTGGAACTCCCTGCAGGCTGGCTGTGGGGGGCCCGTGAAGGGCTTAGAAGGCCCCACAACCCAGAGCCACTGCAGGGGCCTCCCTACGGGGGCTACTCCTGAGCCTGGCCAGGCTGGTAGTTTTGTTTTTCCTTGGCCAAGCTCCCGGTCTGGGATCCCATCCCCAGTTCTGCCTCTGGGGTCAGCTTTCCATGCAGGGGCTGAGATGAACACATGGGGAAGGGAGGGCAGGAGCCCCTGCGCTCTGCACCTCATAGATGCCAAAGCCGATGGTGTGCATGTCCTCGCCCATCTTCCTCTGCCGCCGTCGGTGCTTCTGAATGAGCCCCACCAGGAAGGTGCAGCCGCTCTCCCCATCCTCCTCGTCCTCATCCTCCTCCTCCAGCTTGATCAGGTACTGAGGGTTCATCCAGAATGTGTCTGCAGCCAGAAAGGGGCAGAGGAGCCCAGCCCTGAGCAGGAATGCATGGGGGTGGGGGGTGGCCCTGGTCTCAGGCTTGGAGGCTTCTGAGAGGGATGGAGATAAAGGGAGATGGTGGGAGGTGGTGGGAGATGGTAAGAGGTGGTGGGGGATGGTGGGAGATGGCAGAGTATGGCAGAAGATGGTGGGAGACAGCGGGAGATGTCAGAAAATGGCGGGAGATGGTGGGAGTTGGCAAGAGGCGGTGGGAGGCTGTGGGAGACAGTGGGAGATGGTGGGAGATGGCAGAGGATGGCAGAAGATGGTCAGAGACGGCAGGCGATGTTGGGAGAGGCTAGGAGGTGGGAGACACCAGGGTTGGAGTGTGGACTGCAGGCTTTGTTAGGCTGGAGACGGGTGACGGTAGCTGTGGAGAGAGGATGACCTGCACTTGTCTGAATCTAACAGGAACCTAAATTAGAAACTTTCTCTTGCAGTTCTCTCTCTGGCTCCAGGCTGGCTTGTCTTGGGGACTGGTCTGTCACTCTGGAACGCAGGGTGGTTAGAGCTGTGGCTTCCCCTCATGGTACCTTCTCTTCACTGGGCTCTGATGGGGAGCCTGGGGCGGGGCTCGGCTGGCCTGGGGGACTCCGGGATCTGCTCCCTGCACTTGCCGGTCGCCGCCCCCTCGGTGAGCCCGGAGGCCAAGAACATCCTGTGTATAATTCCAGACTCTTTCTTGTTCTGCGTCCCTTGTCCTCTCAGGCCTATTCCCTTGCCCTGCTCCTGATGTCTCTGCCCTCTTTACTTCCAAAACCTATTTATTTAAAAAATCTAAGATTCATTCATGTTTAAGGGGAATTATGCTAATTGCCTTTCCATACCTAATGGGATAAAACCCTAACTGTGAAATTACAGGCACCATCTTGTGTAGGGGTTGGCAGCTATGGCTCCGAAGGCCGCTGCCTGTTTTTGTAAATAACGTTTTATTGGAACGTAGCCACGGCCATTCGCTTAAGTATGGCTGCCTTTGGGTTATAGCAATAGAGTTGTTGTTATAGAGACTGAGTGGCCCACAAAGCCAAAATTATTTACTATCTGACCCTTTAGAGGGAGTTTTCCGACTCCTGATCTAGTGGGTAGGAGGGGTCCCTTGTGGGGGGCAGAGGGCCTTCCCAGCGCCTCTGGGACTGCCACTTGGTGGCTGCATACTTGAGGTGAAGGAGTCCGAGCCCCAGAACTGTAGGCCAGCTAGCCGCAGTCTGACTACTTGCTCTGTGGCCCTGGTATGCGACTTAGAGGCTCAGCTTCCTCATCTGTCACAGAGAATCACTATGTGACCATGATCTGCTGCCACTGTACTTACACAGTGACTCCTCAGTCAGGGGGCCTGGGTTCAAATCCCAGCACGCTCTGTGGCCTTCAGCAAGTCACTAGCCTCTCCAAGCCTCAGTTTCCTCATCTTAGAGATGGAGGTGATAAGAAAGTGCCTGCCTCAGAAGTTTGTTGGGAAGGTTAGATAGAATGTTATGCAGGCTGAATATCCCTTATCTGAAATTCCTGGGGCCAGAAGTGTTTCCTATTTTGGATTTTTTTGGATTTTGGAATATTTGTATATACATAACATATCTTAGGGATGGAACTCAAGTCTAATGACAAAACTCATTTCTGTTTCATATATAATTTATACACATAGGCTGAAGGTAATTCTATAGCATATTTAAAATAATTTTGTGCATGAAACAAAGTTTTGACTGTGTTTTGACTGCGACCTGTCACCTGAGGTCAAGTGTCGAATTTTCCACCTGTGGTATCATGTTGGGGCTGAAAAAGTTTTGGATTTTGGAGCATTTCAGATTTCACATTTTCAGATTATGGATCCTCACCCTGTGTACAAAACACTTAGGATAGTTCCAAGCACTGAAGGTGTGCCCCATAATTGGCAGATGTCATCATGTTCAGACAACTGCTGACGGACTAAGCCATGAAGGCAGAAGAATCAAGGGGCTCAACAAAGGCTGGACCAGAGGAGAAATCTTCACCCCATCTGGGCAGCGCCCAGTCAACATTTGCTGATTGAAGTGAGTATGGGGCAACAAACAGGGCCTGATATGTGGAGGGCTCCCTGGGTGCCGGGACAAGGTTCCCTTGTAGGCTCGGCTGCCTGGGTGTGGGGTGCATAGAGCAGCTCATGGCCGTGAAGTGGGATTGAGCACTGCTTCCGTGAGCATGGCGGAAGGTCAGGCTGAAGGTCATGATGGGCGCTGGGGAATCTAGGGCCTGGAGAGGACATCACAGAAACAGTGGCTCTTGGGTTTGTCCTGGGTAGGGCAGGAGGTAAGGGATTGAGAAAGAGAGCTCGGGGAGAAAAGGCTCAGGGAAAAGAAAAGGCTCAGGGAGAAAGAAGACAGAGAGGGTTCCAGTGAGCAGGAGCTGCCTCCTGGGGCTGCTAGGCTGGGGTGTGGTACACAGGGTGGGGTAAGGGGAGCTTTGGCCTTTGGTGGCCCCGCATTGCAACAGCCCTTATATGCAACAGCCCTTACTCGGGTAGTTCCTGCAACCTCCCGCGGTGGAGCCCCGCCTCCAGTTCCCATCCATTTTGGTGAGTTTCCACTTCTTGTAGGTATCGCTGGTGAGAGTGTCTGGGGTCAGGTTACAGATCTCCAGGCGGGAATAGTGCCTCAGGAAGTCACTGAAAGACATCCTGGCAAAAGCAGAGACAATCATCACAGGTGATAAGAAGACACACTGGTAAGCCTTGACTTTCCACCAACACCAGACCAGGAGCCACCCAAAGCCAGGCAGAGCAGCTCATTAGAACTGAGTGGATGGGCACCAGGTTCAGAATCAGAAGGCCCAGATTCCAGTCCTGGCGCTGCAACTTTCTAGCTGGGTGACTTTGAGCAGGTTACTTAAACTTCTCTGAAGCTCAGAACTCTCACCTGCAAAAATGGGAGCCGTGCCCATCAAATGTGACAATATATGGGCCCCATTTGATAAAGAGCATGTTGTGTCCAGGTGCAGGTGGTTATAGAGTGGCGCAGACACACAGACATGTGGGTCCATTGCTGCTCACTAAGGGACCAGTTTCTTAAGGGGCTGGGATGAGTCTCCGGAACCTGGGGGAGAAAGGCCCCATCTTTCCCTTGTTTCCTGGGATCTGAACATTACCAAAGGAATTCCTCTTAGCCTTTTTCTGAAGCTGCTCAGCTTATAAACCCCATTGTCAAGATGGACCGTTGAAGGGGCTTAAGAATTTCTTTATTCAGGCTCTTATAGTGAACTTAAAATAACAAAACCAGGATCCCACACGCTTGTGTCCTCGACATGGTAAACTCACTTTGGCCGACACTCTTTCTAATTAGCAGTTTTCTAGTAAAGAACATTGGGGCAGACAGAGCTTTCCCTGAAGCCTCCACTAATCTTACCAGAATTCTCCATCTTCATGCCGTCTGGTCAGCCTTTCCCTCTCCTCTGGGTCTATAGTGTTCCAGCTTGGGCAGCTGGAAAACAAAGTAAAGAGAGAGGCGTTAGTGTACGATGATTTCTCCCCAAAGGCCCCAGAGTTGAGGAAGAGGGACATCTGCTCTCACCTCTGAGGGCTCAGGCTCCAGAAAGGGGGAAAGTAGCCCACATCTGGCTAACAGCTGCATTTTAATACTCTTACAGCACTTTAAAGAGTATAGAACACTATACAGATGCAAACCAGGGAGCAAAGTGAGCGGGTGAGTTGTGCTGGAAGACAGTGGCAAGGAAGAGTCCAGAAAATGAACATAGTTCATTAGAGGGAGATGGAGTAGCTCAGAGCAGTTGCCCAATTGAGATGGGCCTGGCAGCTCTTTTAGAGACAACTGAAGATCTGATGAGGAGCCTCCGGCTGAGGCCTGGGAAGCCTCAGCAGGTGTCTCTCTGTCCACGGAGCAGAAGGACCTGGCCCTGTACACAGGGGCAGTGCACAGGGTAAACTAACCACTGCCTGAGCTTTGGCTGGAATTACACACAGGCCTCTGTACTGCCCACCTCTCCAACCTGAGGCAGAGCAAGTAGGCTGAGGTTGCCACAGCAGATGTACAAACAAGTGTTTACCCCAAATAGTTGAGGGTTCAACATGCCTACCAGTAAGCCCTGGAAATCAACAGAGGGATGTTTCTCTGGCCTTTGGTACAAAGTTCACATCCCTGTAATAGAAGTGCCTGGGGGAAGGTGGGGTGTATTTTTTTCCCTGAAAGCCCCATAGAAGGGTGGATTTGAGCTAGGGAAGGGGTGAACCTGGAGGCAGTGGCAGGAATGAACTTCACACGAGCAGCTTGGGGCCTGGAAGAAGGCACTCAGGCTGCTGGAGGAGTGTCCTGGTTAAAAGACCCTTTGAGGGGCCCCTGTCCACGGGTCCCTGTCCACGTGGCCTGGGCTCTCCTGGCTATATTTCTCAGAATAATGCACATGTCTTCTTCTCTCGCCCTCTTCCCAGAGCCTCCCAGCACAATGCACCCCCGCCTGGGGCCCCGAGGCCTGCGCCCTCCTCACTTGTCATTCCACCGCCCTGTCCACTCCACTTCTCCCCAGGGATTTCGGATGCGGATCAGTTTCTGTAGGCTTCCGTTACTTTCAACCTGCAGGATTAGATAAAAGGGAGGAGTAAGAGGTTGAGTTCAAGTCAGGGCTATGAAGGCTTGGGCCTCCAACCCCCTTCCGCATGAGCCAGGAGGTATGGGGCTGAGGACGGTGGGGAGGATTTGGGGGTTGAGTCCATGTATGAGGGAGGATCACAAGAGCTAGAGGGGGCTTGGCACCCAGACCTCTCACTGCTGCCTAGCTTTGGAAAATGAGATTTAAAGCTCCCAGGATCCGGCTCTCGAGGATGGGGCTGTTGGTGCTTCATCTCTGAACTTCAGCTTAACTGACAGGATGCGCTTTTGGTAAAGGAGCTCAGAGAAGCTTTACCATTTGTTGAAAGATCACTGGTGATAACAGGCACATGCAGTGAGTGAATCTGGATTGAGTCCTGGATGGGGTTGGGGTGGGTCGCCAGAAAGGACATTTTGGGCAACTGGGAAAATGTTAGTATAGACTTTATAATAGATGACACTACTGAATTAATGTTATTTTCTTAGGTGTGGCAACAGTAGAGGAATTATGTAACAGAATGTCCTTATTCATAGGGAATAAATGCTGAAGTATTGAGGAGGGAAGTGTCATAACGTCTGCAACTTACTTTCATATGGCTCAAAAAAAGTGCACACATAGATAAAGCAGACATGGCAAATGTTAGCAATCGGTGAATCTAGGGGAGTGGCAATTGGATAGTTATTATGTTAGTCTTTCAACTTTTCTGTATACGTGAAAATTTTCAAATAAAAAGACGTGTGTGTGTGAGGGGGTAGTTAAAAAAATCAAGGTTAAAAAAAGAACACTGGACATGCAGAAGATCTGCGGTCTAGACTGGGTTCTGTAATTAACAGTGAACTTGAGTTGCTTGATAATTTTTTTTTTGAGACATGGTCTTACTTTGTCGCTGAGGCTGGGGTGCAATGGCATGATCATGGCTCACTACAGCCTCGACCTCCTGGGCTCAAGTGATCCTCCCACCTCAGCCTCCCGAGTAGCTGGGACGACAGTGGCATGCCACCATGCCCAGCTAACTTTTTTTTGTAGAGACAGGTTCTTGCTACGTTGCCCAGGCTGGTCTTGAACTCCTAGGCTCGAGTGATCCTCCCACCTCGGTCTCCCAAAGTGTTGGGATTTCAGGTGTGAGCCACCATGTCAGCCCATAATATTTTCAATAACAACAGTGATCACAACAGCAAGGACAGCTACCTCCTTATATATGATGTGTGAGTCACCTCTGAGCACTTTACATATATTAACTTGATTGAATCGCCACGACCTTCCAATGGATATTATCATTATTTCCATTTTTTAAATGAGGAAACTAAGGGACAGAGAGTTCCAGTAATTGGCCCAGGCCACACAGCTGGTAAGAGGCAGTCAGATTTGAACATGGGCACGAATACTTTTACGAGATCAAAAGAGAAAGCACCTTATAGAGTATAAAACACTATGAAGATGCATTGTTTTATTATTTTTAGCTTATCAAAATAGTAAGGTTGTAACTGTAAAACAGGGTAACATCTAAAACAAGTAAAACCAGGGCCCCTGGCGCCGGCCACTGCGGCCACCAGGTGGCAGCGCGGCGCACCCGGCGCCCGAGCTGCGAAAGGGACGCCCTTCTCCTCCCGCGCGGAACTTCAGGAGTGCGGGGCCCGAGTGTAAACTGGACCACCGTGGGGCCGCGCGGGCCCCTGGGCATCACCACAAACTGTGCCTGTGGCCATCGTGTCAGGACAGCAGGACCCCTGCACATCCGCGCCGGCCGTTACCTCCTCGGCTCCGGTGACCGAGTACGCGTGCCCCTTCACCAGCTTCTGAAACGTGATGGCCTCCGAGTCCGCGGCGCTGGTGATCTGCAAACACAGCAACCGTCAGACTGGCCGCACCCGCTCTCCCTTCCTCCCGGACTCCCTCGCTCCCTCTGTCCTACTGCCGGGCGGGACCGCCGGACGCACTAGCGCAGCGGCCGAGGCCTGGGGTGGGAGGCTCAGGGCTGCGCTTTCTTGCACTTGGAGAACCTTTCCTACCCCGTTCAAATGCTTGAACGCCGAGAATACCAGAGAAAAGGCGGAATGCAACCCTCTCGCGGAACGAGCACAGGCATTCCCGTGTGAATAGCGCATCCACGGATTTCTGCAGGCTGGGAAGGGCGGGAAAGGGCGCACGGCCGAGAGAGGGCTGGAGGGGGTCCTCGATGGCGCAGGGAAAGGGCGCACGGCCGAGAGAGGGCCGGAGGGGGTCCTCGATGGCGCAGGGCTGATACCCAGACAGCCTTGAGTGGCCCAGGGACACTGAGCACACCCTCGCCCCACCACCAGCCCATGCTCCGTGGTCTGGCCCAGCCCAGCTGTAGGGTTTATACTAGGACGGTTGTTTATTCCGGTCTGAGTCAGAATTTGCTTCTGTTTTAAGAACGCCTCACAGCCTCTCCTTTCCCCTATCTATTCTGATGAAGGTTGAGCCTGGGAAGAAGGGCTGGAGCAGAAAGGGTCTTCTGCCTCAACGTGTTCTGCTGATAAACTTTGAGAATTCCTGCCTAGGGAGTCTGACCTAGATTTTGGCTCCAAAAGCCAGGGCTTCTTATCTCTGTCCCCCGCAGAGACCAGAACCTGGATGGGACAGGGCTCAGAGGTTGGGCACAGCCTTTGCTCCAAGGCTCCTGGGCACAGTGCCCACCTCCCATCCCCTGGTGAGCGTTGCCAGCAAGGCTATTATGAGGAAATCTTTCCTCCTCTTCCTTCCGAAGTCTCCCACGGGCCTATTAGCTCTGCAAGAGTGCAGGGGAAGGCTGCACAGCACTGCAGATGGAGGGGAAGGTGGCAGGGGCAGCAGGTGGCAGGGGCTCCCAGGGAACCTGTGGTCAGAGGGGTGGGGGTGATTCAGAGCAGGCTAAGAGTGGGAAGTGGACTGAAGACAGAAGGGCTGGAGGCACCATCACCCCATCCATTACACCCCAGACAGCTTGACTTTTGCCTAGCAACCCTTGGCTTCCAGGTGATGAGCAATAATGGTAGACACTGGGGTGCTCAGAAACCAATACCTCTAAGAGATGGCACTTTGAAATGCTAAACTGAAGAAGCCTCAAGATCTCTCTGACCTCCCCTTTCCTTCTGTCTCTCGATCCACTCTCCCCCAAAGCACAGGAGGAAGCTATTCTCTGAAGTTCCCTCACCTGCCTAAAGTCTGGACCTGCCAAAGATGAAAACAATGACGTCTGGTCCTTTCCATGAGTTATTATGAACTGAACTCATATTGCAGGAAGAAAGACAAGTCTGTCAACATGGCTAGACAGACTTGTCACAAACCACTGTCTGCTCTGCAGGCCCAACAGACTTTATCCCAGACCATTTATGTTCTTTAAGCCCAATGAATTCCCCTAAAAATCATTTACGACATCCCTAAAATCATCCGCACCTCCCCATCTCCCTTCCCCTAAGAGGAAGGGAATATAACCCTCTGTATCCCAATGCGTGGTAGGGAAATCTCTTGTGATTCTCCCCTGTCCACATTCATACATTTGTATGCCATTTCTTGTATTAGTCTTCCTTTTGCCAGTTGATTTTCAGCGGACCTTCAGAGGGTGGAGGGAGGTTTTCCTTTGGCCCCTACGTGGACGAGGGCTGCATTACGTTGTACACAGGAGCAGTGGGTTCCCTTGGGCACTGTGGGAGCCTCCCTTCAGCAAGAGCAGATGGGGTGAGGCTAGGGAAGGCAGCCTGGACTTACGTCGATGGAGCAGCCAAGGAGAGAGCCTTTTTGCAGAGCTTTCTGGATGATCTTGAACAGGTTGGGAGGGGGCTTCTTCAACTCATACCACTCAGCAATGCCTCCGGTGAAGTCTTCGAAGCCCTCAGTGGTGGCACCCCCTGATAGCGCTTCATAGCATCCGTTGATCCTACAAGAGGGGATTAGACGCTGCCGCTACCCTTGACACTACTGATGCTATAATCTCTCAAACAGCCACCCCCTAGTACCGTCTAGATTTGATGCTCCAGGGACCCCCTGCTCACATTCTCCTTGGCCTTGTTCCCAGCTCGGGGTGCTCAGGAAGGCAAGGTATAATGTCCACAGTTACCATTTCCCTGGTATTTTGTGTTTTAAAGAAAATCTCAGGCCGGGCGCGGTAGCTCATGCCTGTAATCCCAGCACTCTGGGAGGCCGAGGTGGGCGGATCACTTGAGGTCAGGAGTTCAAGACCAGCCTGGCCAACATGGCAAAACACCATCTCTACTAAAAATACAAAAAAATTAGCTGGGCATGGTGGTGCATGCCTGTAGTCCCAGCTACTTGGGAGGCTGAGGCAAAAGAATTGCTGAAACTCAGAACGTGGAAATTGCAGTGAGCTGAGATCATGCCGCTCACTCCAGCCTGGGTGACAGAATGAGGCTCCGTATTAAAAAAAAAAAAAAAAAAAAAGATTCTCGTAGAACCTTAGAGTCGGAAGGACCTTAGTGATTTTCTGGATGAACCTCCTGTATTGATTCCTTCTACATCCTGACAAGAAAGGGGAGGTCTACTAATGGGTCGTTTGGCATTGATAGCTTAAAAAAGGACAACCATTCAATAATGGAAGCAGTTTCTCTGAGAAACAGGCACGGTGTTGGCAAGGGCTTAGTGCTCCTGACTGCTGATGCTGGAGTCCGGTGGCTTCCCTGACCCCAGTATTGAGCAGTGGGACTTAGAAGCATCCGTCAGGCTCCAGGTTCTCACAGCTGACTCCTCCTTCCTGGATTGGGACTGTAAGAAACAGAAATCCACTTGCTGCTCTAAAGTGGGGTCACTTTAATGGAAGGAGCCGGGCGGCACAGCCAACATGGGGCCATTGTGGAGAGGGGCTGGTGTGGGGCTTCTTACTGAGAGTGGGCAGCCCTGAGCACTGGACAAACTCAACTGTGGGCAACCTGGGTGGGAAGCAGCTGTGCGGAGATGGGGAAGCCATTGCTAATCAGTGACATCATCTATTCTGGGCAAGTTTCCTACCTCTGCAATGAATAGTTCTGCCCATTGGCAAAAATTCTGCTTTTTTAAGTTGATACAAATGTGTCCTGTCAAGGAAGTAGAGCTCCTTCTCAAGTCCAGCACAATCAGTACCATAACTTGTTCCTGTGCATTTGGTTAAAGATGGTGATAGACATCATTTATCAGCGTACAGTGCAGCCAGGCACCCTGCATGCACTATCTCCTTGCATTTAGAGCCTAATTTTGGCCAAAGAAGTCCTTCTATAGAAAAGGACTTCCCACTCAAAGTAGTCCTGGAGTAGTTCTACTGATTTTTATATTTTTAGTAGAGACGGGGTTTCATCATGTTGGCCAGGCTGGTCTCGAACTCCTGACCTCAAATGATCCACCCACCTCGGCCTCCCAAAGTGCTGAGATTACAGGCATGAGTGAATTTTTTGGAATCCAGGGCATTGGGGGAAGGCCATGGGGCCAGGGGAGGATGGCAACTTACTTGGCGTATGCCTTCTCCAGCAGGGCGCTCCAGAACTCGCTCCCTTCGGCTGAATGCACAAAGAGCAGCTCCCCGTCCTTGGTGGGCAGCCTGTCATCCACCACCACCTCCACCCACTCGCCGTATTGCCAGAACTGCAGAACAAGAGAGGTGGGCTGCAGGAGGAGCTGGTGGCAGCACTGGGACTCTGAGCCTCAGCTGCCTCTGGCTCCCCTTGCCCTGATCCCCTGGGATAGGTTCCATGAGCGCATCCTGGGAGGAGGTGCTCCCTTAACTCTCCTATGCAGGCCAAGTCCTCACTAAAAAAGCGAAGACAGAGGCGCATGTCCATCCTTTCAAATCCACACCCGCCTCTTTAGCATTCTGCCCTGTACCTTAGGCTGTTTTTTTTTTTTTTTGAGACCAAGTCTTGCTCTGCCCAGGCTGGAGTGCAGTGGCACGATCTCGGCTCACTGCAACCTCTGCCTCCTGGATGCAAGTGATTCTCTTGCCTCAGCCTCCCGAGTAGCTGGGATTAAGGGCACGTGCCACCACACCCGGCTAATTTTTTTTGTGTTTTTAGTAGAGACGGAGTTTCAGCATGTTGCCCCAGCTGGTCTCGAACTCCTGGGCTCAAGTGATCCACCCACCTTGGCCTCCCAACCTCTGCCTCCCAGGTTAAAGTGATTCTCCTGCCTCAGCCTCCCAAGTAGCTGGGATTACAGGCCTGCACTACTACGCCCAACTGATTTTTGTACTTTTAGTAGAGATGGGGTTTCATCATGTTGGCCAGGCTGGTCTCGAACTCCTGACCTCAAATGATCTGCCCACCTCGGCCTCCCAAAGTGCTGAGATTACGGGCATGAGCTACCGTGCCCAGCCAGCTTTTTCAAGTATTATTTCTCATTTACCGGCATAAAAGGAGGAGAACTTCAACGTTTTTGTCTCAAACATCAAATAATACAGTTTTTTTTTTTAAACTTGGGAATTAGTTCCTGAACACCTTGCTCTACCTCCCTTTTACATGTCCCAAGAAACCACCCAGGGCCATCCCAGCCGGGTCTCACATCCTGGCCACGGGTAAGCCAGGAAGCTTCCTGCTCTCGCCCAATGTCCTTTGTAGAACAGTATTGGTCTTGGGAGTCTGCAAACACCAGGGACTGATGAACCCAGCCAAGCCAGAAGACTGTTCCTAGCCCCCTGGACCTGTTGAGGAACCACCTGAGCCAACCATTAAGTTACCTGGAAGTGAAAGATCCCTGCATAGTTTTCCTGGAAGCTCTGGTTTAGGGGGACGACTCGAGCCAGGATTTCTTCATTCAAGGTGAGGGAGGCAATGGCTGCCAGCAGCCAGCAGTCACCTGTGAACACAGCACAAGGAGCTCTTATCAGAGGGTCTTAGAACCAGGAGGATGTTAAAAATCTTGTCTCCACCTCCAGGGGCTTAAAGCCTAAGACAACCTGTGAATAGACAGAGTGAAGTTTCAGGCAGTCCCCCATATGAGGGTTGGGTCAGAGGGTTTGGGGGCTATTAGGTTGGTGTAAAAGTAATTGTGATTTTTGCACCAACCTAGTATTTTGAGGGAAATGCAAAGGGAGAAATGTTTTTGCTGTGTTGTGGTTGGGCAGAGATGGGAAATTTCATTCCCTGAAAGACCCAGAACTCTGGTGGCTGAACTGTGCCCTCAGAGCCCAGCCTTGCACCTGATTCGCAGCAGATGCTCCACAGTGAGAGAATGAAACCAGCGCAGCTGCAGAGGCTTCTGAGCACACAGGCTTTGAATGGGAGTTTGGGCTGGGTGTGGTGGCGTACACCTGGAGTCCCAGCTATAATACGAATACTTGGGAGGCTGCGGCAGGAGGATCCCTTGAGCCCAGGATTTCAAGGCTGCAGTGAGCCATGATTGCACCACTGCACTCCAGCCTGGGCAACAGAGGGAGACCCTCATCTCTAAATAAATAAACAAACAAATATATAAAGGGGAGTTTGAGTGAGAGAAAGAAAACGTAGTGCTAGATGGGAAGGGGACAAACGTTGCACGCCTCCTAGGAGGAAGGTCAGAGCCAGGAAAAGAGGCTCTGGCAGGGAGTACAGTCGCAGGAAGTAAGTACGGAGCAGTGCAGATGGAAAAGCCCTGAGTCAGAGGCAGAAGGCTGGACTGTCCCGAAGGGTTTCTGTGCGGAGGGGCAGAGGTCACTTCAAGGGGTAGACAAGGATGGGCACAACGAGGTGGGCAGCTGGCCAGGCAGCCTGGTCCCTCTCTGAGCCTCAGAACCCTCCCCCATGACATGGATAAGTGTGAGGCATAATGAGAGCAGGTGTGTAAGCACTCGGCACCCATTTGGTGCCAGTGCTAGGTTCTCAGCACAGCAGGCACCACAATCATTTCATGCAGTTAGAAGCAAGCTGATGCCAGCAACAGCACCCAGATGGTTTGCAGGGAGGGGTCATCTTCACCACAAAACACAAACAAAGGGGAGGGGGCCTGGGAAGAGGATGAGGAAGTTTACTCCATTCTTAAGGAATGTGCACTTTCCTACAATTTCCCATGACAATAATGGGAAGTAGCCTCAAAGGAGTTTAATTCACTGTTGGATTTATTTTCGCCAATTGACAGGTTTATTAAAAATGTTACTGAAGACTAGGCGCAGCGGCTCACGCCTGTAATCCCAACACTTTGGGAGGCCAAGGTCAGTGGGTTGTTTGAGCACAGGAGCTCGACACTGGCCTCGGCAACATGGTAAAACTTTGTCTCGACAAAAAAATACAAAAATTTGCCAGGTGTGGTGGTAGACACCTGTAGTCCCAGCTACTTGGGAGGCTGAGGTGGGAGGACTATTTGAGCTCAGGAGGTGGAGGCTGCAGTGAGATGTGATCATGCCACTGCACTCAGCCTGGGTGACAGAAGAGCAAGACCCTGTCTCAAAAAAAAAAAAAAAAATATATATATATATATATATACACACATATATATAAAATATGTAATATATGTAATATTGTTATATATATCAGTAACATATATATATGTTATTGAAGTTCACTGAATTCTTTGGTTTTGTTTTGTTTTTTGAGACAGTCTCGCTCTTGTCACCCAGGCTGGAGTGCAATGGTGTCATCTTGGCTCACTGCAACCTCTGCCTCCTGGGTTCAAGTGATTCTCCTGCCTCAGCCTCCCAAGTAGATGGGATTATAGGCACCTGCCACCATGCTTGGCTAATTTTTTGTATTTTCAGTAGAGACAGGGTTTCCCCATGTTGGCCAGGCTGATCTTTAACTCCTGACCTCAGGTGATCGCCTGCCTCAGACTCCCAAAGTGCTGGTATTACAGGCGTGAGCCAGCAGGACCAGCTGAAGCTCACTGAATTCTTTGAATTCTAGTCGATGACTTAGCATCCTGAGAGTTCCTGACCTAGCTTGTCCTGTTAGCACTTAGACATGGTTGCTTACAGCTCTTTGAGGCCTATATACGCTAATGACAGATCTATGGTAAGCGGAGACACATCCCCTGAGTCAGTCAGTTGGTAGCCTTGTAGCTCACGCCTGCAATCCCAGCTACTTGGGAGGCTGAGGCAGGAGAACTGCTTAAACCCAGGAGATGGAGTCTGCAGTGAGCCAAGATCACGCCACTGCACTCCAGCCTGGGCAACAGAGTGAGACTCTGTGCCCCCCAAAAAGAAAAGAAAAGAAAAGAAAAAGATAAAAGAGGCCAGGCATGGTGGCTCATGCCTCTTAATCCCAGCACTTTGGGAGGCCAAGGCGGGCAGATAGCCTGAGGTCAGGAGTTTGAGACCAGCCTGGCCAACATGGTGAAATCCCGTCTCTATTAAAAATACAAAAATTAGCTGGGCATAGTGGCATGCGCCTATAATCCCAGCTATTCGGTAGGCTGAGGCAGGAGAATCGCTTGAATCCAGGAAGCGGAGGTTGCAGTGAGCCGAGATTGTGCCATTGCATTCCAGCCTGGGCAACAAGAATGAGACTCCCTCTCAAATATATATATATATATATATATATATATACACATTATATATATATATACATTTTACAGCCAAAGATTCAAAAAGTTTTTCATCAGTTTTCCAAATTCTGGAGTTGAAGGAGATGTAGAGGCCACTAAAGAATGTCTTGATTTCTAAAAAGGTGGGAAGCATTTGAAATCCTACTTTTTTTGCTTCTGGTTCCTTCACTCTTTCCCTCACCCCAATCAGCAAAATATTTTGAACCAAGCTGGGAAGCTCCCTTACCCAACTGACTTCTTTCCTTTATTTTAATATCTGCTCGTGTAAGCGTTCTCAGTGACAAGATCTACACAATGATTACACAAAGGCTTAGGTGTGCCAGGCCCCGAGCTAAAAGCCTTATGCACATTATCATGTTATCTCATTTCCTTGTCACAGAACAGTTCCAAGGTAGGTACTATTTTCATTCTATTTCATAGTTGAGGAAACTGAGGTTTAAGGAGGTGGACTGGATCACCCAACGCTCCTAGCTAATTAGTGGCTGTCAGGTCTATCTGCAAAGCACAGGCTTTTGATGTATAACCAAAACAGTCTCCTCTGCAAAGAGGCTGGTGTCAATTTCGAATTCACCTAATTGAATTCGAAATTGGACAGGTCTTGGGGACTTTTGTCCTTAAGAGGTGTAAAGGTTTCTCTTCAAAGACCTTCCTCCCCATTTAATTAGGAATAAATAGTAACTTCTCTTAGAAGCAAAATTTATTCAAAGACCTGTGCTAACATTCTTAAATATCTGCTAGCCATGATAAAGAAATCAATGTACTTTATGTTCTTAGCTCCCACAATTTAGCCTAAGTATTTTCCCTGGCATGCTTATACTGGTCCAAGCAAGCATTAGGTCATAGCCTGTTCCTCTTCCTTATCTAAAGGTGTTTTTACCTTTCTCAGCATTCCACAAGTTACTTCCTCCTTCCTTTGTTCTCCTCTGCCTTTGCCTCTTTTAAAAAGTTCTAAGTTGTTAGCCAATCGGGACAAATACAGAATGGGAGGTCCTGTTCCAGCCAATGGAAACTGGACACAGCAGTAGGGTGGACGCGTCAGGTTATAAATGACCCTGTCTCCTTTGTTTGGTGTACTCTCGTGGCAAAACTCCTGGTGAGTGTACCCTTTCACAGAAAGTATAAAAATGTCCTTGCTGAGTAAATTAAATTTATGTTCAAGTGCTATTTCTTTACGGCACCAGGGAACAAGCATTTCAAACAGAGGTGACTCAATGGTGTTTCAGCGTCCAGGTGGCACGGTGTTCTCTCACTCCACCTCGACGGCCCATGTCCACAAGAGGGTTCCTCCCAACAAGAAGCCTGTTCTACAACCTCAGCAGTTGTAGACTTAGTCCCATCTTTCCCAGCTGAGGGTCCAGAACCTTGGCTGTCCCCATCAAGGTCAGAATCTACCTTACGTAAAATAATTTATGAAAACTCTTTCAGATCATCCTGCAGTGATTTCTTCCTGGTCAGGTGCCCTGGTTGAAGTCCATGACGTCTCTTCCTGGCAAAGCCTGTTTAGAGCTGTTATATCCTGGTCCGGATAAAATAAGCCAGCTAGCTCGAGAAGGGTGAGACGAAGAGTTTAACTCAGATGCTACAAATAACTTTTGGCTTAAACTGTTTTTAGCTCCAGGAAAGCCCCTGAGGGTGCCTTCCAGTGACGGAGGCCTCTCCTGGAATGTTGCCATATGGATGGGACTAGAAAAAGAAAGACCTATGGTTTTAATATTATGTATCTGCAAATAGTATTTTCCTTGTGCTCATTTTATTTTTGGAGGAGGGCTCTGCTCTCCAGTCACACAAAAATTTTGGCAGAGGGGAGGGTGGGATGGCTACTCAGACCTTGGTGTACCTCAGAGGACTGTCTGAACAGTGCACTTGGCACAAGCAAAACTCCTGCCTTCCTCTCCGGGGGGAATGTTCAGTTGTTACAAGCTCTTAGCCTTCCTGCTCAGGTACAAAATCTGCTTATGGGCCAGGCATGGTGACTCACACCTGTAATCCCATCACTTTGGGAGGCCGAGGTGGGCAGATCACATGAGGTCAGGAGTTCAAGACTAGCCTGGCCAACATGGTGAAACTCCATCTTTACTAAAAATACAAAAATTAGCCAGGCATGTTGGCACGCGCCTGTAGTCCCAGCTACTGGAGAGGCTGAGGCATGAGAATCACTTGAACCTGGGAGGTGGAGGTTGCAGTGAGCCCAGATTGCACCACTGCATTCCAGCCTGGGGCACAGAGTGAGACTCTGTCTAAAAAAAAAAAAAAAAAAAATCTGTTTATGCTTGGTTACCTGTTGATAACCTTTTGATCCTTAATTATTCCATTTATCTGAGAGCAGAAACTATTGTCTTGGGAACTTGAGTGCCTGGATCGTGGTGAGCTGGAGCTGAGTGCCCGATACATTCCAGCTGCCTCTTCATGTCCAGTCTACACCCTCCATCCTGCTGCCTGGGAGCTGATCTCTATGGGTATCTCACCGGGGGCCCAGGGCCTATGGCTGCTGGGGGCCAGAAGAAGGGAGGAGTGCAGTTAGGGTGTTTCTTCCCTGGCTCCTTCTCTGAGAGCGTGGCTCGGCTCCATGTGGCTGTGTCCCGTGACTGCGGGGCAGGTTGCACCTGCACATGAACCACTTTCACTGCTAGAATCTGACAATTGTCCCCAACTCACAGCTCCAGACCCTCTTCTGGGAAGGACTCAGCCACGCTTCCTCCTCGGATCACAGAAGACTCCAGATGCAAGCTGTCTGTTTGCAACAGTGTGCAGGGCTTCTCTGACTGGGAGGCTGCTCCTGTCAGCTGTTCACCTTCTTCACTGACTCCAGAGTGTGCACGTGAGCCTGCCTGGAGGCGCTTGGACAATCATTTACCCCATTTAAAAAAAACTGGCCTGCGTTCTTGACTGCAAAAACTCATTATCATAAAAATGCCATGTCCTCTTAAGTTAGCCTATAAACTTAATGTAATGCTAATAAAAATAGCAATAGGGCTAGGTACGGTGGCTCATGCCTGTAATTCTAGCTCTTGGGAGGCCAGGGCTGGAGGATTTCTTGAGCCCTCAGGATTTCAAGACCACCCTGAAATCTCACTATACTGTGAGACCCTGTCTCTATAAAAATTATTTTTAAAAAATTAGCCAGGTGTGGTGTCATGCTTCTATCGTCCCAGCAACTTGGGAGGCTGAGGCAGGAGAATCACTTTGAACCTGGGAGGTCAAGGCTGCAGTGAGCTATGATTGTACCACTGTACTCCAGCCTGGGTGACAGAACAAGACCCCGTCTCACAAAAAAGAAAAAAAAAGGTAATAAGATTAAAAATTGTTTTTGAACTTAGCTGATTCTGATAAGTTTATTTAAAAATTAAATATGAAGCATAGCTAGAAAAAAATCTAAGAGAAGGAAGTCTACCTCTATTAGATGTTTAAACACATAAAAAGCTACAGCAATTAAAACAGTATAGAACTTGTGCATGAGGATATAGATAAATAAATGGCACAGAAAAAATCTAGAATCAGACCTTCCCTGTGCTCCCCTGGGGGCACAGTGAGATTCTTTTATGGCTGTTGGGTGTCAACACTAAGTATAGGGCCCATCTGTAGCCCCTAAGGTGCTTTTGAAAGCATGCATGCCTTTTTTTTTCCCCTCTCCCGGTTTTGACACATTCCCTTCTTTCTGGGTTGTTTTTCTTTTAGAACTGACTGTTTTTCTTTACAGTACATGGTGTTATTGTATTCTCTCCCCCCCACCCCCCGCCCCGTCTCTTTTGGTCAGGCCTTAAATTCTCTGTGGAATGAGGTAAGGCATATGTAAATACTAAGCAATTCTGCCTAAGTCACTGTAAAGCTCCCACTCCCATCTCTCATCTGCCTTTCTCATCCCAGGAGCCTGACACCTGCCTCAGTCTGTCCAGCACCCTGGACATGAGCAAGGACAAGTGTCAGAGCTGGGTCCCCAGGGGACTCTGCTCATCCATGGGACAGACGGTGTCTCTGCAGAGAAGGAAGGTGGCTACCGATGACATCTCCCGCTAGCAGGGCCCTGGCTGTTGCTGGCCATGTTTATTACTAACGGCAGCAGATGAGGCCCTGCCTGGAGGTTCCTAAGCTGCCCCGTGAAGGTCCTGACCACGGGCTTGACAGACCGGCCATCCCTATATCCAGGCTGCCTCCATACCCAGCCATGCTTCTGTCCTGGAAGACACTCAACTGGCACAGACCTGAGAGGCTGGGGATGGAAAATGGAGGGGTTTTCTGCCTTGCTTCCTCTCCAGAAAAAGCCCACCTGGGTGCCCCACGAGCCTTATGCTTAGTCAAGCAGGGGCTGCCTACAGGATGGGATTTTAGGGGCCTCCTGTCCCTTCCTCCACAAATCTCCCCTACATCTGGTCTTAATTTCTTTATTCTTATTTTTATTTTTTTTTGAGACAGGTTCTCACTCTGTCACCCAGGCTAGAGTGCAGTGGTGCAATCACAGCTCACTGCAGCCTTGACCTCCCGGGCTCAAGTGATCCTCCCACCTCACCTTGTAGCTGGGATTACAAGCACATACCACCATGCCCAGCTAATTAAAAAACTTTTTTTGTAGAGGTGTCTTGCTATGTTGCCCAGGCTAGTCTCAAACTCCTGGTCTCAAGTGATCCTCCTGACTCAGCCTCCCGAAGTATTGGGATTACAGGCGTGAGCCACCGTGACCAGCCTAGACTTAATTTCTACAAGTGGCTCTCACTCTACATTTAGAGATCAGATGGGCTGCAAATACCCAGGGGGAAGGGAACCCTTGGATTTAAATGCTCTCGTGTGAAAAGGACTGAAAGCAGGCTTACTGGGGAAGATGGGAGAGGTAGGGTTCTGGGAGTCTGGACCCAGCACTGTTGAAAGGAAATCACCCAGGGCAGATGGTCCAGGGTTTCAAGGCCAAACTTGCCCCTGTATCTTTTGGTTAGGTTGGAACTGAGATTTTCCACCTTCCCAAATGGGGACCTCCAGGATCCCTGTGAAAGGCAAGTGTCACTGGAGGCTGGTGGTTGCCTGCTCCCTCAAAGCACTGACCTTACCGCTTGATTCTGTCACCTTCCCACACATCTTTTTGTCTCTGGGCACCAGGAGGCACCTGCCCGATGCCATCCTCCTGGGGTTCCTTGGCTTCTAGGCGCTTGACTGCCCTCTCACTCCCCTTTGGCTGGCTTTGCTCCTCCAGCCCAGCCCCTGAGGATCTCTCTTCCTGCCTCCCTTCCTGCCCAGGGCTGTGTGCTGCCCTTTCTACGTTGTCCAGGACCCCTCCAGCAAACAATCCCAGAGGCGGGGTCCCTGCTGGCCTAGTGGACAGAACCGGGGCACTCTGGGCAGGGGTGCTGGTCACTTGGGTGGTGAAAGGTCCCGAGTAGGCTGGGTGCGGTGGCTCACCCTGTAATCTCAGCACTTTGGGAGACCAAGGTGGGCAGATCACGAGATCAGGAGTTCAAGACCAGCCTGGCCAACATAGTGAAACCCCGTCACTACTAAAGATACAAAAATTAGCTGAGCATGGTGGCATGCGCCTGTAGTCCCAGCTACTAGGGAGGCTGAGGCAGGAGAATCACTTGAATCCAGGAGGTGGGGGTTGTAGTGAGCTGAGATTACGTCACTTCACTCCAGCCTGGGCAACAGATCGAGACTCCGTCTCAAAAAAAAAAAGAAAAGAAACGTCCCAAGTAGGTGGCAGGCTGGCAGGGGCGGGGGTACCTTTGCTGGCTGTCCCCCTCGCTGCTGGGCACAGGCCAAATGGCTCCACGGAGCACCCCACAGCCACGTTGAGCCTTCAGGTGGTTCTCAAACCAGAAAGGAGTATGGTGGAAAGACATCCCAGATAGATCTAAGAGGCTGGACCAGAGGTGGTTGGGGAGGGGCACTAGATTTGTGGTTAGAAGACCACAAATTTTTTTTTTTTTTTTTTTAGATAGAGTCTCACTCTGTTGCCCAGGCTGGAGTGCAATGGCTCCATCTTAGCTCACTGCAACCTCTGCTTCCTGGGTTCAAGCAATTCTCCTGCCTCAGCCTCCTGAGTAGCTGGGATTACAGGCGCCCACCACCATGCCCAGCTAATTTTTGTATTTTTAGTAGAGATGGGGTTTCACCATGTTGGCCAAGCTGGTCTTGAACTCCTGACCTCAGGTGATCCACCCGCCTTGGCCACCCAAAGAGCTGGGATTACATGCATGAGCCACTGCGCCCAGCCAGAGGACCTGGATTTTGGTCCTGATCTGGCCACTTAAGATTGTGTGAGCTTGGATACACTTCTTAATTTCTCTAAGCTGGTGTGTTCTCAGCTGTGAAAGGAGGATCATGATGAGGTGTATCCTCGGCAGGTTGTTAGGATCACGTGAGAGAAGGGAAACCGGGGTTCCATGGATGGGCTTTAGAGACCTGGAACCCCAAATGTTTTGTGCAAATTTGGCACACATGCAAACACATGCTGTTTTCTAGGGAGAGCAGTCTGGTTTCTCTCCCACTCCCACCCCGAATGGTTGGGAAACACTAGAGCCAGACCATGGAGTTCAAATCCTGACTGTGACCTGGGGAAACTACTCCCTCTGTGCCTCAGTTTCCTCATATATAACATAGGTTTAATAATAATAGACTGTCTCATGGCACTGAGAATTAAATGAAAAAAATATGCAAAGCATTGAGAACAGTGTCTCCAAGTGTTTGCTCTTTTCATTTGCTAATTTTATAGGCGTGGAAACTGAAACTCAAGGGAAGTGGAGTTTCGATTGGTACATGGTGTGCCAGACCTTGGCCACATTTGGCAGTCTTGTCCTCGAAAGGGTGCCAGGGTTGCCAAGGGTGCCGGCTGGTGAGGGGCAAGGAGAGAGGGTTGTGGCCGGGGGTCAGTGAGGAGGGAGGGGAGCTGCGGGGGAGAGTGAAGCAGTGCATAAGGTGTCTGTCTCACCGTCTTGAGCCTTCCGAAACTCTTCTTTGGAAGCAAGGGGTGTCCGAATAAGGAAGAAATAAAGGTAAATAGTGAGCACTGGGCGAGGTGTCCTGGTGTGTGCCTGTGGTCCCAGCTACCTGGGAGGCTGAGGTGGGAGGATGGGTTGAGCCCAGGAGGTGGAGTTTGCAGTGAGCTGTGACAGCAACACTGCACTCCAGCATAGGTGACAAGGCAAGACCCAACTCTTTTTAAAAAAAGAAAGTACATTTTTTAAAAGAGGGGGAGCACTGAGAAGGGTGTAGATACAAAAGCATTTGCTGGTGACACGAGGGTGGCCACTACAAAGAAGAGTGGCCACCCAGGCCTGACCGGGTCTCCAGCCGGGACTGTGGAGCCTCCCCTGCACTTCCCTGTAGCGCTGGATCCCGGGGCTGAGAACAGCAGCTCCTGGGAGAGGCTGGCCTTGAGGTCCCTTCCCTGCTTTTCTCCTCACATAACAGAAGGAAAGACGGCCCCTTAACAGCCTCCCTCCTCCTGAGTCTGCAGTTGGGACCGAGTCTGCAGTTGGGACCCAGTCTGCAGTTGGGACCGTTTCTCTCCCTGCACCCCTGGGCTGTCAGTTCTCTCAGGGAACGTTTACCACGTTTGTGCCTATGGCAGATGAGCATTCCTGTATTCATTTGCTCATTTGTTCAAAGACTTTTTAGTGTCATTCTCTCTGGCCCATTCTGGGACACCCACTGGGCTCAGTTAAGCCACTTTTGCCTATGGGTCTCTGGGAAATCCTCTCTGAATTCAAGCTTCCTCCACACCTTCTAATTTGTTTGGGAAAGGAGGTTTGATTTGTGTTTTTGAATCGTTAAGCACAGCAGCCTTCCCCTTCCAAGACTCACGTGACCTGGATAAGGGCTTCACTGCCCCCAGCAGGGCTGCCTTTCTTGGGGACCCACGGAGAGCACACCAGGTAGCCAGCCCTTCCTTCCACTCCAACCCACCCAGACCCTCCTCTGAGGACAAGGCACTCCCAGACAGACCTTATGAATGACTCCTTTAAACTCCAGGGCCTTCTACTGAAAAGATAAATTCATTCAGGGCCATGTCAGTAAATTTCCAGAGCTGTGCTCCCCAGCCTGGGTGTCTGCATCCTGAAGGTTGGCTGTGTGACAGGCCCAGCCCATCCTGGGGGGTGGGATGCAGCTGGATTACTAATATTTGCAGCTCCTGGAGGTTTTCCAAGAGGAAAGCATAATATTTGCTCTGCATTTTCTCCTTCTTTCCCTTCCGCTACTGCTGTCTTTCCTTCACAAACAGAAGTGAGGCAGAGTTGGGGAGCCAGGGGAGGGGGAGTGCAGGAGAGGCTGGGCTGAGGCACACCTGAGCTACCTGTGGCTCTGTCACACTATAGTGCAGAGGCTGCTGACAGTCCTGCAGGACAGGAGGTGTGTGGGCAGGTTGGTGCTGGCTGTCACAGTTACACCCAGTGCCTGCACTGGGAAGAATTGCGCTTGGTGAAGTAAAACACGCTGGATACCAGAGCAACCCCCAGGAAATAACTGGGTTTTCTTATTGTTTTCTTTAGTCCCTTTATTTGTAGGCACAGCTGCTTAAAGAAACAAGCTGGCCCCTGATGGTGCCAGAGCTTCTTGACCTCTGCCCAGATACCAGAGGGAGATAAGACCCCCAAAACTGGCAGAAACTGGAACAGGCAACCCCTTGTTACCTTCAGAACTTTACCATGTCATTATAATGCTAACGTCCCCACCTGTAGAAGAAAATCACCATTATTTCTGAACATGTGTCAGAGGCGTGTGAACTAGAGCAACTCCATCTTGAATAAGAGCTGAGTAAAATGAGGCTGAGACCTACTGGGCTGCATTCCCAGACAGTTAAGGCATTCTAAGTCACAGGATGAGATAGGAAGTCGGCACAAGATACAGGTCATAAAGACCTTGCTGATAAAACAGTTGCAGTAAAGAAGCCGGCCAAAACCTACCAAAACCAAGATGGTGACAAGAGTGACCTCTGCTCGTCCTCACTGCTACACTCCCACCAGAGCCATGACAGTTTACAGATGCCATGGCAACATCAGGAAGTTACCCTACGTGATCTAAAAAGAGGAGGCATGAATAATCCACCCCTTGTTTAGCATATAATCAAGAAGTTTAGCATATAATCAAGAAATAACCATAAAAATGGGCAATCATCAGCCCTCAGGGCTGCTCTATGAAGTAGATTTTCTTTTATTCCTTTATTTTCATAATAAATTTGCTTTCACTTTACTGTATGGACTCACCCTGAATTCTTTCTTGAGCGGGATCCAAGAACCCTTTCTTAGTTCTAGATCAGGACCCCTTTCTGGTAACACATCTTGCATTGTATGGAGAGGCATGTTTATGACCTGGGCCTGAGCGTCTAGAGGTCTCCACCCCCACACCGTGACCCCACACCTGCTTACACACCTCCCTGCCCCACACCTATCTCCTTACAACTCCCCAGTTTCCATGGCTCGGGGTGAAGGTGTCTTTAGAGCAAGAGCCCCCTCCTTCTCTTTCTCCTGGTCAGGAATAAAACCCTCTTGCCTTTTTTTCCAACTGAGTGTTCTTTCTTTGCAACTGATACCAAGTAGGGAAAGAACTCAGCTTACCGGTGACACACTCACACACACGTTTCACACACTGGCCAAGGGAGCTCATCTTGGAGGAAGAGCAGGCAGAACACAGAGCTGCTACGGGGCAGCCCAGACTCCCAGATGCCTTCCGCTGCCTCCACATCCCTCACTCCATGCTTCTCGCCTGGGGCCCAGCTTGCCGTGCCTCTGCACACCTCTGTCCTCGCGTAAGTCAACTCTGGAGGACATGTCTCTTTCCCCTCCAATCTAGTCTCAGGCTCCTTGTTGGTGCATTCCTGGCTCCGTGCCAGGCCTGTACTCAGTCTAGAGGAGACTGGCGCTGGTTCTGAGGCAGTGAGCTCACAGCCGGCAGGAGACAGACGTGGAAACTGGTTGTGGATGATGGTGGTGAGCATGAGGCTTTGAGTCTGAACAGGGCAGACTGGGACTGTAGGAGGGCTGGGGTGGGCGAGGAAGGCTTAGAGCGGGGAGCTGGGTGAGGAAGAGCAGGGGCACTTTCAGGGAGAGGGAAGGTCAAGTGCAGAGTCCAGAACAGGCAGGCAGCAGGACGGGCATTGTGGGGCTGGGCATTGGGAACTGGAGAGGGCTGGGGCTAGGCGGATTGGGTTGGATGTCCGGGCCAGCTTAGGAATCTGAACTGGCTCCTAAGGGAATTTAAGCCAAACTTCCTTCTCTTCCTTTCCCCTTCTGCACCAGACCCTCCAAGCATAATAAAATATTTGCCTTTTTCAGAATGAATCACTCCCTGCTTCCTCTTTGTGGGAAACCTTCCTTCCAACTCTCCCTCCTTAATCATCCTTTGGGGTATCTCTCTTAACCCCTTACTGTTCCCCTCCCAGATCCTCACACTGACTCCCAGCTGACTCCCAACATGATCTGAACTTGGAATTAATCCATCCATTTAATAATTTGCCTCCACTACTTCCATAGCTCCCTGAGGACAGGTTTTCTGGCAGCAATGCCCAAAGTGGATTAGATACAAGTATACATGCTCCTTAACTTACAACGGGGTTACATCTGAACAAATCCATCAGAAGTTGAAAATATTGCAAGTCGAAAATGCATTTAATACACCTCAGCCTACTGTAAACTAAAAATCAAAGTCTAAGCCCCTTAACTAACTGAATGGGTGCCCCCTTAGTCAAGGGGATTCCAAGGTAAACCTGAAAAACAAGTTCAGGCCACGATGGGAAGGGAGGTCCGTCATGCCTCATTTTATCCTCCTCCTTTAGGAATTCAGGCACAGCTGACCAGCCTTAACTGAAAACAGAGATCTTAAGACTCACAAAACAGACTCTTCCTAGCAATAAGATACCAAATTCCAACCACACTCTAGTAGAGCATCACATGACAGATAGCAGGCCCTGAAAGAAATCAAAGTATTTTAGCCCAAAATATATTTTTCTGACAGATTTTGAAATGTCTCTGAAAGCTGTCTCTTGTGGGAAAATCTACATTCTATAGCAGGGGTGTCCAATCTTTTGGCTTCCCTGGGCCACACTGGAAGAAGAAGAATTGTCTTGGGCCACACATAAAATACACTGACACTAATGATAGATGATGAGCTAAAAAAAAAAAAAATCTCATAATATTTTGAGAAAGTTCACAAATTTGTGTTGGGCCACATTCAAAGCCATCCTGGGCAGCACGAGGGTTGGACAAGCTTGATGTAGAGAATCACCTTCCCTTCAGGTCTTTTTCTGATCCTGAAGAGATTAGCTGAGCATCTAGTAGCACCTTTTAAAGGTCTGAATAGAAAACATTTGCCATCTATTGCCTTTGAGAGTGGCCCTCTGTGAGACTTCATCTACATAATAAAAACCTTGGTCTCTAACAACTTCTTATCTCAACCCAGGCACACTTTTCAACTGATTTCAGGTTTTCGTTTTTTTTTTTTTTTTTTTTTTTTTGGTTTTTTGGGAGCGAGTCTTGCTCTTGTCTCCTAGGCTGGAGTGCAGTGGTGCAATCCTGGCTCACTGCAACCTTCACTTTCTGGGTTCAAGCGATTCTCCTGCCTCAGCCTCTGAGTAGCTGGGACTACAGGCATACACCGCCATGCCCAGTTAATTTTTGCATTTTTAGTAGAGGCGAGGTTTCACCATGTTGGCCAGGCCAGGCTCGAACTCCTGACCTCAGGTGATCCACCCGCCTTGGCCTCCCAAAGTGCTGGAATTACAGGTGTGAGCCACCGCACCCGGCCTTGATTCCAGGTCTTTAGATAGTAACTTAATGCTTTCAATTAACTGCCAATCAGAAAAATCTCTGAATCCACCTGTGACTCGGAGCCCCCTCCAGCCCCTGTGCCTTCCCCATCCACTTCAAGTTGTCCCGCCTTTCTGGATTGATGTCTGCCTGTAACTTATGTCCTCCTAAAATGTATAAAACCAAGCTGTAAACCAACCACCTTGGGCACAGGTTCTCAGGACCTCCTTGGGCTTTGTCACAGGCTTTGGTCACTCATATTTGGCTCAGAATAAACTCTTTAAATATTTCACAGAATTTGACTATTTTGTTGACACTGCCTAACACCATAGCTTAGCCTAGCCTACCTTAATTGTGCTCAGAACACTTACAGTAGCCTACAGTTGGGCAAAATTATCTAAGGAGGCAAAGCCTGTTTTAAAATAAAATGCTGAACAACTCAATGTAATTTATTGAATACTGTACTGAAAGTGAAAAACAGAATGGTTGTATGGGTACTTCAAGTACAGTTTCTACTAAATGTGTATTGCTTTCATGCCATTGTAAAGCTGAAAAATTGCATGTCAAGCCATTACAATTCTGGGGCCACCTGTAGGCATCCTGAGCCAGACTCCAGGTGAGAACTGAGGCCCGCCTTGGAGTAATGGGGGAATAGAAGAAAATGGCGGCTTGGTGATGAGTTAAGGACCGAGAATGGAGGGACTGGTTGGACACAGAAAGGGAAGAACCTTGTATAGAGAAGGGATTGTGTTTTGCTTTTGTCTTTTTTGCTGAAGTCTCAGCCCACTGCTCTTCCTATAACAGATGCCCAGTAAAGCTGGCTGAATGGAAGCAGAAAGGCAGTTGCTGGCTTGTGCAAGTCAGGGCTCCTGAGCCCCATGGGCATCTCAGAACGCTTGGGGGTGAGTGGAGTCCTGAAGCTGGCACATCAGCCCAGCTTGTGAAGTCCTTCACTACTGTGTACCTTGGGAAGTCCCAGAAAACACATCCTCCCCACCCCGCAAACCATGAAGAGCTAATGTCCAAGCAGCTTGGGTTATTACTGGTAAAGGACAAGAAGGCCATTATTCAAAGGGGAGGAATCGTGGTGTCTTCCAAAAATGGTGGCAACAATGTTTCTGGTTTCACATGTTCTTCCAGAACCCTGCCACTCTCCATCTAGAAGTGGGCTCCATGTCCCTTCTCTTTGATCCTGGGTGAGCCTTCATTGATCTCAATGAATAGGATATGGCAGAAGTGATGCTATGTGACTTCCAAGCCTAGGTCGTAAAGATGAGACAGCTCCCAGGTCTTTCTCTTGGGACATGAGCTGCTGTAAGATGTTCAGCTACCTTCAAGTCCCTGTGATGGGGAGACCACAAAAGAGACAGAGATCCCTGGACCCCTGCTGATCCACCCTTCAGCCCGGGCACCAGACATGTGGTTGAGGGGGCCTACAGATGACTCTGTCCCCATCCCCATCTGATTGCAACCACTTGAGAGAGCGGGAGAGAGTTGCCCAGCTCAGCCCCGTCATCCTTCAGAACCATGAGAGAGAACAAAATGCCTTGTGTTTCAAGCCATTTGTTTTGGGGTGGATTGTTACACACTAGATACAGGTGTGACAAAACAGGGAGCTTGTGCTTGGGAGTCTGAACTGTAACGCATACCAGGGAGCCAGGGATAGTAAGATACACCTGCTAACAGAGTCTCCCACCTGGGGGTGCCAGCAAGAGAATGGAGCCAACACTGAGAAATGCCAGTGTCAGGCCACCCAGCTGCTCTGCAGTTCCCAAGGTACCCTGGACCTGAGATGTTCCCACTGTCTCCCTGCTGATGTGTGGTTTGGAAAGGCACCTGAGCTAGGAAGCTGAGCAGACGGAATGGCCTGCCAGTGGAACCATTCTCCAAGAAGCAGGGAGGGCCCTTCTCCTCCTTTGCTGTGTTCCTCCCAATGCTAGTGGGAAGCTTGAAGCTCCCCTCCCACAGGCTCAAATATCCCAGCAATGCTGCCCTGACCCCGTACATGCAATGTTTTCTCCTTTCCTACAGTATTTACTCATACTTGCGGCTGGATTAGATTGAAGCAATGCTGGAAAGAATATTTAGTTTGTCTTCAGCAACTCACCTACTGATTACCACTGCTATTCCTACCTCCCATCCGGCCACTCCCTTGCACCAGGCTCCCCAAATGGCATTCTGTGTGCCCAGTGACCCCCACAGTACCTCCCCCTTCACTCCTGCTCTGCCAGTGGTTCTCAACTGGGGGCATTCCATGCACCCCCCAACTCCGCCAAGCCCCCAGGGGACATTTGGCAAGGTCTGCAGACATTTTTGAGTGGCACACGGGGGTGTGTGGGTAGAGGCCAAGGATGCAGCTAAACATCCTATAATTCACAGGACAGCCCCCTACAATGAACAATTATCCAGTCAGTTGTGCCAAGGTTGAGAAACCCTGATGGATCTCAAATCGTACCTGTTTTGCGTTATATTTCTTTAGACCTTTTGTTCTTTTGTTTTGCATGCTGACAGCTAGATACACGATAAACAGACCAAGCTACTGAAGACTGCTCCTGGCTAAATTTCACCCTTCCTGAGACAACAGCATTTTAACAATCTCCAGCAGACCTGACACCCTGTCCCAGAGAGACACATCTCTCAAGGTCCTAGGCAGCCCAAGAAGGCGGAGAGCCACATTTTCAGGCAGCTGTGGGTCTTCGCTTTGGAAGGGAGGAGAAGGAACCTCTGAAAAGCCAATTCAGGGCCATCCCTCTGAAACTGGCAGGGAGGGGCTTCTCTAGAGGAAATGCACACCCCGCCAGCGTGCTAGGCCTGCGAGAGGGTAGCTGATGAGTCACCCTGGGCCATCCCTTTGTTACTCATTTCAGAGTCTGGCAGCAGCCCAGAAAAGGATACCCCCAAAGTGGAATTCCCCATGCATGTACAATCATCCTTCATTTGTATCAGGGGCTGGGAGGGGAGGGGGCAGATCCTCCATTTTACTCATGCCCCACCCTTATTAACAAGAAGTCTTCAGCCTCCTTCCCTAAACTGCACACACATCAGAACTGTGAGCCACAGCCAGTGATCCAAACCACGTGTCCCAGGCCTTTCCTTTCCCTTCTCCCTGCCCTATCTGCCAGAAGGGAGGCCCTAAAAGGGAGGATGGGAGGGAGGCGAGGGTGCTGGGGCTTGACATTCACTCTTCCTCTCTCTAGTCCCTTGCCTGTCTCAGCCGTGCCCTGGACCAGAAGGACATAACCTGTTGCATGTTTTGTCGTTTTTGTGTCCCTGTTCCCTGCAGCCCTGACCCTCCTGGGCCATCGCCCCCACGGTCACTAGTCAATATCAGAGTTTTTATCTCCAGTACCCCAGCAGAGGTGGCTGCTCCTTCCTGATGGCTGCCCTCCCCCCAGGCGCAGGCAAACCCACCCTCTTCCTCCCCATCCCTGCTCTCATCACAGACCCCACAGAAGAAGGGAGGAGGAGGTGGAACCTTGCCCTCGGCTGCCAATTCCTGTCTTAAATTCCTGCTCTTCAGGAACTCTCCTTTCTTAGCTCCTGGAGGAAGCCCAAAGACAGTATCTATTTTCCTGACTTCCTGAGGGGATTCACAAAGCTGAACTACTAGTCTTGCTTGGGCTGGGGTAGCAAAATACAGGAGAAACATCATCCTGAGAATGGGCCCAACAAGAATGAACGTGGGAAACTTTCTCACTCGGATCCTGGTCTCCCGAGAGACGGAGGAAACCCACGAGGCCCTGGGTTCCAGTGGCACCTTTCTGTCACATAGTCTTAAAGTTCCCTGCATTGTAGGAAAAGAAAAAGAAAGGACGCAAACATCGTCATTGTTCCCATTTCGCAGATGGGTGAGTGGAAACTTATGGCTAGAGATCACAAGGTACTGGAAGCACGTGTATGTGCTGGGATAGGAGAGAGTCCACGTTCCTTGGCACTGAAGGGCCTCTGGCCCTTTGTGGGAAACATCAGGAGGCCATGACCATTGTGTGACCAAAGAAAATTACAGCAGGAAACTCCTCTGAGTTTCCGGACCTTCCCCCTGGGACACCACCTCCTCTGTCATACCCCTCTCCAAAACTTAGGTGGCCGCCAATGTCAAGTGCTAAAGCTGGGACCCAGTCGGGTATTCAAGATGTGCCACAATGTGTCTCCACCTCAGCGACGCGACCTCATTTGACAGTACTCCCCTCCAGCTGTACTGTCCCCAAAGAGAACGTGCAATCTGCATGGATTAAACCTTTACTATGTACCAGCCTCTGGAGCTCTGAGCTTTATATGTCTATTATTTCATTTCATCTTTACAGTCCTCTGAGGTAGACACAATTTTTTTTTTTTTGAGATGAAGTCTCGCTCTATTGCCCAGGATGGAGTGCAGTGGTGCGATCATGGCTCACTGCAACCTCCACCTCTCAGGTTCAAGCGATTCTCCTGCCTCAGCCTCCTGAGTAGCTGGGACTACAAGTGCATGCCACCACGCCCGGCTAATTGTTTGTATTTCATATTGTAGTTTTGTAGAGATGGGTTTTCACCGTGTTAGCCAGGATGGTCTTGATAGTAGGCACTATTATTATCTTCATTTCACGGATGAGGAAACTGAGGTGTGAAGAGGATAGTGATCCACTCAAAATGACAGAGCCAGTATGTGGCAGAATAAGAGGCCAGTCCCTAACTGCCAGACACCAAGTCCTCATTCGCTACCCTGATATTTACAGATGTTTATTGATGTAGGTTTAGCTGTTTGTTTTGAGACAAGGTCTCACTCCATCACCCAGGCTAGAATGTCATGGTGCAATCACGACTCACTGCAGCCTTGACCTCCTGGGCTCAAAGTGATCCTCCCACCTCAGCCTCCCAAGTAGCTGGAACTACAGGTGCACACCACCATGCCCAGCTAATTAAAAAAATTTTTTTTTGTGGAAATGGGTTCTCATTATGTTGCTTGGCTGGTCTTGAACTCCTGGGCTGAAGGGACCCTCCCACCTCAGCCTCCCAAAGTGTTGGGATTACAGGCATGGGCCACCATGCCCTGCCTGTTTATTGACGTCTGTGCATTGTTTGGCTCTGATGTGAATACTATCCCGCTTTGGAGAGTAAAGGCTGAGAGGCTGGATTCCAGAGCGCAACAGTCTGCTGCTGTGCAGTGCAGCAGCCACAAGGAACATGTGGCTATTTACATTTAAATTAAATAAAATTACAAATTCAGTTTCTCAGTTGCATGAGTCATATTTCAAGTGCTCCACAGCCACACAGGGCTAGTGCTGCTGTTTGGAGCAGTGCAGATATACACGGTTTCCATCATCACTAGAAGCTCTATGGGACAGGGGTGGTCTAGAAGTGGCCTCACTGCACACCTGCTGGCCAGGCCACCTCCTCCTGGGGCTCAATCATCCAGACAGTGTTGCTAGCCAGGACCCCAACAGACCTCATGGAACCCACGGTCCTTCATTTCTCAAATCCCCAGATGAGTGTCCCTTGGCTGGTCTTCTTGGGGACTGGTGCTGAACAAGGTGGAGATATAATTCCTCACAAACACCAGTCCAGCTAAAGCCAGATGTGTGAGGGTGCAGGGGGCTGTCGAGGAAGGTAACATTCTAAAGTCACAGAATGTCAGAAGTAGTGGGGCATCAGGAAAATCTGTTCCAACCTTCTAATCTCAGAGACAAGATAAGACAACTATGGCCGTATAGGGGCGTGGTCTGGCTCCTGGCCACAGGAAGCTGGTGGAAAATCTAAAGAGGCACCCAAACAGGCAAAGAGTCACCCCTGGATCCAGAGGCCCATGGGGAGCAGGCTGGAGCCCTGGAATCCCACTTTGCACGCCCTGTGGCTTTGCAGGAAAGTATATGGGAAATGGGGGATTCTTGAAGGGGGTCCCACTGCTCCTATTCCTGGAGAGGGGGCAGGGAGAGCTAAGGAGAGATTTGTTCTTCAGGCATCTGATGTAGCTGGAGACCGTGGGTACCATGGCCAAAGCTGAGGCAGCCAGGGTGGGACAGGGGCCTCCAAGCAACACAGCAGTGTTAGCAGTTCACCTGGACCTGTTGATGAGCTGTCTTAGATGCACGAAGGCAAGAGATGTCTCATCTCGTCTCTAAGATCTTAGATCTTAAGTGCAGAGGGAAGGCAGCTGGGAGTGTGGACGGCAGCCACAAGGGAGAAAAGTGCAAGAGCATTTACAACCAGAAGAGAAGCCGAGGGGACATGATGGCCCATGGACAATGTAGCCATGGACAGTGCCCTGGGAGGCTGGTAAGGGGGGTGCTGGGACTGGTGGTGAAGAGATCATTTTTAAGAAAAAGAATGGATTTACTTTCTCCATCAAACCAGCCAACATCTATTTGCTAGTCTTTAAACATTTTAACTACATGGGTACTTATTTATTTACTTTTTGAGATAAGTTTTCCCTCTGTTGCCCAGGCTGGAGTGCAGTGGCTCCAGAACCAGGCTGGAGTGCACGGCTCACAGCAGCTTCTACCTCCTGGGCTCAAGTGATCCTCCTGCTTCAGCCTCCCGAGTAGCTGGGACGACAGGCATGTGCCACCAAGCCCAGGTAATTTTTTTGTAGAGACAGAGTTTTGCTATGTTGCCCAAGCTGGTCCCAAACTCGGGTTCAAGCGATCCTCTTGCCCCAGCCTCCCAAAGTGCTGGGATTACAGGTGTGAGCCACTGCATACTTATTAAAAAGGCACCACAAATTCCAATAGACAGGCATCTTACAAAATCTCTGATCAATATTCCCCAAAACTGTCAAGGTCATCAAAATTAAGGAAAGACTTGAGAGACTGTCACAGCCCAGAGGAGCCGAAGGAGACTTGGCAACTAAATGAAACGTGGGGTCCTGGATGGGATCCCGGAATAGAGAAAGAACCTTAGGGGAAAACTAAGAGAATCTGCATAAAGCATGGACTTTAATAATACTGCATCAATGCTGATTCATTATAACACGTGTACCACACTGATGTAACATGTTAATAATAGGGGAAACTGGGTATGAGGTATCTGGAACTTCCTGTATTATCATCTCAGCTTTTCTATAAACCTAACACTGTTCTTAAAAAAAAGTCTATTAACATTTTTAAAGGTACCTATTATAAAAATGCATTTTTAAATTTATAATTTAAAAATTATTTGCCAGGTGTGGTGACTCGCACCTGTAATCCCAGCACTTGGGAGGATAAGGCAGAAGGATTGCTTGAGCCCAGGAACTTGAGACCAGCCTGGGCAACACAGTGAGACCCCATCTCCACACAGACACACACAAAAATTAGCCAGGTGAGGTGGTGCGTGCCTGTAGTCCTGGCTACTTGGAAGGCTGAGGTGGGAGGATTGCTTGAGCCCAGGAGGTCGAGGCTGCAGTGAGCTATGGTTTTGTTACTGCACTTTAGTCTGGGCAACAGAGCAAGACCCTGTCTCAAAAAAAAAAAAAAAAAAAAAAAAGAAAGAAAGAAAAAGAAAGAAAGGAAAAGAAATAAAAATTATTTAAAACACTTAAATATTCAATTTTTAAAATTGAGGAATGCACATCTGACCCCTTTGTGTTCATTTTCTCCCCATATGTTTCTCCTTCTGAGTTTCAATCTGTGTGTTACCCAAACACAGGCCACAAGTTTGTCTCTCCTCGTTTTGGCATTTCCACCCTTAGATTATGAAATTTTCAAGGACAAGGATCTGGTTTCCAACCCAACTTATTTTCTTCTCCTCCTTTTCTCTTCCTCCACCATCCTCTTTTTCTTCGGCAATTTGGCAAAAGGACTTTTCACATAACTGGAATCAGTAATGATAATCCTGGTCCCTTGAATTTGTCTGGGATTCTATAGTGTGCCAAGTGTGTTTGCCTGTATAAATCTCACTTTTCTCCACAGCCCTGGGAAGGGATCCTTATCATTATTCCCATTTCACAGAAGAAGAAACTGAGGCTCAGAGGGGTTGGGTCCAAATAAGTGGCTAATGAGTGGTAGAAGGAACAGGACTGGAAAATTCCCCATCTGGCTTGCCTTTCCCATTGGTCTTGTCCCTTCCCCACTCTCTGCTGAGCTAGGCTGTGGGGTGGGGCACCCTGTAGCTAAACACCTCCCAGTGGGTGCTCTGGGGGTCCATGTGACATCTTGAGAAGGAGGCAGGTTGACCCACCTCTGAGGGGCCCAGGGAACATTTGCTGGGTTACAATGAAATGGGGGTGTGCTGTTTCAACAGCCTTGGCAGCCTTGGGCTCTACCCCAGGAAATCAGAGGCCTGCAAGGTGACCTATGCCTTCCTGGCTGGGGTAGCTGCCTTCATCCGTGAGCTGTGAGGCTGTGGGGAAAGCTCAGTGGTGACCCAGTGCAAAGTAAAGCATCAGAGGTAGGAGCAGCTCAGCCTTGGAGTTTCCTGGGTCCTTGGGAGCCATTTCAAGTGGCAAGCACCTGTAAGAATGTGGTTATTACCCCACGATTTCAGAGCCATATTTAGCTGCAGGGTCAGCCAGTGGAGGCTCCAGCTGGGTCTCCAGCCCTTCCTCCAGAAGGGCAGATTTTTCTCTGCTGAATCAATTCTTACACAACTATATTCTGCAATGGAGATGGCTCTTGGTGAGAGCAGCTCTGTAAACATGGTTTAAATGACTTTGGTGAAGCTTGGAAGCTGAGCCTTCTGGGAAGGAGCGTGGGTGTTTGTGGATTAAACATTGCTGGGCAGCACAGTAAACAGGGCAGGGCGTTGCAAAGTGCACAAGTCTAAGAATGTCACCTGCCCAAGTTCCCTGGGGGAACTGAGTAAGGCTCAGGGTAGAAAGCGCAGGTAGAGAAGATGAATTTTGCTGAGAATGGTTCCTCAGCACAGCACTATGGCAAATTGGAGGGAGCATGGGTTAGGAAGAGTGTAGGATTCAAAATCAGACCAGGGTTCAATCCTTTGGCAATTACTAGCTGTGTGGCTTTACACTTACTCTCCCGTCTCTGTGGCTCAGTTTTTTTTTATCTGTACAGTGAGGTGAGAATATTTACTTTAGATTTGGGATGAGTACATGAAATACTGTAGTGAAAAAATGCTCTATGAATTGCATACTGTTATGCAGGTGATGGGTACTGTTATTACTCCTTCTGTGTGTAATAAAAGAATGATCTTGGCTGGGCGCAGTGGCTCACGCCTGTAATCCCAGCACTTTGGGAGGCCGAGGTGGGTGGATCACTTGAGCTCAGAAGTTCAAGACCAGCCTGCGCAACATGGCAAGACCCGGTCTATACAAAAAAATACAAAAATTAGCCAGGTGTGGTGGCGTGTGCCTGTAGTCCCAGGTACTCAGAAGGCTGAGGTGGGAGGATCACTCGAGCCCAGGAGGCCAAGGCTGCAGTGAGCCAAGATCCTGCCAGTGCACTCCAGCCCTGGGGAACAGAGTGAGACCCTGTCAAAAAAAAAAAAAAAAAAAGAGAGAAAGAGAGAAAATAAGGATGATCTTGTAGTGCTCTAACCCTCTAGCACAAGGAATGAGGAGTAGCTGGTTAGAAACCCGGGAATGGCTTTAGAATAGCTGAATACAAACTCATAGGGGGTGTCTGAGGTCACTCCATTTACCCTCCTTCCTTCTCCGTTTTTGGAAGAGACGGAGGTTCCAGATGGAAGTTCCAGGTAATTACTTGCCCAGTCTTCGGACTACCAACAGAGCTGAGTCTAGGCTCATATCTCTGGCCATGTCACAGAGTGTCACTGCCATGGCCTCTGTTCCTGGTGCTTGTGAGGCTGTTGGGATTTGGTGAAGGTCAAGGCCCCATCAGCACCCGCTGGCCAGGTGCCAGAATCAGGGTGAGAGTACAGTATACCACATTTCACAGATTGTGATCTAACTAGAGTCCTCCAAAATAAAAGGCTGAAAGAACAAAATGACCAATACTGCATTATACGCGCGCGCGCGCACACACACACACACACACACACACACGCACACACCCCTGAGAAATTACAGACTAGCTACTAAGAAATTTTTAAAAGGTTTACATTTCACCTGGTTTATAATTCCCCTGGGAGGGAAATTTCTCCCAGGAATGTTAACCTTTGCTATCTCCTCTCCAATTGGCCCAGTGGTATTTACACAGGACTTAAATCATGTATTTGTTGCTTACACTTTGGCACTTAAGGTGTTGTTAAACTCTGAAGCAGATGTTAGGCAGTTGCTGTGTTTGTTTCTGGATTCTCTCTCTTTTTTTTTGAGATGGGGTCTCTCTCTGTCACCCCGGCTGAAGTGCAGTGGTGCCATCTCTACTCACTGCAACCTCTGCCTCCTGGGTTCAAGCAATTCTCCTGCCTCAGCCTTCTGAGTAGCTGGGATTACAGGCACCCACCACCACGTCCAGCTAATTTTTTTGTATTTTTAGTAGAGACAGGGTTTGACCATGTTGGCCAGGCTGGTCTCTAACTCCTGACCTCAGGTGATCTGCCTGCCTCGGCCTCCCAAAGTGCTGGGATTACAGATGTGAGCCACTGCGCCGGCTGTTTCTGGATTCTCTAAAGCCCCCGGGGTTGGTCAAAGTTTCCATCAATTCCATTTTCTCTAATGAATAGATTTTCCTGGAGGATCCGCCTTGGGTGCTCAAGGACCTCTATCTTCTGTCTTTTGTGGGGCGAGAAGAAAAGAAATGAAAGGAGTGTTTTCTGCAGGTAAGAATGTGCTCTGGCATCTCAGGAATCTGCAGAGCCTGAGCTCAGACAAACTTTCCCGCCCAGCTCATGTTCTTCCTCACAGTCTGTCTGTCCTAATGATTCACATGATGCTCTGACATTCCTCAGGGCTAGAAAATTTTCCAGGTCCCGTCTTAGGGAGTCTAGCTCAGGAATTAAACATACCCTGGGGTCAGGGGTACCAGCCACCACTTTAGCTGTAGGAAGACCTCTGCATCCTCATCTATAAAATGGGAATAATCACGGTGCCTTAGAGATACATATTAGCTGTTATCAGCTGGTATTAGGAGTATATGAGTAACAGAACCTCTGCTAGGTGGGTGAGGACAGGAGGTACAACTCTAGTTGACTGATTTTGCTACTGATGAACTTGTCTGGGGAGCCAGCCAGCTGAGGCTGATGGCAGAAAATAGATTTTTGGTTTATCAGAGCAAATAATCTGCTCTAGTAATTATAGGCCCACATTTATTATGAGTAAAAGAACATTGAGGGCAGATTCTATGAGAATCTTAGATAACAGCGCCAGGCCCCATTGCTGGGACTTCCTAGAAGCTTTGGGAATTTTCATACTAAAGGTGGAGAACCCTGTGGGTTGAAACCTTCAACAAGGACTATCTCCAGAAACAAATCTGAACTCGGCTCCAGAAAGCAAGGTTTTGGACAATTCAGCTACTCCAGTTCATTTTACTTAAATGAGCGTTACAACTGTGATACCATGGTGAGCTTGTCTTGCAAACACTGAGAATGCCCTGGTACTATAACTTCCTTCAGCAGCGAGCATTAGAGTTTCCTCTTTCTTTACACTGAGTCACCTTCCCTGGTTCCTGAACCTCACAGAACTGATGTCTCAGTGCTGTCATTGGTCTGGGGGAGTCCTCCCACCTAGTCCTCTGCCCAGAGTGTATTTCGTGAACCACTGGTAATGCTGGCTCCAGGAGGTGCATACCAAGGGGTGGCTGACATCCAGAAGCCCCCTGGTCCTCCTAGTGGCAGCATCTCTGTAACCTCAGCAACTAGCCCTGTGCAGGGGACACAGGAGGCCTCATTTGTGTGCCCCAGCATGGGGCTGAGGGTAGAATCATTGCCCGCTAGGGCCAAGAAATTCCATGGAGCTTCTCTGCAAATAGAAATTGCCAAGCTGCTTGGGAAGGGAGAGAAGCCACAGGTTGTCCCTCATCTCTTCCACCCACAGCCTTACAGACAAGATCCCCCAGCTTGCTCTGAATCTATCACTTACCCAGGGCTCCTTGGCAGATGTCTGTGCGGGTGGCTCCTCCAATGATAAACTGGGGGTCAGCGCAGATCTCCTGGGAACGAGACCCACAAAGTGCTGTTAGCCTACCAGCCAGGTGCTTCTGCAGCTAGGATGCCTCCATTCTCAGTGGGGTCTTCTAACCCCTTCTCCCCTTCCCCTCCCCTCTGGGGAAAGTGTGTCATCACAGTCAGAACTCTGTGTCATGAGGTCCTTCTGACCCCTGCTCCCTGGGCCCTGATGGGTGGATGGGTGGTCCTGTCTGAGAAGGGCAGGCATTGGACCCTGCACACTCTGGACTGCCTGGAGCCTCCTTCATTGTGCTGTGTCCCGGGGGCCACAGCAGCAAGTCCAGCCTTTTCTGCCAGACGTGGAGACCATCCACACTCTAGAGCCACCCTATCCACTGGGTTAGCATCCTCTCTCCTCTGTTACTGCATGCAAGTTGTTTTGCTTGCATGAAATTCCTTCCTTTCCCACTCTCTTCCCTCCTTTTCCATATTGCATCATACCTTGAGGCTCATTGTCACCTCCTCCGTGAAGTCGTCCTAGTCCAATCCTCACTCATCCCTTCAAGTCTGAGTCCCAGAGTCTCTGGACTCTGCAATTTACTACTTAGGTATTACTCTGATTTCCTAACACATACCCTTTTGAGGGCAGGCGGGATCTAACCCTTTTGAATTCTTCCATGGGACCATGAAACTTACAGCATCTATATATTCTGTACCTGCTTACATCAGAGACTGTGCTCAAAGCTTTACCTCATGGAATGGGTATTATCCCCCTTTTACAGACGAGGAAACAGCTCAAAAAGGTGAAGTGACGTGTCCAAAGTTAACACAGTTCACAGATAATAGACAGCACTGGCATTGGAACTTACTGATCAAATGCGCCAACTCTTTCTGCTCCTGCCCTGCCTCTAATTGATTTAGTACCAAGCGTTCAAGGGTGTTAAAACCTCAGGGGCCATTGTCATGAGCAGCCTGATGGAAGCCAACCTTGAACACTTCTTAGCCCTTTCAGCAGCCCTCTGAGTGTGTTTCGATTCTGAAGAGCCCCACCCAAAAGCCACAGAGGAAGTTGGGGCACAAATTTGAGCCTCTCTGGGCTCAGGCAACCTTGCCTTGAAGGAGCTGCGTCTCATGTCTGCTTGGGTTGCACACGCCTGCCTCCACCCAACGGCCCTCGGCATGCCCACTCTGTCAAGCAGAAGTATGCCTATATGAGACTTGGATCTAGCCCCTGTTCATTCTAGCTCAGATTGTGGGAGCTCTTCCGGAAGCACCATCTGCCGCAGAGGACATTCCCTTCATGCCTCTGCCTTGTTTCTCTCTGCTCCTGTCAGTTTTGGGGATGGCAGAGAGAATCAGAATGCTCTTCTGCTGAGGCAAAGGAAGCCAGCTTGGCCCAAGGCCTGCCAGAGAGCTCTTATCCAGCTGATGGAATAGATTGGGCTTGGTGCTGGGAGCCTGTTTATTATAAAGAATCACACTGATAATCCTGAGTGTGCCAGGCACTTACTCCAGCAGGGTTTTTCCATTATACTTCAGAAACTTTCTAATGCCTTTAGCAGCCTCTCTAGAAAAGTCAGAGTTCAGAGTGGTGCTAAACACCTAAGCATCTAAGCGATGCTTCAGAAAACTGAAACTTGTGCACGGCATGTAGGGCATCGAATTAAATATGGGTCTTACCAGTCAGTGAAAAGGGGCTGAGGGTTTGGGCTTTGCTGCATTATTCTGATAACCTAGGTTTGAATCCTGGCTCTGCCACTTATTATGTAGGTCGTAGGACCCTGGGAAGTCACTTAACCTTTTGAAGTCTCAGTTTTTTCACCTGCAAAATGGGAACGATGAAAACACCCACCACAGAGGATTGTTCTGAGTGTTAAATGAGATAATGATGTAAACATGCCCTGGCAAGCACTCCATAAATGTGATCTATTATTATTACTGTTGAAGAAGTTGATGATAACAGTCACTGAACTTGGAGACAGGACATATGGGTTTGAGGCTGAGTTCGGCCAGCTGAAGATAAGCAAGTGAGAAACCTCTCAGAGGTTTGATTTTCTTGGGGGAAACATAGGGGCTCACAACATCTGCCCTTGCTCCTAACAGACTGGTTGCTGGAAGGATCTGATGTGCCACCCGGATCACACCTGCTTTCTCCTCACTGTACCCCTGCATGGCCCTTGGACCCCACTGGACTTACTGCTTTAATCCCCGCTCCAGGCACTGGAGCCACTCTTGCCAGTGTTGTGAAATCCTCTCTCCGAGGAAGAGCAGCTCCTCCTGCTGCAAGGCTAACCTGCTCCCCTCCCCTGCCCACAACCCGTATTCTCACTTCCTCAGGGATCCTGTTTCACTGCCCCCTCCCTGCCTTTATCTTTAATCCCTTCTTCCTGGTGATTCAACATATGACACATTCAAGTTGTTCTCATATGAAAAAAACACAGGCTCTCAAAGTCCAGGTCCTACTCTACCTATCAGTTCTCCTCTCTTCCCGGGGGTCCTTCTTAAATAAGTTGATCATGTTCTTAATTTCCAGTTCCTTTACTCTGGAGTCTACAACAATCTGGCTTCTACTCTCACCTTTCCATTGAAATTGCTCTGCTAAACTCACCAATGACTTGCTAGTGTTCAAATCCAGCGGAAACAACTGTGCTCCCCTTGCCTGACCTCAGCAGCATTTGAGAAGGTAGGAAGGAGGCAGAGAGCGCAGCCATAAGGGGTAGGCTCAACATGCACAGACTACACACAGTCCTGGATCTATGCCCTATATCCACTTGACTCTGAGCAAGTATTTAACCTTCCCAAGCCTCAATTTCTTCAACTGGCAAATGGGGATCGTAAAAGTCACACTCTTCCTTAGTTGTGCAGTGCACAGCCCGCCTGCCCTAAGCAGTGGCGCTAGATCATCTCTAGACCTCTACATCCTCATCTGGAAGTCCCACAGGCATTTCCAACTGTTGGGGGACCTGTCTCTGTCCCCTCACTAGCCTCAGAAGTAAGTCTTCAGAAGCAGAAACCATATGCATTGTGCCCAGCATATAGTAGGTATTCGAGAAATGCTTACTGAATGAATGAAAGAATAAGTGAATGAGTATGTGAACTCACTATGTAAACTGTAAAGTGCCATGCAAATGTAAAGTGAACACATTCTCTTGGTTTGTGTTTCACTTTTTTTTTTTTTTTTTTTACTTTTTTATAGAGACAAGTCTTACTGTGTTGCCCAGGCTGGTCTTGAACTCCTGGCTCAAGCGATCCTCCCACCTTGGCCTCCCATAGTGCTGGGATTACAGGTGTGAGGCACTGAGTCAGGTCAGCGTATCACTTTCACAACCATAATTTCATTTGAGGCACATTACAATCCTGCATCCATATTCTACAAACAGTCACTTCTTTTGTGTTCACTGGTGTATCTCCTGAGCTCTCAGGACAGTGCCTGGCATGTAACAGGTGCTCAATCAGTGTTGTCAAATGAGTGAGTAAATGAATGAATGAATGAATGAATGAATACTGTGAAAGGCATGGTTATGTGTCAGGCACTGGGGATATACTGGTAAATAATATACACATGATTCCTGCAGTTCAGTAGGAAGAACAAATACATGTGATTATATTCTAAACTGTGACAATGCTATGAAGGAAATGAGTGGGGTGACAGAGAAAAACAAGGTGGGGAGGTGGCTGCTAAGAAGGGTCAGAAAAGACCTCTTTAGGAAGGGAACATGTGACTAAGTTGGGAAGAATGAGAGTGAGCCACACTCCAGGTAACAGCGTGCCTTGCTGGTGAGAAGGCCTCATGCAGGAAAGAACCGGCTCTTTGAGAGACTGAAAGGAGGCCATGACGGCAGGGCCTAGTGGGCCACAAAAGAGAGAAAATATTTAGGCAGCATGTTTTCTTTTAGATGAAGACATGGAGGCACAGAGAGGTTAAATGGCTCGTTCAAGGTCACCAGCAGGTTAGCAAGAAGAAGAACCCAAGTGCTCTGAGTCTGGGCTAGGGCGCTTCCTGCAGCCCTTGCTACCTATGGGCTGGATTTAGGGTAACAGAAGGTGACCTGGGAGGCTGCTGGGTGTGGAAGCAGAGCTGGAAGCCTTGTTCTCACAACAGGAATCTAGAAGTTGGACTTCAGGGCAGGCTTTCCTAGGCGTGGTAGGGGAAGCCTGGGGAAGTGTCCCAAAGGAGGAGGAGCCTCAGGGGTTCCCCAAGAAACAGAATGGACAAGTAGATTGGGGAGCACAAGTTGTCCCAGGGCCGGGAGGTCAGAGACCCTGGGGGACGGGATAAGGGGGTCTGGAGGGCTCCCGGAGGTTTCCCGGGTGATTCCCGCCAGGGAAACCATGAGACACCTCCGTGTCCTGGGTTAATTACCAGTGTCAATGTTATGAGGAGGTATCGCTGGCTCCCCTTTGGAAAAATAAATCTAACCCCAGGGCTGCAGGAGACTATCCTTAGTCACAAAATGACCAGGCTATGGCCTGTCCCCCTCCATGAACAGACAGAACCCCAGTTGGAGACGGACTTTGTCTGGTAGATGCTGCCTCTCACCGTCCCTTCCCTGCAGACCCGATTCCCCTTCCCTTCCAGCTCCCCGCTAGAGTCCAATCAAAGTTTCACCCCGGCCTCCTGCATCACCCTGAGTTTTTGTGAAGTCCTAAAGTGGCCTGCTAGTGGGATCTGAGGGCAGTGATTCGCCTCGACCCGCCCAGGAAAGCGTGGTGGGTGGAAGAGAGGGAAGGCCCCGGGAGTCCCCCCACGCTCGAACAGAGTCCCGGGCTCTGGCGGCGCGGAGGTGTCGCAGGACTGCGAGGTCCTGGCTTGCGGCTTCCCCACTGCAGCACCCGGGCTGCCCCCCGCCCCAGCGCGCCGCGGGCCGGCCTGCACCCCGCCCTGCCCGGCACCCCGCCCTGCCCGCGTCCTGCCGCGCGCTTCCTACCGTGGGGCGCTTCCACTCGATGCCCCGGGTTTTGCTGGAGTAGGGCCCCAACTCCTTGAAGCCCAGGGCCGAGGGGATGGCCGGGAAGGACGGGTCCTGGAAGAGCGTCCCGGCCTCCAGGCACTCGTTCCGCAGCGCCTCGTAGTCCTGGTTGAGGTACTTGATGGCCCTGTCGTGGGAGCCCAGCCCCTCGGCCGCCTCCCGGTCCTTCGCCAGCTTGGCCGCGATGCCCGCCATGCTGCGGTCCCGGCGGCCGTACTGCGCAGAGAAAGGTCGGGGCGACTCCGCGCTGCGCTCGGCTGGGGCGCGGCCAGGGCCCGGCGCGCTGCTGCGGCCACTGCGGGCGCCGCCGCTGCGAGCGATGATTCACCGGAGGGAAGCGGCCCGGCCCGCGGGGTGTGGCCTCAGCCGCTCCCGGCCTGCTGGGCTCCCGGCCCGGGACCAGGCCATCCTGCGGCCTGCCGAGCGCCGGGAACGCCGCGACCCGGGGCCGGTGCTGCCATCTGCGGACAGCTCCCGGGATGGCGCGGCCCGGCGCCGGGGAGGCTCGCGAATCGCGGTCCAGAGTTGGGGCTCCCACCGGAACCCGAGGCCACCTTTGCAGCCCATAGGGAAGAAGGCTAGGATAGTTGTGGCCGTCCGGAAAACACCCGGGGAGTTAGCAGAGGGTCAGGTAGTGAAGTCGAGGAAACTAAACCAGCTGCCCTGAACTTTGTGCCAAACAGCGTCTTAACGGCTCTGCATACATCATCTCATTTAATCCTCCCAGCGACTCTGAAGAAGGCGCTGATATTGTCCCCATTTTACAGATGAGAAAACTGAGCCTCGGAGACGCTAAATGACGTCCCCAATGTGGCACAACAGTCACAGGCAGAACAGGGACTCTAAGCCACCGGAGGCCTATTGCAATCACAATGCTGCAATTACTACTGCTCAGCTGTTTATTTGATTATAGATAGGGTTGTCAGATTTGGCCAATAAGGCTGGGTGCGGTAGTTCACACCTGTAATCCCAACACTTTGGGAGGCCGGAGGCAGGCGGATCACCTGGGGTCAGGAGTTCGAGACCAGCCTGGTCAACATGGTGAAATTCCGTCTCTACTAAAAATACGTCGTGGCAGGCACCTGTGATCTCAGTTACTCGGGAGGCTGAGACAGGAGAAACGCTTGAACCCAGGAGGGAGAAGTTGCAGTGAGACGAGATCGCGCCACTGCGCTCCAGCCTGGGTGACAAAGCGAAACTCCATATCAAAAATAAAATAAAATAAAATGATTTGGCCAATAAAACAACAACCCTCCCAAATGTTTAATTTGAATTTCAGATAAACAACAGATACTTTTAAAGTATATGTAGGGCCCAAATATTGCATGGGCATACATACTTATTCTAAAAGAAAATATGATTCATTGTTTACCTGAAACTCATATTTAACTGGCAGGATTAGTTGGGTTACTATAGGGAGAGAGCATTTAGAATACTGCCTGTGTTGGCTACTGTGACCACTCTGTTGTGGAGCTAGGGTGTGATTCTCATCTCACACACAGAGACATGGGTGCGTGCCAAGAAATGCAGATGGGCAGAAATTACCTCCTCTTCTTCTCTACAGTAGTAGGGAAGAATTTGGGTTTCACTGGAAAACTGTGCATGGTCTACAGCAGTGGTTCTCAACTGGGGGCAGTTTTGTCCCCTACCCACCCCAGGAGACATTTGGGAATGTCTGGAGATAGTTTTTATGGTCACAGCTAGGAGATGAGGTGCTACTGGCCTTTACTAAGTAGAAGCCAGGGATGCCGCTGAACATCTTCCAATGTCCAAGATAGCTCTTGTGAACCCAGAAAATCTGAAACAGGTCTCATTTAATTTAGAAAGTTTCTTTTGCCATGGTTGAAGATGCACACCTGTGACACAGGAAGTCCTGAGGACATGTGCCCGAGGTGGTTGGGGTGCAGCTTGGTTTTATACATGTTAGGGAGGCAAGAGCCATCAGTCAAGTACATTTAAGAAATACATTGGTTTGGTTCAGAAAGGCGGGACAACTCAAAGTGGCGGGGGGTGGTGGGTGGGTAGTGGGGGTGGCTTCCAGGATATAGGTAAATATTTAAACATTTTCTGGTTGACAATTGGTTGAGTTTGTCTAAAGGCCCAGGATCAATAGAAAGGAATGTTTGGGTTGCGATAAGAGGTTGTGGAGACAAAAGTTTTATCACATAGATGAAGCTTTTAGCTAGCAGGCTTCAGAGTGAACAGGCAGTAAAATGTTTCTTATCAGACCTAAACTCTGGTTGATGTTCACGCTGGAGAGGTATAATGAAGCATGTCCGACCTTGCCTTTCCTTCATGGCCTGAAAATTTCAGGTTAAAATTTTAAGAGCCTCGGCTAAGGAGGAACCATCCATTTAGATGGTTGGCGGGGGTAGGGGAGGGGGAGGCTTAGAATTTTATTTTTGGTTTACATTCTCCACCCAAAACATGATCTAGTCCAAGACATCAGTCATGTAGAGGCTGAGAAACCCTGGTTTAGAGCATCTCCTTCCAGAAGATCTGGGTCTAGCCTTTCATTGTTTTTGTTGTTGTTGTTGTTGTTTTTGTTTTTCTTGAGATGTAGCACCCTGTCACCCAGGCTGGAGTGCAGTGACAGGATCTTGACGATCTCAGCTAACTGCATCTTCTGCCTCCCGGGTTCCAGCGATTCTCCTGCCTCAGCCTCCAACGTAGCTGGGATTACAGGTGCACACCACCACATCTGGCTAATTTTCTATATTTTTTGTAGAGATGGGGTTTCACCGTGTTGGCCAGGCTGGTCTCGAATTCCTGACCTCAGGTGATCCGCCTGCCTCAGCTTCCCAAAGTGTTGGGATTACAGGTGTGAGCCACCACACGAGCCCCTTTCATTGTTTTTGAGTTATTTTATAACTCTAAGTTGTATATAACTGTAGCAATGTATAGTTACCTAAGTAACTCTAAGTAAGTAATCTAAGTTGTAGATAACTGTAGCAATGGAAAATAATTTTTCCTATAGATATGCAAATGCATTCTGTCCAGTAGAGGCACTACAGTCCCCCTGTAGAGAGACCAGTTTTTTGTCTAGTTGCATATTCCATTTCAGTACTCTTCACGTCATGTAAATTGTGCTGCTTTGGTTTCTCCTTTGAACCAGTTATAACATCCACCAGATTGCCTCGTTTAATCAAGTTAAATGGACTCTTTTTTTTTTTTGAGATGGAGTTTCACTCTTGTTGGCCCAGGCTGGAGTGCAATGGCACAATTTCGGCTCACCACAACCTCCACCTCCCAGGTTCAAGTGATTCTCCTATCTCAGCCTCCCGAGTAGTTGGGATTACAGGTGCCTGCCACCATGCCTGGCTAATTTTGTATTTTTAGTAGGGACAGGGTTTCTCCACGTTGGCTAGGCTGGTCTCGAACTCCTGACCTCAGGTGATCTGCCCACCTCTGCCTCCCAAAGTGCTGGGATTACAGGTGTGAGCCACTGCACCCTGCCGAAATGGAATCTTTAAAATGTGTTTATTTTATACTAATATGAGAGCCATGATGTTACCTTTTCTTAAAGCAAGTATTTTTGTCACTATTATTCCTCTGCCCCCATCTATTCTTGTCTCTGACACCCATTGCTTACCCCCTTTGCTTGACAAAACTTTGGTCAGACTTCTCTCTTTCCTACAGATCCCTGAATGCTGCTTGCCCCCAAGCCTGAACAAGCACAAACAAAGTGGAGTGTCCCTGCCAAGTCACTTCCCTGCCCAGCTTCTCCTGGGAATTGACTGAACACAGCAAGACCCTTTTCCTGTCAGCTCCCACTGGTCATTTCCCCTCACTTGTCCAGCTTCCCCTCCCAAGAGTCTGCTTATCTCCACTTGCTCCTCCTTTACCCTAGAAAAGAAGAATCTTTTTCTGTTTGATTTTGAGCTGCTTGCAGATTCTCTGAATTGGAATTGTCTTTCTCTCTTTTTTTTTCTTTTCTCTTCTCTTTTCTTTCTTTTCCTTCCTTCCTTCTCTTTTTCTCTATTTTTTCTTTCTTTCTCCCTCCCTTCTTCCCTTCCTCTCCTTCTCTCCTTCTCTCTTTCTCTCTCTCTCTCTCTTTCGCTCTTTCTTTCTTGTTTCACTCTTGTTGCCCAGGCTGGAGTGCAGTGGTGCAATCTCCACTCACTGCAACCTTCGCCTCCCGGGTGCAAGTGATTCTCCTGCCTCAGCCTCCTGAGTAGCTGGGATTACAGGTACCAGCCGCCATGTGCAGCTAATTTTTTTGTATTTTTAGTAGAGACGGGGTTTCCTCATGTTGGCCAGGCTGGTCTTGAACTCCTGACCTCAGGTGATCCACCTGCTTTGGCCTCCCAAAGTGCTAGGATTACAGGTGTGAGCCACTGCGCCTGGCCTGCAATAGTCTTTCTTTCTATTGAAGTGTCCCTTTATAAAAGTCTGGATTTTTTTTTTTTTTTAAACAGAGTTTCACTCTTGTTGCCCGGGCTGGAGTGCAATGGCGCGATCTTGGCTCATTGCAACCTCCGCCTCCCGGTTCAAGTGATTCTCCTGCCTCAGTCTCCCATGGTTTTGTTTTTATTTGACATCCTCCATCTCTGGTTTGCAAGTCTGGGCATGCTGCCTGATGGGCAGGTACCACCGTCCACCACCAGGCTTTGCTTTCTTTACTCTTGAATAAGGCGGGGACACAGGTTCCATTGTGTAATGGTTGGCACTCTGGACTCTGAGTCCAGAGATGGGGATACAGGCATTCATTTCTAGCTCATGGGTTTCTGGTGCAAGGGTTTCATGAAGCCATCACAATTGAAAACAGAGGAAAGCGACAGCCCTGTCCTGGAAGCTGTTCATTTGTTCCACTGTCTGATTTCCATTGGCCCCACCCCGACTTCTTCTGGGCTCGAGGCTCTTGGGAGAAAGCTTGTCCTTCTGCCCAGTGGGGCAGAGCGCAGGCTTCTCCTCCCACTGATCTCCTCAAGGACAGCTCATCTCTGGAGGAAGTGACTCCTCCCAGGCAGGTGGAGGTCATTTCCCTCCTAAGTCATTTTAGCAACAAATGGGCAGATCAGACCTATCATTCCAGTCAACTCAGAAGCTTTGCACAGCCTGGGAGCAGAAGAGCCTCCTGGCTCACCTGAAGTTCCTCTTCCCCAGCTAGGCAACACCCTCTTTGGTGCAGCCCTGGCCACTCCCCTTGCCAGCCTTCTAGGGATCGCTGCGCACATAGAGCTCTGCTTACAAAGGGCTTTAGGCTGTCCTATGCCACCCAAATTTAATTGCAAACACATACAATGACTACTTTCCCCAACCATTTGGACAAAGTCTAGTTTTTAAACCTGAGTTAATGTTGCTTTTTCTACTTCCCAAAGCCTCTCACACTATGCTATCTCACTGACCCAGCAAAGTCTTCTCTTTCTCTGACCACACAATCCTTTTCACGGGAACACAAGGACATAGACAAACACTTCATGGTGGAAAACCTTCCTGGAGTGAGTCAGCCAGCCCTGAGGATGGTGGTGAGTCAGAAACAGCTGGGATTATCCAGAACTGCCTGGGTCTGGGCCACTGACCTTGTGAGTAAATGAGAGAGGGAGTGAGAGAGAGAGATAGAAAGAGAGAGAGAGAGAAGAAGAGAGAGAGAGAGAGAAAATAAGAGAATAAGAATGTGTGTGTCTCAGAGGGCCATGGCAATGGAATCTTTTTCAGTAGTATTTTTCTTTAGATTATTTTCTCCCTGGCCCTGGATGTTTGAGATGCATCAGAGGCACAATCTGCAGGTTCTGGATTTTTTTTTTTTTTTTTTTGAGGTGGAGTCTCACTCTGTCACCCAGGCTGGAGTGCAGTGGCGTGATCTCGGCTCACTGCAACCTCCGCCTCCCGGGTTCAAGCAATTCTCCTGCCTCAGCCTCTTGAGTAGCTGGGATTACAGGGGCTCACTGCCATGCCCAGCTAATTTTTGTATTTTTAATAGAGACGGGGTTTCGCCATGTTGTCCAGGCTGGTCTTGAACTCCTGACCTCAGGTGATCCACCCATCTCGGCCTCCCAAAGCGCTGAGATTACAGATGTGAGCCACCGTGCCTAGCCAGGTTCTGGAGATACTAACCAAAGCTTCCTTTTTAATTTTGCACCTCCACGTGTCAGTCTCAGTTTTTATTTGACATATTTGTGCACTTTACACATATTTGTGCACTTAATCTTCACAGCCAGTCAAGGGAGATCTTATCTCCTCATTTAATGGATGAGTAAACAGAGGCCCAGCAGAGCAGCTGACATGTTGTGTTGTAGAGCCAGCCTGGCTGCCAACACCTAGACCATGGTCCCTTGGGGTCTGTCCATACCCAGTGTAGGAGGGCAGAGGGAACGGCAGGCCCAGGCAGAGGAAAAGAACCTGTTTTCTTCCCCTCCCTCTTTCAGGTCCGTGATTTGAATCCAAAGGAGATCACAGAGAATATGAATTCCACAGGGCTGCAAAAAACGGTTTCATTTGAAAAGAGATTTCTTTCTCTTCTGAAGCAGCTGCAGGGTTTATTCTTTCCTCATAGCTGTAGCATGAGTATTGGACAGGCCTGTTAGATGCCACTCAGGAGGGAGGGGGCTTCTGGAGGGATTCCAAGAGCTGAAGAGGCATGGAAAGGCTTCTCCCTGGTGTTGCAAAAGATGGGACGTGCTGACAGTAGAAGGAGAGAGGGAAACTCCGGAAAGAAATCCAGCAGCCCAGACAGTTTTCTAAGCCCCTTCTCTTTCCCCAGTCTGTTGGAGCTTAGGGTATTACATCCCACCCTTGCCAGGAGGCAAGAGCCGAAGCTGCTGCCCCTCACCCACCAGTGCTATCTCCCAGAGAGGTTTTCATAGCTGGGGTCCCCTAGTAGTAATTTTACTAATAATACATGTAGTCTTATAAGTGTGGGGTCTGGCAATTTTCAAAATACTAACTATCCATTCTCCCATCTCTTAAAATGGGGAAATAATACCTACTTTGCATAGTTCACACGGTTGTTATAAGCATCAAATCACAGTGTATGTGAAATTATTTGGGGAACTATAAAACCTTAGATGCTATCATTGTTATCATCAGCAGCAATGGCCCCTTTCTTCTACAGGCACATGAGTACTTGACATGTGGCAGCAAATCCTGTTTTCACGCTTCCTGTTGTAGGGAACAAATATAGAGCAGCATGCTTTTCTCCACTCCATGGGAAGTGATCACCTCAGATGTCAGCACCACAGGGTGCTGGGAGAGGAGTTGGCCCCGTCCATAATTCCCATCAGCAAGCTCCCCAATAAATATGTCTCTAAGCCAGAACAGGGAGCTTACTAAGCAGAAACAGCTACAAGACAAGCCTCCAATCCCCTGCCCCAAATGCCATCTACCATCCACATTTTATTTTTTTCATCCCTAAGTCCCTCCCACATCGAAATTCTAGAACTGCCCAGATATATGCTCAAGTTCACCTGGTAAGAAAGCCAAAGTAGCACTCTGCCACTCAGTCTTCCGAGGATGTAGTCATGGTGGTCAGTATGTCATTTCCCCAACACATCTCTGGGGCAGAAACCAGTTTCCCCTGTACAGTTCAGTGGTGGTTCTCTATGTGCAAGAATCACCAGTGCTTGTCTAAATTGTGATTTAGGTAACCATAGGAGACATTTGGCTCTGTCTTGCCTCTTTGTTTTGTTACTTTGCCCCGTTCCATTTCTTTTCTCAGCCAGTCCAAGGATAGGCTTGTTAACAGGGAGTGATATTGAAAGTATTCCAAACCACTGTAGTGCCGACACTGGCTTGCTGAAAGGGAAGTTGGTGTTGGCCGAGGGGCAGGAAGCCTCCCCTGAGTGAGCTATTAATCCTTTAGTGGATGAACTGGGGGAGTATGGGAGTTGCCAGGAAGGGGCTGGTGGGCCAGGGTGCTGGAACAGGGAGCGGCAGGAGGGGGCTGGGGGCAGCCAACTACCCATCCTGCTGTGACATATGACAGTCACCCAACTCCATCACCTACTCACGTTGGGGCTCCACATTTCCCCTGCCTCGGTTACATTTGTTTAATGACAGTCTAGATGTGTTTCTGTGTTTTCCCCTCAATTCAGTGTTGTATTTCTCCTGGGATCAGCAACTATTTTTTTGTTGATATCCTTGACCACCTCCCTCCTTCCAGGCACAGGGCTGAGCCCAGTGACATCTCATTATTGCTGTGGCCCACCTTATTGCAGGGCCGACATTTCAGATACCCTTCTCATTTCCCTTCCCTCAGCTATGGCTCCCTTTGGTTTTCCATCCTTGTGTCACACGGACCGTGACTCAGTGGCAAACTAAGACCTCAACTGTGGGTCTGAGACAAGTGTCTTGGTCTTCCTAGACCTCAATTTCTCCATCTGTAGAATAGGGAAAACGTTGCTGACAAAGAAATTCTCAGATGGGAGGAGACTTACAAATATAGCTCGAGTTGCTAATGCAATTCAAATGAGCCTTTGGACTTCCCTTCTGTAGAATAAGGCCCTAGGCGACTGAGGCGTTTCACACTTTGAGATTCATATGAAAGAATCTCAGGGTTGGATGGAACTTTAGGGGTCTTCAGTTCAATGTTTTTTGGTGTTGTTTTGAGATAGAGTCTTGCTCTGTTGCCCAGGCTGGAGTGCAGTGGCGTGATCTCGACTCACCGCGACCTCTACCCACTGGATTCAAGTGATTCTTGTGTCTTAGCCTCCTGAGTAGCTGGGATTACAGGCATGCGCCACCATGCCCTGCTAATTTTTGTATTTTTAGTAGAGACGGGGTTTCACCATGTTGGCCGGGCTGGTCTCCAACTCCTGACCTCAAGTGATCTGCCTGCCCTGGCCTCACAAAGTGCTCGGATTACAGGTGTGAGCCACCACGGCTGGCCTAGTTCAATGTTAAACAAACTTTACTCAGCAAAACATGTTTCATGAGATGTTCATGAGAGGGTCTGTGGCATGTGTGGATGTGAGTGTGTGGTTTTTAGTGATCAAATGAATTTGGGAAATGCTTTATACTTTTCCCTCTTGATGAGTTATAATGTGTATATTTTAATATTAAAGGCTCTGACAAGTCCTGTAGCAGAGAATTCTGTTTAACCAAGTGTGTCAACTTGAGTCCTCTGGGAAGCAAATGCCAAAACGAAGTTAGACATGCAAGAGACTTATTGGGGGTAAGTCCTGTGTAACTGGAGGGGAGAGAGAACAGGAGTAGTCCAGAAAAGCCTTCAGCCCATAACATAAGCCTTACACCTATGAAAAGAGATGGGGAAGGAAAGGCGGTGTGGTAGGAGGATCCATAGACTGCAGTGCCACTCTGAGAAAGCCTTGGCCAACCCAGTGGGGATTCTGGGGCAAAGCTGGGCCAATAGAAGTCTGCATTGGGCAGAAATGGCCAGCCCAGTACCTCTACTGTGTTGTCATTGGCTGGAGCAGCCTGGAGAGAACACATCCTCATCTCAGGTGCTTTGCAAATGGCCAGGCACGGCACAATGGGAGGCAGAGGTGAGAGGACTACTTGAGCCCAGGGGTTTGAGACCAGCCTGCACAACATAGAGAGACCCCCATCTAAAAAAAAAAAAAATCAAATGCTTTGCACATATTTACTCATTTAATCCTCAGAATAGCCCTATAAGATAGGTCTTGTCATTGTTTCCATGTTTACAGATGAGAAAACTGAGACACCAAGATACTCAATGAGTCACCCAGGGTTATACAGTCAGTGGGTAGTGGAGTTGGCATTTGAATGCAAAACTGCTTTTGGGAACCTCTGTCCTAGACAGGGGCAATGTGGTTTGCAGAGCAAATGGGGGAGAAAATGAACATTCTAAGCCTTACTTGTCAGCACCCTGCGAAGTGCAGTGGTCACAGTCCCCAATGACTTCCTTGATTCGAAATCCAGGGAAACCTTCTCAGTTCTTACTCTCTGTGTCCAGCAGCTGCCACTGCCACTGTTGCCATTCCCTTACTTTCTTCCCTCTGCTTCCATGGACCCCTCCTTCTCCTGGTTTTTCTTCCACCTTCCTGGCTGTTCTTTCTCAATCTCCTTCACCAGCTCCTTCCTCTCCTTCCTCTTCTTGTACCTTTGTGGATTTTTTTGCCTCAAAATCTACCTAGGTCAATAACTCCTATGCTTCTAATTTCCAGTCACAGGGGCCACTTGGAAATGTAGCAGTGCTTGGGGGAATATCACCAGGACACTTCCACTGGCCGGGCTGCTTCTCTCTCTGGGAGGTGGGTTATGTCCTATCCTCCCCGTTTTGCTCTCTTCTTGATGTATATACAGAGGAGACTTTTCTATGGACTTAGAGATAGTAATTTTTTAGCATATTAATTTCGGTTTTCAGGGACAGCTAGTGGAAGTTTGATGGTGTCCAAATAATTCTCCATATAATGTAGTTTATTTTCCTTCCTTTGTTTCTTCCCATCTTTTTCTTTCTTTTCCTTTCCTTTTCTTTTTTTTTGTTTTTTTAGACAGGGTCTCACTCTGTCAACCAGGCTGGAGTGCAGTGGTGCGATCTCAGCTTACCGCAACCTCTACCTTCCAGGCTCAAGCAATTCTCCTGCCTTAGCCTCCCTAGTAGCTGGGATTACAGGTGTGCACCATTACGGCCCAGCTAATTTTTGTATTTTTAGTAGAGACAGGGTTTTACCATGTTAGCCAGGCTGGTCTTGAACTCCTGACCTCAAATCATCCACCCACCTCGGCCTCCCAAAGTGCTGGGATTACAGGCGTGAGCCACGGCGCCCAGCCTCCTTCTTTCCTTCCTTCCTTCCTTCCTTCCTTCCTTCTTTCCTTCTTTCCTCCCTCCCTCCCTCCCTCCCTCCCTCCCTTCCTTCCTTCCTTCTTCCCTCCCTCCCTCCCTTCCTTCCCTCTCTTTTTTTTTTTTTTTTTTTGAGACGGAGTCTGTTGCCCAGAATGGAGTGCAGTGACACGATCTCAGCTCACTGCAACCTCCACCTCCTGGGTTCAAGTGATTCTCCTGTCTCTACCTCCTGAGTAGCTGGGATTACAGGTGTGCACCACCACACCTGGCTAATTTTTGTATTTTTAGTATTGACTCACCATGTTGGCCAGGCTGGTCTTGAACTCCTGACCTCAGGTGATCTGTCTGCCTCGGCCTCCCAAAGTGTTGGGATTACAGGCGTGAACCACTGCACCTGGCCTTCTTTCTTTCTTTAAAAATATTTTTTTCTTTGCTTTTTTTTTGTTTTCTCCACATAGTCGAACATCCTGGAAATTCGTTCCTTTGCGTTAGTCTCTGAGGATGGGCCAGTTAGCTACAGAGCCATCAGAGTCTGAGTGTCTGGCACCTGAGCTCCTCCTTGGCCCACAGAAAGGCTCTGCCCACCAGCTCCCCAGAGAGAATATGGAAATGCTGCCTGGGACCAAATAAGGGAATATAATGAAAGGGGCCTCAGGGCTGAGGCTGTGTTTGAGTCACATTTTAGCAAAGCGGCCACATAGCTTCTGACTCAGAGCACAAAGATTCTTCAATTCTTCATGGCAAGAATGAGACTCACAAGAGCATAAGCTCAGAGGTGGAAAGGAGGGCAGAGCTGTCTCCTCCTGTCCAGTCTAACCAAGGCAGCTAAGAAGCTGAGGCCAGAGAAGGGAGGGTCCCGCAGCCCTAGAGAGGGCCGGAGCCAGCTGGGGCTTCCAGACTCTCGGGAGAGGTCCCATCCTGCTGCCCGCTCTGCAGGCTCTGCTCAGTCTGCTTGGATGCTGCGTGTGTCGGGAGGCCCTGTCACCCTGCCCCTGACCCGGCTATGCTGGGGAGACCTCAGCTTTCTGACTCATACTCAGAAGGGAGTGTCTTAGAGGAATTTCTTTCCACTCAAGCAGTCTATGGACTGATCAAAAGTGCAAGTCATGTCAAGACATAAGTGCTCTCTAACATGTATTCTGCAATGTGGACTTGAATATAAACTGAAAAGCACAATAGTGAATAATTAGAGCTGTCATCTTGGCACGTTTTATGTAACTTCTGTGAGAGCGCGTATCACCTGGTGATACAAATATTTAGTGTCCATTTCCCCGCTAGCCCATCCATTTCTGAATGAGACACCATGTCTTTCTTGTTCACCTTTGTGATCCTGGCATAGTGCCTGGCACCTGGTGGGTGCTTGGTAAAGGTTTGTTGAACGAAGGGTCATAGGCACAAAGCGTTCCCAGGGAAAACTTGTTGGCATCTTTGATGTCAGAATCATTGATTTAGGGTGAGGGAAATGCTCCCTGGGCCCTGTGTCATGCTAAAGGAGTCCCTGAATTGAGAACTTTGAGGAGCCCAGATTTACTATCCACTAGGATTGCTTCAAATGTCTGAGTTTAGGGTGGGGTGGAGTGTACCCTCCTTTACAAGAGAACCAGAAGATTCCTCCCCCAGGGTTTAATGCTTGAATTCCTCTAGGAGAAAGATAAGAATGTTGCAGAACAGAGCTGTGCAAGCATTTCTTGTTGCTCCCTCCTCCCTCTCTCTCTTTCTCTCTCTCTCTGGGGCTGACTGGTCTGTCCCTAAGTTGTGGGTGCTGGTGCTGGTGTGGAGGGGGGATGAAGGGCCCAGGACATCTCTATGGGGTCTACTTGGGACCAGACTGGCCATCAACACACAGCCCAGCCTCTCCACTTGATTGCCACTCCTGGGGGCATTTCGGTGGACTACAAAGTGCTAGAAACCATGAAGTCCCTGGACGCCCCCTTGGCGCCCTGAGCATTCTATGTAGGGATGGGGGTGGTTGAGTGTGTTCTGGGAGTAGGGTCCTGGGGGAGGGTGGTGGTAGTAATGTGAGATTGGTGTCAAAGAAAAGAAAAAATTATTCGGTGGCACTTGTTGAGGTATGATTAGGAAGGCTTTATTCAGGACTGTTGCAATAGGCATAGGGGCCACTGCAATGGGGTTTTGCGGGGTGGATAGAGATTGGGCTCAACTCGGAATATGGCACGGCCAGGTGGGAATGCATAGCCAAGAAGCAGAGTGGGGGTCAGTGACAGATAATTACTAAGAGTAAACGTAAAGAATAAGGGGGATTCTGGCTAAACCCCCTAACCGAGTCTTGCTGAAGACAGGACAGGGTCATTGGACATCACCTAGATGGTGGAGGATGAGGAGCACAGTTAGATATTGGGGATGATCAGATAGCAAGGTGTTGAGGGGTTCTAGCTAAACTGACTTAGCAGGGTCCTCGTTAAAACTGAATTTTTCAAGGAAGTGCACAGATGGGCCTAGGAAAGGATCAGGAGGCTCACTAAAGTTTGGTCAAGCAAAGAATCTTTGTCAAGGGCCAGAAGAGGCCAGAGGTGAGGCCGAGAGGTGGGGAGGGACTAGCTGCTATAGGACCTTGTAAGGGCAATTGGAGGGGTTGGAAGTGAAGGGTGAAAGAGGTGAGTGTGGTGGTCAGGCTGGTGGGGAAGGAGTAGGGCTCTAGGCAGCTCTGGTGGAGAGGCTCCTGAGCCCCATCACAGGTGTTCCAGGGTCCATGAGAACTTCTTCTGATAGCAGGACTGTAGGCCCATGGTCCTGCTTGCCCACTCTTCAGAAGCAGGCCCTGATGGAGAAGAACTTGGCTTTTTATTTTTTATTTTTAAGAGACAAGACCTTGCTCTGTCACCCAGGCTAGAGTACAGTGGCATGATCATAGCTCACTGCAGCCTCCGTTTCCTGGGCTCAAGTGATCCTCCCACCTCAGCCTCCTCAGTAGTTAGGACTACAGGCATTTACCACCATGCCAAGCTAATTTGTGTGTGTATATGTGTGTGTGTGTGTAGAGATGGGGTCTCGCTATATTGCCCAGGCTAGTCTGGAACTCCTGGCCTCCATAATTATCCTGCCTCAGCCTCCCAAGTGTGAGCTTGGCTTTATGAAGATACAATAATTTGGGGGCTTCTCCTAGTCTATTCCCACTCACGATTTTTATTTTTATTTTCACTTTTTATGTTTTTTGAGAAGGAGTCTCGCTCTGTCACCCAGGCTGGAGTGCAGTGGCATGATCTCAGCTCACTGCAACCTCTGCCTCCTGGATTCAAGCAATTCTCCTGTCTCAGCCTCCCGAGTAGTTGGGACTACAGATGCCTGCCATCACGCCCGGCTAATTTTGTATTTTTAGTAGAGACGGGGTTTCACCATAATGGCGATGCTGGTCTCGAACTCTTGACCTTAGGTGATCCACCCGCCTTGGCTTCCCAAAGTGCTGGGATTACAGGCGTTAGCCACCGCGCCCAACCCCCACTCACAATTAAACACAGCCTGCACATGTATTTCTGCACCAACAGGTTGACAGGCTCTCATTGGAGAGAAAATAACCCGCTCCATCCTTTTGTGCAACTGGAATGATTTGTGTGTCTTGGGAAGTTTTAAAGGTCACCAAGATTTCCTGAACAACAAAAATAAGCCTGTAGTAATAAAGTTATTACACCACAATCATGCTCTTCACTGTGAGCTATAGCGGGTGGTCCTGCCCAGGCAGGTGATGACGGTAAAATGGCGCCTCCTGGGGCCCGTTTGATGTTGTATTGGCTCCACCACGTGGCAAAAAGCAGTATTGTTATTTCAAAGCAAGAAAACCCCTAATTTAGCCATGGAAAAGGAAACCTCTATTTCAAAAGGCCTTTGATGCTTTTCAGCATAAACAAGTAAAACTGGCAAAATGTCTTGTTTTGGATCTCAGGCAGTCATGACTCCAGATCCCAAAGCCCTCTGGAGTCTGATACTGAGTTCCTCATGAACTGACCCATCTATTTATGTATCTATCTGTCTATCTATCATTATTTGTGACCACACATAACGTGCCAGGCATAATGCTGGGTACTGAGGCTTCAACCGTGAACAGGATACTGTACTGTCCTTACAGAGGACATAGACAATGGGCAACAGGCCATTGCAATTCACTGTGGTAAGCGCTATGGAGACAAATTACTGAGGATCCTCACCCAGATTTGGGGAGTCTTGGGTTATTTCACTTAGCATAATATCCTCATAATATCCTCAAGTTTCATCCATGTTGTGGCACGTGACAGGATTTCCTTTCTTCCTTCCTTCCTTTTTTTTTTTTTTTTGAGATGGAGTTTTGCTCTTGTTGCCCAGGCTGGAGTGCAAAGGTGCAATCTGGGCTCACCGCCACCTCCGCCTCCTGGTTTCAAGCAATTCTCCTGCCTCAGCCTCCTGAGTAGTTGGGATTACAGGCATGCACCACCACGCCTGGCTAATTTTGTATGTTTAGTAGAGATGGGGTTTCTCCATGTTGGTCAGGCTGGCCTTGAACTCCCAACCTCACGTGATCCACGTGCCTCGGCCTCCCAAGGTGCTGGGATTACAGGTGTGAGGCACTGTGCCCAACTGATTTCCTTCTTTTTAAGGTGGAATGATATTCTATTGTCTTGGATATACCACATACACTGAGAAAGTCTTTTTACATTTAATTTTTTTTTTTTATTTTTGAGATGGAGTCTCACTCTGTCACTCAGGCTGGAGTGCAGTGGCGCAATCTTGGCTCACTGCAACCTCTGCTTCTTAGGTTCAAGTGATTCTCCTGCCTCAGCCTCCTGCGTAGCTGGGATTACAGGTGCGTGCAAACACGGACGACTCTTCTTTTTTTTTTTTTTGTATTTTTAGTCGAGATGGGGTTTCACCATGTTGGCCAGGGTGGTCTCAAACTCCTGACCTCAAGTGATCCACCTGCCTCGGCCTCCCAAAGTGTTGGGATTACAGGCACAAGCCACCACGCATGGCCAGGAAGTCTTTTTTTTGAGACAGGGTCACTCTCTGTTACCCAAGCTGGAGTGCAGTGGTGTGATCATGGCTTACTGTGGCCTTGACCTCCTGGGCTCAAGTGATCCTCCCACCTCAGCCTCCTGAGTAGCTGGGACTACAGGTGTGCACCACCACATCTGGCTACTTTGTGTATTTTTCATAGAAACGGGGTTTCACCATGTTGCCCAGGCTGGTCTTGAACTCTTGAGCTTAAGTGATCCACCTGCCTTGGCCTCCCAAAGTGCTGGGATTACAGGTGTAAGCCACCGTGCCTGGCCCTAAGGGAGGAAGTCATCAACTGGGGCCTGAGAGCTGAGTTCAATTAGTGTAAGGGTGGATGGATAGACGGAGAGAGGATAGGAAGGGGAGAGGGCTCCAAAATGACTGAGTAATTGGCTGGGAACTGAGAGAAGTTTCGGTGGCTGTAGTGTGGACTGTCAGATGAGGATGGTGATGGGAGATGGGGCCAGAGAAGAGAGCAGGTGCCGGGACACACAGGGCTTGTGAGTTCCGCGAAGGAGTTTGCCCAGTGTCCAGCAGGGGGCAGTAGTGGTGGTCTCCCCACCTTGTTCCTATGGGCTGATTTGGGCTGTGGTTCTGGCTGCGTGGCCTCTGTGTGTCTGTTTCCTCAGCCAGATCTTCTCTGAGTGGACAGCACTTCGAGAAGACCTACGTGGGATGGTTGGATCCTGGAGAGGCCTACAAGTAGCCATCGATTCAGTCCAGACACTATTTGCTCTGGAATGTGCGGGACTGGCTCACATTGGCTCCTGAGAGGAGGGAGAAAATGTGCGCAGGGCAAGTTGGAGACGTTATTTCTCAGTTTGCAGTTGGTTGGATCATGTCAGCCCATCAGGATATTTTAGCCAGGATGGAAACGAGCCTTCTAGAGCATTTAGGATGGGGATTGCCACTTGGGGAATTAAAGGCAATAATGACAAAATGAGCTTATCAGAGGACCTAGTAGGATTCTCATTCCTGTGGCTGGGTACTGTTGACAGGAGGGCAGCTTCCTGGGCACTCGAAGGCAGGAGGAACTTGACTCTGAACACGGCTAACGTCCTGTATTGTACAGCTGTGGTCATGCTGTGAAATTCTTGTGTCTTCTAGTTATATTTAGAGGAATTATATCTTTTTACTGTGTCTGTTGGTATTTTTACATCAATCACAGTCCATCTTGTAACAATAAAATAATCTTTCAAAAATGTTTTCTGTTTAAATTAGCCTAAAACTCTCCCTTTCTCTCTCTTTCTCTTTTTGAGACACGGTCTCACTCTGTTACCCAGGCTGGAGTGCAGTGGCACGATCATAGCTTGATTATATCTCACTGCAGCCTTGACCTCCTAGGCTCAATGATCCTTCCACCTCAGACTCCTGAGGAGCTGGGACTACAAGCACACACCACCATGTCCAGCTAATTTTTTTTTGTAATTTTTTGTAGAGGCCAGGTTTTGCTATGTTGCCCAGACTGATGCTGAACCCCTGAGCTCAAGCAATCCACCTGCCTTGGCTTCCCAAAGTGCTGGAATTACATGTGTGAGCCACTGGGCCCGCCCCCTAAAACTATCTCTCATTTTTCAGCAAAAAATCTGATGAGTACTAATTCCCTTTTCTCCCAACTTCGTGTCTAAGATTTTGAACGTTGGGTGTTTAATGTCTAACGGTATTTTCCTTCATGAAAACATGCAGGAGAGGGAGCTGCAGCTGCAAACTAATGTTCTGAGGCCTCTTCTCCCTGTTCTCCTGCAAGAAGTCCGAGGTTCATAGCACTGTGACTAAGAACACATCTTAGATAGCAGGGCCTCCGGATAGAGAGTGCCAGGGGCCAGAGGAGACCAGGCTTCCCCTCCACAGGTATTAGTGTGTATGTGGGGGTGAGTCTGTTGTGGCTTGGGGCTGTCCCTGGCCATTCCACTGAGAAATGAGCCTCATGTGCTGGAGGGCCGCCTGCCACTCTGGTCCTTTCTGCCTATGATCCAAAGGGGAGGATGGTGCCTCGTTAGCCTCATCTCACTTGTTCCCTGTTAGTTGATCGGGAAGTGTGGCCAAACCAGTCTGCCTAAGACTACACACCCTGAACTGATATGATGGAGGTTGACACCAATCTTTTGGGGGGTCTTTTGGAGGATTTTTAAAAAAATAAACTTCAGCTTTATCAAAAATTATGGAAAAATTGCAAGACTAGTCCAAACCCCTCCTGCATATTTTTTACCCAGATTCACCAATTATTTACCTTTTGCTTCATTTTTGCTTTATTATTCTACCATCCATCCATCCATCCATCTACATACACACCATTATATGCATATACATAGCATTATATCCCCATTACATATGCATATATGTGCTGTGTGCCTGTGTGTGTATATTTTTTCTGAACCACTTGAGAATCAGTTGCAGACATTGTGCCCATTTACTCCTAAGTACTTCAGGGTGTATGAAAGTCAGAATATTTAACACTGGCATATTGCTATTATTTAATCTAATTGATATTCAAATATCATCAATTGTCCCAATAATATCTTTTATAACCTTCATAATTTTTTTCTCAGGTAAATGATCCAATACAGGATCATGAAATGCCTTTAGTCATTATGCCTCTTTAGTATTCTTTAATCTAGGGCAGTTCCTCAGCCTTATTTTGTCATTTGTGACCTTGACATTTTTGAAGAACACACTCTAGTTAGTTTGTAGAATGCCTCTCAATTTGGATTTGTCTGATGTTTCTTTATGAATAGATTGAAGTTATGCATTTTTGGCAATAATATCATAAAAGTGATATGTCTTTCTCAGGACATTACATCAGGAGGCACATGATATCGATTTGCCCCATTTCTGATGATGATAATTTCGAGAATTTAGTGAAGGTGGTGGCTGTCATTTTCTTCATTGTAAAATTACTATTTTTAAAATACCTTTGAAATTAATCAATTATTTTTTGGGAACTACTTTGAGACCATATACATATTCTGTTCCTCAACAAACTTTTACCTACTAGTTTTACATTCATTGCCTGAACCAACCACTACTATGATTATTATAAAATAGTGTTTTTAAAAATTATAATATTTCCTCTTCCTTTATTGGCTGGTATACGACTGCTAGGAAGAGTTTTCCATTATCTCCCAGTTATTTACATAAATAAGGGCAGATAGGTTCCTATATTACTCAATGGATTAAATGCATTACTATTATTATTTATTTTGATGCTCAAATTGCCCCAGATTTTGCCAGGGAGAGTCCCTTCAGGACAGCTCCTGTGCCCTTCTGCCGTGTCCTCATCATTCTTCGAGCACCCCCTTACTTCCTGGAACATGAAGCTATTCCAGATTCCACTTATAATTTTTCTGCCCTAGTTCTGGAATTAAACATTTCTTTTTTTGTGGGGGGAAATTAAGCATTTCTTCAAGGAGCCTTTTTTTTTTCTTCTTTTTCTTTTTAGTGAGGAATAGTATTTAGAAACCAAGATCTGGGTGCTTAGTGCTACTGGAATTGCTTCTATTGCCTCAAGGCAGACAGATCTCTGTTCTCTGTATTAGAGGACACTCTGTCCACTCTCTAGCTAACAGGCCCAGCCAAGAATTTTCTTATTCTTTTTTTTTTTTTTGGCAGAGTCTCCAGGCTGGAGTGCAGTGGCAAGATCTCGGCTCACCGCAACCTCTGCCTCCCAGGTTCCAGCGATTCTCCTGCCTCAGCCTCCCAAGTAGCTGGGATTTCAGGTGCCTGCCACCATGCCCGGGTAATTCTTGTATTTTTAGTAGAGATGGGGTTTCATCATGTTGGCCAGGTCAGGTCTCGAACTCCTGACCTCAGGTGATCTGCTCACCTAGGCCTCCCAAAGTGCTGAGATTACAGGTGTGAGCCACCATGCCAGGATGAATTTTCTTATTCTTTAGGAGAATGTACCTTGATTTGATTTGTTATTCACTATTGAATGGGGCCAAGACCATAACGTTACATACTAGCATGTAGATTTTTGTCTAGTATAGCTACTAATAATTTCATTCAGGGAAAAAAAATAAAACAACAAAAGCTAAAATAAAAAATAAAAACCAAACAAATAAACAAAAACCCTAAATCCCAAAGGTTATAGTCTTCTTGCCCTGTATAACATTAACCAGTTTTGTATACCACCCCAAAATTCTATTTTAACATCTTTTATTCAGTGCCTATAATACTTAATCTCTCAAGTTCTCTTGAAACCAACTTTACCATCCCACTCATTCTCTCATTAATTAGGTAAACGAGTTTTTAAAAAACCAGGTACATAAATCTAAACATAATGCTCTCTTTATAAATGTAAATAAATAAAATACAATTTTAACTCATAAAAAATTATACCCACGCTGGTGCAGAGCCTCTCCTTTAATCCCAGCACTTTGGGAGGCCAAGGTGGGTGGACCACCTGAGGTCAGGAGTTTGAGACCAGCCTGACCAGCATGGTGAAACCTTGTCTCTACTAAAAATACAAAAATTAGCCAGGCGTGGTGGCAGGTGCCTATAATCCCATCTACTTGGGAGGCTGAGGCAGGAGAATTGCTTGAACCCCGGAGGTGGAGGTTGCAGTGAGCCGAGATCGTGCCATTGCACTCTCTAGCCTGGGCAGCAAGAGCGAAACTGTCTCAAAAAAAAAAAAAAAAAAATTATACCCAGCTGGGTGTGGTGGCTCACACTTGTAATCCTAGCACTTTGGGAGGTCCAGGTGGGTGAATCATTTGAGGCCAGGAGTTCGAGACCAGCCTGGCCAACATGGTGAAACCCCATCTCTATTAAAAATACAAAAAATTAGTTGGGCATGGTGGCACATGCCTGTAGTCCCAGCTACTCAGGAGGCTGAGGCAGGAGAATTGCATGAACCCGGGAGGTGGAGGTTGCAGTGACCTGAGGTTGCACCACTGCACTCCAGCCTGGGTGACAGAGACTATCTAAAAAAAAAAAAAAATTATACCCTGCCACTTGAATTTAAATTGGCCTCCAATTCCAAATGACCACAATGTGATTTATTTTAACCTTCCCTCTTTCCATATTTGTAATTCTCTTCTCCAACAGTGAGAGATATTGCTTTCATCCTTCTGAATATATTTATTTATTTATTTAATTCAAGAATACACAGAAAGTAGTTTTAGAATCACAAACCCATACTACCATGAAAATTACAACTACCAACTAGGTTAGGGTTCAATGTTTGTTTATAGTTCGTTTTGTCCTTACTGAGAAGATATAGTCAAAATGCTATAGACAAAGTCTCTTGAATTACTTAGTTTCCCCCCTATTCAATAGATTCTTTTTGAATCTGGCTGGGCACGTGGTGGCTCACGCCTATAATCCTAGTACTTTGGGAGCCAAGGAAGGATTGCCTGAGGCCAGGAGTTTAAGACCAACCTGACCAACATAGCTAGATCCTATCTCTCCAAAAAAAAAAAAAAAAAAAAAAAAAAAAAAAAGAGAGAGCGATTCTTTCTGAATCTAAAATCTGTTTAGAACAGGAGTGGCTTGGTTTACTCCACTACCCTTTGTTAGAGTGTTTCTAACTGTGGCGGTTCCTTTCACATGAAAATAGGGCCCTCACTTTTTGTATAGGTGGCCATAGACATATAATAGAAATAACAAACAGACAAGTAGCAGAATATACAAAACAGTTGCGTTTTGATCACTTCCCAGGAGTTGTGCATTCAATTTACCAGTGACTTCGTGTTTCTACTAGCCTTTTGCTGATATCCTAACTACACATTAGTTCTTTCCACCCCACGTGGAAAATGACAGTATTGGCGTACTTTAATTAACTCCAGATAATTTTCTCTATTTAGAACTCTGAGAAGTTGATCTCTCTCCAGAGGACCCCAGATAATAAAAAGCATTCTAATTCTCTAGAGTTGGGCCATTCAAAGCCAGTTTTAAACAAGAGGTTGAATGATGTCCCCACATGTTCAATTTTATATATGGTGTTAGCATACTTCTGGTGATAAGGGAGTTTTGTTAATGACTCATATAAATGACAGCTTAATTTTTAGTTTTTAATAGTTGTGCTGTGTGCTTTGCTCTCATTTTTAATAGTTCGCTGTGTGATTTGTGTCCTGTTAGGAACAGGATTCTAACAAAGCCTAACTCTTGGTGAAATCTGGAGTTTATCATCAGGTCCCTGGCCCTGTTGTATCACCCTTTCCCACCTTGATGGTAGTCTCCCTGTTTTCCTTGTATGCAGTGCCCTGAGGAGATCTTTTTCACACATTTAAAAGTCTTCTTTCATCAAAGTATCTGAAAGTCAGTCACATGAAGTTGCAAATAACAGATAATAGCTTAAAGTGTCACTCTTCTCTCCTAGACTCCTACAGGACAACCAGGGACAATCATCTTCACAGGAACCTATCCTCCCTGCTGGGTATGTAATTTGCATAATTTATAGCGCTGGGTGCAAAATGAAAATGTGCTTATCTTGTTAAAAATGCAGGAAAAAAACTGTAATTAAAATACTAAAATATAAAGCCTGTGCGGTGGCTCACGCCTGTAATCCCAGCACTTTGGGAGGCTAAGGTGGGCGGATCACTTGAGGTCAGGAGTTCAAGACCAGCCTGGCCAACATGGTGAAACCCTGTCTCTACTAAAAAGACAAAAATTAGCCGGGCACGGTGGTGGGGCGCCTGTATTCTCAGCTACTTGGGAGGCAAGAATCGCTTGAACCTGGGAGGTGGGGATTGAAGTGAGCCAAGATCGTGCCACTGCACTCCATCCTGGGCAACAGAGTGAGACTCTGTCTCAAAACAAACAAACGAACAAACCCCTAAAATATAAAGCTTTTTTTTAAAAAAACAATTTTTATAAAATGTAATAGGGATAATAGTGATATATGAGTAATGACTAAACCTACAAATTGCAAAAATGTACCATTTTTTGTTTCACCAATTTATATAATACAATGGATAATAATACTTTATTAATGTGAAATCTTGATTGGTCATAAGATTTTTCTGACTCACTTCTCTGCAAATCATTTCTAAAGCCATCAAAATTTATATATATATATATTTTTTTTTTAAAAAGGGGCTATGCTAATCTTCTCTGTATCATTCCAATTTTAGTATATGTGCTGCTGAAGTGAGCACCAAAATTTATATTTTCAAGATGATGACAGCAGAGTAAGAAATAAAAATAAAATCCTAAGCCTCCCAACCGACTGAATGGAGTGCCTCTCAGCCAAGTGGACCCCAGAGGAACCTTAAAAACTGAGTTCCCAGCCATAAGGGGATGGGAGGTCAGATACACCTCAATATGCCCTATCCTTATTCATCTTTAACCAGAAATTTTTCCTAAGGAGTACACGGAAATCAGCCCTGGGGAACAAGATACAGATGACTCTACTTCATTGCCTTTAGCCAGTCATCTGAGGCCATGACTGGACTCCCCCTTCCTTTTTGTGGTTTTTTTTTTTTTTTTTTTTTTTTTGAGACGGAGTCTCGCTCTGTTGTCCAGGCTGGAGTGCAGTGGCGTGATCTTGGCTCACTGCAAGCTCCATCTCCTGGGTTCACGCCATTCTCCTACCTCAGCCTCCTGAGTAGCTGGGACTACAGGCGCCCGCCACCAAGCCCGGCTAATTTTTTTTGTATTTTTAGTAGAGACGGGGTTTCACCGTGTTAGCCAGGATGGTTTTGAAGATCTCCTGACCTCGTGATTCACCTGCCTCAGCCTCCCAAAGTGCTGGGATTACAGGTGTGAGCCACCGTGCCTGGCCTTTTTGTGGTTTTAACACAGCAACTAACCAGCATTCCTTCCTGGTAAGAGATCACTGACCACAGAGTGGTTCTCAGCAGTTTGCAGAAGATGCACGTTGATGGTTTTTGTGTTCTCTGTTTCACCTTTTGATGTCAGAGGGCCAAAAACTCCACCCTTGGATCATGCAAGCATCATCATTTTTTGAACATGTGACGCATAAAGAGGCATGAAGCCCAATTGCACATGCACATGTTTCTCTTTTCATAAATATTCATGACTCCTCCTATTGTGTACTAAATATGTATACTTAGCCAAGCCATTCATTATACATTCCTGTTTTATCCATCCCTGCCTCGAAGTACCTGCTTCTGACTTCTGTCACAGGCTACACTTCCCAGCCTGTAGGAATGGCCACCTTGCAGATTGCAACACTTCATGAGAAATAAACCTCTTATTTCAAAATTTATGAACCTCACCACTCGTTAGTTGACAAGAGTATTAACCTAAGCATGGGGCCCCTCTTGGAGCAGGGCCCTTATGACTGCATAGGTTGCTGCCCATGAAGCTAGCTAGCCCTGCTGACCTTGTTGCTGGTTTTCCAGGAGTAGATGCCGAGACTGTGCTTGGTGTACAGAGTATTTATTAGGAATCAACATCCGTGGATGAGAGGAGGAGGAAGCAGTCTTGGGCAGAGGGAAAAGTCAAAATGTGATGCAATTGTGACAAAGCTTTGGCCATTCCTATGGGATGTTCTGGACCATACACGGCCCATCAGAGATGCTAGATTAAGCCAAAATGTCTGTGTCTTTATACCTTACTTCTATCAGTCATTGGATGTGAACTGCCCCAACTTTGGGAGGTGGGATTAGCAGAAAGTTTCCAGGTCTCAAATCCTTTAGAGTTTGTTTCAGTTGCAGAGAGCTAACTCAACCAAGGGCATGACCCTCCCAGGCTGAGCAACATCCTGCTTTCTCTTCTGAAGAAAACAGTAGCAAACCAAATCCAGCTCTCTATATATGATAATATATCACAGCCAATAGCTGAGGTCAAGAATAGTAGATTGACCTCGTGTGGTGACTCACGCCTGTAATTCCAGCACTTTGAGGTGAAGGTGGGAGGATCGCTTGAGGCCAGGAGTTTGAGACCAGCTGGGCAACATAGTGAGACTCTGTCTATACAAAAAATTAAAAAAAAATTAACCTGGTATGGTAATGTGTGCCTGTAATCCCAGCTACTTGGGAGGCTGAGGTGGGAGGATCACTTGAGCCTGGGACGTTCAGGCTGCAGTGAGACATCATCGTGCCACTGCACTCCAGCCTGGGTGACAGAGCAAGACCCTGTCTCAAAAAGAAAAAAAAAAAAAAAAGGAAATTGCTTAAACATTAGGGAATCAGAGAATCAGTCACTGATGGATTGATATATATTAACAGAATGATGCATAAAGATACAGATATAGAAAGGTTGAAAATAAAATGATGGAAAAAGATATACTATGTGAACAGTATGAGAAGGAAGCTGGCATAACTATATTAAAATCAGACATAATACTTTAAGGCAAAAATCATTATTAGAGTTAGAATGAGGTTGTTTGTGATGATAGAGGCTCAAATCAAGAGGAATGTTAAAAAGGAAGAGGGATAACTCAAGGGAAGGTCAGCGAAGATTGTGGAGGAAATTGTGTGTTTCCAGGAAGCTCCAGGCTCCTCACATTTTCCCCACCAGCCAGCAGATAGATATTCCATAGTTTAATTTCTTTAGCTTAGTGCTTTATTGTATAGTTAAAATTAAAAAAAAGAAAGCAAGAAAGGAAGGAGCCATCAAGTTATGAAAGGACATTGAAGAAACTTAAATACATATTACTAAGTGAAATAAGTTGTATTAGTCCATTTTCATGCTGCTGAAAAAGACATGTCTGAGAGTGGGTAATTTATAAAGAAAAAGAGGTTTAATTGACTCACAGTTTCACATGGCTGGGGAGGCCTCACAATCATTGCAGAAGGTGAAGGCACATCTTATATGGCAGCAGACAAGAGAGACCTTGTGCGGGGAAACTCCCATTTTTAAAACCATTAGATCTTGTGAGACTGATTCACTATCATGAGAACAGCACTGCAAAGACCCGCAAAAGTCATTATTAGAGATAGAATGGGGTTGTTTGTGATGATAGATGCTCAAATCATTTTTCCCCATGATTCAATTACCTCCCACCGGGTCCCTCCCACAACATGTGGGAATTGTGGGAGCTACAATTCAAGATGAGATTTGGGTGGGGACACAGCCAAACCATATCACTAGTCCGTCTGAAAAGGCTACATAACATATAATTCCAAATATATGACATTCTGGAAAAGGCAGAGCAATGGAGACAGTAAAAAAAAAAGATTTCTGGGTGTTTGGTGAGGGGTAGATGAACAGGCAAAGCACAGAGGATTTTTAGGGCAGTGAAAATACTCTGTCTGATACTATAATGGTGGATACATATTATCATATATTTGTCAAAACCCATAAAATATACCATACTAAGAGGGAACCCTAAAGTAAACTACAGTGATAATGACATGTCAACATAGGTTCATCGATTTTAACAAATGTACCTCACTAGTGTGAGACATTAATAATTGGGAAGCTGTGTGTGTGTGAACATCTTACTTTCTTCTCAATTTTTTGTAAAGCTAAAACTGCTCTGAAAAATAAAACTATTAATTAAAAAAATTAATAGGAGTCTGTGTACAGAGATTCTTTTTGTACAAGGAAAAAAACCAACTCAAATTAAGCCAAAAACAAAAGTAAATGCATGATAGGTCTTGGTCCTGCTGCTTGATGACTTAAATCTAAGGTTATGGCAAAACATCTGAAGCTCATTGCCAGGCTGTGATGGTGCAGGACCCTAAACAGAATGCTCACAATGGAGGGGCTCATGACATTAAGCCACAGAGGCACTATGAGAAGCTTGCCACAGGTGACAGCGACAGAGCTGTGAAACTTGCCTGTGGATCTATAATTTGGAAGTGGCCCACAAGATGAACTCCATGGGAAAGAGTTGGGCAGATAGATACATGGCAGGGCTGCTGAGTCCTGTGTGCAGGACACCCAACACGAAAACCTCATCCATTTTGTGCTGTCGCCTCTTTTCTTCCTCCAAAAACCCATATGATGTATATTTCTCTTACCTTTTTTCCCTGCAGTAAACCTAATCCTATAGATGCAAGAAGGCCTGCATATACAGAAGCAATCCCTGCAGTCAGCAATGGAGCCTCTCTTCTCTTAAGTGACAGAGAAACTGAGTCACAAAGTAGTCTAGGAGTAGAATGATGGTTGCTAGAGGATACAAGGAGTGGGAAATGTGGAGTTGGTGCTCAATGGAGATAAAGCTGCAGTCTTGGAAGATGAAAAGATGAAACCTGCGGTTTTGGAGATGGATGGTGTGATGGTTGCATAACAATGCGAATGTACTTAGTGCCACTGCACTGTACACTTAAATGCTAAACCTAGTACATTTTATGTTATATATATTTTATCACGGTAAAAAAAAGTCCAAAGTAAATGCATGCTAAAGATTCTGGAATGTCATTGTAAAACCAAGGTAGAATACGCATGCCTCAGGAATAACCTAAACAGAGACTCAGATAACATTGGGATCCCCTTTTCAAGGTGGGAGGAAAAGTGCCCAAACTTTATTTTTCACAGCTTCAACCATCAGATTCAAGTCCAAAAATCTAGGGAAAAAACTCATTGACCCATGTTGGGTCAGGTACAGTCTCCCATATCAATCAACTATGCACAAAATGTGCCCATGCCACCAGGACTGTGGGGTGTGTGGTGGCCAATTTTGGTAAATACTCCATGTGCATTTGAAAAGAACACGGACTTTGCTGCTGTTTGGTGCAGTATTCTACATATGCTAAGGAGGCTAAGTTTGTTAATTGTGTTATTCAAATCTTCTATATCCTTATTGGTATTTTTGTCTGCTTGTTCTATCCGTTACTAAGAGTATTGTATTAATATCTCATATTAAGATTGCATATTTTCCTTTTTGTCTTGCCAATTTTTATTGTACATATTTCGTGGCTATGTTGTTATAAGTATACAGTTTTACTACATCTTCCCAGTGAATTGATCTTTCATGATTATGAAATGTTTCTCTTTATCGCTAATAATGCTTCTTGCCTCAGGGTGTTCTTTTTCTGATATTATATAGCTATATCATCTTTCTTTTGGTGTTTGCATGCATTTCTTTCTGTACTTTTATTTTTAACTTTTCTATATCTTTATAGTTAAGCTATGTCCCTTTGTTGCTTTTAACTAGGCTGAGAATTTTTTTAATGCAATCATTTAGATTTAATGGAATTACTAATATGTTTGCATCTAAACCTACTTTCTTCTTTTTGCTTTTTGTTTGTCCCATCAAGTCTATGTTTTCCTTCCTCTCCTTTTTTTTTTTCCTTTCTTTTGGATTAACTATTTTTTATTATTTCATTTCACCATTAGACTGGTTTTTACTATCCTTTTGGTGGTTATCCAAAATGTCAATAATGCAGAGGCTAAGAAACCCTGACTAACCTCTTATTTTCTCTAAACTGGCAGTAAAATCTAGAGGTTTGATTGGATTCAGTTTATTTTTTGGGGGGTGGACAGAGGTCTTCACAGATGAACCTATATTGTACACCGTATTATATGAGAAGGCAATAATGTCCCATGCATAGATGCACAGATTGATAAGTGGGCTTAGGTGTTTCAGTCAGATCCATCTATTATAAAGTTCTCCATTCGCCTTTCATCTAATTGTGTTAGCATCCATTGGTGATGGCTACCTAGACTCATTATGTCATTAAGGGTTGCCAGACGGTGACTCCTCTATCACTTGTTCTCCTATTTGCTGCAATTCTTAAGAAGAGCATTGCCTTGCCAACTACTTACAGTCCACACAGGAAAGGTAGGATAAATGCATGATTGATGAAGCAGGAAAAGAGTGTTACTATGCAATATTACACCAAGCACTTGGTTTTAAATTAATCTGAGGCCTGTTGGAGGAAACAGACATCTAGGGGGCAGCAGAGACCACCAGTTGCTGGAGCCATCACTGATACCTTTAACATGAGTTACCTCTGACTGCTGTCGCTGCGCAGTTTAATTTCAGCTGGCTAGAATCCCAGCTGCTCTGAGAGGCCATATTCCCTTGCTGGCTGCAGTGAGGAGCTGGGTTTGTCTCTGGTGCCTCCTGGTCCTTGTTACCTGCTGCTGGAAGGTGAGAGAGTATCTCACCTGGGACTAGCAGAGGAACCCAGCAGTCCTGTGTTGGGGCTAAGGGGGAGATGTGGAGGGGAGAGTGGACTCTGTGACAAGAATGCAGACTCCATCAGTTCAACTCCCTGGGTGCATTCTACATAAAGTGATCGTTTGTCACTTTAAACAGTGTCAATATGGTATCTTGGATAAATGTGTGGGCTTTTAGCTAACACACTTGGGTTCCAATCCTACTCCTGCTACTGAGGAACTGTGGATGAAGCTCAGCTTTCTCACCTGTAGAATGTGGCTGGTGATAGTTGCTATTGCACGGCATTGTTGCAGAAGCAGGAGATGGTGTGTGTAAAGGGGTCAGCCGGGGACCTGATGAGCAGGCGTGTGTGTGCACCTGTGTGCTGTCGGAGCAGGGAGCCCCTCACTATTCCCTGGTGAGGCTCGGCCCAGCTCCCAGGCTGATAGCTGTGTTCAATGCCCAGCAGCCTTTCGCCTCCAGAGAAGTGTAGCTAGACAGGGTGCACAGGAGGGCTGGGCTCCAGGCTCCCATGCCCTCTGTGTCAGATGAGCACAGGAAGACCCAGGGTTAAAGTGACTTCTCCAGGTCACTCAAGAATGTGGCAGAGCAGAGGCTGGAATCTAGATTTGCAGACTCTCAGTCTTGAGCTTGTATTGGCTGCATCTAAGTTACTATTTTCTCTGGATACTCTTACTGCTTCTCGAAATCCTTAGGTTGTCTTGGTTTAAGTTGTAGTCGCAAACATTTTCAGAGACTCACACGTGAAATGAGCCCTCAGTATACATGTGTACTTTAATTCATACAATTATACTCATCACGGGCTTAACTATACTCTGTCTCTTACCAGTCCAAGAGTGTGAAATACAAAGTTTGAATATGACTTATATATTTAGCTAATTATTAATTCATCAAGCATGTATTGAACTCATATTATGTGCCAGGTTCTAAGTCACAGAAAGAAATTTGAGATAGGCTGGGTGCAGTGGCTCATGCCTATAATCCTAGCACTTTGGGAGGCACAAGCGGGTGGATGACCTGAGGTCAGGAGTTTGAGACGAGACTTGCCCACATGGTGAAAACCCATTTCTACTAAAAATACGAAAATTAGCTGAGTGTGGTGGTGTGCACCTGTAATCCCTACCTAGGAGGCTGAGGTAGGAGAATCGCTCAAACCCGGGAGGTGGAGGTTGCAGTGAGCCGAGATTGTGCCATGCCACTGCACTCCAACTTGGGAGATGGAGCGAGACTGCATCTCAAAAAAAAAAAAAAAAAAAAAAAGAAATTTGAGATAAAGGGAATAGAGACATAAGGATGAAAAATACAGTCCCTGCATGCAAGGAATTTCAACTTTAATGGGAGTAGTGGGGAAGATATGGAACGGAGAAGCCAACCTTACAATTCAGTGAGATGCATGGGCTAGCCTTTACCTTGAGAGACATTCTGGAGGAGTGATATTTGAACTTAATCTAGAAAGGTGAGTCATGCCTAAGCAGGGAGAGACCAGAGTGACTGTCCTTGCAGCCAGAAAGAGCATAGAGGTGTGAAAAGGCATTGTGAGTTTGGGGGGTGTTTCCAATGTTAGTTCTGCATGGAGGAGATATGGGCAGACAGGGTTGTGACGGTGACAGGGCTGGGACACCCAGACGCTGAGGGTCACAGTGCTGTACCAAGGAGTTGGGCTATCATCTTTAAGGCAAGGTGAGGAGCATTGAAGTACCTTAAGTGACAGGATCAGACTGTGGAGATTGGAGGGATTTGAGAGATTTGGAAGGCTATTGTTGTGCTGCAGGCTAGAAGGAATAAAGAATTGTACTTAAGTCATGGCTGTGGGGATGGAGAGGAAAGAAATGACTCAAGGGATGGTTACAAGAAAGACTGGACAGGACATGTGTTTAAACAGTGACCATGGGAAGGATCTGCAGCAGTGTTTTGGGACGAACCTTGAGAAATTGCTACCATCTGCCCAAGTTCCCACCTGGCTATTACAGGTTCAGCTTGAGGCATTTCTCTAAAATTCCTTGTAAATTGAAAGTCTAACAAGAACCTATACTAACAAGGACCTGTTAATGTTTTATCCTCCTTTGCCTTTCCTTTGAAAACCCAGTGGAGAACTCAGTGTTCTCTTTGGACTAGTGACTGGGGAGCTGGGGACGGGAGATGAGGCTCTTTCCAAGTGCAGCCTAGACCCTAACTGCAAGGGAGAGTGACTGAGGGGCTGTGGATACCACCTTCCCAGCTGATTTCACTGCCAGGCCTGCTGTGGGAACAGGCTTGTTAGATTTGAGGCTCCCTGGGCAGGATTCTTAACTCGTAAATATCTCCCTCTCTACCTGCTGTGGGGATTTCTTTTTTTACTGTCCATGTTCAAAATTGGATTAATTGTAATCCTTGATTCATAATACTCTCATTATTATTAGTCAACACATGGCTTTCTTTACTTTACTTTTCTTTTCTTTTCTTTTTTTTTTTTTTGAGACAGAGTATCACTCTGTCACCAGGCTGGAGTGCGGTGGTGCAATCTCAGTTCACCGCAACCTCCGCCTCCCAGGTTCAAGCGATTCTCCTGCCTCAGCCTCCCGAGTAGCTGGGATTACAGGCACACACCACCATGTCTGGCTAATTTTGTATTTTTACTAGAGATAGGCTTTCACCATGTTAGCCAGGATGGTCTTAATCTCTTGACCTCATGATCCGCCTGCCTTGGCCTCCCAAAGTACGGGGATTACAGGTGTGAGCCACCGTGCCTGGCCAGCACATGGCTTTCTTTAATTTCTTTAAGTTATTATTAGTAGTATGACGAACTGGGCACAGTAGCTCATGCCTGTATTTCCAGCTCTCTGGGAGGCCAAGGTGAGAGGATTGCTTGAGCCCACGAGTTTGAGATCAGCTTGGGCAACATAGGGAGAGCCCCATCTCTACAAAAAATACAAAAAATACAAAAAATTAGCCAGGCATGGTGATGTGTGCCTGTGGTCCCAGCTACGTGGGAGGCTGAGATGGGAGGATCAGTTGAGCTCAAGAGGTCAAGGCTGCAGTGAGCCACGATCATACCACCGCACTCCAGCCTAGGCAACACTGAGACTGTCTCAAAAACAAAACAAAAAGTATGATGAATTCCTATGTATCCACCACCCCACCCGAGAACTAAAAAATTACTTAAAACTTACGTCTCTCTATATGCTCCTTCCTCACTTCGTTTCCCACTCTTCAGGGTGAAAGAGACCACTATTCTGATCTTCGTGTATATATTTTCTTTTTTTCATGAGTTTTATTTCATATATTTGTATGCATATGTTATATTTTCCACATTCAAAATTTCTCCACTAAACAGGGAAAAGAGAAAGACCCTTTACATGGAGAAGAGCTAATATGCACTCCTTGAAATTAGAGCCTGGCAGCTTCCCGTATATAATTCTTATTAAAAATATTAAAAATTGGCCGAGTGCAGTGGTTCACACCTATAATCCCAGGACTTTGGGAGGCCAAGGCAAGCAGATCACTTTAGCTCAGGAGTTCGAGATCAGCCTGAACAATACGGTGAACCCCCCCAATCTCTACTAAAAATACAAAAATTAGGCAGGCGTGGTGGCGGGTGCCTGTAATCCCAGCTATTGGGAGGCTGAAATGGGAGAATCGCTTGAACCTGGGAGGTGGAGGATGTAGTGAGCCAGGATCGTGCCACTACACTCCAGCCTGGGTGACAGAGTGGGACTCCATCTCAAAAAAAAAAAAAAAAAGAAAGAAAAAAGAAAAAAAAAGTTAAGAATTCCTCTTTCAAAAAAAAAAAAAACTTTCAATAGAATGAATAGTCCAAGAAAACATCATGTTGGTGCTCCAGCATGTTACCAAGCACCCCAGGGGGCATATGTCCCCAGTTAGAGAGCCACTTCTGGCAAGGTGGCTCTGATAGGCTGAGAGAGGTACAGCCCTCTGGCCAAGGAAGTCAGGGGCTAGCTGCTGGGGTTGCAAGCACACCAGAGCTTGTGAGTTTGCAAACATACAGGGCTCCAAGGGGTGTGGGCATTGATGTTATGTGCCACAGCAACCAGTCCCTTAGCTTGGTCAGTGACATGGGACCTGTGTGATCTGGCTTAAGAAGGTACCAGGGCCAATTAGATTTTTCTCTTTTGGCAATTTAGACAGAGAAACACAAAGGGATTATTTGCTAGTAAGTTGTGAGAGCTGTATTAGGCAAGTCATAAGACAGAGTTGGAGCTGGAGAGGCTATGATAGGCCATGGGGAAGTCCAAGTTTTGCCGGAGCAAAAACAATGAGTAATCAGCCGGATGCGGTGGTTCACGCCTGTAATCCCAGCACTTTGGAAGCCAGGTGGGCAGATCACTTGAGGTCAGGAGTTCGAGATCAGCCTGACCAACACTGTGAAACCTTGTCTCTACCAAAAATACAAAAATTAGCTGGACGTGGTGGCAGGCGCCTATAATCCCAGCTACTTGGGAGGCTGAGGCAGGAGAATCACATGAACCCTGGAGGTGGAGGTTGCAGTGAGCTGAGATCATGCCACTGCACTCCAGCCTGGGCGACAGAGTGAGACTTCAATTCCAAACAAACAAACAAAAAATAATGAGTAGTTCAACGAGGCCAGCGGACAGCAGGACTGAATTAGACAGGTGACCAGAGCTGAAGCTTGCTAATGGGCGTGCAGCAGCGTAAGGACCCACCGTTCTGGTGCTGAGCCTGCTGGAGCCATGTGCAGCCGACATTCAGCAGAATTCACCTGCTGATTTTGGGAGGCCTGGCACCATCAAGGCTCTGGTTCTTAGATTTCTTGCTCTCACATATTCATAACTTACTTAATCCAACTTTCCATCTACCCCATGCCTGACCTGTGCCTGTACAGCTCAGTGTGACTGGAATAAAGCACACAATCAAGGTATGGTAGTTAAAAAAATGCCCATAAATTATTTGGTATTCCTTACTTTAAGAGGTGGAGGTAAATTCCTCTTTTGAGAGTGGGCTGGACATAGCAATTTGCTTCTAATGAATAGAATAAACCTGAAGTGAGTAGACAACTTCAGAGACTAGATTGTAAAAAGCAGTTCCCTCTCTGATTTTTGTATCACTTGTTCTGGAGGAAGTCAGCTGCCGTGTCATGATAACATTGAAACAGCCTAAGGAGAGACTTACGTAATGAAGAACCGAGGCCTCCTGCCCATGGCCATGCGAGTGAGCCATCCTGATAGGAGATCCTCCCACCACAGCTGAGCCATCAGTTGACTATAGCTGCAGTCGGTGTCTCATGAAAGTCTTAGAGGTCAGAACCATACAGCTAAATTCCCAAATTCCCTATGCACCGAAATGGTAAGATAATAAATATATGCTGTTCTAGACCACTGAATTTGGGAAAATTTGTCATCTGCAAAAAATAAATAATATATGTGTTGATCTGTCTTACATTAAATTGATAGTCACTAACTCAACTGGCCCTTAATGCCACCTGGCAGCATCATGTCTCTTATCCAATTTTCAATATCACTTATTTTATTTTATTTAAAAATTTTTTTGAGACAGAGTTTCGCTCTTGTTGCCCAGGCTGGAGTTCAATGGTGTGATCTTGGCTCACTGCAACCTCCACCTCTCAGGTTCAAGTGATTCTCCTGCCTCAGCCCTCCAAGTAGCTGGGATTACAGGTATGCACTATCATGCCTGGCTAATTTTGTATTTTTAGTAGAGATGGGGTTTCACCATGTTGGTCAGGCTGGTCTCAAACTCTTGATCTCAGGTGATCCACCTGCCTTGGCCTCCCAAAGTCCTGAGATTACAGGCATGAGCCACCATGCCCGGCCAGATCACTTACTTTATACCTCCTCTCTCTCTCTCAAATCTCCAACACCTCTGCCCCATTCTCACTCTCAGCTAATGCCCTTCACTCCTATTTCCAAGAGAAAGGTCAAAGCACTGAAAACAGAACTTCCCAAGGTCCAACTGTGACATCTATCCTCACACTGTGTCTGCCATCTACCCTGTGACAAGGGATGAACTGTCTGTGTCCTAAGGCCAACCTCTCCCCTTGGGCTCTAGATTTGATTTCCTCTTGGCCACTCAAAAACATCCCTCCTGAAATTCATCCCCCTCTCTATTTCTAGGTGGAAAGAGCATCGACCTGAGTCCAATCAGCTACTTACAGGTCAACTAAGAAGAGGACTGAGAGTTAACCATTGGATTGAGCAACATCAAGACCACCTGGATATTGGCCAATGGTTTTACCCTGACCATCTGCCCAGAGGGATGGTAAGAGAGAAAGGCAGGACAGAAATGAAAGGACAGTGAGAATACACACCACTTTCATGAAATTTTGTTGTGAAAAGAAAGGAAGAGGCCCGGCATGGTGGCTCACATCTGTAATCCCAGCACTTTAGGAGGCCAAGGCGGGCGAATCACCTGAGGTCAGGAGTTCGAGACCAGCCTGGGCAACATGGCAAAACCCCGTCTCTACTAAAAATACAAAAGTTAGCCAGGCATGGTGGCATGGGCCTGTAATCCCAGCTACTCAGGAGGCTGAGGCGGGAGAATCGCTGGAACCCAGGGGGCAGAGGCTGCAGTGAGCCGAGATCGTGCCACTGCACTCCAGCCTGGGTGATAGAGCAAGACTCAAGGTAAAAAAAAAAAAAAAAGAAAGAAAAGAAGAAACAGGACAGGGGCATGGAGTCAAGAGAGATTAAACATTTTCTTTTTTTAAGGCAGGAGAAACTATAGCAAACTTGTATGGGAAAGAAAACGATCCAGTAGAGACAGAGAAAACTGATGCAGGTGCATCTGTGGCTGCTTGGCAGCAGGAACTGAGGTCAGGGAAGCATGTGATATAGTGACATGCCCAGCAAGAACAACCTCAAAGTACACTCGTAAGTCCCCATATTGCATGTGGAGCTCTGTGAAGGGTTGCACGATGAACTTGAGAGAGACACAGTTCCTACCTTCATGGCCTTGTTTTCTAAGACTAGGTCAGAGGACTCTCCACATTTATGCCCTCTCTTTTCTATTGTATTGTATTTTATTGTATTGTATTGTATTGTATTGTATTGTATTGTATTGTATTGTATTGTATTGTATTTATTTATTTATTTGAGACAGGGTCTCACTCTGTCACCTAGGCTGGAATGCAGTGCCTATTTATGGGCATGATCATAGCTCACTACAGTCTTGACCTCCTGGGCTCAAGCAATCCTCCCAACTCAGCTTCCCAAGTAGCTGGGACTACAGGTGTGTACCACCACACCCAGTGAATTTCTTATTTTTTGTAGAGACAGCAGTTTTGCCATGTTGCCATGGCTGGTCTTGAACTCCTGGGCTTGGCCTCCCAAAGTGCTGGGATTATAGGCATGAGCCACTGCACCCAGCCTGTCCCTTTTCTAGCTAGTAGTTTTCTTTCAGAGGAAATCAAAATATCTCCCTATTTACGCTAAATATGAGTCCTGAACTGTTACAGCTTCTGGGGTAGATGAGGTTAGGGTCTCTGTCAAATGCCAGCATTCAGAGGCATATAAGAAGCACTCACTGTTTTCCTCTATTCACAACACATTTCGCTTCTGACACCAGATGTGTGGGTTTTTCCCCCACACTGAACAATTTTCCAACACCAGCTGGGTGTCCTACAATTTAACTCAATTCTGACACTAATTGCCTGGAGTTAGAACAAGTTAATGGCTCAGTCCTACAAGACCATCCCCACTTCAGAGCCCAATCATAAGTGGTGGGTCCCCAGGTCACCCACAACTTCTGTCTGACTTGGTTACAAATTGGAGGTTCCCACGACCTCCTCCTCATGTTCACTAATTTGCTAGAATAGTTCACAGAAAGCAAAGAGAAAAGTTACTAAGTTATGGGTTTATCATAAAACGATGCAATTCAGGAACAGCCAGATGGGAGAGATGCACAGGGCAATGACATGTCTTGGCTGTGTCCCTACTCAAATCTCATCTTGAATTGTGACTCCCACAATTCCCACATGTTGTGGGAGGTAACTGAATCATAAGGGTGGGTCTTTCCCATGCTATCCTCTTAATAGTGAATAAGTCTCATGAGATCTGATGGTTTTATAAGGAGGAGTTCCCCTGCACATGTCCTATTCTTGCCTGCCACCATGTAAGATGTTCCTTGCTCTTCTGCCATGATTGTGAGGCCTCCCCAGCCATGTAGAACTATGAGTCCATTAAACCTCTTTCCTTTACAAATTATGCAGTCTCAGATATGCCTTTATTAGCAGCATGAGAACAGACAAATACAGGCAAGGTATGGGGAAAGGGGTGCAGAACTTCCATGCCTTCTCTGGGCACACCACCCTCCCAGCACCTCCATGAGTTCAGCAGCCTGGAAGCTCTCTGAATTCTGTAGCTCAGGGATTTTTTTTTTTTTTTTAGCTGTGACCTTGCCTTTCTCTCTCTTTCTCTCTCTCTCTCTCTCTCTTTCTCTCTCTCTCTCTCTCTCTGTGTGTGTGTGTGTGTGTGTGTGTGTGTGTAGATTTCTTTCTTTATTATTATTTTTTAAACTTTTATTTTAGGTTCAGGGGTATATGTGCAAGTGCTGCGGTTTGGAGTTGTGTCCCCACCCAAATCTCATGTTGAACTGGAATTGCCAGTGTTGGAGGAGGGGCCTGGTGGGAGGTGACTGGATCATAGGAACAGTTTAATGGTTTAGCACCATCCCTCTAGTGCTGTTTTAAAAGTGTGTGGCACCCCTCCTTCCTCTTGCTCCCACTATGTAAGATGTGCTTGCTTCCCCTTTGCCTTCTGCTGTGATTGTAAGTTTCCTGAGGCCTTGACAGAAGCAGAAGCCTATACAGCCTACAGAACTGTGAGACAATGAAACATCCTTTCTTTATACATTACCCAGTTTCAGGTACTTCTTTATAGCAGTGTGAGAATGGACTAATAAAAAAAATTGGTACCAGAGAAGTGGAGCATTGCTATAAAGGTACTTGAAAATGTGGAAATGACTTTGAAACTGGGTAATAGGCAGAGGTTGGAAGAGTTTGGAGGGCTCAGAAGAAGACAGGAAAATGAGGGAAAGTTTGGAGCTTCCTAGAAACTTGTTGAATTGTTGTGGCCAAAATGCTGATAGTGATATGGACAATGAAGTCCAGGCTGAGGAAGTCTCAGATGGAGACCTCTCAGATGGAGCTTATTGGAAACTGGGGTAAGGTTACTCTTCCTATGTGTTAGCAAAGAGACTGGCAGCATTATGCCCCTGCTCTAGACATTTGTGGAACTTGAACTTGAGAGAGATGATTTAGGGTATCTTGAGGGAGAAATTTCTAAGCAGCAAAACATTCAAGATGTGACTTGGCTGCTTGTAAGAACCTACAGTCACATGCATAAGGAAATAAATGATCTAAAACTAGAACTTTTATTTAAAAGGGAAGCAGAGCATAAAAGTTTGGAAAATTTGCAGCCTGGCCATGTGGTAGAGAAAAAAAAAATTTCAGAAGAGGAATTCAAACCAGCTGCAGAAATTTGCGTAAGTAAAGAGGAACTGAATGTTAATAGCTGAGACAATGGGGAAAATGCCTGGAAGGCATTTCAGCAAACTTCATGGCAGCCTCTCCCTTCACAGGCCCAGAGGCCTAGGATAGAAGAATGGTTTTGTGGTCTGGACCCAGAGCCCCACTGCCCTGCACAACCTCGGGACAGTGCTCCCTGTGTCCTGGCGGCTCAAGCTCCAGATATGCCTCAGGCAGCTGCTCCAGAGGGTGCAAGCTGCAAGTATTGGTGGCCTCCACATGGCATTAAGCCTGTGGGTGTGCAGAGGACAAGAGTTAAGGCTTGGGAGTCTCTGCCTAGATTTCAGAAGATGTATGGAAATGGCCGAATGTCTAGGCAGAAGTCTGCTGCAGGAGTGGAGCCCTCATGGAGAACCTCTACTAGGGTAGTGCAGAAGGGAAATGTGGGGTTGAAACCCCCATGCAGAGTTTCCAGTGGGGCACTGCCTAGTGGGGCTGTGAGACGAAGACCACCATCCTCCAGACCCCAGAATGGTAGATCCACCAACAGCTTGCACTGTGCACCTGGAAAAGCCACAGGCACTCAACACCCTTGAGAACAGCCATGGGAGCTGAGCCCTGCAGAGCCACAGGGACAGAACTGCCCAAGGCCTTGGGAGCCCAGCCCTTTCACCAGTGTGGTCTGGATGTGAGACACAGAGTCAAAGGAGATTATTTCAGAGCTTTAAGATTTAATGACTGCCCTGCTGGGTTTTGGACCTGCATAGGGCCTATAGCTCCTTTGCTTTGGCCAATTTTTCCCTTCTGGAAAGGGAGTAATTATCCAATGCCTATACCCCTATTGTATTTTGGAAGTAACTAACTTGTTTTTGATTTTACAGGCTCATGGGTGGAAGGGACTTGTCTTGTCTCAGATGAGACTTTGGACTGGACTTTCGAGTTAATGCTGAAATGAGTTAAAACTTGGGGGACTGTTGAGATGGGATAATTGTATTTTGCAATGTGAGAAGGACACAAAGTTTGGGATAGGCCAGGGACAGAATATGGTTTGGATTTGTGTCTTCGTCCAAATCTCATGTCAATTTGTAATCCCCAGTGTTGGAGAAGGGGCCTGGTGGGAGGTGATCAGATCATGGGGGTGGTTTAATGGTTTAGCACCATCCCCCTAGTGCTATCTTAAAAGTGTGTAGCACCTCCCCTACACTTCCTCCTGCTCCCACCATGTAAGATGTGCTTGCTTCACCTTTGTCTTCCACCACGACTGTAAGTTTTCTGAGGCCTCCTCAGAAGCAGAAGCCTGTATAGCCTGCAGAACCATAAGCCAATTAAACAACTTTTCTTTATAAATTACTCAGTTTTAGGTATTTCTTTATAGCAGTGTGAGAATGGACTAATACAGCAAGTTTGTTATATAGCTAAGCTCCTGTCATAGGGATTTGTTGTACAGATTATTTCATCACCCAAGTACTAAGCCTAGTACCAAATAGTTATTCTTTTTTTGTTCCTCTCCCTCCTCCCACCCTCTACCTGCAAGTAGGCTCCAGTGTCTGTTGTTCCCTTCTTTGTGTTCATGAGTTCTCATCACTTAGCTCCCACTTACAAGTGAGAACATGTGGTATTTGGTATTCTTGCATTAGTTTGCTAAGGACAATAGCCTCTAGCTCCATCCACATTTCAGTAAAAGACATAGTCTTGTTCTTTTTTTGACTGCATAGTATTTCAGGGTGTATATGCACCACGTTTTCTTTATCCAATTTGTAATTGATGGGCATTTTGATTGATTCCATGTCTTTGCTATTGTGAATAGTGCTGCAAGAAACATTTGCTTGCATGTATCTTTATGGCAGAATGATTTATATTCCTTTGGGTATATACCCAGTAATGGGATTGCCAGATATAATGATAGCTCTGTTGTTAGGTCTTTGTAGCTCAGGAATTTTTATGGAGGCTTTATCTCATAGGCATGATGGATTATCAACCTAGTCACCAGCTCCTCTCCCCTGCCTGGAAGATGGGGAGTGGGGCTGAAAGTTCCAAGCCCTCCCTTCCTCCCTCCCTCCCTCCCTCCCTCCCTCCCTCCCTCCCTCCCTCCTTTCTTTCTTTCTTTCTTTCTTTCTTTCTTTCTTTCTTTCTTTCTTTCTTTCTTTCTTTCTTTCTTTCTTGTTTCTGAGACAGGGTCTCTCTCTGTTGCCTAGGCTGGAGTACAGTGGCATGAACATGGCCCGCTACAGCCTCAATCTCCTGGGCCCAAGCAATCCTCTTGCCTTGGTTTCCTGAGTAGCTGGGACTACAGGTGTGTACCACTATGTCCAGCTAGTTTATTATTTTTTATTTTTAGTACAGATATCATCTCACTGTGTTGTCCAGGCTGGCGCTGAACTCCTGGGCTGAAACGATCCTTTTACGTTGGCCTCTCAAAGTTCTGGGATTACAGTTGTGAAGCAACTTGCCTGGCTTTTTCCAAGCTTCTAATCATGGCTTGGTCTTTCTTGTGACTAGCCCCCATTCAGGAGCCCACAAGAGTCACCTTATTAGAACAAAAGACTCTTCTATTCCCAGGAAATTCCAGGGATTTAGGAGCTCTGTCAGGAACTAGAGTCAAAGACCAAATATTACAACAAAAGATGCTCCTAGCACATTTATCACCCAGGAAATTACAAAGATTTTAGAAGCTTTGTGCCAGGAACTGAGGACAAAGACCAAAATACTTATTTCTTATTAAATCACAAGATCACAAGAGGTATCCTGGCTGTGTCTTCCCTTCCTCCACACTCATCCCCAGCCTCTGGGACTCACAGAGGAGGTAAACTTGGGAACTCCTCTCCCTACCTGCCCAGCCCCAGTGCCACTACCTGAATTAAGCCATCATCGATTCTTGCTTGTTTCAGAGCAACTGCACCCTAACTATAGAGAAGAAGTCCACATCCATTTAGGATGGCATTCAAGGCCCCCAGTGTCTTTTCCTCTTGTTGTTTGCCTCCTGCCTCACTCCAGGAGTGAGTGATCTAGAATGATCTCATTCTAGATAATTAATATTCTGTTGGCACTGTGTGCAGAGCTGTTCCTTCTTGCCATTTTCTTGCTGTTCCCCTTGACTCCAATGCCCTTTTTACACTGCCTTCTTTCAAAATCATCATCCTTCAAGCACCTTATCCTACAGATCTAACTGGAAGGCCACCTCTTCCATGAAGCCCTCCTTATCACTCATCATCCTCAGAATCAACCACTCTTTCTTTGAGCATTGCCTGGTCTTTCCACTGCATGGAAGTTCTTTGTGGGCAGGCATGGTGTCTATTTGTCTTTCGATTTTTTCTTTTCTTTTCTTTTTTCTTTTTCTTGAGACAAGGTCTTGCTCTGTCACCTAGGCCAGAGTGCAGTGGCGCGATCTCAGCTCTCTGAAACCTCCACCTCCTGGGTTCAAGCAATTCTTCTGCCTCAGTCTCTTGAGTAGCTGGTATTACAGGTGCCTGCCACCATGCCTGGCTAATTTTTTGAAATTTTTATAGAGATGGGGTTTCACCACGTTGCTCAGGCTGGTCTGGAACTGCTGGGCTCAAGTCATCTGCCTGCCTTGTCCTCCCAAAGTGCTGGGATTGCAGGCCTGAACAAATGCGTCTGGCCTCTATTTGTCCTTTTATCCTCCTACGAGCATTGACCCCTGCCCAGTGGAGTGTTGGCACAGAGACGGCTTGCAGATCTGAGTGAGGCTTGCAGATCTGAGTGAGGCACAGAGATGGCTTGCAGATTGGAGGGCTGAGTGAGTCATTGGATTTCTTCCTTTTAGGCATCACATCTCACAGCCTACTGCCCAGGTCGCATCTCCCTGTTGGTATGTGTGGGTAGCGTGCCTTAAAAAGAGCATGGGAATTAAAATCAGAAGACTTGGGCTCAAGTTTGCTACTTGAGTGACCTTGGGGTAGCCTGACAATATGATCTTTCTTACAGACTTGTCGTGAATCTCTAAGCAGCCATGGCAGGAAAGTGCTATGTAGACCTTGCATTCTATTCAAATGTGAGTTTTTGCCACATTACTTAGTCATACCAGGTCAACAGGATCTGTAGGCCTCTAGGGGGCAGTCTCAGCTGGCCTCCCAACTGGCCTTGACTGAGCCCTTTCCTGCCAGGATGAAGGCCTGAGCTGTGACCCCTAAGATGCCATGAGCGATCCTGCAGACCTGGAGAGAGAATGAGCCCACACATCTCAACTCATCCAGGCTTCTGGTTAGGTAGGGTTTGCTCTTACAGCTCTAGAACTGTTTGCATGTGCTGGGCACTTGATATCCTGGGCAGATGGGAAGCCAATCTCTTCCTTAGAGGCCACCTACCAATGCTTGTATCATAGCCAGCCTTCCCCTCTGTAATGCCTTTTTTTCTCCTTTTCAATTTTAAAATTGAGATATAACTCACATAACATAAACATCGCCAAAGTGTACATTTAAAGTGTGATATTTATTTATTTATTTGAGACAGGTCTCGCTTGCTCATCCAGATGAGAGTACAGTGGTGCAACCATAGCCCACGGCAGCCTCAACCTCCTGGGCTCAAGCGATGCTCCCAGCTCAGCTTGACAAAGTGCTGGGATTGCAGGTGTAAGCCACTGTGCCTGGCCTAAAATGTGACTTTTGGTTGTGCAACTATCACCACCATCTCATTCCATAATAATTTCATCACCCCAAAAAAGAAACCTTGTAACTATTAGAGTCAGCCCCACTTCCCAATCCTTGGCAACCACGACTCTGCTTTCTTTCCCTATGGCTTTGCAATTCTAGGCATTTCATAAAACTGGAATTATACAATGTATGGCCTTTTGTCATTCGCTTCTTTTACTTTGCATGTCTTTAAGATCCGTCTATGTTGTAGCATGTAACAGTATCTCGCTCCTTTTATGGACTCCTTTTATGGCTGAATAATATTCCATCATATGCATATACCACATTTTGTTTATCCATTTGTCCATCGATGGGCATTTAGGTTGTTTCCACTTTTTGGCTATTATGAATAATGCTCCTATGGGCATTTATGTACACGTTTTTGTGTAGACATATGCTTTCAATTCTCTTTCAATCCTTGAAGTGGGATGTTACTCAGAGTTACTGTGTAATTCTATGTTTAGCATTTTGAGAAACTGCTGGACTGCTTTCCAAAACAGCGGCACCATTTTACATTCCCACCAGCAATGTATGAGAACTCTGTAATCCTCTTGACACTGGATTCAACCCCTGCTTGCCTTAGCATTCTGAAACTGTCAGGCCCAGGAGAGAGAATTCTGCAGTTAGCTTGCACCCATCTTTTCCCTGAAGTTATAGTTATGCAAGACAACAAGCTTTGCAAACTTTAATCATCTGAAAAGAACACTTGGACCGCTGGGTGCAACCAGAGTGATTTATCTTCCTTTCTAAGGGGATAATACAGCCTTGATCCTTTTGACTGAGAGGAGCCATGTATAGATACAGCTCAGCATCCCCACTTGGCTGGTGTGCACAGAGAAGAGGCAGCATTCACCTGGGCTCTTTGCCGAGAAGTGTTCTTATTAAGGAGGTGCTGCCAGGCGTGTGTCAGTTGTGTCTGCACACCCTCATCAACCTCTTAGTGGATCCTCAGGCTGCCTGGCAAGGAGCTGGCACTGGTTCCTGTGGTGCCTGGGGTGTGAGGCTGGAGAGACATCTGTCCAGGTGGACAGAGACAGTGGATGCAGGCTGCTTCCTCCTGGGTACCTGGCTGGAGAACACATAGATGTTTGCTGTCTGCTCATGAGGCGCTGGGGAGCAGAGACTTCTCAACTCCACTTGTTCTTTTTGTGCCTGGATACAAGGAAGGCTCTATTTTCAGTGGCTCAGACCTGCCAGCCTCGATGAGGAAGGGTTTGTTTGCACAGCATCTGGATGTGGGAGCGAGGTAATTCAGGCAGGTGGGGTAGGAAGGAGATTGCTAACCTCGAAGGAGTTCCCTTGTGCAGAAGGAAAATTACCAGCTGTGCTTATTCTGTGATTGGATGGAGGAAGGGCTTGTTCATTTTAGTCAGTCTAAGGGGAATGTTTCTGGGAGGTGTAGGGGAGAAAGAGGCAAGAAAAACAATCCCATAGGATCCTTGCTAATGAACTAATGACCCTGCCGGAAGGTGTCAGGTCCATTATACCTGGTGCACGTTTATCCACAGCACATCTCATACCTGTAGGTGTATATTCATGCAACAAATATTTATTGAGTCCCTACTATGTTCCAGGAGCTTTCTAGGGTTCAGGAATACAACAATGAGTAAAACAAACAGGGGTAATTGTCCTCGTGGAGATCAGAGCCTTATGGGGTGGAGAGGCATTAATTAAATGATTACAGGAATCGGTGCGGGACAGGGTCTTGCAGGTTGCTATGAGAGCGTATAAGAGGGGAAAATGGCTTAGTATGAGGTGTGGAGTTGTCCAGAAAACCTTTTCTGGGGCACCCAGGTCTACTGGATGAACAGGGCTGGGGTGGGGAGAAGAACATTTCAGGTGGAGGGCACAGAAGGTGTCAAGCCCTGAAGCAGGACAGAACACAACATTCCAGGAATGGAAAGAAAGCCAGGAGGGGAGAATGGAGCAGGAGGAAAGGTAGGCAGGGCCAGCTGCTCAAGGTCTAATGGGCTGTGCAAAATCCCCCTTACTCTTCTCCCAGGAACAGTGGGCAGCCATTGGAGGTTTTAAGCTTGGCAGTGACACAGCCAAGATTTGCAATGACCATTCTGTTTTGACTGAATGGAGTTGTGGTTCTGGTTTTAGGGGTGGTTGGGGCCACCCAAGTGAGACCGTGTCAACTGTGTGGGCCGGTGAAAATGTAACTGTGAACACTAGATGAGCTTAATAGTGGGCAGATGTGGAATCAAAGGGAAAGTGATGTTGAGGGAAGGAAGACGGGGTCCCCAAGGGGGCATGGACCATAGTCTTTCTGAGGCTAGCTTTAGCCTCTGAAGGCCATTTTGGCCTTGAATTTCTTTTTCTTTCTTTCTTTCTTTTTTTTTTTTTCAGGCAGGGTTTCATCACTCTGTCACCCAGGCTGGAGTGGGTGACTCACTGCAGCCTTGACCTGACCTCCTGGGCTCAAGTGATCCTCCTACCTCAGCCTCTTGAGTAGCTGGGACTACAGGCATGCACCACCATGCCCAGCTAATTTTTCTTTTTTTTTTTTTAGAGACTGGGTCTTGTTATGTTGCCCAGGCTGGTCTTGAACTCCTGGGCTCATGCAATCCTCCTGCCTCAGCCTCCCAAAGTGCTGAGATTACAGATCTGAGCCACCATGCCTGGCCTGGCCTTGAGTTTCTGATGAAACCTGGGAAACCACATGTTTTTCTGAACACCTGGGAGCAACCCTTCTTTCTACTTGCTCAGACCTACCCACCTAGCTAAGTGCTTAACACGTGGACTGTCATTGGCTTAGAAGGTCAGAGTTGGAGGCCTCAGAGGTCGGCTGGTCCAGAGCTTCTCAGAGGGCATCCCTGGATCCTTGTATTAGCATCATCTCTGTGGTACTGGTTTAAAAACTGCAGATTCCTGGGTCTTACTTCAGACCTCCTGAATTAGAACTCTTTTTTGGGAGGGATGGGGGTGGAGGATTTGTGGTAGCACCTATTAGGGAATCAGCATTTTGAGCGAGTGCTCCAGGGGATTCTTCTGCACACTATATTTGTTTCCTGCGTCTTCTGTAACAAATGACCACAAATATGGTGGCTTAGAACAACATACATGTATTCTGTCACCGTTCTGGAGGCCAGAAGTCCCAAGGCTGTGAAATCGAGGTGTTGGAAGGCCCACATCCCTCCAGCGGCTCTAGGGGAGAATCCATTCTTGCCCCTTCCAGCTCCTGTGGCTGCTGGTGTTCCCTGGAGTGGGGCAGGATCTCGCTAACCTCTGCCTGCCTCATTTCATCACCTCTCCTTTTTGTCTATTGTCAAATCTTCTTCTGCCTTCCTCTTAGGACACTTGTGTATTTAGGGTCAGGATAATCTTCCCATCTCGAGATCCTTAACTTAGTCATAGCAGCAAAAACCCTTTTCCCAGATAAGGGACTATTTACAGGTTCTCAAGATGAGGACCTGGTATCCTTGGGGGACCATTTTCTAGTGTGCCACAAACACTGAAGTTCAAAAAGCATTGGTGTGGTTGACATCCTTCGGGTAGACCAGATGTAGGAAACTGGAGCCCAGAGAGAAGTGACTAATCCAAGGTCATACAGCTTGTAACTCACTTCTGAGATTGGAATCAAGGCTCCTGATTCCAAGGCCTTTCTGGGAATCCTGGCTTCAAGGAATAGTGATACCTGACATTCACTGAATGTTACTTCATACTGTTCTAAGCAGATGACATGTACTATCTCATCACTCTTCCGAACAACCCTTTGTGGTAGGCTCTCCTATGCTCTTCCAGTTTATAGATAAAAAAACTTAGGAGAAAAGAGGTTAAACAACTTGCCCAACATGACAGAGCAAATTACCGGGGGAGCTGGGATAGAAACCGAGGCAGTCAGAGGCCAAAGCGTTCACTCACAGGTGGAACCTCCTCCAGTCAGGCTTATTCCAAATCTGGCCTGTGAATCACTACTCTCTGGTATTTTTTGCCTTCCTAGGAAATATGCACCAAAACATTTCTGGCAGGAAAGGAGGCCCCTGTAACTACTTGCCTTCTTCCTGCTCAGAGCCATGCCTCCAATTCCTTGATGAATATTTGCTTCAAGCTGCTCAATAAGCCTTCTCATCTCAGTCAATGGGCTTGAAGCAAGGTAAGCAGGTCTTGCAAAGAGGTGTGTGGAGGGAATGCCGGGGTGGGGTCAAGATCCTAATGGATTTCTTAGGCTAATGGCCTGGGATGGGCCCTGGAAAGTTCCCAGACCCCAAATTATTTGCAAAAGGCAGAAGAAGAAGGTGGGGCAGATTGGCCTGGACCTTGGGTACATATTTGTCCCTGGCCATGACTCACTTCCTTCTGGAACAGGGCCTCAGGTGAAATGTTTGTCTGCTCCACCTCCTTTAGTGCCTTATAGCTCCCCTCCCAGTGGAGCAGGTGTCTGAGAGTACAGTGCAGCCCTGCCCTTCTGTCCACCCTACAGAGCCCACGGCCATGGCAGCCCAGGCAGCTGGTGTATCTAGGCAGCGGGCAGCCACTCAAGGTCTTGGCTCCAACCAAAACGCTTTGAAGTACTTGGGCCAGGATTTCAAGACCCTGAGGCAACAGTGCTTGGACTCAGGGGTCCTATTTAAGGACCCTGAGTTCCCAGCATGTCCATCAGCTTTGGGCTACAAGGATCTTGGACCAGGCTCTCCGCAAACTCAAGGCATCATCTGGAAGCGGCCCACGGTAAGGAAGCGGGCTTGCTGTTGAGTGACATACAAGGTGGAGGGGCCTTACATCTGATCAGGAGGAACTGAGGGAGAAGTTGAGGCTGTGGACCCTAAGTGTCTGGATCTCATATTTCAGATCCCTCCACCACCACCTTTTTTAATTTTATTTTTTTGAGATGGAGTCTTGCTCTGTCACCCAGGCTGGAGTGCAATGGCATGATCTCAGCTCACTGCAACCTCTACCTCCTGGGTTTGAGTGATTCTCCTGCCTCAGCCTCCCGAGTAGCTGGGATTACAGGCATGTGCCACCATGTCTGGCTAATTTTGTATTTTTAGTAGAGATGGGGTTTCTCCATGTTGGTCAGGCTGGTCTCAAACTCCCAACCTCAGGTGATCCATCTGCCTCAGCCTTCCAAAGTGCTGGGATAGCAGGCATGAGCCACTGCATCTGGCCCCCCCATCACCTTTTGAACTCTTATTTTTTTTGAGGCAGAGTCTCACTCTGTCACCCAGACTGGAGTGCAGTGGTGCGATCACAGTGCACTGCAACCTCAACCTTCCTGGGCTCAGGTGATTTTCCTACCTTAACCTCCCAAGTAGCTGGGATTATAGGCACGTGCCACCACACCCAGCTAATGTTTACATATTTTTGTAGAGACAGGGTTGTGCTGTGTTGCCCAGGGTGGTCTTGGACTCCTGGGCTTAAGCCATCTGCCCACCTCAGCCTCCCAAAGTGTTAGGATTACAGATGTGAGCCACTACACCCAGCCTGAACTCTTGTTCAGAGATGGTGAGGTATAGAGAGAAGAGCATGGATGAGCTTTGGAACTAGGTAAGATAGATTTGAATCCTAGCTCTGCCTGTGTTGTTTTGGGCCGGTAAACTCTGTGAACCTTAGTTTTCTCATCTGTAAAATGGCATTTACTGGCACCTTATTTTTCAGGGTTGGTATGAGAATTAGAGATAAATCTCAGAGCATAGTGCCCAGAACATAATAGATGCAGAATACGTAGTTGTTATTACTGCATATGGTCCCTGGGCCAGTGCACAATGGAACAACTCAGTGCTGGATGCAATCAGCTGGCAGGTAAATTGTGACAACATCATTGCTGAAAGGTGCACGGTTGCGCAAGGTCATGAATTGACATTATTCCATCAGGGCTGGTGAGTGGAGAGGTGGGAGCTGGGGCTCTGTGGATGCAGACGGAAGGCAGAGGCTCCTGGATGCGGTTACTGATACTACCCAAAGCTCAAGGGCAAGGGATGGAGAACAGTCCTCCCAAAACCTAGACCCATGACCTATCACTATGTGACCCTTGTCAAGTGATTCCTCAGGGATGAGAACCTCTCCCATACAGAGTGGTTGTGAGAATTGAGCTCATCCATACAAAGTGCTCTGTTCAACAGAGCTCATAACAACGTCTCAGGAGAGGGGCTATGAAATGACCTGGGCACCTTTTGTCTTCTAAACCATGATAGGGAAATTAAGTCAGGGTTCCTATTTTCTTGGCAGTGGTTGAAACAGGAAGACAAAGGGAGAGTACTTCTTCTAAAATGGTCAAAATCACTATTTAACTCCAGCTAGCTACCTCTACCCTTTTTACTTTGATCCTGCTGATTTTGCCTAACAGTTTTCATCTCTGAGAATAACTCCTTGGCCATGCTGCCCTCCCGCCCACCGTGGTTCATCTTCCCATTCCCCTCTGAAACCTATAGGGTTACCCTGGTATGTTGATAAAATCCAGATTGGGAGTAATGGTTTTTATTCTAATTTCAAGACAGCCACATTTCATTTCAACAGACAGTTTTTTTGAGCTTCCATTTTGTGCCAGGCATGGGCTCTGCACTGATTGGAAAGGTGGTCAGGGAGAAGCTGAGGAAGGAGCTGTGGTCTCAGCTCTGATGGAAAGTGTGGGGAGACACAGGTGTGAATAAAGGACAGATGCCCAAGGCAGAATGAAGTAAGAACTCTACAGAGGCATAAATGATGGGCCATGGGAACCTGGGTTGTCACAACTGGGTGGTGAAAAGCCTTAGGGAGGGGTACCATTGCAGATCCCAAGGGTCTTGGGGGAGAGGAAGGAGGGGGAGAAAATTTTCCTTTAGAGACCAAAGTCAGGTATCAGTTAACCTTTGCTTAGTTTTTCTCCTTTCTTTGAAATCCTTAGAGACTTTACCTCCTTAACCACATAGCCTGTTCTTCCCCAAACTATGTCTTCACCTGTCCTCGTGGTCTGTGGAAATGCGGTAATTGTAGACTGGATGTGCTGATTTGTGGCTGTCAAAGGAGGAAGTAAAATTCAGAGCATGAGGCAGTAGAACCTGAGTAATGCGGAAGGTGCAATTGAAGGACTCCTATTTGGAGTTTTCAAGTGCGTGTTGAGTAAATAAATGCGTGTCAAAATTTAACCTCTCCTTCCCTAATCATCAGTGAAAAATTATCACACAGCTGCTTTTGGGCAGGCTCATGCTCACATACCACAAGGGTACATTAGAGAAGGCAGACTTATCCTCTAAGATCTTACAGTTATTGAATAGACTCCTGAATCAGTAAAGATTCTGATCCTATCTCTATGAGGAACATGCATTGAATGCTGAGAAAATTAGCCTGATCCTAAATGCTTCATTATTATTTTTTCCTCCCAAGAGGCCTTTCAAGGGTTTGCAAAGAGATCAGGGTATCCAGAAATGTGGTGCATTGTAAGTTCATTTGTTGCATTTACTCATTTATTTTTAAATTGTGGTATGATACACATAACATAAAATTTGCCATCTTAACCCCTTCTAAATGCACAGTTCAGTGGCATTAAGTACATTCCCATTGCTATGCAACCATCACCACCCTCCATCACCAGAATTGTTTTTATCTTGCAAAACAGAAACTAAATACACATTTAAAAACTCCCCATTCATTCTTCCCCGAATTTCGTTTCCTTTCTTTTCTTTTTTCTTTTTCTTTCTTTCTTTTTTTTTGTTTGAGATAGAGTCTTTCTCTGTTGCCCAGGCTGGAGTGCAGTGGCGCGATCTTGGCTCCCTGCAACCTCTGCCTCCCCAGTTCAAGCGATTCTCCTGCCTCAGCCTCCTGAGTAGCTGGGATTACAGGCACCTGCCACCAAGCCTGGCTAATTTTTTGTACTTTTAGTAGAGATCGGGTGTTGCCATGTTGGCCAGGATGGTCTGGAACTCCTGACCTCAAGTGATTCAATCACCTCGGCCTCCCAAAGTGCTGGGATTACAGGTGTGAGCCACTGCGCCTGGCCCTTCTCCCCAGTTTCTGACAACTGTTCTCCTTTCTGTCTCTTTGAATTTGATTATGTTGGGTACCTCATATAAGTGGAATTATACAGTATTTGTCCTTTTGTGACTGGCATAACTCACTTAGCATAATATCCTCAAGATTCATCCATGTTGTGGCATATGTCAAAATTTCCTTCCTTTCAAAGGTTGAATAGTATTCTGTGGTGTCTATAGACCACATTTTGTTTATTCATTTGTCCATTGTTGGTCTTGGGTTGCTTCCACTTTTGGTTATTGTGAATCATGCTGCTACAAACATGGGCATACAAACTTCTCTTTGAGACCCTGCTTCCAGTTCTTTTTGTTATATACCCAAAAGATATGACCCATGGCTGGATCATATGGCAGTTCTACGTTCAAGTTTTTGAGGAACCACAGTGCTGTTTTATATAGTGGTTGCACCATTTTGCATTCCCACCAGCAGTGCACAGGGTTCCTATTTCTCCACATCCTTGCCAATGTTTGTTATTTTCTTTCATTTTTTTTCTTTTTTGAGATGGAGTTTCACTCTTGTCTTGTCACCCAGGCCGGAGTACAATGGTGCGAATTCGGCTCACTGTAACCTCTGCCCCTCGGGTTCAAGTGATTCTCCTGCTTCAGACTCCCGAGTAGCTGGGATTACAGGCACTCGTAACAATGCCCAACAAATTTTTATATTTTTAGTAGAGACAGGGTTTTGCCATGTTGGCCAGGCTGGTCTTGAACTCCTGACCTCAGTTGATCTGCCCACCTTGGCCTCCCAAAGTGCTAGGATTACAGGTGTGAGCCACTGCACTCAGCCATTTTCTGTTTTTTGATAGTAGCCATTCTAATGGGTGTGAGGTGACATTTCATTGTGGTTTTGATTTGCATTTCCCCAAAGATCAGTGATGGTGAGCATCTTTTCATGTGCTTATTGACCATTTGTAGATCATCTTTGGAGAAACATATATCCAAGTTCTTTGCCTTTTTTTTTTTTTTTTTAAGACAGGGTCTCACTCTGTTGCCTAGGCTGGACTGCAGTGGTTCAATCTTGGCTCACTGCAACCTCTGCCTCCTAGAATCAAGTGATTCTCGTGTCCCAGCCTCCCAAGTAACTGTGACCACAGGCTCCTGCCACCAATTGGCTAATTTTTTGTGTTTTTAGTACAGATTGGGTTTTGCCATGTTGGCGAGGCTGGTCTCAAACTCCTGGTCTCAAGTGACCCACCTGCCTCGGCCTCCCAAAATGTTGGGATTACAGGTGTGAGCTATTGTGCCCAGCCCCTTTGCCCATTTTTAATTGTGTCGTTTGCTTTTTTATTTCACTGCTGCTTTTGAGGGTGATTTTGTACTTCTTCAGTGTTGGGGGCTTTAAGTCCACTGCCTAAATGTGACTCATATGATCCTGGTTCCCACACAGACGTTAATTTCTACCGCCCTTTGGGGGAAAGCAGATGAGATGGGTTGAACATGTATGTACACATGTTTTTGTCCTCTCAATAATAAAATAAAGATTGATACTTAGATATTTTCTGAAATCACATCATTTGACATCCTGCCCCTGCTGGGCGTTTCTGCCTATTCATAAGCAATTGAGCAAAGATTTGCTTGAGCTCTTGTCCCAAGGGTTTCAGGACAAGTTTGCCCAGAGGAAGGGCTCAAGGTCAAGCATAGGTTCTCAGGATGAACTTTTGGTTATTCACAATCCTGAGACAATTTAGGGTTGGGCAAGAACAATCCTACCACAAACAGCATGGTTGGCTATGTGAGATCGGGGGTGTTCTTAGCAGGTAGATTTTTGCCTCCTTATTTTCTGGCTTCCCCTCTGTGCTTGGTTAATGCCCAGCCCAGGTCCTGTGGTTTGAGGAATGCCCAGCATGAGCAGGCCCTGGTGCAGTGCAGTCAATGATATTCTTCCCTGAAGTGTCCACTTTTTGGCAATTAAGTGGTTTATTGATCTTAAGGAGAAATACAGCAAGACAGCAATGAAGTGATGTCAGCTGCATAATAAGGACCTAGTTTAAGAGAAATGTCAAGGGGATGAATTGTTGGGAGGTTAGGATAAGGATGAGGGTGACAGGCCTCAGCTTGGAGCTTCCACTCTTTCTTCAGCTGCTACATCTGGAGTGAATCTGGAGTTTTCAGTTTAGCCATGATTTATTGCGTGCTGGTTGTGTTCAGGTGCTGGAGAGGAGTCTTTGTGGAGCTTTGGCTCATCAGGGAGAGACATACGGACAAGTGGACAGCTGGCAGGCCACAGAGTGGTTAAGAGCATGAGCTCGTGCGTCAGGTAGATCAGGTTTCTGGTCCCCTCTGGCCATTTGCTAGCTGAGGAACCATGACTAATGACCCCAAGACTCAGTTTCCTCTTCCATAAAATGGAGATAACAATATTACCCACTTCACTGTTTTTTGGAGGCTTTGGTTATTGGGATGCTTGAATAAGGAAATCTAGCTGTTATTACAAGACAGAATATCCAGAGAGTGAAATAAATAGAAATATGAACACAATGTATGGGAGTTCAGGGGAAGAAGCAGTTAAATTTGACAGTGACATTGGGGCAGGTTAATTACCGGAGACGTTTGAGTTGGGATTGTTGGTGGAAGAGAATCGGGATAGAGACTGAAGAGAAGGCGCAGGTGTGGGCAGAGGTACTGGGTTGTGGCAGTGCATCGGGAGCAAGTGTATTCAGAGGAAGGTGGGAGTCCACTGTGATGGGAAGAGAGTGATAATCACTCACTGTGGGAAACTGACAGACAAAGCTGGAAACATCCAGTGGGGCCAGATCACAGAGGGATGGAGGTGCTGGGTCAAGCAATGTGGCTATACTTGAAGATGATGATGGTGAAGATGGCAGCATCTCTGGGGGTTCTAAAAACCAGAGCTCCTAAAGTGCAAACCAAAGCTATCAGACATGGTTAACGCTCTAGGAGAGCAGTGTGGCCAAACAGCCATCATCACTGAGACAGTGTGGGTTTCAGTCACTTTCTGCCTTGGATTCTTGACTGATACCTGTATTTCCTTAGGCCTGGTCATCAGAGGCTGATCCTAGGTTAGAGTAATTTGTATTTATGGAGTGTTTTGAGATCCTCGCTTGAGTAATAGAAAACAGTGTTACTAAAAAGACATGATTGTTATTAGGAAAGATAAAAAAGGGTTCTAAGTGTGGGTAGGTGGCAGGCTGCCTCTTCACAGAATCCTGCCTCTTTAAAACCTCTCTGACTCCCAATTACTTTGTATCTCTGATCTGTGCTTCAACAGGAACTTAGTAATGGAGAGATTTGGGGTAAGTTCTTTGGGCATCGTAGTGAGATGGAATCTCCTTGCAAAGCTGGGGATTTTCTTTTTCTTTTTCTTTTTTGAGACAGAATTTCACTCCATCACCCAGGCTGGAGTGCGGTGGCGCGATCTTGGCTCACTGCAACCTCCGCCTCCTGGTTTCAAACAATTCTTATGCCTCAGCCTCCTGGGTAGCTGGGATTACAGGTGCACACCACCATGCCTGGCTAGTTTTTGCATTTTTATTTGTAGAGATGGGATTTCACCACGTTGGCTGGGCTGGTCTCAAACTCCTGACCTCAAGTGATCAGCCCACCTTGGCTTCCCAAAGTGCTGGGATTACAGACGTAAGCCACCATGCCCAGCCCAAAGCTGGGGACTTTCTGTGGTCCCTGAAAGATTCATGCAACATATCAGTCATGACATTCCTTGGTGTGTGTGTATGTGTTTTTCTGGGGTGGGGGCATTTTTTGAATTATACTGAGTACCACGTAGTAAAATGGACATTCCATCTACCTACAAACCACTTAGCACCATTCTGTATATTTCACTTGTAATTGTCTGTAGCCTTTGCCAATGACTCTGTCTTCCAACCCAAACTCAACATTTTAGCAGAACTTGGGAGGCCTATTAGATATGAATCTAATGAAAAATGAGCAATGTGACACAGGTAATTGAAGATACAGCTCAGGGAGTTATTTTGGAAGCATCAGCATATTCTGCAGTTAATAGTTGAAGCCATGAGGTCGAATGATGTCACTGAGAGAAGAATGCTTAGGGGTGTTACTGCTGTATGAAATGGGATAATCTCAGAGGGTTGAGGACCAAGAGCCAGGGGTTCCTTGATACTTAGGGGTAAGCACAGTAGAAGAATGCATGAAGGAGACTGAGGAGAAATGCTCAGAGAGGCAAGGAGAAAATCAAGCATGAGTAAGGGTATGGAAGTCAATTTCAGAGAGGGAATAGCCAACGGTACCAAATGCAAAGAGAAGTTAGTTATTATTGATGACATGGGTGAGAGGAGTTTTATGAAGCTATGGATGTAGAAGTCAGATTTCAGTAGACCGATGGATGAATGGCGGATGAAGAACAGGAATCTATTCATCTATTTATTTATTTTTTGAGACAGAGTCTCACTCTGTTGCCCAGGCTAAAGTGCAGTGGCGCAATCTTGGCTCACTGCAACCTCTGCTCCCGGGTTCAAGTGATTCTCTTGCTTCAGCCTCCTGAGTAGCTGGGACTACAGGCACTCACCACCACGCCTGGCTAATTTTTGTATTTTTAGTAGAGACAGGGTTTTGCCCTGTTGGTCAGGTTGGTCTTGAACTCCTGACCTCAAGTGATCCACACACTTTGGCCTCTCAAAGTGCTGGGATTACAGGTGTGAGTCACCATGCCCAGCCAAGAACCTATTTTAAGAGAGTTTTTAAGAAAAGAGATTCTTCCAAACCCCTATTGAGTGTGCTGTCTTTTCTTTCCTCTTGACGACACAACATTTTCCTTCTTTTTTTAAAAACAACATTTAAATTAAAATTTTTTTCTCTTTCTTTTTACTTATTACTCTATCAGATCTCTCTGCCTTTTATTTGCCAAAAAATGACTGCTTGGAGACTGGGAGCTCTTGGGCACCCGGGGTGAACATTTGCAGCTGCACACTTTTAGAACACCCAGATTGGCTGGTGCCACTTTTCTCTTTAAGTTGCCGCCAGAGATTGCAAAAGACTGAAAGCGAATGAATAAACAAAAAACTAAAGGTCCATCACTAGAGAACCTTTATTTACAAATAAATAAATGGCAAGAAAATAAACGAGCTAAATAACTTATGGTACTTTTAATGAAGTTACAAAGCTCTCTATGTCCTAAGACATACGTACAAGACATATGTGATAAAAATGTGTGTATGTGGCTGGGCGCGGTGGCTCATGCCTGTAATCCCAGCACTTTGGGAGGCCGAGGCGGGCGGATCACGAGGTCAGGAGATGGAGACCATCCTGGTTAACAAGGCGAAACCCCATCTCTACTAAAAAATACAAAAAATTAGCTGGGCGTGGTGGTGGGCGCCTGTAGTCCCAGCTACTCAGGAGGCTGAGGCAGGAGAAGGGCGTGAACCCGGGAGGCGGAGCTTGCAGTGAGCCGAGATCGCGCCACTGCATTCTGGCTTGGGCCAAAGAGCGAGACCCCGTCTCAAAAAAAAAAAAAAAAAAAACAAAACAAAAAAACCCAAAACGTGTGTATGTACATAAATATGCTTTCATATCAGAAGACAGCTTCTGGAGGGACACTTAAGAAATGCTACCAGTGCGGACTCTGAGGCGGAAGGGATTTTGTGTTTTACACCATTATTTACTGTTGGGTTTTTTTTCTCATGTTCATGTATTAGTTTTTCAATGAAAAACAGGTAAATAAATTTTTGTTGTTGTTGTTTTTGAGATGGAGTTTCGCTCTTGTTGCCCAAGCTGGAGTGCAATGGCGTGATCTTGGCTTACTGCAACCTCCGCCTCCTGGGTTCTCCTGCCTCAGCCTCCTGAGTAGCTGGGATTACGGGGGCGCACCACCATGCCGGGCTAATTTTTGTATTTTTAGTAGAGAGGGAGTTTCACCATGTTAGCTAGGATGGTTTCAAACTCCTGACCTCAGGTGATCCGCCCACCTCAGCCTCCCAAAGTGCTGGGATTACAGGCGTGAGCCACCGCACCCAGCAAAATTTTTTTTAATACTTGGGAAAAAAAAAAAGTCAGCCCAGAGGAGCTGTTTCTGCCATTTCAGCAGGAGCCAGCACCTTATAGAGGCTATGGGGCTGCCACCTGGAAGGTTCCACCTCACACAGCAGAATCCCAGAATCCCCACTGCCAGCTTCATCCAGACCCCATGCATCTGCCCTCAGCCCACCCTCCTGCTTCCTGGTCCTTTCTGATCTGCCCTTTCTTCACCTCTATGAAGTAAGAATGAAATGATTCTCTCTCTCTGTGGCCAGACAGTCTTTGATGTAGTGCAGCCCAGGATGCCACCGATTAAATGTAGGCTGACTTCCGTTTTGTCCCTCGAGGTCCTGCCCTTTTCCCCTAGCAGTTTGCCTGGTGAACAGGTAGACCCATCTCTTCTTTAGGAACCAGTACGTAGACTGCTCCTGCATCCTACCTTTCTAATGGACAGGCATCATCTCCCACCCACTAAGTCTTGCAGCCATCATCCCTGTTGGGCCCTTCTCATTTTTCTCTCTTTGTGTTTTTTCTCCCTTTGTGGATATAGCCTACATTCTATTATTATGCACTAGCCTTTTTTCTCTGACTTTTTTCATAATGTCAATCTTGGTTTGCTATATACAGCAAAAGCACCTTGAGGCCAAGAACTACGTGGTTTATTTCTTTTCTTTCTTCATTTCACCATGTTTCCCTCTTTCCCCTGCCTGCCATGGTTCAAAGGGTACTGGATACAGAACGGGCACTCAAAAAATCCTTGCTGGGTAAACAAAGAAAGCATGACTAAAGCATGTGTCATTGTGCCCCAACAGAGCACCAGGGCCATGAGATTGCTGTAGGCAGATGCCAGTTGAGATAGGTGAGTGGAGGAAGTGCAGGTCAGATATGTGAATGTATCAGAGATGAATTCTCATCTCAGGATACATGGTACTTCTGACACTTCAGTGTGTCCATCAGCACATGGGGTCATTATCATTTAGTCAAGACTTTAACGAGTGCCCACAGGGTGCACAGCATTTTGCTAAATATTCTTCTAATCTCTTTATGTAAATAGGGGTGTTGTCTGAATAGGTGAGATCATTTTTCATCACATATTATCTCAGCCTTTGCCTTTCTCCTACCTCCCTGCTCCTCACCACCTTTCCACACCCACACACCCACACACCCACACCACACATATAGTATTAAAACACTAGTCCTGTCCAGGTGCTGTGGCTCATGCCTGTAATCCCAGCACTTTGGGAGGCCAAGGCAGATGGATCACTTGAGGTCAGTTCAACATCAGCCTGGCCAACATGGTGAAACCCCATCCCTACTAAAAATACAAAAAAAAAAAAAAAAAAAAATTAGCCGGGTGTGGTGGCACGTGCCTGTAATCCCAGCTATGTGGTAGGCTGAGGCAGGAGAATCACTTGAATCCGGGAGGCGGAGGTTGCAGTGAGCCGAGATCATGCCACTGCACTCCAGGCTGGGCAACAAAGCGAGACGCTGTCTCAAAAACTTAAAATAAAATAAAATAAATAAAAAATAAATAAAAAATGAAAACACTAGTCCTGGCAGGGGCTCTGGACTCCAGCTTCTGCTCTGTTCACCCCTGGCTGTGTGACTGTGACCAGGGCTCATCCCCTCTCTGGGCTTCAGAGTCCTCAGCAATAAAACCATGTGATGGGCAGTAGACAATCCTGGGTTTCTTCCAGCTCTGCAACCTGGGACTCTGATGTTCCTTTCCCCAGGCTGCTGCCATCACTGAGCACCTTGTGACTTGTGTTTTGTTCCAAATTACTTTCAGGAGTTGTGTCCCAGCCCTCAGTTTATCGTTGGTGGAGCCACGCGCACAGACATTTGTCAGGGTGGTCTAGGTGAGTAACTGGGGAGAGTCTTATTTGTTTTGGGAGAGGGCGGGTGTGTATGTGTCATGAGTAAACATCAGATGAAGCTGTGAGACTTCACCGAGTGAATTAGGTACCTGATGTGTCCGTCTGGGTTTGTGTTTCTGAGACTGCATTCTTCACTGTGAGTCCAAATGCTGGAACTTCACTGTAGGTCCAAATGCTGGAACTACCTCTTGGCTCCCCCTAATGAGAGATTTTGCCAGTTCATTTAACCACTTTAATGCTAGAGCAAGGAGCCAGGATTACAGGCGTAGAGTAGATATCTGTGCTATACTGTGTTTTTGTTGTAGTTACCTTTAAGTAGACATAATTTGTCCTTTGGAATGGCCATATCTAAGTAATTATGGGCTGTCATAATAAGTGCTTTTATAATTAGTAAGAAAACAGGAATCTTATTTTTGTAGCCAGACATTCTTTCATAGGCCTGGGATCCTGTAATCAAAAACCTTCATTTCTGAACTTATCATATTCCTTTTAAATTAGGGGCAGTTGAGTTTTTAAGAAATAATTTCATTTAGTTTTGTAAGTTCTAGCCTCCATTGTCAGAAACTGAGGCTCTCCTTGGTGGCAGATGAGCTTTATTGATTTCATAAGCCCTCCCGATACCAAGGCTTCACAGATGGGAGTTTCTGCGTTGAATTGGACAATCCTTACATTTTATGGGCAACATGGCTCTGAATTGAATTTGAGGGGCTTCCAAACCACCATCCAGTGACAGCTGCAAAATACAGAACCGGAAGTGAAGGTGAAAAAGAAACAAATCCTGCTTACTGAAAATCAGCAAAACAAACAGAAACCTCAGCATCACATGGACCCCATCACCACCCCCCGCCACTTTTTTTTCAGGAGGTTTTCTCTTTTTCTCATTCTTTCTTATTGCAGCCAAGAAAGCCCTTTCTCTTCAGCCTGCTGGAAATGTTCATGATTTTGAAAATCACAAGGCATTTTATTTTAAACGCTTCCAATGTTCTCTCCTTTAATGAATATAGCAAATGTACCTTAGAAAGAGCTCACAGAGCGTGACGATCAAGCAGCGGGAACGATTCGGGGTGCCGCACCCAAGCGCGTGCCCCGTTGCCTGAAAACCACAGCCTCCATTTCCCGAGCTTTTGTGTGAGGGCTCACAGAGGGGTAGCGTTCTGACCTTTTCTTGTTCTGGGTAAGTGTGGTGCCTTTTTACTTCCAGCTCCATGTTTAACCTAATTATGCATGTGTCTCAGGGACACACAACTTCGAAGGCGCCTCAGACAGCTCCTTGTTGGAGATGTTTTAACTTTGGGAAAGGTATTTAATAAGTACCTTTTCCTTGACGGGCTTGGATGGATTTTTCTTTGAATAGTTTTAAGCAAGGAGAAGTGAGGGTTTCCAAAAAGCGGCCTGAGCGTTACCATGGTGAGTGCGTGCTGCCAATGGAGAAGGAGGCTGGAAGCACAGGAAATGAACCCAACCAGCTCTCCGAATCCAGCTCACATCAGAACAAACGCAGCAGCCTCTGTGGTGGCTGCCCCGGGGAGCCCAGCCGCTGCAGTGGTGGTTTTTAATGAACAGAGCGGAAAGGGGCTGGGGAGTCCAATCTCCTGAAAGGAGCCAGGTGCAGACTGAGCCTTTGCCAGTAGAAGAGGAGATTCACAGCGCCAAGGCTATAACCCAGAGCGTCAGGGTGGGGAGCCAGGGGCTGAGTTGCAACAGCCTCTGTGGCCTGAGGGATCTGAGTCAGGGCTGGTCCTGAACAGTGGGTGAATTGTGAGAGATTAAGAGGAGAGATTCCCCACTCGACATACCGTGTGTAGTCCCAAAGAACAAGGGAGCAGCACACAGCACTTGTTGAATTGGGGCCTGATATGGATTAATGTTTGTTAAATGTTCTGTTGGTTTTTCAGAGTACAACACAGATTGTCATCTGTGTCATCTGCTCTAAGGGTTTCTAAAAAAGATGTTTATATATATATATATTTGAGACAGGGCCTGGCTCTGTCTCCCAGGCTGGAGTGCAGTGGCCCGATATCGGCTCACTGCAACCTCCTTCTCCTGGGCTCAAGTGATCCTCCCACCTCAACCTCCTGAGCAGCTGAGACAGCAGGCATGCACCACCACACCCAGCTAATTTTTTTGTAGTTTTTTGTAGAGACAGGGTTTTGCCATGTCGTCCAGGCTGGGATTTTTTTAAAACAGTTGATTTGTATAATGAAAATGATGTCTTTTTCATAGAGTTCTGTGTGATTATTTCATCATTATTTTGAATACACACAGTATAAAAATTAAAGCAACTGAAAGGCACCCGGTGAAGTCTGTTTCCCACTGTCTCCAGTTGACGCCACTGACTCCGTTGCTCACTGCCTTGCAGCCATGCGAAAAATTCCCTCCGTGTTTCTTTGTGCAAATTCAAGCAAATCTAAGTACATATTCTGAATATCCCTTCTTGTATTGAAGGCAGCACACTATCAACACTGTTTGGCACCTTGCCATTATTTGGTGTCATTTCACTTAATAAAGTATTTGGGGGATCTTTCCATAACAGTCTATAAAGAACTTCGTTCTCTGTGAACCATTCCAAGTGTTACACTCTGTCGGATTTATCCTGCCTCCAAAGGATGGACATTTGAGTTATTTTCTCTTGCACTCTTATAAAACACATGGCAGTGGATCTCCTTGTTCGCACTTCATATTGGGTGTGTTAGGCTATTTGCCAGCACGTCCAAAGTCTGGCTGCTTCTGTCAGGGTGGGCTGTGTGTTGTCCCTTCCTCCCTACTGTCCTTGCTAAGCCAGATTTTCATCCTAAATGTATGAGTCTCTTGGCTACCATCAGAGCTTATGCTTACTTAGAGCCCAGGAGCTGGCTTTTCTTGAAGACATATTTTAGGAAAATAAAGATTGAGGAAGCTGAATGCCAAGGATCCAATTGTTTCAAGTAATTTTTCCTGTAGAATATGACTTTTCTTTGGGCAGCTCAGTCCCTGAAGGAGGACAGTATGATTTTACCTCCATTTAAGTAATTAAATGAGTAAATCCTTTGTTGAAACAGCCCTCAAACGAAAGCCCTCCCACAACGCTCAGGCCTCCTGGCACACTGAGAAAGAGAGTTCTTCAAAGTTGCTGTTCCTGGCAATCCCAGCCTTTCCTTGCTCCGTCTTCTCAGTGGAGCCTGTTCTCACCAGGCCTAGCAAGGGCCACCCACACTCAGTGTCCTACTGGAGTGGAAGGAGTCTCAGGGTCGCCCCATGTGGTGATGGAATAAGTTATAATGTGCAGTCCCCTGTGGGTCATGTCTGTGTGTGCTTTTTCCAGTGGACTCTCAAGGGTGCACATCACTCAGGAAACTTCAGCGACCCAGCCAGTCCCTCCACTGCTCGTTCCAGCACAGTCTCTCTCCCTTGCATTTTGGCCTATGCACGTCTCAGAGCATCTTGAGGTCTCTGTGGCCACTGAAATAGACTTTGTCCAATGAATATAGCATCCATTTCTGGCTTTGTGCACCCCCTTATAGTAAGTCATACCCATATATCAACCAGAACTCCTTTGGTCACTGGCTTTCAAAGTCCAACCCAACTATTAATAGCTTAAGGAAAAGGATTATTTATTGGCTCATCCAACTAGATCATGGAAGGGGAACGGCATTGTTGGCTTTGGAGCCTGGTTCCAGGGATCTAAATGTTCCTGGCACACTCTCTGCCCATCTCTCTTCTCTGTTGGTATCTACAGGTTGGCTTCATTCTCTTCCATGGCAGACAGGATCCATCTGGCAGGAAACAGGACGACTAATGATTCCAGACTTTCCCTCAGTATAATTGTAAACCAGCTTTGGTTTTACAGATCTCAGAAAAGGACTGTGATGTTATGGTTTGGGTCTTCTCCCACTCCTTGAGCCAGTTACTGCAGCCACAGCCGTGGGCCCAGCCTGGGTCAGGGCCCCACTCTAGCTGCTGGGAGCCTCTTGTGACTGGGAACCTCCTCTAAAACCACAGGGAGAACTATCCAAAAGAAGGGGGCATGGCCATGGCTCTGGGCAGAAAGAATAAGGCAGGTACACCCCAACATGTAAATGGAGGGGGATCCCAGGTCTGGCCCAGCCTGCACTCTCCCTCTCCAAGGCCACCTCTGCCCTCTGAGCCCCATGACCCTGGCATCTTTCCCCCTCTCCTAAATCTATCACTCTGCAATGCTCCTGGAAATGCCTTTGCCAAGGGCCCCTCCTCTCTCTCTCTTGATCTACCACTAGCAGTGCCTAATTCAGCATGCACGGGTAGTCTTCTTGGTGCACCTCTGGCCTCTCCACCTCAGTTTTCACAGCTGTAAAGTGGGGATATAATCAAAGCCAGCTGGTCAGGTGGTTGTGATGGATAGAGAGTTGACACTTGGTTCCTTGTCCTCTAGGAAGTGGGGGCTACCGTGGGTGGAGGGGGATGGTAATAACTCTGGGAGTCCTGACTGTGTGCTCCATGAGACTGTCTTACACATCAATATATCCACGGTGCCTGGTACCTAGCAGGGCTCCATAAATGTTTGTTGCACTTTTGATCTGTTGGTGTAAATCCCTGCCTATCATCGTTATTAAATCATTTGAAAACACAGATAGCCTAAATCCAAGCCTTTTTGTATTTTTCATTTTCCTTTGCCAGTATCACTTTTGGCAATTAAGATGGATCAGGCATTTAGAATAAAAATTCCATCCTGAGGTTGCCTATGTGTCTCTATTTTCAAAAGATTTCAGAATTTCATGCAAACCAGCTTGTCTGCATGTCTGTCCCCAGCTTGCCGACACTGCTGGGTGGGTACATTAAGGGGGTTGGAGGTGCTGACTGATCCTTAACAGTGGAAGGATGTCCTGGAAGCAGGTCATGAAGGAGACTGTCCCTAGCCCCTGCTGGTGGCTGTGGAAAAAGGAACACAGTGCTCACTGCATCCTGGGGACCCCAGCAGGACTCTCAGAGTAAGCCTGTTTCTCACAGGCTCAGCAGTAACTGCTAACTCTACCTGCCATGCAAGCTCCATCCAGTTCTTACCTGAGTGCATCCACAGGCAGGAAACACTAAGGTGTGGTATCATTTGTGCCTATGGTTGTGAAAATGCAACAGGACTTGAATCGTCTCTATGTGTAAATAGTCCCAGAGGCCACATGAGCGATGCTACTGTATAAAAGTAGACCTTGGTCTCTGAAAAATGAAATTTGATGCTTGCTGCTTTCAGGAATGGGGAGCAAGATACTTTCTTCTTTCCTAAATGAGGACCAGAGACTTCCAGAATGTGGAAAGAAATTAGAGTGCTTTTTGAATAACACATGCTACTAGGTTTATCCAAACTTTGAATCTAGTGGGTGGCTTATTTTCCATTGGGAGCAGGATTCATGAGTGAGATGAGCTTTACCTTAAGGGTTTGATAAGTGCTGGGGTTTCTTTCTCTGTCTCCTGCCTTCCCCATCTATTTTTCACTCTGTCTTATACTCCGTGTGTTTGTGCCTGTGTGTGCTTTTCTCTTCTAACCCCCTTTTCTCTATTGACCTGATTTTTCTCTTCACCTCTATGAAATGGATGTCTTTTTCATTTTTGTTGCATTTATTGAGTTTTATATTCTGTATTTCTGTTTTGTAAAGAGAATGACTGGACCTTTTCATATGTCTCTAAAGGCAAACAAGGAACCAACAGCAACAACCTAAATCCAGTTGCCTTCTCTTCTGCATCCTGCACATTGATTTTCCTCTGTGAGTCCACGCTCCCCCATGGAGCGAGGCCTGGGCTCCTGGAACAGGGGCCTGGCATGCACACCGCTAGTCAGTAACTGGGAGTAGTGTCAGCATCTTTAAGATCACTTTCCTGGACACCTTTTGATCTGTAGCATCCTTCAAGGACTGTGGCAAAGTAAATCAATTCACTAGGACTGAGCAGATCCTTTTAATGAGCAGTCAGGGAAGCCTCAGGGAACATAAAGGGCCAAATCTACTCATTGATTATGGAGAGCACAGGGTCAGGCCTCCGAGGTGGGAAAAACTGCAGATGACAGCTCCATGTGGCCCAGGGGGCTTAACCGTGATTCGGGGGAAGTTCACTTTGCTACCCGTGGTGGCTCCTCTACTCCGCGGCGCATCGGCGCATCGTTTCCCTCAATCTTGGGTCCTGGTGCTCATCGCCCTCTGGTTTTGTTCCACTAACACCACTCTCCTTTCTACTCTGAACAAAGGGTCCCCAGGACAACCCCTTCCACTTTAATGAGAGTTTGAGGCCGTGGATTACAGGAGGATTTGCATATTGCGCATTATTTCAGGAGCACGAAAGAATTCTGCTTTGCGTGGAGAGTTCCATGAACCCTCACTAACTTAGCTCCTTTCTGTATGACTGCAGGAGATGAAGTACAGTCATGGAAATCAGGGGTGATTTTCATATCACATGACAGTTGCTACAAATATCCAAAACCCCACGTCTGCTCACTGCCATTTCATAATTATGTTGTCTATCAGGCCCCTCTCCAAATCTTTTGTTCATGACATTAATAGAAAAGCACAGCATTATTATAATTTTTAAAAAACATATTTTGATAACTTTCAGTATAATTGTTTTTTTATGGCCCTATTTTTTGTCTGAAGCATTTGCCAAAGGGGTCCTTCCTGTAAACCAAAAATATGACTGCAGCAGGTGTCGATCAATTCGAGGTTTTATTTTGCTAAGGTTGAGGACACATCTGGGAAAAAGAAACACAAGTCACAGTGGAATCTGTGACCTGTTCTTTTTCCAAAGAGGGTTTTAGGAACTTCAATATTTAAAGAGGAAGAGCAAGCAGGAGGGAAGAAAGAAAGGAGGGTAGGCAATAAGGCAAGTGGTTACATTCCTGTGAGGCTCTGATTAGTGCTCAGTGAATCTACATTTTACATGTGAAAAGAAGTGGGTAGAGGAAAAATCATTTATGCATTTTTCTTGTGCTTAGTAAATCTGCATTTTACATAGGATAAAGCAAGCCTGTGAAATTACAACTATCTGGGAACAAAAGAAAGGTAGTTTTTGGGCGACTCAATTCCCAAGCTTAACTTTTCCTTTAGCATAATGAGTTTGGGGTCCCAAGATTCTACTTTTCTATCACAATGCACAGGAAAGGTTAAGAATCCTGCCTTACAGGAATGCTGGGCTCCTTCCACCAGGGGAGACTTCTTTTTGCCAGAAGATAATTTTGTCAGTGTTCTCCAGTGTCACCTACTCAGAGGTGACCTGACTATTCCTCACTTTGTAAGAAAAGTGCAAAATTGCCAGTGAGCCTGAGTCCCCAGGAAGACACCCCCTGAACCTTATGAGAGGTGGCAGGTGGTGCCAGGCCAGGGGGTGCTCTCTGAGCTCCCGCTTGGCTGAGCTGCCTGAGGTTTGGGTCTGAAGATCAAGTCCTAGAGTGTTGCTGATTCCTATTTAGAGTGTTGCTTGTTAAAATGAATCTGTTCTGCGTTCTAGGCGATAATTATTTTAACACCTTTCACAGACCCCAGTGTTAGGACTTGACTTCACACCTACCAGCTCTGCTCTCTGCCTGTGGCTTCAGTTTTGCAGACATCGTCCCAGGGCCTAAGGACAATTTCTCTATCACAGACTGGCTGTGAGTCTTGGGCTTCTTCAGCTCTCTCTGACTTACGAGGGGTACCCTGCTGTCCCGCCTCAGCCATTAGTTCCAGCACATGTGGATGGTTCTTAAAGGGCATAACTAAAAGAGATCTGAAGACAACGCGGTTGCTCAAGCATCAGTAATGCAATGTCCCAGTCCCCAAGGCTCAAGGGAGCCTATGCATGCTCTCTTGGGGATGTGGTTGAAGAGAAAAAGGTGGAGGCAGGCTGGCGCAGAAGCAGGAAGGGTGAGGTTACAGGCTGTGTTAAGGCCTCTGTCACCTTCAGGGCAGCTCTGGGCATTTACTGGAAGCCCTGGCATCAGCATCTGGGACTGGCTGGGAGATGTACACCCTCAGTTCTTCAGTAGGCTGGCTCCCGCCATCCAAGGAATAGAGCAGGATGATCCCAGAAAAGGCTGGTCCTTCTGGAAGCAAATCCACACCACCTACTCACGAGAGAAAGGACAGGTGATACCCTTCTTCTAAGAGGCCATGAACCTGAGGAATGGAAACAAGTCCCATCTAACAAGTCCTTTGCAGACACTGTTCTTTCTCTAGTGCTTTCTCTTGGCCCTGTGGTTGCTGTGTCACCGCCCTCTTGTTGTCTCAGCTGTTCTTGCTGATTTCTGGCTGGGCAATCCCTCACCAGCTGGCAGAAGTGGATTGGATCTTCCCTGTACAGAGTGCAGTCTATTTTCCCCACAGTGCTCCCCCATAGTCACCTCGTAAAGTTACAGGTGGCATTTCTTGCTGGCTTAGGGAATGGAATGAAGCCACTCCATACCTTGCCCCAAACCTGCTCCTAGAAAGTGGAGCACTTTGGTTTACCCTCTCCCTTTACTTTGCACTTCAGTTTACCCTCTCCCTTCTGCTCCAGGAGGACTCTTTGTGCCTCCCTCAGGGGTCCCATAGGGTAGCTAAGCAGCCCTGGGATGTGTTCCCAGGCTTCATGACCCAGTACCTTGTTACTTTGGTCTGCATTCTTGCTCAACCTTGGTCCCTGATGCTCTGCCACCTGTGGCCCCCAGCCTTGTGCCCTATAGTGGGAGAGAGATCTGGGGATCCTTTCCCAGTTGCATCTGGAGCCCCTTCTGTACATGTGTTCAGGACTCAAAAACTGTTTCTCCATCATTTAACAGGGCAATGCCTGGAGTGGTCCCCCCACCCCCTTCAGACTTGGCTTAGGCTCGTATTTCCTCAAATCCCATTTTCTCTGACTTGTTTTGCGTGTCTGCTTGGGAGCAGTGTCTCCTTTCTCTGCTGGATCTTGGGTATCCAGAGTTGGAGGGCCTGATGGTTAATACCGAGTGTCAACTTGATTGGATTGAAGGATACAAAGTACTGTTCCTGGGTGTGTCTGTGTGGGTGTTGCCAAAGGAGATTAACATTTGAGTCAGTGGGCTGGGAGAGGCAGACCCACCCTCAATCTGGGTGGGCACCATCTAATCAGCTGCCAGCGTGGCCAGGATAAAAGCAGGCTGAGGAATATGGAAGGACTAGACTTGCCGAGTCTTCCGGCCTTCATCTTTCTTCTGCGCTGGATGCTTCCTGCCCTTGAACATCAGACACCAAGTTCTTCAGCTTTTGGACTCTTGGACTTACACCCGTGGTTTGCCAGGGTCTCTCGGGCCTTTGGCCACAGACTGAAGGCTGCGCTGTTGGCTTCCCTGCTTTTGGGGTTTTGGGACTCGGACTGGCTTCCTTGCTCCTCAGCTTGCAGACGGCTTATTGTGGAATTTTACCTTGTGACCGTGTGAATCAATACTCCTTAATAAACTCCCTTTCATATATACATCTCTATTAGTCCTGTCCCTCTAGAGAACCCTGACTAATACAGAGGGATCTAGGGAAGGATTAACTCTGGGGGCCACAACTCTGATGCCTACAGAGGCCACATAAATGAGTAAAGTAGGCCAGGAGGAGGTAACAAGAGAGAGTAGCAGGGACTGTGGCAAACCAGAGAACCTGCCCTGTGTGAGGAGGAAGCCATCACCTAGCTCGAGCTGGATGTTGCCATGCAGGAGCCGGGAGACCTTCCCAGACTGCCTTGCGTTTCCTAGCGCTCCCCTAGAAACTCTCACTCCCCTCACCCTGCTCTGGTTTCTTTACAGGATTTACCACCACCTGTCACATGCGTTTATTTATTGTTTGTCTTTCTCACTAGCATGTATACTCCATAACATCGAGGACTCTGTTTTTCCCCACTGTTGTATCCTTAGGGTCTGGAATACTTGGCACAGAATGAATGCTCAGTAAATATCTGTAGAATAAGTAGAGAGAGAAATTTTGGCCAGATTTTGCAGTTTTTATAAGAAATCAGAAATCTAGGAATTTCCATCATGGTATACCGTGGTCAGGGCCAGAAAGTGCAAAAAGCTATGATGGAGCCCATCAACCTCACCTACAGATTCTTACAAAATAGATCCCAGATTCAGGTATGGCTCTATAAGCAGAGAATATGTGGATAGAAGGCTGTATCATTGGTTTTGATGAGTATATGAACCTTGTATTAGTTGATGCAGAAGAGATTTATTCTAAAACAGAGTTAAAACAACTGGGTTGGATCATGCTAAAAGGAGATAATATTACTCGGGTACATAGTGTCTCCAACTAGAAATGATCAATGAAGTGAGAAATTGTTGAGAAGGATATAGTTTGTTTTTAGGTGTCCTTTGTCCAATACGAACATTTATTCATATTGTTTTGATTACCCTTATGTTATTACAAGATGACAATAAGTACTGTGGGATTGTTTGTATTAAAAAAATTTTTTTTAAAAGGAAATCAGAAGTCTAGATTTTCTAGAAATCATTATGCTGGCCAGTACTGTACGCGCTGGACAGACTAGATCGGCAAGCAGGTTAGGACGGGTTTACCGTCTTCAGTCTACATCAAGCCCCCACCGGGCCTGAATTATGGTGCGGACCCTGGGGACTTTCTGCATGCCAGTCGGCTTTCACCTGTGATGTGCGTTGAGCTTCTGCTAGCTGTCCTCACTTTGGACAAACTGTTTGGAGAAACTCTGTGCTTCTGTAGATGTGCTCCAGGCTTCTGTGCACTCAGTGGCTTCTGATTGAAAGGCTTTCTCTGCAGTTGCCCTGCCCACCAGCCTGGCCAGTGTCCCCTCTACTACTCCCTTTAAGAGTTTTGCTTCCTTTCTATCTCTTTTCACATATTTTTGCTCTTGGGCATTGTACTCAGGATATTTTCCCAGCCTCAAAGTATCTCGTTTTCTGCTCACAACACCCCACTGGGTTCCTTGGCATTTTAACATTTGAGTTCAGTTCACCTCATGTCAGTATATTTGAGCCTGGAAGACCACCCTCATCTTGCTAGGAGATGCCATTATCCTCTGTTGAATATTTGATGCACTTTAAAGATCTATGTATATTTGGAAACCTCAGGATACCTAGCCCGGAGTTGGAACTGCCGGGCCATTTAGGATCATTTTCGGAGGGGACACTTGACAGTGTGTCAGGGCTGTCCCTAGCAATAACGGTGATGTGCCATTTTTGTATCTCATCCCGTGTATTTCAGCCATGGCTGGAGCTAACAATTGCATCTCAGTGCTCATCTTTTCATTTCTTTCCCCATTACACCTGGCTTCTAGCATTTTTGTCTTATTTTTGAAACCAAAGAGCATTATAATTAAACTCAGTAAGCAAGCCGCTTTCCCTTGAAACACGCTCTGAGATGTGTTTACATAAGCCTCAAATATATTTACTCAGTGGGTTTTTCTCCCTCTGGTGAATCAATTCCACTTTTATAATTTACTAAGAAAAATGTTTCCCTCTAAGTAGCATTAAAGGTCTGATTTAAAGCTGGAGGTGAGGCAGAAAGTCCTGAAGCTGTTTCATGCCATTGAGTCTTATTCCTTCCACAATCACAGAAACGAGATGGATGAGAATTGGCCTGGTGGGCTTCAGAAGCAACTAGGAGGAACTCTGAAATAATCTGAACAAGTTTCTTCAGCTGTGAAGAGTTTGCTTGCTTTTTTTTCTTTTTCTTTTTCCTTTTCCTCTCCACTGAAAACTTAGAAGGTAAGGCAAAAATGGCTTCTGATTCAAAGATGACCCGTCAGCCTTTCCTGTTCTTTCCTCTGTTTTGAAGTACATTAACTCTCTGGGGTGCTCTGTAGCTCCTGGAAGCCGAAGACCCCCCTGGCCCAGAATAGTCCTCGGCCAAATGCCAAATGTAGTGATGTGTGATAGCTGCCCCTCCCTGAGGAGCTGCCTCTACGCTGCTATCAGGTCTGAGAGGCCCCTTCTGGGTCGTCATGGGAACCAGGAGTGGAGGTGCCGGGAAACCTATGGGGGGCAGCAGAAGTGGATTAGTGTGCCTTATTATATGTAGCATGACTCCAAAGTGTTATTTTGAGGCTATAAAAATTATAGTTGCCATAAATGAGTCACGTTACCATTGTTCAGAAAAACACCAGTGCTTGGGGCTAATCTTCGAAACTCTTTGTTTCAGAAAAATACCAGACTTGGGGCTAATCTTTGAAACTCTTAGTGACTTTCTTTCTTGGGTGACCCCAATACCCCACCGTCTGCTGAGAACACAGTACCTGGGGCCTTTTGAGTTTTCTGGGTATCTGTCATGCCCTGGATTGATGTTCTCTATAATCTTGCTTCTAGAACACTGGTAGCTTGCCATCATCCACTCTAAAAGGAGGACGATGTTCTAGTAAGGTGTGCCAGGTTCTTAATTTACAAGTACAGTAGGAGGTGGGCCCACGGTGTTGAATGGTGGTGGATTGAAGTACCGTTGGTTGTGGATGCTTACAGGAGTGAGGGAACACGTGGCTTATCTGACATACTCATTTGTCAGAATCAGGAAGAACTTTCACAGCCTATTTACTCATTTAAATATTTATCAAATGTCTTCTTCATGCCAGGAAACAGCGGAGAACAAATAGGCACTCCTTCCTCTTGTGGGAAAGAAGGCGGGGAAGAGGGTTCCAGGCTGCAGGAAGGAGATGAATAAAGGTCCTTTGGCTAGGAAGTGCATAGCACTGGGGCGGGGACTTGCAAAGTAGTGGTAGGACTGGTGCAAACAGGGAACAGTTAGTGCAAAGGCTGAGAGTGGAGAGGGAGGCAGTGGCCAGATCACGCAGGGCTCTGGCACTGTGTGAAGAATTCTGGACTTTATTCCTAAGGGCAATGGGGAATCATGTAAGATTTTAAAGCAGGGCTGCTTATAGCCAGATTTGCTGCAGTGTGGAGAGTGCAGACACCAGGAAGAGACAATTGCAAGATAGGAAACCCTCATTATTTGCAGATAACTGGTATTGGAAAGGGACCACTGAAAGTAAAATGGAGGTCCACATTTCTTAGTAAACAGTTTTTTTTTTTTTAAAAAAAGGCTTGATCAGTATCTTACTTTGAAAGATAATACAAAAAATTATGAAAAAGTTTTCATGTGACTTTGTATTTCATGATACTTATGTAATAGTTGCAGTTTTGCGCTAGCTCTTTGAACAAGGAATGAATCAGTTGTTGACTTTTTGAGGGAGAACTCATGCTGAAAAGATGACAAGACAGCAGGAAGCAACACTTTTTGCTTCCTGCTTGAGTTTTGAGGAAGAATCATGAAAACTTTCAAAGAGTTCATTAGTTTCTCCAAGGCCGTCCTTCAATACTTTGACGCTCAAACCATTCCCTTTTCAAGGACCAGTCCTGCCTTGAACCTCAGCAGTTTTCCTTCCTCAGCTGCAAATGCTTTAGCTCTGCCAACTTCTTCTTGGTCAGTGGTACTGAAGCAGATCTCCAGTATTACTTTCATCAACTTCATGAAATCCATCGAATTGAGCAAAATGTTCAGTGTTACTTTGCAACCACCTTGCATTGTATCTGCATGTGAGGTTGGCATGGTTGGTAGTTTTAATGTTTCTAGTGTTAGGTGGGGAGGGATGGTTGGGTGAAAACTCATGAATATTTCCACATCATGACAATTTTGCTTCTTTTTGCAACCTCCTAATTACTGCTCCTGGATGATGACTATTTGGAGAAAGAGGGTCCTTTATAGTCTTACTGGGAGTGGAGGCGATGGCAGCAATGTTAGGGAGGAGGATGGGATTTGAGAGCTATTTAGGAATAAAATCAAAAGCACTTGGGAAGCAATTCGATATGAATGGAGTGAGGAAAAGGAATCAGAATGGCTTCTGGGCTTCAGCAACTGACAAACTAGTGGCTCTGATGCCTGAGATGGGAAACCTGGACAAGAAGGCAGGTGGTGGGAGTGAGATAGCAGTCCTGAGTCCTATACCAAACAGAGGGGTGGATAGGGAAGGACACCAGCAACTTCCTGGTATCATTTCAGTTTTTGTTTTCCTATAGGCAGTAGACGCTCAATAAACATTTGTTGATTCACTTGTTTGGGTTCCCTGGTGTTTGGGTTAATTGTATGTTGGGGGATAACAGTGAATAATAAGGAGGTTTATTGAGGGCTTTCTATGTGGCAGGCCCTAAGCTAGGCACCTTGCGTATCTTATCTCATTTTTATCTTTATAAGAACTCTTAAGAAGTCAGGCTGTTTTATGTTATTGCAATGTAAGGAGATGCTATCTTATGAGGTAGGTCAGAGGGTGAAAAAATGCTAGCAAGGGGTGGGGAGAGAGGGTGGTTTGTGGCAATTGGAAAGTGAGGATGAAAAGGGGCTGATGAGAAGCTATGTGTAGGTTGACAGGAGGAGGGACTCTTCCCGAAATTTCTTGCTACCTTTGTACAGAGATCTAAGGCATGTATTTCAAATGATGTGAATGTATTTACTTCAGCTTCCACATGGCACTGCAAGATTTAGGAAGGCAGAAAACTCATCATCTTGCTAGAACTAGTCCTGGCTCTGACACTGCCTGGCCTTGGGGGGTCACTTGAACTCAGGGCCTCAGCTTTACTTGTCTGGCAAATGGGCATTAAATAGCCACTTTGTCTTGTGCAAAGCACAGGCAGATTCAAATACAGGAAATGTTAAAGGAAAAACTTTAGACAAAATAAATGTGACAAAGTTTATTTGAGCAAAGAAGGATTCATGATTTGGGCAGCCCTCAAAACCAGAAGAGGTTCAGAGAGCTCCACTGCAGCAGCGTGGGCTTTTAGAGGCTGAATATGGAAGTAAGACAAATACAACACATTTGATTGATTACAGTGGAAAGACTGGTTTTAGAGGTTAGTTTGTGGTTTCTGATCAGTAAAGTTTCTAGTTTCATTTTACTGTTTGCATTGGGCTTTGGCTTGCTTAGGTAAAAACTTACAGTGGTGTAGCTTCCCCAGCCTGATGGCTTCCCGATTAAAATGATTGTAACAGAAGGCACTCTCCTTGTGCAATACACTGATGAGGGTGTGGCTTATGTGATTTCAACTCTTGGAGGGTGAAGGGCTGAGCCTATAGTACATTTTTTTCTCATCTGCATTTTCTAGGAACTTACCCTGTCCAAAAGCCATCTTGTTAATCTACTTTATTTTATTTTATTTTTTTATTTTTTGAGATGGAATCTTGCTCTGTGAACCAGGTTGGAGTGCAGGGGCACTATCTCGGCTCACTGCAACCTCTGCCTCCCAGGTTCAAGCAATTCTCCTGCCTCAGCCTCCCGAGTAGCTGAGATTACAGGTGTGGGCCACCACGTCCAGCTAATTTTTGTATTTTTAATAGAGACAGGGTTCCACCATGTTGGCCAGGCTGGTCTCAAACTCCTGACCTCAGGTGATCCACCCACCTTGGCCTCCCAAAGTGTTGGGATTACAGGCATGAGCCACCTCACCTGGCCAGATTAACCTACTTTAATTCTACATTAGCAGGATTTATTGTGGGCAACTTCCAGATGTGCAAGGTCCATTAGGCTGAGGTACATTTGTAGGTTCAAAGAAGGTGCAGAGAACGAGTGCTTTAAATCTGACTCAGCGCAGGCAGGTGGTAACGGGGTGAATGGATTAGGACAGAGCAGGGCCCCAGCATAGGGACTCATGTTCTAACTGTGTGTGTGGGCTTCTGCCTGACATTATTTCCTTCGGTTCTATGTTGTTTGTTTGAGGGAGAGTAGGGACCACAGAGCCTGGGGTGTCAGCAGAAGCCCCTGCCTACGATTCCCGGAGGCACTGAAGGTCCTCTTTTGTCCTGAATATGGAAAGGCCAGGGAATTGTTCCTTATCAGCAAAGAAGCAGTTGCTTATTGGGAGAGATTATACTCAGGCGGGGAGAGAGAAGCTGGCTTACCCACGGGGGAACATTAAACAAGATACTCCAGAGGCACTCTAAAAATATCATACCTGCTGTTACATATACAGTCATGTGTATCTTTGATATCTTTTATATCCTGATGTCCTCTCTAGCCAACTGGAGACCACATACACACACACACACACACCCCATACAGTCTTCCCTCGGTATCTGTGGGGTACTGGTTCCAGGATCCCCAGGAATACCAAAATCCACAGATGCTCAAGTCCCTGATATGAATGATGTAGTATTTGCAGATAGCCCATGCATATCCTCCCATATACTTTAAATCACCTCTGGATTACTTATAATACTTAATACAGTGTAAATGTTATGTAAATAGTTGTTATATGGTATCATTCAGGGAATCATGATAAGAAAAAAGTCTGTACATGTTCAGTACAGACAAAGCCATCCATTTTTTTCAAATATTTTCAACCTGCAGTTGGTTGAACCCATGGATATGGTACCCATGGATACAGAAGGCCAACTGGAGATATATACAGATATCCCTAAACATTTCGCTTGTTACAAGTAAGTCCTTTTTGCTCAGTATCAGATGATCTTGCACAATAAACTGTGAGGTCCAAACTCATTTTACAGATTAGAAAACTGAGAATCCTAGGAGTCAAGTGATTGCTGCCAGACACTCAGCAGGCAAGTAAGGGTCCAGGGCTTTGAACACAGGATTTCTGAGTTCAAAACCTGTGCTATTTCTACTCTACTAAGTTTGTAGCCTTCTCAAGGGCAGAGATGGTGATCTTTAGGTCTCTCTTGTCCCAGTGTCCTGCAGATGGCCCCGCACATGGTGATGCTTGGCAAGTGCTGGTGAGTGATGATGGCATACAGGAGCTACCCCTTAAGCCGGAAGGGAGAGGAACTCCAGGAGGGTTGGAGGCTGGTGCAAGATGGGGGAGATTTACTAAGTGATTCTAAGAGGACGGGAACTTAAACAGAGGATCCTGCTAGGGTGCTCAGGAGTAGGAACCTGGCTGACTCATTCACTCCCCAGTCCCATGTGCCACCTGGTCAGCCTGCCCAGGTGCTGCTGCTGGATGGTGATGGGAATCAGGGGAGCAGGTGACAGGAGCAAACAGGAGTACTGAGGATGCTAAGAAGTCATGGCAGAGCTGGAGCCAGGCGTTACCAGGGCTGGTAGGCATCTGTGCTCCAGGGCTAGGCTGGGGGAAAGGGCAGAGGTGGAGTGTGGCTACAGATAGTGCTAGGGCTGCAGGATGGGGGCACTGGAGACCCAGTCAAGCTGCTGTCTGCCAGGTTCAGAAAAGTCTAGATTACCTCTGGTCACAGTGGGTTGGCATCTGTATCATTTGGAGGGAATGAAGAATGGTATAATTATATGGCTTGTGGGAGGTCAAAAAGTCAGTCTCTCAAATCCAGGTAGACCTGAGTCTAACCATGATATACGCGAAGTCTTCAGAGAGGTGAGTGTCAGAAGGTCGGGGAGATGAGGCTCTACTTGAGGCATGGGGAACAAACTTGAGAAGCAAGTCAGAGCCTTCCTTTGAATGCCAAAATTTGATTTTAGCCAGAGAAGGCAGAAGTGGGAGAAAAAGGGGGGAAACAGAAAGCGGGTCCCAGAAAGCTTTACTAGTGATAGACTACTCAAGGTCTGAGTTTTCAAATAACCTTTGATACAATTACACTGAGGTGAATTCAGTCAGTAAGAATTTTAGCTTTACTAGTGATCGACTACTCAAGGTCTGAGTTTTCAAATAACCTTTGATACAATTACACTGAGGTGAATTCAGTCAGTAAGAATTTTAGCTTTACTAGTGATTGACTACTCAAGGTCTGAGTTTTCAAATAACCTTTGATACAATTACACTGAGGTGAATTCAGTCAGTAAGAATTTTAGCTTTACTAGTGATTGACTACTCAAGGTCTGAGTTTTCAAATAACCTTTGATACAATTACACTGAGGTGAATTCAGTCAGTAAGAATTTTAGCTTTACTAGTGATTGACTACTCAAGGTCTGAGTTTTCAAATAACCTTTGATACAATTACACTGAGGTGAATTCAGTCAGTAAGAATTTTAGCTTTACTAGTGATTGACTACTCAAGGTCTGAGTTTTCAAATAACCTTTGATACAATTACACTGAGGTGAATTCAGTCAGTAAGAATTTTAGCTTTACTAGTGATTGACTACTCAAGGTCTGAGTTTTCAAATAACCTTTGATACAATTACACTGAGGTGAATTCAGTCAGTAAGAATTTTAGCTTTACTAGTGATTGACTACTCAAGGTCTGAGTTTTCAAATAACCTTTGATGCAATTACACTGAGGTGAATTCAGTCAGTAAGAATTTTAGCTTTACTAGTGATTGACTACTCAAGGTCTGAGTTTTCAAATAACCTTTGATACAATTACACTGAGGTGAATTCAGTCAGTAAGAATTTTAGCTTTACTAGTGATAGACTACTCAAGGTCTGAGTTTTCAAATAACCTTTGATACAATTACACTGAGGTGAATTCAGTCAGTAAGAATTTTAGCTTTACTAGTGATTGACTACTCAAGGTCTGAGTTTTCAAATAACCTTTGATACAATTACACTGAGGTGAATTCAGTCAGTAAGAATTTTAGCTTTACTAGTGATAGACTACTCAAGGTCTGAGTTTTCAAATAACCTTTGATACAATTACACTGAGGTGAATTCAGTCAGTAAGAATTTTAGCTTTACTAGTGATTGACTACTCAAGGTCTGAGTTTTCAAATAACCTTTGATACAATTACACTGAGGTGAATTCAGTCAGTAAGAATTTTAGCTTTACTAGTGATTGACTACTCAAGGTCTGAGTTTTCAAATAACCTTTGATACAATTACACTGAGGTGAATTCAGTCAGTAAGAATTTTAGCTTTACTAGTGATAGACTACTCAAGGTCTGAATTTTCAAATAACCTTTGATACAATTACACTGAGGTGAATTCAGTCAGTAAGAATTTTATGCTGGGGTCTGTGAGAACCACCAGGCCCACTGTCTGCCTCCAGGCAGCTTCCAAGTCTAGCCAGAGAGATGGGAATTGTCAACAAAGCAAATAGAGTCAAAAGTCAATGTGTGGGTCGATTCTGGGCACACTGACTATGAATTAGCCCTGCTCTGCAAGGAGTGGTTAAAAAAAAAATCAGTGTGTGTATGTGTGTGTTTGTGTGTGTGTGTTTTAAGGTAGTCAAAATGGCATGAATCAAACGCCAAGGGCTTCAAAAGGCGTGTTCACCAAGTGGGGGAAGGGAGGCTCTGTGACTGCTTCGTGGTAATGTACAGAGCTGAAATAGCTCCCTGTGTATAAAAACATTTAGAGCAGCCTTCTGTGGAAGAGTAGGCTAAGGATGCCTCAGCTGTGATAAAATATTGAAGACAGATTTTTAAAAAACAAGCATATATTAGCAGGGTCAAAATCTTTACATTATACTCAGATGTGCAATCAGCACAGCATTCATTATTTTGCTCAACTATTCTCAGCTTGCTGAGGAGCCCCAGTTTCCATGGACCATGAGTGGGAGGGAAACATAAACTAGCCGATTAAAGGTATTATGCCTCTGTCTGTTTCAAGTTCTTACCTCTCTTGGATAAATATTGCTTTCAATTACTCTATTTGAGTGGTGCTATACACTGAATGTTTGTATCTGTCCCCGCTCCCGCCATTCATATCTTGCAATCCTAACATCCAATATGATGGTATTAGGAGGTAGGGCCTTTGGGAGGTGATTAGGTCATGAGAACAAAGCCCTCATCAATGGGATTAGTGCCTTTATAAAAGACGCCCTAGAGAGCTCCCTCACCCCTTCTGCCGTTTGAGGACACAACTGGAAGACAGCCATTTATGAACAAGGAAGTGGGCTCTTGCCACATATCAACTCTGCTGGTGCTTTGATCTTGGACTTCCCAGCCTCTAGACTTGTGTTGTTGTTTCTAAGGCATCAAGTGTATGGTATTTTGTTATAGCAGCACGAATGGACTAAAACAGGTGGTTTCTCACTTTGTAAAGTCTGGTTCCTCCCCCACCATCCTAGGATGGCACGTGGGTATAAGGAAGGCCAAACAATGTCCTCCCACCAATGAGAGAAGCCCGCTAGTCCTTACGTACCCTAGTGCTGACTTATGGGTCCTTGCTGGCCTCCTGGAGATGTGACTGGCATGTTGTGGGGTCTCTTCTGATTTCCTCAGGGTCCAGTGGACCTTTCCTGGCTGACTCAGCCCCACCTGAGTGCTCCTTACTGCTGCAGACATGACACATCACAGCCTCCGTTCAGTGCCTGACCCAGAGGTCCACCCCACAACCTCTGCAATAGGATTGAGCTGACTTTTTCCTCCCTGCCCTCAGCTCAATCTTACATAATACCCGAGGGAGACTTGGGGGCACTTCCGTTGTCTCTCATCTTCTGTGTAAGTGCTCCATGATGCCATCTTTACTCTGCTTCTGGATTCCTGAATGGGCAGCAGGGCATACATGTTCCCTGCTTTGGCTTCTGCTTCAAACTACCTGAGGCTTTACTCTTGTTTCCACTTCAGCCATTGTTCAACCTCAAGGTAATGTAGGGGCTACTGTAGGGTTTCTGATGTCTGACCTTTCTTCTTTCCTTCCTCTTTCTTTCTACCTGCAGTCCAGAAGTATCTCCATTTCTTCCCTTGGTGTTTGAGAAATTCCATTAAGCTATAGCTCGAGTTCTTGCTACCTACAGTTTATAATAACATTAGACATCCCGACCTTTAAGCTTTGATTTTAATGTGTAAAGGGAATTTTTGAATTAAGGGATTCTTTTTTAACAATGTCTGATTCAGGATTATTATCTCCTGGTGGATTTTATTTTATTTTTTTTCTTTTTGAGGCGGCGCCTTGCTCTGCCGTCCAGGCTGGAGTGCAGTGGTGTGATCTTGGCTCACTGCAACCTCTGCCTCCTGGGCTCAAGTGATTCTCTTGCCTCAGCCTCCTGAGTAGCTGGTACTACAGGTGCCTGCCACCACGCCTGGCTAATTTTTGCATTTTTGGTAGAGACAGGGTTTCACCATGTTGACCAGGCTGGTCTTGAACTCCTGACCTCAAGTGATCCACCTGCCTTGGCCTCTCAAATACATTTCTTTTTTTTTTTTTTAAGAGAGCATTTGTTATAGTCTCCGTTTTGGGACCAGACACAGGCATTACCATCCAGGTCTTCCAGTCTCCCTAGAATAGATTCAACCCAGTGCAATGTGTGTATTTGAAAGGCTATTCCCAACTTTATTTTGGAATTCCTTTTGTGGAATTCTTTTTTCAGAGCCAATTTATGGGGCATACCAAATCACTCTGTAGTCATGCTTCTAATATCAGTTAGAAAAACCTTGGGCTACAAGAAGCATAAATAGGGGGCAAGTTCTTCTTTTATAATAAGAAAACTAGAGGCAGACAGCCCAGGGCTAGTGTAACTTTAATAATGCCCTTGGAGAGCTAGACTCACACTGTGCTCTGCTCTGCACTCTCCTATGCTGACCTTCATCTTGCACCTGCAGCCTTGGGATTGCAAGCTGGCTCTGCACCTCCAAGCACAGTGTGGACTTTCCAGATGGGAAGAAGGAGGAAGGGCAATGGGCAAAAAAGTCTCTGCCAGCCAAGTCTGCCCCACTTCATCAGGACATGGAAACCTTCCCTAAATTCCCATGAAGTGCACCTCTGCTTAAAGCGCATGAGTGAGCACTAACTCCTGAGCAGCCCTAGCTCGAAGGTGGCCAGGAGGGACTTGTCTATCAAGGTATTTCCCAGTGTTTTTGTCTGCCTTATTCACCACCTAACTAGTATGTCAAAGCCTCCTGACTGCTTTTGAAAATTAAAAAATTGAAAATTAGTCAGGTGTGGTAGCTCATGCTTATAATCCCAGCACTTAGAGAGGCCAAGGTGGGAGGATTGCTTGAGGCCAGGAGTTCAGGATCAGCATGGGCAACATAGTGAGACCCCAGCTCTGTATTTAAAAAAAATAGCTCGGCATGGTGGCACATGACTGTAGTCCCAGCAATTTGGGAGGCTGAGGTGGGAGGACTGCTTGAGCCCAGGAGGTCAAGGCTGCAGTGAGCCATGGTTGCACTACTGCACTCATCTGGGCAACAGAGCGAGACCTTGTCTCAAAACAAAACAAAACAAAACAAAACCTATGCTCCAAGATCAAAGCTGTTTTTTTGCTGGCAGTTCCCCAAACAAGTTTCTAAATGTGAACAGCAGAGTAAATGTCCATCTTCCAGAGGACTCTGAAGGGAAGCACATTTGGATATATTCCTTTGAAAACGCATTCTCGTCATGACAATCCATTCACACTTCATGCAGTGACTGGCAAGGATCCAAAAGCCTCCAAACCCACAGCATCCCTTCGAGCCTCTGTGCTTGCTTGCAAGAGCTGGGTAGACCCTGTGAAATGTCAGGAGTGAGGTAGATGAAGAGAAAATTAAACTCTCCTCCAGCTGGGCCACCTCATTTGATGTCAGCAACGGAGGGACATTTTGTTGCCGTGACTTGAATTGTAATATCTAGGGAGTGCTCTGGGTGGGCTGTCGGAAGAAGCTTAGACCGGGAGCCAGAACCTTCACATCGGAAGGCAACCAGGACCATGCCCAGTAATGAGGGCTATGTGGCTGCTCTGATCTCTTTGAGAAGCCACTAGCTTTAGAGGTGTTGCAGAGCAGTCTCCCCCTTCACTCCCCAGAGGACTGGGCTTCTGTGCTTGCCCTACCTTGTTTATCTCCCTCTGCCTGATGCTGGTGAAAGTGAAATCTGTCAGGTTTGATGCAGATTCTTGTTGAATGCCACTTCCCCACAGACTTGGGAGGCTGAGGTGCAAATATATGTAAGATGCTGTTGGAGATTTGCAGAAGAACAAAATATGATTCATTGATTCATGTAGTCATCTGCTTATTTGTTTTTATTCATCAAACATCCGTTGAGCTGCTTCTGTGTGTCAGCCACCTGCTGGGGATGCCGAGATGAGTGAATCCACATTGCTGCTTTGCAAGAAGAGGTCAGAGAGGGATGAGGGAGAGAGAAAAACAGATGTAATCAAGTGGCCTTAGAACTTGCTGGGGAGGTGTGAGGAGGAAGGGCTTGGTGCTGGTAAGACAGGCCAGGGATAGGGGTAAGGAAAGCTCTGCCAAGGAGTTGATGCATGAATGGAGTTTTGAGGCCAGTCTGGGTGCAAATCATGATCTGAGGCAGCTTGTGATAACTCTGCAAGAGAAGCGTAAATAAGGTCTTTAGGACACATACCAAAAAAGCGGTGACTTCTGGCTGGAGGGTAGGCGGTATCAGAGAAAGCTTCATGGAGAAGGGGTAAGATTCATCAAGAAGTTTGCAAGCAGAGGGAACAAACAAGAAAAATCACATCAATGAAAACGACCAGGGTATGTTTTGTACATATCCAAGTTCGATTGGGAGATTAGATTCATAGCGGAGAGTGTAATAGGAAAAAGACTGGAGAAGTAGGTTGGAGTCATATTGTGAAGGGTGTTGATGCCCTGTTAGGTTGTATTTCATTGGTGAGCAATGGAGGACAGTTGCGAGCAGGGGTGTGACATGATCACAGGTGTTCATAGAAGAAAAATGGGCTGAGAGGAGCTGGGTGGGAGGAGGACACTGTGTTATTTTGCTCAACCTTTGGAAGTTGCCTTTTAATGAGAGACTGCCCTGCTTGAGGCTTCTTTGGTGAGAAGTAACATAACTCATGCCAGCCCATCCACATCAACTCTGTTTCCCTCGACTACCAGGTCTAGTCTCACCTAGGAGCCCTGTTGCCATTAGGAAGATAGTGTTTGTCTGTGAAACAGAGCCTGGTGAGAGAGTGAGGCAGGAAGCAGGTTGCCTCCTGGATCAGAAAAGCTCTTCAAAAAGTAATATGGCCAGGCATGGTGGCTTACACCTGTAATCCCAGCACTTTGGGAGGCTAAGATGGGAGGATCACTTGAGTCCAGGAATTCAAAACCAGCCTGGGCAACATAGTAGGATCCTGTCTCTATGAAAAAAAAAAAATTAACCAGGCATGATGGCATGCACCTGTAGTTCTAGTGACTCAGGAGGCTGAGGTGGGAGAATTGCTTGAGACTAGGAGGTTGGGGCTGCAGTGAGCCATGATGGCGCTACTGTACTCCAGCCTGGGCAACAGAGCAAGACCCTGTCTCTTAAAAGAAAAAGAAAGTAAATGAGTATGTGTGTGTGTGAGACAGAGAGAGAGAGCGAGTGAGCGGGAGAGAGAGAGAGACAGACAGACAAAAAGAGAGGGAGAGAGAGAGAGAGGAATTAATTAATTTGGGGTCAGATCATGAATGACTTTGTTGGGAAAGATCCAGGCAGACAGAGGCCAGGGCTTTCTAGGATGACCTGGTGATGGAGCAATTCTGAGTGATGATGGAGATGTTGGCTCCTCAGATGTGGGTTCCTGGCTTACTGCTTGCTCAGGCAACAGGTTTTCTGAGAAAACCATAATGTGTTCACACCTAGAATATGTATATAGCTCTGGCCACAGTGTTAAAAGAAAACTTAGAGTGAGACAAGGTCCACAGATGGTCTCTAAAAGGTTGAAGGGCCTTCCATCTGAACACACATTGAAAAGATTCAGATCTTTGATATGGAAAAGATAAAGGCTAAGATGCACAGGTAGGACTTTGGAGCTGTTTGAATGGAATGAATAGGAGAAACAGGGACTTGTTCACCAAATCTTAGACTCCTAGAGCTAGAGATCTACAATGAAGGTGGAAAGAAGCAGTACCAGGCCAGAAAGATGCAATAGCCTTCACATGATGTAAAGCACGCTTGAGGACACTGAGACCTCAGCAGCTGGTGTGGAATAAGCAAATAAGTAGAGGTGAGCAAAGTTACGTCACTTCTAGGATGATAGATTCGCCATAGGATGCTAAGGTAGGCAGTGGTGCCTGGGGCCCGTGCTACTTCTTTTGAAGTTGACACTGCAAGGGACAACGATGCCTCCCAGGGAAGTGCCACTCAGTGGCATCAGTGTGGTGGGTCCCAACTTGCACAGAAAGGGGTTTTCTGTTTTCTTCTGCATTTCCTTGAATCTCCAATGTGACGAACACCAAAACCCAGGATTTGTAACCTCTCTTGACTTTTATTTCTTCTGCCTCAAATTATGATGATTTAATGCTAAGCAGTATCTCAAGGGAACTTTAAGCAATAAGGCATCAAGGCTCTCCTGGTGAACTCTGAAACAAGAAAAGGCAATACTGTAAACAGACCACGCAGAGCCAGCTCTTCATTATCCAAGGTCAGGAGGGGCAAGGAACATAAACACACACACACACACACACACACACACACACACTCTTACACGTACACATCATAGATTGGATTAACAGCTTCAATGTTTCCCTCAACCAACTTAATCAGAGCTGCTAATAAGGGACCAAAGGGACTAATTTTCTTTTCTTTTCTCTCCTCTCCTCTTCTTTTCTTTTCCACTCCACTGGCTGAATGTGTAGGAGTGGGGAAATGATCAGCATGTGGGGGAGGGGGCAGCCACAGGGAGGAGCAGAGGATCCACTCCCGAGTAAACAAATCCCAAGGAGGCAGAAGAAGCTGATGGCTGCGGGTGCATTTCCAGCACCGGAGGAGGAAACTCTACCTGACTCAGAAGGGAATGTGGCAACGTGGACTCTGGGTTGAATGGGACAGGGTCAGAGAAAGCAGGGCCCCTGCAGGCTGGGCCTGACCAATCTGTGTCCCCTGTGACACTGTGCAGGTGACTGCTGGCTTCTGGCTGCCATTGCCTCCCTGACCCTGAATGAAGAGCTGCTTTACCGGGTGGTCCCCAGGGACCAGGACTTCCAGGAGAACTATGCGGGAATCTTTCACTTTCAGGTACTGTGCTCTGCTCTGGCCCTTTGTTGCTGTTTTCCGTATTCTTAGGGCTCACTGCAGGTCCACTGCGTCAGAAATTCTGGGTTTGGGGCACAGTGACCTATGTCTTAATAATCCCTCTAGGTGACTCTGATGCACACTTCAGTCTGAGAACCTCTGCTTTAATGCATCCATCCAGATATCCACACATCCATCCTCTTCCCAGCTCCCCTAGGCCACGTGGCCTTCAGGAAAGCCCTGTGGACTGAGGGTCAGGAGGTGTGGGTCTGAATCACTTCCTGCTGCCACTAGGTGGCGCTGGGCAAGTTCTCTGATGCACAAACGCAGACCCTGGACTAGATGTTCCCGGGTTCATCTGGCATCTCCTATGTGCACAGATAAGGCAGACACATGTCCTGCTCCTAAGGAGCCAAGACTCGAACACTGATGGCACAGAGTCCCCACGTGAGGTCCCCTGGAGGGACTCCCTTTACACATCTGCTTATTCATGTGAGCAGCCGCTGTGTCCCCCCTCCCCAGTTCTGGCAGTACGGAGAGTGGGTGGAGGTGGTCATTGACGACAGGCTGCCCACCAAGAATGGACAGCTGCTCTTCCTACACTCGGAACAAGGCAATGAATTCTGGAGTGCCCTGCTGGAGAAAGCCTATGCCAAGTAAGTGGGGGAAGCCAGGAGCTGGGAGACGCCAGAGCCTCCCTGAAAGCTCTCACCTGTCCCTCCCACGTCTGCCTCCCCACCCCAAACTCAGGGCGTCATGGCGTCTTTCCCAGCATCCAGACCCCCATGAGCCGGAGAGAGAGCATTTTTCAGTAACTAAGAGAAACAGAAATCTGGGCGGGGAGTTTAGCATCTCAGCTCTGCCTCGGGTGAATGTGTATGTGGTGGGGCCAGCCTCCCTGCCCCTCTGGGCCTGAGCTTTTCCTCTTTCAAATCCCAAGGTAGGTTCCTGGGGCAATGTAAACGTTTAAAAGAATGATGAAGAATAATAAAACAAATGTACTAGATACCAAACTCAACAAAGTGTCTGCTCTTTCCTCAGGAGTTCTTCTCACCAGCGTTTGATGTTCAAAACCTTCTTTGGGGTTCTTTTAATTAGTTTTGTTTACTGATACCCTTTTCTGCAACCCCAGTTCCTTTCCAGTTCTATTTCCCAGCAAGCCTCAGCAGATGCCTCTCAGCCTTGAGGGAAAGTTCTCCTTCTCCCCATCTGTGCCCCCAGCCCCCAGAAACCCAGGCAGCTGGGGCCAACTCTGGAGGGGTTGCCCTTGGCTTTGTAAAGGAGGGGGTGGCTGGAGAGAGGTTGGCTGAGGTCAGTTCCTAGTGAAGTGCTGAGCTGGGCACATGAAACAGTGGCCTAAGCACCTTCCTGGCCCATAGGCAAAATAGGCAAAGAGCCTTCCTTTATCTTCCAGGCCACAGTATGTCCTAGCACTGTCCCGGTCCCCAATCCCCGGGTCTCCTTGCTGAGGGTGCTAATGGAGCATGTGTTCTTTCTTTTCCAATAGGCTTAATGGTTGTTATGAGGCTCTCGCTGGAGGTTCCACAGTGGAGGGGTTTGAGGATTTCACAGGTGGCATCTCTGAGTTTTATGACCTGAAGAAACCACCAGCCAATCTATATCAGATCATCCGGAAGGCCCTCTGTGCGGGGTCTCTGCTGGGCTGCTCCATTGATGTGAGGCATATGGCTTCTCTACTGCCCCACCTCCCCCCACCGCCACCCCTTGTGTGGTAGGGAAGGGATGAGACAGCGGGAGAGAGGCCTAGGAAGGCTTTGGGTCAGAGCAGAGTCTGGAGCTTAGTGGGCAAGTCTAGTGACACAAAGGCCTGAACATATAGGGGCTGGTGAAGACCTAATTAGTGGGTAGGAACTGGGGTTAGTTGCATTGCAGGAGCCCCAATTTCCCTCTCGTTGTTAGAGCCCCTTCAGTACTGCTGGAGTGGCCCTAAGAACATAGTCTAGGATCCCTGGATCCTAGGCCCCCCATTTGCTACCTCCTTTTTGCTAAATAATCTTGAGGTTTTGGAAAACAAATGTGATGATTGATGATACCTGATGGATCTTGAGATCCCTGAAGAAAAGACAAGTTCTGAAACCAGAGGCTGTGGCTGGACAGGAGGCTGAGCTGTGTGGATTTCCAAGGTGGCTGTGGAAACAGAGGCTGGAGGCCCCCAGCCCTGAGGTCCTGTCACCACCTCGGGCTCCTGTGACCAGCTGCCCTCTGGCTGCCCTGTCTTCCTCTCTTGTCCTTACCTGGTGATTTTAGAAATGTGAACGACAAAGTGAGAAGATCCTCCCTTTTTCCTCTCTCTGCAAACCCCAGCAGGAGATGTGGTTTTTGGTGGAGGGGTGGTATGGGGCATGGGAGAGGGGGTGCTGAGGAAATGGGAAGGGTAATGAGGAGTCCACTCAGGGAGAACCTTGGAGGACTGGGACCTGTCCAGAGCCATCAGCATGGAGAATTAGCCTTCTTCAGGCAGCTGGGGGTCACTCTCAGAGAATAAATGACTTCCCAGTTTCTTGGTGGCATTTTGAAGGCTGGTAAATTGTCTTCCAGGCTTGGCAGGCACCTGCACTGGCCCGGAACTACAGGCCTAATTAAAGAGGGAGTCTGGATGGAGATGACTCTTTACCTGAGGTTCATAGCCATGCCTACACCCCTAGTCCCACACTGAAGCCCCCAGTGGCTGTGTAGTGTGTCCTTGGAAAGCATTCTACGGCCGGCCCCTGAGAGGTCAGGGTCAGCCACTGAGTGGACTTTCTTCTCTACGCAGGTCTCCAGTGCAGCCGAAGCCGAAGCCATCACCAGCCAGAAGCTGGTTAAGAGTCATGCGTACTCTGTCACTGGAGTCGAAGAGGTAAAATTGTGTGGAAGGTGGGGAAGGTAACGTGTGATAATATTTCCATGAATCCAAGCCATCTCGACAGGAGGAAAGAGGTGATTACTACTAGAAGGTTCGGAATTGGCTTTTGAGCTTCACTGCCATATTGGGATGCACTCTGCCTGTACAGAACCCCTGACACCACAGATGAGCATTAGCTTTTGCTCATTAGAACAGCTCTTCCGGCCAGGTGTGGTGGCTCACACCTGTAATCCCAGCACTTTGGGAGGCTGAAGTGGGAAGATTACTTGAGGCCAGGAGTTCAAGACCATTCCTGGGCAACATAGTAAGACCTCATCGCTACGAAAAAATTAAAAATTTTTTTTCTAAAACAAAAAAAATAAAAGAAGGTTCTTCTGACTCTTACTCACTTGAAGATGGACAACGTAACCTCTCTGAGCTTTTGCTCAATAGGTTCTAACTAAATGCAAGCCCTCTCCTTAGATGCAGCCAGGAAAGCTGTAGAGATTGTCAGTTAGATTCTACAGATCTTCCAAAAAATATGTTTGTGTGGGCAAAACAGTGGGAACTCACAAAATCCCAAAACAGGAAAAGGGGCAGTAGTCCCAGCTTTTAGGGTGGGGTAGAGTCATGGAAAGGCATGTAAGTATTCCTCACTCTCCAACCCGAGGAAAAAACATGGGCTATACTAGTCATTATTTTTTTTTATTTTTATTTTTTATTTTTTGAGACGGAGTCTCGCTCTGTCGCCCAGGCTGGAGTGCAGTGATGCAATCTCGGCTCACTGCAAGCTCCGCCTCTCGGGTTCACGCCATTCTCCTGCCTCAGCCTCCTGAGTAGCTGGGACTACAGGCGCCCGCCACCACGCCCAGCTAATTTTTGTATTTTTAGTAGAGACGGGGTTTCACTGTGTCAGCCAGGATGGTCTCGATTTCCTGACCTCATGATCTGCCCGCCTCGACCTCCCAAAGTGCTGGGATTACAGGTGTGAGCCACCGCACCCGGCCTATTCATTATTTTTATTTCCTACATTGTGTCTTCTTTCAAAAGGGATTTAAGGTGGCTTACAATGATTTTATTTATTTATTTATTTATTTATTTATTTAGAGACAGGGTCTTGCTCCATTGCCCAGGTGGGACTGCAGTTGCATGATCTTGGCTCACTGCAGCCTCAACCTCCTGGGCTCAAGTGACCCTCCTGCTTCAGCCTCCCAAGTAGCTGGGACTACAGGCAAGTGCCATCATGCCTGGCTAATTATTAATTTTTTAAAAATTTTTGTAGAGACAGAGTCTGTCTGTGTTGCCCAGGCTGGTCTTGAACTCCTGGGTTCAAGCCATCCTCCTGCCTCGGCCTCCCAAAGTGCTGAAATTACAGGTGTGAGCCACCATACCCAGCTAGTGGTTTACCATTAAAAGAACAGACATGATAAAACCACACAACTAAGTAAAATACATCAATCCACGCTGAAGACAGTGCTATAATTGAGAAATTAATTTTGCTTTGGGCTTCCCAATGGCCAAGGCAGAAAGGGAAATGCAATGAATGTCCCACCTCTTGTTATTTATTTAACTGAAATAGGCCAGGCATAGTAGGGTGTGCCTGTAGTTCCAGCTACTCGGGAGGCTGAGGTGGGAGGATCGCTTGAGCCCGGGCAGGCGCTTGAGAGCCTGCAGTGATTGCACCACTTCACTCCTGCCTAGGTGGCAGAGAGAGGCCCTGTCTCAAAAATAAATAAATAAATAGAGTTAAATGAAACAGATGTTCTTTACATGTGTTTGTGTTTCATAAATATGCTTTTCTTTTTTCTTTTTTTTTTTTTTCAGGTGGAGTCTTGCTCTATCACCAGGCTGGAGTGCAGGGGCACGATCTCGGCTCACTGCAACCTCTGACTCCCTGGTTCAAGTGATTTTCCTGCCTCAGCCTCCCGAGTAGCTGGGATTACAGGCACGCGCCACCACGCCCAGCTAATTATTTTTTTTGTATTTTTAGTAGAGATGGGGTTTCACCATGTTGGCTAGGATGGTCTTGATCTCCTGACCTCATGATCTGCCCACCTCGGCCTCCCAAAGTGCTGGGATCACAGGCGTGAGCCACTGCGCCTGGCCCAAATATGCTCTTTAATGAAGTTAATCTCATAAATGGGAATTGAACATGTACATGCAAACATTGGGCTAGGTGAGTTGGGGGATACACAGGAAATGAAGACAATGAGGACCTAACAGCCTACACAGTTGGTGTGTGTATATGTGAATGCCAGTGTGTGTGCAGGGGCCCAAGGGGCTTATGCTTGAGTGTTCAATAAATAGGGGAAAGCAGTATATGTGGATTTAGGAGTATGGGCTTTGGAGACGGACTGCCTGAGTTCCTGGCCTGCGTTCACCACTTACTAACTAGATAATCTCGGATAATGTAACTTCTTTAAGTCTCAGATTTTTGAGCTATGAAATGAAGATAATTCTTTATCTTCTCAGGATTGTCGTGAGTGTTAAATGAGGCAATAAAGCACCTAAAATGCTTAGCACTACACCTCATCTGTAGTACCTGCTCGATAAATGTTAACTGCCGTGCTTTGGTGTTTGTTTGGAGGGCGTTTATTATCATTAGGTCTCATGTATTAAAAGCTCAGTCAATCTTAGTCAACTATAAAATCTAAATCTGAGTTAAAGCAGACATAAGCTTGTTTTTGGGCTAGACTCACTCTTCATTTATTCAAACAAATTATGAAAAATACCTCATTTATTCAAACAAATTATGAAAACACTTGGCCCAAGCCTGAAAAGATGCATTAAAGGAAAATAAAAGTGTGGTCCTTTAGGGACATTTGAAAAATTTAATGCAGATCCTGTCAGGTGCAGACATGCCTGCAAGGCAACAGGAGCATAGTAATTCAGTCGCTTTTCTGTGTATGGAATTTGCAGGTGAATTTCCAGGGCCATCCAGAGAAGCTGATCAGACTCAGGAATCCATGGGGTGAAGTGGAGTGGTCGGGAGCCTGGAGCGATGAGTAGGTTTTTTTCCCCCGCTTCTCCAGTCATCTCTCCCTCTGCGGAAGGGTGTCGTGTAAAACACACAACAATGAGATCGATGTCACAGTGAGTTCAGCAGCACGTCCTGTCTGCAGATCACACAGTGTGTTCAGAAAAGAGTATTAAATGGATCCAGGCTGGGAAAAGCAAAATAAAAACCACTGGGCTGTAGTCTTCGATTCTGGCTTTCTGCTTTGGCATTTGAAAGTTTGGCGGCTCTGTGGAATTTTGCTTTGCGCTGAAAGGTTTTTGTGTTTTTTACCTGACGCACCGTGCTGGTCCAAAGGTCAAATCGATCACTCACAGTCTGTTTCTTTCCACTCCACAAACACTGGACACTGACAAAGGCCAAACCCCTCAGCACCAAGAAGAAACAAGGATGCTGAGAAAATGAAATTTGACCCTAGGAGCCCCGGGCCCTGGCAGCAGTGATGAATGAGGCAGCGGCACTCGCTCCTACCCTAGGCACGTTTGATCACTGACTGGAGAGACTCCTCTTGGGCAGGCCTCTCTGCTGATGAGGGAAAGTCAGTCAGAGGTGGTGATGTCCCAGGACAGCTGGGCCCTGGAATCCATGTCCCCATCATGCAGGAGGGTGGAAAGCATGGGGTGGTTTCTGTCCAGTGAGCACAGCTGGCCTGGCAGAGGCAGGTTAGTGTGGGGGAGGAATTAGAATTAGCCAGTCTCAGCTGGGTACAGTGGCTCAGGCCTGTAATCCTAACACTTTGGGAGGCCTAGGCGGGTGGATCACTTGAGCTCAGGAGTTCGAGACCAGCCTGACCAACATGGTGAAACCCCGTCTCTACTAAAAGTACAAAAATTAGCTGGAAATCGCTTGAACCCAGGAGTTGGAGGTTGCAGTGAGCCGAGATTGGGCCACTGCATTCCAGCTTGGGCAACAGAGCAAGACTCCATTTAAAAAAAAAAAATAATTAGCCAGTCTCATGGACAAAGAACCACCAGAAATGAAAATGGTCACAATAATGCCCCCTCCCAATACGTCCTTAATCCTCAAGTGCTGTCGGTACTCTGTGATGCCACCAGGGCTTTCGAAGGGGACATCGCCAAGTTTAATCACAGCATCATGACTGCTCATGTCATGACCACGCAGAGGGGCAGTAACTCCCTTCAGGTTGTGTCACGAAGAAACACGTGTCTCTAGGGCCACACATGAGCCTCCTGTAGGAAGGATTTTTCATTCTACTGTGTAAGATTGAGCAAAACCCAAAACCTCAGTTCCGCCAACTTCCCTAAAAGGATGACAGGGCCACGTGAAATTGAAACCCTGAATGTGGGCCATTCTTACCAAAAGTCACTACCGAGCTGTCCAAAGGGCTTGTTTGACTTTCTCTCCTTTCCCTGAGCACCCGCTCCCTGGCAGGCGGGAGGTGGTGACTGTCAAGTCCTGGAGGCCCTACCAGCTGGAGATGCAACCTGGGATAATTATATATATCAGCTATTGGAGGAGGAGGGTGCCGAATCTCTAAGGCAACATCCCTAAGCTCAGCCCAGGGATTAGTGAGATTTTACTTAAAAAAAAAAAAAAAAAGTAAAAAAAAGAAATTGGAGCAGTAGGTCAGATCTGGAATTTTCCAACTCCTGCCCTAATCTTTGTTTATAACAAGCACATTCTGAGATTTGGTTTTAATCAAATTAATGTTTCAATGAATTGAAGAGGCTCTGGGAATTGTCGTGCTGACCCCCGGGGTCTTAAAGCCTGGCTTGGAGGAAGAGGCTGCGCTGGAGTGTGCCCCAGCTCTTATGCTGGGGAGAGAAGGTGCTTAGGTTTTGCTGAAGGTATTCAGGCAGGGATTTTTTTTTTTTTAAAGATGGATCTTGATACTGCTCTGTTACTTAGATGTCACATACATATTTCAGGAAAACCTAACTTCGTAAAGGTCAGGAAGCTGGAGATGGCATTCAAACAAAGTGCATAGATATTGCCCTTGAAAGGCCACCAGCAGGAGGTCTCACAGGGTGACGTTTCTTCTGGGAAATTGCCGTAAAACTGGGCTGGATGATCATTCTCGTGGGTGTAAGGAAGTGAACCATGTCCATGTCCCCAGAGCTGGTTAGACTCTGTCAGCATATTCACCCTAGACTGCTGGATAAGCCAGAGTGATAAGTGACTAATGGGTACTGGAGTGCCTGCCTTTCCAGTGACGAGAACTCATCCACGTTCTCTCCTGGGCCTCCCCATTCCTGCAAACAGGGGCCTGGGAGTCTTAATTAGAAATGTCAAATTTGCCCTAGAGAGTAAAAATTAGAGCATAATGTTTGAGTCATAATGTTCCTGGCACATGTCCAAGGCCATCGTGCTAGTGCCCATGGAGTCCGTGTCCTGGGTCTGTGTCCCTTCCCCAGACAGTGTGCTCGCGCCACACTGTCCATTCTGCCTTTCTGTCTGCCTGCAGTGCTTTTGGTATTTTGTTTCTGGCTCTTAGGGGGAAGCTTAGCTGCAGTAAACAGCTTGCCCTGCTTGTAGAACCTCTCAGGAGCGAGCATCTCTGCTTGTTTTCCCCTCAGTGCACCAGAGTGGAATCACATAGACCCCCGGCGGAAGGAAGAACTGGACAAGAAAGTTGAGGATGGAGAATTCTGGTGAGAGAGTTTTCTGCTGAAGCGCTGTCCCATTGGTGATGGGTCCATTTTCAGTTCTGATGTGAACTCTAGGTCTCTGGGTCTTCCAGGAAGGCGACATGGTTCCTGATCATGGTGAATTCATTCTTCTCCTTTTGTCCTGGTATAATTCCACCTCTATACCAGCACGTCTAAAGCACTGAAACCATGATATCTAGGCCCTCAACCTGGCTTAGCTATCAGCCTGTCTTTCTCAGTTCTATTATCTTTCCAATGAACTGAGAGCACTGCTTCTATCTCTTTAAGCTAAGATTTACCTACCATCAATATGGGAGAACTTCCTTTGCTAGTGAGCTAAGGAAGATAATAAGGATACTCCTTGAATATGGTACGGCTTAGCTGGACATCACTCCGAATTAAACAAAAAGAAACCTCTTGTGAGCTTAGACTTAACCCAATCTAGAGGCAGAGGCTTTGTTGAGATGACCTCCTGGGGTCTTTTGCAGTTTACAGTTCAGATCCTTTGCTTGGTTGTTAAGATATGTGTGTGGGGCTCCCTGTAAGAGCCAAGAAGCTAGCGCTAGTGAAGAATGTGGACTGTTGTCTCTGCGTGTTTGTATCAGTGTGCTGTAGGAAAGATCAAGCTAGCCCACGGCCTCTAGGGCCTGTGCCACAGGGCTCCTTCCCGTGCTCAGTATGCGTGCCTTTAATCACAACCCAGCCCTCTTCACTGAGAGCCCTCTGGTGCCTCTGCCCCAGGATGTCACTTTCAGATTTCGTGAGGCAGTTCTCTCGGTTGGAGATCTGCAACCTGTCCCCGGACTCTCTGAGTAGCGAGGAGGTGCACAAATGGAACCTGGTCCTGTTCAACGGCCACTGGACCCGGGGCTCCACAGCTGGGGGCTGCCAGAACTACCCAGGTAAGGTGAAGGGCTGCCTTGGCCCAACCTCCTCCAGCTTATCCTCCCTGAGCTGGGTCATTTTATGTAATTTTTTGGTGCTATTTTGTGTGTTTTTTTGAGACAGGGCCTTGCTCTGTTCCCCAGGTTGGAGTGTAGTGGCACGATCTCTGCTCATCACAACCTCCGCCTCCCGGGCTCAAGTGATCCTCTCACCTCAGCCTTCTTAGTAGCTGGGACCACAGGCATGCACCACCATGCCTGGCTAATTTTTAAAAAATGTTTTTGTAGAGACAGGGTCTCACCATGTTGCCCAGGCTGGTCTCGAGCTCCTAGGCTCAAGTGATCCACCCACCTTGGCCTCCCAAAGTTCTGGGATTACAGTTGTGAGCCACCGTGCCCAGCCCTATGTGTTAATCTTTGGATAAGGCCTTTGGACTTTGTTCTTTGACTTCTGGGCACCCTCTGGAGGCCCTGCTTCTCCCTAGGGCTTGGAGGCCAGGGTTGTGAGGGTGGGCAGTGGCTCTGCAGCCGCTCAGCTGCAGCCTGAACCATGTGTTCAAACCATCCCTGCTTCACCCACCTGCCCTGCCCGCAAAGGACGTGCTTTCCACACTAGCCCTGCTCTTGGCACCTTATGCTAAGGCCTCCTGTTCTTCCCTTGGGCTTTTGCCCCTTCCTCCCCACTCCCCTCCCCACACCCAGCTGGCTAGCAGTCACCCTGCTGACCTCTGGGACAGAGTGGCTGATGGTGCGCTAGGGGAACACGGGTACAACATCTGCTGTTTCAATAGGCTGCATCCAATAGAGCTGCTGTTTCACTGTGTGTTTGTGCCTGAGTTGGAGGTGGAGGGGCAAAGACAGCGTGGGCCGTGATGGCCACACACAGGGCATGCGTGTCATGGGGACTCAGACCCTGGTGGAGATAGTATGGTGCAAAGCATGGCCTCCGCACTAACCCTGGGTCCTCACCTGGTGCAAGGTGGGAAGCTTTCCTGGCTCGCAGAAGATCACTAATGTGTCCCTGTGTAGGCTCCTCCTAGGTTGAATCAGCTGAGGCAGCACCTGATGAAGAAACTCAGGAAGACAGCCCCACATCTCTAAGGAGAAATGAAGAAAAGCAAATCCTGCTCTCTCTACTTTTCACCTCCTGCTCCCCATGTTCCCTGCCTGGTTTGCTGTTGATCTGTTGATTGACTTAGACTGTAAGCGCATGGGGCAGGGCCAGTCACTTTCTTCTCATGACAGAGCTCACTGCAGGGCTGTGCTCGGTGCTAGGGAAGCAGCATTAGAATAAAACCCCACCTGGATGCAGTGCTGGGTCTTGACAAGTTCTCTCTTCTTTCATCACCCATCCAACCCAAAGCTCCCGGTTCAGGCAGCTGTGACCAGAGTGCTGAACAGAGAGGAAGGAAAGGGGTCCACATCCTGCCCTTGTTGCTTGATTTAGACTCTGGGAAGGGCATTTCCCTCTTCTGAGCTTCAGTTTCCTAGTCCTCCAGATGGGGTTCAACCTTCCAACCTTACTGGGTCACTGCAAGCCTTGGAACACAGAGTGTGTAGGGAAGCACTTTGTAAACTGTGTAGCATTATATAAATGGGAGTATTATTTTTATGGCCCATTCTCTTCCTCCAGTACTGTTAAGGAGTAAACAAAAAATGTATGGATTGCAGTAATGTTGCATTTGGGAGAAATTAAAATATGCTCACCATTAGCAAGCTCTTAGAAAATGTGGAGGAAATTTGCATGGATCATTTTGGGAGCTCAGAACTGTAGGGGGTGCACAAGGTATCTGGATGCACCAAATCACAGTCCCATCCATGCTGCCAACTAGCTGTCAGGAAGACATGGATAGTTCCTGCCCTTTGGTAGTGATGGAAGTATAGGCGATTACAGATTTTTTTTTCCATCTCCTATGGGATCCACAGATATCCGGCTTTAAAATCCATAAACTTGAGCCCTAAAACAAACAAACAAACAAAACACAGCAACAAAAAAACAAAACAAAACAAAACAAACAACCCCCCCCCCCAAAAAAAAAGTGGAAGTGGGGATTCTGAGAAGGTGGAATTGAATAAGTAATCCTACTGTAAAGAAAAGTGATAATCAATGGCTCTTGGTCACCTGTGAATGCCTTGTTATTTTCCAAGTTAGACTCTTCTTTAAAGGATGTAAGGAAAAATCCCATGCCCTTCCACTTCTTTTTTCCTCCCGGGCACATCATTATTGAAATTGTTGAGGCCCTAGAGTGGAGACACCTGTCAGGCGTGCCTTCTGCAATTTTGCTCTGCCACTGGACTCTGTCATAGACTTGCTGCATATCCTTGGATGATCCTTTTAATCTCTCCGTGCCTTGGCTTGTGTACTTACTATTCTGAGAGATTTAAAAAAAGCCATCTTTGAAATGAAGGAGTCTTTTTCAATATCCATACGTGGTGTGGCAGGACTGCTTCTTAATTGCCAATTGTGATTCCTCATGCATTATTAAATGACTTTCTCTTGAAGAAAGTGTGTCTCATCAGTGGGCTGCAACACTGAAGCCATCCTGTGAGGCCCCTGGGGTGATGGACAGCAGATTAGTTCTCAGGGGTGCCGCAGGCTGTGCTCTGCAGCTGGGGCCCTCTCAGAGGGAGAATAGGTGTCAATCAGATGGCAAGAGCAGTTGTCTTAATAGTGTCACGGAGAGACCTTTTTGGTAGCTAGTCTCTTCAGGGACTTTCTCCTCTACTGTCCTGGGGACATGCTTTTTACCCAGAGATCTCCCTTCCTCCAGAAGGTGGGTTTGCCTTCACATGTCAAGTGCTGAGAGCAAGGTGATGTTAAGTCTTTCCCCAGGAAGACTTGGAGGCAGTGCTGCCCAGTGTAGCCCTCGGATCATGGGATCCTGAATATTCCCAGTCAAGCACTTCTGGGCTCCTCGTTGATCAAATGGACAAGCACACATTTCCAAATGCGATGCCATATGTCTGTGTGTGTGGATGTGTAGGAAGGTAGGAGGAAATGCCTGACCACCTTGTAAAGAACACTTTCTGAGGCCTGCTTACTAGGCACAGTTTGGATGGAGCTGTGCATTCATTAGGATGATCAAGTTTCTTCCCTTTTACTTTATTCTTCTTCATCTCCTCACCCGCTACGTGGGGAACCACCATCACCTGGGTGACTTCCAGCCACGTACTGGACCAATCCCCAGTTCAAAATCCGTTTGGATGAAGTGGATGAGGACCAGGAGGAGAGCATCGGTGAACCCTGCTGTACAGTGCTGCTGGGCCTGATGCAGAAAAATCGCAGGTGGCGGAAGCGGATAGGACAAGGCATGCTTAGCATCGGCTATGCCGTCTACCAGGTACTGCTGTGCTGGGTTTGTCCTTCATTATACACTTGATGTTTTGGGGCTGAATATCTTGGCCAGTCATTGTAGCACATCTTTCCTATTGCTGGAGTATTCCTAATCGAGAAGCGTCCTTGCTCCTCTATATACCTCTCCCAGTGGCCTTACTGAGGCCTGAATTCCACATTTAGAGATTCATTCCTATGGCTTAAGTCTCTGCTGTTAACATTGAGATGTGTGATACATTAACCTTTGCCTGTCATTGAGGGCTCAGTGTACATGTGTTCATTAGACTCTTTTCCAAGTACAGGCTTCCCCAGGGACAAGAGCCAAGAACATGGGGGCATAAGGCACTTGAGGTGGCACAAGGAAGATGAGGGGCATCACTGAGTCAGGGAAGGAGGCTGGATATGGGAGCCAAAGACAACTATTCCCTGGGAGGCCTTGAGACACTTGGAGCACACAGGGCATGAGCTGGGGTGATGGAAACCACGTGCCCATTTTCAGTTCTGGTGTCTCTGAACTCTGGAATACAGCTGTCTCTGGGCTCACGCTGCAGTCCCTGACTAATATGCCAGTTTTCCTGGCAGCCACCCCTCTACAGACTTAACAGCCTCACAGATATGTTAAAGCAAGACCTTTGTGTCTTGACAAGTCTAGCCAGAAGCAAATTGGAATCCACTTTTTTATACAGGCAAAGACTCCTTATAGCAAATTCCAGCGGGGCTCATGGTGGCCATTTTTAAATCAATTTTATTAAAGGAATTTCTTGGGAAAAATACAATTCTAATCAGGAAGACCAAGAGCTGTCTGGAGGCCCAATATCTCAGTATAAATTAATGTATGAAAAAAATATTGTAATAAGAAACCAGTAAGGAAATAGTGCAATGGTCGAGATCCTATCTGCACCCCACACTTTATTTCTCATATTCTGGAATTTAGGGCTTTAGAGTTTAGGGTGTATATGTGCATGTGTGCACATGCACGAGCATGCGAGTATATTTTATGTTGAAGAATGGGAGTTGGAAAATAATTGCTAATTGATGGCAGGAGAAAGGAATTGCAAATAAATAAACTCCAATTCTACTCCAGTGTGGCTCTTTCATCTCCACCTAGAATGTAAGTAGCACAAAGCCAGACTCTGTTTGAAGAGATAAAAACCTGAGTAGGCACTTAGTGTATGCGCATCAATTCAACAAACTGTAGTGAGCATCTATTATGTGCCGGGTGCTGTGCTGAAAGCTGAGGACATGGAGGATTATCACATAGTTACTGCCCTCAAGGTGCTCACAATCTGAAGTGGAAAGTGAGATGCACACTCCACTGGCAACAGAGCAGGTCAGATCTGCTGTGATGGGGACCTGACACAATGGGCTGGGTTCACCTCAGCTTCATCGAGGAGGAGATTTTGATGAGAACCTTGAAAGATGAACTTGATTTCAAGGGAGAACATTCCAGCCAAAAGGACATTTCTTGGCAGCTTGAAAGTTAAGTGATGGTTTTGGAGAGTCAATAGTAGGTGGGCATGGCTGCAGGGTGGGCTACTCAGTTCTTCATCCATCAGGCCTACCTTTTTTTTTTTTTTGAGACGGACTCTCACTATGTCGCCCAGGCTGGAGTGCAGTGCTGTGAACTCGGCTCACTGCAACCTCCGTCTCCCAGGTTCAAGCAATTCTCCTGCCTCAGCCTCTTGAGTAGCTGGGATTACAGGTGCGTGCCACCACATCTGGCTAATTTTTGTGTTTTTAGTAGAGATGGGGTTTCACCCATTTTGGCCAGGCTGGTCTCAAATTCCTGACCTCAGGTGATCCACCCGCTTTGGCCTCCCAAAGTGCGGGCATTAAAGGCGTGAGCCACTGCACTCAGCCAGGCCTACCTTATATAACCAGACCAGCAAAGCATTCTTTCAAAGGGACTGAAATAGCTTTGTGTGGCATGACATTTGCGCTCATAAATAATATATAAAGCATATCAGTTTTTTAGTCATCAAATTATAGCTGCTTATAAAATATTCCAGTGTGTGTGATCTGTGGTCCTTCTATATCTGGCCACAGGCATATAATTTAGAGCATGACATCCATAAGTGAAAACAGTTTAAAAGTCAGGTTAAGAGGGTATCAGAAGTAGCTGGGGTTATAGGGAGTAGCTGGGGTTGCAGGGAGTGGGTGCCATATTCTCATTCCTGTATCTCCCTTCTCTTGCTTTAACTGGAGTTTGGATTGAGGATGAAAACCTGCTGCTGACTGAGAAGCAGCCAGGTGCCTCCAAAGACTAAAGAGCCCTCCTTGTCTGGCCTCCTCTCTCTCCCCTCTATCTTCCTGCAGTGATGCCAGGCCAGCCTGTCATTTGCAGTCAGGATCCTGCATTTGAAAGATGACTGTTTCTTTCCATCCACCCATGGGCAGTGGCTAAGGCCTGCTCCCTTACCTCGCTGCTCTGGATTTGTGCCACCAAGAGGCCCCACCTGCCTGGCTCAGTTTCTGCTGGGTGATTCTTGGTAGGGTGGATCTGGAGCATACTGATGGCAGCAGAGGTGGTCAAGTTGTTTGTGGAAAGACGGCCCATGTGGTTGGGCAAGCCCCTGCCAAGGGTGTGTAAAGGCTATTAGGCCAGGAGCTGACAGGAAGATACTTGTGAGGCCTCTGCATGGGTGATTTTGGTTTTACACTCAAAATTAGAGGAATGACTGTGACCCTGGACTCTTCTACTTCTGCTGCCAATGACCCATGGGGGCTCCAGAAGTGAGCATGCCAGCTGATACACATTTTCTGTAATATTGTTGTTTTTCAGAGTTATAGGCAGTTGACCATAGACCTAAACCACAAATAATGGATGGTCTTCTGGTCAAAAGGGCCTATGTGTCAGGGACAAAGAATGGAAAGGGACAAATTATGGGGTCTGAATCCTCTTCTCTAGCCTGGCATAGGAACCCCAGGCATGGGAAAGCTTCTACTCTGGATCTGAGAGCTACTCTCTTATGGGAGTCAACACTTCCAGTTGCATATAATAAAGCCCAACTCGAGCTAGGCTAGTGAAAATAGTGTACCAGCTCATGAAACCAAATTAAGGGAAGGAGATGAAGGCTTGGGACAAGGGACTTGGATACTACCAGGATTCTTTCTTTCCACATCTCCTCTCTAGTGCTGATGACATTGTGCTAGTCTAGATTTCTTCATTCCCTAATATCACTAGCATTAAGAAAGGAGTCCCTTCTGTTAGTTCCAATTCAGAAATCCCAGAGAAGTAAGTCTCTGATGGGCTCAGCTTGGGTCATGTGCCTGTTCTTGAACCATTTCACCATAGCCAAGGGCAGAATAAACTATGGCTCAGGTTGAGTGAGATTCCCCCACTCTGGTCAAACTCTTGATCTTGGACACCAGGTCTGTAGGTCTGAAGAAGAGATTAGCTCTCATTGAAACCCCAAGGCTATTACTCCTGAATAATTTGAGATCTTGGTAGATTCTACAACTAGAAAATAAGAAAGTAGAACCTAGAAATCTGGTGGTCCCCCACCAGATTTCTAGGATCCTATTTATAGATGGCCTTGAAATTCATCAGTAGTGTTCCAGTTTCAGAAATGCTGACTGGCTTCTCACTTTAGCACAAATGTCTCCTCAGTTGCCCCAGGACTGCACAGTCTGTTTGCAAGACATAGGGAGAGAGGAAAAGGAGCAGAAGGAGGACCTTGGAGCTCTCAGGTGACCTGCTCTTTTCTTCTGCCCCACAGGTTCCCAAGGAGGTATGTGAGTGCTGACAGAGATTCCTTCCTTTGGTGAGAAATAGCTTGGCTGCCTTCAGGATGGGCAGCCAGCAGCGTCTGTTTCCTGTGGTAGAAGCTGGTTGTTCCACAGCTCTCACATGATCCAGTCATGAATCAAACCACATGAGTAGGCTGGTAGCTCTGAGAGTGGGTGAGGACCATTGCAAGTCCCATCTGTCAGGCCCTCATGGAAGGAACAGTGGTGACCTTTTTCCCCATGCCCCTGGTGGTCTGAACAAGGTGATTCCAATGGGCAGCCAAGGTTGAGAACCAGTGTTCTATCTGGGCTTCCTCTAGCTGGAGTCAGTTGCACTAATTATGTATAGGTGCATCCACCCTGCTCAGCTTTACCCCAGTTCTTCTGGGTTTTCAAGCTTGGCTAGCCATGAAGCATGTGCCAGCAAGGCTCAATTCATCAGCTCTAGTGTATGCCTTGATCCAAGGCTGCAGATTACTGGTCCACCTGCCCTTGGCTCACAAAGTGCATGTTATTGATTACAGAGGGAACAGACAAGGAAGTGAATGGTTTAGAGCAAATACCTCTTACTGATGCAGGGCAGGTGAGCCCTCAAATTGGGGCTTAGCCTGGGAGGGTTCTTGGCTTCACCCAGGAAAAAATTCAAGGACCAGACAGTGGTGTTAGCAACTTTTATTGAAGTGGCAGGGTAGAGCAGCAACAGAGGTCCTTGCAGAGCAGGGCTACCTCATAGTCAGTGAGCCCACAGTAGCAGCTGACAGGCAGGTCCACACTCATATTTATACCAACTTTTAATTATATGCAAATTAAGGGGCAGATTATGCAGAAATTTCTAGAAAAAGAATGTTAACATCTGGGTTGTCAGGTTGTTGCCATGGAAAGGGGCAGTAACTTCTGGATGTTGCCAAGGCAACAGTAAACTGATAGGGCACACTGGTGGGTATGTCTCATGGAGAGGTGCTTTCACCTCTTCCCTGTTTCAGCTAGTGCTCCATTTGGTCCAGCGTCCTGCTGGGAGTTGAGTCCTACCTCCTACCTCATTACTACTGGAAAATAATTAAAACCAAAGCTGATTTAAGTCTGGGTGATGGTGGTTCCCATCAGAAATGCCCCATTTATATGAGAGAGAGGTGACGTGCACACACAATGGAGCTTTCTCCAGCAGCACCTCACAGTGCCCTCAATGTGTCACCCTGGATCCTGTGCTCTACGAGTGCCGGGGGGCCTTCAGGACAACAGTTGTCAAACTTAGAATGTGCTTCTGAATCCCCTAGAGGGCGTGTTGAAGCACAGATTTTTGGGCCCTGCTCCTGGAGTTTTTGATTCTTTCAGTCTAGGGTGGGGCCTGAGAATTTGCATTCTAACAAGTTACCCTGGGGTGCTCCTGCTGATCCTGATCCCACACTGAGAACCACCCTTAGTTAAACCTGCCCAACCTCCATCCTGTAACTTTGAGCTGAGCTATGTCAAGGGCAGATGTGGGGGCCAGGGACCTTGTGGCACCTGCTTACTTGGGGTCCCTAGTAGGACAGAGTCTTACCTAGATCTTGCCTCAGTGTCCTCCAGTTCCCACTCTGGCCCCCAAATAGGACTTCTCTAACCTGCTCCACCCCTGGATTCTTGCTGGAACTCAGTTTGCCCCCTTCCCAACCCAAGACAAATTAGAGTAGCTTCCTTACTTCAACTCTCCTGAGTGCTTTCTCCTACCAGTGCCCTGTCTCCTCCCTTTGCTACCATCAGGTATGGCAAGAATGACCTTTAACTCATGACATGTAGGCCTTGGTCACATCCTCTCTGGCCACACCACCAGCATTCTCCTGCCCAGAATGTAAGCATTTTTAGGGAGAATCTCAAGGACTGTGGGCACCCTAGTGGCCGGGTTAGTGGGGACTGCCTGAGGGCTCTATGTGGAGTCCTGACTAGGGTAGTGGGGGCAGGTGGCCTGCTTCCTTCTTTGCTTAGCAGATCTGTAATCCAAAGAGGGTCTGATGACCAAGAATGAACACTGTCCACTCTGGGGTGGACATTTCAGCTCTGGGTCACACAGAAGTTAACAGCCCTTGCAGTGTATCAGCACCTGGCCTCTGTCACAGGCATCTTGATGAAGATTGATGGTAAAGACACAGTGTTATGGGGAGGCTTAATTACAGCAATAATAACTTTGGCACCTGTGTTTTGGAAGCACTCTGCAGTCACTAATTAACCTGTGTCATGCACCAACAGCCTCCCACCTCCCCGCAACAAATAAGTGGGTCTTGGAGAGCATCGTCGCCTGTTGAGGAGAGTCGAGGCCCTGGGGAGGCTGGGGGGACCCCAGACTAGGCCTAGCTGTGGCCGCCCCCTCTGCCTGTCTCTTTTAGAGCTGCCTCCCTGGGTTCCCAGACTGACCATCCTAGTCTCTTTGCAGAGCAGTTTTCACAGATAGTCAAAGGTGAACAAGTTTTTGTGGCAGCTTTTGCTTGAGGACTAGGATTTAAGCTCTTTTCTCCAGCCTTGGGCCTGTACTGGGAAGATCAATGCCACACTCCCAGAGACAGCTGCAGAATGAAAGAGCCTATTGGATTAGAGAGGAAAAATATCCAGAGAGAAGCTGAGCGCACACTAGAGACCCTGTCCCTCAACCTTCGTTTAACTGGGGAGGCCCAGAGGTCAAGGTCACACAGTCAAGATCAATGCCTCAAACAGGGCCTGGCACCCAGAAGGCACTGAAAATACACTTGATGATTGACATACAGTGAGTTCACAACAGAATCCACGGCCTCCTGATTCTTGGTGCAATGGTAAAAATCAATAATTCCTAAATCAGCACAATAAAGCTGAACTCTTGGGCTCTCATCTTCCAGGATTTAACAAGAAATTGACTCTGCTTATTGTTTCGTGCAGCTGGAGAGTCACACGGACGCACACTTGGGCCGGGATTTCTTCCTGGCCTACCAGCCCTCAGCCCGCACCAGCACCTACGTCAACCTGCGGGAGGTCTCTGGCCGGGCCCGGCTGCCCCCTGGGGAGTACCTGGTGGTGCCATCCACATTTGAACCCTTCAAAGACGGCGAGTTCTGCTTGAGAGTGTTCTCAGAGAAGAAGGCCCAGGCCCTGTGCGTCTCCTTCCCTCCGTGGTGGGGAACAGTTGTCTGTGGGCCCACGAAGGGAAATGGCCCCATGCAGGTGCAGGACCCACCCCAGCTCCCAGTACATGTTCCCAGAAGAAGCCTCTAAGAAACTACAAGGCCAAAGGACCCTTCACTGGGTGTCCCCCTCCTACCCCTCCACCTTGCTCTATAGGTCACGGAGAGAAAGAGAACCAGACCAGCA